>NC_000001.11:159434587-160684587 GCF_000001405.40 Homo sapiens | reverse complement strand
ATCAGCTCAGCTCATCTTGATTATATCTCCGAAATTAGGCTTCATTGGACTTAAGAAAAAAGAGAATGTATTAATATAAAGAATGGGGCAGGAGTTATCAGGAGAATTTTTCAACTTTCATAATGGGCAGGACAAAAAAACTTCCACTCATAGCTCCAGTCTAACCAGTGTATATGGAATAAGGACTCAGGCATTATACCTGGAGCCAGACAGACTTGGGTTCAAAACTGGTCAGTTGCTCACTAGCTGTGCAGCCTTGAAAAAAGATCTTCACATCTCTGTGCCCATATTAGGTAAGATTCTTTTGATAGCAAATAACAGAAACTAATTCAATGTACCTTTACCAAAAAAGGAGAATTTAGTTTAAGAAACTAGGGCTATTTAAAGCAATTCAAAGAGTTTAAAAGAGCTAGGAAGGGCTTAAGGGGAGAAGATTGAAAACCAGGTTCGGGCCAGAACCCCTAGCTTCAGGAATCTGTGGACTGTGCCTATGGATTTGGATTCCTGCCATTTTACACATGTTATCTCTCAAAACTTAGACTTTTGCTCCTCTGAGTTTCAATTCTCAGGGCAATTTAAAGAGAGAGAAACTGATAGTCCCAATTTAGTTCAGGTGTGTGTACCTGATCTAAACATTTTTGGTGAAAGGATCAGATTATAGGGCAGAAACATGGATATGGGGAGGGGCTCCAGGGGTTGGGGTATGCAATTCTTGTAGAAGAGCGGGGCTAAATAATCCAAGAGTGGTGTTCCCTTGAGAGCCTTGGGTTCTTCATCATATTATGAGAATAATTCTACTTACCTTTCAGGATGTTATTAGAGTCAAAGTAGATAAGGAAAGTGAAAACATTTTTTAAAATGTCAAAACATGCAAATGAAGAGTGTTGTATACATTCAAGTTCCACCAGCCAGACAGTCCCTGATCCAAGCAGTCAGATTCCCCTTCTAACTCTTCTTCCATGTCATATGGGCTGAAAATTCAGAAAGTCCTGGGAACAAAAAGATTCAAGGTCTCTTACAGTGGTGTTCTGGTTAACAAGCTCTACAAGATTTAAAAAAAAAAAAAAAAGCCCTAAAGCGTAGCATTTACCAACTTTGTAATTTCTGTGGTTTAAATACTGCTACCACAGTTGATTTCAATAAACTAATGGTTTCACAAAAAGCTTGCAAAATTTCTGAGTACTTAAAAATCCACAAACTGGCTTGGGCTTCAGCACATCCTGCCTGAGGGTAAGATTTCCAGGAAGTGATTAGCAGAAAAAATGGTCCTCTGGTCCAGCCCAAGCATTTCTGACAGCTCAAAGCGAGCATCTTGGAGCTGGACAACCCAAGCTGGCTCAATTAATTCCATCAGCAAAGTGCCCAGTGCTGTGCTGATCACCATGGGAAATGCAGAAGGAGTGTAAGATATGAGGCTAGAACACAGGAAATGGTGAAAACCAGGATAAAAATTGCTCAATTAAAACATATAGGGGAAGTCCAGGAAACTTTTATCACCTCTGTAGTCTGAGCAATCTTTTAGCGATCTGAGATCAGCTTCACAGAGGAGACAAAACTAGAGTTCTAGAGACCAGATTGGTAGAGCTTCTAGAGCCTCTCCACACATACAACCAAGAGGCAAGCTCTGATCTGGTCAATTCTCTGCCAATTTTTAATCTTATGGGATTTGAGTTGCATTGATTCTGCAGATGTTTCACCCTGACCAGAATGAAAAGATCTCAGAGGATTGCAGGTAAACCGGCCTTAGCCAAGGAAGGACCAGATGCTGGGACTATCTCTCATTCTCTCCGGCAGCAGTACAACAGTAATAATGGTAAAATGGCCTCTAGAATGTATGCAATACTTACACTCTTCAAAAAGCAATTATCCATGACAGGTGACGTTTTATCTTACTAACATTGCGCGATGAGGTAGAGTCAGTTTACAGATGACAGCAAGGGGGTTAACTACCTTGCCTAATGTCACTCCACTAGAGTCAAGTCCAGGACCCAGGCTGGTCTCACTCCAAAACTAGTGTTTTTGTGTCTACTTGCCTCCCTCCCTCCCTCCCTCCCTTCTTTTTCTTTTTCCTCTCTTCTCTTCCCTTCTCTCTCTCTTTCTTCCTTTCTTTCTTCTTTTTTTTTTTTTTTTGAAGGTCTTCTCCTTACCCAAGCTGGAGTGCAGTGGTATAATCATAGTTTATTGCACCCTGGAACTCCTGGGCTCCAGCAATCCTCCTACCTCAGCCTCCTGAGTAGCAGGGACTAAAAGTGCACACCACCACACCTGGCTACTTTTCTTTTCTTTTCTTTCTTTTTTTTTTTTAGAAACTGAGTCTCTCAATGTTGCCCAGGCTGGTCTCTTAACTCCTGGCTGCAAGCAATCCTCCTGCCTCAGCCTCCCAAATTGCTGAGATTACAGGTGTGAGCCGCTGCACCCGGCTGTGTTTTATCCTTTCTATCTCATAACTACTTCATTCATCCTTTCATGAGATACTTATAGAATACCTGCCATGTGGCAGGGATTGTGCTAGACATGGAGATACCAAAGTTAGCAGACCAATCTGTTTATCACAATTGATGCGGCTGGAAGTTACATGAAGTTCTTCTCTGTAGCTCTGCCAGAGTCTAGAAGGCTGGCACCTGCACTGGATGGTTGTGCAAAGGACTTTGCCACGCGCAGACAGGTACCTCTTACCTTAGGACTCTTGCTGAAGCTGAATCCGATAATTGGAAAGACAGACCAGCCAAGGTGCCCGCCATGAACCGTTGCTAGAGAAGGGTCCCTGAGCATCTCAGGCAGTTGATATACTAAGTCTGACCCCAGCAAGTCTCTGGGCTGTTCGTTCAGGCTCACACACGATCATAACCCCATTTTGTTCCCAGAGCATATGATGGACTGTGGCGCCCCCTCCAGGACGCAGCTTAGCTTCACTGCCTAGAAGCCGCTCTTGCAGTGAGTCTGTGAGGCCTCAGGAGGTCAAGGCTGCTCACTGGCTCCCTCTGTAGAACTTCTTCTTCATGACTCTGCCTCCTGGGGCATTCAGGCCCCTTCCCTGGATCCCTTTGTTCTTTGTTGGCTAAACCTTCACAGCATGAATGCCTCACTGTCTCATCTTATAACATCCTCCTCACTTTCAGACCCTGTACCCAAGCCTGTCATCAAAATTGAGAAGATAGAAGACATGGATGACAACTGTTATCTGAAACTGTCATGTGTGATACCTGGCGAGTCTGTAAACTACACCTGGTATGGGGACAAAAGGCCCTTCCCAAAGGAGCTCCAGAACAGTGTGCTTGAAACCACCCTTATGCCACATAATTACTCCAGGTGTTATACTTGCCAAGTCAGCAATTCTGTGAGCAGCAAGAATGGCACGGTCTGCCTCAGTCCACCCTGTACCCTGGGTAAGAAGGATCCCTGGGAGCTGAGGGGGGCACAGGGTAACTGGAGTTGTTTTGAACAAAGAAAGGCTGGGGGTCCTATTCAGCCTCCTTGCACAGTGTGGTGGTGAATCCCTAAGGTGTCTGGGAGAGCTGGGAGACGTGGGTTCTGCCACCAGCTCTACCACCACCTCCCAGCCAGCTTACCTCAACTTCGTGGGGGCTCAGTGTTCTCACCTGCAAAGGACGTTTGGGAGAGATCTCTGATACTCCTCTTCCCTCTCCCGCTCTAACAAAGCATAGTCCTAACATCTGAGGCCAGGGTCATCATAGAGTAGACTGAAACATCAGGGTGAGCAGGGAGAAGGAAGGGCAAGTGGGCGAGCAGCTGTCTAGAGGGGCTTCATTAGACAGCCGAAGTCAGCCAAGGAAAGAGGGACCGAGGTCATTAGACCGCCAAAGTCAGCCAGGGAAAGAGGGACTGAGGAGACGGGCCTGAGAGAGGCCGTCGAGGAGGCGTGAGAGCCTGAGCCTCAGGCGAAGCTTCTCCTCCCCAGCCTGATGTTCCTAGATGAACTTAGGAAGCCAGATTCCCCTGTCTCCTGGGAGGATCCACTCATGAGTGTCACACCTGGCTCTAGATCAGGCCTACACTGGTGCTAGCATGGGACAGCTAAGGCCATGGGTTTTAGAGTCAGTCATACCTGGGGTCACTTCTAGGACTGTCACTTACTAGCTAAACAAGTTACTTAGCTTCCCCAAGTCATGTTCTTCCTAAATAAAGGACAAAATAACAGTTCCTATCTCGTGCTAAGGATTCAATGAGACAAGACACGTAACTGCCTATCACAGTGGCTGACAAGTCCTTAGTAAGCGGGAGCTAAATGAGACGCAGTCTCTTAGAGTTTTGGGGACCCTTAATAAACTTGGATCAATATCTCCAGCACTCTGGGAAATACCAGAGTCAGATACCCTCCACAATCCTGAAGTCAGATCCCTGAGCCCTAGCGTACACATTCTTCTAGAATAACTCAGACCTGAGGTGCTCACATTCACCTGTGACCCCTGTCATGCCCAGTCATCAGGGATTCTGGCCTCTGAGAACGTTGCTGTTTTGTGGTCTTCCTGGGCTCTGTCTACCCTCCTTAACTGCACTGATTTCTTTATCTCTACTCCCACATGTGGACTACGGAGACTGTGTATGCTCTTCCTTATTCTTCCTAACTAATTGGCCCTGTCTCTACCAGCCTCTCCTGATATGCCTTGCTCTTCTGCCACCACAGACCCACTGTGACAGTGTGGTATCTGACCATGAGAACACAATTTGGCTGGTGGTTCCAACACCACCCTCATATCAATATCACATCCTGAGATCCAGAAAAAGGAAGACGCACATTCCCTGTCCTCTATAAAATGGGTGTGACTGTTCATCCGAAGAGAGGATAAAAGCAATAATAAATCCATTTTTTTTGGAAGGGTAAACCCATCTGTCACTTTTTAGTCACCGAAATTATCCTAGAAAGCCCCCTCAAACTCCTTTCCCTACTGTATCACTCATTCCTTTTTTTTATTTTCTCCAGCTCAGCCCTTCCCCACCCCAGCATCTAAGCTTTCCTTCCATCCTTTTTCTTTTCCTTTCCTTTTCTGTCTTCCTTTCTCTTCCCTTCTTCTTCCTAGTTGGTGCAGATACTTAGTGGGGTAGAGAAACAAGGAAAGGAAGTGGTCCTTTTCTCTCTAAAGTCAGCTGTGCATTGTATCATGTGGTCATCTGTCTGTACCTGAAGATCTACCCTACCTCGTTGATGTCCAGAGTAGGGGAGCAATGCTTTCCCAGGCCACAGATATGTCGAGGTAACCTTTGAGCACAGGGCCCAGGTAAGCCAGTGATATTTAAGGAATTTCTGCATTTTTTATACTTTATGTTTGGGGAGATTGAGGAAAAGAATGTCCCAGCCAAATAGGATGGGATTCAGGGAAGAAATTAATTTCCCTGCTCTGTGAGCTCCCACACCAGTGTCCAGTACACTTGCCCCTTCTCAATACATTAGTCAAGATAAAGATACCTAAGCATATAGGGTTTTCTTGCTCTTTCAGCCCGGTCCTTTGGAGTAGAATGGATTGCAAGTTGGCTAGTGGTCACGGTGCCCACCATTCTTGGCCTGTTACTTACCTGAGATGAGCTCTTTTAACTCAAGCGAAACTTCAAGGCCAGAAGATCTTGCCTGTTGGTGATCATGCTCCTCACCAGGACAGAGACTGTATAGGCTGACCAGAAGCATGCTGCTGAATTATCAACGAGGATTTTCAAGTTAACTTTTAAATACTGGTTATTATTTAATTTTATATCCCTTTGTTGTTTTCTAGTACACAGAGATATAGAGATACACATGCTTTTTTCCCACCCAAAATTGTGACAACATTATGTGAATGTTTTATTATTTTTTAAAATAAACATTTGATATAATTGTCAATTAACTGAATTCCTGAAGTTGTCCCAAATCTGTCAGACAGTGCCTGCTCCATCAGCTGGGAGAAACTGGAATCTGGAGACACAGAGGGGAGAGCCTGGAGCCACCGGCTCCTGTGTGTCAACACAGCTGAGGAGCCAATTTGTGCTACTTCTGACCCTTATTCCAACATCCATGCTAAGCTTCCTGGGGCTCCAGCTCCCCTGCCAAGCCTTTGCCTCCTTCCCAGTGGCTTGCCTTGCTCTGACCCCTCTGAGGACCACTCTCCTTAAGTCTGCTGCAAACATAGGTTCAGGCTTGCTCTCGCAGAAGGAAGGATGCAGCTCTATCTCATAAGAAGCCTTCCTGCCCCACAAGCCTCGCATAGGGAGCTGAATTCTCTCTCCTCTTTTCCATTGACTGTGTGGGCAAGTCTTCAACTCCTAGTCGTTTCACTGGATCCAAAAAAACCATCAGATCGACACAGTGTTCTCACCAGAGTTGTCCACTATATGCAGGTAGGCGCCCCCAGGCCCACCACTGACATAACACCTGGGATTTTTGCTTAATGTCCCCTCCTCTAAGTCTCCTCATGTGCCTGGAGCTGAAAGGGTCACTACAGAATGCACTTCCCCTTCAGAAAACTGCCCACCACAGACTGCTTGCCTTTCAAACCAGACCAGCCTCCCCCATCTCCCTCGTGGCCCTTCCCTCCTCACCCCATCTCCTCGGTGACAGATACAGTGCTATGTGTTTGCCAAACCTTCTCATTTTCCCCTGGGTGAGTGAAAAAACTCTTTTTCCCAGCTACTTTTGTGTTTAGCTGGAGCCATGTGATGAAATCTGTCCAATAGAAAGTGGGCGGCATGGATGTGGCAGGAGTGAAGGACTTCGGAAGTCTGGCTATATGATGCAAGGAACTGCATCGGAGCCATTGTTTGGAAGGCAGCTGCCTGCCCTACATTGCACAAGCATGATAAGAAAGGTAGGGTTTTGTCTTTTCCACAAGACAGCCTGGGCTTCCGAAGAAACCCCCCACCCTGAGCCCAGCCTGTAGTCCCATCCAAAATCACCTCTGAGCAGCCTGCATCCCCATCCAAACTCACTTCTGAGCAGTCTGCATCCCATCCGAACTCACCCCTGAGCAGCCTGCATCCCTATCCAAACTCACCTCTGAGCAGCCTGCATCCCCATCTGAACTCACCTCTGAGCAGCCTGCATCCCCATCTGAACTCACCCCTAAGCAGCCTGCATCCCCATCCGAACTCACCTCTGAGCAGCCTGCATCCCCATCTGAACTCACCCCTAAGCAGCCTGCATCCCCATCCAAACTCACCCCCGAGCAGCCTGCATCCCATCCAAACTCACCTCTGAGCAGCCTGCATCCCCATCTGAACTCATCTCTGAGCAGCCTGCAGTTCCATCCAAACTCACCTCTGAGTATCCTGCATCCTACAGGTGGACCATTTCCATCCCCTTTCTGTAAGCAGCACCCTTTTCCTTCCCCTCACTTTTCTCAGTGGAAGAAGAGGGTTTTGGGGGGAATTTCACGCGCACACACACACACACACACACACACACATATACACACACGCGCGAGCGCGAATGGGATAAACAAGCAGTAAGAAGGAAACAAATGCCACTTTCTGTCACAAATAAGCACATTCCTCAGCTGCTGAGGAACCAGCGTGCCTCTGCGGACATTGTATTTGTATTATTTCCAGTTACTGGAAACCTGAGGTAAATCTCACCTTAGACGGCTCAGGTCACAGACACCAACGGTTCCCTGCTCCTCCCATCCCTCAAGGCAGTGCCAGATACATAATTTGTGGGGCTCAGTGCAAAATGAAAATGTTGGCTCCCCTTGCTCAAAAAGCAAGGAAAATGTGCCAATAAAAGTACTGAAATATTAAGCCTTTTCTTTTCTTCCACAGTCTCTCTACTTGAGATGGTATTTTTTTATTTGCTTGCTATTTAATGCTGTTCTAAGTAAAGGCAAATTAAAAACTTAAATTATCATGAATTTTACTTTCTATATTTTAAAACATTAGTTTTAAATGAAAATAGAATATTTAATTCATATTTGGGATCATTGCAATTACTCAATTTCTATTTCGTGGCTCA
Organism: Homo sapiens; assembly: GCF_000001405.40. NCBI lineage: Eukaryota > Metazoa > Chordata > Mammalia > Primates > Hominidae > Homo > Homo sapiens. The sequence continues at coordinate 160,676,654 of NC_000001.11, read as the reverse complement.
TGCATGCATATATATTTTGTTCTTATTGGAAGTGTGAAAACGCTGCGAAAACCCAACTTAACTTTTTTATTTTACTTCTTGTTGCATACACATTCTCCCAACACTCTGTGAAAGCCAGTGGCTCCCATAACGTGACCACTTTGCACTTACTTTGAGTTTCACTGAACTCCCACATATTTTGGGTAGGTCCGCTGGAGTGCTGTGCTCATGGGATATGAAAAAGGGTAACAAGGAATGGTGGCAGACATGCAGATTACATGTATCTTCCCTTCTCACCTGCATGCTTAAGCAGAAGCTGAAAGAGAAAATTATCAAGAATTTCCAGATAGTGTCAGCAGCAGCAGAGCACTAACCCAGGTTCAAGGCCCTTCTGACCTGGGGCCCCGTGTCACTGTACAGGTCACAAGCCCGTGAAGCCAAATTTACCTCAAGGACAACTAATATCTTACACCAAGACAACGGCCTTCTCTGGAAGTCACAAGGCCTGGTTCTTATGTTCCCCAGCCCCTCATATCTGTCTATGCATCAAAAGTTAGTAGAAGCTGGGCGCAATGGCATACACTGTAGTCCCAGCTACTCCCAGGGCTGAGGTAGGAAGATCACTTGAGGCCAGGAGGTGGAGGTTGCAGTGTGCTGTGATCATACCTGGGAAAAGCCACTGCCAGTCCTGCCTGGGAAACAAAGCAAGACCCTGTATCCTCAAAAAAAAAATAAATAAATAAAGGTTAGTGTGTTCCCTTATCAGTATACACAAGCCCATTTGTCTTTGTGCAAAGAGGATACTCCAGAATTAGCCTCAATTTCCAGTCATGAGTATACTCTTGTGAACTGAGGTGTCAGGATAAGTTGCTTCCCCTTGGCCTTCAGGCGGCTCAGGCAAGCTCCTGCACTGCCCTCTGCTGGCTCCAGCGCAGCAAGTTTAAGTAAAACTTAAAGCCTTGGATTAGGTCAGTGCTTCTCAAACTCTAACTTGCCAGCAAATCACCTGGGGATCTTGTGAAAATGCAGACTTTGAATCAGTAGGTCTGGGGTGGGAACCAGCTTGTCTCAACAGCCAGCATGAGGTTACACATGGAAGGTTGGCAAGGCCAGGAGCTCCTGTGGACTAAGAGAAAGTAACCCTCATATCTGGCTTTGCACAAATAAGCAGCTTGGATTGGGCCCTTGTGTTGGGACCAGGTAGGGGTACATATAAATAGACCTGGCCCCTCAGATCAGTGAGTTCATTCATTTACCACCTATATTTACCAAGTGCTTACCTATGCTAGGGGTCCCATGCTGGAAGCCACTTAGTAAGAACAAACACTGACTACCACGTATGCCCTAGGCTCTGTGCTGAGCTCATTACCTGAAAGGCTTTCTTTTTTTTTGAGGAGTGTTGCTCTGTCACCCAGGCTGGAGTGCAGTGGCGCGATCTCGGCTCACTGCAAGCTCCGCCTCCCAGGTTCATGCCATTCTCCTGCCTCACCCTCCCGAGTAACTGGGACTACAGGCGCCTGCCACCACGCCCAGCTAAATTTTTTGGCATTTTTTTAGTAGAGACAGGGTTTCACCGTGTTAGCCAGGATGGTCTCGATCTCCTGACCTCATGATCCGCCCATCTCGGCCTCCCAAAGTGCTGGGATTACAAGCGTGAGCCACTGTGCCCGGCCATGGCTTTCTTTAAGGAACAGGGCTGTGGGTTGTTTAGAGTGGAAGTGTTTCCAAAAGTCTTCATTGAGGATTTGGACTTTAAATGGTTTTTGGCCATTTAAAGGATTTGGCCAGGATAATTTTACACAACTGTTGGTATGATCAAAGCAGCCTTAGAAAGGTTCCATCTCTCATTGTCCCTTCTTGTCCAGGAATAAAAAGATCAAGCTCCTCCACAGTGTTCTTGGGCTATCTTCAAGTGCGTTTGTTAAAGTGGCAGCTCCTGCACCTGGAGAGTGTGCTCTCTCTTCCCCACAATTCTTTCTACTCCTCCTCCCCCATCTCTAACCTCCTTAGAAGACTGCATGGTGGGGCAGAGGATGGATTTAGCTCAGAGCCACCTGCACCAGCTGGCAAATGCTAACCACAGGCTCTATTCTCTTTCGCCAGCTGCTCTGCCCAGCCCTTTGCCCCAGTTGGGTGAGTGAGAGCCCACTCCTTTTGCCTGGTCCCCTCCCCCAACTCCAGCCTGCCTGTCTTTCCTCCTCTCTCCTCCACCATCTTCTCCTCCTACAAATTTTTGTCACCATCATGTTCTATTCCCATCATCTTTCCATCTCTCATTTTTCTGTTCCTCTGTCTCATCCCATCCTGCTGATTATTTTTTTTCATAACTCCCACTTTTCACCCAGACCTCACCATGCCAATTCTGCCTCTGATGTTCCAGCTGCCCATGAGGGTCTGCACATCCCCTGACAGGCAGTGCCTTGGTTTGTTTCCTTCCTCCTTTACTGACATAGGAAACACAGTCCCCTCAACAAGTGTCTCCTATCCCTGTGACTAACTTGGTCAGAGACTCCTAAGGAGCCGACAACGCAGCAAACACATTGGTTGGTTCCCTCAACAGATATTTGCAATAGGATTTCCAAAGGCACTTTTCCTAATGCCTCATATTTAGAGCTAGGACAAAAAGACTTCACATTCTAGAAAGCTGCAAATAAATTGGGGCAGCACCACCTCTAGGGCTTAGGAAGGGGTGACTGAACTGGTTCTACTACCCCAGTGTTATTCACCCCCACTCTATATAAACAGAGGACTAGGGAGAGAAGAGAGAAAGAGGATCATCAGGATCAAAAGTGTTGGAGTTTGGGGAGTCCTGCAGCTTTCCCCTTCCCTTCCTATGGGTAAGGTTCTCCACCCATAGTGCCACATGAAAGAGACCTCCAAGAGTGCCACATGAGAGGTTCAAGGTATGCAAAAGAAAGGGAGACTAAAGTCTGAATTCTCGGTTGGGTAGTGGATCTGTTGATTTTCTTCATGGTAGAAACATGACATTGCAGCAAGATCGGGAGCAGCCTGCATACTCACTGTTTGGCATGGCAAAGATGTAGTAGTTTCCACAGTGGATGCTGCAGGCATAGTCAGGCTTCACTTGTCTTGCCACCCTGGCCACCAGGTAAGCAGATCTCCAGCAGCAAGAGGTTTTATTGATACATCATTGGTGGGAGCTGAGTGGGAGGAGGGCCGGAAGAGGCCAAGCCAGAGATCTCCCACATCAGCACACTACTCAGTGGAGAGTTCCCCACCCCCACCCTGAAAGCCGTTACACCTGTGCTCTACAAAAAACAGAGACAACCACCAGCAGCCAGGTAACTAAGACATAATTTGGTCCTCTCCTCCTGGCCCTATATGATTTGAGAATCTGGAACTAGATGAGGTAAAATAGAAGGGGAAAGATCAGACCACACCCTCTTCCCTATTACAGATTTTTAGATCATGAGACAAGCTTGGGCTGAAGTGACAGGAACAAGTAAAAGGGGAGTTTTACATCTGAGCCGTACTGTTAAGTTACTGGAAGTGATAGAAACGAAAGTGAATGATTTTCCCAAAACCTCCTTAAGTGATAGGAGGCAGATTTGACACAGTCCTCATGTGAATGGGGGAAAATAGTTCTTTGATGTTAGCTCCCAACATACCAAGTTCAGACTGTTCAAAAAACAGTTAGATGTATTCATTGAGCAGCTGCTATGAGTCAAACACCTTTCCAAATTTAACACTGAGAATGGCAGGGATAGTTCTTGTCTTCCTACATGTTTCGTTCTGGTCTGGAAGATAGTCATAAGGGAAATTAGTAATTTAATCCCAATGATGTCAATGGCTGCATGTGTCAAATATGACAATTGCTAGATGGAAGAACTATTTCAGACTGAGATAAGTCAGGAAGATTGAATCTTCTTTTGAGGGTCAGATTCCTTTTGGAATCGAGACTGAAAAAGGAGAGGTGTTAGATAGGTCAGAGGGGTATGTGTGGAAAAGCCTTCAAGGAGGAGGAAGTAGGAGAATGCAAGGATAGCCGAGAAGAACAAAACAATCTGGCTGCTGGAAAGATTTGCATAAAAAGGTATCTAAATAAAGCTGTTGCCTAATTTCTAGACGGCAAATAGCTATCTTGACTAGTGGCTCTGGAAAAGTAAACCAGTTCTCAAAGTATGAAATATTATTTGTCATAATAATTCTGGGGTTATGATTTCACAAAATCAGAGTCATATTAATGAGAGAAATCTCTTTTCCTAATGTAACTGAGGCCTGCTTATTTATTTAGACACCTAGTGAGAAAATCTCACCGGTAGGGAGATTCAGCTAGAATGCAGTGGACCCATCTTCTGCCTAATCCTTTACACCTGTGTTTACCTTTCCCCAGTTTAAAATCAGCTTTGAGTGAGCAAAGGAGAATTTCACTTAGCATCTGGCCAAAGATGAGGCATTTGCATTTGTAAAAGATGAGAAAGGATGAAAAGGACAGAAACCGTGCCTCCTATATCAGCTGGTTGTATGCAAGATACCCAGATAAATACAGGTGGGGAAGAATTTTATGGGAAAGGTTTTGTAGTAACTTGAAGAATCAAGAGAAAAGCTAAATATTAACATCTAGATAGCAAGATTTAATGTGCAAAACTTTAGAATTCTTCAAGCTGAATCAGCCCCAATTGTTTTCCAGGCTTGTGATACTATGCTTCATTATGCAAATTTTTATAACCTTTGTTCTTCCTCAAGTTCCCTGTTCTCATGAGATCTACTGAACAATTCAGTAAAGAACCTTATATATATATTCATGGTAAAGTGGGGTGTATTTTTTCCTAAGGAAAAACTAGTAAGGCAAGAGACACTGAAAAAGGTCAGTGATCCCTCCCCAGTCAAGGGCTTTGGAGGGGTAAGACTGGAGAATAGTCAGCTCTATTCTTTTGCAAATTTCCAGGTAAAGTCAAAGATAGTTACTGGTAGCACTGGCCAGGTCCTCAGGCCAGATATACCGTACACAACATAGCTGCTTCATTATTATTATTATTGTGTGTATACATTTAGTTTTATTGTAACAAAGAAATCTGTACACTTTTAATGTTTAAAACTGAGCATCATCTTTCCTTTCCAGTGAAACAAAAAGAAAATTTAAAAATAAACATGCCAAAGGAGAAGCCATGTTGTTAAAATGCCCACTTAACCCACCCAAACATCTCATACTCACCCTTTGATGACTTTCTATAACCTCATTTTTTACAGGTTTTTTTTTCTTTTTTTAAACAAGAGAAAGTAGACAGATACATGTTGATAAATGATGGTCCATATTCACACAGAGACACACGGTACTCTCTGAACCCAATATACAGAGAAAGGAGAAAAGAAGCTAGAATTCTATGCACTGCTACACAGGGGTCTGGCACTCTCCAGCTTCCAGCAGAGCAAAGGGAGAAGGTTTTTCTTTTCTCCCACAGAACTTGGTGGTGTTGATTCCATACAGTTTTTGTTCAGACAGGAAGAGATAAGAATGAATTCTGAAGAGAAAGGGGTAGAGAATATTTTCCCATTGTATTATGCTCAAGGCATTTCCCCCCAAATAAGTTGAAAACCATGGTGTAGAGAAAAGAGACCTCAAGAACAGCGCGACTGAGCACAAGAGGGGAAAAAAGAAAAAAGACTGCAACTTGCTCCCAGGGACTGGAGAAAATTAAAAAAAAAATTGTTCAGAACATCAGTGTTCTGTTAGTCATCTTCTCCTTCATCCTCCTCTCCTTCCTCAACGTCATCATCATCTTCCTCTTCTTCGCCTTCATCCTCATCCCCTTCTTCATCAATATCTTATAATCCTTCCTCTTCTTCATCATCATCATCATCTTGTTCTTCTCCTTCTTCTTCATCATCCACATTGGGAACCAAGCAGCACTGTTATGGGTTTGGCCAAGTACTACCTGTGATGACCTCTCATAACTCACCAGCACCTGCATCAGAATGGTCAGTAAAGCAGGTCAAGAAGCTCTCTGGTGCCTCAGGCTGCCTCTTCCTACTGGCTTTATTCTTCGTTCGACTTGAACGATTCGTTACATCCTTTCAAGATTTCCATTTGATTTCAGTGGACTTTGAAGATGGATCGCCACTCTCATTTAGATGAAATTCTTTGGAGAGGAGTTTATTTTCAAAGTAAGGATGTTCATCAAAATAAAAATCTATTCTGTAACCTAATTTAGTATCTTCAAATTATGTCACTTCAACTCTGGTCATATAATGCAGTGCCTCTTCATCCTCCTCCACAAGCAGTGCAGACACTCGTGGGTGGTTGACAAATGATGTTACCCAAAAATGTGGGATTTGGGCCATCAATGATCAATTCTGACCTCTTCTGAAAAAATGATTGGCAGAGTTTGTTCTATTTCTGTTCTACTTTCAAATTCTCCTCACTGGCTTGTTCATGAAGTCTGTTTCATTTTGTACTTCACAAATGTGTTCAATTGCTGCTTGCTATTCTTTTTCTGAGGTCTCGTCTGCCCGGTTGCGGTTGGAGTTGAGCTCCTTTCTACTGACTTTAGCCGTTGGCACAGACTTGGTGCTGCTTGGAGTTCGGGGGGCGGGGGGCGGGGTGTGGTGGTTGGGGGGAGAAACGGGAACGGGGAGAGAAGGAATGGGGAAGCGGGTCGGGGGTAGGCGGCTTCCCCTAACTCCACACTCGCTGGCACTCACTCGGTCAGGCCGCCTCCGCTCCCCGTTCGCTCGCTCTCCCAGCGCTTGCTCGCGCATGCTGCCCTGGCATATGATACATAAAATGTATATAAAAGACAATATAAGTGTAGTTTTTGTTTGTAATTTTTTTCTCTTATCTGATTTAAAAGACAATTTTATAGAACAATAATTATAAATCTGTGTTAATGACACACATGTATAAAGATGTAATTTGTATGACAATAACAGCAAAAAATGTGGGCAGGAGAAAAAGCTGTGTGAGAACAAAGTATTATATTATTGCAATTAAGATCATTGTAACCTCCAAACCAACTATGAAGAAAATAAATACAGTAAAAAAAAAAAAATGACAAGGGAACTTAAGTGTACAGTAGAAAAAATATATTTAATACAAAAGAGGGCACTAATAAAGAAAGAGAAGAACACACACACACAAAAAACCTATAGAAAACTAATAGGAAAATGGCAAACATAAATCCTACCATATCAGAAATTACATTAAATATAAATGGATTAAACATTACAAATAAAAGGCAGAGGTTATTAGAGTGGACTAAAAAAAATGGGTCCACTATATGTTGTGTACAAAGGACACAGTTTAGATTCAAATACACCTATAGGTTGAAAGTAAAAGGTGGAAAAAGGTATATTATGTTATGGAAGCAATAACCAAAAGAGAGCTGGGTTTAGAAACTGAGATCAGTCAAAATATGATTTAAGACAAAAATTGTTGTAAAGACAAAGAAGGACATTTTATAATAATAAGAGTTAATGCATCAAGAAGATATAACAATTATTAATATATATGCACAGAGCCCCAAAATACATGAAGCAAAAACTTACTGAATTGAAGGGATAAATAGACAATTCAACAATAATAACTGGAGAATTCAATATCCCATTTTCAATAATGGATTGAACAACTATACATAAAATCAACAAGGAAATAGAAGACTTAAACAACATTATAAACCAACTAAACTTAACCAAAGTCTATAGGACACTTTACCCAACAACAGCAGAATATGTGTTTGTTGTTCTCAAATGCACATGGAACATTCTCCAAGATAGACTATATGTTGGGCTATAAAACAAGTCTCAACAAATATGAAATGACTAAAATTACAGAAATGTCAAAAGTATGTTTTTAACCACAATGGAGTGAAATTATAGATCAATCACAGAAGGATATTTGGAAAATTCATCAAGCTACATACTTCTAAATCAAGCTACATACTTCTAAAACAATGGGTCAAAGAATAAATCATAGGGGAAATTACAAAATACTTTGAGATGAATAAAACTAAAAATATTACATATCAAAAACTTATGAGATGCAGGAAATCAATGCTTAGAGAAACTTTTATAGCTGTAAATGCCTAAATTAAAACAGAAAGATCTCAAATCAATAATCTAACCTCCTACCTTAAGAAACTATAGGCTGGGATTAGTGGGTCATTCTTGTAACCCTAACACTTTGAGAAGCTGAGGCAGGAGGATCACTTGACCTCAAGAGTTCAAGACCAGCAACGTAGTGAGACCTTGTTTCTACCAAAAAATTTAAAAAATTAGCCAGGTGTGGTGGCTCATGCCTGTAGTCCCAGCTACTTTGGTGGCTGAGGTAGGAGGATTGCTTGAACCTAGGAGATCAAGGCTGCAGTGAGCTGTGATTGTGCCACTGTACTCCAGCCTGAGTGACACAGTGAGACCCTGTCTTGAAAGAAAGAAAGAAAGAAAGAAAGAAAATAAACTATAAAAAGAAGAACTAAGTTCATTAAGAAACTATAAAAAGAAGAATAAACTAAGCTCAAAGCAAGCAAGAGGGAGAAAATAATAAAGATAAAAATGGAAAGAAATGAAGGAGAGAATACAAAAATAAGAGAAAAACAAATTTAAAGTTTGGTTATTTGAAAAGATCAGCAAAACTGACAAATGTTTAGGTAGACTGATAAAATGAAAAACGGAGAAGACTCAAAGGACCAAAATCAAGAATTAAAAGGGGATATTACTATTGACTTTAAAGGAATAAAAATGATTACAAGGGGGATAGTATGAACAATTGTATGGAAATAAATTAGACGAAATGGAAAAATTTCAAGAATCACACAGACTACCAAAACTGACTAGAGAAGACAGATGCGATAGATCAGATAGATAAAGGGAGGGTTCTTGCTTGCAATAGAATGCCAAATATGGAGTGAGGTGCTAAAGTGAAGAAAGTTATTATTTTGTAACTATCACAATTAAGACAGGCTCAGGCAAAAATTATCAATGGATGCTAAATCTCAGAGGAAATTTTGATGAGGAGTAAGATGTCTGCATGGCCTTCCACTGTATGCCAACACATAGTTATTAGTTAAAATCAAAAAAGATAACTATACAATAGAGAAATCTGGCAATCTGTTGGCAATATATTGGCCAGGTGATTAAAATTAACATTATCGATGAGAAGACATCAAGGGTCTCTAGATGTGATACCTTGAGGGTACAATGTCACTTGTGTAGTACCTAGTCTGGGAATGCATAATGTGAATCTAATCATAAGGAAATACCAAAAAACCCCAAGTGAGGAATTTGCTATTAAAAAAGAGAGGCTGTAATCCCAGGACTTTGGGAGGCTGAGGCAGGCGGATCATGAGGTCAGGAGTTTGAGACCAGCCTGACCAACATGGTGAAACCCCATCTCTACTAAAAATACAAATACAAAAAAATTAGCTGGGTGTGGTGGTGCATGCCAGCTACTCAGGAGGCTGAGGCAGAAGAATCGTTTGAACCCGGGAGGTGGAGATTGCAGTGAGCCGAGATTGTACCACTGCACTCCAGCCTGGGTGACAGAGCAAGACTCCACCTCAAGAAAAAAAAAAAAAAAGGGAAAGGGTGGGAAGACTGCATTCTTCAAATATATCCATGTCATAAAGGAGAAGATATAGCTGTGGAAATGTTACAGTTGAAGGGTACTAAAGAGATACAACAACTAAATGCAATACCTAATACTGGACTGGATCCTGACCTGGAGGGAAAATTATGGTTACAAAGGGTCAACCGACAAAATTGAAATGCAAACAGTAGGTTAGACAAGAATATTGTTATCAATGTAAAATTTACTTAAGTGATAACTATATTGTAGTTGTGTCAGAAATTATCCTAATTCTTTACACTGATGTATTTAAGATAAAGAGCCATGCCATATGCAACCTACCCTATAATAGTTCAAATAGAGACAGAAAGAGAGAGAGAGAGAGAACTAGCTAATATTAAAGCAAAATGGGCAAAACATTACAGAGAGGTATTCACAGTCACAGCCAACTTGTAGACCCCTCCCTGCAGGATATTTATAAGCGTGTTCTTTGTACTATTATTAATAATAATTTTTTCTTGCAGCTCTTTTGACATTATTTTCAAATAAAAAGTTAACTACACAGATTAATGAAAGGTCTGCAATACTTATTTCCCCTTGATGGTCCTTCAAGATGCTGAGGGTCTGTTCTGCATTTACCACATCCTCTTCTTTCCTTGTATAGGCCTCTCCTTTTATAGACCTGTGAGTTCTCAGAGTACATTATCATTTTCAACCTTGAATTCCCATTGAAACCCTTGAATTCCCATTGAATCATCTGCCAAAGACGACAGTTTATTTTTCTGTTGATCCAATCAAGAAAAGGAGAAAGCTTCCATGAATAATAAACAGATGGGGACTACAAGTTCCTGTGACTCTGCCGGGCTCTGCCCAATGTGTCTCTCCATTCTGGCTCCCAGGCTACAGGAGCACAGCCTCTGTCAGTCTTGCTATCTCTGGCAGAGGACAGCAACACAGAGCAGAAGGACCTCTTTAAAGCCTAGGTTTAATAATGACAACATTTTCATGCTTAAATCCTTCAAGGATAGGCTCGTTGGAGAGCCTACAGGGTTCTACTGATCCTTATGTGGCTTGGTTTCTGTGATTTTCTCCTGTCCAATTTCTAGTTTGGCCCCTCCTTTGCACTGAATGCTGCAACCTTCCTGAACTGCTAGCAGTTCCCCGAATTTACTCAATGCCTTTGCTCAAGCTTTTACACTTCCTGGAATCCCCTCCCACTCCTCGTTGACCTAACAAACTCCCACTCATTTGTTAAGACTCAAACCAATTGTTGCCTCTCCAAAGTCCAAGAACCACTTCTTAGGAATAGGACTCTCTCCCTGGTCCATAATCACCGTTTCCCACCCTCTTTGTGATAGGAATGATTACTACAAAGAAGACTTAGAAATCGTCAGCAGGGAAGCCCATAAAATTTGCATTTCCTAATTTTCTGTAATCTTGGTGGAGGACAGGAAGGAAGTGGCCAGGCCAAGGCCGTCTGGCAAGTTACCAGCAGGGCTGAGGCTGGAAGTCAAATACACATTCTCCTTTCTTTGTTGATACTACTGGGTACTCCCTGGGGCTTGACCCATTGCCCTTCTTATGTTCGAAAATGTCTTCTGGACTCTGTCAAACCCTAGACAACTCAATTTTGCAGGACCTTCTAGGGGGGCAATGTTGGAGGGCTTGTTGGCTCCTAGAGAGAGCACTGGAATGAGCATGTTTGGTTGGTCTTCAAGCTTATACCTAGTACCCAGAACCACATTTCAAGCTTCTGGGAGGTTGTGTGGTATAGGGGAAGGAGCATGACCTTTGGAGCCAGACAGCCTTGAGTTTGAGTTCCAGAACCGTCATTTACCAGCTTCTGAACCTCAGGAAAAGTAAACTTTCTAAACCTCGGTTTCCGTATGTGGATGATTTTTAAAATCAGGATTAAATGAGATAACCTCAATAAATCATTCCACATAAAGTCTGCCATACAGTAAGTGCTCAATAAGTATTAGTTGCCTTCCTCTGTCCCAAACTTCTCCTTCCTCTCTTCTGGGCTGGCAACTCTAATTTTAATGAATTAAGACAAGATCTCTTAGCTTAAGTTTCCCCAAGTGTAAAATAAGAGGGAAATGGTTGTATAACTCATATGACCCAGATCACGGCTTCTTTCTATTTTGCTTTTATCAATCTTCTCAATCAGGTCTGTGTACTGAGCACAAAGGCTGCCCATGGGTGTGACATGAACAACGGAGGTTTTGCTCTCAGAGGAAGTGGAGAGGGGTTGGGAGGTACCTGGGGAAATGCAAATTTCATGGCTAAGTAGGACTTCCCTAGGTCTGCTGACTTCCAAGATGCTTCTGAGGCATAATTCCAGTGATGATGTGAAGGTGTGGGGCCAGTTCTACCCCCACCAAAAAAGGCCACAATCAGTATATTCATTCCACAAACATTTTTAGCACTTGCTGTATGCCAGGCATTGTTAGATTGGGGAACCATGAAGGTAAATAGAGCATAATGAAACTCAATCAGGATATGGGTGGATTGACCTAAACCCAAGAGATTTGGTTTCTGGTTACGGCTTTTCAAAAACTAGCCATATGGTAAGTCCCTTAGAAGTTTTAGTCTCTAAGTATTAGCTTTCTTGGGGTGAAATGAAGGAGTTGAAAATATGACTTCTATATTTGTTTGCTTTCCTTCAGATTATACTTCTCCTCTCAAAGTCAGCTCTGTGTTTTCAAATAGCCCCTGGAAATCTCCATATGCATGAACCGTAAACATTTAAACTGACCATATCCCAAGCCAACAAATAATCTTATACCCCTTGCTCTCAATTTTGCCCCTAAGTTATCTCCACCTCTTATACTTCCTTTCTTAGAGAATGGCATTGCCATCTACTGGGAAACTGAACTGGAAGTGTAAAGGCCATAGTATATAGGCCACTCTCCTTCACAGCCCACATTCAATAAGTCACCAAACCCTGAAAAATCCACCTATGAGATAACTCTCCAATGGATCTCCTTCTCTCCCACCTCATTGCTACTTCTCCAGTTAAGACCCATCATTTCTTCAAATCTGTTCCTAGCCTGTAGGTCTACCTAAATTTCTCTCACACTAAGGCCAAAGTAATCTTTTCTTTTCTTTCTTTTTTTTTTTTTTTTTTTTTTTTTGACAGATTTTCACTCTTGTTGCCCCAGGCTGGAGTGCAATGGTGCAATCTTGGCTTACTGCAACCTCCGCCTCCCAGGTTCAAGTGATTCTCCCATCTCAGGCTCCCAAGTAGTGGGATTACAAGCACATGCTACCAGGCCTGGCTAATTTTTGTATTTTTAGTAGAGATGGGGCTTCATCATATTGGTCAGGCTGGTCTCAAACTCCTGACCTCAGGTGATCTGCCCACCTCAGCCTCCCAAAGTGCTGGGATTACAGGTGTGTAATCCCACCACGCCCAGGCAAGGTAATCTTTCTAAAGCAAAAATATGAACAGGTCACTCAGCTGCTTAAGACTTTTGGTGGCTTCCATCAAAGAATGAATGGCTTTCCAAGAATGTGTTTAATTATTTGTGCGCAAAAAGGAGTTTTGATCAGGTGAAAGGGGAGACACTGCCTCCTGTGGAAAGTCCTGGGTTGTGTATCCTTGCAGGAATGAAAGAAAAACAGATCAAAACAATGAGGAAGAGAAGAGAATAGCAAATATTGAGTGTTCACAATATAGCAAATACTGTACTTTATATACACTGCTGTTTTAACATTCAAAAGGCATATTAGGTATCTTTGCTCAGGTTTTCAAAAATCAGACTCTGAGATGGAGATTTGTGTGTGAAAAGTTTATGGAGGAGTGCCCATGAAATAATCAATACCTGTGAGGGAGTGAGGGAAGTAAGAGTGAGCAGAGGAAGAAGTTGAGCTGCGGATGCAGTTGCAACAAAGTCCTCAGCTGACTCAGTGAGGAGCCCTGGAGCTAGAATGACCCTCAGAGCTGTTGCAAACTGAGGCAAAAGGGGACTGGACTTTTATATCCTTTCATCAACCAGTTGGCCCAGTTGTTTGATGTGGGTTCCTCAGGGAAGGAACTGGCTAAGGGCAGTTCCTGGGGAGGAACTCAGCTGAGAGCTGTCAGCCACCAATACTTCCTGCATGGGGAATGACTGCTTTGGTCTTGAGGGGGAGATCGGAACAGCACATCATAGCATCCACTATGTGAGATAACTTGTAGTGCATTATTTTATAGATAAGAAAACTGATTTTCGCCAACACCATGACTTATCCAAGGTCGTACAAGTAATGAGTGAAATCCTTGTGGTTCTAATTCATATTTGTCTTCATGTTCCTTTAGCTACATATAACCATGCAATGATAACCTTTTTTGATGAAGCTAGCAGAAGAAAAGAAATAACTAAAATCAGAGCAAAAATAAATGAACCTGAGACAAAAAAAAAAAAAAACCTCACACAAAGGATCAAAAAAATAAAGTTGGTTGTTTGAAAGGATGAATAAGATTGATAGACTGCTAACTAGAATAACCAAGAAAAAAAAAAAGAAAAGATCCCAAATAAGCACAATCAGAAATGACAAAGGTGACATTACAATTAATATTGCAGAAATACGAAAGATCCTCAGAGACCACTATGAACAGCTCTATGCACACAAACTAGAAAATCTAAAGGAAATGGATAAATTCCTGGAAACCCATAAACTTCTAAGATTGATCCAGGAAGAAACTGAAATTATTAACAGACCAATAATGAGTTGCAAAACTCAATCAGTAATAAAAAAAAACTACCAACCAAAAAATGCCCAGAACTAGACGGACTCACAGTGGAAATCTACCAGATGTACAAAGAACAGCTGGTACCAATCTTACTAAAACTATTCCAAGAAATTGAGGAGGAGGGATTCTTCCTCAATTCATTCTATAAAGCCAGTATCATCCTCATATCAAAGTCTGGCAAGGGCACGACAGATAAAGAAAACTACAAGTTAATACTCCTGATGAACATAGATGCAAAAACCTTCAACAAAATACTAGCAAACTGAATTCAGCAGCACATCAAAAAGACAATTCATCAGGATTAAGTTGGCTTTACTTCTGGGATGCAGACATAATTCAGCATACACAAATCAATAAATGTGATTCACCACATAAACAGAATTAAAAACAAAAACCATATGATCATCTCAATAAATGCAGAAAAAGCATTCAATAAAATTCAACATCTCTTCATGAGAAAAACCCTCAACAAACTAGGCACTAAAGGAACATACCTCAAAATAATAACAATCCATGACAAAAACCACAGCTAATATCCTATAGAATGGGCAAAATTTGTAAGCATTCCCCTTAAGAATTGGAACAAGACAAGGATGTCCACTTTCACCACTTGTATTTAACTTAGTACTGGAAACCCTAGTCAGAACAATCAGGCAAGAAAAAGAAATAAAAGGCATTCAAATAGGAAAAAATAAAGTCAAATTATCTCTGTTCACTGACAACATGATCCTGCACCTAGAAGGCCCTAAAGATTATTCTAAAAGGCTCCTAGACCTGATAAAGAACCTCAGTAAAGGTTCAGGATACAAAATCAACATACAAAAACCAGTAGCATTTCTATACACCAATCACATTCAAGCTGAGAACCAAATCAATAACTCAATCCCATTTACAATAGCCACAAAATATAAAATACCTAAGAATACATTTGACTAACGAGGTGAAAGATCTCTATGAGGAGAGCTACAATACATGGATGACAGAAATCACAGATGAGACAGCAAATGGAAAAACAGTCCATGCTCATGGATTGGAAGAATCAATATCATTTAAATGTCCATGCTTCCCAAAACAATCTACGAATTAACAGAATTCTTATTAATTTACCATCATTTTTCACAGAATTAGAAAAAAAACAATTCTAAAATTCACATGGAACCAAAAAGAGCCTGGCTAGCCAAAGCAATCCTAAGCAAAAGAACAAAGCCAGAGGTACCACATTACCCAACTTCATACTATACTACAAGGTCATGGTAACCCAAACAGCATGGTACTGGTACAAAAATGAACACATAGATCAATAGAACAGAACATGAAACCCAGAAATTAAGCCATAAACCTACAACCAACTGATCTTTGACAAAGTCGACAAAAGTGAACAATGGGGCGAGGACACGCTATTCAATAAATGGTGCTGGGAAAACAGTCTAGTCATGTGCAGAAGAAAGAAAGTGAACCCCTACCCCTCCCCATATACAAAAATTAACTCAAGATGAATTAAAGACTTAAATGTTAGACTTCAAACTATAATAATCCTAGAAGAAAAGCTAGGAAAAACTCTTCTAGACATTAATCTAGGCAAAGAATTTATGACTAATATCTCAAACACAAATACAGCAAAAACAAAAATTGACAAATGGGAGTTAATTAAACTAAAGAGCTCCTGCACAGCGAAAGAAAAAAAAAATCAACAGAGTAAATACAACCTACAGAAAGGGGGAAAATATTTGCAAACTATGCATCCACCAAAGGACTAATATCCAGAATCTGTAAGGAACTTAAGCAAATCAACAAGAAAGAAACAAATAACCCCATGGTGTTAGTCCATTTTGCATTGCTATGAAAGAATGCCTGAGACTGGGTAATTTATAAAGAAAAGAGGTTTTTTTTGGCTGATAGTTCTGCAGGCCGTACAAACATGGCACCAGCATCTGGTGAGGCCTCAGGAAGCTTACAATCATAGTGGAAGGTGATGGGAAGCAGGCATGTCACATGGCAAGAGAGAGAGTGAGAGAGATGCCAAGCTCTTTTATACAACCAGCTCTTCCATGAACTCATTATTGTAGGACAGACACCAAGCCATTCATGAGTGATCTGCCTCTACGACCCAAACACCTCCCACTAGGCTCCACCTCCAACACTGGGAATTACATTTCAACATTTGGAGGTGAAAAACATCCATTTATATCAACCATTAAGAAGTGGGCAAAAGACATGAAGAGACACTTCTCAAAAGAAGATAGCAAGTGGCCAAGAAACATATGAAAAAGGCTCAGTATCACTAATAATCAGAGAAATGCAAATTAAAACCACAACGAAATACCATCTCACACATGCTAGAATGGCTATTCTTAAAAAGTGAAAAAATAACAAATGTTGGCAAGGATGTGGAGAAAAAGGGACACTATACACTGTTGGTGGGAATGTAAATAAGTTCAACCCCTATGGAAAACAGTATGGAGATTTTTCAAAGTTATTTTAGAACTACCGTTTGATTCAGCAATTCCACTACTGGGCATCTACTGAAAGGAAAAGAAGTAGTTTTATCAAAAAGACACCTGTACTCATATGTTTATTGCAGCACTATTCACAGTAGCAAAGTCATGGAATCAATTTAGGTGCCCATCAACAGTGGGCTGGATAAAGAAAATGTGGTATGTATACACAGTGGAATACTATGCAGCTGTAAAAAAGAATGAAATCATGTCTTCTGCAGCAACACGGATGCAGCTCGAGGCCATTATCCTAAGTAAATTAACACAAAAACAGAAAATTAATGATCACATGTCCTCACTTGCAAGTGGGAGCTAAATAATGGGTACATACAGACATAAAGACGGAAACAATAGACAGACACTGGGGACCCCAAGAGTGAGGAGCAAGGGAGTAGGGTAAGGGTTGGAAACTACCTATTGGGTATTATATTAACTATGTGAGTGATGGGTTCAATAGAAGTCCAAATCCCAGCATTGCACAATATACCCATGTAACAAATCTACACTTGCACCCCTTGAATCTAAAACGTAAAAAAAAAGAAACTTACTTGGCATAAAAATTTTATTAGCATAAGGTCAAACTTGAACCCTCAGATTCTTTGGGTGGCAGTATAAATTGTCCAAACATTAATCATTCAAGGAAGAGCAGAACTGGGCAATAGTGGAGCCAAATATCTAAGATCCCAAATAGAGAGCCATGAGTCTGTCAAATAGTGGAAGTAAAGTAGGAGGTGGGACTTGACTCTGGAAGCAGGGCTCAGACACAGGACCAAGTTGAGGACTAGCTGAAACAGGGCTGGAGTGGAAGCAGTTTTCCATAAGACAAACCCACCAGTGTACCATGTCAGTTTACCATTGCTATGGCAACACTCAGAAATTACCGCCCCTTTCCCTGGCAATGACCTGACAACCAGGAAGTTACCACCCTTTTCCTAAAAATTTCTGCATAAATTGCCCCTTAATTTGCATATAATTAGAAGTGGGTATAAATGTGAGTGCATAACTGCCTCTGACCTGCTACTCTGGGCACACAGCCTATGGGGTAGCCTTGCTCTGCAAGGAACAGTATATGTCCTGCTGCTGCACACTGTCACTTCGTAAAAGTTGTTGTTTAACACCAGCAGCTCACACTTGAATTCTTTCTTGGGCAAAGCCAAGAGCCTTCCTGGGCTAAGCCCCAATATTGGATCTCACCTGTCTTGCGTCAGAAATATCAGGGCCTGTGGAGCCTCAGTGTATAACTCAGGATAAGAAGAGCAGAATCATGCTTACGGCAGGCCCCTGATGAGTCTGTTTGTTGACCTGGGCCAGTGGCAAGAAATCTCCTGGGAGCTAGACAGGTCAAAGGGCGGAAAGGAGTGGGGAGAAAGAGAGCGCCCCAGGCCAAGGCTGGAGGAGTTTCTAAGAAGACGGGAAAGACTAAAGGAAGTCAAGAGTTAAAAATTCTTAATGATAAGTAGATTAGGATGTGGGGCAAGAACTTAGAAGGAATGTCATAAAGGGAGGGCATAGGATCACTGCTATTCTCTTTCCCTGGTCTCTCCTTATCTGGCCTTCTTGCCCCTAGATATGAAGGACTCCGATAATGGCTTTGCTAAACAGCATGTATCCTGGGCCAGTGTGGTAAGAGGCAGTAGAGATTATATCCAAGTACTGCGTCTGCTATTTATTTACTGCGTCACCTCAAGCAAGTTATTTAACTCTCTAAGCTTCAGTTTCCTCATCTGTGAATTACCTGTGGATAATAGTAAGGTTAAACCTGGTGCTGAGCTCTTGGAAAAGTTCAGCTGTACTGCTGTAGAATTTTCATCTTCTTGTAGTCCCATGACATACCATACTTCCGTGAGCAAGCCAAATTAAGGACCCATGTTCTTAAAATAGATTCTTGTGTTTTAAAGAGTTCAGTAAACAATATAGGAAGCAACGGTAATTGCTTGTCTTTCTCCCAGCCCTCTGTTCCAGGGAAGGATTTTCTTATGGAGTGGGAGTCTCATCCAGGAGAAATAGTAGATATTCTAAGCTGCAGGCGAAATGTCTCCACAGAAACTTTTGCTGGAGGTTCTGGCTGGAGGGAAATCCAAGAAGGACGGCTGGGTCTCAAAATGCCATCTGAGCATGCAGCACAATATCCCAGCCAGTTGGGGCCCAGACAAGACCAGAGTTCATTTTAATAGTCTTTATCCAGGTTCTGTCATCAGAACTGGGCATCATGAGCCATCCTTCTTAAAGACAAATACAACAGAAAAAGAGGCTGCCTCTTAACTGACTTATTCACCCCTGGGAAAATTTCTTAAGATAAAACGTACTCCTTGTTGTTTTAACTCTATGGTCTTGCTCAACAAAGCAAAATTTAGAAACAATAAAACTAAAGAAGGAAGTGTCTATCTCTGAGTATGATCTTTACTTCTTTTACTCCATAGAACGCTTTTCAAAATTTGACATTTTAAACAATCTCATGATCTTCATTTGTTCTTTTTTCGAGGAGAGATAATGAACACAATGTTCTTTAAGAAATTGTTCTTCATTAAACTAGGCAACAACCTGTGAGTCATTGTAACGTATTATGTTAAATTTAAAAAAATACAAAACTATGTGCAACCCAGTGACTGTAGTTACAAATGTTCTTCTGGAATGAATAACCCACTGAGGCAAGAAAAAACTTCACTTAAGCCGCTGCTTAGTAAAAGGCACTTGGTGTCTATCCCAGGCACCAGAATCTTAACTGTAATTATTATTCGAGATTAGCCTATCAGATGTTTACTTACGATGATACCCAGAGGCATTTTTTACTTGAAATTGTATAATAAAGCAAAAAGATAAATTGAAGCGACCAAGCCCGCCATACAGAATGAGAACCTCAGAGGTATTTTATACAATGAAAATAAACACTAACTGCATTTACTGTACTGTGTGATTTTGGTATTGTCTTCCAATCCCTCCACACGTGGATTCTGTGAAACTGCATCAGGTGTGGCCAAGGGTTCAGTTCACATTTTCATTCTGTTTCACATTTTCTGTTCTGATTCATAGTCTACATATATAACTCTTCCTGTTACATATTATACACTGATATTTTCTTTATGAAATGGGATAGTCTATGCTGAGAAATTTCAATTCTTTTATAACAGGACTTTAAAACACTTATCACATCAAATCCATCTCTCTCTTCAATTGCTAAAAGGTCTTAATAGTCTATAGTGTGTTTTTGTCCCTAATTTATGTTGCAAAGTTATTGTTGCCTCCAATAGAGATGCCCAGGAATGACATTCATTTGTAGGGTGCCTGAAGCATTCTGCTCCATGTCTCTGAGGAGTGTCCTTGATCTTGACAACACAGCAGAACTTCCTGTGCATCCCCAGCTCCAGCTTTATGGTGTTCGTCATTTAATTAATCATGACCACCTCAGGAAACCATAAAAAGTGATAGACACCAAATGCAAAATGGCTTTCACATGTCAGGCACTGCAGTGAACATCTTACTTGTATTTATGCCATTTACTTCTCCCAACAACCCTATGAGATTTTTTTTCATCTTAACTCTGTTACTGATGAGGCAAGTGTGGCTTAGAGAGATTAAATAACTTACCTAACATGGGATGATTTATAAATAACAGAATGGGGACGTGGGCCCAGGACTATCTGACCATGTAGCTAGAGTTCTAAACTCGTCTGCTGCCTTATAAAGAAAGGTTTGGAAAATTGCAAACTTGAAAGCAGTTGTGATAGTTAAAAAATGATGGCAGATTTTCCTTTCTTTCTTTTTTCCTTTTTCTTTTTTTTTTTTTTTTTTTGACAGGGTCTCACTATGTCACCCAGGCTGGACTGCATGGTACAAACATAGCTCACTGTAATCTTGAACTTCTGGGCTCAAGCAATCCTCCCATCTCTGCCTCCTAAGTAGCTGGGACTACAGGCATGTGCCACCATGCTTGGCTAATTAAAAAAAAACTTTTTTTTGTAGAGCTGGGGTCTCATTATGTTGCCCAGGCTGATCTTAAACTCTTGGCCTCAAATGATCCTCCTGCTTTGGCCTCCCAAAGTGTTAGGATTGCAGGCATAAGCCACTATACGTGGATCACATTTTATTTTCTTTCTTTTAAAGACATTTCCTTCAGTGCTATATTACATTTGTGATTTTTAAAAGAGGAGATGAATATTAGTTAGGGTTCTCCAGAGAAACAGAATCAACAGGATATATATACATAAAAAGATTTATTATGAGGAATTGGCTCATGTGATTATGGAGACTGAGAAGTTTCATGACCTGCTGTCTGCAAGCTGGAGATCCAGGAAAGCCAGTGGTGTAATTCCAGTTCGAGTTTGAAGGCCTGAGAACCAGGGGAGCTGATGGTGTAAATCCCAGTACAAGGGCTCAACAGGCAGGCGGGAAGCAAAAGGGACAAATTCCTCTTTCTGCCTTTTTGTTCTAGTCAGGCCCTCAATGAATTGGATGATGCCCACCACACTGAGGAGGGCAATCTACTTTCCTGAGTCCATGATTCAAATGCTAATCTCATCCAGAACACCCTCACAGACACATTCAGAAATACTGTTTAATCTGGCCACTTCATAATGCCATCTAGTTGACACATAAAATTAACCATTGGAGGATGGAACCCTAAAGTCAAAAAAAGACTACAATTCCTAAATATTTTTCTCTTAACTAGCAGTGTTATCTGATAAAGTCATTAAGTGGTAGACAATTAGATTTGTTACTCCATGTAAGTATATATATATCATTAAAGGATGTTTAGAATCACTATATTTTAAACCAATGAAATGGTTTTCTCATGGTCAGTGCTGGGGCAGGCACGTAGATGGAGAAGAGGTGGGTGGATGGAGAAGAGGCAAGTGGATGGAGAAGCAGGTGGATTGGGCTTCCACCACTCGGCTTCATCTGGAGTTACTTTCCACAATTCACCTCTCTCTCCAGTGGTCCCAGTTAGAATTCTTCACTGAAGATTTCTACCCTATAGCTAGCTTTTCCAAGCAGCTTAAGTGTCCTAGCTCTCCCCTCTTTCCTGGACTCACTTCAGGTCAGCCCACCTCTTTGGTGTGACGGTGCAGGAATCGCTGCTCTGGACTGCATAAATGGCCCATGAGTATCTCAGAGGGTCATTAGATGACTTCATGGAGCACACAGCCCCCATTTCCCCAGCTGTCTCTGTTTCTCAGGGAGGTCATTGGTTAGTTAAGGACCAGAACTATTCAGAGACAGAAATGAATTCTGCTTCCGATAGTGGTTATCCAGGGTTTCCAGGGTACTTTGCAAATTATCTTCTATCTACCACTCTGTCTAAGAACGCAGACCAGGGTTATGGGAGGCAGTTTTTGGAGCACAGAAAAGATCTGAGGCTGGTGACTTAATAGCCACTGTCACCAGTTCCTGAACCCTATTCCTTCCTAGAGGAGTAGAGTGGCATGGGCATTTCCCTTTCTTTAACAATGTATGCCAGTAAAAAGCAGGCTAGCAAATTACATGACTGCCGCATGAGGTCATTTGAAAGGTAGTAGGAAGCACCCCATTCCTACCATGAATGCTTCTAAAAATGCTGTGGAGAGAGTCTGTGAAGCAGTGACTCTTTCTCGGTCACAGTCACCCCTTAAGGGACATGAAGAATTCAGAGTCAGTTCAGCGCAGGCCCCAGGAAGGCAGGGATCCCCACATATTGGGTCTGGGGTCTGGAAGGATGGAGGAGCATCAGTGGAAATGACAGCAGTTTGAGAGGAAGTCCTCAGATGGCAAAGACCCTCAGATGTCTCTCCACTTCCAGATTCCAGTTCCCTAAAGCAGGTCTGAACTGCTGGAGGAGGTACTGATGTGAGACACCTGGTGAGGGCCTTGCAGTGGGCACTCCCAGCACCACAGACTGGATACGGGGAAGAAGGCACTGCCAGTGGGATTTTCAGCCCTCCTCCCCAGGCCTGATCACTCAGCTCATCCATCTGGCCAGGGAGCTGATGGCAGGCATGAACATTCAGCATAAAGGAGCTGAGTAGAGCCTGGGCCTGGATCTGGGCTAGAGCCACTTCAAAGCCCAGTTTTCTTTCCACTCTCCCCTCAACCCTAACAGCCCCAGCGCCACAACAGGGCTATCTGGTTGACTAGTCTGCTCAGCCTCCATATCAGCCATCTGCCCTGTGGGCTTCCTCATCTTACCCAGCAGGGTGGACCCCAGGGTGTTTTTTCCCAGTGCTTTCCCCAGGCCAGTTTTAGACTCTTCAGTCAGGTCTACTAGGAGAGGTTTCGGAGTTTGGGGAAATTCTGTATTTTCATTTTGGTTTTGCAGGTTTTTTTTTCCTTATCCAGATAAATGTGCTCATGATGAGCTCCATGTGGCCAGGTGATCTGGCCTTAGTGGCCCTTCTCTGTGGGGTCAGTTCATGCTATAGGGGACCTCTGGTCAGAGGCTGTGATGATGATGACCTTTGGCTGGGAAGCCAAGACACTCAGGAGCAGTCCAGACCAGACACTGTCAGGCAGGTGACGTTGGTGCCCGTAGCCACAGTGTCAGGAGAGAGAGTGGCAAGGCTTAGGGACCCATTGAAGAGTTTAAGAGGTAGGAGATGGCTTCCATGCATAACCCACTTGAGGTTTTTTGGGGAAGGCTATTTTCTACAGAAATATAGTCCTCCTCATTCTCAGGTTGGGGCTCTGCATCACCAAAGGGAAAGAATGGTGCTGAGCCACAGACACGGGAGGCCAGGATGGGAAATAGTGCTCACCTAGGATTCTCCTACTGCCCACGCTGTGGCCTGTGCCAGAAGGAATGTTTCACAGATAATGAGCCATTGGCCAATAAGAGCCTGAAGACTGTCTAAGATTCCTGCCCCTCCACACCTGTGGGCGTTTCTCGTCGGGTGGAATGAGAGACTTGAGAAAAGAAAGAGACACAGAGAAAAAGTATAGAGAAAGAAAAGTGGGCCCAGGGGACCAGCGCTCAGCATATGGAGGACCCGCACCAGCACCAGTCTCTGAGTTCCCTTAGTATTTATTGATCATTATCAGGTGTTTCTCAGAGAGGGGGATGTGGCAGGACAATAGGGTAATAGTGGAGACAGGGCCAGCAGGAAAACATGCGAACAAATGTCTCTGCATCATAAACAAGGTAAAGCAAAAAGTGCTGTGCTTTTGAGGTGCATATACATAAACATCTCAATGCCTTAAAGAGCAGTATTGCCTCCAGCATGTCTCACCTCCAGCCCTAAGGTGGTTTTCTCCTATCTCAGTAGATGGAATATACAATCAGCTTTTACACCGAGACATTCCATTGCCCAGGGACGAGCAGGAGACAGATGCTTTTCTCTTATCTCAACTGCAAAGAGGCCTTCCTCTTTTACTAATCCTCCTCAGCACAGACCCTTTACAGGTGTCACGCTGGGGGACGGTCAGGTCTTTCCCTTCCCGCAAGGCCATATTTCAGACTGTCACATGGGGAGAAACCTTGGACAATACCTGGCTTTCCTAGGCAGAGGTCCCTGTGGGCTTCCGCAGTGTATTGTGTCTCTGGGTACTTGAGAGTAGGGAGTGGTGACGACTTTCAACAAGCATGCTGCCTTCAAGCATTTGTTTAACAAAGCACATCCTGCACAGCCCTTAATCCATTTAACCTTGAGTTGACACAGCACGTGTTTCAGCGAGCACAGGGTTGGGGGTAGGGTTACAGATAACAGCATCTCAAGGCAGAAGAATTTTTCTTAGTACAGAACAAAATGGAGTCTCTTATGTCTACTTCTTTCTACATAGACACAGTAACAGTCTGATCTCTCTTTCTTTTCCCCACACTTGGTATAATGCAAGTGGTATGGTGAATGGATAGAGCACAGACTCTGGAGTCAGATAATCCAGGGTTTGAATCCAACTCTTGCATTTTTTTTGGCTCTGAGCCATTGAGCAAGTTATTTAGCAGCACTATACTTCAATTTGTAAAATGGGGATAACTACTCCTGCTTCTTACTGCTACCAAGATCAATGAAGTAACACTGTGGAAACCCCAGGCATCCAGGGAGTTCAATAGCAAGATTTCCTTCCTCCTTATTCTCTTGAGTATTCATGGTGATACTCACCAGGAAAAAGGAAAGAGCTCTGATCAGTGTCAGGATTCCCAAGTTTGGTCCAGATCCTGCCTTACAAACACCACCAGCTCCTTTGCAGGGCTGTTAGGAGGATCAAATAAGGCTGTGAATGTGAAGGCTTTTGAAAATGGCTTTGTAACTACAAGGCACTATCACCTGTATATCTTCTGTTGTTGGTCTGTTGACATCTGCTCTTAATAGCTCAAGGAAGCAGCTCAGTATACTAAATGTACTAACTGCAAATCTCTGGTTAGTCACATTGCCCCTCAGGTCCTGTATTAGTTTCCTGTGGCTGCTGTAAAAAATTATCACAAGCCTGATGACTTAAAACAACAGAAATTCATTCTCCCACCGTTCTGTAGGCACAAGGTCTAAAATTAACATATTGGCAAGACCTGCTCCTTCTGAAAGCTCAAGGGGAGAATCTTTCTCTGCCTCTTCCAGCGTCTGGTGGTCTCTGGTGTTCGTTGAATTGTGGCTGCATAGCTCTAGTCTCTGCTTTGTCTTTTCACATGGCCATCTTCTTTGTGTCTCTGTGTGTCCTTTTTCTATTTCTTAGAAAGATGCACTACTCTCATTGGATTTGGGGATCACTCTGATTCACCCAGTATAATCTCATCTCAATTCTTACCTTAATTACATCTGAAAGATCCTGATTCCAAATAAGTCCACATTCTGACGTTCCAGGTGAAGAAGAATTTGGGGGCAGAGAGGACTCTATATAGAATCCACTCTAGAACCTCAGAACCTTCATCTAAACCATTTCTGACCCTCATTCAATGTATGTTTTTATTTAGTTCTAGATTGCACCAAACAGGAAAACTCTTCATATAGTGCCTAGCATTAGCTCAGTTATCTGTGTAGAGGGGATCCAGGAGATCAGAGTGGAGAGGCCTCATAGCGAGTCTAGAGAAGGTCTAATTCTGGAAATGAGAGGAAGGGCAAAGTAAACAAGAGAATAAGTGTCTGTCTTTGAGAGAGGAAGGTTTGACATGAATAGACAGCATGCATTCCAGGAGCCGTGCAGCTTGAGGAGAGAACACCAGTCTTGAAATCAGACCTGGATCATTGGTTTCCCATTTTTACAGGATGCCAATATTCTCACATCATTTAGTTATTTCAACTGATATTTTATGAATACGTAGACAGTATGCCATTCACTCCACCATTTGGATTCTCAGTTATTGTAACAGTGGTGTGTTGGTAAATGGTTAAGAGCCAGATCTCTGAAAAATAATATATGCATATATGTAAATGAGCTTGTTATAAATTTTGCTTATACGAAGAATGTGTAACACGCAATTTATAAAATAAAATTTATTGTATTTTAATAAAATGTACAATCCTCTTTATTGTAAATTCCATATAGCCACAGATCTCACAGGCTGTTTGCTTTCATATTGGCTTAATTCATATCCACAGCCAAACTGTGTTTACAAGTGACAAAGGAATGTAGTTCCAACATGAATGTTGGTTAATGTCTTTTTTGAAGTTAAAGAAATGTGAAACAACAAAAACATATGTTGGAACATCACTTGCTCATCAGTGACACTAGTGACTTTTTGCTGAATCAGATGATAGTTTTTGAATACTGGAAAAATGTTTCCTCAATTTTTTATGCTAATCCTAATGTAAGGGCCATAGTCATGGCACATGTTTAAGTTTACTCTGCATCATTATGTTTTCTCTATTACTTTCTTACATTTAGACAATCAACAAAACAGTAAAGTTCTGATTTATATTGCTTGCTGATTTCCATGGCATAAACTCTCACCATGGCCAGTTTCAAGCTCCCAACACTATGCCATTGAATGCAGAGTGGGGAAGAGAGGTCCAGAAGCACCAATGTTCCAGTATTTAATTTCCACTGTAGACACATAAGAGATGTCAATTACCTCAAGAACATAGATATCAGTAATGTCATAAAATAATTAAGAAACAATGAGCTTTGAGATTTTATTCCCTCTATTTAATATAATTTATTTAGTTGTGAAGTTTTTTTTAAAGGCAGGGTTTTGCTCTGTTGCCCAGGCTGGAGTGCAGCGGCTATTTACAGGTGTATTAGTCCACTCTCACACTGCTATAAAGATACTACCCAAGACTGGGTAATTTATAAAGGAAAAAGGTTTAATCGACTTGCAGTTCCACATGGCTAAGGAGGCCCCAGGAAACTTACAATCATGGTGGAAGGCAAAGGAGAAGCAAGGACCTTCTTCACATCACAGTAGGAGAGAGAAGAGCAGCCAAGAGCAGAAAATACTGCCTTATAAAACCATCCAATCTTGTGAGAACTCACTCACTGTCTTAAGACCGGCATGGAGGGGAAACTGCCCCCATGATCCAATCACCTCCCACCTTGTCCCTTTCTCAACACTTGGGGATTATGGGGATTACAATTCGAGATAAAATTTGGGTGGGGACACAGCGGCAAACCACACCAACAGGCATGATCATGATAGTCCGTTTTCACACTGCTATAAAGATACTACAGCCTCAAACTCTTGGGCTCAAGGGGTCCTCATGCTTCAGCCTCTCAAGTACCTGGGACTACAGGCATGTACCACCATGCCCAGCTTAACTGTAAGTTTATATAATTTAATTTAATTTTATATGTTTAATAATGGCCATGTTCATCAAGCACCTCACAAGATTCCTGAAAATCTATTTTTTATTTTTATTAAAAAAAATTGTTTGTAGACATGAGGTCTCACTCTATCGCCCAGACTATTTTCAAACTCTTGGCCTCAAAAATTCTCCCACCTAGGCCTCCACAAATGGTGGGGTTACAGGCGTGCCACTGTGCCCATCCAGATTCCTGAAAATTTAACAATTTTATGAGTTGGTACATGCTGACTCGAGCACACACCACTGGGAATAGTTGTGAGGAGGACAGTTGAGTGCTGGGGAAAGGAAGGAAGAAAACAGTGAGGATAAAGTTCACATATCTCACCAGCTTTTATTACCTGATCCCCATGGGGAGGCCCATCAGAGAGTGCCTATGACCTGTTACAATGGACTCTAAAAACACTTCCCTACTCTTTCAAGTCTCCCTGTGAGCATTGGTTACACTTCCAGTATCCCATTCTTATAGTTTAACTCATGAAAAAGGGCGGGATCCTCCTTCTGCCAATACTAGTTCCTTCTCCTCAATGAAAAGTTAGACACAAACTCCAAAATAAAGGCAACTCCCAGAATACAACACAGCCCCAATTAAATTAAAATGGCTTTTATCCAAAAGACAGGTAATAACAAATGCTGACAAGGATGTGGAGAAAAAGTACCCTTGTACACTGTTGTTGGGAATATAAGTTAGTACAACCACTGTGGAGAATGGTTTGAAGGTTCCTCAAAAAACTAAAAATAGAGCTACCATATGATCCACAATCTCACTGGTAGGTATACACCTAAAAGAAAAGAAATCAGTATATTGAAGAGATATCTGTACTCCCATGTTTATTACAGCACTATTCACAATAGCCAAGGTTGGAAGCGACCTAAGCGTCTATCACCGATGAGTGGATAAAGAAAATGTGGTACATATACACAATGAAGTACTATTCAGCTAAAAAAGAATTAGATCCTGTCATTCACAATGACATGGATGGAATTGAAGATCATTATGTTACGTGAAATAAGCCAGGCACAGACAGACAAACTTTGCACGTTCTCACTTGCTTGTGAGAGGTAAAAATTAAAACAATTGAACTTGTGGGCATAGAGAGTAGAAGGATGGTTACCAGAGGCTGAAGGGTAGTGGGGGTTGGGGAAGAAGTGGGGATGGTTAATGGGTACAAAAAAATAGAAAGAATGAATAAGAACTAGTATTTGATAATACAACAGTGTGACTATAGTCAATAATAATTTAATTGCACATTTAAAAATAAAAATATAATTGCACTGTTTGTAACACAAAGGATAAATATTTGAGGTGATGGATATCCCATTTACCCTGTGTGATTATTACATATTGCATGCCTCTATCAACATATCTCATATACCCCATACAAATATATGCATACCCCATACATATATATATACATACACACACACACACACACACACACACACACACACACACACACACATATATGTATATCTACTATGTACCCACAGACGTTAAAAATTAGAGGAGAAAACACACACACAACAAGGAGACTGAGCTGGAAGGATGGAGCTCTGGGATAGATTTGTCCTACATCCCTGCCTGGGAGGGAATCCACACACATGCAAGAAGACAAACTAGGAGCATGGGCTACTAAATTATACCACATTGCACTCATCGGGGTCACAGGGTTTCTTCCAAGTGACCCGCACATGCCCTTCCCATCTCTGTGTGACAGTGGCACCTGCACCAGACTGCATGTTGAGGTGTCATCTGAAATTATGAAATAAAACAGAAGTAAGAGGTCTATTAGCTCATCAAAATGCAGTTATCTAAGTTCAGCTGTGAACTGCCAAATTTGAGGAGTGATCCAATGAAACATCTTTTCTTTGCAATCCAAGAAGACTTACCGGAGAGAACTGCTCAGAGAATCTGCAACATCCGGTTCCTGGAGACAGCTAAGGAAAGAAGCTGGGGCGCATGTTTCTGCCCAAAGCCGGGTTTTGGCCGAGGTGACTACACACCCCCTTTCCTGGCTCCCATAGGCTAAGTGCCTGGCTTCTTGAGAAGCCTGCTTCTTGAGAACAAAAAAGTGATTTAAAGCCTCATGGGAGATGAGCAATCCTCAAGACACAAGCAGAAAAAGTCCCAGTGATACAGGAAGCGGGTTCAGGAACCTGCTGGTTCCTGATACATAAATCAGACAGCCTCTGCTGCATGACACGAAGCTTGCTTCTGCCTGGCATCTGTGAGCAGCTGCCAGGCTCCGGCCAGGATCCCTTCCTTCTCCTCATTGGCTGATGGATCCCAAGGGGCTCCTCTCCTTGACCTTCGTGCTGTTTCTCTCCCTGGCTTTTGGGGCAAGCTACGGAACAGGTGAGTGTTCATCTGCCTGATGGTTTGAGTCCCATGTTAGCTGCCAGGAATCAGCGTATCTTCGTGGATGGAGAGAAGGTGCAGGGCTGGGTATTGTGTTTGGTCACTCTTCCTTAGGGACTGGCTGTCAGTTTCAACTGCCTCTTTCAAAGAGGAAGGAACATTATAAGTTCCTGGGCCCTTGGGTTTCCAAGACTCAGCCCCACCAACCCCAGTTTCCAAGGAAATGAGGGGCTCTAAGCCAAAGGCTCCAGTCACTTTTCTGACCAGTCTTAGGGTGACAGGCCCTGGTAGAAGTCTTGCTTGAGTGGTTGGTTTTACATGGGCATCTTCTGGCAAAGACCCAGCCTAGAGAGACTGAGCTGGATGGACTGAGCTCTGGGAGAAGATTTGCCCTACATCCCTGCCCTGGGAGGGAATCTGTGCACATGCAGGCTGACAAACCAGGAGCATGGGTCAACAGAAAGCATTGGCTAGAGTGGGAAGAGAGAGTAGAAGTGAAAACTCCAGGCTTTTGGCTGAGAACCAGCAGTGGCCACAGTGCGGTCATACTGGTGTGTATTTTCTTGGAAGAGAAGGTCCAAGAAAGCAAGAGGGAAGAAGTTGGGATTTCTGAAGGCTAGGGCTGGTTACAGTATGTGGGAAATGCAAATTGGGAACCCTCAGAGAGTAGCTCCAGCAGGAAGGCCAGACAAGAGCTACCTTTGGATCTGGACTCTGTTCCTGTCTTTCTGTCTATCTTCTTCCCAAGGCAGGCTATTGCTTTCTGTTTAGAAGTATCAGGGCTATGAGAAAAGGTATTTGAGAAAGAAAAAGCCAAGCAAGAAGTGGACTTTGGACTGCCTGTGTGAGTGGGGTGAGAATCTCCTTCTGCTTATTTGTTTAGACTGTGGGAGGTAGCCTGGAGTAGAAGAGGTGGCATTACGGACACGGGGGGAAATCCTGAGGCCCAGGGTGTTTTAAGCTTGGGGTTTTCAAGACCGCAAATCCAATATGGACTTTTCCAGGAAAAGCACCGTGATATGCCAGGGATGTGGGGGTGCTGCACAATGGATGTGTCTTTTACCAGACAGCCAGACGAACAGGGCTTGCTCAGCCCACTTTCTTTTGGAATCTGCAGATCCATGGCTCGTACTTCCCAAGGTCTAGGGGAGGAAGAACTGAGCTCGGGGCTCAGAAAACCAAATCGAGCCACTTTAAGTGGTCACAGGGAAAGCCAAGCCTCCGTTGTTGCAACCAATTTGTGACTGCACCATTTCTGGAGCACCTCTTGGTGACTGTAAGGTGTGATGGAGTGATGGTGCTGAACTGTGAACTGGACTTTTCCATCTCTGTGCTTGCTAGCCTCTTGGCCAGCCTGGCCCATAGCATCTTAGGCACTGCTGACCAATAGCTCGTCTTATTGAGGCTTTGGAAGTCGCCGGTCAGGGAGAAGCAACCCAGCCCCACAAGGCAAGTCTATCCAATCGGAGGCTGCTCACTTCATTGCATGTTTTCTTCTTTGAATCTTCACAAAAGTTTTTCAGTGTTTTTATTTTTAAATACACACCCTTTTGTGAAGCCCCAATAAAACCCAGACAGAAATGCTTTGCAAATGGGGCAGGTTAGTCATGACAGATTTGCCCAAGCAAGAAGCTTGATTCTTGTAAAACTGGCATCCACTCCCATTCTCATTTCTACTCAGCTCAACTTCTAATTCCCAGTCAGAATTGTAAAAATCAAAAAGTCCACATGTCCCTTCCCCAAGTAAAGTGAATTTTTCATTTCCCCCGATGAGATTTGTTTTAATAGACTTTATTTTTTAGAGCAGTTTTAGGTTCACAGCAAAGTTGGGCAGAAAGAACAGAGATTTCCCATATGCCCTCTGCCCCATACATACATAGCCTCCCCTATTATCAATATCCCCCACCAGGATGGTACATTTGTTATAATTGATGACCTTATGTCAATGAGTTTTTTTTATTCCTCCATGCAGTTCCTCTGCACCCCCTTCACACACTTTGGGGGAAGGTGAGGGACAAGTGCGTGGGTTCTAGACTTGGCCTAACCTTGCGTGTTCAGTGGCCCATTCTATCCCAAGATGTCAATCTAGGCACTTCTATTTCTCAAAAATATTAATACTGTGATGTGATGCTGTCACTTTCACTGTCTCCCTCACTGGACTGGAAATCAGAGTATCAGGGCTAATTGGTTTAATCCATAGATTTGACTTTGAATGATCCCATTCAGCAACTATTAAGGACACATGATGTGGCAGCCACTGTGCAAGGGTGCAAGGTGTGGGGAAAACAAAATGAACAACAGCCACTGCCCAGCACCTGACACTGTGTCTGTACTGAGAGCCTGTCCACAAATATTTGTTGAGTGAATAATACTGGTATATACTGCATACTTGCCATATACCAGGCACTGTTCTAAATGCTTTATGTGTGTCAGTCATTTCATTTTCACACCAACCCTATAAGAAATGTATGTATTATTGGTACCATTACAACTTTATAAATGAGGAAAGGGGCACAGAGTAGTTTAGCAATTTCTCTGCGCTCACATAGCTGCCTGACTCCAGAGGCCTCAATGAGTAAAACTGGACAAGCCTATGTTTGGGAAGCAGGGGTGGAGAGAATGCCAAAATTTGTATCCAGGTCCCATGGTAAAAATTAGAATGTGCTATCTATAATTGAAAAATATGAGTTGAATTGAATTGGAATAAATTGAAGTATAGAAATGTCCAAAAGGTGAGAGACTGATAAAAATCACAGAAGAACGTAGAGGGCATATAAGAAGTATTTGACCTGGAATTTGGAAAATGAAAACTTTTTTTCATCATGCAAATGTTCATTTAATTTTTTTTTGTTAACTAGTTTGTTTATTGATTATCACATCTATAAAACATGTCATGTCTATGAAACTTCAACAGTACACAAGAGTATTTAGTGAAGACTAATTTCCCTTCCATACCTCATGCTGGAGGCAACCACTGTGACCAGTTTCTTGTGTGTCTTTCCAAATGTATAGGTCTTCGTGTTTGATAGATCAGTACGGTGACTATAGTTAACAATAATCTATTGTACATATCAAAATAACTGGAAGAGAATAATTCAAATGTTCTTAGCATAAAGAAAAGAGAAATACTCAAGGTGATACATATCCCAATTAACCCGATTTGATCTTTACACAACATGTGAGTGTATCAGACAGCACATGTGCCCTGAAAATATATACATCTATTATGTATCAATTTTTTAACATGGCAGAGAAGAAATCAGAGATAAAGAGGGTGGGGAAATAAAACTTCTCTCGACTTTTCAGTGTCCTGGTGAAGAGTACTAGCTCTGACATTTTTTCATACCATAAGAATTAAATCTGTAGTTATTTGCATAGGTAATTGCTCTGATCCAAACGAATAATAAAATTTTTCCCGAGAGGAGCAAATGGTTATAGCCTGAACAAGGTCCCTAGGTAGAGCGCCCAGGGTGCCATGAAGCCTGGAGTCACTATCTTCCTAAGCAGGCCAGCATAAGCTTGTGCCATCATTATGCAGCATGCAAGAAGGAATGAGCCCCAGAACTTGGAGTCAAGTCCCAGGACTTGCCATAAAAGCCAAGACATGTAACGGACTATCTGGCTCCTGGAGAGATTTATCTACCTACCAAAGTGTTGGAATAAGGAGCAGACCTTTAAGACGGGGAGGGGGGATAGCTGCCTCCTCCCTCTTTTATAGGTAGGGAAAATAATTTGTCCTTGTTTCTTACCTATGGAGTGTCTGTTTACTCACATAGAGCAATTGACCTTGCTCTTATCACATCATCCTAGGGGGAAGTGGGGGGCCAAAGCATTTACTATTTACTGTGAGTCATTTAATAAGAAATTTAACTCTAATCCAGTATATCTCATGTGCACATTTGGGATAAAGTTAATAAAAATGAATATTAAAAACTTAGCCCCAAATAAATGGGTCCGATGGGCTTGATTTTTATGGAACTTGAGAAGGAGCGTTCTAGAAGGAGGCACAAATGCAGAGGTAAAGGGTTTCAAGTGTTCTTGGCAAGTTGTCTGTTGTACCTGAAACCTAGGGTTTATATTTAAGGCACTTCCATGTCCTCAGCTGGCAAGTGGGGAAAAGGGTCCCCACCACTTTCTTCCATAATATACCTCTTAGGGATACTATAAAGGCAAATCAGAGTACATTCTGCTTTTGGAGGGAGGAGAACTTGGACTCTGTGTTGTCATTTGCTCATTTTTCATTCATCCCATTCTGTTTTATTAATTCACTTGGGCAACAAGGATTTACTGAGCTCCTACTATGTCCCAGGTGGGTGTTAGGGATACTGTAGTGAATAAAACAGACACAGTCCCTACTCTTGGAAGCTTATAAGAGTGGGGGATTACAGGCATTGAACCAGAGTTGAACACGTGATGAATGATATGAAGGAGTGCGTTCATTGTCCATTGGAAGTCTGTGACAGGAAAACCCAACCTAAGTCAGGAGTCAGGAAAGTCTTCCCTATGAAAGAGATGTCAAAATGGAGACCAGAAAGATGGAAGTTGTTAGCTAGGCAAATAAAGAGTGGTTATAGCCTCTAAGGCTAGGGAACGTACATACTAATAGTCTAAGATAGAAAGACCCAGCAGTGCCAAATAATAAAAATAGGACTTTGACTGATGGGGATACAGTTTAAAAAGCAAACACAGACAAGATGTCTTTTCTTTCTGAGCCTAAATTTACCAAAAGAACTGTGGGGTCTGTAAGTTCTGTTCCTTCTGTACCTGAAAGAATACTGTAGCAAGATGCTAAAAGCACATATGAAAGTGTCAGGGCTAGGCAAAAAAATATAATACAATAAAACAAAAAGAGTTATCATTAGGTAGAAGCCCATCTTGTGAGAGGGTTGGCTAAATCCTACTATTAATAATTTTTGACCAAACTCCATAGGCCCATGTGAATCACTCATTTTTCGAAGTAGAATTACCCATGAAGGAAAGTGAGTTGGTGTTAACAGCTACAAATGTTTCCTCCCAGACTCTTTTAGTAAATAAGGGCTGGCTGAATCACAGACACACTGGAAAACACTCATCTAGCAGGATGTTTCAGGAGCAGGGACGCCACTCGAGGGGTTTTATGAACCACTTTAAAGCCCCCACTTATTTTTCCACCTTGTGCTTATGTGAGGGTGATCTCAAGTACCCCCTCCAGACCCCAACACTCACACACTCAGGTATTGCGTCATCATTCTTTATGTGGGTTGTGGGGTATAAGGGTCTCTTCCTGATGAAGTTTTGGTTCCACTCCTCATGACTGAGTGTGCATAAAACCACTCAGCCTCTCTCATCTACCCCTCCCTTTTCCTCTTCCTCTTTCTCCTTCTATGTTCTTTCGTTTATTTTATTTTTTTATTTTTTTATTTTTTTGGTTATTCCCTACCTCTCTTATATCCCTCTTTCTCCTCCCCCAATCAACTCCAAGTTCTGAAAGCAACCATGGCGCAAAGAGTGTGCAAGGTTAGGTGGGGAAGGAGTGCATGGGAGCCATTTTGGGGAGTGGTGGCGATGGGTTATGGCCTGAAAATGGGATTTTTTATTCTTTTTTTCTCCCTATCAAAGTTGGTCTTTAAAAATCAACACTACGCTAGCAATTTTTAATCTTGTTTTGAATCTCAGATCCCTTTAAGAGATGGCATTTATGGATGTGCTCCCAGAAAAATATGTATACGCTCATCTATACAACTTTTTATACAAAAGTCTGGAAGTTCATACTTGCACATATGGCTTTAAATTTTTTCTCATTTCTTTATACACAGAAGTTTAGGTTCAGGATTCAAGAAGTTACTCTTTTAGGTACTGTGCCTACAAGTCAGGTATGTAGCCACCAAAGGGGTCACATTATCTAGACAGTCAGGCATCCATAAGTGTGGTGGAAGAAAATCCAACATGCTTCCCAGTATATTAATGTAAAAACAACCACCACCACCACAATAACTATAATGTTCCTCATGTCATCAAGCAGCAGGGGAGAGCACTCTGTTTTAAGCTTAATATATTCGCAATATTTTAAAAGACAAATGCCTAATTGCCTTTCTCACTTTTCCTCAACAATTAAGAATTTCAATCACTCTAGGCCAGATTTTAGCCCAGATAGACTTCTTTTTCTTCTTCCCCAATCACTGAATCTCTAGTCTACTATTAGCTGAGCCCTTTACTGAGCAACATGGGGATTTCGGGGTATTTTGGTGACAAGAATATTTGGGCCAGTGTGTCCAATTTTCCAATAGCTCATCTTAGCCACAAGTCAGTTGTGAAAGAGTCTCTTCTAGGTAGCTGCATTACTTAAGCTGATGGTTCTATTTTACTCTCTGACTTTCTTATCAGCTAGAACAATCTATGCTCTCTTTGAGTCATGGGCTCCTTCTTTTATGAACACTAGCTTATGGTTAAGTTCAGATATATATATATGTGTATGTATATATATATGTATGTGTGTGTGTATATATATATATGTGTGTGTGTGTGTGTATATATATATATATATATATATATATATATATATGACAAACCTAATAACCTAAATAAGAGGCTTTGGTCAGGTATTATGGTTTTCAGCATTCATTCATTGAACAGATATTTATTAAATGCCTCCTATATACTAAGCACATAGCACCTGTTTGTAGGTCTTGGGGTCAAAATAGTGAACAAAATGAAGTTCTTCCTCTTGAGGCTTTTGCATTCTAGTGGGAGAGACAAAAATAAAACAAACAAATATACAGTATAATATAATGCAGTGATAAGTGCAGAAAGAAACACAAAGCTATTTTAGATAGATGGTCAGAGGAGGCCTCTTGGAGGAGAAACTGTTTTGAGCAGATACCTAAAATAAAGTGAAAGAATGAGCTACCCAGGTATGGAAGGGAAGAAATTCTTCAGAGAGAGGAACAGCAAAAGCAAAAGTTCTGAGACAGGAATGTTCTTGGTGGGTTTAAGAAACAGCCAGGAGCCAGTGTGGCCGTAGCACAGTGAGCAAAGAGGAGGGCAGGAAATGGAGTTGGAACAGTGCCACGGACTGGGCATGCAGGGCCTTTGAAGCCATATCAATAATGGACTATGGTTTTATTCTATCGGTGCTAGAAAGCCACAGAAATTTAAAAGCAGGAGAGAGACAAAATAGGACATGGTTTTTAAAGATGATTCCATCTATTGTATGAATGCAGGGAGATCAGCTGGAAGAAGACGGCAGTACCCAGGCCTGGGATGATGGTGGTGGAAATGCAGGAGGTGAAAAGGGTTCAGATACCAGACATATTTTGAAGTCAGAGCCAGGAGGATTTGCTGTTAAAATGAGTGTGGAGTATGGCTGGGCACAGTGGCTCATGCCTGTAATCCCAGCACTTTGGGAGGCCGAGGCGGGCAGATCACTTGAGGTCAGGAGTTCGAAACCAGCCTGGCCAACATGGTGAAACCCCGTCTTTACTAAAAATACAAAAAATTAGCAGTGCATGGTGGCAGGCACCTGTAATCCCAGCTACCCAGGAGACTGAGGCAGGGGACTTGCTTGAGCCCGGGAGGCAGAGGTTGCAGTGAGCCGAGATCGCAACATTGCACTCCAGCCTGGGCGACAGCACAAGACTCCATCTCACAGAAAAAAAAAAATTGAGTTTGGAGTATGCGAGAAAGAAAGGAATCAAGGATGTTTCCAGTGTTTTGGCCTGACAAATTGGCTGAATTATAATGTTTGCAGAAGGTGTTCTGGAACCAAGAGTTTGTTTGCTAAGTT
Organism: Homo sapiens; assembly: GCF_000001405.40. Classification (NCBI taxonomy): domain Eukaryota; kingdom Metazoa; phylum Chordata; class Mammalia; order Primates; family Hominidae; genus Homo; species Homo sapiens. The sequence continues at coordinate 160,639,104 of NC_000001.11, read as the reverse complement.
TGAAATGCCCTTTAGACCTCCAAGTCCTGTCTTGTGTAGGCAGTTGGGAGTGCAGTGAAGGTTTTGGTTGGGAGATATAACCCTGTAGCATCCCAGAAATATGTCAGACTGTGCAATTGGGTGAGAAACTGGATGAGTGTGGATGAGAATGAGAACTCCGAGTACTGAGATGCTCCAGTATTTAGAAGTCCAGAAGAGCAGAAGGCTCCTGCCAAGAAAACTGAGCAGAGGCAACCTATATAGGATAGGAGAAAAACCGGGAGAGTATGTTGTTCCCTGAGCCAAATGATGACAGCGTTTGAAGGAGGGATGGATGAACTATGTCAAGTACCCCTGAGAAAGCAAGTAAGATAAGAACTTTGACTTGGCTTAGTGGAGTAGACAGTGACCTTGACAAAGGTGGTTCCAGCGAGCAGTGGGGAAGAACACCTGTTTATAGTGGGTCCAAGGAAAAATGGGTCTGGAAATGGGAAAAGAAACTATAAACACACATTAAAGCACTTTGCTGTAAAGGAAAACAGAAATGGAGAGGTATCTGGGGATGGACCTGGGATCAGGGGAGATAGTTTTAATATAAGGAAACTACAAGTTTATATGTTGTGTATTGATGGAAATAACCTAGTAAAAAAAAACCTGATAATGTGAGGGACAGAGGCAATTGCCGAAACAAAGCCTTGAAGTAGGTGAGTGCTCCGTGGAGGAAGAGGCTCGACTTAAGTGGGAATGTAGACCATCCATCCAGGTAGGTAGGTTGATTTAGTGGTGGTAATAAGTGGAAGTTCTCTTTTTGTGTTTTCTATTTTATACTTCAGTGAAACAAAAAGCAAAGTCGTCACATGAGAGAGGAGGGGGAAAGGCAGGTTGTGGGTTTGAGGAGAGAGGAGGTGTGAAATAATCAGCAGCAGGAACCCTCATAGTGGTTTGAAAGGCTCTTGGTATTTTTTTTTTTAACCTTGTTGTTGGCTCAGCTTTTTTGGAAAAGAGAAATACAGTAATATCTCACTGTCGACATTATTAACTATCTCAGGGTGTTTGGAGAGAGAGGATTCCACAGTTTGAACACTGGGCTTATCACTTCCTGACTCCACATTCCTCAGATTTTTCTGTTTTCCTCATGATCTGAAATGCTTCCTGGGCTCATGAGCTCAGAATCACTTTTATTTGCTCTCCATCCTTCATCCTGTATATTCAATGGTGGAAAAAACCCTGGTAGAGGAATTAGCAGAACTGAATTCTAATCCTGACTCTGCCACTTACTAGTTAGGGAAGCCATTTAACTTCTCTGTGCTTTTTAGATGCCTGAACAATAAATCTGAGTTGATAAAGACCCAGTACTCTAGTTAATCTATACAACTCTATCCTAAGTAATTTGAAGATTTCTATTGACAGTTTTGAAGTATTGAGAATATAGTGGGGATCCTCAAGGCAGTTCTTATAGACCACGAAGGACTTGGCAACCCCAGGGATAGCCAAAGAGGAAGAGGGAGAGCCTCCAGTCTGTCCTTCCTGATCTGCTGACACGATGTTGTCTAAAGGCCTTAATAATAAGGGACTCTCTTCTCCTCCCTCCCACAGGTGGGCGCATGATGAACTGCCCAAAGATTCTCCGGCAGTTGGGAAGCAAAGTGCTGCTGCCCCTGACATATGAAAGGATAAATAAGAGCATGAACAAAAGCATCCACATTGTCGTCACAATGGCAAAATCACTGGAGAACAGTGTCGAGAACAAAATAGTGTCTCTTGATCCATCCGAAGCAGGCCCTCCACGTTATCTAGGAGATCGCTACAAGTTTTATCTGGAGAATCTCACCCTGGGGATACGGGAAAGCAGGAAGGAGGATGAGGGATGGTACCTTATGACCCTGGAGAAAAATGTTTCAGTTCAGCGCTTTTGCCTGCAGTTGAGGCTTTATGGTAATAATGGCGGCTTCCCCAGTCCACACTAAAGGGCCAAGGTGCTCCTTTGACCAAGAATTTAGGTCTCTCTTAAAAGCAAAGGGTATTCAGAATTGGAAGTAACTAGAATGATCTTCTAGTTTGGGGGTATTTAAACCTGCTGCATGGAAGACGTTTTAAAGGTTGACATTTTTTTTTCCAAATTGCATATTGATGGTAGCTGATTAAGCATTAGTTACTCTTACTCCCATTTCCCAAAGGAAAGGGGCACAGCTCCTTGTGGGCTGGAGGGCCGATAGACCCAAGGATCTTGGTTTGCAAGTAATATTTTATTTGAAAATAGGATTTTTTTCTGATTAAAAGAAGTTGAATACCACAGATCAAACCCAGTCTCTCCTACATGAGGACAGTGAAATCTAACCAGAAGCGGTTAGCACATTTACACACATTTGTGTAGGTGTTTCACTGCACTGGGGGTTCTGGATAAAGATGGCTAAAATTCAGCCCACACACCACTTGTTAAGCCCTGCATTCCGGCACCAGATCATACCTACTTGGTGGAAGAAGTGCCTTTTGGCATTTAAACAAAGGCTTTGGTTATAAAGTCTTTTAGTTGCTGTACTTAAACTAGGAACCAAGTCCACCTGAATCCAAGGCCAGTGCTTTTTTGAGCCTTTTTAACTACCAGTCCCTCTTGAGTGCACCCAGGGATTGTGTCTCTTAGGCCCAGAGACTCATCTGAATTCCCAGGGATCCTGATAGCCACATGGGGCTTTCCTGCTTCTTCAAAATGACTTCCTTATCTCTGGGGATGGGACAGGAATTCCCACCTAACCAGCATTTCTTTGAAATTCTCAAATATCTAGAGGGAAGGCAGCAATACTCTCACCAATCCTCCCTCAACCCAGCATTCCCTTTCCTTCAAACAGTGCCTGCGGAATTCCCATGGCCCTCCCCCAGGTACCTGAGAGTCATTTCCAGCAGTGGCTCCAGGCACGACTGCCATGAGCGTGGAGGCTGCACATGATGCATTTTCCAAAACGGTGTGGATGCCAGACATTCTGTCCTTTGGTTCCTATGTTTCCTGTTTTTGTCACATCTTGTGATCAAATTCTTACTTTGGAAAATGTGGTCTCTGCAACCATGGCATTTTTCTCAAGCCAAAGGAAGAGTTTGGATTTTGAAGTCAGACAGACCTAGGTTCAGATCTTAACTTGGCCACTTAGAAGCTGTGAGTTGTAAGATATTCCACCTCCCTGGGACTTGGCTTTCTCATCTATAAAATGGGGAATAATTACAACTAGAGTTATAATTGTTGAGAAGATTAAAAAAGATGATGAGGTGGCTCACGCCTGTAATCTCAGCACTTTGGGAGGCCGAGGCGGGCGGATCACAAGGTCAGGAGATCGAGACCATCCTGGCTATGGTGGTGAAACCCCATCTCTACTAAAAATACAAAAAAAAAAAAAATTAGCTCAGCATGGTGGTGGGCACCTGTAGTCCCAGCTACTCGGGAGGCTGAGGCAGGAGAATGGCGTGAACCCAGGAGGTGGAGCTTGCAGTGAGCTGAGATTGTGCCACTGCACTCCAGCTTAGGTGACAGAGCGAGACTCTGTCTCAAAAAAAAAAAAAAAAAAGATGATGAATGTGAAACACCAGCACTGTGCTTGTCCTATAATAGTTGCTAAATAAGCAAGAATTTACCTTTTATGTGGCCTATTTCATGGCCTTAGAGTGGGATAGATTGATGAGGCCTATGGTTATAATTGAGGACCTATCACTATCTCAGACACACAAAAGCACTTACTACACACCCACCCACTCACTCACCCATGCGCCCGTGTACATGCGCGCGCGCGCACGCACACACATACACACACACACCCTCCCACACACATCACGATAGATGAAATCCCACCACTAAAAAGCCATTCTTTTAGGTCTAGGAAGTAACAACGTAAGCCAACTAAAAACCATGGTGGATTAGTTGACAGCAAACTCCACTGATAGGAGACAGGAGAATAGCAACTTAGGTCAAGGACATCAGGAAGGGCGAGTGGAGCCCTAACAATATTGGTAGAAGAGGCCTAAAAAGCAAATTCTTATTTTCTATTTTATCCCAAGGTGGTCTTAGATAGGATGTAGTGGGGCATGATGGACAGTGTGAAGCAATAGATTCCCCACTAGAAATAAATCACATTGAGGGGGAGGGAAAATGCCATTAGGCTGTACTTTGTTCTAACAAAAAGGTCAAGTGAGAATTCCCAGGGGTTCACTTCAGTGATGGCTCCCTTCCTCCCACTCCTGACAGAGCAGGTCTCCACTCCAGAAATTAAAGTTTTAAACAAGACCCAGGAGAACGGGACCTGCACCTTGATACTGGGCTGCACAGTGGAGAAGGGGGACCATGTGGCTTACAGCTGGAGTGAAAAGGCGGGCACCCACCCACTGAACCCAGCCAACAGCTCCCACCTCCTGTCCCTCACCCTCGGCCCCCAGCATGCTGACAATATCTACATCTGCACCGTGAGCAACCCTATCAGCAACAATTCCCAGACCTTCAGCCCGTGGCCCGGATGCAGGACAGACCCCTCAGGTGAGTACACTGGTGGCAGCCTGTGTGCCACCTTAATGAGCATGGGCTCAGTCTTCACATGGTCCAATTGCTCCCCAGCCATGGCATTCACCTTAGTAACAATACTTTACATTTTCTTTATAGTTTGCAAAAGTTTACCATGTGCATTTAGTGAGCTCACTCTCATATTGACCAGGGTGGCATTTTTATGCTCAGTTCACAGTTGACGAAACCAACAGGAGGTGATAGAGACAGACCCAGAGCCTAAGTCTCCAAGGCGTAGCCTTCTCTGCCTCTTGCCTTGACTCCAACCTGCAAGGTTGGCTGGGTGAGGGATTGCAGGTGGGAGGGCCTGGCTCCCAAGTCTATGCTCCACTAATGCTGGGGCAGTTCTACACCGTCAATTAGTATTTACTGATCACCTACCTGGTAAGAAATTGTGAATAAATATGATATGTGATCTCTCCTCTCTAACAATTCATTGTAAAGATAAGACGTAAAACATTGCTTAATAATGAAACACAGGATATAGTGAAGGTCCTCGTTTTATGGAATGGACTGTGAATCCCATAGCAGGGCCAGGGGAGTCAGAACGAGAGACTAAGACCTGGACTGTGAAGTTTGAGGAAAAATAATAAATTGCACAGCGCTTCATCATTAGCAAAGCACTCTCAACTGTGTAATCTCTTTTGATCCTCACAATAACCTTGCCAGATAGGTGTTATACTTTCATTTTACAGATGAGGAAATTGACGTTCATACCATTTAAGTACCCTCTTCAAGTTTCTTTGGCATGTAGATAGTGGAGTTAACCCCTAAACCTACATCTTCTGACTGTTCTTCCTCTAGAAAGAAAAGCATCATTATTCTGTCAGCAAAAGGAAGACAGAACTTACTAAGTAAGCCCATTTAACCACTTGGATACAGGACAGAACACAGGCCCTTTTCACTAACAGATCTTGTGTCCCTGCCTCAGGCAGGTTCAGGGACTGTAGGACCAGGGTGTTGCTCTGCAAGGCATTGCTTACACCCTGACATTCTCCTCTCTGCATCCACTGGGGGGACATAGGAATCGTTCCAATGGGTCTTCTGCCTACAGTAGCCATGGTGTCCATGTGGAGGGCTTTCCCAGGTGGTCATGGTTGAGGGACAGGGGAACTCAGCCAAGTAATGCCCTTCCACATAGCACTGCCTGTCACAGAGACTCCCCTGGAGTATTCCCAGATGGACTGCTGGGAAAATCCCACCTGGCCTCCAGTGTGCCCCTGGAAGTTCTTGAATGAGTCTAACCCCCTGCATGTTTCCTCCCCAGACATTTCATAGCCAGAGTCCCCCGTCCTCTCACTTACTGGATATGTCTGGCTGCTTGCCCACCTTGCATACAAACCACATTCAGAGGCTACCCCCCAGTTCAGAGCGCTCTCCCCACCCACAGTCATTTAGAAGGTGCTGGCAGGACAAGCAAGCTGTGCAGCATAGTGGGTAGCTTACAGAATGTGACCCCGGAAGTCCTAGAGCCAATGCTGCCCTTTCTACTTACAAGGGCAAGTGCCTCAATCCCTCTGAGATTTAGATTCTTCATCTCTAAATAACAGCAACTGGCGGGTCATCATGGTTTACTATGTGCCAGTTATGTGGCATCTCAGTTAATCCTCACAGCAACAAAATAATATTGATAGTATCCCCACTTCACAGATGAGGAAACAAAGCTATAACATGGTTAAGTAAGGTCACACACAGAGCAAGTGATGGAGCTAGGCTTTCTGATTCTGGAAGCCTCATAGGCATTAGTGAAAGAGATAAAGCACTTAAAATGCCTTATAAACCATAATAAAAATGTAATTTTTATTATAAAAGCTACAAAAATATAATGTATTTTTTAATTGTAAATGAGGAAGCAGTAGCCCTTACCTCAGCACAGCCCTCTCTGGGTATAGCTGCCCTATTAGAGTACAAAAACAGGGCACTGAATATTTTACCCTGGCCTAACCCAAAAAAGGGGCAGAACTTTCTTCATGCTCCTCAATGTAGTTTAAAAAGAATTTAATTAGGGCATACCAAAGTGTTGGTGGGCCATAAAGCTTATACTAAGGGCACTCAGCTCAGGACGTTCTAAGAAAACATGTGAAGATGGACTTACCCATCTAAGCCACTCTGAGGACCAAGAATGCACCAGTGGGAACCAGATTTACTGAGTAGGAAGCTGGTTCTTGTGAGGAGTGGAGGGACAGGAAGCAGTAGAAACCTGGCACCACAGGAAGGGCCCTGTCAGGATCTCGGCTCGGTTTGTAAGAGAACTGTCCAGCCGTTCCCCTCTCTTGGGTCTCTGTTTCATCCCCAGTAAAATGAAAAGGGCGAACAAATGAAGTCCCTCCCAGAGTAGACAGTCCTTGATTCAGTGTGTGTGTGTGTCAATAAGAACTGCCAATAGAGGCTTGCCACTGTGTATGAGTTTGCTAAGGCTGCTGTAACAAAGGACCACACACTGAGTGGCTTAAACAATCAAAATGTATTGGCTCTCAGTTCTGGAGGCTAGAAGTCTAAAGTCAAGGTGTCAGCAGGATTGTTCTTCTCTGAGGGCTGTCAGAGAAGGATCTCTCCCAGGCGCCTCTCCCTGGCTTGTAAATGGCTGTCTTCTCCTTGTCTCTTCATATCATCTTCTCTCTATGTGTATTTCTGTGTCCAAATTTCCTCTTCTCATAAGGACAACAGTCATATTGGATTAGGGCCCACCTGTCTCAGTTTGCTAGGGCTGCCATAATAAAGTACAACAGATTGGGTGGTTTAAATAACAGAAATTTATTTTTCTCCTGGTTCTGGAGGCTAGAAGTTTGAGGTCAAGGTGTTGGCAGGTTTGGTGTCTTCTGAGGCCTCTCGCCTTAGCTTGCATATGGCTACCTTCTCACTGTGTTCTCACCTGGTCTTTCCTTCGTGTACTCACACCCTGATCTCTCTCTCTCTCTCTTTCTCTTTCCTGGTGTCTCTTTGTGTGTCCAGATTTCCTCTTCTTATAAGGACACCAGTTAGGTTAGATTAGGGGCCACCCTAATGACCTCATTTTAACTTAATAACCTTTAAAGACCTTGCCTCCAAATACGGTCATATTCTGAGGTCCTTGGGGTTAGAGCTTCAACATAGAAATTTGGGGGAGGGGAGACAAAATTCAGCCCAAAACATCTCCCTAATGACCTCAGTTTTACTCAATTAACTCTGTGAAGACGCTATGTCCAAATAAGGAAATCAACATATGAATTTGGGAAAACACAATTCAACATGTAATAAAAGTAGAGATGCCTCCTCCCCACCCTGCCAGCCTGCAGGGATAGGGGACCAGACCTTCCCTGCCTCAGAACCAGATCACACAGCTGGTTTGTGGCCTGCCCTGCGCAGTATACCAGATTGCCTAAATACTGAAAACAGAATTGTATCAGTACCTTGATTTGTGTTTGCGCATGAATAACGAATACTACCAGTTCTTAAAACACTGCACTTAGTTTGACAAAACATTTACACTCTACATTGTGCTAGGGGCCAGTACACAAAGATAAAAAAGACATGATCCTTGCCTTAAGGCAGAAGACAGCTGTATAAGTAAACAATGATCCGAGATTAGACAGTGTGACGGATGTAAAATGGAAATATATGCAAGGCAACAAACAGGAGGGAATTATTAACACTGTCTCGGGGGATTAGAGAGAGCATCCCAGAGAATGTGACATAAACTGGGTTTTAAAAATAAGTAGAAATTACCCAAGCTGATGAAAGACATTCCAGGCAGAGGGAGGAGCAGATACAGCTGGGTCTTGCTCTGTATTATCTTGTAGGTGATAGGAACTAATAAAGAGTTTTAGATAGAGGAGTGACACCATCAGTCTTGCTTTTCAAAGAGGAACTCCAGTAGTATAGAGAACAGACTGGGGCAGGGAAGTGGGGAAGAAAGAGAAACCAGTTCCTGGGGGCCATTATTGCAGTCATCCATCAAAATGATGGGACCCGAGCCAAAGCAGCAACTGTCAGTTAACAAAGACATTTTTCCTAGGGCATACAAAGGAAAACCCCAGCCTTGGGATGAAAGGGTGGGGTCCGAGGGTTTATTAGAGGTTGCTTTGCCATCTGTCATCAGGACAGTGATTTTAAGACATTTTTCATTTTCATTAATGAAAACCTCACAGCGGTTAATGGTGTGATGAGACGGAATGCAATGTGATGTGAGCACTGAATCTTGACAGGACTCACTTAAGCGAAACTGTGCAAAAACTTATATGTTCCTTGAAATCTTTTTCTTTAGGTGACATTTGTTCAGGTCATGTATTCATCCTTGTTCCAATTGCCATTTCAGTGTGTTAATGTCTATCATAATGAAGCATCTTTATTGCAAAGTCCAATTCTTAGGGTGCTATGAAGTACTCTGGCTAGGTCATGTGAAGCCAGTGGATGTGGGTCAGCTGTGGACAGTGTGTGACTTGCTGCCATCCTCGATGACTGTATTCTGAAATAGATATGGCTGTGCTAGAATGAAGGAATCTAGAAAGGAATGCCCCTGGAAGCTCATCTTGAAGAGAGGATCTTTTTCAGCAGATCAGCAAACCGCTGGCTCAGCACCTCTGAGTTAGCTCAGTGAAAGAAAAGGCTGACGCCTGCCAGTGAGCTCCGGAGGCTTCCCCTTTCTAACAAGGTCATTTCTTCAAATAGGGAGTTCCCATTGTTTCAGAGTCACTTAGATGTTCCAGGCACTAAGACAGGTCTCTCTCTAGGGTCTTCCCAATTTAGCGAGCGTAAAAACAATGGTGGAAAGGAAAAACCTGGAAACTTTGCACAGCCCAGAGCCTGGTCATGGGCCACACCCGCTATAAGGGAAGCTGAGACACATAGCTCCTAGCTGAGCAGCTACATGCCCAGAAAAGACTCGTATTACCACGAAAGCATGAGCGCAATCTCACTGGAGCTAGTAGCCTCTGCAATGCTGGGTGGGATAGGCAGGTTGTAAGTGATTTTTCTGGAAGCTGTGAACTCCGTAAAAATGTTTACTTGGATGGTCCCAGAACTTAAATTAGTATATGGTTCATGAGGATCCTTCCCCACCCCCAGTTCTGAATGGAAACTGCCACGAACAAGAATGTATCTCTTGAAGATGGCAGCCTTTGCTGACAGAACCACATGAAAGGCAGGAAGGAGATCCGGCACGCTCCCACCGTTACGCTAACGTCGCAGTATCTCCTAGGTGAACTGCATTTGTTTCTCAGATTCTTTTTAGTTTTCTTTTTCATCTTCCCTAAAAAAAATATTAATAATAAGATTTTGGGACTTGAGAAGAGAGAGAGAGAGAGAGACACGCTTCTGTGTTTCTGTGACAACACTTTCAGAGACAAGAAAAAAAACGCCCTCTGGCTTTTTCCTTGGATGTGTGACTGTCTGCCAAGTTATCACGTTTAAACCACAGACAATAGGTGGAGAGGGCCCAGGGTGGAGACTCGAGCAAAGCACTCTTCCCAAATGGCATGTGAGTTATTGACCAGCCTGCTCGGCCGCCTCTAAGAGCCTCGGGAGTAGGGGGAGTTCCAAACCTCTGGTTCAGAAATGTTCAGGTAGCATTTCTTTGTGAATGAAGGAGTCAGGAGCTTCTAGACCCCAAGACAACTTTGATTTCTCAGCATCACCATCCAGAGAGGCCTCACTACATGACTGAGCAAAGAGAAGAAGAGCTGGAGCTTCTGCCACAGGAAATGGTGGTTTGAAAATGGGAGCACAGGTGAAGCGCCGATGGCACAGACACACACTTGCCTCCTGGCTCCATCTTGTTATTGTAAAGTATAAGCCAAGTGGGTCACTTCTCCTTCCCTTTGATTCCTGCCTTGGGCCATTCAGCAGGTGACCCTGCATTCCTTCTGGTAATTTTTAAACAGAAAGCTACGTGACAGTCTTTTTCTAGATCCATTTTTGTGGACTCTCATTTAATTTAACTTAGTTCATCGAGTGCATATTGAGTGCCCTCCTGCCCTATATTGTTTCCGGTGGAATGGAGGATACAAATAAAGAATAAGGTACAGGGCCTACCTTCATGGAATTTGCAATCAAAGTGGGACTTCTACATCTTACTAGCTAGAAAAATATAATATTTAAAGAAACATATTATAATCAAGGAACTGCTACTAGAATTCCTCTTTGAAAAGGAATTGTATTTGTTTATGATAGTACCTTAATAAATGCTAGAAGGCAGGTGGAGACCCCCCAGGAATCTGGGTGTGGGTTGGATGGTTCTGTATGAGAATGGAGGAAGATGATACTTGTGCAGAAATGGGAAGAGAAAGAGAGAGTCTGAACCTGCTAGGTGGTGAAAGCTGCCTGGTTCACAATGGAATTTGCTCCCTGGGACCCTTCAATCTTCAGCAGAGAACTTAAACCCACAAAATTATTGGTGTAAGTTTTTAAAAAAAAGTTTTTTTGGTTTGTTTGTGGAAACTGATTGTATTAGTCCGCTCTCATCCTGCCAATAAAGACATACCTGAGACTGGGTGATTTATAAAGGAAAGAGGTTTAATTGGCTCATAGTTCCACATGGCTGGAGAGGCCTCACAATCATGGTTGAAGGCGAATGAGGAGCAAAATCATGTCTTACGTGGCAGCAGGCAAGAGAGTTTGTGCAGGGGAGCTCCCATTTATAAAACCATCAGATCTTGTGAGACTTATTCACTCCCATGAGAACAACATGGGGGAAACCACCCCATGATTCAATTATCTCCACCTGGCCCCACCCTTGACACATGGGGATTATTACAATTCAAGGTGAGATTTGGGTGGGGGCGTGGCCAAACCATATCACTGATGAAGTGACTAAACCTTGCACCCAAGGAAGCACAGAGTAGAGCAAGCAGAGTTATAGGAGCAAAGACTTAGAGAACCATGAGGAAATTACTCCCAGAAATTACAGAAATCATGTGCAGCTTGACCTGAACAAACTGTAATAGTAGCACTTTTTTCATACTTATCCAAATTTCTAAGAGCATGGGGTCTCTGACATTTGATTTCCATGTAAATATAATTAAAGAATAGCAACAAATGGATGAGCACCAAGTATAAAAATACTTGGGCCTACTATACAGGTAGGGAAACTAAGCCATAAGTAAAGAACAGATGGGACTGAAGCATCTCTGGACACTGGTGAAGAGACTCCTTTGGACTTAAGATCAAACTCATTTTCTTGTCTTTCCAATCAATCAACAAGAATTTACTGAGACTCTATTATGTACTGAGTACTAAGAGAGCTGTTAAAGTAGTGTAAGAGATGGTCTCTGGCCTCCTAGAACCTAGCAACTATTTGGAGAATTGAGGCTAGCAGAAGTAATTGACACTTACTGACCACATGATGGATTCCAGATATTGCTCTAGGCACTTTCCATACATTACTATATGGGTTTCTCAGAACAACACTGTGAACTTATTGTTATGCTCATTTTACAGATGAGGAAGTTGAAGCCACAGAGGGTATGAGTAGCTTATCTGTAGTCACAGAGCTATCAAGTGGTAGACCCAGAATTTGAACTTATCTATCTGGCTCCAAATACCATCACTGAAAATGGTCTGCATGGTAAAGATGATGTTGCCAAAACTCAGGTTCTAAGATACATGACATAAACCACAGGTGCTGCAGGAGTCCAAGGGACAGGGAAGAACAAGAGCTGGGATGGTCAGGAAAGGTGACACAAAGAAAGGAAGATTGGCCTGGGCATCAAGGCTAGGCAGGCATGGTGGACAGCTTAGGGTGCAGCAGGAAGGAGAGTATGGAGTGGAGCCTGGGGCCAGGAATGAGCATGTGTTGGATGGAGGATGATGAAGGATGGGTTGGCTGCTCAGAGGGCTTTTGACTCAAAAGGTTTGAGTCAAAAGGGCTTTGACATCACTACTGCCTTCTTTATGGGGACCGCATCTCCAGAGGCTAAAGCACAAACCACAAAATCTGCAGTTCCCATCTTATCCAGCTCTGCCACTGACTTTTTCTATGACTCTGGATACTCCTGTCTGTGTCTCAGTGTCCTCAAAATAAAATTAGTGGGTTGGGTGAAATAAGCACTATACTATAGTTCCCTTAAGGTTAAAAAGGTCTATGATTCATATTTGTATCCAAAGATGAGGAAAAAAATTAGAGTTTATGAAATATCTTTCAGGACCATGGCCAACTTGTCTCTCAGATCTAGATGGACTGGCAGAAGCTTGTCATAGGACAAAGGTAGCAGATTGCTTTCATCCTCTAGAGACCCTAGAAAAGATAGAGAGGGCCGGCGTTGTCATGTCCTGAAGCCTTGGTGCTGCACCCAGTCATCGTTAGTTTCTGTGAGTTGGTGGGCAGCAGAGCAACCGGCGTCGGGCGCGAGGGAGAGGAGGCTGACTCACCAGGCATTACTGGTGCAGTTTTGTCTTTTATTTTCCAGTTCAGAGGTACTACTTTGTCTGTTGGTTTTATTTTTTTAATCTCAAGTGAAATTGGAAAGAAATATTATCTTTTAAAATGATATAAATGGTGGGGGTGTTTCTTCTCAAATCAGTTGTTGTATTGGAAGTTCCCAAAGTATCTATGATAGAAGAAGAAAGAGGAACTAGTCAAAATAGTAAGTGCTACTATAATGGTTTGCTGGATCAGTTCCATAGGCTGACGAAACACAAAGTTCAGGCTACTGGCTTTGCTTCTTATCCTAGTATTAGAGTGATTTCTCCAGTGGTTCCTAGTGTCGATATCATAAACCTTGAATGAATCAATCTGTCTCAAACACACACATACACACATACACACACACACACACACACACACACACACTCCTGCACAGAGGGTTCTCAGTGACCATAAGTCACTCAGAGTGGAGCTGCTCCTTCCTCCAGCATCAGCAATGATTCAAAATGTCATGCTTTATACAAATTCAGAACTCTCTGCCTGCCTCCTAACTTTTTTTTTTAATCAGAGCATAAGACTGTTGAAGTTGGTATCTGGCAAAATTAAAACATTTAATTTAGGGGATAGAACCTATAACCAAGGTGTTTGCAAAGTCAGTTCAGTGAGATTCCTTGGGCTAACTTGATGTGTGAAAGGCCTAAGGAGAAAAAGAATCTTTTCAAATCCAGAAGGCAACTTCTTGCCAGCTATCAGGCTGGAGGCCCCTTTGGATCTTGTAGGCTGCATTTTATGAATTCATTGAGACTGTCTGTATCTTTGGTCAACTCTGTAAACATCTGATTGTGTCCACCATGATTCTTTCCTTTGGAACCCGACTATTTTTCTTTCAATTTCTGCCCCACAAATTCCTCACAGGTTCAACAACAAGCAGGCTTATTCCACAATCATCCTTATAAGTTTCCCTTACACATTAATGTTAACATCTGGTGTTACTCTATTTAGAACCTTAGTGCGAATATTCTACTTAGAACCCTAGGGCTTCAGCTCGGTCCCCACTGTTCATTACCCCGGTATAACTTTTTCCAAGCCCATAAGTCTCTCTAACTCTCCAAGAAGTCTGTCTTTAGTATTCAGCCACATTTCTACTACTAAACCAAGCTCTAGTTCTTGAGGTTCTCCAGGCTGTTTTCCTTCTCCATAAAATGAGAATAATGAGTGTACCTACCTTGTAAGATTATTGTGAGGATTAAATATGTTAGTACACATGATGCACTAAAAATATGTGGCCCATTGCAAGTGCTCAATAATTGTTCATTATAATCTTATTGAGCTACATGTCTTGTTTACTGGGGGTGATAATTCTCATTCACTGTTTGTCAAAGTGTTGCTCCTAGTTCAAAAGGATTTGATAAAGTGGGTAAAGGAGAGAAAACAATAAAAGTTTTCTCTCTGATTTTGAGCCTTGATGATTAGTTCTCGGGCTAATTTTAAACATGAAGATGATTTAGAGGAAAGACTAAATACTTTCCTTTCAGTTCAGGTCTGCTGGGTTCAACCCAGTTATTTGCATGAAAGGACAACAATAGCACTATTATGTTTATTTTTAAAAAAGATAAGTAGATCTTTCTTCCTCCCAGTGTCTCATGAGAATAGCGTGAATTCACAGGGACGGCACATGGAACCATTATATTCTCTTTACCCAAAATGGATACAGGACACATTAGCAATCTTAAGATGGAGAAACTGGGCAGAGAGATTGACTTAGGAGAGATGAAGATAATTTAATGTTAGACATGTGGTAGTTGAGTTAAAAATAAAGCATTTGGATAGAAAAATCTTCATGAAATTAAGAATGTGAAAGTATAGTGAGAGAAATTAGAATAAGAAAACAGATACAAAAATTTTCAGTGGTCTAAAGCTGACCTCTAAAACCATGAAAACAAACGTCTCCCTTGGGAGAGAATGCAGAAATAGAACATGAGGCTCCATTATCCCACTTTCATGTAAGATGTTTTTAAGCTCAGAATACTTTTGAGATTGCTCTTTGACTTCTTTTTTTTTCCAGAAACAAAACCATGGGCAGTGTATGCTGGGCTGTTAGGGGGTGTCATCATGATTCTCATCATGGTGGTAATACTACAGTTGAGAAGAAGAGGTAGGTGTCTGGCAATAAATAGATTCTTATCACACTCTCTGTGGTAAGCAGGGGACCTCTCTCCACAGGCTCGGACTTGCTCTCACAACTCTGGCTTTCTGCATGGGGCCACCTTTGCAAAAATAGTAGATAAACATATCCTGGGACCTTGCTTAATTCAGTCTAATTCAACATGTCTTGATCCCCTCTACTAGGCTGTGGAAAGAAATAGAAGAGCCACAGGTTTCTAATGTGAGAGACATTATTCAGATAATTTCAGTTTAGTGTGACTAGCACTGCCATCAGGGTAAACACAGGATGCTGAAGAAGTGAACAAGAGGTTTAAGAGTATTCACTGGGAACAGAATTCAGAAAATTATTGGATCTCATCCAAAAAGTCACCAGGGTTAGAATGAAACCAATAAGGCACAATTATTCCCCTGCAGTTGAAGTGCCTAGAGGTACCATCCCCTGTCCTCTCTTCCAAATTTCCCTATGATACAATATCTCAGGGCATTGTGCTCCCCTCAGCCACCTTGACTACTACCAACCAATACTGGAGTCAAAATGTCCTGACCCAAGACCAGGAGAGATGCCCCGGCTGCCTTCCCATGGTAAGGATAGAACTTGATCCTCATAACACTGAGCTGATGACTGATTTCATTCTCAAGTAGATCAGTGTCATCTACACACAACCTTCTTAGAAAAGCCCTTACCTCAGCACTCTGATGTTGGTTTTGCATATATAAAAAAATCTAGATCATAGCACAGCGACCTACTTGTGTCTCATTTCCTCCATCTAAGAGTTAGCCAGGTAGGAGGGATGGGTGATTCAGATAGAAATTAGGTTGACAGCCTATGGGGCTCGGGGTAGGGCAATCACATTTAGCTCATACTATAAGGAAATAGTGAGATGACCCAGGATGAGAAAACTGAACTTAACTTATCCACATTAACCTACCTAGTAAAATTGCTGGGATCCTACGCCATACTCTTTCCTCAACCACACTTGGCTTATCACATGGTTGTGCTCTAAGGGAATAGTGCTCCCCATCCCACAATTCCCCACTACCTTCCCCAACACACATACCCATCCTCACCTCAACCCCATTCACCATTTGTCCCTTGTAAGTTAGCAACACACAAAACTGCCTCAAACTTGCGGTAAAATTTATATTTAGTTGCTGCACCTTTCATAAAACCTTGCTAAAGAAATTATATTGGCAGCTTCTAATGCTATAATCATCAGAATGCAGCCTGACGCTGAAGGCTTTTCAATTTCATGACTCTTTGGCAATTTCATGTCCAGGAGAATACACTGATAAAGAATGTGGGTATAGGCATTAGACAAACTTACATTCAGATGCAGATTTTGCTACTGACAAGCTGTGTGATCAAATGACTTAACTTCTCGTCTGCAAAACAGGGGTAATACTATGTACTTCATGGTATTGTGGTGGAGATTGGTATCAATACACAGAAAACACTGAACACAGTGGTTCCCATCGATGGGTGATAGATAGATAGATACATAGACAGATAGATACATAGACAGATAGACAGATCTCTTAGTGTAGATGAATTAAAATGGCAATGTGTAAGTGCTATGGCCAGGAGAAGCTGCACTGGAAGCATCTGGAAACAATACCTAGAACAGATTGAAAATATTTTAAGTCATGGTAACATAAGACTTTATGCTTCAGGTAAAAGCTGAAAAGGATATTAGATACTCTATGCCCTCATTTTACAGTTATGGTAAGAGAAAAGACCCATTGAGATGACGTGATTTGTCCAATGCCACACAGCTAATGATGGCTACAATGTAGATGTCCTAATTTTAAGGCCAAGACTTTTTCCTTAGAGCCTAAGACCTTGCTGACTTGGAGCCGAGTTAAGCTTACTCCTAAAAACCTGTTCTTGCACTGGGGAAAATAACCTGAGACTAAATTATCTTGGTCCAATGGTCCTTTTAAGCAGCAACAATCAACCTCACCTCTTCCATCTGTCTGACCATTTAGGACTGTCCTTCCAGTTCTACATTTGACTCTGAGCTGACCTGCAAGACTGAAAGTCTTTGAGGACTGTAGTCTGTTCTCTACTCTATTTGTAGCCACTACAGCACCTAGGAGAGTGCTGGGCAGGCATGTCTTACTTTGCAAACACTCGTGGGGACTAACTTGAACCTCCTCTGCTACCTCCAACTGCTTCTTGAGTCCTCCCCTCCATTTTACACACACACACACACACACACACACACACACGCACTCACGCACACTCCTCAGTCAGGATCAACTCTGACCAAAAAAGCGAAGTTGAAACCACTAGGCACACCGTGCTCATACCCACACACAAAAAATCCCATGTTGACTTTCCTTGAATTCCTGGAACTTCATCAGTGTCTGCCCCACATTTCCTCCCCAAGACTCACACCCTCACGCAGCACATTCCACCATGCTCACCACATACACACTGGGCCTTTCCCTTCCAAAGAAAAATGTGCCTCTCCTAAAAATGCTATTTCCTCAGAGATGTGCCTTTTTTTTTTTTTTTTTTTTTTTGAGATAGATTCTTGCTCTGTCACTCAGGCTGGAGTGCAATGGCATGATCTCGGCTCACTGCAACCTCTGTCTCCTGGGCTCAAGCAGTTCTTCTGTCTCAGCCTCCTGAGTAGCTGAAATTATAAGCGCGTGCCACCATGCCTGGCTAATTTTTGTATTTTTAGTAGAGACAGGGTTTCCCCATGTTGGCCAGGCTGGTCTCAAACTCCTGACCTCGTGATCTGCCCACCTCAGCCTCCCATAGTGCTGTGATTATAGGCGTGAGCCACTGCACCCAGCCCAGTTTTTTAAGAGAATAAATTAACTGGTGTTAAAATAAGTCTACCTTAAAGGCTGTGATTTTCTGGGTCCAGCCTCCATTGCCTCTGCCTGGACTTTGCAATAATCCCATAATAAACCTCCATCCTTCAGTCTGCCACTTTCCCACCATCCTTACTGCTGCATGATGTATACAAAGGATACTGTGCAACTTTAGAAAGAATGAGATAGGTCTACTGTGCTAACATGAAAAATGTCCTCAATACATTTTAAGTGAAAAGATCAAGTTACAGAGAAGTGTGTGCAGAATGACACCTCTTGTGTGGAAAAAAGTCTATATAAGTATAGCAAATATCCAAAACTGCATTGTCTAATATGGTAGTCACTAGCCACATGTGGCTTTTTAAATTTAAATTAATTTGAATTAAATAAAATTTAAAATTCAGTGACATTAGTCACAGTTCAGGTGCTCCATAGCCCCGTGTCTGTAAGCTGTATTAGACACTGCAGATATGGAACATTTCCATCATCTCAGAAAGTTCTGTTGCACAGAGCTGATCTACAGGGATATACATCAAACTTTTAAAAATGGTTTCTTCTTTTTTTTCCCACTTCTTTTCACAGGTATTGAAAAATACGGTTTCTTTTGGGAATGAAATTGGGTTGGTTAATGGAAGAAGGGGATTTATACTTTTTACTTTATACTTTATATATTTCTTCACAATTTTTATTTTATGATGAGAATAAATTACTCCTATAATTTAAAAAGAAAGCTTTTTAAAATTGGCTAAAAATTAAAATATTCTGCAACTTATTAATTTCCAGAGACCCTAGGCCCTGAGCAAAATTTCCAGATGGTGGGCAACAGAATGACATTGTTGCTTTATTTTCTAAATAGTCCCAGGTGGAACATCCCTCTTACACGTCCCCCCGCCCTTACCTCCCACACATCAATTCCCCCAGAAATAGGGAGGTGAGAAAGCTGTGAGTGAAGCAACATACTACCAGCTGGAAAATACAAAAGAGGTATAAACAACTAGCCCTGCCCTCAAAGAACTTAGAATCCTATTAGGAGACCAGATATGCACATTGAGCAACAGAGATTAAAGTAATTGAATGGTACACCAATGAGAAAAACACCTAATGCGTATTGGGCATTTGTTATGCACCAGGCAGTGTTCTAAACACTTTACAAGTGGTATCTCATTTAATTATCACAACAGCCCCGTGAGGCAGGTATTTCAAATCCCATTTCACAGATAGGCCTAGAGTGATCAAGTAACTAACCTAAGACAATATGACAAATGTGCAGGGGGGCTGGGACTCAGGGCTTTGTTTCCATTGTGCCCTTGGGGAAAGTGGGTATGCAAAGGACAGTAAAGACCAGGTCTGAGTAAGGAGCTCCTGCTGGGGACCAGAGGGAGATAACCATTATGGTTTCTTTTCACCAGGTAAAACGAACCATTACCAGACAACAGTGGAAAAAAAAAGCCTTACGATCTATGCCCAAGTCCAGAAACCAGGTGTAAGTTCTATATTTTGTTTGAGATGAACCTGTCATGTTTCCTAGAGTATTCCTGGCCAGTCTACCTTGCCTGTTGGACATTCACAGTTTTCCATCCAGAGCAGAGGAAGGTAGGGAACAGGAGTCAAGAACAAGAGTTCTCCTAAAGTCACTAAACGTCAGTGTTTGAAATAATGGGCAACACTGGATAATTTTCTGGTCATGAGTCTTCACAGGAAAAAAATGAAGAAGCTGGAAATACATACTGTATGACTCTTTCCAGCTCTGGCATTGTAGGAGTCTAGGTTCCATGTTAGTCAATTATTTCCTTTTCTAGGGAAAAGAGTGCAGGCTTGAGGAGAGAGGAGGTTTGGAAAAGCTATTGTGTGACATGTTGGACTGATCCAAGTTTAGGATTTACTAAGTGCAAAAGTGACAAGGAAGGTAGGATCTTCAAAATTCTAGCTAGAGTGTGGTTAAAGAGATGAAAGATGAGATGGAAGAAAGAAAACTGTGACAGAGTGATCACTGGACTAAGAAGTGAAGGATGGAAAAACTGGATGCATGGTGAAGTTGAGAAGCAGATATGCTTGAAGGAAGGGATAGAGACGCTAAAAGGATCGTGGTTAGATGTAGAGACACTGTAGTTTTTCAACATGAAGGCAATTCTTGGTATTGTATAGGCCAGAATCTGGACATTTGGGGTGTAGGTAGAGGCAAATTCTTGAGTAAAGGATGTGAAGGTAAAGATGGTTTTGATAGTACCTTAGAAAATTGCATGAAAAGACAGCAAATGCACTTCTGAGAACCAGGAGATGGACTCTTGAACAAAGTTCTTATTTCTGCTGTCCCCTAGTGGCCTGGAGGGCTTATTACACAACCCAGCTCCATCCTTCCCCCAACTAAACTCCATTTAAATAGATGAGAATCCCAAGAGTAACCCTTTCACCCCACGCTCTCATCTGCCTGTTTAGGTAACCAGGTTCACCTTGACCATAGTGTCTTCCCTCACTACTCTATCCTATGCTGCTAGCATCCCTCTTTTTTACTGTGAAGCATGACATATGGTAGTCACTAGCCACATGTAGCTTTTTAAATTTAAATTAATTTGAATTAAATAAAATTTAAAATTCAGTGGCATTCATCAGTTCAGGACTGTCCTCCCAGTTCTACATTTGAGTCTGAGCTGACCTGCAAGACTGAAAGTCTTTGAGGACTGGAGTCTGTTCTCTACTCTATTTGTAGCCACTATACACCTAGGAGAGTGCTGGGCAGGCATGTCTTACTTTGCAAACACTCGAGGGGACTAACTTCCACCTCCTCTGCTACTTCCAGCTGCTTCTAATCACACTTTTAGTCCTCTCCTCCATTTTACACACACACACACACACACTCACTCTCACATACACACACTCATGCATACCCACTCCTCAGTAAGGATCAACTCTGACCAAAAAAATACACAACACATTAATGTCAGCTCAGTGAGTTACCCTTAAACACATATCTCGATATTTGGTAAAGCAAGTCTTCCTAATTTGTTTTTCTGCAAAAGTTTTTGGCTATTCTTGTTCCTTTATACTTTCATATGTATTTTAGAATCAACTTATCAAGTACCACAAAAAGAAAAAAAAATATTAGAATTGTATTGAGTCTACAGATCTATATGAGGAGAAATTACATTTTTCAGTGTTGCGTGTTTTTTGTTTTTTGTTTTTTGTTTTTTGACAGAGTCTTGCTTTATCGCCCAGGCTGGAGTGCAGTGGTGTGATCTGGGCTCACTACAACCTCCGCCTCCTGGGTTCAAGTGATTCTCCTGCCTCAGCCTTCCAAGTAGCTGAGATTACAGGCACCTGCCACCACACCCAGCTAATTTTTGTATCTTTAGTAGAGATGGGGTTTCACCATGTTGGCCAGGCTGGTCTCAAACTACTAACCTCAAGTGATCTGCCCACCTCAGCCTCCCAAAGTGCTGGGATTACAGATGTGAGCCACTGTGCCTGGCCTCAGTATTGAGTCTTCTAATACCATAAAACTACCACTCAGATCAAAGACTAGAACATTGCCCGTACTTCCTGAAGGCCTCCTGTGCCACTTCCCAATCATTACTTCCTCTCTCCTCCCCAAAGATAACCACTATCCTGACTTCTAGAAAAATAGGTTAGCTTTTTCCTTTTTTATTTTTGAACTTTATAAAAATTGAATTCTTTATTCTTTTTTCTCTCATGTCTGATTTATTTTGCTCAGTATTATCTTTATGAGATTCATATATGTCTTTGAATTTAGATATAATGCATTCTTTTTCATTGCTTCATAGAATATAAACGTATGAATATACTAGAGTTTATTTATCCAGTTGACTATTGATGGACATGTGGGTTATTTCCAGTTTGAGGCTATTATGAAAGTTGCAGCTGTGAACATTCATATGCAAGTCGTTAAGTGGACATGTGCACATATTTTTTTGGGTATATACCTAGATATACCTGGAAGTAGAACTGCTGAATCGTAGAGTATGCATACCTCCAAATTGACTAGATAAGGCCGAGCTGTTTTTCAAAGTGGGCGTATCCATTTACTTTTCTATCAGCTACATATGAGAGTCTCAATTGCTATGCCTTTTTTTTTTAAATTTTTTTTTGAGACAGAGTTTCACTCTGTTGCCTAGGCTGGGGTGCAGTGGCGTGATCTTGTCTTACTGCAACCTCCGCCTCCTGGGTTCAAGCCATTCTCCTGTCTCGGCCTCCCAAGCAGCTGGGATTACAGGTACGCACCACCACACCTGGCTCATTGTTGTATTTTTAGTAGAGACAGTATTTCACCATGTTGGCCAGGGTGGTCTCGAACTCCTGATCTCAGGAGATCTGCCCGCCTCAGCATCCCAAAGTGCTGGGATTACAGGCATGAGCCACCACTCCTGGCCTCAATTGCTATGCATTCTAATGAAAACTTGGTATTAACAGTCTAATTTTAGTCCTACTGTTGGATGTGTCTTATTATGCTTTTATTCCACATCTCTGTAATTATTAAGGAAGTTGAACAACTTTTCATATGTTTATTGGCCATATTAAAATTCTTTCTTAAAGTGCCCATTTAATCTCTTGCCCATTTCCCTTTGAGGTTTAGTCTTTCTTTTATGGACTAGTATATGCTTTTCATATATTTTGGATATGTGCCCTTTGGCAGATATGTTAGCAAATACCTTCACCCATCTGTAGCTTGCCTTTGGAATTTCTCAGAGATACCTACTGATAAAGAGAAGGTCTTAATTTTGTTGTAGACCAATTTAGTCTAGTCCTTTTTAAGCATTACTGGATTTTATTTGCTAATATTTTGTTAAGAGTTTGGTTTTCCACTTATGTTTCTGAGTGAAATTGGCCTGTAATTCTCTTGTATAATGCCTTTTTTTTTTTAAGAAGGCACTGCAGTGGCTGGTATATAGCATTCTTGTGAATATATCTAACTGGGATACAAGTTGAGGTAGAAATATTTCAAATGTCCTTAAAAAAATAAGTAACAGAGTTCTTCCTGGACTCTTCTTTAATCACAAGCCTCAGATTGATCCCAAAATGACACACAGCTACTCTACCTAATACCCACATCACGGTAAAGTTGGTCGCTCTCCTGTTAAAAATTCAGACTTTAAGAACTGGAAGGGACCTGGGTAGTCATGCCCAACCAGTGGGGTTTTGATATAAAGATTTATGCTAATTCACATAAGGAGTTGGGGTATATGTTAGTTTCCTAGGGATGCCTTAACAAATTACTGGAAACTTGGTGGCTTAAAACAACAGAAATTTATTCTCTAACAGTTCTGGAGGTCAGAAGTCCAAAATCAAGGAGGCACATCCTCAGGGCCACACTCCATCTGGAGGCTTTAGGAGAAAATCCTCTTTGCCTCTTCCAGCATCTGGTGGCTCCAGGCTCTCCGTGGCATTTGTTGGCTTGTAGTTGTGTATCTGCAATTTTTGCCTTCATCTTCACATGACCTCCCTCTCTGTGTCTTCTTCTTTTCCATCTCTTATAAGGACAGTCATCATCAGACTTCGGACTTATTCTAATCCAGGATGACCTTATTTTGAAATCCTTATCTTGACATCTGTGAAGACCTTTATTCAAATAAAGTCACATTTTGACATTCTGCCTGGACATATCTTTTGGGGCCACAGTTCAACCCACCACAGGGTGCATTTCCTTTTTGTTATTCTCTGCGATATTTGGGTAGGATGTCTTATTTCTCCCCTTAAATATTTGCTAGTAGAGCAAATTGCTAGTAAAGCTATCTGAGACTGGGGTTTCTTTGGTGGAAATTTTTTTAAGTTATATTTTTATTATTAAATTTTCTCCTCTACATATTAGTGAACAACTTTTTTCAGTCTTTTTAGTGGCTACCCTAGAAATTATAAAATACAACTTTGACTTACCAAAGTCTAAGGTTTACTTCCCTCCTGCATAATACTTCAAGTCCACAATAATTTCACCTCTTGATTTAAGTGACCGTTTTGTCATTATTTGAATTTCATATATATTTTAAACACACAAGACATAATTATTATTGTTTTATATATATAAATATATACTTAGACTTACCCACATTTTCACAATTTTCTTTGTTCATATTTGCGATGTCTTTATTATATCAATATAAAGACTGTAATAATGTAGACAATTATTTAAAAACTAACAATGCCTTTATTCTTATTTTTAATGGCTATAAAATAATCTTATAAAGAATATAATAACATGAAAATCACTAAACAAGTGTTTACTGTGTGCTAGGAACTCTTCTAGGACTTATCAGAGCTAGTATCTTGCAGAATTAATTCCAGCGGCCACCATTCACAAAAATTATGTGAAAATAATGCCTCTGGAGTTGCTTGTAAATGATGCTCCCTAAAGATGTACAAATCAGTGGTCCTAACAGAAGATAATAAGATACAAAAATATACTAACTTATTATATTTATGTTTAAAATAATTCCCTATGCCTGGATAAAAATCCTGAAGTGAACATTTAAGCACACACAGAGTCTTAATAGGACTATGGGTGACTTCTTTTACATATTTTTCTCCTTTCTAAAACTTCTGAATTAATGTTAAAAATGTAAGTTATTTGCCTCCTTCTGCCTCTAGGTCAGGTTATGCTAAAGTTCTCCCAAACAGGAAGACCAGCAGAGGTTGCATCTGTTGATAAAGGTCTCTCTTCTTTTTTTTTTTTTTTTGGTGATGCGGAGTCTCACTCTGTCGCCAGGCTAGAGTGCTGTGGCGCCATCTCAGCTCACTGCAACCTCCAGCTCCCTGGTTCAAGGGATTCTCCTGCCTCCGCCTCCTGAGTAGCTGGGATTACGGGCATGCACCATCATTCCTGGCTAATTTTTGTATTTTTAGTAGAGATGGGGTTTCACTATGTTGGCCAGGATGGTCTCGATCTCCTGACCTCGTGATCCACCCACCTCAGCCTCCCAAAGTGCTGGGATTACAGGCGTGAGCCACCACGCCCGGCCAAAGGTCTCTTAATAAACTGTTTTGATAGCCTCTTTATCTCATCACTGCAAGAAATTCTTTCTTAAACTCAAAATTTCTTCAAAATGTATTTAAGAATTGTATGGGATCTTGAAAGCCATCTATCTGAACCACCCAATTACTGCTTGAATTATCTGCTACAACATTACTTCCAAAGTGTTGCCTAGCTCCTTTTTACTGAAATATAGTTTGTGAACAAGCAGCATCAGCATCACCTGGGACTTTATTAGAAATGCAGAATCAGGCCCTGCTCCAGATCTTCCGAAATAGAATCAACCCTTTAACAAGATCCCCAAGTAATTCATATGCATAATAAAAGTCAGCAGCACTGGTCTAGACCATGCCCAAGCACTTATAACTATAGGAGCTCATTGCCTGCCAAGGCAATTCATCCCACATTTGAACATCTTTTACCATTAGAAAGATCTTCATTATATTGAATCAAAATATTTTCCCCAAATCCTAATCTTGGTTTAAACCTGAGATACTTTATAGGCAAATTGAATTCCTTTTCTATATGGCAATTCATCAAATATATGAAGAGAAAAATTATGTCCCATCCCTTTTTCCTCCAATAAACTTTCCTAATTCCTTAACCCTTCCATCACATGACAAAATTCCAAGTTTTCTCGCATTAAAACACATGTGGTGTGGCTTCAAGTCTGGCTCTATACCCAGGGAGAGTGGACAGCAGCATTATCCCATAACCAGTGTCCCCAAAATGTGTTGAATTAATGACTTCCCTATTGTAAGTGATGGCATCCGCATCTTACAAGGATGTGGTCTCAATTTATTTTGAGGTCTTTGTCCAGGAATTGTGGATTTTAATTCGTTCAAAGTAACATCAACAAATATCAGCTGAAGAGTTTATTTTTATGTGTCCAATACTGTTCTGTGGGGAGTACAAAAATATATGGCTTATTTCTCAAGGAATGTATAGACTGGAGAAACAACACATAAATATATCAGAATGTTTTAAATATAGCATAGAGTGCCATAAAGTGTAAATTAGACTTTAAATACCTGAGGAATTTAAGTAAGGGATAGGTCATTATAAGTTGAGTGACCAAAAAAGAATAGTGATAGAAAGGACATGCACCTTAAGTTAAAAGAGCTTAAGGCAGGGGACTCCCGGCTTTGACACTTCTTGCTTGTACACATTAGGAAAACATTTGGTCTTTCTGAGCTGTAGCTTCATCATCGGTGAAGTGTGAGTAACAACAGTATTTAACACAGAGTGGTTGTGAGGCAAATGAGAAGACATATGTGAGGAGGAGGAAGAGTAGGAATGGCAGTGTGGGATGCAAGAATTCTGCATGTAGCCGGTGATATGAGTGAGACGGACTAAATTCTGTTGCTATTCTGTCCCCTCCAGCTGCCCCTGTAAGAGCCACACCAATTTCAGTTTCTTGTGAGGAAGACATTTAAAACATTTGAGAAGCACTGACAATGGATGAGGCTGCCTTGGGAGGTTGTGCACCCCAAGACGCCACTTGGGGAGTCCAAGCAAAGCCTGGGGAATTGAGTTCCAGAGAATTTGGGGGAGAATTCCCACCTGAGAAGGAGGTTGGACCAAATGACTGGAAGGAACTTTCTGCCTCAAGTCTTCTTGAGTCTGTGCTTCTCTATCGGAGAGTTGGGTGAGAACTAGCTCTCTCTGTTCAGCTAATCTGCTTTCTTTGCTTCTCTTGTAGCCTCTTCAGAAGAAACTTGACTCCTTCCCAGCTCAGGACCCTTGCACCACCATATATGTTGCTGCCACAGAGCCTGTCCCAGAGTCTGTCCAGGTGAGGCATCTCTCTGCCTACTCTCCGTAGAGAGGGAATACATGAAGGAGGGGAAAATGAGGAAGTTTTTTTTTTTTAAGGTGGGAAGAGGGAGAGGATCAGGGAAAATAGCTATTGGGCACTAGGCTTCATACCTAGGTGACAAAATACTGTGTATAACAAATCCTCATGACACAAGTTTACCTATGTAACAAACCAGCACATGTACGCCTGAACTTAAAATAAAAGTAAAAAAAAAAAAATTAAAACAAAAACAAATTAAATGAAACAGATTGATGAGTCCTGGACTGGGGAAGGGAGGCCACAGCATGCAGGCAAAAAGGAGTCTCTGTGGCTTTGGTTTTCCAGTTTCCATGAAGCCCCCAATACCTGCTCACACGGGGCCACTGCTAACCCCCTGCTGGCCAGTGTTTCCCTGAGAGTTGTCCAAGGACCACATCAGAATCAGCCAGCGTACTTGTTAAAAATAAAGATTCCTAGGGACTTCCACCTAGGATTCTGTTAAATGAAAATGTCTATGGAGAGTAGCCATAGACCTACGTATTTAAAAAACCCACACCCCAGGTAATTCTGATACACACTCAAGTTTAAGAACAGCAGCTGGAGTCCAGGAGTTCTCAACTCCAGCTACAAAACAGAATCACCAGGGAAGCATTGTAAAAATGCTCATGCCTAGACTCTGTGCAGCCCCATTTAATCAGAATATTTAGGGGTGGAGATCTGCATAGGTGTTAAGCCTAGAAGAGAATATGGGGTGCAGCTCAAAATGATACTTGCATATTCTACCCTATTGCAAGATCAGCAGGGACTAAGTTTACTTCGGACAGGAATCTTTCCTTTACTGAATGAATAGAAATAAATTCTGGGCTGAAATCTTTGCTCCATTTGGGCTCTTTCAGAAGAGAGCCCAGGATGATAGAGGCACAAAGGTCACACAAATGCCTGCATCCACCTTATTTTTCAAAGCTCCTACCGCACACACACTCATCCAGAAATGCCTGGGCAGGTGCCCTATATTTCAAGATGAAACCAATCTTCAACTTGAGGTCCATTCTCACTTCACTGTCATATCTAAGAAGGAAGTAAAAATATAAACCTGACTTCAAAGCTTCAAAAAAATACATAGATTTTTAATGAAGTTTACTTAAGGACAAAAACAGTATGCTATAGTTAACATTTTATGGCAAAACCCTTAAATTCTATTTTCTTTGTTTCTTTGACATGAGAGATCTTTGCGCATAACCCTCTTCTCCCCTTCCTCTCTCCTGCCAATACCACTTTTCTCTTCTCCCTTTGAGTCCCACTAGACTTTTTAAAAACTCAATAATTTACAACTCTCTTGGCTTCCCAGATTGTGACCCATATGTAACAGCAAAACAAATGGTTTTCCTTACAAGGGGATGGAAGGGGAGAGGGCAAAGAGGGAGACAGGGCACTGAGTGCTGGTCCTCAGATCATGCTCCCCATAATAGCATGCTTATGCTTGGAAGGGAGCTGTGGCCCTTGTTGCAGGTGGAGAAGCAGTGTGGGAACCCAAGTGCTGTCCCAGCAAGGCCCTGTCTGTGACAGACCCTGCACAAGCCATGATCTCTAAGACCCTTTCCTTTTCCTCAGCAGTGCTGTTTTCATTTGCATTCTGTGAAGTGAGTATCCAGTCCCTCTACTCACAGACTTCTGCTTTGTCCCCAGGAAACAAATTCCATCACAGTCTATGCTAGTGTGACACTTCCAGAGAGCTGACACCAGAGACCAACAAAGGGACTTTCTGAAGGAAAATGGAAAAACCAAAATGAACACTGAACTTGGCCACAGGCCCCAAGTTTCCTCTGGCAGACATGCTGCACGTCTGTACCCTTCTCAGATCAACTCCCTGGTGATGTTTCTTCCACATACATCTGTGAAATGAACAAGGAAGTGAGGCTTCCCAAGAATTTAGCTTGCTGTGCAGTGGCTGCAGGCGCAGAACAGAGCGTTACTTGATAACAGCGTTCCATCTTTGTGTTGTAGCAGATGAAATGGACAGTAATGTGAGTTCAGACTTTGGGCATCTTGCTCTTGGCTGGAACTGGATAATAAAAATCAGACTGAAAGCCAGGACATCTGAGTACCTATCTCACACACTGGACCACCAGTCACAAAGTCTGGAAAAGTTTACATTTTGGCTATCTTTACTTTGTTCTGGGAGCTGATCATGATAACCTGCAGACCTGATCAAGCCTCTGTGCCTCAGTTTCTCTCTCAGGATAAAGAGTGAATAGAGGCTGAAGGGTGAATTTCTTATTATACATAAAACACTCTGATATTATTGTATAAAGGAAGCTAAGAATATTATTTTATTTGCAAAACCCAGAAGCTAAAAAGTCAATAAACAGAAAGAATGATTTTGAGATCTCTGAGTTTTGAACAGTGGACTGGAAACCATGTAAGAGCCTTAAAAGTACAGTTCTGTGCAAATGGCATTCAGTTTTAAAGAAAAACGTAGCAAATGTTTGATGGTGCTGTTACAAAGGAGCTTGGAATACTCAGAGGAACTTGTCCCATGGTGATTTTTCACTTCTCAAAATGATGTTTAAATCCCAGTTCTCTGTTGATTCCCTTGAACAACAAACCTGGAACCTCAGCTAAGACTCTCTGTGACCAGATTCTGAACCTCTTATATCCAGGGCTTCAAGGGGTATTGCAGGTCAAGGTCTTTCCTAGGCACTTTCTACTCCCTGCATACCTCTCCTCACACTAAATTTATCCTCTAGTAGAAAATTAAGTTATTTTGGTCTAACAGCTTCAAATCTTTGAATGCTCAATAACTTATTTTGCAAGCTGCAGGCAGAAAGAGACTTTTTAAGTAAAGTCCTTTGTTTTTTCCTATTCTCTGCTTTTAGACAGGCTGTCCTCAATTTAAGCCCTGCTTTTTCTTATTGTTTCTTATATAAACTTGGTAAGTACTGTAAGAAACAGCCACTATCATACCATTGCATAATAAGGAGCACCAACTTCCCAGCTCAAAACTCAGGTCCTTATTGCCTTGTATCTTACCTCCTCTATGAGGTCAATTCACATTGTAAGCCTGTTGCTTAGTGCATCTCGTTTCCTGGTACCAGCTTCTTTAATAGAGTTCTTAGTTGCAATCAACAGAAGCTGGCTTTGGCTTTTTTATGTAGAAAAGGAACCTATTGAAAAGATACTGATTGGTTCCAATAACTGCTAGAAGTTTCTGCAAAACCATGCTTTGAAAGTGAGCAGGAAAAGAAGAGACTAGGCTGTGGCTGGGAGCACAGCCAAAATTACAAAACCAGCCCAGGGATGATGATCCTGTTCATGCACAGCCACTGTCCCCAGCACTAGGCACAGACTCTACCACTGCCTCACTGTCTCTGCTGGACTTGGAAACTTGATATTACTGTTACTGCTGCACTGTCTGCCATGAAAATGAATTCTCCAGGGTCCCTTCTTCATCCTTTCATCTCTAGCTTATAATTCAAAGTCTGGGATTGAGTGGCCAATCCTAGGTCACATGTCCATGTCCTATCTCCAAGGGGGGCTGGGAATTGAATATCTGGCATTTTCCACTTTCACTTCTTATGAATTAAGGAATTCTACAAATAATAGAAGTGGGATTCAGGTGGTAGGCAGACAAAAAAGCCTCACAATTATCCACTACGCCACCCTTGTATAACCTTACCCTCATTCACTGTCTACTCTCAAAACTGTGGAGCTACTAATGAAGATTTGTAAACCCGGGCTTATGAGCACCCATTCCTTTACTACAACTCAGATTGCTCTAGAAGCTCAGTTCCCAGCACTTGGATTTTTCCAGTAGCTGAATTCTACCTGAAGGAAGGGCAGAAACAAAGGGTGAAGAAGAGGCTATCACTTCCAAGTATCCTGCACCCCTGGGCTCAAGACCTCACTGGGGAGGGAGTCTTTTGGGCCACCCACCAAACAGCACTGGCATTATGCCTCTCACCCTAGACCATGGTTACACGTGGTAAAACAACCCCTTCTGGTGATACATTCACAACTCTCTAGTTTCCCCCAAATGGCACTATGGGGAGCGGGAGCTTGCCTTTTCCTCAGACTTAAAACAATAAGTTTTCCCCGTGTTTCCCCTCTAATGCTGTTTTCTTTTGACCAAGCATGTCTGAATTCTAGAGAAGTCAGGAGGAACACACCCATTCTCGGTTTGAAGGGACTGATGTTCTGAAGTACAACTGGGCACAGTCCCAGGCTCTTCAGGACGCTTCCTCCATTCACACAGCGGGGATGTGATTGTTACAGCGGGTGGTGTGTGCTGGCTGAGAAGCCACTGTGAATTGATTCTTCTTCTGAAGTTTATGTTTCTACTTTTTGGAAATGAATAAATTACAGCCAGTCCATCAAGGAAATTGCAATTTTGTCTTGTGTTTCCTAAAGGATTTATAACACAGTAATATGGCATGATGTGTTTCCTGGCCTTATGTCTCCATGCCATAGTTATGAAATGCTGAAGGAGGCAGATTTGATCAGATAGGATGTGAGGTTGTCCCTTTCCTGGAGGTGGACAAGGGTTAGCTTGGCATCCCCTTCACCAAAGGTCAGGAACCACCCTCCACATGGAGAACTGTGTTGAAAGGATTGTTTAATTTTTGTCACTGCCAGAGTAATTCCCTTCCCTGAACTCTGCCAAATTCCCCTTGTGGACAAAATCTAGAGCAGGGTTTCTCAACTGCCACACTATTGACATTTGGGGCTGGATAATTTTTTTGTCATGGGGCTGTCCTGTGCACTGTAGGGTGTTTAACAGCATCCCTGGCCTCGGCCCACTGGGTGTATGGCACATGCCCTGTCCTTGATTGTGACAATCAAGTGTCTCCAAACACTACCAAATGTCCCCTGCTTGGCAAAATCTCCCCCAGTTGAGAACCACTGATCTAGAGATATGCTGGCCCCCTGGTGAGCTCTGAGAAAACTAAATACGCTTCTATATACCAAGAAGTAGATCTGTCAAAGGTGGCCACCTGGTCACTTAAGCATGGCCCAAACCTGCCAGTGACACCCAAGTTTACCTAAATATTAGAATTACCCGGGAAACTTTTTAAAAAATAATGATGACCAAATCTAACCTGAAACCAAAATGAGATCTGGGTTGAGATTTATAGAACTACTTATACCACAGAAAGGATTTCGTGATGAGTTTCACACACCAGCCACAAGAGGGTGATATAGCAACACAATCCACCCAACCTTAGCATCCCCACCACTTCCTTGTATCTAAAGGATGTGGACTTAGTCACAGACTGGATGAAACTGTGTCTGGTTTCTCAGCTCTTACAGGCTGAAAGGAGATAAGGAGGCTAATGTGGATTGATGAAAGGCTCTAAAAGGTTAAGTGTACTAAGTTTATTTCACAGAAGACTTCTAGTTCTACTCAATGCTTCACTCATTCAACAAAGTTATTAAGTTCCTACTAAGTGTTTGGCTTGTCATCCAGCAGGAGATACAAAGAACACAGGCAATTGAAGTATTATAACAGGTAGATCACTATGTGATCTACTGAGAACCATTGGAAAATAAAAGAAGATGCTATTAATAATTACCCTGGGGCAGGGGATGGCAGCTAGGAGGCAGGACTAACTTGCAACTCTCACTCAGATGTGTGGAGACTCACATCATGAACTTTTGTTCCAAGAACCGCTGCAGGAACATACCAGGAAAACTGAAAGAATTCACCAGCCCTTTGAAAGAAGTGGCTTGCCACTGCAAACTCTGTGAAATAGCTGAAAAACTGTGAGTGCCTAAAGTGTGAGAGGGGGAAAGTCTACCTCTGAACACACATCTTCACTGGGGAAACCTGAAAATCCAAATAACAGGAGAAGAATTTAACTTTACCTAGAGCTGAAATGAATTTAGAGAGCCAAGCAAAATACAAAAGTAGAAGAAGCAGTGGGAAGAGCCCTACAGGCACTCCTGGTCCCCCAGGAAGTCCAGGGAAGTCATTTCTGACTTTATCTCACAGGGTTCCTTGGGGAGGGCTGCCAGTGGGATTGGGGAAGGGCCACAGGGAGAAGGAAACTTCCAGCTGAACTTTGTAATAATTTTGACTGAGTACGAATTGTCCTGGTCAGGATCTGTGGAGATGAATAGAAAGTGCAGATATGAGCACAGAAGCCACAGCAGGCAGGGAGGGGTGAGGCCTGAAAGCCCTGCTTGCCTTCTCAGCAGAGAGGCTAGTATCCCAGGGCAACATCCCAGCCCTGCATACCAGAGGCTTGGATATAAATTTGGCTCTTTGGGGAGCATGGCAGGAGTGAGACTGGCCTTGCTGGCTGTGTGGGAGTGGGGAGAGGCCTGTCACCACTGGCTTTCCCCCACTTCCCTGGCTACCTGTACAAAGCAGCAGAGGCAGCCATAATCCCCCTGGGAACATAACTCCATTGGCCTGAGAACCACACCCCCATACCGCACAGTTGCCACAGCAAGCCCTGTCCAAGGATAGTCTGAGCTCAGACATGCTCAACTCTGCCCCCACCTGATGGTCTTTTTCTGCCAGCCCTGGTAGCTGAAGACAAAAGACATAATCTTGTGGGAGCCCTATGGCCCTCCCATCACCTGAGAAACCCAAATACTTATCCAGGTGACCTTAGGGCAAGCTTGTATTCCCCCGTACTGCTGCAGCTGATGCTCTCTTGAAATCGCCACCTTCTGGCTGGAGGCCAATCAAGTCAAGCCATTATAGCAACTCATAACAAAATAGCCCTGCTCCAAGGAAGGAGAAAACAACAGCTAATTCCACCACTTGTAACGTCCTGGCTAACCAGAGGTCCTGAGTCTGTCCATGTGACAACTTCACTGTTAGCATAACCAGCATTTGAGAAAACCTGTGCACTAAACAAAACTACAACCAAGGACTCTCACAGAATCCACTTCACTGCCCTGCTACCTTCACTGGAGTAGGTGCTCGTATCCGTGGTTGAGAGACCTGAAAATAGATCACAACACAGGACTCTTTGCAGACACTCCCCAGTACCAGCCTGGAGCCTGGTAGGTCCACTAGGTGGCTAGACCCAGAAAAGCAATAACAATCACTGCAGTTCAGCTCTTGGGAAGCCCCATCTGTAGGGGAAAGGGGAGAGCACCACATCAAAGGATCACCCTGTGGGACAAAAGAATCTGAACAGCAGCCCTTGAGTCCTAGACCTTTCCTCTGACATAATTGACCCAAATGAGAAAGAACCAGAAAAACAATTCTGGCAATATAATTAAACAAAGTTCTATCACACCACCAAAAGATCACACTAGCTCACCAGTAATGGATTCAAACCAAGAAGAAATCTCTGAATTGCCAGAAAAAGAATTCAGAAGGTTGATTATTAAGCTACTCAAGTAGGCACCAGAGAAAGGTGAAAACCAACTTAAAGAAATTTTTAAAATAATACAAGATATGGACAAAAACACTGTAAAGAAATAGATATTATAAATAAAAAACAATAAGAACTTCTGGAAATAAAAGACATGCTTAGAGAAATGCAAAATACACTGAAAAGTTTTAACAATAGAATGGAACAAGTAGAAGAAAGAACCTCAGAGCTCAAAGACAATGCTATTGAATTAATCCAATCTAACACAGACAAAGAAAAAAGTTTTTTTTAATGAACAAAGCCTCCAGCCAATTTGGGATTATGTTAAATGACCAAACCTAAGAATAATTTGTGTTCCTGAGGAACTCAAAGAACACCCAGGAAATTCATTGCAAAAAGATAATTACCTAAACACACAGGTTTAGGTAATCTAAACCATCAGGTTATCTAAAGTCAAGATGAAGGAATGAATCTTAAGAGCTGTGAGGCAAAAGCATCAGGTATCCTATAAAGGAAAACCTATAAGATTAACAGCAGATTCCTCAGCAGAAATCCTACAAGCTAGAAGGGATTGGGGTCCTATCTTTCATATCCTTAAACTAAGTAATTATCCTTACTTTAGCCTCCTTAAAAGAATAATTATCAGCCAAGAATTTTGTATCTGGCAAAACTAAGCTTCATATATGAAGGGAAGATAAAGTCTTTTTCAGACAAGCAAATGCTGAATGTATCACTACCAAGAGAATTTGCCACTACAAAGTCAGCACTATAAGAACTGCTAAAAGGAATTCTAAATCTTGAAACAAAACCTCAAAATACACCAAAATAGAACCTTCTTAAAACATAAATCTCACAGGACCTATGAAACAATAACACAATGAAAAAAAAAACCAAGCAATTCAGGCAACAACTAGCACAATGAATAGAATAGTACCTCATATCTCAATACTGACATTAAAAGTAAATGGCCTAAATGCTCCACTTACAAGATCCAGAGTGTCAGAATGAATAAGAATTCACCAACCAAGTATCTGCTGTCTTTAAGAGACTTGCCTAACACATAAGGACTAACATAAACTTAAGGTAAAGGGGTGGAAAAATATATTGCATTCAAATGGACACAAAACTGAGCAGGAGTAACTATTCTTATATCAGACCAAACAGACTTTAAAGCAAGAATAGTTTTAAAAGACAAAGAGGGACAATCCATAACAATAAAAGGACTAGTCCAGCAGGAAAATATTACAATCCTAAATATATATGCATCTAACACTGGAGTTCCCAAATTTATAAGACAATCACTGCTAGATGTAAGAAATGAAATAGGAACACAATAATAGTGGGGGGCTTCAATACTGCACTGACAGAACTAGAAAGCATCAAGACAGAAAATAAAGAAACTATACCCTAGAATAAATGGACTTAACAAATACTTACAGCACATTCTACTCAACAACAACAAATATTTACAGCACATTCTACTCAACAGCTGTGAAATATATATTCTACTCATCAGAACATGGAACACAGGCCAAAAATCAAGTCTCGATAAATTTAAGAAAATCAAAGTTATATCAAGTACTCTGTCAGACCACAGTGGAATAAAATTGGAAATCAACTCCAAAAGGAACCCTCAAAACTATGCAAATATATGGAAATTAAATAATCTGCTCCTGAATGATCTTTACATCAGCAATGGAATCAAGATAGAAATTTAAAAGTTCTTTGAAATGAACGATAATAGTGACACAACCTATCAAAACTTCTGGGATACAGCAAAAGCAGTGCAAAGAGAAAAGTTCATAGGATTAAATGCCTACATCAAAAAATCTGAAGGAGTACAAATAGACAATCTAAGGTCACATCTCAAGGAACTAGAGAAGCCTGAACAAACCAAACCCAAACCCAGCAAAAGAAAAGAAACAACCAAGATGAGAGCAGAACTAAATGACATTCAAACAAACAAAAAACAATACCAAAGATAAATGAAACGAAAACCTGGTCCATTGACAAGAGAAAGAAAATGGATAGACCATTAGTGAGATTAACCATGAAAAGAAGAGAGAAGATCCAAATAAGCTCAGTTAGAAACAAAATGGGAGATATTACAACCAATACGACAGAAACACAAAAGACCATTCAAGGCCATTATGAACACCTTTATGTGCACAAACTAGAAAACTGAGAGGAGATAGATAAATTGCTGAAAACATACAGCCCTCCTAGATTAAACCAGGAAGAAATAGAAACTTTGGGCTGGGCGCAGTGGCTCACGTCTGTAATCCCAGGACTTTGGGAGGCCGAGGTGGGCAGATCACGAGGTCAGGAGATCGAAACCATCCTGGCTAACATGGTAAAACCCCATCTCTACTAAAAATACAAAAAATTAGCCAGGAACAGTGGCAGGTGCCTGTAGTCCCAGCTACTCGGAAGGCTGAGGCAGGAGAATGGCGTGAACCAGGGAGGCAGAGCTTGCAGTGAGCCGAGATAGTGACACTGCACTCTGGCCTGGGCGAAAGAGTGAGACTCCTCCTCAAAAAAAAAAAAGAAATAGAAACTTTGAACAGACCAATAACAAGCAGCAAGATAAAAATAATGATAATATAAAAATTGCCAGCAACAAGAAAGTTCAGGACCAGATGGATTCACAGCTGAATTCTATCAGGAATTCAAAGAATTGGTAACAATCTTATTGAAACTATTCCAAAAGACAGAGAAAGAAGGAATCCTTCCTAAATCATTCTATGAAGCCAGTATCACCCTAATACCAAAACCAGGAAAGGACATAACAAAAAAAGAAAACTACAGACTAATATCCCTGATGAACATAGTTGCAAAAATCCTCAACAAAATACTGGCTAACTGAATCCAACAGCATATCAGAAAGATAATCCACCATGATCAAGTGGGTTTCATATCAGGGATGCAGGGATGATTTAATATACGCAAGTCAATAAATGTGACACACCACATAAACAGAGTTAAAAACAAAAATCATATGCTCATCTCATTAGACACAGAGAAAGCATTTGACAAAATTCAGCATCCATTCATGATTAAAACTCTCAGCAAAATTGGCATAGATGGGACATAAGGTAATAAAAGGCATCTATGACAAACCCACAGCCAACATTATACTGAACAGGGAAAAGTTGAAAGCATTCCCCCACCCTGAAAACTGGAAGAAGGCAAGGATGCCCACTTTCACCACTTTTATTCAACATAGTACTAGAAGTCCTAGCCAAAGCAATCAGACAGGAGAAAGGAATAAAGGGCATCAAAATTGGTAAAAAGGAAGTCAAACTGTTGCTGTTCACCAGTGGTATAATTGTAGAAGGTATCAAACCCTACTCATCCAAAAAACTCCTAGATGTGATAAATGAATTCAGTAAAGTTTCAGGACACAAAATCAATATACACAAGTGAATAACACTGCTATACACCAATGGTGACCAAACTGAGAATCAAATCAAGAATTCTCCCCTTTTTACAATAGCTGCAAAAAAATTAAAATGCTTAGAAATTCACCTAACTAAGGAGGTGAAAGACCTCTATAAGGAAAACTACAAAACACTGCTGAAAGAAATCATAGATGACACAAACAAACGGAAATATATCCCATGCTTATGGATGGGTAGACTCAATATTGTGAAAATGACCATACTGCCAAAAGCAGTCTGCAAATTCAATGCAATTCCCATGAAAATACCATCATCATTCTTCATGGAACTAGAGAAAACAATCCTAAAATTAATATGGAACCCAAAAAGAGCCTACATAGCCAAAGCAAGACTAAGCAAAAAGAACAAACCTGGAGGCATCACATTACC
The DNA here is from genome assembly GCF_000001405.40 of Homo sapiens. Classification (NCBI taxonomy): domain Eukaryota; kingdom Metazoa; phylum Chordata; class Mammalia; order Primates; family Hominidae; genus Homo; species Homo sapiens. The sequence continues at coordinate 160,601,323 of NC_000001.11, read as the reverse complement.
TGACTTTAAACTATACTACAAGGCTATAGTAATCAAAACAGCATGGTACTGGTATAAAAATGGGCACATAGACCAATGAAGTAGAATAGAGAACCCAGAAAGAAAGAGAGAAAGAGACAGAGAGAGGGAGGGAGGGAGGGAAGGAAGAAAGGGAAAAATATAGGCCCATACACTTAAATAAATGGAATCAGAATTTTTGATAATCTAACCCCTACCTCAATGTAGACATCCTTTTCAAGTGGAAGCACTTTAGCTTGAGTGACATTCCACGCCTGGCCTCTCCCCTACTCATTTACTCCACTCTCAGGGAAATTCACCCCTGATATTTCACGTAGGTTCTTTTCTATTTTCCTTAAGTGCTGGCTGGTCCGAGAAATAAAGGGAAAGAGTACAAAAGAGAGAAATTTTAAAGCTGGGTGTCCGGGGGAGACATCACATGTCAGCAGGTTCCATGATGCCCCCAAACCACAAAACTAGCAAGTTTTTATTAGTGATTTTCAAAAGGGGAGGGAGTGTACTAATAGGATGTGGGTGACAGAGATCACACGCTTCACAAGGTAATAAAATATCACAAGGCAAATGGAGGCAGGACAAGATCACAGGACCAGGGTGAAATTAAAATTGCCAATGAAGTTTCAGGCACACATTGTCATTGATAACATCTTATCAGGAGGCAGGGTTTGAGAGCAGACAACCAGTCTGACCAAAATGTATTAGGTGGGAATTTCCTCATCCTAATAAGTCTGGGAGTGCTACAGGAGACTGGGGCTTATTTCATCCCTTATCTGCAACTGTAAAAGACAGACGTCCCCAGAGCGGCCATTTCAGAGGCTTACCCCTAGGAATGCGTTCTCTTTCTCAGGGCTGTTCCTTGCTGAGAAAAAGAATTCAGCGATATTTCTCCTATTTGCTTTTGAAAGAAGAGAAATATGGCTCTGTTCCGCCCAGCCCATAGGTAGCCAGACTAAGGTTATCTCTCTTGTTCCCTGAACATCCCTGTTATCCTGTTCTTTTTTCACGGTGCCCAGATTTCATATTGTTTAAACAATTTGTGCAGTTAACGCAATCATCACAGGGTCCTGAGGCGACATTCATCCTCAGCTTACAAAGATGATGGGATTAAGAGATTAAAGTAAAGACAGGCATAGGAAATCACAAGAGTATTGATTGGGGAAGTGATAAGTGTCCATGAAATCTTCACAATTTATGTTCAGAGATTGCAGTAAAGACAGGTGTAAGAAGTTATAAAAGTATTAATTTGGGGAACTAATAAATGTCCATGAAATCTTCACAATTTATGTTCTTCTGCCATGGCTTCAGCCGGTCCCTCTGTTTGGGGTCCCTGACTTCCCATAACACTTCACCTCAGGAAAGAGAAGTGCATAAACTATTTTGTGAGTTTGGGAAGATAACTGAGCAACCTCCACTCAATGCCTTCTCAGCTGTCTTTCTTGGAACCAGCCTTTTTGTAGGAGGCAGATATTCTTGTCTATTCCTACCTGCTCACAATGGCAGACTCTACTCTCTTGTTGGGAGGGTTTGCCCACTTATGGCCTCTTCCTTCTTCTCCTCCTACATTCCCACCTCCTCCTGATTATAATGATAGTGATAGTCAACATTTATCAAGTGCTTTCTAAGTGCCAAGTATGGTCCTGAGTGTGAATCATGCATTAACTTGCCTAAAGCCACATTTGCCAATCAGCTTTATCAATAACAGAGCTGACACTTTTTCTCCATCTGTATGAATCTTCTGTCTATCTTAAAATTGATTCCAAATCAGAAGTAGAGGAAGCATAATTAGTTGCTCCTTCCCTCTAAACCCAACACCTCCTCTGGCCAAACTCCCTTGCCAAACATCCTCCATGTCTTCCCTGAACTTCTCTCTCACAACAGTTTCTCATGTTCCATTGTTAGAGAGCTAACAAAGGTACATGTTCCATTGTTAGAGAGGTTTCTCATGTTTCATTGTTAGAGAGGTTCCACTGCTAGAGAGTCAAGTTTTTGTACATTAAAATACTTCTTCTTGGAACTTGCCTACTTTCTCCTAGTGGTTTTCTCTGAATAACCTAATTCCTCTTCTGCATAATAATTTTCCAAATATCTGAAAATAACTGTCATTTCTATGCAACTTGTGATCACTAAAGGAAACAAAAAAAAATTCACCCCCAAATACACTTTTTGACATATTTCAAGATGGCTGTTCAGATGACCTGAAGATGGCAATAGCCCTGCAAAGCTGCCTTTTGTGGAGGAGATTTGCCTCTGTAGAGAAAATCTGCATTGGTGAAATAAACAGCCAGGCTTTCTCTGCCCCATTCTGTCTAGATCTAGGAAGGATAGGCTCCTGGGAGAGAGACTGAAAGTCTGACACCTTATGGGGGCTGACAGAAACATTCTTTCTGAGAGCTATGTTGTCCAAAAGATCATCAGGATGGCTAAATAGTAGGAAGGAGAGCATTAGTAGTGATATTGGTTTGGAAACCCGGAAGAGACAGTCTCAAATATGTGCCTAAGCTGGTGTCTCTTCAAAGAGAAGAAGGATGGTTGGGTATTACATGACAAAGGGTCCATACAGTTTTTTTTTTTTCCTATCTCTTATAATATTCAATTCACTTTTCTTTCCTTTTTTTTCTTTCCTTTTTTTTTCTTTCCTTTCTTTATTTTTTTTTTTTTAAGACAGGGTTTCACTTTGTTGCCCAGGCTGGAGTGAAGTGGCATGATAATGGCTCACTGCAGCCTTGACCTCCCAGGCTCAAGCAATCTTCCCACCTCAGTCTCCCTGGTAGCTGGAACTACAGACACATGTAACAATGCCCAGCCAATTTCTGTATTTTTTGTAGAGACAGGGTTTTGCCATGTTTCCCAGGCTGGTCTTGAGCTCCTGGGCTGTAGCAATCTGCCTATCTTAGCCTCCCAAAGTGCTGGGATTACAGGAGTGAGCCACTGTGTCTGGCCTCATTTTTCAATAAATTCAAAATCTCTGTTGAAATTCTCTACAGAAAATTTTCACCTATTGTGTATATCTTTTCACCTATTGTGTATATCTTTTCCACTATTCTCTTCAAAACATTAATTATAGCTATTTAAACATCCTTGCATCCTAATCTAATATCTATAGGTCTGTTTCTAAAGTCTTTTTCCTCTTGTTAATCAATCATATTTTTGTCTGCCTGGTATTTCTTAAATTTAATGCTGTGCATTATATATAAAAGAACCAGAGATGCTTAAAGTTATACTTTCTTCCACCAGATAGTGTTTTCCCTTCTTTCTGTTAGGCAGATATAAGAGACTGATCACCTCATGGCAGTCAGGGATCCAGCTTCATTGGCCTGGATTTCAATTTATATAAGGTGGCCTCCTGGGCCTTTGATTAAGACACTGTCAGGCATCCATCTCCTCCAATCTGAAAGACAATAGGAGAGCTAGCCCTTCTTTTCAGAGTTTCTCGGCCCAGCTCCTCAGCCTCCCATACTATATAGCTTCAAAATTTGGCAAATCAACTAAGGGAGAAACCACCAGGGCAGGTCTCTTTCACGATATGCAGGACTGTGAAAGATTTCACTCTACTTTTAGAAGACATCTGTCTAGATCATCAGACTCTCATGCACTCCTAGAAACTAGTAAATATCCTGTGAGAAAATCAGCCATATGTTAGGGACCACCTCAGGTTTCTTAGTCCATTTGTGCTGCTATAACAGAAGACCTGAGACTGGGTAATTTATAAAGAATAGAAATTCATTTTCTCACAGTTCTGGAGCCTGGGAAATTAAAAATCAGGGTGCTGGGGTCTTTTGAGGGCCTACTTGCTGCATCCTCACATGGCAGAATACAGAAGGGCCATAAAGTTTTTTCACATGGCAGAAGAGCAGAAGAGAATGAACTTATTCCCACAAGCCCTTTTTGTAATGTCAGCTATCCATTCTTGAATGTAGAGCCCTCATGACCTAAACACTTCCCATTAGGCCCCACCTCCCTATACTGTTGCATTGGAGATTACGTTTCCAACATACAAATTTTGGGTGATGCATTCAGACTATAGCAGCTTCCAAATTTTCCCTCTACACTAACACAGTCAAGAAAATTTTTATTGTTCTTTCCTCCTCAGCCTACACTAAGCTCAATATTCAGCTCATGTCTAGAATCAGCAAATCTCCCCCCAACTCTCCCCTCAAGGTAAAAAATGGTTGATGATGTCAGGTCATCTGAAAAAGGTTCTGCCTCTCTGGAATTTTGGGTGATGATATCCCATTACTTCCTCTTTAAAGACTCTTTGATGCCTTTAAAAATAAGGACTTTGTAATTCCTCTGGCCTTCATTATTATTATTATTATACTTTAAGTTTTGGGACATATGTGCAGAACATGCAAATTTGTTACATAGGGATACACATGCCATGGTGGTTTGCTGCACCCATCAACCCGTCATCTACATTAGGTATTTTTCCTAATGCCATCCCTCCCCTAGCCCCCTACTCACTGACAGGCCCCGGTGTGTGATGTTCTCCTCCCTGTGTCCATGTGTTCTCATTGTTCAACTCCCACTTATCAGTGAGAACACGAGTTGTTTGGTTTTCTGTTCCTGTGTTAGTTTGCTGAGAATGATGGTTTCCAACTTAATCCATGTCCCTGCAAAGGACATAAACTCATCCTTTTTTATGTCTGCATAGTACTCCGTGGTACTATATGCCACATTTTCTTTATCCAGTCTGTCATTGATGGGCATTTGGGTTGGTTCCAAGTTTTTGCTATTGTGAACAGTGCTGCAATAAACATACTTGTGCCTGTGTCTTCGTAGTAGAATGATTTGTAATCCTTTGGGTATATGCCCAGTAATGGGATTGCTGGGTCAAATGGTATTTCTAGTTCTAGATGCTTGATGAATTGCCACACCATCTTCCACAATGGTTGAACTAATTTACACATCCACCAACAGTGTAAAAGCGTTCCTACTTCTCCACATCCTCTCCAGCATCTGTTGTTTCCTAACTTTTTAATGATCGCCATTCTAACTGGTGTGAGATGGTATCTCATTGTGGTTTAGACTTGCATTTCTCTAATGACCAATGATGATGAGCTTTTTTTCTTATGTTTCTTGGCCACATAAATGTCTTCTTTTGAATACCTAATAGACGTCTACAGAACTCTCCACCCCAAATCAACAGAATATACATTCTTCTGAGCACCACATTCCACTTATTCTAAAATTGACCACATAATTGGAAGTAAAACACTCCTCAGCAAATGCAAAACAACAGAAATGTCTCTTCATATCCTTCACCCACTTTTTGTTGGAGTTGTTTATTTTTTTCTGGTAAATTTGTTTAAGTTCTTTATAGATTCTGGATATTAGCCCTTTGTCAGATGGATAGATTGCAAAACTTTTCTCCCATTCTGTAGGTTGCCTGTTCACTCTGATGACAGTTTCTTTTGCTATGCAGAAGCTCTTTAGTTTAATTAGATCCCATTTGTCAATTTTGGCTTTTGTTGCCATTGCTTTGGTGTTTTAGTCATGAAGTCTTTGCTCATGCCTATGTCCTGAATGGTATTGCCTAGGTTTTCTTCTAGGGTTTTTATGTTCCTAGGTCTTATGTTTAAGTCTTTGATCCATCTTGAATTGATTTTTGTATAATGTGTAAGGAAGGGGTCCAGTTTCAGTTTTCTGCATATGGCTAGCCAGTTTTCCCAACATCATTTATTAAATAGGGAATCCTTTCCCCATTGCTTGTGTGTGTCAGGTTTGTCAAAGACCAGATGGTTGTAGATGTGTGGTGTTATTTCTGAGGTTTCTGCTGTGTTCCATTGGTCTATATATCTGTTTTGGTACCAGTACCACATTGTTCTGGTTACTGTAGCATTGTAGTATAGTTTGAAGTTAGGTAGTGTGATGCCTCCAGCTCTGTTCTTTTTGCTTAGGATTGTCTTGCCTATCCAGGCTCTTTTTTGGTTCCATAGGAAATTTAAAGTAGTTTTTTTAATTCTGTGAAGAAAGTCAATGGTAGCTTGATGGGGATAGCATTGAATCTATAAATTACTTCGGGGAGTAAGCCATTTTCACGATATTGATTCTTCCTATCCATGAGCATGCAATGTTTTTCCATTTGTTTGTGTCCTCTCTTATTTCCTTGAGCAGTGGTTTGTAGTTCTCTTTGAAGAGATCCTTCACATACCTTGTAAGTTGTATTCCTAGGTATTTTATTCTCTTTGTAGCAATTGTGAATGAGAGTTCAGTCATAATTTGGCTCTCTATTTGTCTATTATTGGTGTATAGGAATGCTTGTGATTTTTGCACATTGATTTTGTATCCTGAGACTTTGCTGAAGTTCATTATCAGCTTAAAGAGATTTTGGGCTGAGACGATGGGGTTTTCTAAATATACAATCATGTCATCTGCAAACAGAGACAATTTGACTTCCTCTCTTCCTATTTCAGTACCCTTTATTTCTTTCTCTTGCCTAATTGCTCCGGCCTGAACTTCCAATACTATGTTGACTAGGAGTGGAGAGAGCGGGCATCCTTGCCTTGTGCCAGTTTTCAAAGGGAATGCTTCCAGCTTTTGCCCATTCAGTATGATATTGGCTCTGGGTTTGTCATGAAGAGCTCTTATTATTTTGATATGTTCCATCAATACCTAGTTTCAATGAGACAGAAAATTAATAAGGATATTCAGGACTTGAACTTAGCCCTGGACCTAATAGATGTCTACAGAACCCTCCACCCCAAATCAACAGAATATACATTCTTCTGAGCACCACATTCCACTTATTCTAAAATTGACCACATAATTGGAAGTAAAACACTCCTCAGCAAATGCAAAAGAACTGAAATCATAACAGTTTTTCAGACAACAGTTCAATCAAATTAGAACTCAGGATTAAGAATCTCACTCAAAACCACACAACTACATGGAAACTGAACAACCTTCTCCTGAATGGCTACAGGGTAAATAACAAAATTAAGACAGAAATAAAGATGTTCTTTGAAACCAATGAGAACAAAGACACAACATAACAGAATCTCTGGGACACAACTAAAGCAGAGTTTAGAGGGAAATTCATAGCACTAAATGCCTACAGAAGAAAGCGGGAAAGATCTAAAATTGACACCCTAACAACACAATTAAAAGAACTAGAGAAGCAAGAGCAAACAAATTCAAAAGCTAGCAGATGACAGGAAATAACTAAGATCAGGGCAGAACTGAAGGAGATAGAGACACAAAAAACCCTTCAAAAAATCCGTGAGTCCAGGAGCTGATTTTTTGAAAAGATTAACAAAATAGATAGACCAATAGCCAGGCTAATAAAAAAGAAAAGAGAGAAGAGTCAAATAGACACAATAAAAAGTGATAAAGGGGATATCACCATGGGACCCACAGAAATATAAACTACCATCAGAGAATACTATAAACATCTCTACACAAATAAACTAGAAAATCTAGAAGAAATGGATAAATTCCTGGACACATGCACCCTCCCAAGACTAAACCTGGAAGAAGTCAAATCCCTGAGTAGGCCAATAACAAGTTCTGAAATTGAGGCAATAATTAATAGCCTACCAACCAAAAAAAGTCCAGGACCAGTTGGATTCACAGCTGAATTCTACCAGAGGTACAAAGAGGAGCTGGTACCATTCCTTCTGAAACTATTTCAAACAATAAGAAGAGAGGGACTCCTCCCCAGCTCATTTTATGCAGCCAGCATCATCCTGATACCAAAACCTGGCACAGACACAACAAAAAAAGAAAATTTCAGGCCAATATACCTGATGAACATCAATGTGAATATCCTCAATAAAATACTGGCAAATTGAATCCAGCAACACATCAAAAACTTATCCTCCACTATCAAGTCAGCTTCATCCCTGGGATGCAAGGTTCGTTCAACATATGGAAATCAATAAATGCAACCCATCACGTAAACAGAACTGATAACAAAAACCACATGATTATCTCAATAGATGAAGAAAAGGCCTTTGATAAATTTCAACACCCTTCAAGCTAAAAACTCTCAATTAACAAGGACACAATTTTATTTACAATATCATTTAAAAAATAGCTGGGAGTAAATTTAAATGAGGAAGTGAAGAATGTGTATACTGAAAACTATAAAACATTGATGAAAAAATTGAAGATGACACAAATAAAATTGAAAGCTATCCCATGTTCATGGATTGGAAGAATTAATATTGCTTAAATGTCCATACTACCCAAATCTACAGATTCAATGCTCTCCCTATCAAAATTCCAATGTCATTCTTCACAGAAATAGAAAAACAATCCTAAATTAATATGGAAACATAAAAGACCCTGAATAGCCAAAGAGATCTTAATCAACAACAACAAAACTGAAAGCATTACACTACAGGATTTCAAAATATATTTCAAAGTTATAGCAGTGAAAACAACTTGATAGTGGCATAAAGACAGACTCATCAACCAATGGAATAGGAGAGAGAGCCCAGAAATAAACTGGGCTCACACATCTATGGTCAACTGATTTTTGACAAATGTGCCAAAAATGCACAATGAGAAAAGGATAGTCTCTTCAAGAAATGGTGTTGGGAAACTGAATATCTACTTACGGAAGAATGAAAATGAACCCTATCTCACCCCTTATGTAAGAATCAACTCAAAATGGATTAAGACTTAAATGTAAAACCTGAAACTCTAAAACTAATAGAAGAAAACATAGAGAAAATGCTCCTTAATATTGGCCTGGGCAGTGATATCTTAGAAATGATACCAAAAGAATAGGCAACAAAAGCAAAAATGAATAAATGGGATTGCATCAAACTAAAAAGCTTCTGCACAGCAAAGGAAACAATTAACAGAGTGAAGAGACAAACCACAGATAGGGAGAATATATTGGTAACATACATTGGATAAGGGGTTAATAATCCAAAATATATATAAGGAACTCAAACTACTCAATAACAAGAAACAAATAAGCCTACTAAAAATGAGCAAATGACTTGAGTAGACATTTATTTAAAAAAGACATACAAATGGTCAACAGATACATGAAAAACCACATAACATCTCTCATCATAAGAGAAATGCAAGTTAAAAACAAAATGAGCAATCACCTCATACCTGTTAGATTGGCTATTACCAAAGAGATGAAAGATAAGTGTTGGCAAGGATGTAGAAAAAGGGAATACTTATACACTGTTGGTGGTATTGTAAATTTTTTCTCCAGCCATTTTAGAAGACAGTATAAAGGTTCCTCAAAAAAACTAAATAGAAAATTAACACATGATTCAGCAATCTCACTACTGGGCACATACTCAAAGGAACTGAAATCAGTATATCAAAGAGATGTCTGCATTCCCATATCCATTGCAGCACTGATCACAATATCCAAGATATGGAAACAACTTACGTGTCCATCAGTGCACAAACAGATTTTTAAAATGTGCTACATATACACAATAGAATACTATTCCACCCCCCAAAAAACAAACAAAACCAAAAGAACAGAAAATTCTGTCATGAACCTAGAGGACATTATGTTAAGTGATATAAGCCAGGTGCAGAGGGATAAATACCATATGATCTCGCTTGTATGTGGAATCTAAAAAAGGTGAACTCATAGAAGTAGAGAGTAGAATAGTGGTTATCAGAGTCTGGGGATTGTGGGGGTTGATGGGGAAAAGGAAGACGTTGGTCAATGGGAACAAAGTTTTAGTTAGCAGTAACAAATTCTGGTGCTCTATTGCACAGCACAGTGACTATAATAATAATATATTGTCCCTGGCTAACACGGTGAAACCCCGTCTCTACTAAAAATACAAAAAACTAGCCGGGCGTGGTGGCGGGAGCAGGTAGTTCCAGCTACTCAGGAGGCTGAGGCAGGAGAATGTCGTGAACCTGGAAGGCGGAGCTTGCAGTGAGTTGAGATTGTGTCACTGTACTCCAGCCTGGGCAACAGAGCAAGACTCCATCTCAAAAATAATAATAATAATAATAATAATAATATATTGTTTATCTCAAAATAGCTAAAACAGGATTTCAAATGTTCTCACCACAAAGAAATGATAAATATTTGAGGTGACGGATATGCTAATTAGCCTAAATTCATAACTCCATATTGTATATATGTATTAAAACACCACATTGTACTTTATAATATATATAATTATTATTTGTCAATTTAAAATAAAATAAAACTTTAAAAAAATAGATAAAAGAGACCCCAGAAAGCTAGCTCTTCTCCTCTACCATGTGAGGACACAGAGAGAAGGTGTCTTCTATGAGAACATAGGCTTGCACTAGGCACTGAATCTGCCAACCCCTATCTTGGACTTCCCAACCTCTAGAACTGTGAGAAGTAAATGTTTGTTGTTTACAAGCCACTCGGTTTATAGTATTTTGTTATAGCAGCCCAAACAGACTAAAATACAGAATATCTTCCGTTTAGCAGAATTTACTCGGAGCTTACCAAGTACCCCAGCACTTACAGAGAAATTAGTTTCTCAATTTAAAATATTGAGTCTATAAAGAAGAGCCATTTAAGGCACCAATACATTTGTCCAGCAAAGTTATCTCTCCCCAAGCCCTGGCTATAGGCTGCACCACTGCCTCTGCAACTGTGACCTTGGCTCCAGCCACCATGCTTCCTCACACACCAGGCACCAGCTACTTAGTCTGCAGGAGGGTGAAGGGCTCTGCAAGGCAAGTGGAAAATCTAGCTCACCACAGAATGGTGGCTGCCATTAAATAACCACAAAACGCAAATTTGAAGAAGCTTACAGGTAATTTTATAAGATAATTAAAGTAATAAGATCAAAGTTAGTTAAAAAGTACATTTTTAGAAAAATAATCCAGTGACTTTGTATGAGAGACAGATACGGCTAAAAAACTGCAACTGTGTGCCTATGTACCAGGAATAATTATTCTAATTATGTTGTTGTTGATGTGCAGATGACCAATAATATAAATATAGTTTAATATATAAGTAGTAATAAATAAAATTTTGATCTTACCTCAATAAACATAAATATATTTTATGTTTATTTTTAGAAATAATTTTATTTATGAAAATGTCTTTAATAAAACTATTTTACCAGTTTACCAATTTAATAAAAATATATTTTTCACCCAATATATTAATATTTCAAAAAATCAAATAACAATTAGTCTAGTGCTTCTTTATCCCAAACATCTCCTTGTTTGGATAATAAATTATATCTTTACTCTAGGCCAGGCACAGTGGCTCACTCCTGTAATCCCAGCACTTTGGGAGGCCAAGGCAGGTGGATACCTGAGGTCAGGAGTTTGAGACCAGCCGGCCAACATGGTGAAACCCTGTCTCTACTAAAAATACAAAAATTAGCTAGGTGTGGTGGCGGGTGCCTGTAGTCCCAGCTACTGAGGAGGCTGAGGCAGGAGAATCACATGAACATGGGAGGTGGAGGTTGCAGTGAGCCAAGATCACACCATTGCACTCCATCCTGGGTGACTGAGCATGACTCTGTCTCAAAAAAAAGAAAAAAAATTATATTTACTCTAGAAAGAGGAGAATAAAGAACTGACCAATAGAGTTCTATAGAGATCACTGATAAACTTGATAGAAGGAGCCTTAGTGGACTCAGGAGCTGTATTGGAGAAGGCTAAAAATAAAATAAAGTGAAGTAAGGAAGTGGAGAGATGACAATATATTTATTTTTTAATATGTTTTGCTTTTAATAAGAGCAAAGAAAATGAGACAGTGTATAGTGGAAGAAGCGAGGTCAGGAGATATTATTTTTGCAACTAGGTTATAAAGTATATATCTATGTGTGTTTGTGTTGTTGCCCAGTAATGAGGCAGCAATTGATGATGCAGGATGGAGGTAAAGGGATAGAGTCCAACTAACCAGAAGATTGACTTTTCATTCAAAGCCACAGTTGCAACCTTCTGGTAGACACGTTAGTTTTTCTCTTCCTTATTCTGCTTAATTCCCATATTATTAGATCTTTATTTGTCTTTTTTGTAAGCATAAATAGTAACATAAATAGAATAACAAAAATAGTATAATTCTGGTACATAGTTGTATTAGTTTTTCAGCTATATCTCTCTATACAAGATTACTGGAATTATTAAGAATGTCTTTTTAAACTAACATGAGTCTTATTAATTTGGTTATCTTCTTTTCAAATCAGTTTTGAAAAAATAGGAATGAAAAAGAGGAAGCAAGAGAAGGAAGAAGGAAGGGAAAAATGTTTTTATTTAAAAGCAGAACCTTTCTCTATGCTTTGAAGATATGGATTAGATGCTAATAATTGTCTCTGAGCAAATAACCTAAGAAATGTGTGTGCGCATATGTGTTTGTGTGTGTGTGTGTGTGTGTGTGTGTGTGTGTGTGTAGGGGACTTGCTGTTCTTTTCATTGTTTTCCCTAAGTAATTGGAGAAAATGCCAGTAAGCCTTAGCTGACATTTCATGGTCTTTCTGACCAACAGTTAAATCCAAGCTTCTTTGTTTTACATTACCCCAAAATAGATTTCCTTATGCTGATACAGAGAAAGTAATTAGGTCCTTCAATTCAGCTTGCATGTTGAGAATACCAAAATTGTCACAAAATTTAGCCCTTCCCGTCCTGATATTTATCATGTTAGGTTACTCACATGCTGCTGCTGATCGTGTTTTTGAGTCAACTAGAAAAGCACAATCCATTAGATAAATAACCTCTAAGTTCATGACCCCATACACTAGGTAGTTGAGAAAACTGCATAAGAATGAAAACATTTTGGCTGGGCGCAGTGGCTCATGCCTGTAATCCCAACACTTTAGGAGGCCGAGGTGGGCAGATCACCTGAGATCAGGAGTTCAGGACTAGCCTGGCCAACACGGCGAAACCCCATCTCTACTAACAATGCAAAAATTAGCCGGATGTGGTGGTGCACATCTGTAATCCCAGCTACTCAGGAAGCTGAGGCAGGAGAATCGCCTGAATCAGGAGGCAGAGGTTCCAGTGAGCCGAGATCATGCCAGTGCACTCCAGCCTGAACAACAGAGCGAGACCGTGTTTGTTTTTGGACATTCAAGATTCAACTACACAATGAGAAATTCCCACAATAACATATATGTCAAAGGTCCATCCAGTCTTGGCTTTAACTGTTGATTCCGGGATGACAATTGTTAGGGGGAAATCTGTAGGTTGAAATGCTCTACTTTCCTGGAGCAACATTTATGGTTTACTAGTTCTGTCCATGGAGACCCCTTGACACCAAACACCAGCATTTCAAATACCTGGCTGTAATTATCACACTGATCCACATGATGCCTTAATCACAGCCCCCTCACTAGGTTTTCTCTTTTCCGGGCCAATGAATCCCAATTCTTTCACTGTTTGTCATATGGAAGTGTTGAACATAGCCCTGGAAACAAACCTAGTACTCAATAAATCATAATTTTGTCTGTCTTATTGTTCCGTGCCCAGTCTTTTACAATCTGTTGCCCTCTGGTGGATAGTTTTCCAGATCATTAATGTCCAAATGGTGTATTATAATTAACCTATTAGTGATAATACTATTAAGAATGAACATTTATTAAAAGCTTATAATGTGCCAAGCACTTTGCTAAGTGTTTTCAGACATTCTCATTTAATACTCAAAACAAACTTAACACGCTAATATGGCAATTCTTATTTTACGGATGAGGAAAACAACACTTAGAACAGTTAAGAAACCTGATCAGGGTGGCACAGTTGAGGGGTGGGGGCAGTGATCCTTCCCCTTTTCTCCCAAGCCTTCATTTACTTGCATCACAGTGCCATCTTATAACTTTATATTGGTTCTCATCTAAACTGTGGTTTCCTCCCTTCACTTTTCTCATGACAGGTTTTTTTTTGTTTTTTCGGTTTTGTTTTTTGTTTTTTTTTTAATGTTCCGATAAAACTTTACATTTATACGCTGGGCGCGGTGGCTCACGCCTGTGATCCCAGCACTTTGGGATGCCGAGGTGGGTGGATCACCTGAGGTCAGGAGTTCCAGACCAGCCTGGACAACATGGTGAAACTCTGTCACTACTAAAAATACAAAAATTAGCTGGGTGTGGTGGTGCATGCCTGTAATTCCAGCTACTCGGGTGGCTGAAACAGGAGAATCGCTTGAACTCAGGAGGCAGAGGTTGCAGTGAGTCGAGATCACGCCACTGCACTCCAGCCTGAGCTACAGAGTGAGACTCGGTCTCAAAAACAAACAAACAAACAAAACTTTACATTCAGAAACAGGCAGCAGAAAGGCTGTATTTTGATGATTCCTGTATTAGTTAGTTTAAATTTGTTTTCCCATTCAATTATCCTAAATAAACTTTAGATAAGAAATCAGGCCGGGCGGGGTGGCTCATGCCTGTAATCCCAGCACTTTGGGAGGCCGAGGCAGGTGGATCACCTGAGGTCAGGAGTTCAAGACCATCCTGGCCAATATGGTGAAACCCTGTCTCTACTAAAAATACACAAATCAGCTGGGCATGGTGGTGTGCACCTGTAATCCCAGCTACTCGAGTGGCTGAGGCAGGAGAATCACTTGAACCTGGGAGGCAGAGGTTGCAGCGAGCCGAGACTGTGCCATTGCATTGGGCAACAAGAGCGAAAACTCTGTCAAAAAAAAAAAAAAAAAAAGAATTCACAGGTTATTCAACTTGACCACCTGATATTGAGACAAGTATTCAACTTGACCACCTGATATTAATACAAGTATTCCACTCAATAAGTAGGAAAACTGAATTTGAAACTCAAGTTTTGTGACTCCAACACTTGAGAGTGTGTAATCTTCTTTTTTAAAGATTTAATTAATTTTTTAAATTGACAAATAATAATTGTACATATTCATGAGTTACATAGTGATGTCTTGATATATATAATTTATAGTGATCAAATCAGAGTAGTTAGCTTATTCATCCTGATGGTTTTATTGTAAAGCTCAAAGCTTTGGTCACAGAGGCAAACGTTTTTGGAGTCTTTTTATGCTATTTGGTTTTTTGTATTGCTTGTTCAGAGCCTAAACTTTGCTTGACACTACAAAAATTGCATGTACTCTTTCATTTCCCTTTTAATTATTTGCAGAATTAAAAATGTTTTCATATTTCTCTTATTCAAACCCTTCGTTGTTTTGCTTTCATGACATCAACTCTCCTGTTTTCCTCCTATTGCTTTAATAATTCTTTCTTTCTTCTCTTTTCTTTCAGTTATAGTTGTTTTCCAGAGTTTTATTCTTATGTTTTGTTTTTTAATTTACCCTTTATCTAGTATAGAGAATTTTTCAACATGGAATTAAAGATAATTATGAATCAGGTACAACTGAAGACTATGAAAAGACTTGGAAATGAAAGCGTATTACCAAAGTTTAAAACTCAAGCAAATAGCTGAAAACTGTAAACATAGCTGAGAACCCATGTTTGGAAGACATTCTATAGGGTGTCTATAAGGAACTCTATCAGTATGTAAAGCAAGAAGACAAAGAGAAAATCAGGAGATATTAATTCAGCAATATAGAGGATAGCTTTAAATATTTAGGAGGACTTTTAGGAAGAGCAAGTAGAAAGGCCAAAAAGGAAGCCATAATCAAAGACACAGAAGAAAAATTCCCTTTGATAAAGAAAGATTTGAACCATCAGACTGAAAATACAACTGATTCCAGCCAGAAATATGCCATGCAAACACACCAGGACACATCCTTGTAAAATCTTGAATTTCTGTGATAAAGGGAAAATCTTAAGTGTTTCCAGATGGAAAAGTTAAAGAACAAGAATAAAACTAGTATATGTTTTCTTGTTGCAAACCTAAATGCTGGAACCAATTTAGAACTTTCATTTGGTTCCTTTCTGGGTTTTTATTTCTGTCCAGAAATACCAATCTCTTCAATCTCAGACTTCAAACATTTATGAAAAATGAAATTTAAAAAGAAAAACTAAAAATGTAAACTTTATTTCTCAATAGAAGCTCCATCAAGTTCAAAACACTTTTGAAAGTGATGATACCAACCATTTAGAACATCCCTGAAGGACTGAGTGTCCTGGATACTTAACTATGTTAATGTAGTATTTTTACATTATTAACTGAACAAAAATGGGTGTCCTTTAAAGATTTTTTAAAGATTAGGAAACAAAAAGAAGTCAGAAGGAGCCAAATCAGGACAGTAAAGTTGATCCTAAAGATTTCCTATTGAAAAATGAGCAGGAGCTTTGTTGTAGAGAAAGACTCTAGCAAAGCTTTTCTGGGCATTTTTCTGCTAAAGCTTTGCCTAACTTTCTCAAAATACTTTCATAATAAGCAAATGTTATTGTTCTTTGGTCCTTTAGAAAGTCAACAAACAAAATGCCTTGAGCATCACAAAAAACTGTTCCAATGACCTTTGCTCTTGACTGGTTCACTTTCGCTTTGACTGGACAGCTTCCACCTCTTGGTGGCCATTCCTTTGATTGTGCATTGTCTTCAGGATTATACTGATAAAACCAGGTTACATCTCCTGTTATAATTCTTTGAAGAAATGCTTCTACAAAGCATTTTCAAAGTGGGATCATCCTGCTTCTTTAAAATTTCCATTGAAAGCTTTGCTCTTGCCTTCAGCTGATCTGAGAGCAACAACTTTGGCACTCATTGAGTGATAAGTTCGCCCAATTTTAATTTCTCAGTCAGAATTGTGTAATTGGTTCAATACATGGAAATCAATAAACGTAATCCATCCCATAAACAGAACCAATGACAAAAACCACATGATTATCTCAATAGATGCAGAAAAGGCCTTTGAAAAAATTCAACAGCCTTTCATGCTAAAAACTCTCAATAAACTAGGTATTGATGGAACATATCTCAAAATAATAAGAGCTCTTTATGACAAACCCACAGCCAGTATCATACTGAATGGGGGAAAAAACTGGAAGCATTCCCTTTGAAAACCAGCACAAGGCAAGGATGCCCTCTCTTACCACTCCTATTCAACATAGTATTGGAAGTTCTGGCCAGGGCAATCAGGCAAGAGAAAGAAATACAGGGTATTCAGATAGGAAGAGAGGAAGTCAAATTGTCTCTGTTTGCAGATGACATGATTGTATATTTAGGAAACCTCATTGTCTCAGCCCAAAACCTCCTTAAGCTGATAAGCAACTTCAGCAAAGTCTCAGGATACAAAATCAATGTGCGAAAATGACAAGCATTCCTATACACCAATAACAGACAACAGAGAGCCAAATCATGAGTGAACTCTCATTCACAATTGCTACAAAGAGAATAAAATACCTAGGAATACAACTTACAAGGGATATGAAGGACCTCTTCAAAAACCACTGCTCAAGGAAATAAAAGAGGACACAAACAAATGGAAAAACCTTGCATGCTCATGGATAGGAAGAATCAGTATCATGAAAATGGCCTTACTGCCCAAAGTAATTTATAGATTCAATGCTCTCCCCATCCAGCTACCACTGACTTTCTTCACAGAATTGGAAAAAACTATTTTAAACTTCATATGGAACCAAAAAAAAGCCCACATAGTCAAGAAAATCCTGGGCAAGAAGAACAAAGCTGGAGGCATCATGCTACCTGACTTCAAACTATACTACAAGTCTACAGTAACCAAAACAGCATGGCACTGGTATCAAAACAGATATATAGACCAATGGAACAGAACAGAGGCCTCAGAAATAACACCACACATTTACTGCCATCTGATCTTTGACAAACCTGACACACACAAGAAATGGGGAAAGGATTCCCTATTTAATAAATGGTGTTGGGAAAGCTGGCTGGCCATATGCAGAAAACTGAAACTGGACCCCTTCCTTACACATTATACAAAAATCAACTGAAGATTGATCAAAGACTTAAACATAAGACCTAGGACCATAAAAATCCTAGAAGAAAACCTAGACAATACCATTCAGGACATAGGCATGGGAAAAGGCTTCATGTCTAAAACACCAAAAACAATGGCAAAAAAAGTTAAAATTGACAAATGGGATCTAATTAAACTAAAGAGCTTCTGCACAGCGAAAGAAACTATCATCATCATCAGAGTGAACAGGCAACCTACAGAATGGGAGAAGATTTTTGCAATCTGTCCATCTGACAAAGGGCTAATATCCAGAAGCTACAAAGAACTGAAAGAAATTTACAAGAAAAAAGGCAACAACCCCATCAAAAAATGGGCAAAGGATATGAACAGACACTTTTCAAAAGAAGACATTTACGCAGCCAAGAGATGTATGAAAAAATGCTTATCATCACTGGTCATTAGAGAAATGCAAATGAAAACCACAATGAGACCATCTCATGCCAGTTAGAATGGCAATCATTAAAATGTCAGGAAACAACAGATGCTGGAGAGGTTGTGGAAAAATAGGAACACTTTTACACTGTTGGTGGGAGTGTAAATTAGTTCAACCATTGTGGAAGACAGTGTGGCAATTCCTAAAGGATCTAGAACTAGAAATACCATTCGACCCAGCAATCCCATTACTGGGCATATATCCAAAGGATTATAAATCAATCTACGATAAAGACACATGCACACATATTTATTTATTTATTTATTTGCAGCACTATTCACAATAGCAAAGACTTGGACAAATGTCCATCAATGATAGACTGGATTAAGAAAATGTGGCACATATACACCATGGAATACTATGCAGACATAAAAAAGGATGAGTTCATGTCCTTTGCGGGGACATGGATGAAGCTGGAAACCATCATTCTCAGCAAACTATCACAAGATCAGAAAACCAAACAACTCATGTTCTCACTGATAAGTGGGAGTTGAACAATGAGAACACATGGACACAGGGAGGAGAACATCACACACTGGGGCCTGTGGGGGATGGGGGGGGCTAGAGGAAGGATAGCATTAGGAGAAATACCTAATGTAGGTGACGGGTGGATGGGTGCAGCAAACAACCATGGCACGTGTATACCTATGTAACAAAACTGCACGTTCTGCACATGTAATCCAGAACTTAAAGTAGAATAATAAAAAAATTAAGTTACATAAACGTAAAATAAAATACACAGTATTAAAAAAAATCTTGTAATACCATTTCCACATAAGAAATTCATCTCTCCAGTAAATTACATATCACCATAAACAAAAATATACAGGAACTGAGAGAAATCAATAACTCTACTGTTTTGTGCAAATGCAGTTGAGTTTATGATCACAACTGCCCTTATCTATAAGTCTGCTAACCCTTGAGCCTTGAAGGGAAAAGATAAACACCAGCAGCCAGTGTTTTAATTGTACCACAAGAAGGCCTGAACAACAAGAACATTTTTCCTGCATTGGTTTCATCAATACCCTGTCATTGAAGTCAGGAAATACCTTGCCAGTAAGGGACTGCGTTTTAAAGTTATTTTGATATTGGACAGTGCCCCTGGCCACCCAGAGCCCCAGGAGTTCAACAGCAAAGGCACTGAAATGGTATACTTCTCCCCAGACATGTTTCTAATTCAGCCTCTAGAACAGGGGGTCATAAGGACCTTTAAGGCTCATTATATACGTACTCTATGGAAAGAATTGTCAATGCCTAGGAAGACAACCCCAGGAGAGGGCCATCATGAAAGTCTAGAAAGATTACACCATTAAAGATGCTATCATTGTTGCAGAAAAAGTGGTGAAAGCCATTAAGCCTGAGACAATAAACTCTGCTTGAGGAAACTGTGTCCAAATGTTGTGCGTGACTTCACAGGATTTATGACAGAGCTAATCAAGGAAATTATGAAAGATATTGTGGATATGGCAAAAAAAAAAGTTGGGGTAAAAGGTTTCAAGAAATAAATCTTGGCAAAATTCAAGAGCTAATAGACACCACACCAGAGGAATTAATGGAAGATGACTTGATGGAGAAGAATGCATCTAAGCCAGGATCAAACAATGCGGAAGAAAACATAGAAGCAGCAGTGCCAGAAAACAAGCTGACATTAGACAGTCTGACAGAAGGCTTCTGACTATTCGGGACCGCTTTTGACTTCTTTTATGATATGGGCCCATCTATGGTATGATACAGGCACTAAAACTAAAACAAATGGTAGAAGTAAGAAGGGGTACCATATAGAAATATTTTTAGAGAAATGAACAAGCAAAAAAGTCAGACAAAAATTAAATATACTTCTGAAAAGTTACACCGACTGTGCCTGTCTCTTCCACCTTCCCTTCAACCTCCTCTATCTCTTCTTCCCCAGGGACCCCTGAGACAGCAAGACCAACTCCTCCTTATCCTCCTCCTCCTTAGCCTACTTAACATGAAGATGATGAGGATAAAGACCTTTATGATGATCTAATTCCACTTAATGAACAGTAAATATATTTTGTCTTCATCATGATTTTCTTAATACCATTTTATTTTCTCTAGCTTACTTTCCTGCAAGAATATGGTAAACAATGTATATGACACATAGAATATGTGTTAATCAACTGTGTTGTTGGTAAGGCTTCCTGTCAACAGTAGGCTATTAGTAGTTGAGTTTAGGGGTGTCAAAAGTTATGCATGGATTTTCGACTGGTTGAGGGGACAGCACTCCAAACCCCTGCATTGTTCAAGGGTCAACTATATTCAGTATTATGTAAGTATATATGGGAAATGATCAGCAGGATTATTTAATGTGTGACTCTAGAGGCCAGGTTACCTAGGAATGAGCTAGCTAGCATGAGGACTCGTCTCAGTTAAAAAAAAGCTCCTCCAGGTCTCAGGGGTAGTGTCCCCAGCCTTCTCATTACTCCCCAAAACAGCTGAGTCAAACTTAAATATTCATTTCTATCCCCATTCCCAGACAACATCTCCCATACACACATTACACAATCACTCTTATTCTTGTTAACCAAGATGAAGACCCTCTACAAGAAATAGTCCTGTTACATCTAGCTCAACTCCACCTAAGCCTGCCTCTGCACCTGCTGTCTCTCATGCCCAGGAGTCACAGTCTTTGCCAAGTGACACTGCTGGCTTTTAACTCAGTTCCCTAATTCACTGTGTGATATAGGGAAAAGTCACTTCCTCTCCTTCTGAGCCAGTTTCTCCATCTGCAAAATAGATTCAATAGTCTAAAAATCCCTTTTGACTTCATTTTTATCAAACACTTTTTGTGTCCCTAATAAGGTGTGATCATAATCATAATGTTTCATGATGATATCATGGAATTATACATAATTATATGTATGTAGTTATACTATATTATATATTAATATATTATATAATTATATATTATTGTATCATATATAAATATAATTATATATTATTAATATAATACTTAATATTGATTATGTTAAATAATATCACATGTTGATTATACATTATAATACATAATCATGTACTTGTGATCATTTTATATAACTATAATTATGTAATTTTAATTGCTATGTTTTTTTAAGCTCCTACCATATGTCAAAACATTTTTCCTCTTTCATATCCCCCACCGCCATTCGCCTAATAATGGTAATTCATTCTTTGAGCCTGTCTCAGGTTGGTTGTCAGTTTCTTTAGGAAGCCTACTCCAACTTTTCTTAGCCTGAGTTAGATGCCCCTATTCCTCTCATAGTTCCCTGTATTTTTCCTATTGCAATGCTTACTACATTAAATTGGAACTGCTTATAGAGTTGTTGATTACTCCAAAAAAGAGTATAAATGCCATGAAAGGAGGGTGATCAATTGTTTTGTTGCTCTGTATATTGCCAGCACCCAGAAGAGGGCCTGGCACATAGTAGGCACACAATAAATATGTGTTGAATAAATAATTAATGCTAGGCACTTTAAATTGGAAAAAACTAGCACAGTAATACAAAGACCAATGTTAACTAAATCAGTTAACATGCACTTCCTTTCTTAAATGTCGTTATAAAAAGGAGGAAGAAAACTCAAGTGAAACTGACTCTGCTAGAACAGTGCCGTGCTTTTCCACAGAAGGTTAGACCCTGAAAGAGATGGCTCAGCACCACCTATGGATCTTGCTCCTTTGCCTGCAAACCTGTGAGTTCTGACCCTTGCTGATCGCCTCCTAGTTTTCCATAAAGTTTTAAAAATTGCCCTTAAGGAAGACATTGAACTGTCTTTTTGATCTGTGTTTAGCAGAACACCCTGGGTCTCAGTATCTACTGTACTCAACAGGATCCAACTGGCTGGGGAGAGACTTAAAATTCAAACCTAAGTGTTTAGGTTCAGCTTTAAAGTTTATATTACTGAGTTATATTTCTGAGATCTGGAGATCTCAGTTTCCAAAGGTCTGAGGCAAATCCTTCTCAGAGGAATCAGCACTTGGTAAACCCACCCAAAAAGCCTGGCAAAAGAAAGATCTTCTAAAAGCTTGAATGACTTACAAGCAATTTCTTCTTGGCATTCAATTGTGATGGCGTTTGAGAGAGAAAAATGTCTTTCCTAATTATAGTTGATTGTTCTATCAGGTTAGAGTGATGGATGACTCATCGTTATCATTGTTGAGCCTCATCTCTATAAACTCCCTTTATTTTCAAAACACAGAGCTATTACTCTGCTTTTATCCTCAACAAACTCTAAAATAAATGAGGAAGAGATTACTATCCCATTTTTTACAAATAGTCTCAAAAAAGAGTTGGAGAACTTGAATTAAAAACCCTATTTTTCTTACTTATGGCATAACAGTAAACTAAAAGAACGACATGAATATTGATTGTTATTTGTACAAAGAAAATTGTAACATTAACATAGATCTGGGAGTGCTGTGTCATTGTACATGTTATCTCCTTAAATACAAACAATTGCTCTAACAGAAATTTACTATGTTTGGAACTTCTAGATCTACTTCTAGTATCTCTTGCCAGTTCTGAAAATGCACTAGCAGAATTCTGGCATGAGTTAGAACCCTGGGAACCTAGTACGTTTGGATTTTCTGTAAAGGTAGAATCAATGCACTGTGATCTCTCTGGTTTCTTTGGCCATTTCAAGCTATGGCTCCTTTAATTTGAACTTCATGGAGATTGTAACCACTAGTCAGACCAAATTTTTGGAGCCTCTGCTGGTCGCTCTAGAATGGCAGACAGAAAATGCAAGTAGATGAGGAATGGTACTAGGGATGTCCCTAATCTTCCAGAGAGAGACCAGACAAGGTAGCATTTGATACCACTTAATTTGCAAAACATTCTACAATGTTTATGCCTACATTCTTATGTCATCCATATGAAAACCATTGAGATGAGCAAGATAGACGTTATTAATCCCATTATGCAAGAAAAATAATAAATTAAGATTTAGGGGTTTAAAAATTCACCTGAAATTTCACTACCTAAATTGGTAGAGCTGGAAATAGACATTGGTTTTTCTAATTCCAAGGTTAATCCCAATCCCATTGGTTCTTCTTTCTGCTCCACCTGACCTCTTCACTCATTGCTTTCAAATTTTTGATGCTCTTCAAAAGGTTAATACCTGCTAAGATAAAAGGTAGCTCTAGGATACACTTCTTTCATCTACTGAAACTGAAATAAAGTTGTCAAATCAGCTAGTAGTGAATTGTTTACAAGTTTTGTGACCTAGACGAAGTTACATTCCTCCTCTGACTCTTGTTTCAGCTTCAAAATGGGGAGGTATTAATACAGTAGAATTGTTTTGAGAATCAAAATGATGATAATGCATGTACAACACTTGCCATGGTACCTGAATATAGTAAGTGTTTAACAGATATCAGCTAATGCTACTATTTTTCACACTCGCTTTTCATTCATTATTAGGAAGAGCCATGGCTTTACCACACAGAGATCCTGGGCAGGACTCCTCTGTCAGGGAATTGTCCAAGGAACATAAACAGGAGAAAAGGTGGTGGGAGTTTGAGCTTAGGTGTTGGTTGTCTGGGTTCTGGAAAAGGAAACTAGGAGTGAGATATTCATTTCATCAAGGATCCATGAAAGGGGAATGGGAGCTTGTTTTTATAAAAGTGAAGCCAGGAGTACTTTTTACATACTGTCCACCTTTACTGAATTATCTGTTTGCCTCTTAAGGATTATTCTGCAAACCTTTTCTGAGCACAAAAATATACCATGAATTCCTCCTGCTGCTGTTCCTGGTAGAGGTAGTCCCTTACATTCAGTATTGGGCTTAGGAGTCTACACTTTACACATTTCCCTGGAATTCAGAGCAGTTGAAGAGGCTGAGAAGCAGTGGAGAGATGCAGGGAGAAATCCCCATTTCCCCTCAGAAATCACCGACATAAGGAAAGTCTGAGTGTGCAAACTTATGACTGTTCCATGTTGGAAAAGTTTTCTCTGAGTCAAAATTCACAGTCTTATGCTCTGATGCCAACTTTCTGATCATGACTTTGGAAACACCATGACTCTGACTGTCTCTCCACATACCCTGGGAGACACTCCCACTCTGAGGGTAGGAGATGAAGGAGTCCACCAGTTTTAATCCTTGCCCACCCCCTCTACATATACTGTCTCATACTCTTAATTCTTCCTTTTCTCTGCCCCATTCGTATTTCTATTTCTTCAACTCCCTGTCTTATCTCCCATCAATAATAGTAATAAGTAACCATTTATGGAGCAATCACTGCATATTCAGCATTACTCTAAGTAGTCTACAGTTATTATTTTGTTTAATCCTTACAATACACTATGAGATAGATACGGTTTATGTGCACATATACAGATGAAAGCATTGATACACAGAGAGTCAAAGGCCACTTAACCAAAAAGTGAAAGAAGTAGAATTTAAGCTTCAGAGTCCTTAGACTTCACCTCTGAGTCATGCTGCCTCCACCCACATTGATGCTGAAGTGGAGTAAATTACTCTCCCTACTATTAATGTTTGGGAATATGTCAGTAAAGAGTGATGATTTATTTATTTCTGTCAAGACAGGATTATTCGGATAGAATCTGTGCCTTTCTCTATACCCACCCACAGAGGAGGAAGGAGCTGTTGGCAGGTCCTTGCCAATAACGGAAGTTTAGGCAGGGCAGTGAGGCAGAATACCCAAGCAAACAACCATCTCCAGACATATTTCAAATACCGTTCACTTTAATATTATTCAAATGTGATTTGAATTAGTTTCTTTAAACAAATAAAAGTCCAATATCAGCATGATGTTGATGTCTTGTTGGATGTTAAACATGGTCATGGGCATTTCAGCAGTTGAGACCTAAAATTCTAAGAAATGAGTGGGCTCACTATGGGTAACTGGACCCCAACCATCATCCTGGGGCTCAGAGACAGGAAGCATACCTGTGGAAGTATGCTGACAAAACAACCTGCCACTGATCTGAAGTCCTTGCATTGAGGGGTCTTCAAGATAAGGACAAGGCCTCTGTATTAGAATGAGATTTAAGCAGATGACTACCACAGACATTCAGAAAAGGGCTCAAAAGCAGAAATCCAGTTATAGAAATGGAAATATATTACATATGGGTAAAACTGCTTATCAAAAACCCAGCTTCCAAACAGAGGGTGGAAAGCTGTTCCCCCTGTGATAACTCAGGCCTTCAGTGGAAGGCAGCGGAGGCCTACCTTGTCAGCTCCAAGTGCTTGAAGCAGTCCTGGAGATCAATATGGAGGCCAACAAGGCAGCCAGAGCACCTTCGCAACAGGAGCCTGATGGTCGGTGCCAAGCCATTCAGGCTACTGGAGTATTCCTAAATCAAACCTTTCTTGTCTTGGACCTTAGGAAAGGGATGGACCTGTAAGTTTGGAGATCACTGGGCTCATCTATGTGAAACTTGGAAAGAGGTATGAGCAATCAGCTGGGGGCTGATATAGGTGGAACTGACTAGGTACTCTTGTTTCCTTTGTTATACTCAGTGTTCAAGTACACGCTAATAGAGGGCAGCAATGTTAAAACGGATGGCTATGATCTCATGTCTGTTTTGAGATTTTGTGTGTGTGTGTGTGTGTGTGTGTGTGTGTTTTGAAGGAACTGATTCAAGTAAACCTAAATCCCAATAAAGGTGATATAAAGTAAAACTCCCAGGGGAAAACAATGTACTATTGCATGGGGGTAGTAGGTTCCTTTTTCTTAAAACCTCATGATCAAGGACTTTCCGTCGCTTTGGAGAATGACACAAAATTTCTGCCTGCCCAGCCCTGTGCTTCCTCTTCCCCTCTATGTCCCTTCACTCAGTGTGAGCAGTTATAATGGACTCTCTTTTGGGCACCACATGCTAAAGCTACCTCTGGTCACTCTCCCAGACCTACAATACTCAGCGATGTTCCACCCCCACTTTTTGACTCTAGGAGGCAGTGGGTGGAGAAGAGGAGAGGAAGTTTAGCTAGTGCCACAAAAAAAGAACAAGAAATGTTTGTCTGGAGGATCCTAAGAAAGTAAGGGGGTGGAGGTGTCTGTTAAGCAACTGTGCAGTCTTCCCCATTTCCACTCTTATTAATAGCTACTTGCTGACTTTAACATCTCCCCAATACCCCAACTCTAATTTTTCCCTTCGTAGTTGTCTGAGGTGTTATTTTAGTCTCTTTGAAGATGTTTATTTGTTTTACATAGCAAACATATATAGTGCCTAGTATATGCCAGGCACTATTCTAAGAGGTCTACAAATATCAATTCATTTAACCCTCATAATATTTTTATGAGGTCAAATATTGTGCTACTATTACCTTCACCAATGTGCTAATATTACCTTCATTTTAAAGCTGAGGAAACTGAGGCACAGAGAGGTTACTGACTTTCCCTGGGGTTCATGGCCAGTCCCTGACAGAGCCAGGATTCTAGCCCAGGCAGGCTAGGCCTCAGTGACTAACCCATGGTGACATACAGGTGATTCCACAAGGCAAGGCTCTCCTTAGGACCACTAGACTCTCCTCCATTAGTACACACACTTGAGAGCACCCTCATGTCATTTAATCCTAATAATTCCTCAAAGTGGCAGGACAGCTCTGTTTTATTTCTTTTACCAACTAGAACCCTCTGACTTAGCAAGTAAGTGACATTCATGGTCATTTAGCTAGTCAACAACAGACCCTAGACTCAAACATGTTTCCTAATCCCTGATTCAGGACACTTTTACTAACTATGCTGTGGGTCCCCATTTTGTGGATCTAAAAAATTTTCTTCACAAACAGTATAGAATATAGAAAGAAATTGCAGTTAGCCATCTGATTCTTGTTAATAATCAGTTTAAATACTTGACCTTTCACATCAAGACCCAGAGATCAGTAAAGAGTCCTCTCTTGCCTTCACTCTTTCTCTTGCTGAGATTTTCTGCCTTGTTTTTCTATTGTTGGAAAAGATTAATTGAGTCAGTTGCAAAAAAAAAAAAAGCTTTGTTTTTTTTTGTTTGTTTTTGTTTTTTGTTTTGAGACAGAGTCTTGCCCTGTCACCCAGGCTGGAGGGCAGTAGCACAATCGTGGTTCATGGCAGCCTTGACTTCCCAGGCTCAAGTGATCCTCCTGTCTCAGCCTCCCAAGTAGCTGAGACTACAGGCATGCATTACCATGCCTGACTAATTTTTTTTTATTTTCTTTTTCATAGAGATGGGATCTCATTGTGTTTCCCAGGCTGGTGTTCATTTTTTCAACAAACATTTAATAATCATCCACTAGTTCTTGGAGGAACAGTAGTGATTGAAACAGACAAAGACTCACATTCTTGATAATTGCATTATAGTAGCAGTGTATTGAGGGGATGGGTTGGGAGACAATCAATAAATAAGCACAGGCAATGCTTTAGTGGTGATAACTGCAGTGAAGAGAAGGATAGTAAGGCAAGGCAAGAGAGAAGGATGGGGTGGGGATTGCTGTTTTAGGCACAGTGACCAGGAAAGCTCTTTCTAATGAGATGATGTTGGGAGAAAACCCTGAACAAAGTGGGGGACTGCTGAAAAGAGTGTGGTAGGAAAAGAGGAGAACAACAGGTGCAAAAGCTCTAAGGCAAAGTGCCCTTGGCCTGTTTACAGAACAGAGGGAGCTGATGTGGTTGGAGTAGGGAAGTAGGGGAAGATCAGGCAGAGCCTAGTAGTGATGGTTAAGATTATGAAAGGAGAATAGAGAGCTCCCCAGACTCCAAGGGTACACTGTGTTCATTTTTAATAGAATCTAAGGAGAATTATGGGGTTTTAGGTCTATATAACCTCTCCATTGTCATCCATATTTGACTTTGGATTCCACCCAAAACATCAGTAAGTTTTGCTTGCCCAGCCTTGAAGAATTTTCCTCTCATGAGTTAAAAGCCTCATACCTCAACAATCTTTATACAATCTATATATATGGGTTTCTGATTCTTTTCTATTTGTTTTTTGTTTTTTCAAATATTCTTCTTTTTCTCACGATCCCTATTGTCTTCTTCTAGTCAGTGGCTTTGAGCTGCCTAACCATGAAATGTACATTTGTAAAATCCATCCATATCCCTAGGATCATCCAGGGAAACAGGGTTATCATCTTAGACACAGAAAGGTGTATTGCATTGGGAAGGGTGCCCCAGCCCAATCCAGGAGGGGAAGGCAACCTCCAGTGAGCAACCAGTCCTCAGTGATCTCTTTCAACACTGGTCATCCTGCTCCCTGAGTCCTGGGCTCCCTCTTTGCCATAGCTACCTAAGAGTCACAGTGAACAGGTTTTTCCATCTAAGCCTGCACCCCAGGGTTTCAGCCTTTTCTTGCCTTTGCTTCTCCTCTAGAGGTATGGCCTTTCTCCTACCTTTCCCATTTGTGTTCTGGCATAAGAAGGTCACGAAATCACACTCTTTGGAAAAGGTTGTAAATGTGGGTTACCACTTCTTCACTGGGCTCTCAAGGGTAGTTAGCAAACACTTGATCCCCTTCATCAATCTCTTGTTGACTCCCTATGGTGTTCCTTATAGTAACATTCCCCCCCCCAATTTTTACATTCACCAAAATAATAGCAACTACCATTTATATGTGCCAGGCATTGTGCTAAGTGCTTTATCTTCGCAATTGCATTTAATAATTATCCACACTTTACAGATGAGGCACCTGAGGAACAGTGAATTTCAATAATTTTCTCAAGATAACACAGCTACGTTCAAATATTCCTAGATTCAAAATCTGCACCTTTAGTCTGTATACCTCCTAGCTGGTCCCACTCTTGCCTCCTCACTGTTGCCAGTTAGTCTCCCCTCCTACATTACTGAAGAGATGAAGGCCACCAAGAATGACTATCTTCCATTTTATCCTATCTATTCCAAAATGTCCACTGTGTATTAAGCACCTTCTATGTGTCCTCAAAACAATTCTATAAGGCAGGCATTATTATAGCCCATCTTGTAGTCAAGTAAGATCAGGGCCTCAGCAAATGTCAGGGATTGAACATGAGCACAAGCCCACCTGGCTCAAATCTATGCTCACTCTACTTCACCAAGCAGCCTCTTCCTATCACCGTCTTTAATAACATCTCAAAATACCTTTGCTCTTTCACTTATCCTTTCCTTTCCCCTTTCCACTTCAGGTGAGGGTGTGACCCTCCTTAAATCTACAGCTTCCACTGCCTGCCCTTTCCTTTCCATCTTTTGTTCCATGACAAGCATTAGTAGCCTGTGTATCTTGTGCTGTTCTGCATACCAGAGGTTTAAGGCAAGGCCCCTGGACTCAGTCATTCACAGTGTCCAGAACACAGACACGCAGATTGATGACCACCACACAATGTGGCAAGTGCTATGAGAGGGAAACCTGGAGTTCCAGAGAGGCCATGAGCAGGAGCATCTAACCTAGAGCAGGCCCACTGGGGACATCTCTCTCTGCTTACCCTCCCTAGCTCCTCCCCCCCAGCCCCCAGTCTCTTCTATTTTAAAACAAAAATAAATTAGTTTCACCTGACCTTCTAGCTACTGTCCTATCTCATCACCCTTCTTTCACTGTCAAGTTTTTCCTCCATGCTTTACCACCTACTCTGTCAGTCCCCTAGACTCTGGCCTTCCATCGAGTTGTCTTACTTGTACTACATTCTCAAAGGCCATCAATAACCTCGTAACGGGCAAACCCAGGGCCATTTTCAGTCTTTATCCCGTTGAACGCTGAATCATTAGACATCAGTGGCAATCTCCTCCTTGAGACTCTTTCTCCTCTCTGTGATATGGCCCACTATTGGTGCCTCTCTTGCACTCTTACTGCTTGGTCTCTTCTGTTTCTTTTGATGGTGTCTCTTCTATAAATGTGAGCACTCTCGCAGGGCTCAGTCGTGGACTTCAGGCTTACTCTTCCTGAATGACCCTCCTCTCCTTCACCCACGCCATTTCTGTGGATGATCTCTAAACCCGCTGGATTTCAGTGTTACAGTAAGTACCAGAGACACTAAAATAAGAATGGCTTAAACAAGAAAGAGGTTTATTTCTTGCTCATGTAAAAAAGTGCGGAGTTGGCAGTTCACAGTCAGTAGAATAGTTCACAAGGTCATTGGGGTTCCAACTTCTATCTTCCTGCTCCACCATCCTCAGAACTTGGCTTCCTCCTCATGACTCAGAATGTCTGTCTAAGATCCAGCTGTCATGACCTTCTGGCCTGCAAAAGCAAGGAAGAGATGAAAACAGCAAATTTCCCTCTTTTTATGTATTTATTTATTTATTGGTTTTCTTCTGAGACAGGGTCTCACTCTGTCACCCAGGCTGGAGTGCAGTGGTGTGGTCTTGGCTTACTGCAACCTTGACCCCCTTGGGCTCAGGTGATCCTCTCATCTCAGCCTCCTGGGCAGCTGGGACTACAGGTGTGCACCATCATGCCCAGGTATATTTTGTACTTTTTTGTAGAGACAGGGTTTTGCCATGTTACCCAGGCTGGTCTCGCACTCCTGGACTCAAGCGATCCACCTGCCTTGGCCTCCCAAAGTGTTGGGATTACAGATGTGAGCCACCATGCCAGGTTCCCACTCTTCTTAAAGACACAGAAGTCATATACAACACTTCCATTTTTATTCTGTTGGGCTGAACTTAGTCATATGACCAACGTTAGCTAGAAGAAAGCAGGACAATATAGTCTTTACTCTGGGTGGCTCTATGCCCTGCTAAAAATTAGTGATTCTATTAATAAGAATGAAGGAGGGAACAAATATTGGAAAACAGCTAGCAGATTCTGCCACAGTGCCCCAAATAATACTTCAAGTCCATTCTCTCTCCTTATCTTCCATCATTCCAAGAGCTTACTTACATGGTCCACCATCATCTGAAGTTTAATATTTCTAACACTAAACTTTCTTCCCCCTTTGACTTCTTTCCATCATAAACTTTATGAGTTTTTCAATGACATAAAGTAGAAACTCAAAATATATTGATGAACAATTGAATTCTAGCAGATGCCTCTTTATTTCTTGCCTTTCTTTGTGTTATCATCAAATCCAGCCCTTCCTTTCCATTCCCATTATCGTCCCCTGGTTCATGCCCAGAAGACTACAGTATCCCTAAATGGCCTCTCTGATGCAGCCTCTCCTTCCTGTTTTCCTCCCCACACATCATTACTACATTACAATGACTAAAACATTATTTTAATCTTCACTCGCAAAAACCTTAATAGTTCCCCTCTGCCTCTGATGGAGACCTCAAACTCAAGGCTGTCTCAAATCTAAACCTAATTTGTATCTCCAGCTGTACCTCTCCCCACTCTGATATGCAAATCTATATTCATCCAATTAACATCACAGGTTCTGCTTCTAAACTTTTGTTCAGGATCCGAGGACTTGAGACACCCCTCCTTTCCCTTTCCATCAAGTAGAATTCTATTCAGCCTTCAAAATCCTCCTCAAATTCTACTTTCTTTGAGATGTTTTTTCTAACCACTACAGCTCAGCAATCCCTCCCTTCTTAGAATTCCTACCGTAATCACTGTTTCTACCATTCACTTGAATTTATTATTCACTATCTCATATTGCAAAGGAGAATTGTGTGTGTGCGTGCGTGCGTGCGTGCGTGTGTGTGTGTGTGTGTGTGTGTATCTTATTTCCCTAACCGGGTATCAAATTCCCCCCGAAAGGCAGAGAATCTGTCTTTGCCATAGACTAGCATAGTGCATTTCATGGTAAGTCCTCAAGATGTTTTTGTGCCACAAGTTATCTCTGAAATTAGATTTTACTAAGGTCACTTCCAGTGATAACATAATGTTAGAGTCCCTTTAGCACCCAGAAAAATAAATATTGGGATTGATTGATATGGACACTCTTTCTTTTAAATCTTAAAATCTTTTAAGAGCAGAATAAAGTCTATCCAGGGTACCTGAAACTGTCCCTCCAGGCTTTACTTGAATTAGCCCTTAAAAATGGCTTTTGATATATGCTCCAGTATGGCCCCGGCATCACCAACGCCATCATAAGGGTGGCCTAGGGCAGGCCCAAAGGGCATGTACCAATTGTTGAAGTGATGATAAAGAACATACGATGAATGTTAATATATCAGTATCAACTCCAGAAATAACTAACATTTATTTTACCTTGATGATCAGCAAAGCATTTCTACTCATATTACATCATTTGCTGCTCACCAAACAGGACAAATAGCATAATTATTATTTTCATTCTATGGATGAAGAAACTGAGGTTCAGAAAGGTTTTGTGACCTGTAATCCCAGCATTTTGGGAGGCTGAGGCGGGCAGAGCATTTGAGGTCAGGAGTTCAAGATCAGCCTGGCCAACATGGTGAAACCCCGTCTCTACTAAAAATACAAAAACTAGCTAGCCGTGATGGCATGCACCTGTAATCCCAGCTACTTGGGTGGCTGAGGCAGGAGAACTGCCTGAACCCGGGAGGTGGAGGTTGCAGTGAGCCAAGATCACTCCACTGCACTCCAGCGTGGGTGACAGTGAGAGAGTGAGACTTTGTCTAAAAATAAATAAATAAATAAGAAAGGTTTTGTGACCTCGTTAAGGTTGTCCAGTTCATAAGTAGAAGTACTTGCACCTACACCTTCTGCCTCCCTATCTTTCCACTGCATGCAATGGTTTTGCAGCTGCTTCTCTCAGAGCACAGTTGGAGTGTTTGAAGGTGGCAGAATCTTCATCTTAAACATGTGCAACCCCTTTGCCTTTTCCAGCAAGCAAAGTATTCTTGCCAACAACACCAGCAGCACAAATAACAGCTTCCCCCAGCTTTGCCTACCCACCACCCCCACTGCCTGATTGCTCTTTGATACCCCACCAACACTTCCTGAATGACTTGCTACAGGAGATGAGACATACTTTTAAAACTGCACCACACACCAACCACTGTGGCTGCTCAACGGCCCTAATATTAAGAAGGTCTCAGCCTTAACAATCTACCTACATACTTCCTGGGGTTTAGTGAGAGAACCCAGCAAAATTACGAGTCTGTGGAATCTATGTTCTGTCTCTCTCCTCACACCTAATCTCAATCCACAGAGTGGTGTGGCAATTAAGCACTAGGGCCTGACTTCAAAAAAGACTTGAGACGTGGGAGATCTGAGACCAGGACTGGCTAGATAATTTGCGAGGCCCAGTGCAAAACGAAAATGGAGGGCCCCTTGTTTAAATAGTATGTAGAATTTAAAGGTGGCAACGCAGCCTTAAGTCCAGTTCAGGGTCCTTTTGAATTCAGGGTTCTGTGCAACTGCATAGATCACATGCCCATGCCTGGACCATCCAGGGATTCACGCTGGGACACTCCAAATACCCCTCTCCTAGAACCCGTCAGCCCAGAAAAACAGTTTATCTGGGAAGAATTAATGTTCTTAAATTTTGGCAAACTATGACTCTTACCACCAAAGGCAGCATTAGCCTCTTTCTGACCCGCTACCCCAATGGCTTATTTCTATTGCTTTTACCATTTAGCACTCATCGTGTTGTATTGTCTTTCACTTGTGACCACATCTGTCTTATTTTCTAGGCTGTGAGCTCCTCAGGGCTGCAACGATGTCCTGTTTATCCCTGTGTCCCTAACACAGCATCTGACACATAATTAGCAGTTAATAAATGTTTGCAGATAAGGGTTCCCAATTTCCCCCTTCCTACTCCCACTCCACATACTCCCCACCCTGTTGTATCTTCTGTACTTAGCCAACCCCCAACTAAATCCTCAGGCCTTGTCCCGGATACTGCTCCTACGGGAAAATCTCTGTTGGTCAGAAAGGAAAGAGCTTTACATCAGCTGTTCCTGGGGCTCTTTCAGTGGTTGCTGAGCTGAAGAGCAAGGGTAGCCATAGTGAGACAACACCATCAGGTTAAGAAATCGCTTTTTTTGTGCCACTTTCAAGGGACGTGTATACTTTATGATCCTTATTCTTCCGTATACCAAGCCTTGGATAAACTTTAGGGTCAACCTGAACCCACTTATGTGGAAAACTGATGTCTGGTCATCAGAGCCTACATGCAACCAGTACACACCAGAACCGCTCAACTAGTTTGTTTATGGCTAACACCCTTTCTGATTGGTCAAGGCCCACGTCATATTGGTTATTAAATACTTTGGATATCATCTATGCTTGCCCCAAACAGTGTTTCTCACTAAAGAGCCCTCATTGAGAATTATAGGATAATGAAGAAGAGGAGGAGAAAGAGCAGAAAAATAATGTCTTGAAGTTACATTGTCTCTCATTTTACAAACTATATATTAAATCAGTTTATCTTCAAAAGTGATAGAGGAGAGAAAAGGGAGGAGAAAATAAGCTTTTCATCTTCCCATGTTACATTTTAAAAGTATTCATCCTTAAGTTTTCACTAGGAAATGTTCCCTCGATTCCCAGAACAGATCAAGTCCCCTTGCTGGTCTCTCTCAAATCACCATAATGCTTACATATTTTGTGCCTATCCATTTGTTTCTATGGTTATCTGATCAACATTGGTATCTTCCTCTGATTGTAAGTCTCAAAGAGCAAGAATTATATCTGTTTCTTCTCGCCGTTGTATCCTCAGCTCCTCGTATCTTGTTTAAAAGAGTAGATGTCCAACAAACACTTACATTATAAATTAAATTAACAAATACCCACCATAGTATCTGGAGCAAAACTGATCCTGAATAAATACATGCAACCATTCACAAATGTATGAATGAATAAACGAAACTTGCTTACTTCAGAAGTTGTTCCAAGAGAGTCTAGGAAACTCATGAGTAAATTCTATCAATTAATTCCACAAATATTTATTAAGCCCCTTCTCTGTGTTAGGCACTCTTCTAGAGACTAGGAATATGGAAGTAAACAGAAAAATATCCCTAAAAATCACCAACTTAGGGAATATTTTCTCCAGAGACTCCAAAGCACTCTCTGCTTCTATCTTCCAAGAAAAGAGACAAAAGTGTTACTTGCTTTTTACAGAGATCACAGGAAAATAAAAAGCAATGACCCAAGAGTCCATCAGCCAAGATATTCCAGGTTCTTGTTCTAGCTCTTCCACCACTTGGCAATATGATCTTGGGAAAGAAGTGCACCTAATATCTTAGACTACGTGGAGGCTTATGGCCTTCACCTCTCAAATGCCTTCTAGCTTTCAGAGTCTGTAAGTCTAGGTAAAAATATTTTTAACAAAATGGATCTCTAGTGAGAAACTTAGTTTTTGAATGAGAATGCGTTAGAAAATTTAGTTGTCATAACATATTAAATACACCTAGAGTAGAATGCCAAAAAAAAAAAAAGGCATCCTCAAGAAACTGGGTGAACTGCATTTGTGGCAGCTCCTCAGGGAGCTCCAAGGCCAAAAAGATTAGGAAGTGAAAAAGCTGCAACAGTCAGATGGCTACAGTTTTCTTTTTATGTTCTCAGGGCCGGAAGCAGCTGGAAAAGACTCAGAAATCTTCACAGTGAATGGGATTCTGGGAGAGTCAGTCACTTTCCCTGTAAATATCCAAGAACCACGGCAAGTTAAAATCATTGCTTGGACTTCTAAAACATCTGTTGCTTATGTAACACCAGGAGACTCAGAAACAGCACCCGTAGTTACTGTGACCCACAGAAATTATTATGAACGGATACATGCCTTAGGTCCGAACTACAATCTGGTCATTAGCGATCTGAGGATGGAAGACGCAGGAGACTACAAAGCAGACATAAATACACAGGCTGATCCCTACACCACCACCAAGCGCTACAACCTGCAAATCTATCGTAAGTCATGGGAAGACGGAGAGCTTGTGTTTTATTTTTACTTTGCAAGTTTGCTATCTGAAACACATCTACATTTCTGATAATTGGGTCCCCTAAATCTTTTTATATCTATAAATACTTACATATTGATACATCAATACTTATAAGAGGATGTAGTCTTATTTCAGTCCTGACTTTGCCTGTTTTTAGCTATGTAATTCTTCCATCAGTAGTTGGTCCCCTGGGCCTTGGTTTTCTTTTTTACATAATGTCAATGATCATACTACTCACTTCCCAGGGTTATCATGAGGATCAAATGAGATAGTGTATGCAAAGTGCTTTAAAAAAACTTTTCATTTTGAGATCATGATAGATGCAAAGAAGGTACAAATAAATATACAGGGAGGTTCTATGTACCCTTCACCCTGTGTTAACACCTTGCATAACTATAGCACAATATCAAAAACAGGAAATTGACATTAGCACAATCTATAGAGCTTATTTAGGTTTCACCACGTATGCATGCATTCATTTATGTGTGAGTATGTGTGTAGCTCTGTACAATTTAATCACATGGGTAGTTTTGTGTAACCACTACCATAATCAAGATTAACCATCACAAGATTCCCTCATACTCTCCCTTTATAGCCACATCTCCATCTTTCCCTTCCCCAGTCCCTGAAAAACAACCAGTTTGTTCACATCTACAACTATGTCATTTCACACATGTTATGTAGATGGAATAATGAAGGACGTATCTTTTTGAGGTTGGGTATTTTTCACTTAGCGTAATGTCACTGAGATTCATCCAAACTCTTGTGTGTACTAATAGTTTATACCTTTTTATTGCTAGATAGTATTCCACGGTATGGATGCACTAGGTTGTTTAACCATTCACCTCTTGAGGAACATTTTAGTTCTTTCCAGTTTGGGGCTATTACAAATAAAGCTGCTGTGAATATATGTGTACACATTTCTGCATGAAATAAGTTTTTATTTCTCTGGGATAAATGCTCAAGAATGTAATTTTATGATAAGGGCATTTACAGCTTTAAAAGAAACTGATAAACTATTTTCAACTTTCCATTCTCACCAGGAATGTATGAGTGATCCAGTTTCTCTACATCCTCACTAGCATTTGGTGTTATTATTTTTCATTTTGGCCATTCTGATGGGTGTGCAGTGATAACTCAATTTAGTTTTAATTTGAATTTCTAGTAGTTAATGCAAAGTGCTTTTGAAAGGTAAAATATTATAACTATTTGTTATCATCATTATAATTGCCACAATTCACTGGGAGATGTGCGTGCTTTGTTTTGCAAGCTACCCCAAGTGTGGTCTGTAGACTGGCAGTATCAGCATCAACTGGGAGCTTTTTGGAAATGCGAATGTTCAGGTCCTCCCCCTGACCTTTGTGAATGAATGAAGTCCAGGAATCTGTGTTTAATGTTATCTCTGGATTATTCCCACCTGTGCCAAAGTTTGAGAAAGTACGGACCTAGTGCTGCCCTATTCACTATGGTAGCCTCTAGACACATGCAGCTCTTGAGCATCTGAAATGTGGTGAGTCCAAATTGAGATGTGCTGTAAGTGTAAAATTCATACCAGATCTTGAAATCTTAGCACCAAAAAAATATATAAAATATCTCAATAATTTTCTTTTTTTTCTTCAATGTTTATTTTAAGTTCAGGGGTACATGTGCAGGATGTCAAAGTTTGTTACATAGGTAAATGTGTGCCATGGTGGTTTGCTGCACAGATCATTCCATCATCTAGGTATTAAGACCAACATCCATTAGCTAACCTTCCTGATCCTCTCTCTCCCCCAACCCCTCTCCAACAGGTCCCAGTGTGTGTTGTTCCCCTCCATGTGTTCTCATCATTCATCTCCCACTTATAAGTGAGAACATGTGGTGTTCGGTTTTCTGTTCCTGCATTAGTTTGCTGAGGGTAATGGCTTCCAACTCCATCCATGTCCCTGAAAAGGACATGATCTTGTTCCTTTTTATGGCTGCATAGTATTCCATGGCATATATGTACCACATTTTCTTTATCCAATCTATCATTGATGGGCATTTGGGTTGATTCCATATCTTAGCTATTGTGAATAGTGCTGCAATGAACATACATGTGCAAGTATCTTTATAATAGAATGATTTATATTCTTTGGGGTATACACCCAATAATGGGTTTGCTGGAACAAATGGTATTTCTGCCTCTAGGTTTCTGAGGAATGGCCACACTGTCTTCCACAATGGTTGGAATTAACTAATTTACACTCCCACCAACATTGTAAAAGCATTTCTTTTTCCCTGCAATCTTGCCAGCATCTGTTGTTTCTTGACTTTATTAATAATTGCCATTCTGACGGGCAGGAGATGGTATCTCATTGTGGTTTTGATTTGCATTTTTCTAATGATCAGTGATGTTTAGCTTTTTTTCACATGTTTGTTGGCTGCATGAATGTCTTCTTTTGAGAAGTGTCTGTTCATGGTTTTTGCCCAGTTTTTAATGGGGCTGTGTGTGGTTTTTTTTCTGTTTGTTTTTTCCTTAAACGTTTGTTTAAGTTCCTTGTGGACTCTGGATATTAGACCTTTGTCAGATGGATAGACTGGAAAAATTTTCTCCCATTCTGTAGGTTGTTTGTTCACTCTGATGATAGTTTCTTTTGCTGTGCAGAAGCTCTTTAGTTTAATCAGATCCCATTTGTCAATTTTTGCTTTTGTTGCAATTGCTTTTGACATTTTCATCATGAAATCTGTGCCCGTGCCTATGTCCTGAATGGTATTGCCCAGATTTTCTTATAGGGTTTTTATACTTTGGGGCTTTACATTTAAGTCTTTAATTCACCTTGAATTAATTTTTGTTTAAGGTATAAGGGAGTGGTCCAGTTTCAATTTTCTGCATGTGGCTAGCCAGTTCTCCCTGCACCATTTTTAAATAGGGAATCCTTTTCCCATTGTTTTTGTCAGGTTTGTCGAAAATCTGATAATTGCTGGTGTGTGGTCTTATTTTTGAGTTCTTTATTCTGTTCCATTGGTCTATGTGTCTGTTTTTGTACCAGTGCCGTGCTGTTTTGGTTACCTTGGCCTTGTAGTATAGTTTGAAGTTGGGTAGTGTGATGCCTCCAGTTTTGTTCTTTTTGCTTAGGACTGTCTTGGCTATTCAGGCTCTTTTTCATCCATATGAATTTTAAAGTAGTTTTTTCTAATTCTATGAAGAATGTCAATAGTAGTCTAATGTGAATAGCTTAGAATCTATAAATTACTTTGGGCAGTATGGCCATTTTCATGATATTGATTCTTCCTATCCATGAGCATGGAATGTTTTTCCACTTATTTGTGTCCTCTCTGATTTCTTTGAGCAGTGGTTTGTAGTTCCCCTTGAAGAGGTCCTTCACTTTCCTTGTTAGCTGTATTCCTAGGCATATTAATCTTTTTGTAGCAATTGTGAATGTCCTTCACTTTCCTTGTTAGCTGTATTCCTAGGCATATTAATCTTTTTGTAGCAATTGTGAATGGGAGTTCATTAATTATTTGGCTCTCTGCTTGCCTGCTGTTGGTGTATAGGAACATTAGTGATTTTTGCCCATTGATTTTGTATCCTTGAGGATTGCTGAAGTTGTTTAACAGCTTAAGAAAATATTGGCCTGAGATTATGGGGTTTTCTAGATATAGGATCATGTCATCTGCAAACGGAGACAGTTTGACTTCCTCTCTCCCTATTCGAATACCCTTTATTTCTTTCTCTTGCCTGATTGCTCTTGCCAGAACTTTCAATACTATGTTGAATAGGAGTGATGAAAGAGGGCATTCTTGTCCTGTGCTGGTTTTCACAGGGAATGCTTCCTGCTTTTGCCCATTCAGTATGATATTGGCGTGAGTTTGTCATATGTGGCTCTTATTATTTTGAGGTGTGTTCCTTCAATACCTAAGTTATGGAGAGTGTTTAACATGAAGTGATGTTGAATTTTATTGAAGGCCCTTCTGCCTCAGTTGAGATGATCTGTGGGTTTTGTCTTCAGTACTATTTATGTGATGAATCACACTTACTGATTTGGATATGTTGAACCAAACTTGCATCCTAGGGATGAAGCCAGCTTGGTCGTGGTGGATAAGCTTTATGATGTGCTGCTGGTTTTGGTTTGCCAGCATTTTACTGAGGATTTCTGCATCAATGTTCATTAAGGATATTGGCCTGAAGTTTCCTTTTTTGGTTTTATCTCTACCAGGTTTTGGTATCAGGATGATGATGGCCTCAGAATGAGTTAAGGAAGAGTTCCTCCTTTTCAATTTTTTGGAATAATTTTAGTAGAAATTATGCCAGCTCTTCTTTGTACTTCTTGTAGAACTCAGCTGTGAATCTGTCTGGTCCTGGCTTTTGTTTTGTTTTGTTTTGTTTTGTTTTTGGTTGGTAGGCTATTTAGTACTGCCTCAATTTCAGAACTTGTTATTGGTCTGTTCAAAAATTCAACTTCTTCCTGGCTCAGTCTTGGGAGTGTGTAAGTGTCCAGGAATTTATCCATTTCTTCTATATTTTCTAGTTTATGTACATAGAGATATTTATAGTATTCTCTGATGGTTGTTTGTATTGCTTTGGGGTCAGTGATGATATCCCCTTTATCATTTTTTATTGTGTTTATTTGATTCTTCTCTCTTTTCTTCTTTACTAGTCTAGCTAGCAGTCTCTCTATTTTTCTCATTTTTTCAAAAAGCCAACTTCTGGATTTGTTGATTTTTTGAATGGTTTTTTGTGTCTCTGTCTCCTTCAGTTCAGCCCTGATCTTTATTATTTCTCATCTTCTGCTAGCTTTGGGGTTTGTTTGTTTTTGGTTCTATAGTTCTTTTAGTTGTGATGTTAGGTTGTTAACTTGAGATCTTTCTAGCTTTTTGATGTGGGCATT
Source organism: Homo sapiens (assembly GCF_000001405.40). Taxonomy (NCBI): domain Eukaryota; kingdom Metazoa; phylum Chordata; class Mammalia; order Primates; family Hominidae; genus Homo; species Homo sapiens. Next base: position 160,560,521 of record NC_000001.11, on the reverse strand, counting down.
TAGTGCTGTAAGTTTCCCTCTTAACAATCCTTTAGCCTGCCTTGCAGAGATTCTGGTACATTGTCTCTTTGTTCTCATTAGTTTCAAAGAACTTGATTTCTGCCTTAATTTCATTGTTTACCCAAGAGTCATTCAGGAACAGATTGTTGAATTTCCATGTAATTGTGTGGTTATGAGTGAATTTCTTAATTTTGAGCTCTAATTTGATTGTGCTATGATCTGAGAGACTGTTTCCCTGAATGATTTCAGGTCTTTCGCGTTTGCTGAGGAGTGTTTTACTTCCTATTATGTGATCAATTTTAAAGTAAGTGCATACGGTGTTGAGAAGAATATATATTCTGTGGAATTCGGGTGGAGAGTTCTGTAGAGGTCTACAGGTATACTTGATCCAGAGCTGAGTTTAGGTTCTGAATATCTTTGTAAACTTTCTGCCTTAATGGTCTGTCTAATATGGTAAGTAGGGTGTTTAACTCTCCCATTATTATTGTGTGAGAGTCTAAGTCTTTTTGTAGATCTCTAAGAACTTGCTTTATGGATTTGAGTGCTCCTGTATTGTGTGCATATATATTTAGGATAGTTAGCACTATCCTAACTATCCTGGTAAAGGGTAGTTACCCATTACCATCATGTAATGTCCTTCTTTGTCTTTTTTTATCTTTGTTGCTTTAAAGTCTATTTTGTCAGAAACTAGGATTGTAACTTCTGCTTTTTTCTGTTTCCCATTTGCTTGGTAAATTTTTCCCTATCCCTTTATTTTGAGCCTATGTGTGTCTTTGCATGTGAGATGGGTCTCTTGAAGACAGCATACAAATGGGTCTCAGCATACCAGTTTGCCATTCTGTGATTTTTTAAATTGGGGGCATTTAGCGCATTTACACTTAAGGTTAGTGTTGTTATGTGTGAATTTGATCGTGTCATCATTATGCTAGCTGGTTATTTTGCAGACTTGTTTATGTAGTTGCTTCATAGTGTCACTGGTCTGCATACTTCAGTGTGTTTTTGTAGTGGCTGGTACCTGTTTTCCCTTTCCTTATTTAGTGCTTCCTTCAGGAGCTCTTGCAAGGCAGGCCTGGTGGTCGCAAATTCCTTCAGCATTTGCTTGTTTGGAAAGGATTTTATTTCTTCTTCACTTATGAAGCTTAGTTTGGCCAGATATGAAATTCTGGGTTGAAAATGGTTTTCTTCAATAATGTTGACTATTGGCCCCCAATCTCTTCTGGCTTGTAGAGTTTCTACTGAGAGGTACACTTTTAGTCTGATGTGCTTCCCTTTGTAGGTGACCTGGCCTTTCTCTCTGGTTGCCTTAACATTTTTACTTTCATTTCGACCTTGGAGAATCTGATGATTACGTGTCCTGGGGTTGATTTTCTCATGGAGTATCTCACTTGTGTTCTCTGCATTTCCTGAATCTGAAGGTTGGCCTGTCTTGCTAGGCTGGGGAAGTTCTCCTGGATGATATCTTGAAGTATGTTTTCCAACTTAGTTCCATTCTCCCCATCTCTTTCAGCTACCCCAATTGGTCATAGGTTTGGTCTCTATACATAACTCCATATGTCTTGGAGGTTTCATTCATTCCTTTTCATTCTTTTTTCTTTTTTCTTGTCTGCCTGTCTTATTTCAGAAAGATAGTCTTCAAGTTCTATGATTCTTTCCTCCACTTGGTCTGTTCTGCTGTTGATACTTGTGATCAGTATCTCGTGTTGTGGTTTTCAGCTCCATCAGGTCGGTTTTGTTCCTCTCTAAACTGGCTATTCTGGCTATCAGCTCCTGTATTGTCTTATCATAATTCTTAGCTTCTTTGCATTGAGTTAGAACATGCTCCTTTAGCTCAGCAAAGTTTGTTATTACCCACCTTCTGAAGCCTACTTCTGTCAATGCAGCCATCTCAGCCTCAGCCCAGTTCTTTGCTTTTGCTGGAGAGGTATTGTGGTCATTTGGAGAAGAAGAGGCATCCTGGCTTTTTGAGTTTTCAGCATTTTTGCATTAATTCTTTATTATCTTTGTGGGCTTATCTACTTTTTATCTTTGAGGTCACTGACCTTCCAATGGGGTTTTTCTGAGGTCTTTTTTGTTGATGCTGTTGTTTTCTGTTTGTTGGTTTTTCTTTCAATAGTCAGGCTACTCTTCTGTGGGGCTGTTGCAGTTTGCTGAGGGTCCACTCCAGACCCTAATTGCCTCAGTTTTTCCTATACCTGGAGGTATCACGAGTGAAGTCTGCAAAACAGCAAAGATGGCAGCCTGCTCCTTTTTCTGGAAGCTCCATCCCAGGGGTGTACTGACCTGTTGCCAGCCTGAATACACCTGTAGGAGGTGGCTAGGGACCTCTGTTGGGAGGTCTCAACCTGTCAGGAGGAACAGGATCAGGGACCCACAAAAAGAATCAGTCTGGTTGCTTTTTGATAGAGCAGGTGTGCTGCATTGGAGGCTCCCTTCCTTGTCCAGACTCTCTGGACTCTCCAAAGCCAGCAGGCTGGAACAGCTGAGTTGACTGAATGGCAGAAATGGTGGCCGCCCCTCCCCATAGGAGCTCTGCCCCAGGGAGAATTCAAAACTCTGTCTGTATAACCCTGGCTAGAGTGGCTGAAGCCCCTGCAGGGAGGTCCCACCCAGTGAGAGTAAAGCAGCAGTCTGATCTGGCAAAGCAGCTGTGCCGCGTTGTAGGGGACCCTTCCTCCTCCAGATCATTTGAACTCTCCAAAGCTGGTAGGCTGGAATGGCTGAAGCTACTGAACCACAGAGATGGCAGACGCCCCCTCCTCAGTAATTTTCATATTAGGGAAAAGAAATTTTTGTTATATTGGGTTAAATATAATGCATAATTTAAAAGTAATATTACCTGCTTGTTTTGACTTTTGAAATGTGATTATTAGAAAATTTAAAATTACATAAGTGACTCACATTACATTTCTTTTGGGCAACACTAGTTTCTAGCATAGAGAACACCTTGGCCATTTCTCAAAGATTTCACTGTTCATCTGCCTCATTGCAGAAAAACACAGAAATGTGGGTAATCCATGTTGTGACAGATGCAATTCAGGTATATAGGTCACCCACTAAAATGCAAGTTCCATAAAGGCAGGGACTTTGTATATTGTTTATCACTGTATTCCCAGCACCAACATCATCAGGTACATAGTGGATGCTCCAGAAGTATTTGTTGAAAAAGAATGAATGAATAGTATTATTCCCAGGTTTCACAGTGCTTAGCAATTGTGAATGTTCGATTAATATAAGATGATTGAATCAGTTTCTATACCGATGGACAGCATAGCGGAAAGAACGCTAATGTTGGGATTAGGCATACTTTGCCAGCTGTATGATCTTGGGCAAGTTGTTTAACCTCTCTGTTCCAAAGTTTCCTCACTTATAGAATGTAGATCGTAATTGATGGTATTAAATGAGATAATGGTAGTTGAGCTCCCTAGTATAGTGCCTGCCTTAAAGTAAATGCTCAATAACTAGTAATCATTAATTTTTTAATCCTTATCCCTTAAAAAAAATCTCATTATGAAGGACTTCCTAGATGAAGAAGGCTCTGAACTAGGCTTGAATAATGTAGTCAAAGAGCCATACCCAAATGTCAACCCTTTAGAAAATATTTAACTCATTCGAGAACTTTAGCTGAGAAAATAAAGATGGTATTCAATTTTAAGATATTGATTTTTAACCCTTTATATGTTTAATTTTGCCTACCCAATCTTCAGAAAGTCTTCTACCACGTGCAATTAGGACACAGTACAGTAATATCTTAGAGAAAGCTGTACTGTATATACAATAAAATCTGTACCTTATGGGTAGTTAGCTGGGAAAATAAAGAGAAGGAAACTAACATTTATTGAACATCATTTATGTGTTTGGCATTCTAATATCTATTTTAAAAATATATAGACTATACATATTTAAGCACTGTATGCACAAAAAGAGCAAAAGATAATACAATGAGATGTAACTCTCTCTTCTCAGAGGCAGTGGCTGTAGCCAGCTTCTTCTGTGTCTTCCATAGATAATTAATGTGCATACCAGCATAGACAGACAGATAGATGATAGATAAGTAAATAGGTAATTAGAATAATCTTTATCTTCAAAATCTCATTTAATCCTCACAACAATTGTATTTAGGGAAAAATTTTTACCCTCATGTTATAAATAAGGGAGCTGAAGCTCCATGAATCTGTATACCTTCTCCATTATTCCATAGCTAGAGAGCAGTAGAGCCTGGATTCTGAACCAGGTCTCCAGTGGCTTCCACAATCTTGGCTTGGGAGGATGAAGATCTGTCGGCCATGACTCTGACTTTCTCTTCCCAGCATCTTTGTGCAGGCAACACCTCTGTTCCTGCTGAGAAAAGTGAGATGGGATCCTCTTCTTTACCACTGTCCCCTACCTCAACACCTACCCCCAACAATTGGTAAACACCAAGCACTCCCTAGGCATTTTTGTAAATCAAATTTCTAAAGAAACACACACGCACACACACAAAATTTTGTTCACTTTCTACTAATTGATATCGTATCAGTCACTATTATAGTTAATCCAGGTCTGTACCCCAAACTTGTTTTGGGTTTATTCCAAGTCTTCACTAATTCTAATATGGAATAGATCCCTCTAAAAGATTGTTAGGACCAGAATTTCTGGCTAGCTTGGAATCAAACATTTTTACAGCTTCTTACTGTTCATGTTGAGTTCCTTCACAAACGCAAGATAATGGTTCTTATATCTTGTGTCTACACTTCTGAATTTATTGCCTTTCTAGTTGTGCACCAGTTCCTTCTGACTCCTCTATTCCCTTCCTCACATAGCTACAGTGGAAGAAACAAACCCCACCACAGCAACTTTGCTGAGAGGGCGCTGAACTTATTAACTCCAAATGTGGTCATTTTCTTATTCCTGGTAAAAGAAAAGACCTTAACGCTTCCCCATGCCAGCTCCAGTCCTAGCTATCACTTGAATTATTATTGTTCTTTAGTAACCCTTTACTAGCCTTCAACTTTTATAGTTTACTTTTTGATTGCTTAAGTAAAAACATTTTAATGAACTTTTAAAGAAATTATAGCTTTCCACCATGGATAGTTTTTAAAAAATAAAGAAAATATACATACACCAGAAAACAGAATGAAAAAAAATTTTAAAGATTATTTTGGCTGGGTGCGGTGGCTCACACCTGTCATCCCAGCACTTTGGGAGGCCGAGGCGGGTGGATCACGAGGTCAGGAGATTGAGACCATCCTAGCTAACACGGTGAAACTCCATCTCTACTAAAAATACAAAAACAAAATTAGGCGTGGTGGTGGGCACCTGTAGTCCCAGCTACTCCTCGGGAGGCTGAGGCAGGAGAATGGCTTGAACCCAGGAGGCGGAGCTTGCAGTGAGCCGAGATCATGCCACTGCACTCCAGCCTGGGTGACAGAGCAAGACTCCGTCTCAAAAAAAAAAAAAAAAAGATTATTTCATGTAGTTGTGTGCTGATAAATATTTAATTAGCTCTTAATTGGGTGTGTGTATTCATATATATATATAAAATTTATGTTTAGTACAAATTTTATTGACTTGAAGGATGTGTAGCACACAGTTTCATTAATGATAATAAATATATAATAGTCTTTATTGTAAATTCTATATAGAATTTATTTTGCTGAGAGGGCACTAGAGGATAAATTCCAATTATTCTTACAGAATGCTTTCATTGATTTTTGCTAAGCATTTATATCCCTAATCAGCTTATAGTTGTAATTGATGTATGAGTATAGTTCCAACACAAACATCGGTTGATATTTTCATTTCAGTTAAATAATAAGAAAAAAGTGATTCAACAAAGACATATATATTGGAGCTTCATTTGTTTATCAATGACACGAGCGACTTCTTTGCTGAATTGGATAATGGTTTCCAAATACCAGAAGAATACTTCCTATTTTTTGTGCTATTCACAATGTAATGGCTACAGATATTATACAATTTTAAGTTTCATCTGCATTCCTCCATTGCTATCTTAAGTCTAGAGCAACAATCATCAAAACAGTAAATCGAGTCCTAGCTTATAGCAATTGCAAATTTCTGTGGGGTAATACTCCTACCATGGCTGATTTTAAGACATGCAGAATTAGAAAGACAGATACTCTGTTAACAAAGGACAGATACAATAGATGTAGATAACCTCGAGAGCATAGACAGCAGGAAAATGTCAAAAAAAGGATTAGAAAGTGATGAGTTTTGAGGATTTATTATCTTTATTTTTAACATAATTTATTTAATTATGTTTTTATAATTTAATTTTTAATGATGGCTTGCAAATTTCTGAGAATTTAACAATTGGCTCCCACAAACTAGTACAAGCCAGCTCCAGCTCACTATTGGCTCATGTGTTTGCCCCCACAGGTCGGCTTGGGAAACCAAAAATTACACAGAGTTTAATGGCATCTGTGAACAGCACCTGTAATGTCACACTGACATGCTCTGTAGAGAAAGAAGAAAAGAATGTGACATACAATTGGAGTCCCCTGGGAGAAGAGGGTAATGTCCTTCAAATCTTCCAGACTCCTGAGGACCAAGAGCTGACTTACACGTGTACAGCCCAGAACCCTGTCAGCAACAATTCTGACTCCATCTCTGCCCGGCAGCTCTGTGCAGGTAACCAGCTCTGCCCATCTCTCCTGGTGAGTCTCAGAGATCACTCTGAGGAGCTGCAAGGTCTGAACGTGGGCCACATTCTCTAGGGAGATGTGCTTCCTTTATCTTTGGCCTGGTCACTGAGGGCATCACCTCCCAAGAAGCCTACTGGGAAAGAGGCCAAAGCCTTCTGAGAGATGCTAGACATTTCTGGGTGTTCTGTGGCAGCCCCTGATCAACTCTCTGATTCAATTTCTCATCCTGGCTTTTAATAGCAGAAAGTTTAGTTTCCCTAGGAGCTTTGGCACTCCTTCGGAGGGCACCCAATTTTCATAATGCCCCTGACTGTGGGCAAACCTGCCCAGCCTCTTGGGCCTATTTCCTGAGAATCAAGACTCACTGCATCTTCTATTTCCAGACATCGCAATGGGCTTCCGTACTCACCACACCGGGTTGCTGAGCGTGCTGGCTATGTTCTTTCTGCTTGTTCTCATTCTGTCTTCAGTGTTTTTGTTCCGTTTGTTCAAGAGAAGACAAGGTAGGATTTTCCCAGAAGGTAAAATGTGGAAACTCACCTTCTCTCCTCCTGGGACTGAAGCCATTTATCCAAGGTTTAGCTGAAAGGCCCATTGTTCCAGGGAATCTGCCTTTTTCCGATCTCCACCCCACCACCTCCCAGAATGATGGCTCTGAGGATGGTATGACATTACCCTGAATGGTCTTCAGAATCCATTCCTGAGATCACCAGTAGCTGGTGGGCCCAGAACATGGGTTCGAGCTTAGTACATACATGAACAAGCTGTGCTTCACTGTACGAGTGTGTTCACCTTTCCAGCTCAGGGCCCTCACATGTGAAATGTTTGGACTAGAGGATCTCCAGGGTCACTTCCAATTTCATTGTATTTTGATTATGACTATTGGAGAGTCATTGAGAAACATATACTAATCCTGTACTCCATGGTTGTCACTATGTCCCTCTGAATCCCTCTGGATCATTCTGTAGTTGTGCCATTCTCCATTCAGAAAACCTGATCTTAGACCCTCAAGGAATCATTATACCCTCCGATTCACCCACATCCCATGTCCACCCAAGAACTTCCTTTTCCCACCAATCACAATAAAAAACATGGAACTTCTGCTTCCATGTTCCTGACTCTCCTTTGGGTCTGATTCCTCAGGTTCCTGCTTGAACACCTTCACTAAGAACCCTTGTAAGTTCTCAGCCACAAAGTTCCTTGAATAACAATTGGGAGGGATGGGGAGTTCCCAACAGAGTGGTTAAGACTAAGCACGTGATTTGCAGTCAGTCTAGGCGTGAAAGTCCCAGCTTGACCATTTATCAGCTACCAGTTTTTTTATCATTGTAAGCTTCCATTTTCTCAGTTGTAAAATATTCACAGTAATAAGGTGTGCTGTATATACTTATTAAGTAGATTAAATGGAATTAGAAATACAAAATACTTGGCCCAATTCCCAGTACATAGTAAGTACTTGATAAATGTTAGCTAGTATACTGATAACTGATTGGCCTGGGGCATGGTACGGAGGAGGCATTCTAGGGGGGAGGGGATTTGTGACGTGTGCCATACTCAAATGGCCTCACAATGGGGAGAAGGCATAGCCTGCTTGAACCACAGGTGATCTGCAAGGTCCCTCAAAGAGATATTGTCTTCAATCCCTCGCTGACTCTTGGGAAGAGAAAGGGCTATTCTTTGCATCTATAAATGAGACAAGAGAGAGCACTCAGTTTGTCTCATACTCACCAAATAAGTGATAGGACTAAACTCTGAATGTTGGAGCCCTGTAATACTGCTCAGCTCAGACCTGTTATTTGTAGGTATGTTGGTGCCCTGGATTATGAAGGCCCAAAATTCTGGCCTTCTTTTTTCACCTTGACCCTAAAATGTTCTGTGTTAGTACCAAAGCAAAGGAGTACACTGACGTGAATGTCTCTTCTAGCCTATACATTCTTAAAAGGAAAGACTTGTCTACTGTCTTTTCTTCTCTGGGGCCTCACACAGAGCCTGGCACATAGAAGGTGCTTAATAAATGTTTATTAACTGTGTGAACTGGCAGGGTGCTGTGGCTCATGCCTGTAATCCCAGCGCTTTGGGAGATCAAGGCATGTGGATCAGCTGAGCTCAGGAGTTCAAGACCAACCTGGGCAACATGGTGAAACCCTGTCTCTACCAAAAATACAAAAAATTTGCTGGGTGTGGTGGCACATACCTGTGGTCCCAGCTACTCAGAAGGCTGAGGTGGGAGGATCACTTGAGTCCAGAAGATAGAGGTTGCAGTGAGCCATGAGTTGGTGCACCACTGCACTCCAACGTGGGTGACAGAGTGAGAACTTGTCTCAAAAACAAACAAAAACAGACTGTGAATCAATCAAACAAGCAATAAATGTTCATGAAACATCTACTATGGGCTTAACATTGAGATGGTTACAGCAAGGTCTGCACCAAAAGAATGTAAAATAGTATATAACTAGAAAGAATCAATCAAGTTAAAAAACTAAGACCGTGACATGGAAAGTCAACTAGCCATGCAAGACAGTCAGTGGTAAGTGTCAGAAACATGAAGGGAGATCCTGGGTAGAAGAGCTACATTTGACTGGCCACACAGGGAGGGGTTGGGGAAATTGTCTTTGGCCTAATCTGGACTCTAGAGTAGAAGAGAATTCCCATTGACCTGTGGGTGAGGCCTCAGCCAAGTGACTCCTGAGACATTCTGAGGATCCAAGCATCCATTTCAAAGGATGGCAGCCATTTAATCCCTGGGGGCTTCCTTTCTTCATCTTAAAAAGAGAACATTGGAATAGATCATTGCTAAAAAAACCACCTTTCACAGACTGTGGGTCTATATTTATTTGTGAGACAGATGCTGCCTCAAAGAAAACCATATACACATATATCATGGCTTCAAGGAACACCCAGCCAGCAGAGTCCAGAATCTATGATGAAATCCTGCAGTCCAAGGTGAGCTGATGCAATTCATGGACACCCCTGTGCCACCATCTCCATGACAGGGAGTCATGGGCAGCCATTGCCTCTGCTTGTTGTTGTCTAGAAAGCAGCCACGGCCAAGAGTCCAGAGGTTCCAACCAGGAAATACCATGTCAGGGAAGTGATGCCACGGATCTTTCTATGAGGACAGGAACGTGACCCATTGTCACCCCATGGCAGCCTCCATGGGCTGAGGCACTGAGTGTCCCACAGTGGGCCCGGCTCCAGGTTAGATGAGCCATGACTAGGAGCAAGGCGCCCCCTAGAGGGGCCACACAACAGAGGAGCTACTGGAGTGAGGTGAGGGCTGCTATGTGACTACCAACGTGGTGAACAGGTTGCTAAGGGGGCTACGAGGCAACAGAACTGACAGACAAGTTCCCTTGAATGCCCCTCCTGGTCTAGCAGCAGCGGCTTGCTTTCCTCAGACTCAGAGTCACTGTTCCACACCCCTCCTCCCATCCGCCCTTTACCTGCCTGCCCCTCCCTCCCCTCCACCCTGGATCGCCCTCTCCTGTGTCCCCACCAGCCTGCCTCCTTAAAGTCTGCAAGGAATCAAGGGGGAGACTGAGGTCTGCCTGGTCAGTCTAGCGCTGTGCTTGGACTGATAGGGCAGCTGGATCCATAGAGCCCATGGAAAGCTAAAATCCTGACTGAGCAGGACTCATCCTGAACCATGGGATCCCTCCTCTTGGCCCCTGAGGTTTTTCACCCCCGAGACCCTGCCCAACTGCTACCCATTCACCCCCACCTTATCCCTTCCTGATCCTAAGCCTCTCCAGAGTTGGATGGAGGCAGAACTGAGGCCAAAGGGGAGGCCACCCAGTAAATGTGGGACCAGGGAAGGATGGTGGGTAGAGGCAGAATTAGGAAAGGGGACTTGTAGATGGGCCTGGGCTCCCTCACTGAGGGGAAGATGTGTGTTTTACAGGTGCTTCCCTCCAAGGAAGAGCCAGTGAACACAGTTTATTCCGAAGTGCAGTTTGCTGATAAGGTAACCCCTTTCTGGCTTTTTATCCTTGCTTTCCTAACTCTTCCAGCCATTCTGGTGCACCCGGTCCATCCAACCAGGGGCTAGCTGGTTCCCCTGGGACTCCTTGTAGTTCTCAGGACCCACTGCCTAGGTTTTTGGTCTATATGTACTTCCACCCATGCACAAAGCCCCACTCCCTAGGTCAATGGCCATCCACGAGTTATCTTACTTGGGATGCTGATCCCACCCTTCAAATGCAGAAGTCCCTATGCCTCTGAACTACGGTATGGGAACTCCATCCCGTATAATACCTGGGGTCACTGCTAGCTCACAGTGTGAAAATGAGAAAACAGGTGCTTCCCTCTGAGCAAACACAGGCCCATGCCAGATGCCCAGATGGGTGCAATGGAGCAGAAGCTGAATTTCAGTTCATTTGCTCCCTCAGCTGCTCTTTTACCACACGCAGCCTGCACAACCATTTGTAGTGCCAAGTGCCTTGTGCCTTATGCCTGTGCCTTATGTCCTTCTCTGTCATATGCAAAGCCCTCTGACAGGACTTTAAATTTTGGGGATCTAAGGAGGGATTGTCACTATCTGAAGGTCCTCACTGCTGCTACAATCAGGACAGCTTTAGGGTTGCTTAAAGAATCATGTTTTCTAAGTATTCCTGTTTAATAGCTGAGTTACCAAGCAGGAAGCTAAACTGAGTACGAATTGAGAGTGATCCTATAAGGCAATAGGGAGGACATCTATGAGCTCGACAAGCAGGGCAGTGCTACTTCCTTTTAAGGAGGACTTGAAGCACAGGGCAGTTTGCTTGAAAAGATAAGCCAAATGGACTGGACAACCAGATAGAGGGACATTTACTTTCTTAGTGATCAGGAGAGGGAAGGAGGGAAAGAAAAAGAAGGGGAGGAATGAGGAAAGAAGAGGAGAAGAAAAGGAGGACAGGCAAGAAGTGAGGGTCAGGGTGCCCAGCATATTTGTGCCAGGATCTCAAGGAGAGTTGGAGGAACAAGAGTAACTTAACTTAGAAGGAGATAAAATTCGAGGGATTAATCATGGAATCCTGGATTGTGACATCTCAAGATAAATCCTTAAAGACAAGTTAGATAACAATTATTGGGTCAGTATTTAATTGAAAACCTAAGACTCCTCAAACCAATGGGAAGATTGTTTGCAGCCCTCTAAATGCCTAGAGCACAGGAGATGCTGGCAGTGAGTCCCCACTATGTATAGGTGAAAGTGGAGTTATTGGGATACAAAAAAACTAGGGGTCAACTAGGAACAAGGAATGCAGGTAGCTTGAACCTGAATGTTGCCTCAAGTCTATAATCAAAATCCATTCCAAATATGCCCCCGCCCCCATTCCCTCCCATTGCTCTTTTCTGGGCTAAGAAGTTAATTGCTCAGGGCCTCCCAAATGGGGGGTAGCTGGAGCAGACATGAGGGACTCAGCAAAGAACAAGGCCCTGCTACCCCAGATTTCCCCAGCATGAGGCAAATCTAAGGCATTCCCCCGTGCCATTTGCTTAACTCCTCTGGGAACTTGCAGGACTGGAGTTCCCCAGCAGCACCTCTCAGTTAACATTTTCTCACGCTTCTCTCCTGCACAGATGGGGAAAGCCAGCACACAGGACAGTAAACCTCCTGGGACTTCAAGCTATGAAATTGTGATCTAGGCTGCTGGGCTGAATTCTCCCTCTGGAAACTGAGTTACAACCACCAATACTGGCAGGTTCCCTGGATCCAGATCTTCTCTGCCCAACTCTTACTGGGAGATTGCAAACTGCCACATCTCAGCCTGTAAGCAAAGCAGGAAACCTTCTGCTGGGCATAGCTTGTGCCTAAATGGACAAATGGATGCATACCCTTCCTGAAATGACTCCCTTCTGAATGAATGACAAAGCAGGTTACCTAGTATAGTTTTCCCAAACTTCTTCCCATCATAGCACATGTAGAAAATAATATTTTTATGGCACACTGGGATAAACAAGCAAGATTGCTCACTTCTGGAAGCTGCATATGACTAGAGGCCTCTTGTGACTGGAGGTAACAACCCTGCCCAGTAACTGTGGGAGAAGGGGATCAATATTTTGCACACCTGTAATAGGCCATGGCACACCAGCCAAGATGCTCTGCTCACAGTCAGTATGTGTGAAGATCCCTGGTGCGTGGCCTTCACCACGCATCTTGAGCAAATTAGGAAAATGTACCCTTCGCTTGAGGCAGATGCAGCCCTTCCCCCGAGTGCATGGCTTGGAGAGCAGAATGTGGGCTGCATATAAGCACACTCATCCCTTTGTCTGGGAATCTTTGTGCAGGGCATAACAGGCTTAGTAAGTCCAAACACAGATGACAGTGCTGTGTGGGTCTCTGTCAGAGTTGTGGCTCTCAGCCATGTAGACACACTCTCCAAATGGAGTGTTGGAAAATGTTCTTTCTGCAGGGTCTAGAGACTGCTGGGACACTTTTCTTGGAGTGCTACTTCAGAAGCCTTATAGGATTTTCTTTCTGGCCAAGATTTCCTTCTGTATCACTCCAAGCAGCCTCAGCAGAAGAAGCAGCCATGCCCAGTATTCCCACTCTCCAAAAGGAACTGACCAGCTTATATTTCTCACACTTCTGGGGAACTGGGTATAATCCAACCATCAAAATAGAAGACCTTGCAAGAAGCAGAGTCATTCTCCAGAAGGAACTTGGGAGATGATGGTGCAGATGATGAAACTGGGTTCATCCCAGTTCCAAAGACTCAGAGAACTAGAGTTTAAGCTGAGGCAGAGTGCCGCCACCCTGGCATGCCCCACAAACAGATCACCAGCCAGCTTACACAGGCATTAACTCTCCTCAATGAGGAAGAATCATTCACAACTGAGCAAGACATTCATATGATCATTTAAGGAAGTGTTTCCCTTATGTGTTAGCAAGTATAATCGGCTAACTCCTAAATCCCAATGAATAGTCCTAGGCTGGACAGCAATGGGCTGCAATTAGGCAGATAAAGACATCAGTCCCAGTAAATGAATCCATAGACTCATCTAGCACCAACTACCATTAGCACTATGTTAGGAGCTGCAAGGCCCCAAAGTAGAAGATGTGCATAATGTCTGCTCTTGTGTAGCTCAGGAGACAATTCCAGCACAGACACTACAGTTAACGCTGAACTGCAGCTGCAAGTAATAGCATGAACAGTCAGAAAAATACCTTATGAGGGGGCAGGGCTGAAGCTGGGCCTTGAAGGATGGATGAAATTTGGATAGAGAATGAGGAAGACAGAGGGCCTCCAAGTGAGAGAAGCATGAAAAATGAGCAGGGGCCTGGATCAGTGGGGTGTATTCAGAGCACCTCTCCAGATGCACCATGCATGCTCACAGTCCCTTGCCTATGTGTGGCAGAGTGTCCCAGCCAGATGTGTGCCCTCACCCCATGTCCATTTACATGTCCTTCAATGCCCACCTCAAAAGGTACCTCTTCTGTAAAGCTTTCCCTGGTATCAGGAATCAAAATTAATCAGGGATCTTTTCACACTGCTGTTTTTTCCTCTTTGGTCCTTCTATCACTAAAACTCATCTCATTCAGCCTTACAGCATAACTAATTATTTGTTTTCCTCACTACATTGTACATGTGGGAATTACAGATAAACGGAAGCCGGCTGGGGTGGTGGCTCACGCCTGTAATCCCAACACTTTGGGAGGCCAAGGCAGGCGGATCACCTGAGGTCAGGAGTTCGAGATTAGTCTGGCCAACATGGTGAAACCCCATCTCTACTAAAAATACGAAATTAGCCAGGTGTGGTGGCACACATCTGTAGTCCCAGCTACTCTGGAGGCTGAGACAGGAGAATCGCTTGAACCCAGGAAGTGGAGGTTGCAGTGAGCTGAGATCACACCACTGCACTCCAGCCTGGGAGAGACAGAGTGAGACTCCATCTCGAAAAAAAAAAAAAGATAGAAGCCAATAAGCATGGTGCAATCAAATTCTGGCAAGCATTAAATATCAGGATGCAGCTGGGCACGGTGGCTCACGCCTGTAATCCCAGCACTTTGGGAGGCCAAGGTGGGCGGATCACTTGAGGTCAGGAATTTGAGAGGATCCTGGCCAGCATGGCAAAACCCCATCTGTACTTAAAATACAAAAAAATTAGCTGGGCGTGGTGGTGCACACCTGTAATCCCAGCTACTTGGGAGGCTGAGGTGGGAGAATTGCTTGAACCTGGGAGGTGGAGGTTGCAGTGAGCTGAGATCCTGCCACTGCACTCCAGGCTGGGCAACAGAGTGAGACCATGTCTCAAAAAATAAAAATAAAATAAAATAATATCAGGATGCATACATCAGAGGCTGTTCCTAGTGTAAAGGCACTTTGGAGGGAGAAGACTTTCAGAGTTAGGCAGACCAACTAAGAGGTCAGCTGAAGCACCTAACCAGTTGTAAGGAGGTGAAAGACAGCACCCCAAGAAGAGACGTGCAGGAAGGAGGAAAGAGGCTTGGTCATAAAGGATGGAGGAATTCCAAAGTGACACTGAACAGGCTGCGTTTATCCTAAAATAAAACCACTCCTCACTCTGTGGATGCGTTGAAGACTCATTCCCAAACATCTTTATTCTCTAACTTGCCCTCTTCCTCTTCCTAATATGCTCACTCAAGTAAAATTACTAGTGTCCTAATGCCCCTATGCATATTGTCAAAAATAAAAATCAGAAGCAGGTTAGATCTGTTAGGTCTTCCAGAAGAGCAAACCTGGGATGAAGCCAGAGCCCAGGAATTCTGAAGGTAGCCTTTGGACTCAGGACACCCTACTCTTGTCTCTCCTCTCAGTTTCTCTGCTATGAATCTCCTGATTCATGAACACGTTATCTGTTCACCCTTCTCTCTAGGTCTTAGTTCTTAGATTTTCCTTCTGTAAAATGCATGTGATCTTATTTTCCCCTCCACAACTTTCCAGATGAACTAGACTGTGACCAAGAGGTCTATAAAATCAAAGCATCATGGAACAGGATCTTGTATCAGACCAAAGTGTGCCAGTTTTTAAAAATGTGCATCAAAATGGAAGTCTCAGAGACAGAGCCCTCTGGTGGAAAGTTCTAGTAGGTTAGGACAGTCCTGCCTGCAGACACCTTGGGCTTTACTGAGGGACTCAACTGAGAAAATGAGGAATGTTGCAGCTCATGATTCTTAGAAGAAGAAAGTGAAGCTTGTTTAAAATATGATTTAAAAAATCTGTAGAACACTGTAAACTACACAGGCTATGAGGGAATAGCCTGGTTGGGCCAGCTTGGAAATCGGGCACAGGCAGGAAGGGGCCTGTCTGGTTTGGGCCGTGTCCACAGAGAGCACTTCTTAGGTCCTGCCTGGAGAGAAGGAATGGCTGGGCTATATTTTCTTCCAGACTCATTATTTTTCTTCTGTTTGACTTTTCTCTGAATTTCCCTTGATTTGTATAAATTTTCTCAATAATTAGTGACAGTGTCTACTGATTGTAAAATGAAGCTTGAAGGCCAGGCGCAGTGGCTCATGCCTGTAATCCTAGAATTTTGGGAGGCCAAGGTGGGTGGATCACAAGGAGTTCGAGACCAGCCTGGCCAAGGTTGTGAAACCGCGTCTCTACTAAAAATACAAAAAAATTAGCCGGGCATGGTGGCACGTGCCTGTAGTCCCAGCTACTCAGGAAGCTGAGGCAACAGAATCACTTGAACCTGGGAGGTGGAGGTTGCAGTGAGCCGAGATCACGCCACTGCACTCCAGCCTGGGCGAGAGAGTGAGACTCCGTCTCAAAAAAAAAAAAAAAAAAAAAAGTTTGAAGAACAAAGACAATAAGAGGAAATATAATGAGTGGTCATAAATGTGGGCTCTGACAGTAGAGTGCCTGGGTCTGCATCCTGGTTTCTTAGTCATGTGACCTTAGGCAAGTTACTTTAACCTCGCTGTACCTCAGGTTGTCCATCTGTAAAATGGGGATAATAATAGTGCCTACCTTTTAAGGTTGATGTGGGGATTAAATGAGGTGTTGCTCATACAGGAATGTGCCTGTGCATGGCAAAGTTCGGGAAATTTTTTATAAGCTGTTCTAGGCCTGAAATCTTCAGAAGATGCTAATCTAAATTCATGAAATAAGCTTCTTACAACAGAAATGCTGCTAGTATTATGCAAAATTAATGTTGTATATCAAACTTTTAACTCTCATCCCTCCTTATTCAGATATATTTTGTTATAAGCAATGTTTGTTCCCCTCGTTATTATACCACAGTCTACTTACCTGATGCTATATCTGCCTCCCCAGTTAGACTGAGAGAACAGGGGATATACCTAAATAATAATAATAATAATAATAATAATAAATAATAATGGAGAGCTCCTTGAAGATAGGGAGCCTGTAAGAATCATTGAGGGCTTATTTTGTATACCAACTGCTAAACTAGATGCTTCATACATTGTTGTCAATACTCATGACAGCCTTGTAAAGTAGAAATTAATTCTTCCAGTTAACACTAAGGCTGACATATGAATACCTTGGCAAATCTGGAAAGCTGGGAAGACAGTATTTGAATTCAAGACTTCTTGTCACCAAGGGCCATGCACTTGTACTCTGCCATGTGGCCCTTTTTTACCTCCTGTGGATTCTCCCTACCTGGTACTTGGCCTTAGGTGTACACACACCTGGCACTTTGCTTGACACATAATAGGTGGACCACAAATATCTACTAAATGAATATTTGCATATAGTAATATTTTAAGGTACTAAAAGCAGCTCAAAGTAAATATATTAATATATTAATTCCATTGCTATCTGGATAACCACTCAACTTTCCTGCTGAAAATGCCCATTTAATTAAAGAAGGTTGGATAGAGCTCTCTATATGCATTTTGGACAGGCAGGGGTTTCAGGTCATAAACATTCTGATGAGTTAATATAAAATAAGAGAAACTGTAAATTTCCACTACTAAAAATCACAAAAATAACAGAAACAAAAGAAGAGATAAGAATTTGGGGAATTGTGCTGAACAATTTAGTGGTTAAAAAAAACAACTGTGCATGTTTAGACTTAAATAAGCCCCCATCCAAGTGTGAGGGGTCCAGTAATTTTTCAAAACATATGAAAGTGTTAATACATTTCGACAAAGGACCATTAAAAAAGTCCTGAATTCTGACTTGAGGGAGGAAAGTAATGACTAATACATTCTCTAGAGACTTGCAGACTTTGGGAATTCATAAAGGAATGGATGATAATTATTAACTGTTGCTGGCTGATTGCCCAGACAGTTCTCAACAGCCCTGTACAAGTCTCTGGGTTTGGGATGGATCAATTCTGAGACTGGAAAATGGCCAAATCTTTGCAAATGAGAAATATTTTTCTTATAAGTTCTTATTGTAGGCAAATAATTACATAGATTATTCATCAGAGAATTTTTAAATGCTCATAATCTCAACTCTTTCATTTACAACTTGTATTTCCAATAGTTTATGGGTCATCTCTGCATAGATGTCAGAAGTCACCTCAAGTTTAGCGTGTCCAAAATCTAACTCACAGGTCTGTTTCTGACCTCCCAACTTGCTTTCCTTGTGTTTTTCCTATGCTAATGATCCACCATAATCAAAATAATTAACATTTATCCAGTGCCTACTATGTACTATTCCCTGTCCTGTTTTACATTTACTCATTTAAAGTCCATAAGAAACATTAAATCTCATCTGCCTTCTGAAGAAGATACAACCATGCTCTCTTTTACAAAGTAGGAAACTGGGTCACAGAAAGGTGAAGTCTTTAAGGCTGAATCACAGTAGCTCATCCTAGTAAATAGAAAAGCCAGGATTCAACTCCAGGGGCTGGGTGCAGAACTGCTATTCTTCACTGCTTCACCAATCAGCAGCTACCCAAGGCAGAAAACTTTTTCATCCTTGGCTCCTTCATTCTCCCTGTCACCCCAGATCCCCTCTACATCTAGTCAGAGAATAGGTCCTGTCAATTCCAACTTCTCTATATGGCTCCTCTCAGGCATGTGCCCTTAATTGGCCTAATTCTCTAATACACCTTCCCTCTACATGCTCACTCCCTCAGATCATTGCTTTATCACGTGTTACCTGGGTTGCTATTACATAAAGAGCAATCTTTCTAAAATGAGGATCTTATCACTTCACTTCCACACTAAAATGTTTTTCCTGGGGAACCACACTCCTTAGCAATCTGACCCATCAGACCTTCCAGGCTGTCTCCTGCCTGCTCCCTAAGGCTCCAGCCACACAGAATTATCATGGGCCCACACACCCACCAAATCCTCCCATGCCTTTGCCCATGTTGTCTGGGATGCCCTTCTCTCCCTTCTGTCTACATCAAGCATCAGACTGAATATCCCTCTTGTGCGGCCTTCTAAAACCTCCCGTCCAAAGCGAAATATATTGCCCTCTATTTATACTTTTACAGCATTTGGCACACAAGTACAGAGTAGTAGCTTTTTATCACATTCTCTGATAATTATATAGATATGGTATTTCTTAGCTCTCTCTCCAACTGGCTAATAAGTTGCTTTTTGTCTGAGTGCCTAATTTTGTGTTTTGTGTCTGAGTGCCTCAGTTCCTCAAAAAAAGGTTTTTTGATTAGTTCATTATTCATTTGAACATGGAAATTATGCTCACTAGTGGCAAATGCCACTAACCGTATTCCAGAAGCTAGGTGTCATGTTTGCAATAAGATATATTATCCCTTCTACAAGTCACCTTTTATTTCAGGCATTTGTAAATGCCCATTAATAAAGTATGGTTCATAAATTTTACCTTGTAAGTGCCTAAGAAATGAGACTACAAGCTCCATTTCAGCAGGACACAATAAATATTATTTTATAATGCATCTATTTTGTGTTTTACTTTGTTTTGGTTTTTGAGAGCAACAAAAATGAAGTAAACAGATGAAACAGCAAAGGAGACAGTCCACATGATAAAAGCCCTGTGCTGTCTGAAAACCCAGGCCCTGAGTGGACACAAGAGACCAAGGGATTGAGGGTATAAGACAGACAAAGAAAAAAAGAAAAGCTGATGTAGAGAGATGATTGGGACCTTGAGAGGAGACTGAGAAGCTAGAGACAGGAAGGACAAATGCCAGAAACAGAAAAAACCCGGAGGGCAGCAGAGGTGCTTGGTTAAGGTGGAGAAGAGAGTTCTGCCTTGGTCAACCTAGAGAGAGGAAATTGAGGACTTAAATCACGTTTTGGGGGTCATCTCCCTCCAGGGAAGAAGCTTTGTCTTATTCATTTTTCACTCACAGTGCCCTATCACAGGAGCCAATGCCTAGCAGAGCTTAGTAAGTATTTGTTGAACTGAATTTGGATTGGCACCCACATATCAGAAGAGGAAAGAGAGTCCTGGAAACCACATTCAGAGTCCGAGTCCCAAATTGGAGAGTAGAAATTCTCTGTGTCACCCATAGTGCCACTTGGAGGAAAGGGATAAAAAGACTGGGCTTTTAACTGAGGAGAATGAGGTTGTGGTTTCCACAGAACTGTAGGTGCAGGGCCTCTGAATGTTTGGTAAACACTGAAGGGGAGGTGACTTACTAACAGGCGCTGTGAGATAGCAAATGGTTTTTAGGCCTGAGACAAAACCACTTCCTCTATTCCCTGCTTATCAGAGGCCACAGCTGCTCTGTTCTGAGCCAGCGTTTGCAGATAAGCCTGGTCTTCCAGCTCCCCACCTACATCTTCTTGTGGGGTTGAAATTGACTGCTACCCATGTAGAATTTCGGAGTCCCTGTGTAGAAACTCTGTAGGCAGATACAGCAACCGTTTGAGAAGATAAATTTCGCTAGTGTTTCTCCAGTGCTTTCTGAGGTTTGGCACATTTCATTTCATTTCATCTACACATTAGCCATAGGACTTTCAGCTTGAAATTACCTCCACCTCCTTACCCTCACTACCTCCAATACACAGCTTCACTCATTCACACAATGCCCATTCATTCTTCTGGGATAAGCTCAAGCGTCCCTTCCTGGGGGGAAGTTTTCCCTGTTCCTCCAGGCCATATCTGATGCCCGTGTTTTGCGCTCATAGTACAACACCTCTTGCCTTTACAGCAGTTTTCAATTTTGTCTTTAAATATTTCTCCCTGTGATTATTTTATTAATTCCTCTCTTCCGTCACTGGACTGTGAGTTCCATCAGGACACAGATCATGCGTGGTTTTGTCACCATTTGTATCCACAGTGCCTGACCCAGTGCAAGTAGTCCTCAATTTGTAATACTTTAATTATTGAAGACGCAATAGCTTATCAGCCTTTAACTGTGTTAGCTGGCATGTTACAATCCTTTGGCATATGTATCAACGACAAAGCCAGGTATACTGTTTATTTCTGAAGTATATTACCTTCATAGATTCTATAAAACCCTTGGTTGGAAATGCACTAGAAAATATTGATTTTACCTGCTATGCAGGAGACACAGAAGAGTTAACACAGCAGGGCTAAAACTGCTGTCCTTTGAAGGGCATGCTTATAAGGTTGGCCCTTGGCTGGTGTCTGAGAACTTGGACTTTGGGACGGTTCCTACCATTCCCTGATAAGAATTCCCTGATAAGGTACTTACACTGTACCTAAATTGTTGGCACAACAATTTGTTTTTTGCTGAATATCTGCTTTCTTTCTTGGATTCTGGAATTTTGGTGCATGCTAGGTAGAGGGTGCCTACGTTACTGCCTGCAGAGAAAAACCCTAAATGCCTAGGCTCCATCGAGCTTCTTTGGTAGATTACATTTCAAACATGACACAACATGTTGTTGAAGGAATTACATACATCCTGTTTGACTCCACTATGAGAGGACTCTAGAAGCTTGCACCTGGTTTCCTCTGGACTTTGCCCTTTTGCCTTTGCTGATTTTCTTTGTGTTTATTCACTGTAATAAATCGGCCATGACTATGGCTATATGCTGAGTCTTGTGAGTCCTCCTACTGAATGACTGAATCTGGGGGTGGTCTTGAAAACCCCAACACAACTCCTGAATGTCACTACAATCTATCTACCTCTCTTTCACCACTAACTACAGTAGTCCAGGTTGCCATCATCTCTTACCCAGACAATAGCACTTGACCTCTTGCAGTCGTGCCTGCTCCCAGTCCAATCCATTCTCTACACCACAACCAGAGTGATCTTTCCAAAACACAAATAATGGTTATATTGGCCATGCTAATGTCATCTGGTGGCAGAAAGGACCAATGGATTGCTGTGGTATAAGGCTTTGTATATGTAATAACTTATAAGTTGAAAATTTATAATTAAGCCCTGGCACAGTGGCTCACGCCTGTATTGGGAGGCTGAGGTGGGTGGATTACTTGAGGCCAGGAGTTCAAGACCAGCCTGGTCAACATGGTGAAACCCCGTCTCTACTAAAAGTACAAAAACAAAAAAAAAAAAAAGCCGGGTGTGGTGGCACACACCTGTAGTCCCAGCTACTTGGAAGGCTGAGGCACGAGAATTGCTTGAACCCGGGAGGCAGAGGTTGCAGTGAGCTGAGATGGTGCCACTGCACTCCAGCCTGGGCAACAGAGCAAGACTCTTTCTCAAAAGAAAGAAAAGAAAGAAAAAAAAAAGAAAAGGAAAGGAAAGAAAGAAAGAGAGAGAGAAAGTTAGTTTATAATTAGAAGAAATTCTTTAACCTGAAAAAAAATGGAAAGATATTCAGTGGTCTAATTGCCAAAAGTGTACCAGCCTAGATGGTCTTAAGGGCTAGTCCTATCACCTACAATGAAAGGATAATTCCCAGTCATCTTAACTGTCCCAAGGCATAGAAAACAGTGGGAAGCTTCCAAATTCATTAAATACTATAATATAACACTGATTCCAAAGCCAGATAAGGATGATCCCCCACAAAGAGATACATAGGCCAGGAGTTAGCAAACTATGGCGTGTGGCCACATCCAGTCTGCCATCTGTTTTTATTTGACCCACGAACTAAGAATAGTTTACATTTTTAAAATGGTTGAAAAGAATTCAAAGAATAATAATATTTTGGGACATGTTAAAATTATGTGAAATTCAAATTTCAGCATCCATAAATAAAGTTTTATTGAAACACAGCCAACACGCATTCTTTTATGTGTTTATTATGGCTGCTTCCATACTACACCAGCAGAGTTGAGTAGTTGCAAAGGAGATTGTATGGTCCACAAAGTCCAATATTCACTACTGGGACCTTTACAGAAAAAGTCTGCCACATCCTGATATAGTCCAATCTCACTTATAAATATAAATGTTAAAAATCTTAAACTTCAGTCAATTTTAAAGCAATGCATTAAAAGAAAAAAAAATGCGACCAAGTAGGATTTTATCCTTAGAGTGCCAGGATGATTTATCTTTAAGAAACCATCTATTGTAATTTGCTGTTCAAACAGATTAAAGGAGATGAAAAAAATAATCATCCTGACATAGTCTACAATATATATTTGATAAAACTGAATACCCATGACTGATTTAAAAAGTTTTCAAGAAAGCTAAAAATAGAATGTGTTTTAGTCAATATCCAATTTTAAAAAACTGAGACCATGTTAAATACTGAAAACTCAACAAGCTGAATATAGGGAATTGATTCCAAAAGTGATGGAGGAGTAAAACAGGGAAGCTGAGGTTACCAAGCAATTAATAATTCCAGGAAGTTGCTATGGAACTTTGTCCCTATGGAAATTTGTCTTGGGAATCAGTGCTGCCAGCTTTCAAGATTCTAAGAGTTCACAGTCTCATCAAAACTGTGAGACTCTGGGAGACAAAAATAACTCACCACTGCAGATGCCACCATCAAAGCCTGATCCCACCAGTACCACACTAGCAAGACTTCTGACATGCTTGCTGGAACTGCACTGCTACACCAGGAACCCTGAAGCGGTACTCATCTTCTGCTATCACTGCCACTACTGAAAACATTACCAGAAACCAAGATTATGGAAAAATATATAATTTATTCCTTCCATCCAACTTTAACCAATACCACCCAGTGACAAAATCTAATCAGAAGCCATCTGACAATGGAAATGATAAATGTAGTTTGCAGACTTCTAACCTTCTGAAAAACAAGGAACACAGAAGGGTGGGAATAGAGCTGAGAGCAAATAAGCAAATGACTGGCTCGGGTTAAACTTTTACAACTTGATACAGCATATGTAGCAAACATTTATTGGAAACATTAGAGGCATTCTTAATAAAGAAATGAATACAAGTAACCATTCTTGTATTCAGTGAATACAAGATCACTGCTACTCTTCAACTGTATTGTATTGAAGATCCTTGTTAGTAAAGTGAGTCAAGAAATACATATAAGAGGCTATCTCACATCTAGAATCAGTCATTTTTCTAAGGGGCATTGGTTCTTCAGAGAGAATATTATTTATCCACCAAGATCTTGGATAATGTCACTAATTTTTAGTTACTTAAGAAATATGTGAACACATTTCTATCATCTTTTTAAAAATCAGTGTAAAAGTATAGAGATAGAGAGAGTGATGTCAGCAAAGTGGTGGACTAGGAAATTCCAAACTCTCTCTTTCCCCCAACTTAGAGTAATAAAAAAACAGCCAAACAAACAAAAAAAAACCCAAATGGTTGAATTAACCTTATAGGGACTCTGGAAAACAGTCAGAGTTTTATAACAACCAATCAAATGCCCAATGAAGAAAAAGCCACTTTTGAAATGGTAGGAAAAGTTCCATGGCATTTTTCTTGCCCTTGCCCCATCCCCTCCTCATCCCAACAGAAAGCTTGTTTAGAGGAGGCAGGAGTTCACTTCTCAGTTCCCTCTCTTGAATGGGAGGGAACATAACAGATCTTATTTGCAATATTCTAATCTGTCTTAGGAGTCCATGAAGAACTGGTCTCTATTTCACTTAATTCAGATCTCAAGTGGGAAAGTGCCACTACTATGAACCCAAAGCTATCAAAATAAAGAAAATAATAAAGATTAGACCAGAGATAAAATAGAGAAAATTAATGAACCAAAAAGTTGATTACTTAAAAGGATCAACGAAATTGGCAAATTTAGTTAGAGTGGTTATGGAAAAAAAGACAGAGTGCTCAAATTACTAAAATTGGAAATGAAAATGAGGACACTACAACCAATTTTTCAGAAATGAATAGAAGAGACTACTACAAACAAATTGGATAACATAGATGAAGTAGACACAATTTTTACAAAGACTGAATCATGAAGAAATAGAAAATCTGATTAGACCTATAACTACTAAGAATATTAAGTAAATAATTTTAAAACAACTTCCCAACAAGGAGAAGTCCTGGATCAGAAGGCTTCACTGGTCACCAAAGAGTTTTAAAAGATTTTACACTAATCCTTCTTAAACTCTTCTAAACATTGAAGATAAATATATTAATTCACTCTGTCTTCCATGACAAAATACCACAGACTTGGTAGCTTAAACAATTGAAATTTATTTCTCACAGTTCTGAAGGCTTCGATGTCCAAGATCAAGGTGCCAGCTGATTCAATTGCTGGTGAAACTCTCCCTGGCTTGTAGGTGGCCAACTTCTCAATACGCCCTCATGTGGTAGAGAGAGAGCAAGAACTTTAGTCTCTCCTTTCTTATCAGTATGCTTATCTCATCATGAGGGTCCCACTCACATGACCTCATCCAAACCTAATTATCTCTCAAAGTCCCCATCTCCAAATATCATCACATTGGGGGTTAGAGCTTCAATATATACATTTTGTAGAGGCATAAACACTCAGTCCTTAACAAGAAGAGACCACTTCCTAATTCACTCTGTGACACCAGCACTACCCTGATACGAAAGCCAAACAAAGACACTAAAAGTAAACAAAACTACAAACCAATATTCCTTATAAATATTTATATAAAAATTCTTACAAAATAAGTAGCAAACAAAATTCAGCAGCATATTAAAAGGATTATACAACATGACAGTGAAATGTATTCCTGGAATGCAAGGATAGTTCAACATACAAAAATCATTCAATGTAATATATTGCATTAACAGAATGAAAGAAAAAAACTGGTCATTTTAATTGACACAGAAAAGGCATTTGACAAAGTTCAATATTCTTTCATGATAAAAACTATCCAACAAGCTAGAAATACAAGGGAACTTTTTACACAATAAAGCCCATATATTAAAAATCCACAGTTAACATCACATACAATGGTGAAAGACTGTAAGTTTTTCTCCTAAAATTAGGAACAAGACAAGATGCTCACTTTTACCAGTTGTGTTCAGTGTAGCATTAGAAGATCTAGCTAGAAAAATTAGACAAGAACAAGAAATAAAAGACATCTTAATTAGAAAGGAAGAAGCAAAATGATTTCTGTTCATGGATAATATAATCTCATATATATAAAATCCTAAAGATAATATAATCTCATGTGTATAAAATCCACACAAGCACACACACAAAAACTCTTAGGGCTAATTAAAAATTCAGCAAAGTTACAGGATACAAAATCAACTGTAAAAATCAGTTCCATTTCTATAAACTCACAATAAACAATCCAAAAAATAAGAAAAACAATTTAATTTACAATAACTTCAAAAAGAATAAAATACTTAGGAATAAACTTAACCAAGTAGGGGAATACTTGTACACTGAAAGCTCTAAGGCATTGCTGAAAGAAATTATAGAAGACATACATAAACGGAAAGACATCCTGTGTTCATGGATTTAATATTATTAAGATGGCAATACAATCTACAGATTCAATGCAATCCCTATCACATCCCAAAGATTTTTTTGCACAAATAGGAAAACTCATACTAAAATTCATATTGAATCTAAACGGACACCAAGTAGCCAAAATAGTCTCAAAAAAGAAGAAAGTTAGAGGCCTCATACTTCCTGATTTCAAAACTTACTACAAAGGTACAGTAATCAAATACAGACCAATGAAATAGAGTCAAGAGCCCAGAAGTAAACCCTTTAATATGTAGTCAAACGATCTTTGGCAAGGGCTCTAAAAGCACTCAATGAGGGAAAGGCCAGTCATTTCAACAATTCGTTCTGGGACAACTGGACATCTACGTGCAAAAGAATGAAGTTGGACCCCTACCACATACTATATATAAAAATTAACTGAAAACATAACAAAGACTTATCTGTAAGAGCCAAAACTATAAAAATCTTAGAAGAAAACATATAGAAAATCTTAATGACATTGCATTTGGCAACGATTTCTTAAATATGACAATAAAGGCACAGGCACCAAAAGAAATCTAGATATTTCTTTCTATATCTGTAATATATATAGCTCACACCTGTAATGCCAGCACTTTGGGAGGCCAAGACAGGTGGATCACCTGAGGTCAAGAGTTCAGTACCAACCTGACCAACATGGAGAAACCTCGTCTCTACTAAAAATACAAAATTAGCTGGGCATGGTGGCGCATGCCTGTAATCTCAGCTACTTGGGAGGCTGAGGCAGGAGAATCACTTGAACCCGGGAGGCAGAGGTTGCCATAAGCCAAGATCACACCATTGCACTCCAGCCTGGGCAACAAGAGCAAAACTCCATCTCAAAAAAAAAAAAAAATTAGACTTCACCAAAATAAAAAATTATACTGTATCAAAAGACACTGTGAAGAGAGTGAAAAGACAACACACAGAATTGGAGAGAATATTAACAAATCAAATATCTTTTTTTTTTTTTTTAGTATTTATTGATCATTCTTGGGTGTTTCTTGGAGAGGGGGATGTGGCAGGGTCATAGCATAATAGTGGAGAGAAGGTCAGCAGATAAACACGTGAACAAAGGTCTCTGGTTTTCCTAGGCAGAGGTCCCTGCAGCCTTCCACAGTGTTTGTGTCCCTGGGTACCTGAGATTAGGGAGTGGTGATGACTCTTAACGAGCATGCTGCCTTCAAGCATCTGTTTAACAAAGCACATCTTGCACCGCCCTTAATCCATTTAACCCTGAGTTGACACAGCACATGTTTCAGAGAGCACGGGGTTGTGGGTAAGGTTATAGATTAACAGCATCCCAAGGCAGACGAATTTTTCTTAGTACAGAACAAAATGGAGTCTCCTATGTCTACTTCTTTCTACACAGACACAGTAACAACCTGATCTCTCTTTCTTTTACCCACATTTCCCCCTTTTCTTTTCGACAAAACCGCCATTGTCATGGCCCGATCTCAATGGTTGCTGTCTCTTCAGAGCTGTTGGGTACACCTGCAGAAAGGCTGTCACTTCACACTTGGAAGATTGCACAGTGGCCAGGCAGAGGTGCTCCTCACTTCCCAGACGGGGTGGCGGCTGGGCAGAGGCACTCCTCATATCCCAGATGGGGCGGCCGGGCAGAGGTGCTCCTCACATCCCAGACGGGGTGGCCAGGCAGAGGTGCTCCTCACTTCCCAGACAATAGGCAGCTGGGCAGAGGTTCTCCTCACTTCCCAGACAGGTCGGCCGGGCAGAGACACTCCTCACCTCCCAGAAGGGGTGGCTGGGCAGAGACGCTCCTCACCTCCCAGACGGGGTGGCTGGGCAGAGGCGCTCACTTCCTAGGTGGGGTGGCTGGGCAGAGGCGCACCTCACCTCCCAGATGAAGGGCGGCCGGGCAGAGGAACTCCTCACCTCCCAGATGATGGGTGGCCAGGCAGAGGGGCTCCTCACTTCCCAGACAGGGCAGCCGGGCAGAGGTGCTCCTCACCTCCCAGACAGGGTGGCTGGACAGAGGCACTCCTCCCCTCCCCGATGGGGTGGCTGGGCAGAGGCGCTCCTCACCTCCCAGACAGGGCGGCCGGGCAGAAGCGCTCCTCACTTCCCAGATGGGGTGGCAGCCGGGCAGAGGCGCCCCTCACATCCCAGATGGGGTGGTGGCTGGGCAGAGGCACTCCTCACTTCCCAGACGGGGTGGCAGCTGGGCAGAGATGCTCCTCACCTCCCAGATGGGGTGGCGGCTGGGCAGAGGCACTCCTCACTTCCCAGACGGGGCGGCCGGGCATAGGTGCTCCTCACATCCCAGATGATGGGCGGCCAGGCAGAGACGCTCATCACTTCCTAGACGGGGTGGTGGCTG
The DNA here is from genome assembly GCF_000001405.40 of Homo sapiens. Classification (NCBI taxonomy): domain Eukaryota; kingdom Metazoa; phylum Chordata; class Mammalia; order Primates; family Hominidae; genus Homo; species Homo sapiens. The sequence goes on along the minus strand of NC_000001.11, from coordinate 160,531,933 downwards.
GGCAGAGGCGATCCTCACTTCCCAGATGGGGTGGCCAGGCAGAGGGTCTCCTGACATCCCAGACAATGGGCGGCCAGGCAGAGACGCTCCTCACTTCCTAGACGGGGTGGCGGCTAGGCAGAGGCTGTGATCTTAGCACTTTGGGAGGCCAAGGCAGGCAGCTGGGAGGTGGAGGTTGTAGCCAGCTGAGATCATGCCACTGCACTCCAGCCTGGGCAACATTGAGCATTGAATGAGCGCGACTCCGTCTGCAATCCCAGCACCTCGGGAGGCCGAGGCGGGCAGATCACTCGAGGTCAGGAGCTGGAGACCAGCCCAGTCAACACGGCAAAACCCCGTCTCCACCAAAAATACAAAAACCAGTCAGGTGTGGCAGCACATGCCTGGAATCCCAGGCATTCGGCAGGCTGAGGCCGGAGAATCAAGGGAGCCCGAGGTAGGGAGGTTGCAGTGAGGTGAGATCACGGCAGTACAGTCCAGCCTCGGTAAGGTGGGGGGTGGGGCAGAGAGAGAGAGAAAGAGAGAGAGAGAGAGAGAGAGAGAGAGAGAGAATCAAATATCTGATGAGGAATTAATATCTAGAATACATAAAGAACTCTACAACCCCCCCCCCAAAAAAAAATCCAAGTTAAATTTGGGCAAAGGACTTAAATAGATATTATTCCAAAGAAGATATACAAATTGCCAATAAGGCCAATAAGCACATGAAAAGATACTCAACATTATTAGTAATTAAGGAAATATAAGTCAAAACCATAATGAGATACCACTTCACATTCATTAGGATAATCATTATCAAAAAATGAAAAATAAAAAATATTGGCAAAGATATGGAAAAATTAGAACCCTTTTTCCAATCGCAGGTGAGAATGTAAAATGATGAAGCCATCATGAAAAACAGTTTGGCAGTTCCTCAACAGGTAAACATAGAATTACCATATGATCCAACAATTTCACTCCTAGGTGAATCCAAAGAAATGGAGAGCAGGAATTCAAACAGATACCTGTACACCAATGTTCATAGCAGCATTATTCACAATAGAGAAAAGATAGAAACAACCCAAGTATCCACCAATAGATGAATAGATAAGCAAATGTGGTACATACATATAATGGAATATTATTTAGTTGTAAAAAAGGATACAATTCTGATACATGCTACAACATGGATAAACCTTGAATACATTATGCTAAGTGAAATAAGCCAGACACAAAAAGACAAATGTTGTATGATTCCACTTATATAAGGTACCTGCAAATTAATAGAAACAATAAGTAGATTATAGGTTACTAGGGACTGAAGGAAAAGGGAACGGGGAGCCATTGCTTAATGGTCACTGTTTCCGTTTGGGGTAATGAAAAGGCTTTGGAAATAGTGTTGATGACTGCACAACATTGTGCATTAATGCCACTAAATTGTACACTTAAAATGGTTAAAATGATAAATTTTAGATTACATAGCCACGATATATAATTTAGGTTATTTTACCACAATAAAATAATCACCTCCAAATGGAAAAAGTATATAGATGGAAAGTGAAATTTCCAATTCACATTGCACAATTAAGATTTGTGCACTTGACTACTGGGCAAGATGACAAGATAGGAACAGCTACAGTCTGCAGCAACCAGTGAGATCAACTCAGAAGTGGGGTGATTTCTGCATTTCCAGTTGAGGTACCCAGCTCACCTTGGAAGCGCAAGGGGTTGAGGATCTCTCCCCTAGCCAAGGGAAGCTGGGAGGGACTGTCCCATGAAGAATGTTGCACTTCAGCCCAGATACTACGCTTTTCCCATGGTCTTCACAATCTGCAGACCAGGAGATTCCCTCAGGTGCCTACACCACCAGGGCCCTGGGTTCCAAGCACAAAACTGGGTGGCCATTTGGGTAGACACCAAGCTAGCTGCAGGAGGTTTTGTTTTGTTTTGTTTCCCATACCCCAGTGGCACCTGGAACACCAGTGAGACAGAACCATTTATTCCCCTGAAAAGGGGGGCTGAAGCCAGAAAGCCAAATGGTGTAGCTCAGCGGATCTTACCCCCATGGAGCCCAGCAAGCTAAGATCCACTGCCTTGAAATTCTTGCTGCCAGCACAGCAGTCTGAAGCCGACCTGGAAAGCTCGAGCTTGGTGGGGACAGGGGCATCCACCACTACTGAGGTTTGAGTAGGCGGTTTTCCCCTCACAGTGTAAACAAAGCTGCCAGGAAGTTTGAACTGGGCAGACCCCAGGGCAGTTCAGCAAAGCTGCTGTAGCCAGACTGCCTCTCTAGATTCCTCCTCTTTGGGCAGGGCATCTCTAAAGGAAAGGCAGCAACCTCAGTCAGAGGTTTAGAGATCAAACTCCCATCTCTCTGGGACAGAGCACCTGGGGGAAGGGGCGGATGTGGGCTTAGCTTCATCAGACTTAAGCATTCCTGCCTGCTGGCTCTGAAGGGAGCAGCGGTTCTCCCAGCACAGCGCTCTAGCACTGCTAAGGGACAGACTGCCTCCTCAAGTGGGTTCCTGACCCCCATGCCTCCTGACTGGGAGACACCTCCCAGCAGGGGTCGACAGACACCTTATACAGGAGAGCTCGAGCTGGCATTTGGCAGGTGCCCTTCTGGGATGAAGCTTCCAGAGGAAGGAACAGGTAGCAATCTTTGCTGTTCTGCAGCCTCCGTAATGATACAGGCAAACAGGGTCTGGAATGGACCTCCAGCAAACTCCAGCAGGCCTGCAGCAGAGGGGCCTGACTGTTCGAAGGAAAACTAACAAACAGAAAGGAATAGCATCAACATTAACCAAAAGGATGTCAACACAGAAACTCCATCTGAAGCTCACCAACATCAAAGACCAAGGGAGATAAATCCATGAAGGTGGGGAAAAAACAGTGCAAAAAGGCTAAAAATTCCAAAAACCAGAATGCCTCTTCACCTCCAAAGGAACACAGCTCCTCATCAGCAAGGGCACAAAACTGGAAGGAGAATGAGTGTGATGAATTGACAGAAATAGGCTTCAGCAGGTGGGTAATAACAAACTCCTCCAAGCTAAAGGAGTATATTCTAACCCAATGCAAGGAAGCTAAGAAGCTTGAAAAAAGATTAAAGGAATTGCTAACTAGAATAACCAGTTTAGAGAAGAGCAAAAATGACCTAATGGAGCTGAAAAACACAGCACAAGAACTTCGTGAAGCATACACAAGTATCAATAGCTGAATCCATCAAGCAGAAGAAAGGATATCAGTGACTGAAGATCAGCTTAATGAAATAAAGCATGAAGACAAGATTAGAGAAGAAAGAATGAAAAGAAATGAACAGAGCCTCCAAGAAATATGGGACTATCTGAAAAGACCAAACCTTCATTTATTGGTGTACCTGAAAGTGATGGGGAGAATGAAACCAAGCTGGAAAACACACTTTAGGATATTATCCAAGAGAACTTCCCCAACCTAGCAATATAGGCCAACATTCACATTCAGGAAATACAGAGAACTCCACAAAGATATTCTTCGAGAAGAGCAACCCCAAGATACATAATCTTCAGATTCACCATGGTTGAAATGAAGGAAAAAATGTTAAGAGTAGCCAGAGAAAAAGGTCGGGTTACCCACAAAGGGAAGCCCATCAGACTAACAGCAGATCTCTTGGCAGAAACCCTACAAGGCAGAAGAGAGTGGAGGACAATATTCAACATTCTTAAAGAAAAGAATTTACAACCCAGAATTTCATATCCAGCCAAACTAAGCTTCATAAGTGAAGGAGAAATAAAATTCTTTACAGATAAGCAAATGCTGAGAGATTTTGTCACCACCAGGCCTGTCTTACAAGAGTTCCTGTAGGAACCACTAAACATGGAAAAGAACAACCGGTACCACCCACTGCAAAAACATACCAAATTGTAAAGACCATCGACACTATGAAGAAACTGCATCAACTAACGGGCAAAATAACCAGCTAGCATCATAATGACAGGATCAAATTCACACATAACAATATTAACCTTAAATGTAAATGAGCTAAATGCCCCAATCAGAAGACACAGGCTAGCAAATTGGATAAAGAGTCAAGACCCATCAGTGTGCTGTATCCAGGAGACCCATCTCATGGGCAAAGACACACATAGGCTCAGAATAAAGGGCTGGAGCAATATTTACCAAGCAAATGAAAAGAAAAAAAAAGCAGGGATTGCAATCCTAGTCTCTGATAAAACAGACTTTAAAACAACAAAGATAAAAAAGGACAAAGAAAAGCATCACATAATGGTAAAGGGATCAATGCAACAAAAAGAGCTAACTATCCTAAATAGATATGTGCCCAATACAAAGGACCCAGATTTATAAAGCAAGTTCTTAGAGACCTACAAAGAGACTTAGACTCCCACACAATAATAATGGGAGACTTTAACACCCCACTGTCAATATTAGACAGATCAATGAGACAGAAAATTAACAAGGATATCCAGGACTTGAACTCAGCTCTGGAACAAGAGGACCTAATAGACATCTACAGAACTCTCCACCCCAAATTGACAGAAGACACATTCTTCTCAGCACCACATCACATTTATTCTAAAACTGACCACATAATTAGAAGTAAAACACTCCTCAGCAAATGCAAAAGAATGGAAATCATAACAAACTGTCTCTCAGACCGCAGTACAATCAAATTAGAACTCAGGATTAAGAAACTCACTCAAAACCACAAAACTACATGGAAACTGAACAATCTGCCCTGAATGACTACTGGGTAAATAAAAAAATTAAGGCAGATATAAATAAGTTCTTTAAGGCCAATGAGAACAAAGACACAATGTACCAGAATCTCTGGGACACAGCCAAAGCAGTATGTAGTGGGAAACATAGCACTAAATGCTCACAAGGGAAAGCAAGAGAAATCTAAAATTCACATCTGACATCACACTTAAAAGAACTAGAGAAGCAAGAGCAAACAAATTCAAAAGCTAACAGAAGACAAGAAATAATTAAAATCAGAGCAGAACTGAAGGAGATAGAGACACTAAATACCCTTCAAAAATCAATGAATCCAAGAGCTGTTTTTTGCAAAGATCAACAAAATAGATAGCTAGTCAGACTAATGAAGAAAAGAGAAGAATCAAATAGACACAATAAAAAATGATAAAGGGGACATTGCCACTGATCCCACAGAAATACAATCTACCGTCAGAGAATACTACAAACACCTCTACACAAATACTAGAAAATCTAGAAGAAATGGATAAATTCCTGGACACATACACCCTCCCAAGATTAAACCAGAAGGAAATCAAATCCCTAAATAGACCAATAAAAAGTTCTGAATTTGAGGCAGTAATTAATAACCTACCAACCAAAAAAAGCCCAGGACTAGATGGATTCACAGCCGAATTCTACCAGAGATACAAAGAGGAGCTGGTGCCATTCCTTCTGAAACTATTCCAAACAATAAAAAAAGAGGGACTCCTCCCTAACTCATTTTATGAGGCCAGCATCATCCTGATACCAAAACCTGGCAGAGACACAACAAAAAAAGAAAATTTTAGGCCAATATCCCTGATGAACATTGATGTAAAAATCCTCAATAAAATACAGGCAAACTGAATCCAGCAGCATATCAAAAAGCTTATCCACCAGCCGGGCATGGTGGCTCGTGCCTGTAATCCCAGCACTTTGGGAGGCTGAGGTGGGTGGATCATGAGGTCAGGAGATCGAGACCATCCTGGCTAACACAGTGAAACTCTGTCTGTACTAAAAATACAGAAAAATTAGCTGGGCGTGGTAGTGGGCACCTGCAGTCCCAGCTACTCAGGAGGCTGAGGCAGGAGAATGGCATGAACCCAGGAGGCGGAACTTGCAGTGAGCCAAGATTGTTCCACTGCACTCTGGCCTGGGCGACAGAGCAAGACTCCACCTCAAAAAAAAAAAAAAAAAAAGCTTATCCACCACAATCAAGTTGGCTTCATCCCTGGTATGCAAGGTTGGTTCAACATATGCAAATCAATAAATGTAATTCATCACATAAACAGAACCAATGACAAAAACCACATGATTATCTCAATAGATGTAGAAAAGGCCTTTGATAAAATTCAACATCCCTTCATGTTAAAAACTCTTAATAAACTAGGTACTGATGGAACGTATCTCAAAATAATGAGAGCTATTTATGACAAACCCACAGCCATTATCATACTGAATGGGCAAAATCTGGAAGCATTCCCTTTGAAAACTAGCACAAGGATGCCCTCTCTCACCACTCCTATTCAACATAATATTGAAAGTTCTGACCAGGGCAATCAGGCAAGAGAAAGAAGTAAAGGGTATTCAGATAAGAAGAGAGGAAATCAAATAGTCTCTGTTTGCAGATGACATGATTGTATATTTAGAAAACTCCATTGTCTTAGCCCAAAATCTCCTTAAGCTGATAAGCAGCTTCAGCAGTCTCAGGATACAAAATCAATGTGCAAAAATCACAAGCATTCCTATACACCAAAAATAGACAAACAGAGAGCCAAGTCGTGAGTGAACTGCCATTCACAATTGCTACAAAGAGAATATAATACCTAGGAATACAACTTACAAGGGATGTGAAGGACCTCTTCAAGGAGAACTACAAACCACTGCTCAAGGAAATAAGAAAGTACACAAACAAATGGAAAACCATTCCATGCTCATAGATAGGAAGAATCAATATCATGAAAATGGCCATATTGCCCAAAGTAATTTATAGGTTCAATGCTATTTCCATCAAACTACTATTGACTTTCTTCACAGAATTAGAAAAAACTACTTTAAATTTCATACAGAACCAAAAACGAGCCCATATAGCCAAGACAATTGTAAGCCAAAAGAACAAAGCTGGAGGCAGCACGCTAACTGACTTCAAACTATACTACAAGGCTGCAGTAACCAAAACAGCATGGTACTGGTACCAAAACAGATATATAGACCAATGGAGCAGAACAGAGGCCTCAGAAATAACATCACACATCTACAACCATCTGATCTTTGACAAACCTAACAAAAACAAGCAATGGGGAAAGGATTCCCTATTTAATAAATGGTGTTGGGAAAACTGGCTAGCAATTATGCAGAAAACTGAAACTGGTTCCCTTCCTTATACCTTACACAAAAATTAACTCAAGATGGATTAAAGACTTAAATGTTAGACCTAAAACCACAAAAACCCCAGAAGAAAACCTAGGCAATACCATTCAGGACAAAGGCATGGGCAAAGACTTCAATACTAAAACATCAAAATCAATGGCAACAAAAGCCAAAATTGACAAATGGGACCTAATTAAACTAAAGAGCTTCTGCACAGCAAAAGAAACTATCATCAGAGTGAACAGGGAACCTACAGAATGGGAGAAAATTTTTGCAGTCTATCCATTTGACAAAAGGCTAATATCCAGAATCTACAAAGAACTCAAACAAATTTACAAGAAAAAAAAAAAAACCCCAACAAAAAGTGGGCAAAGGATATGAAGACACTTCTCAAAAGAAGACATTTATGCGGCCAAGAAACATATGAAAAAAGCTCATCATCACTGGTCATTAGAGAAATGCAAATCAAAACTACAATGAGATACCATCTCATGCCAGTTAGAATGGCAATCATTAAAAAATCAGGAAACAACAGATGCTGGAGAGGATGTAGAGAAATGGGAATGTTTTCACACTGTTGGTGGGAGTGTAAACTAGTTCAACCATTGTGGAATACAGTGTGGCGATTCCTCAAGGATCTAGAACTAGAAATACCATTTGACCCAGCAATCCCATTACTGGTTATATACCCAAAGGATTATAAATCATGCTGCTATAAAGACACATGCACACTTATGTTTATTGCAGCACTGTTCACAATAGCAAAGACTTGGAACCAACCCAAATGCCCATCAATGATACACTGGATAAAGAAAATGTGGCATATATATACCATGGAATACCATGCAGCCATAAAAAAGGATGAGTTCATGTCCTTTGCAGGGACATGGATGAAGCTGGAAACCATCATTCTCAGCAAACTAACACAAGAACAGAAAGCCAAACAACGCATGTTCTCACTCATAGGTGGGAACTGAACAATGAGAACACATGGACACAGGTAGGGGAACATCATACACTGGGGTATGTCACGGGGTGGGGGGCAAGGGGAGGGATAGCATTAGGAGAAATATCTAATGTAGATGACAAGTTAATAGGTGCAGCACACCAACATGGCATATGTATACATATGTAACAAACCTGCACATTGTGCACATGTACCCTAGAACTTAAAGTATAATTTTAAAAAATCAGTTTTCTTTTGGCTTTTTCTTAGCTTTATACTTAAATATTTTTTTCTAATGTAATTAGAGTGGAATTGTTTTTTGAATTTTATTTTTGGATTACTCATAGCTAGTATATACAATTGCAATTGAATTTTATATTTTGATTTTGTATCTTTTCACCTTGCTGAACTCATTTATTTGTTCTAGTAGATTTTAGGAAATTCCTTACAGACTTTTACATATAAGTTTATGAAAGATGCAATAAAGGACTTTATCTTCTTTTCCAAAAAAAAAAAAAATTTGTGCACTTAGCTCAGAAAAAAGTAAACAAAAAATTAACACAGTTACAAATTAGGATTTTTAGTGCAGGGGAAGAAGTTGTCACCACGCCTCTAAGAGGAAGGGGAAGTCTCAGAAGTATTTTCAGTTTATGACAGAAGGGCAAAAACATTGACTGCCTCAAGGTCTCAAGCACCAGTCTTCACCGCGGAAAGCATGTTGTGGCTGTTCCAATCGCTCCTGTTTGTCTTCTGCTTTGGCCCAGGTAAATGTCAATCCAGATCGGTGTAGTCACTGAGTGACTCCCTGGTTTTGTGCAGCTTGCTCAACCTAAATCGTCTGTATACAGTTGTCTGGCTCTCTGCCAAGGGATTGGGGCGGGAAAGGGGACGCTGGCAGTGTTACCTGATATACTACTACCTCCTCTCAACTTTGGATGCGATAAGCCTGAGATGGTTGTCGGTGAACAATTTCAATTGTGTCTGCATGTAAGAAAGTTATTTGCTGGGGCAGAGGAAATAAGCTTTTGAAGACAAGACTGTTTGTGGTTTATGACCAGCATCTTGTGTTATAAAGAGTACCAAGACCAAGAAAATGGGCCCTCATACCAATGTATCTACTATCGTACTGTGAACCTCAGGGAGGTTACTTATCCTTCCTGAACCTCACTATCCTCATCTAAATTATTAAAAACCTATTATTCAGTTGAGCCAAATTTTCTGGGCCCAACCAAACACACCAAAAATAACCCTCTCACCTTTTGCTCATTGCAAAAAAAAAGGTTTCCATCTCTCCCCTCCTTTAGTGCAAATTAGGGCTAGCTAGTCCAGCAATGCATTATATATGGCAGTGAGAAAAGAATGAACTGATCCAGCTGGCTTCTTGTTTCCTGCTGTCCATTATATGGAGAAGATGAAGATTCATATCACATTTGGGGAACTACAAGTGGTCCACGGGAGACAAAGTGTAGCATTCAGGCAGAGATAGTCCAGGAGACCAATGGAAATCTAGTCCAGAGCTAGCCCAGGGTAGCAGATAAAAGTAGGAAGCATTCACTGAGCACTTATTGTATTTCAAGTATTGTGCCAGGTGCTGTACACACGTTATGAGTCTCATGAGAATTCTATGAATTTATACTATTAATATCTCCATTTTAAAATGAAGAACTGAGGTGAACTTAATTTAAATAATTTGCCCAAATTTCATTAGCCAGCATGCGACAAGCTCTTGTAATAGTTATGAGAAAAAATAACAGTTCAACAAGTGTGGCAGCAGCATAAGAGAAAGAAGAGACTGAAGCAAGAGATCCCATCAATATGGAGTTAAGTAGAGTAATTGGTAATTGGAATGAGAAAGGAATAAATATTCATTGAGCACCTACTGAATGCTTGGCACTCTTCTAGTTTGCATGAATACATCATGAACAAAGCAAGCAAAAATTCCTGCCCTCATGGAGTTAACATTTTAGCAGGAGACAAACTGTAAAAAAAGATAAACAAGTAAAATAGTGTATTGGGTAGGAAGAAATAAATCAAGAAGGAAAGGGAGAGATGAAATATGGTAAAGACGGCAGTGAAATTTCAGACAGGATAGCCAAAGAAAGTGACAAAATTGGAAGGTGGAGAGCAGCCACAGGAGGAAGGTGAGTTCAATTTTGGACCTACTGATTTTAGGATGTCAGTGTGCTATACATGAGGAAGTTACGTGGAGGATCCTGGGAACTTAGGACTAGGGGTAGAGCTGAGGCTAGAGACTTAAAAATCAATGGCATAGAGATATGTTAAGCTGAGGAGAAAACTGGAATGAGAACAGAACTTTGGGAAATATATATAAAATGCAGAAAGAGAGAGAATTCTTTCCTTCATTCAAGAGCCACTTCCTGATCTAGGAGCAGAATCTTGAGTTTTTGCTTCATTTTTACCACCCTGCAAAATTATTTCCACCTCTAGAATAAAATATTCTGAATGTCCTTGTGTTAAAACTCCTCTTCTTCTCCCTATTTCCATGAATACTTCTTATAATGACCCTATGAAATATACAGTGCTCCAATCTCCACTTCACAGATGGGGAAAGAAGGCACAGAACACTAAAGTAACTTGCTCACTGCCCCACATTTATGGGGGAAATGGGTATAGAAAGAGAAACACATTTGAATGAGTTTACAGGAGGCAGATGCAGGTGTTCTGAGACCCAGGAGGAGAGAAGTGGCTGCTAGAATTGGAAATCAGGAAGCTTGGCTCCGGAGTCTGTGCTCATAGCCACTTCACTATGCTACTTAGCTTACACACAGTCATACATTCACACAAATGTGTACATAATTAGAAAATGTGAGGCCAGCAAAAAAAATAAGCAGGGCACCTTCATAGAGAAAAACACGGGGACCTGCTTTGGACGGAGTGATGAAGAAAGGACTTCCTGGAAAAGTAACATCTCATCTGATATTTAAAGGGTGTGAAAAGTTAAACAGGAAAAGTCAAATGAAGAAGATTTTAGGGCAGAGGGAATCATGTGTGAAAAGCCGTGATGCAGGAAAGAGCCTGGAGTGATTTAGGAAGGGAAAGAAGACCACTGTTGCAAAAATGTGGGGCAAATGAAATTAATCTTTGAAACAACCATGAAAAACAATGACTCATGCCAGCCTACATTCTTTGAAGTGGGTTGGGCACTATCCTGACTCCTTTTAGAAAATTTAGTGGAAAAGACAAACCATATTGAAAAATAATCCCATTTCCTTTAACTCAAGCCCTGGGTGGCAAAACTAACAGAACAAAACAATAATTGTAAATAAAATCAAGCATCATGACTTCCTAGAGAAAATAAATCTCGTTTGTTTCTTCATTTTGATTTTTATAGATGGAAAGTTGGAAATTTGTCAAACTTAAATGTGCATATAAATTACTTGGGGGAATCTTATTAAAATGCTGATTGGGGAATAGGGACTGAGATTCTGCATTTCTAAGAGGCTCCCAGGTGACACCAATGCTGCCTGTCCATGGACCACACTAAGCAGCAAGGTTCTAAATTCCAATGGACTTCAGTCATACTGGGATTGTAGGGAGGAAGAAATAGAAACTAACTTTGAGTGTGTTTGCAGGAAGCAGATATAGGTATTCTGAGGTCCAGGAGAGAGCAGTGGTTGGAAATGTAAGTAAAGCAAACACATGAGGGCTGATTCTGAGGTTGAGTCAAAATGTGCAATGCTCTTCTGTGAAGAGATTGTGACCTGATGGCCCCCGAGCAGTGTTATCTACTTTTTACCAACCGTCCACATCTTTCAAATGTTTATTGTGCTCAACAGGCAGAGAGCTGTTTTATATTTTTTCATTATCCTCAGACACGTGTTTTTCCACCTCTCAGAATCTGCAATCTCCAATGTGACCTCCAGGTGTTCATGCCTCTGTTTTTGGTCCCTTAACCCAGATTCAGCTTTGATTGTTTCTCTGTTCACACTCAGACATTTTTTATTAAGGTGAAATTCTTGTAACAGGATGTAATAATTTTAAAGTGACATTTTGTACATTTTGTGAAACCACCACTTCTATTATTCTAAAACATTTTCATCACCCCAAAAGGAAACCCTGTACCCACTAAGCAGTCATTTCCCATTCTCCCCTCCCCCCCAGCCCCTGGCAAATACCGATCTGCTTTCTGTCTCTGTGGGTTTACCTATTCTGGATAATTTCATATAAATGAAATCACACAATATATGACCTTTCGTGTCTGACTTCTTTCACTTAGCATCATGTTTTCCAGGTTCACCTATGCTGAACCATGTATCAGTACTTCATTCCTTTTTGGCTGAATAGTATTTTGTATTCTGTATATACTACATTTTATTTATCCATTTATCTATCAGTGGACACCTGGGTTGTTTTTGCCTTTTGGCTCTTGCGAATAGTGCTGCTATGTGTACAAGTATTTGACTACCTGTTTTTATCTGGGTATATACCTAGGAATGGATTTGTCAGATCATATAATTCTATGCTTAACTTTTTGGGAAATTGCCAAACTGTTTTCCACAATGGCTGTACCATTTTACATTTCCACTAGCTGTGTACAAGAGTTATAATTTCTCCACATCCTCATCAACACTTGTTTTTTTCCTTTTTAAAAAGATTATTATCACCATCCTAATAGGTGTGAAGTGGTATATTATTGTGGTTTTGATTTACATTTTCCCAATGACAAATGATTTTGAGTATCTTTTTAAGTGTTTATTGGCCATTTGTATATCCTCTTTGGAGAAATGTCTATTCAAGTCCTTTGCCCATTTTAGTTGAATTATTTGTCTTTTTGCTATTGAGTTATAAGAGTTGTTTATACATTCTTGGAACCAGACCTTTAATACATGACCTGAAAATATTTTCTCCCATTCTGTAGGTTGTCTTTTCACTTTCTTAATAATGTTCTTTGATGCACAAAAGTCTTTAATTTTGATGAAGCACAATTTACCTATTTTTATCTTTTTTCTTTTTTATCATTTTATTTTAAGTTCCAGGATACACGTGCAGGATATGCAAGTTTGTTACATAGGTAAACATGTGCCCTGGTGGTTTGCTGCACCTATCAACCTCACCTAAGTATTAAGCCCTGCATACATTAGCTATTTTTCCTGATGCTCTCTCTCCCCCCTGCCCCACCCCCGACAGGCCCCAGTGTGTGTCATTCCCCTTCTTGTGTCCATGTGTTCTCATTGTTCAGCTCCCACTTAAAGAACATGCGGTGTTTGGCTTTCTGTTCCTGCATTAGTTTGCTGAGAATAATGGCTTCTGGCTTCATCCATGTCCCTGCAAAGGACATGATTTCATTCCTTTTTATGGCTGCATAGTATTCCGTGGTGTATACGTACCACATTTTCTTTATCCGGTCTATCATTGATGGGCATTTGGGTTGATTTCATGTCTTTGCTATTATGAATAGTGCTGCAATGAAGATACACGTGCAATGAACATGCACATACACATATCTTTATAACAATGATTTATATTCTTTTGGGTATATACCCAGTAATGGGATTGCTGGGTCAAATTGTCTTTCTGCCTCTAGGTCTTTGAGGAGTCCCCGCATTGTCTTCCAGAATAGTTGAACTAATTTACATTCCCACCAACAGTGTAAAAGAGTTTCTATTTCTCCACAGCCTTGCCAGCATCTGTTTTTTCTTGACTTCTAAATAATTGCCATTCTGACCTGTGTGAGATGGTATCCCATTGTGGTTTTGATGTGCATTTCTCTAATGACCAGTGATGTTGAGCTTTTTTCCATGTTTCTTGGCCACATAAATGTCTTCTTTTTTTTTTTAACACCTGAAGAGTAAGTTTAATGGAATTCATAGTTACAGATATTCAGAAAATATTTGTTGGGGGAACTAATTAATACATTTCTTTCTTTTAATTTTTATTTTTAGTTCTGGGTACATGTGCAGTATGTGCAGGTTTGTTACATAGGTAAACCTGTGCCCTGGTGGTTTGCTGCACCTACCAACGCATCACCTAGGTATTAAGCCCAGCATGCATTATCTATTTTTCTTAATGCTCTCCCTCCCCCAACCCCACTCCCCAAGAGGCCCCAGTGCATGTTGTTTCCCTCCCTGTGTCCATGTGTTCTCACTGTTCAGCTCCCACTTACAAGTGAGAACATGCAGTGTTTGGTTTTCTGTTCTTGTATGAGTTTGCTGAGGATAATGGCTTCCAGCTTCATCCACATTCCTGCAAAGGACATGATCTCATTCCTTTTGATGGCTGCATAGTATTCCATGGTGTATATGTTCCACATTTTCTTTATCTCGTCTGTCATTGATGGGCATTTTGGTTGATTCCAGGCCTTTGCTATTGTGAATAGTGCTGCAATGAACATATGCATGCATATATCTTTGTAACAGAGCGATTTATATTCCTTTGGGTATATACCCAGAAATGGGATTGCTGGGTCAAATGGTATTTCTGGTTCTAGATCTTTGAGGATTTGCCACACTGTCTTCCACAATGGTTGAACTAATTTACATTCCCAACAGTGTAAAAGTGTTCCTATTTCTCCAGAACCTCACAAGCATCTGTTGTTTCTTGACTTTTTCATAATCACTATTCTGTCATGAGATGGTAATTTATTGTGGTTTTCAATTGTATTTTTCTAATGATCAGTGATGTTGAGCTTTTTTTCATGTTTGTTGGCTGCATGAATGTCTTCTTTTGAGAAGTGTCTGTTAATGTCCTTTGCTCGCCTTTTAATGGGGTTGTTTGATTTTTTTCTTGTAAATTTGTTTGAGTTCCTTGTAGAATCTGGATATTAGACCTTTAACAGATGAATAGATTGCAAAAATTTTCTCCCACTCTGTAGGTTGCCTCTTGGCTCTGATAATAGTTTCTTCTGCTATGCAGAAGCTCTTCAGTTTAACTAGATCCCATTTGTCAATTTTTGCTTTTGTTGCAATTGCTTTCAGTGATTTCATAATGAAATCTTTGCCCATGCCTATGTCCTGAATGGCATTGCCTAGATTGTATTCTAGGGTTTTCATAGTTTTGAGTTTTACATTTAAGTCTTTAATCTATCTTGAGTTAATTTTTGTATAAGGTGTGAGGGAGGGGTCCAGTTTCAATTTTCTGCATATGGATAGCCAGTTCTCCCAGCACCAGTTATTAAATAGTGAATCCTTTCCCCATTGCTTGTTTTTGTCACGTTTTTTGAAGATCAGATAGTGGTAGATGTGCAGTCTTATTTATGGGTTCTCTATTCTGTTCCATTGGTCTATGTGTCTGTTTTGTACCAGTACCATGTACCGTGCTGTTTTGGTTATTGCTGCCTTATAGTATTGTTTGAAGTCCAGTAGCATGATGCCTCCAGCTTTGTTCCTTTTGCTTAGGATTGTCTTGGCTATATGAGCCCTTTTTTGGTTCCATATAAATTTTAAAATAGTTTTTTCTAATTTTGTGAAAAATGTCAATGATAGTTTAATGGGAATAGTAGTGAATCTATTAATTACTTCGGGCAGTATGGTCATTTTCATGATGTTGATTCTTCCTATCCATGAGCACAGAATATTTTTCCATTTGTTTGTGTCCTCTCTGGTTTCCTTGAGCAGTGGTTTGTAGTTCTTTTTGAAGAGGTTCCTTCACTTCCTTTGTTAGCTGTATTCCTAAGTATTTTATTCTCTTTGTAACAATTGTGAATGGGAGTTCATTCATGATTTGGTTCTCTGCTTGCCTGTGTGTGTTGTATAAGAATGCTTGTAACTTCTGCATTGATTTTGTTTCCTGAGATCTTGCTGAAGTTGCATGTGAGCTTAAGAAGCTTTTGGGCTGAGATGATGGGGTTTTCTAGATATAGGATCGTGTCATCTGCAAACAAAGATAATTTGACTTCCTCTCTTCCTGTGTGAATATGCTTTATTTCTTTCTCTTGCCTGATTGCCCTGGTCAGAACTTCTAATACTATGCTGAATAGGAGTGGTGAGAGAGGGCATCCTTGTCTTATGCTGGTTTTCACAAGAAATGCTTCCAGTTTTGCCCATTCAGTATAATATTGGTTGTTGGTTTGTCATAAATGTCTCTTATTGTTTTAAGATATGTTCCATCAATACCTGGTTTATTGAGAGTGTTTAACATGAAGGGATGTTGAATTTTATAGAAGGCCTTTTCTGTGTCTATTAAGATAATCTGTGGTTTTTGTCTTTAGATCTGTTTATGAGATGAATTACATTTATTGATTTGCATATGTTGAACCAGCCTTGCATCCCAGGAATAAAGCCAACTCGATCAGGGTGGATAAGCTTTTTGATGTGCCGCTATATTTGGTTTGCCAGTATTTTATTGAGAATTTTTGCATCAGTGTTCATCAGGATATTGGCCTGAAGCTTTCTTTTTTGTTGTATCTCTGCCAGGTTTTGGTATCAGGATGATACTGGCCTCATAAAATGAATTAGGGAAGGGTCCCTCCTTTTCAATTGTTTGGAATAGTTTCAGAAGAAATGGTGCCAGGTCCTCTTTGTACCTCTAGTAGAATTCAGCTGTAAATCCTTCTGGTCCTGGGCTTTTTCTTTTAGACTATTTATTACTGTCTCAATTTCAGAATTTGTTATTGGTCTATTCAGGGATTCAGCTTCCTCCTGGTTCAGTCTTGGGAGGGTGTATGTGTCCAGGAATTTATCCATTTCTTCTAGATTTTCTAGGTTATGTGCATAGAGGTGTTTATAGTATTCTCTGATGATTGTTTTTATTTCTGTGGGGTCAGTAGTGATATCCTCTTTTAACATTTTTTATTGTGTCCATTTGATTCTTCTCTCTTTTCTTCTTTGTTAGTCTAGCTAACTAGCAGTCTATCTATATTATTAGTTTTTCAAAAAACCAGATTCTGGACTCCTTGATTTTTTTGAAGCATTCTTCTTTTATCTATCTCCTTCAGTTCTGCTTTGATCTTGGTTATTTCTTGTCTTCTGCCAGCTTTGGAGTTTGTTTGCTCTTGGTTCTCCAGTTCTTTTAGTTTTAATGTTAGCATTTCAATTTGAGATCTTTCTAGGTTTTTGATGTGGGCATTTAGTGCTCTAAATTTCCCTCTTAACAGCTGCTTTAGCTGCATCCAGAGATTCTGATACATTGTCTCTTTGTTCTCATTGGTTTCAAAGAACTTCTTGCTTTCTGCCTTAATTTCATTATTTAACCAGGAGTCATGCAGGAGCAGGTTGTTCAATTTCTATGTAGCTATGTGATTTTGAGTGAGTTTCTTTGTCTTGAGTTCTAATTTGATTATGCTGTGGTCTGAGAGACTGTTTGTTGTGATTTCAGTTCTTTTGTATTTGATGAGGAGTGTTTTACTTCCAATTATGTGATCAATTTTAGAGTAAGTTCCATGTGGCAATGCATAGAATGAATATTCTGTTGTTGTAGGATGGAGAGTTTTGTAGAGGTCTATCAGGTCCACTTGATCTAGAGCTGAGTTCAAGTCCTGAATATCTTTGTTAATTTTCTGTCTGAATGATCTGCCTAATATTGACAGTGGATGTTAAAGTCTCCCGCTATTATTGTGTGGGAGTCTACATCTCCTTGTACGTCTCTAAGAGCTTATTTTAGGAATCTGCTTTTGTATTGGGTGCATACATATTTAGGATAGTTAGTTCTTCTTGTTGAATTGAACCCTTTACCATGCCTTTCTTTGTCTTTTTTGGTCTTTATTGCTTTAAAGTCTATTTTGTCAGAAACTAGGATTGCAATCCCTGCTTTTTTCTGGTTTCCATTTGCCTGGTAGATTTTCCTCTATCCCTTTATTTTGAACCTATGTGTGTGTTTGCATGTGAGATGAGTCTCTTGAATACAGCACACCAATGGGTCTTCACAATTTACCCAGCTTGCCATTCTGTGTCTTTTAAATGGGGCACTTAGCACATTTATATTTAAAGTTAGTATTGTTATGTGTGAATTTGATCCTGTCATCATGATACTAGCTAGTTATTTTGCAGACTTATTGATGTAGTTGCTTCACAGTTTCATTGGTCTTCATTGTGTACTTCAGTATGTTTTGTAGTGGCTGATAATGGCTTTTCCTTTCCATATTTAGTGCTTCCTTCAGGAGCTCTTGCAAGTCAAGCCTGGTGGTGGATGAATTCCCTCAGCATTTGATTGTCTGAAAAATATTTTATTTCTCCTTTGCTTATGAAGCTTCATTTGGCCAGATATGAGATTCTGGGTTGAAAATTCTTTTCTTTAAGAATGTTGAATATTGACCCCCAATCTCTTCTGGCTTGTAAAGTTTCTGCTGAGAGGCCTGATGTTATTCTGATGGGCTTCCCTTTGTAGGTGACTTGGCCTTTCTCTCTGGCTGCCCTTAACATTTTTTCCTTCATTTTGACCTTGAAGAATCTAATAATTATGTGTCTTGTGGTTGATCCTCTCATGGAGTATCTTACTGGGTTCTTTGTATTTCTTGAGTTTGAATGTTGGCCTGTCTTGCTAGGTTGGGGAAGTCTCCTGGATGATATCGTGAAGTATGTTTTCCAACTTTGTTTCATTCACCTGTCTCTTTCAGGTACCATAATCAGTTGTAGGTTCGGTCTCTTTACATAATCCCATAATTCTCAGAGATTTTGTTTGTTCCTTTTCATTCCTTTTTCTCTAATCTTGTCTGCCTATTTTATTTCAGCAAGATAGTCTTCAATCTCTTAAATTCTTTCCTCCACTTGGTCTATTCGGCTATTGATACTTATGATTGCATTGTGATGTTTTCATGTTGTGTTTTTCAGTTCCATCAAGTCATTTATGTTCCTCTCTAAGCTGGTTATTCTGATGAATAGCTCCTGTAATGTTTTATCCTGATTCTTAGGTTCTTTGCATTGAGTTAGAACATACTCCTTTAGCTCGGCAAAGTTCATTATTACCCACCTTCTGAAGCCTACTTCTGTCAGTTCATCCTTCTCAGCCTGAGCCCAGTTGTGTGCCCTGCTGGAGAGGTGTTACAATCATTTGGAGGAGAAGAGACACTCTGGCTTTTTGAGTTTTCAGCATTTTTTATTGATTCTTTCTCATCTTCCTGAGTTTATCTAGCTTTGATCTTTGAGTCTGCTGATCTTTGGATGGGCTTTTTGTGGGGACTTTTTTGTTGATGCTGTTGTTGTTGCTTTCTGTTTGTTTTTCTTTTAGCAGACAGGACCCTCTTTTGCAAGACTGCTGCAGTTTGCTGGGGGCCCACTCCAGATCCTATTCACCTGGGTCCCTCCCCACCCTGGTGGTGTCACCAGTGGAGGCTGCAGAACCGCAAAGATGGCTGCCTGCTTCTTCCTCTGGGAGCTCCGTCCAAGAGGGGCACCAAACTGATGACAGTGGGAGTGCTCCTGTATAAAGTGTCTGGTAACCCCTGCTGGGGAGTCTCACCCAGTCAGGAGTCACAAGATAAGGGACCCACTTAATGAAGCATTCTGTCTGTCCCTTGGCAGAAAGGATGTGCTGTGGTGGGGGGGATCCTACTTATCCAGACTGCCCAGATTCCTCAGAGCCAGCAGGGGAAAAGACTAAGTCTGATGATCCACAGAGTCCGCAGCCCCAGTACCCACAGGGACTCAATCCCAGGGAGATCAGGGTTCTGTCCATAAACCCTTGGCTGGAGTTGCTGAAATTCCCACAGGGAGGTCCCATTCAGTGAGGAGGGATGAGTCTGGGTCCAGCCTAAAGATGCAGTCTGGCCACAGTCTGCCACAGCTGCTGTGCTGCACCATGGGGAATTCCTCCTGGTTCCAAACCACCAGTCCCTCTGGCACTGGCAGGGGAAAGCAGCAGACAGAAGCTGCAGTGATGGCTGCTGCCCCTTCCCCCAAGAACTCAGTAGTCTTAGACGGTCTCCAGCCAAGTGGCAGCTGAGAATCTGCACAGCTCTGTGCTTGGGATCCAAGGCCCTTGTGGTGTTGGCTCACGAGGGGATCTCCTGGTCCATGGGTTGCACAGATCCATGGAAAAAGCATGGTTTCCTGGGTGGGGTAGCACAATCACTCACCACTTCCCTTGGCTGGGGGTGGGAGCACCCCTTGCCCCATCAGCTTCCAGGTGGGCTGTTGTTCCACCCTGTTTTCCTCACTCCCTGTGGGTCATGCCAACCACCTAGTCAGTCCCAATGAGTGAGCCTGGATACCTTAGTTGCTGGTGCAGGATTCACTCACTGTTTTCGTTCTTCTCAGTGGGATCCTCCAACCACAGCTGTTTCTAGTTAGTCATCTTGGCCCCTCCCCACATTTTATCTTTTCTTACTTATGCTTTTGGTGTCATATATCAGAATCCATTCCCAAATCAAAAATCATGAATATTTATCATTATGTTTTCTTCTAAGAGTTTTAGCTCTTATATTTAGGTGATCGATACATTTTGAGATAATTTTTGCATATAATGAGAGGAAGGGGCCCAACTTCATTCTGTTGAATGTGGATATCCAGTTGTCCCAGCACCATTTGTTAAAGAGAGCATTCTCTCCCTATTGAATGATCTTAGCACTCTTGTCAAAAATCACCTGGCCATAAATGTTTGGGTTTATTTATGGACTCTCAATTTAATTTCATATAGACATCTATAAGTTTATCTTTATGCCAGTACCACACTGTTTTGATTACCATATCTGTATCAGTTTTGAAATTGGAAAGTGTGAGTCCACCAATTTTGCTTTTCTTTTACAATATTGTTTTGGCTACTTGGGGCATCTTGAAATCACATATAAATTTGAGAATTAGCTTTTCCATTTATGAAAAAAAATCAACATTTTGATAAGGATTGCATTGACTCTATAAATTGCTTTTGGTGGTATCGGCATATTAATATTATCTTCCAATTAATGAACATAGGATGTATTTCCATTTATTTAGATTTTCTTTCTTTCAGAAATGTTATTTAGTTTTCAGTGTATTATCTTGAACTTCTCTGGTTAAATTATTGCCAGGTATTTTGTTCTTTTGAATGCTACTGTACATGGAACTGCTTTTCTTAACTTCTTTTTCAGATTGTTCATTGCTAGTGTGTAGGAACAGAACTGATTTTTATACATTGATTTTGTATCTTGCAACTTTGCTGAATTTATTTATTAGCTCTGATCATTTTTGTGGATTCTTTAGGATTTTCTATTTTCAACATCATGTTATCTGTGAATAGGAATAGTTTTACACATTCTTTTTCAATTGAGATGCATTTTATTTATTTTTCTTGCCTAATTGCTCTGGCTAGAACTTCCAGTTCAATATTAAATAGAAGTGGTGAGACTGGGCACTGTTGCCTTTTCATGCTGTTATTTGAAAGGCTTTTAGTCTTTTATCCTTGAGTAAAATGTTAGCTGTGGGTTTTCATAAATGCCTTTTATCAGACTGAGGAAGTTCCCTTCTATTTCTAGATTCTAAAGTGTTTTTATTTAAAAGGTGCTGGTTTTTTTCAAATGTTTTTTCTGCATCAACTAAGATGGCCATTAGTCTATTTTTCTTCATTCTGTTAATATCATATACTGCATTGATTGGTTTTCATGTATTGAACCACTTTTGCATTGCTGAGATAAATTCTACTTGGTCATGGTGTATAATCCCTTTAATATGAGCTGGATTCAGTTTGTTAGTATTCTGTTGAAAGTTTTTGCATCAATATTCATAAGGGATATCAGTCTGTAGTTTTCTTTTTTCTGATATTTTTGGCTTTGGTATCAGGGTAATGCTGACCTAGTAAAATGACTTAGGAAGTGTTTTTCTCCTCTTCTATTTTTGGGAAGAGCTTGAGAATAATTGAAACTAATTATTCTTTGAATAATTAGTAGAATTTACCAGTGAAGCCATCTGGATTTTCTTTGTCAGGAGGTTTTTGAGTACTGATTCAATCTCTTTTCTTGTTATAGGTCCTCTTTAATTTTTTATTTCTTCTTAAGTCAGTCTTGGTATTTTATGTGTTTCCAGAAATCTATTTCATCTAGGTTATTCAATTTGTTGGCATATAGTTATTTATAGTGTTCTCTTAATCCTTTTAGTTGTTATTTCTATAAGATCTGTAGTAATGTCTCCACTTCTATGTCTACTTTTAGTAATTTGAATCTTTTCTATTTTATTCTTTGTCAATCTAGCTAAAGGTTTGTCAATTTTGTTTATCTTTTCAAAGAACCAACTTTTGGTTTCATTGATTATTTCTCTTGTTTTTCTATTCTCTATGTTATTTATCTCTGCTCTAATTTTTATGATTTGCTTCATTCTAATAGCTTTGGGTTTAGTTTGCTCTTCTTTGTCTAGTTTTTTAAAGTGTAAATTTCCTCCTTCTTTATTTTTTTAATATACTTTAAGTTCTAGGGTACATGTGCACATCGTGCAAGTTTGTTACATAGGTATATATGTGCCATGTTGGTTTGCTGCACCCATCAACTCGTCATTTACATTAGGTATTTCTCTTAATGCTATCCCTCCCCCAGCTCCCCACCCCCTGACAGGCCCCAGTGTGTGATGTTCCCCACCCTGTGTCCAAGTGTTCTCATTGTTCAATTCCCACCTATGAATGAGAACATGTGGTGTTTGGTTTTCTGTCCTTGTGACAGTTTGCTGAGAATGATGGTTTCCAGCTTCATCCATGTCCCTACAAAGGACAAGAGCTCTTCCTTTTTTATGGCTGCATAGTATTCTATGGTATATATGTGCCACATTTTCTTAATCCAGTCTATCATTGTTGGACATTTGGGTTGGTTCCAAATCTTTGCTATTGTGAATAGTGCCACAACAAACATACGTGTGCATGTGTCTTTACAGTAGCATGATTTATAATCCTTTGGGTTTATACCCAGTAATGGGATGGCTGGGTCAAATGGTATTTCTAGTTCTAGATCCTTTAGGAATTGCCACACTGTCTTCCACAATGGTTGAACTAATTTACACTCCCACCAACATTGTAAAAGTGTTCCTGTTTCTCCATATCCTCTCCAGCATCTGTTGTTTCCTGACTTTTTAATGATAGCCATTCTAACTGGTGTGAGATGGTATCTCATTGTGATTTTGGTTTGCATTTCTCTGATGACCAGTGATGATGAGCATTTTTTCATATGTCTGTTGGCTGCATAAATGTCTTCTTTTGAGAAGTGTCTTCATATCCTTTGCCCACTTTTTGATGGGATTTTTTTTTTCTTGTAAATTTGTTTAAATTCTTTGTAGATTCTAGATATTAGCGCTTGGTCAGATGGGTAGATTGCAAAAATTTTCTCCCATTATGTAGGTTGTCTGTTCACTCTGATGGTAGTTTCTTTTGCTGTGCAGAAGCTCTTTAGTTTAATTAGATCCCATTTGTCTATTTTGGCTTTTGTTGCCATTGCTTTTGGTGTTTTAGTATTGAAGTCGTTGCCCATACCTATATCCTGAATGGTATTGCCTAGGTTTTCTTCTACAGTTTTTATGGTTTTAGGTCTAACATTTAAGTCTTTAATCCATCTTGAATTAAATTCTGTATAAGGTGTAAGGAAGGGATCCAGTTTCAGCTTTCTACATATGGCTAGCCAGTTTTCCCAGCACCATTTATTAAATAGGGAGTCCTTTCTCCATTTCTTGTTTTTATCAGGTTTGTCAAAGATCAGATGGTTGTAGATGTGTGGTGCTATTTCTGAGGCCTCTGTTCTGTACCACTGATCTATATATATGTTTTGGTACCAGTACCATGCTGTTTTGGTTACTGTAGCCTTGTAGTATATTTTGAAGTCAGGTAGTGAGATGCCTCTAGCTTTGTTCTTTTTGCTTAGGATTGTCTTGGCAATGTGGGCTCTTTTTTGGTTCCATATGAACTTTAAAGTAGATTTTTCCAATTCTATGAAGAAAGTCATTGGTAGCTTGATGGGGATGGCATTGAATCTACAAATTACCTTGGGCAGTATGGCCATTTTCATGATATTGATTCTTCCTACCCATGAGCATGGAATA
The DNA here is from genome assembly GCF_000001405.40 of Homo sapiens. Lineage (NCBI taxonomy): Eukaryota > Metazoa > Chordata > Mammalia > Primates > Hominidae > Homo > Homo sapiens. The sequence continues at coordinate 160,508,029 of NC_000001.11, read as the reverse complement.
TTCTTCCATTTGTTTGTGTCCTATTTTATTTTGTTGAGCAGTGGTTTGTAGTCCTCCTTGAAGAGGTCCTTCACATCCCTTTTAAGTTGGATTCCTAGTCTTCCTTCTTTCTTTCAGAGGGATAAAAATATCCCTCTGAGCACTACTTTTGCTCCATCCCATGTTTTGGTAAGCTTTGTTTTTGTTTTCACTTGGTGTCAAGATATATCCTAATTCATCTTGTTATTTCTTCTTTGATCCATTGATTATTTTACACTATGTTAATTATGACATATTTGTGAATTTTCCAATTCTCCTTCTGTTCTTGATTTCCAGTTTTATTCCATTTATGGTCATAGAAGACATCATATATTTAAGTCTTTTATAATTTATTGAGACTTGTTTTTGTGGCCTAATATATGGTCTGTCCTATGAGAACGACTTATGTGCATTTGAGGAAAATGTATATTTTGTTGTGTTTGGATGTAGTGTTTTTCATATATATGTTAGGTATTGTTGGTTTATAATGTTTTCCAAGTCCTCTATTTCCTTATTGATCTTCTCTCTAGTTGTTTTGACCATTATTGCAAGTGAGGTATTGATGTCTCCAACTATTACTGTAGAACTATCTATTTCTCCCTTGAATTTTGTTACTGTTTGCTTTATATATTTTGGGGCTGTTGTTTGGTGCATATGTGTTTATAATTGTTATAACTTTTTGCAGGGTTGACCCTTTTATTAATGTATAATGTCCTTTTTTGCCTCTACTAATAATTTTTGACTTAAAGTCTATTTGCCAATATTAGTATAGCTACTGTAACTCTCTTTTGGTTACTACTTGCATGGAATATCATTTTCCATCTTCTTCTTCTAAAAGTATTTGTGCCTTTGAATCTAAAGTGAATCTCTGTATGTAGAAAATAGTTGAATCCTGTTTTTTCAATTCATTCTGCCTATCTCTGCATTTTAATTGAAGAGTTCAATTCATTTACATTTAAAGTAATGACTGATATGTAAGGACCTACTTCTTGCATTTTGCCATTTCTTTTCTGTATGTCTTAAACCTTTTCCCCTCAGTCCCTCCACTATTCTATTCTTTCATGTATAGTTTATATTTTTAAGTTTAGATTCCTTTCTCATTTCCTTTCCTGTATTTTTAGTTATTGTATTGTTATCCTCAGTGTTACATTTAACCTCTTCAACTTATAACAAGCTATTTTGAATTCACACTACCTTAGCTTCAATAATATACAAACACTGTGCTCCAATGTTGTTTCATTCTGCTGCCTTTACGTTGTTGTAACAAACTACATCTTTGTGCATGTGTGCTCATTAACAGATTTATAATTATTGTTTTACTCATTTGTCTTTTAAATCATGTGGGAAAAAGGAGAAGTTGCAAAGCAAAAATGCAAGAATACTGGCTTTTGTATTAATCTATGCAGTCAGATTTACCTTCATTCTTTGTTTCTTGGTAGGGATTTGAGTTACTTTCTAGTGTGATTTTATTTCAGCCTGAAAGATTCCCTTTAGTATTTCTTACAGTACAAGTCTACTAGCAATAAACTCTATCTGCTTTTGTTTATCTGCAAATGTCTTAACTTCTCCTTCATTTTTGAAGGATAATTTTTTCAGATGTAGAATTCTTGGTTGATGGGTGTTTTTTTTTCTTTCAGCACCTTAAATATGTCATCCCACTGCCTCCTGGCAATCATGGATTCTTCTGAGAAATTGGCTGTTGATTTTATTGAGCATGACTTGTACATGACTAGTTGCTTTCTCTTGTTGCATTTGAGACTCTCTCCTTGTTTTCATTTTTCTGGTTTGATTATAATATGTCTTGTTATGGATCTCTTTGTGATCATTCTTCTTGGAGTTCATTGACTTTCTTGGATGTATAAATTCATGTCTTCTATAAAGTTTGGGAAGTTTGGGGCCATTATTTTTTCAAATATTATTTATGCCCTTTTCTCTCTCTCTGCTCCTCCTTGGACTCCTATTATGCTTATTTTTTGGTATTTTTGATGGTGTCCCACAAATCTCTTAAGCACTGTACATTTTTCTTCACTCTTTTCTTTTCTGATCCTCAAACTGGATAATTTCAATTGACCTAGCTTTGAATTAGCTATTTCTTACTTCTGCCTACACAGAGCTTCTGTTGAAAGCCTCTAGTGAATTTTTTATTTCAATTATTGTATTTTTTCAGCTCCAGAATCTCTACTTGGCTCCTTGTTATTATTTCTATCTTTTAAAAATATTCTCTTTTCTTTATATATCCTTTTCTTGATTTCCTTTAGTTCTTTGTCCATTGTTTCCTTTAGCTTTTTGAGCATATTTAAGATAGTTGAGGCCAGGCAGGGTGGCTCATGCCTGTAATCTCAGCACTTTGTGGGGGCCGAGGCAGGTAAATCATTTGAGCCCAGGAGTTCAAACCAGCCTGGGCAACATAGTGAAACTGCATCTCTACAAAATATTTTAAAAATTAGCCAGGGATGGTGGCATGTGCCTGTAGAACCAGCTACTCAGGAGGCTGAGGTGGGAGGATGACTTCAGCCCAGGAGGCAGAGGTTGCAGTGAGCTGAGATCACACCACTGCACTCCAATCTGGGCAACAGAGTGAGACCCTGTCTCAAAAAAAGACAGTTGACTTAAAGACTTTGTCTAGCAAATCCAGTATCTGTCCTTCCTTAGGGACAATTTCTGTTTATTTCACCTGTGAATGGGTCACACTTTCTTGTTCTTCACATGCTTTATAATTTTTTGTTGAAACTAGATATTTTTAATACCATAATATGATAACTCTGGAAATCAGACTCTTCCCCTTCCTCAGTATTTTGTTTTGTTCCTTGCTCTGGGTTGTAATTCTTGTTTTTTTAGTGACTATTCTAAACTATTTTTGTAAACATATTATTTGTCACATGTAGTCTCTAAAATGTCTTTTTCTTTAGCTTATGGTCAACTAGTGTTTTGACAGATATTTCTTTGAACACCAGAAGGAATAAACAAACAAATAAATAAATAAATTCTGTGCTTGTCTTTGCAGATTGGCTCTGTTTTGGGGCACTCCTTTAATGCCTAGACAGGCTACCACTCTGCGTTAGCCTTGACTTTCTTCTTGTACCCAGCATAATTATCAGCCATAGATAAAATCTTAGAGTCTTCTCAGAACTTTTCTAAGTATGCACCCTGCCCTAGGCATGTATGTGGCTTTCCAAATTCCCTGGTATAAGCAGACATTTTCTTAATGCCTGAATTCTTCTAAGAATCTTTCTCCCCAGCTTTTCTTCCCAGGCATTCGACATATCTATTTTTTGCCTCCACTATAATGTTTTGCCCCAGGTATTGATGGGTTATTCATTGCCTTTCAGTGTTTATGAGAAATGTCCTCTGCATGGCTAATTTTCTACCTGAAAGAGAGGTAGTTGAGACAAAGACAAGTGCTTTTCCTCAGTTTTTTAGGGAGCATCCAGATAGTTGAAAACAGACAAATACAATTCTTTCAGAACCAGTTCTGCTCTATGCCTGCTGGAACCAGTGACCATGGTCTCCTACTGAAAATGTAGACGGCTGTCTTCAAGACTGCTATCAAGTTGGAGAAAAAAGATCGGGGAAAGGGCAATCAAACATTCTGCAAAGCTCCCCAATGATTTTTTTTTAATTGTGTATATCTAAGCTGTACAACATGACATTTTGATATATGCAGTGAAATGGTTACCCTAGTCATGCAAATTAACATATTCATTATCTTGCACTGTTACCCTTTTTGTGCAAGTATGGTAAGAGTATCTAAAATCTACTCTGAGCAAATGTTCGGTATACAATACAATAATATAAGTATAGCCTTCATGTTGTATATTAGATTCCTAGACTTATTTACCCTACATATCTGCAACTTTGTACCCTGTGACCTACATCTCCCCATTTCCTCTCTGTTCCCTCTCTCCACCTCTGATAACCACTGCTTTATACTTTGTTTCTATGTATTTGGCTTTTTTTAACTCCTTTTTTTCTTTTGCTTTTTTTTTTTTTTTTTGAGATAGAGTCTCACTCTGTCACCCAGGCTGGAGTGCAATGGCATGATCTCAGCTCACTGCAACCTCTGCCTCCCAGGTTTAAACAATCCTCCCCAGCTGGGACTACAGGCATGTTCCACTCTGCCTGGCTGATATTTTTGTATTTTCAGTAGAGACAGGGTTTCACCATGTTGGCCAGACTAGAACTCCTAGCATTTTTAAGTTGCCTCTTTTTTTGACCCATCATTTGTTTGGTTGCTATAAACCTTTGACTAGTTTCTACAGTTCTGACAAAGTTGATTCTGACAATGTTTGCTCACTCTGTGTGTGTTCGCATGAGTGTGCATGTTTTTTGTGGAGGGATGGACCCTTGCAGTTATTTATTGTGCCATTTTGACTAATGTCACTGACCCTCAGACTTTAGGCCAGCAATTTCAACAAAGTAGTCACCATTCCCCTGAAATCCCTCTCCCCTTTGATGCCACACCTACCTATACTATGCCTATTGCTAATATTAGGTGATCCCCAGCACCTTCTTTCCCTGTTCCTGGGCTACAAGTGCTATAATCATTGGAGAAAGTTATTAGTGTGGTGCAAAAGTGATTGCGGATTTTCCCATTGAAGGTAATGGCAAAATCCGCAATCACTTTCGCACCAGCCAATGCAAAACTGGATGGACTCCATGAATGGTGCGTGTCAACCAAGCTTGGCCAATTCCTCCTCACTGCTTCCACACTCATTTATTGATGACTTGTCAGTTTCCTAACAAATTCCTCATAGCAGCTTTTACATGTCTCATCCGTCTTCCTCTAGATTCTATGAGATCTACTTCTCTTAGAACAACTTTGAGAAAAACATAAGCGAAATATTCCAACTTCTTCCCCTTTACCCTCTAAATCTTTTGAGATCTTTAACCTTATTCTTTTCAGTCTCAAAAGAAAAGGAGAACCACGTCTACCCAAGACTAACCTCTTCACTTATGCTCCTAAGCCCACCCTGGCTTCCTCCTCAGAAATGACACCGTTTTGAATACTCCCTTTCACCATATCTTAAGTTTTTTCTTTTTCTCCCAGCTGCTTCCCTTTGCTCCAAATTTGCTCAGGACTCTGTTACCTAAAGAGTAACTTCCATTTGTCCTACCTTCTCAATATCCTGACTATGTTTCTCCTCCCTTCTCTTTAAATTCTCTTGAGAAATCAGCCCCTACTCTCTTTCATACTGCATTTGCCTCCTGTGGAGCTAACACAGCTTGCTATATTCCTGTTAGCTATAGATGGGCCTAAGCTAGTCCCTCAGGTTAGAAACCCAAAGTTCCTTGACTTTTCTCTCTTTTTCAGAATCTGCTTAGTTCTACCTCTCTCCTCTCTTTCCTAAGACACTGCTCTCTTTATACTTTGCCAATTTTCAAAAATACTTCATGTTTTTTAATACCTTCCAAACTAACCCTCCACTAATCAGGTAACCCTTAAAAACTTCTCTATTCTAATTCCAATCTACTTAACATTCACTGAGTTCCCTGGACCAGGTTATGGGGAAATACAATGCTGACTAAGATATTATTTGAGTTCCCCAAAACACATCATACAGTAGATGAAACTTGTAAACAAATGTACCCCAAATGTCTGCTGTCTTGACATCCTCACCAGTGGATGGGCAAGACCTCAGCATCACCTTCATGTTGCAAGGAGTTCCCCAGTGACTTATGAGAGTCTCAAAGGAAAGCTTCCCATGAGTCCCCAAAGCAGCCTACGAGTTGTAGCCAACATGAGGCATCTTTCCCATTCTTAATCTCCTTTTCTGGTTCTAGTCCCCCACACAGGATGCCAGCAGAGCCATTTAGATGCCCTGCTTATTCCAAGAACATCAATGTCCATGCCAAGGGTGCTGGTCCCGGATGCTCCCAAAGCATCAGTGTTGATTCCTGGCAGAGCAGAGAAAAGGACCTCCATGTGCCCTCTGGGCCACACCACAACACCTTGGCCCTGAAGCAGCTCTGCTCCTGTCCAAAGTCTCATGCAGGGTCTTTTAAACATTTTCAGTAGCATCTGACCTTCACTGTCCCTAAGCATATTGTCTCAAATCTAGTTTTGCTTTGGTTTGGTTTTGGGTCTGTGGGGAACTATTCCTACCATCTCATCCATCCTGTGCTCCTTCTCCCTTTGCTTCACCACAAACTCCTTTCTCCCCTTCCCCATGTACCAATGCAAAACCCCCATAAATATAAGAGGCAAACAGATATTTTAGCTCATCCTTGAAGGATAAATAGGAGCTTACCATGTAGGAAAGATGAAGAAAGGCATTTTAAGCAGAGGGAAAAGCAGTGCAAAAAAAAAAAAAAAGCAAGGCATTATTGGAAGAATTACAAATAATTAAGTAATGGAGAACTCATAGCTTTTATTCAAGACTTTGCTACAGTGTCATCTCCTGTGAACTGTTCCCTGACAACTCCCAACTCTTCCCAGTTCATGATTCTCTAAATTTTTGCTCCCATGGAGCACATATCTCTAACAATTCAACATTTATTGAGCTAGAAATTGTGTGCTAAGTTCTAGGAATATAGAAATAATAATCAGAATCCCTGACCTCAAGATTATGGAAAAGAAAAGAAAATAATCTTGTAATTATAACAAAGAGAAAGAACTGCTTGCAATTGCATGTATAACTGCAATAGTGATACGAGGGCAATGCAGAGGCAAGCCTTACACTAGCTCAATGCCCAACCCACCACATCAGAACTAACTACTCATTTACCTGTCAGGCTCCTCTATCAGATGATGGACCCAGAGGACTGACAGTATCTTATATTCCCAGTTTCCAGTCTAGAAACTGGTACATAAAACAGACCTAATAAATATGCCATGGTTCCTAAGGTTTTACTAATTGAATTAGCATGGAAGTTAGCAAATATTAGAATATTTGAACACCAGAATGAATAAACAAACAAACAAATAAATAAATTTCTGTGCTTGTCTTTGCAGATTGGCTCTGTTTTGGGGCACTCCTTTAATGCCTAGACAGGCTACCACTCTGCCTTAGCCTTGACTTTCTTCTTGTAAGCAGCATAAATAGCCATAGATAAAATCTTGTTACATAAACTAATTATTTCAATCTATAAAATCAATGGAACTTAAACAAGCGTTCCAGGCAAGGGAAGAACAGCTCCTGGTGAGTCCTTAGGCCACTGAGTAAGCCCAGACTCCCTACCAAAAGGAACTGAGCTTTAACATTCTAGACAGAAAACCTCCAAGAGAAGGGATGGAGATATGTCCATTCACTCAGTAAATATTCATGGGATGCTTACTATGTGCCAGGTGCTGTTCAAGAATGTTCACAATAGTAGACAAAACAGACAAAAATCTTTGTCTCCATGGAGATTACATTCTAGTGGAGAGGTGAGAAAATAAACAAAAACAAATATTTAAATTATAAAGTATACTAGATGGTAAGTACTAGATGGTAAATCCAAAGGCAGCTGGATGTGCAAGGGTGGATGGGGGCTGATGGTGCAAAAAGAGTGGTCACACTTCTTTAAATTCTCTGAGCAGGAATGTTTGCATTAATGACTTTATGGAGGCAAAAGAGTGAGCTGCATGGATACTTGGAGAAAGTACATTCCAGACAGAAAGGATTGCAAATGCAAAAGCCCTGGCCTGCTCAAGGAATAGCCAAGGGGGCTGGAGCAAAGTGAACAAGGGGGAGAATATAGGAATTAGGTCAAAGAAAGAGAAATGGCCAGATCATTTTGGTCCTTATAGACCATAGACATGATTTTGTTTTGCTCTGCTTTTGTTACTGTTTTAACTTTTTAAACTGAAATACAAAGAGAAAAACTATACGAATCTTAAATGTCAGCTCAATGAATTATCATAAAATGAACAAATCTGTGTAGCCAAATACAGATCTAGAGATAGGACATTATCAGTATTCCAGGATCCTTCCTTTATACTCCCTCCTATTCACCACCTCTCCCTCCTCAAAGGTAACCACTCTCTTGACTTCTGACAGCATAGATTTGTCTGTTTATCAACTTTAAATAAATAGAATCATATATTTGTATTCTCTGGTATCTGGACATTCTGCTCAAAATGTTGCTTGTGGTATTCACCCATGTGATTCAGAGGAAAGAGGAATAAAGATGACAAATAACAGTGTGTTAAAATGCTGATGGGAAAGATGTTGATGACAGCAATGTTCATGTGCCTGGAACCCATATGACAATTCATGAAAGAGAGAGGAAGTGCAAGCTCACCCAGGAGCTGAGCACTAGGACTCCAAGAGACATTTCCTTCCCTATTCAGCTCCTCCTATAAGAAATAAGAAACCCTCAGAAATGACAACTTTCCATGCTCATGGATTGGAAGAATCAACATCGTTAAAATGGCCATACCACACAAAGCAATTTCTAGATTCAGTGCTATTCCTATCAAACTACCAATGTCATTCTTCACAGAATTAGAAAAACCATTCTAAAATTCATATGGAACCAAAAAAAGAGCCCAAATAGTCAAAGCAATTCTAAGCAAAAACAAAAAATCCAGAGACATCACACTATCTGACTTTGAACCATACCATAAGACTATAGTAACCAAAACAGCATGGTACCGTTACACAAACAGACACATAGACAACTGGAAGAGAACAAAAAACTCAGAAATAAAGCCACACCCTTACAACCATCTGATTTTTGACAAGGCCAACAAAAGCGAGCAATGGGGAAAGGACTCCCTGTTCAATAAATGGTGCTGGATAACTGGCTAGCCATATGCAGAAGATTGAAACTGGACCCTTACCTTTAACCATATACGAAAATTAACTCAAGATGGATCAAATATTTAAATGTAAAACCTCAAGCTATAAAAATCCTAGAAAAAAATAGGAAATACCCTTCTTGACACTGGCCTTGGCAAAGAATTTTTGGCTAGGTCCCCAAAAGCAATTGCAACAAAAACGAAAATTGACAAGTGGAACCTAAGTAAACTATAGAGCTTCTGCACAGCAAAAGAAACTATCATTACCGTAAACAGACATCTTACAGAATGAGAGAAAATATTTGCAAACTATGTACCCAACATAAGGTCTAATATCCAGAATCTATAAGGAGCTTAAACCAATAAGCAAAAAGACGAATAACCCCATTAAAAAATGGGCAAAGGACATGAACAGGCACTTCTTAAATGAAGATATACAAGCACTCAGCAAACATGAAAAAATGCTCAGCATCAGTAATCATCAGAGAAATCCAAATCAAAACCACAATGAAATACCATCTCACACCAGTCAGAATGGCTATTATTAAAAAGTCAAAAAAAAGAACACAATAGATGCTGGTTTGGTTTTTGATATGGTTTGATTGTGTCCCCACCCAAATCTCATCTTGAACTGTAGAGCTCCCATTATTCCCACATGTCATGGGAGGGACCTGGTAGGAGGTAATTGAATCTGGGGGTAGGTCTTTCCTGTGCTATTCTCATGATAGTGAATAAGTCTCATGAGTTCTGATGGTTTTATAAAGGGGAGTTCCCCTGCACATGTTCTCTTTGCCTGCCACCATGTAAGACGTGACTTTGCTCCTCCTTCACCTTCCACCATGCTTGTGAGTGCCATGGCCTCCCCAGCCATGGGGAACTGTGAGTCAATTAAACATCTTTCCTTTATAAATTACTAGTCTTGAGTATGTCTTTATCAGCAGTGTGAAAATGGACAAATAACACTTTTTTGACTTTTTAATAATAGCCATTCTGTCAGAATGACAGCTGGAAGAGAACAGAAAATTCAGAATACACTAATACACTTTTTTGTATTTTTGTATAGCCATATGCAGAAGATTGAAACTGGACCCTTCATTCTTTCAGAATGTCTATTATTAAAAGTCAAAAAATAAAAAAAAAACAGGTGCTAGGTCCCACTTGGTGAGGTTGCAGAGAAAAGGAAACAGTTATACACTGTTATTGGGAAATATAAATTTTCACTGTGGAAAGCAGTTTGGAGATTTTTCAAAAAACTTAAAACTGAGCTACCATTCAACCCAGCAATCCCATTACTGGGTATATAGCCAAAGGAAAATAGATCATTATACCAAAAAGACACATGCACTTGTATGTTCATACTATGCTATTCATAATAGCAAAGACACAGAATCAACCTAGGTTCCAATCAATGATGGATTGGATAAAGAAAATTTGGTATATATACACCATGGAATACTAACCAGCCATAAAAAAGAATTAAATCATGTCTTTTGCAGTAACACGGGTGGAGCTGGAGGCCATAATCCTAGCACACCAACACAGGAACAGAAAACCAAATACTACATGCTCTCACTTATAAGTGGGAGCTAAACACTGAGCACACATGGACATAAATATGGGATTAATAGACGCTGTGGACTACTAGAGGGGGAAGGAAGGGAACAGGTAATGGGTTGAATAACTACCTATTAGTTATTATGTCCACTATCTGGGTGTGATATACCCATGTAACAAATCTGCACATGTACCCCCATATCTAAAATAAAAGTTGAAATTTTTAAGAAAAAGAAGCAAGAGATCCTGAGAAGGTTGAGGTAATTGTTATAGTTATTCATTCATTGACCCACTAGAACATTTCCACAGACTCTACTATGTGTCAGACATGGTGCTGAGTACTGACATGCAAGGCTAATTAAGGCGTGGTCAGTTAGACAAACAGGTGAACAAAACTACAAAATAGTGTAATAATTGCTAAGAATTTGGGAAAGGATGCTAAGGAAGCATCTTCTTTAAGAATCATTGTGACCATTTCACCGTTTTTGCTTAAACATTGATAGTTCTGAATAAGTTCACAAGAATGTGGCCATCATGTGTTACTTTGAAATTATATTTATTATTTCTATATGTATCCATTTTGTCTCCTCAATAACTAAACTATAATCTTTCTGAGAGAATTAAAAAAAAATCTTCTGGTATCATGAAGACAGCACAAAGTCACTGGAGTCAGAAGACCTGGGTTTGAATCCTGACTCTGCTATTCTTTAGCTGTGCAACCCTGGGAAAATTAGTTAACTTTTCTGTAGCTCAGTTCCTTTATCTATAAATGGAAGTAATAATATCCATCCTGCCTGCCTCACAGACTGTAGTCAGCGTCAATGAAATAATATATAAGAAGAACTGACTATCCTATAAATCCCTGATATTAGTCCCTGTTACCAGCCTTCTAAGTTGCACAAGCCTACTATGTTGGACACACAGTAAGTAATCAGTAAATATCAGGCTTTAATTATGCTTTATTAGCAAAGACTTGCAGTTTTTGGAGTCTATAGTTTCCTGTCCCCCTCAACCTAATGTCCAAGGACTTCAGAGGCTAGGATCACAAAGTATAGTTATGACCTAGGAGTGACCAGCCAGTGTAGGACCCAGCGTGGACTGGGCCGGTTTCATCTAGACTAGCTGCCTACTAACCAAGAGTGGCTGACATTTTGCTGGAGGTGAAGCTCTGGGACTGTGATTATTCATTTAGAAACATCTCCTACCCTTTCCTACTCTGTCATATCTCTGAGTTTTGGTATCAGAGAGCTCTAACAGACTGGCAGCGTTAGGTGAAAGGGTGCAGGACTTGGCAGGGAGATGGTCAGGAACATTTTTAAAACCTTTCCTTCTGTGTTTACAGGGAATGTAGTTTCACAAAGCAGCTTAACCCCATTGATGGTGAACGGGATTCTGGGGGAGTCAGTAACTCTTCCCCTGGAGTTTCCTGCAGGAGAGAAGGTCAACTTCATCACTTGGCTTTTCAATGAAACATCTCTTGCCTTCATAGTACCCCATGAAACCAAAAGTCCAGAAATCCACGTGACTAATCCGAAACAGGGAAAGCGACTGAACTTCACCCAGTCCTACTCCCTGCAACTCAGCAACCTGAAGATGGAAGACACAGGCTCTTACAGAGCCCAGATATCCACAAAGACCTCTGCAAAGCTGTCCAGTTACACTCTGAGGATATTAAGTAAGTCAAAATATGGGGTTTAATTCCATATGGACTGAAAAATATACATGTATTCCAATCCTATGTGACTTCAAATGTGCACTGTCGCCTAGTGGTAAAGAATATGGCATTTGGAGTCATTGAGTCAGTGTCAACACAATGACACTGCAAAGCCAGTTAATGACAGAGCTGAAGACAGAGCCTAAGTCTTGTGTCCCAGCCCAGAATTACTTCACTCCGATAAAATGGTCTTCTTCAACCAGAAATGTAGCAGAAGTAATGGAAGTCAAATATTTATGATAGTGTTGCCTTGTGCACTACATGTATTTGCCATGTAATTCTCACAAAGACTCCATGAGGTAGGTACAGACCTTATACCCTTGAGGCACAGCCTCAGTCACAGTGATTTGCCTACAAGTCACAGAGATAGTAATGGTAGCACTTCCCACATAACTACCTGCCACGACACCTCCCTTTTCACAAAGGCTAGTCTGACCCAGTAGAGTGGTCAGTGTACAGAACAGTGGTCTACCTAGAAAGTTATCTGCAAAGATAGGCTGATAATGAGAAACATCCTTTCTGTCAAGGTTATTTAATTTTTAACAATATTTTCCCCCGATGGCTCATATTAATCACCAGTCAACAATCTGCCTTCCCAAGATTAAAAAGAATGAAAATGTTATCAACATAAAATTATGGAAACTATAATGAGATTTCTTATGAGTCAATATCAGAAAAATACCTCTCTAGCAATCAGTGATATTCAGAGATGCCATTAATGGCTTTAGAATAATCACTTAGCAGGAGATTCAAGCATTAAATTGGCAATCAGACCAGAAAACATTAAAGGCCACGGAAATTCTGTAATTTTTATCCACTTGAGGGCCTGTAGTGTCTAAAATTCACTCAGAGTCCTTTGGGTTAAGACATGGTACTCAAAAAAGCACTGTTAAAATAAAAGGTCTCCACAGACAGATTACATGTTAACTTTTAGTATCCCCTGAATATCTGGTAGGTTTATCGTGTTAGATTAGTCAAAATCATGTTCTTGAAGAATAGAACACCAAACAGGTAAATGTAATGGGAAAGAGGTGATGTCTGGAAAACTTCTATACAAGCGATTCTAACTAAAAAGGAAAAATCACCCTGGGGCAATGTATTACTTTCCTGAGGCTGCTGAAATAGAAATACCATAAAGTAGGTGGCGTAACAGAAATTCATATTCTCTCACAGTTCTGGAGGCCAGAAGTCCAAAATCACAGTGTGGGCAGGGCTGTGCTCCCTCTGGAGGCTGTAGCGGGCAATCTGCTCTTTGCCTCTCCCAGCTTCTGGTTGCTGTCAACACTCCTTGGTTTTCTTTGGCTTGTGGCTGCATCACACCAATCTCTACCTCCATAGTCAGGTTGCCTCCTTCTTTTCTGTCTGTCTCAAACATCCTTTTGCTTTTCTCTTATGGGAACATTTGTCATTGGGTTTGGGGACTATCCAGGTTATACTGGATAATGTCATATAACATAATTCCATCTGCAAAGACCCTTTTTTTCCAATAAGGTAATATTCAGATTCTGGGAATTAGGGCGCAGACAGATCTTTTCTGAGGTCATTATTCAACCCACTACAGGCAGAATCACCCTGGGTGACCAGTAATTATCAAGGCAGTGTAGGACACTGGAGAGAAGAGAGACTCATCCAATGGAAAGCCTGAAATGGGTACCAGGCTTCATCACATTTGCTGAGATAATGTTCCTCTAACATTGTTGAGAAGACCAGGTATGACTTATCTTGTGACAGCCACCCTCTTGAGGCTCAATGCTGATCTCTTTCAGGGCTTTTTAGAGTGCCATCTCCTTCAAAGTCACATACACAGAGAACTGTGTAAGCTACACCAGGTAGTTTTACAATAGTGCAAAGGAATTTCAAGGTATAAGTTATATAGGTTTGATTTTTAACATTGATCAATCTCTTGGTATGTGCCAGGATATGAATGGCAAAGATTTGATTTTATGGGCCAATACCAATTAATTGGGAGTGACTGCTAACATGGTTTGGCTCTGTGTCCCCACCCAAATCTCATCTCGAATTGTAATCCCTACATGTCAAGGGAGGGACCTGGTGGGTGGTGATTTGATCATGTGGGAGGTTTCCCCCATGCTGTTCTCATGATAGTGAGCTCTCATGAAAGCTGATGGTATTAAGCGTGGCACTTCCTTGCCCTTTCTCTCTCTCTCCTGCTGCCATGCAAGACGTGACTTGCTTCCCCTTGCCCTTCCGTCATGATTGTAAGTTTCCTGAGGCCTCCCCAGCCATGTAGAACTGTGAGTCAATTAAACCTCTTTCATTTATAAAGTACCTAGTCTTGAGTAGTATCTTTATAGTATCGTGAAAACAAACTAATACAACTGCCTAGAGTTCAGTGTTAAGAAAATCTTGAAGCCATGATAGGTTTATTAATTGAGTCAACAATATTTGTTAGACATGGATAACGTCCAAGGCACTGTTATAGGCACCTGGAATACATCAGTGAGCAAAACAGACAAAGATCACTGTCCTCATGGAGCAGACATTCTGGAAGGGAAGTAGAGGAAGGTAACAAGCAATTCACATAACATATAAACAAGTGATACAGCATGTAAGAAAGCCCTGAATGGTATGAACAAAGGAGAGATTAGAACAGCATAAGAAGCATCAAGAGTGCCAGGGAGCAGGGGACAATTTTAAAAGAAGTGATCAGAACAGGCTTCATTGAAAAGATGACATTTGAGCCAAGACCTGTTGGAAGTGAGGAAGTGTGCCACGCAGATAACTGGAAGACACGCCATCCGCATAGATAGCAAGATCCCCTGTGCCTAGACTACTCAAGAAACACCAAGGAGGCCAAACGTCCAGGAGCAGAGTAAGGGGAAGGTAATAGAAAATGAGGCCAGAAAGGAAACAGGGGCCACATCGCAAAAGGACTGAGAGCCATCACAAAGACTTTGGCATCTACTCTCAGTGACACTGAAAACCATCAGAAGGTTTTGCAAACAAGTAATATGATTTGACTTACTTGTCTAAAGGATTCCTTTGGCTGATCTGTTGAGAGTAGAGTTCAAGGGGGAAGGGTAGAAGCCAATGGGCCAATTAGGAGACCATTGCAATAGTCCAAACAAGAGTTGATGCTAGCTTGGATCAGGGTGATAGCAGTGGAGATGGTGAGAAGTGGTTACATTTTGGACATATGTTGAAGGTAAAGCCACCAGGATTTCCTGATGTGGGAGTATGAGATGAAGATATGAATCAGCGATAACTCCAGAGGTTTTGGCCTCAGTGATAGGAAGGATGCAGTTGTCAACAAGTCAGATGGGTAAAACTGCAGGTTGAGAAGGTTTGGGAGAGAAAAACGGGAGTCCTTTAGACTATACCAAGTTTGAGATATACTTACACACTTATATACCTGTGGAAATGTCCTTACATATTCATTAAGTGGAAAAAGGTAACAAGATGGATTTTTTTTTCAGTTCAGCCATCAACACTGGATGAGGGAGATGTGATTTTCATGCCAAATATTTGCCATCCCTGTACTAGGCACTGTCTCATTTATTCCTCAAAATTACCTGAGAAGTGGGTATTATTACCTGGTCTTACAGATAAGGAAACTGAGGCTTGGATATAGCAATAATTTGTCCGTGGTCATGTAGCCAGTAAATTACAAAATTCAGGTCTTGACTCCAAATCCAACACTTTTCCCATACATGAATACTCTGTTCTGGCAATATTTCAGTACAGATACTCCACAACTCCTACTCAACTAAGCTCAAAGTACTACTCGGTCTCTTCTAATCAGAGAATTGGAGTCATTCTCTTCCTGGTTGGGTCATCTTTACTTCAAACCTCAGGCCAAGGCTAAGTCAGTGGCCTTTTCTGTCTTGCTCCCATGTTCCCATTGGTTCACAGTTACATCTTACTAGGCAATATTTCCTGGTCTTTGCTCTCAGAAATACCTACATCACATGTCATCTCACATGCCTAGATACGCCGCACTTCTTTGCTCCCCAGAATTGCTTGCTTGCTTTCTCACCTTATTCACTTCTTCCTTCCCCACTTCTTTGGTTCTCAGCATTTTCCTTTCTGTCTTGCTGACCTTCTACATCTGAGTCTCTTTCTCACTATTGGAGCCAGCTTTAGATACAATAGGAACCAGGATCCCCATAGATTCAAATTCCCCAAGGAAGTGATGCTTCCATCTTCCACCCCAATTAGGTAATTCTGATAGCAGAGGAAACAGGACTCTTCCACCTGGTCTCTTGGCTTCTCACATCACTGAGTTGCCCTCAGAGTTCTTGGCTTGGTCTCCAAATTGTCTTTACACAGGGGCAGAGTGCAAGGACTAGAAGGGAACCCAGGGATAAACTGGAGACCAGAAATATAAAATAACCACCCCAAAACTACCCAGCTAGTTGATGGAAACCTCAGTCTCTCCCTTCCCACTTCTTCTGCTGACTATCCTGCCCCATACTGATGTCCCGCATCATTTGGTCATCCCAGACCTTGCTACCATCAATTAGGCAATATAAGCAGAGTCATTTACAGAGTCTACAGACCATAACACACAGCAAAGGTGAAATACAAAACATTGAGGTGAAGGATATTTTTCACAGGGGGTTGAGCCAAGACATTTGTCCTTAATCTGGATCTTTTTTTTTTCTGCAAACAGGACAACTGAGGAACATACAAGTTACCAATCACAGTCAGCTATTTCAGAATATGACCTGTGAGCTCCATCTGACTTGCTCTGTGGAGGATGCAGATGACAATGTCTCATTCAGATGGGAGGCCTTGGGAAACACACTTTCAAGTCAGCCAAACCTCACTGTCTCCTGGGACCCCAGGATTTCCAGTGAACAGGACTACACCTGCATAGCAGAGAATGCTGTCAGTAATTTATCCTTCTCTGTCTCTGCCCAGAAGCTTTGCGAAGGTAACAGCCTGCCTCAGGTCTGAGAGCCTTGAGCAGCTATGGGGTTTAACGCGTCCTCACATCCTACGTAATTTCCAATACAGTGGCCCAGTGGGAGGCAGAAAATGCTGCTGGGAGGGGACAGATGCCCTCTGGAGCTCTGCATCTCTCAGTACTCCCAGAGGACTCTCCTTCCTTCCTCTCCATTCCCCAACCCCTCGTCCAACCTACTCAGAACCCAAAATCAAAGGCCTGGGAATGTAGGATTGCTTTCTCTCCCTAACTCCACTGGGCCCCACCCTCCCCTGCCTGCCACATAGGACTCCCACCCCAGAGCCTCCGGCTATAGACAAACTTACCTAGTCCCCAAAGATGGCCTAGAAGAGGCTCCACGGAGGCTCCAAGAACAGTGGGCCTCACTTGATGTGTCTCAAATGTCATTTCTTTTTTCTCTTTTCAGATGTTAAAATTCAATATACAGATACCAAAATGATTCTGTTTATGGTTTCTGGGATATGCATAGTCTTCGGTTTCATCATACTGCTGTTACTTGTTTTGAGGAAAAGAAGAGGCAGGTTTCCTTTCTTCCTACTTGTCTCTTCTCCAAGGTTCCAGTGATTGAGAGTTTGGGGCCTCTGATTCCCAAGGATCTCTTGTGGAAGACAGGAGGAGGGAGGGAGGCTGCAAACCCTGGCTCAGCTAGTCCACTGAGATAATCCCTGGGTGTGATCTTGCACCTGCTAATATCCTGAGAGAAATGTCCTACTGGGAAAAGTGGGACCCTGTCTCAGGGCTGCTTGCCCTTCCTTTTGGGTCCCCTCCCACCACATCCCAACACTCACGGGGTTAGGGGTGAAATGCCTCTCCCACTGCTGTCACACATTTCAATTTTCTGGTTTTATTTTTCAGATTCCCTATCTTTGTCTACTCAGCGAACACAGGGCCCCGGTGAGCATTCAGACTCTTAACTCTCCATCATAAAGCAGATGGGAAGAGCCAAATGGAAGAGAGAGGGGGATGGCAGAGGGCTGGATAATGACAGAGGAAGGAGTCAGAATGTCATTACTCAGACCACATGCTGTGAGGGGAGATGATCTGTAATCATGGGTCCTACATGGTTCACAGGCATAGGCATGTGAACCAGTCACTCACACAGTTTCTCTTGGTGATATCAGGTTCATTCACCACCCTGCTGATGGAGAAACTAAGTCCCAGTGAAAGGGATCATCCCTTGTCACCCAGCAAGTCCAGGGCACAGGCAGGATTAGAGCATCCAAGGCACAAAACCAAACTGTCTGACTGCATCATTACTGTTCAGCCAGGGTCTGGGCAATGGATAGACACAGTGGAAAGAGAAAACATGATATAGAAACACAAACACAGGCTCTGGACTCAGATTGGCTTTGGGTCTCATTTCATGCATGAGTGATGCATGACATCACTTGCAGAGGAAAAGGCATAAGGTTTGAAGTCAGAAGACGTGCATTTGAGTTGCTGTTTCATCACTGTCTGTATGGCTTTGCACAAGTCAGTTAAGTTTTCTGAGCCTCCAGTTCCTCATCTCCAAAATAATCAAATCCGCTGTAGAGACCTCTGAAAAGCTTAATAATATCCCAAATGTGAAATAACTGGCTCCATTATGTTTGCCAATGAGGTGTCTTTAGCCCTTCCATAGGCAGGGCTATTTGGTCCCAGGAGCTTCCTGACCCACATGTGAAGCCTGAGGGAGACTCTGAAGCTTTAGGGGACCTCAACACCACCTTCTACCCCAAGAGATGTGGTCAGAAATAGACCACATGACTGAGAAGGTTCACCCAGAGCTCCAAAGACTGTCAAGAACGAATGATCCCTCAGGAAAGGAGATGCTTCAAACACCTGCCTATCTGGGGACACAGTGTGCTCTGGGGAGGGAGAAGTCCTGGGAGAGAAGTCCCAGAGTCCTTGTGCCATTGACTGTGCCTTCCTATGTTAACAGCAGAGTCCGCAAGGAACCTAGAGTATGTTTCAGTGTCTCCAACGAACAACACTGTGTATGCTTCAGTCACTCATTCAAACAGGGTGAGTCTTTTCAGCTTTATATGCCATTGTTGTCAGTTTTACAGCCATTGTTCACAAACTTGTCACCATAACCATCTGACTGAACAAATGACCACTGAGGGGAGGAGAAGACAGCCACAGCGACAGGGGCTGCAAAGTTATGCGCTAGACCACTCTGGTGTCTGCCTTTCTCACCCTTAAGGGAATGTTTATTCATACCCTGCCTTACACAGTTCTCCAACCGCTTGATGCATCAGTAAGTCTTGTCCCTTCAGCTTAATTACAAGCTGACTGAAAGTACAAATTATGTCTTCCTCTCTCTTGCCCTATATCCTAGCATAATGATCAGTAAATACTTGCTGAATGGGTCAGAGTTCCACTAAGTTTGAAAGTTTCCTATGGACGTAGTTCCATAGCAGGTGGCTGACTTCTCACTCTGCATGTAGGGGTCTTAGGGGAGTTCAGAAGTAGTCTCTCAAGAGGGGAAGGGGGCACAGTAGAGGCCACTAAACCATGAGCAATGGTTCACCCCTCCCCTCTCATCTAGCAGCATAACAGGATGGCTGGTCAAGCATCAGCAACTCATCTGTCATGTATCAGCAACTCCCCACCACCCCTAAATAAAGGACCTGCAGGTGGCACATCTCTAAATAATACCATACATTTTGAGAGGCCAGTTTTCTGAAAAATAAGCCAGGAAAGCTTAGCATTTTCAAAATGATGTAAGCAATGATCTAGCTAGAAATCTTGGATTCCCTTCACCTATATTTGCAAAGTATGATCCTTGATGACAGGAAGCAAGAAGGGGTACTCTCACTTGCTCAGACATTTCTTTTGCCTTTGCAAATTCCTCCTGAAAACAAGTCAACTCACACTCTGACAAATCAAAAAACTAATTTCCCACAAATTGGTTAGCTTTCTCTTTAGCAAAAAGAAAAAAAAAATGTGCTTTGGAGAGTTTGAGGTTTTTTTGTTTTTTGTTGGTTTGTTTTTTGTTTTTTGGTTTTTTTTTTTTTTTGAGACAGAGTGTCACTCTGTCACCAAGGGCTGAGTGCAGTAGCACAATCACAGCTCACTGCAGCCTCAACCTCCTCATGCTCAGGTGATCCTTTTACCTTGGCCTCCCAAGTAGCTGCGACTACAGGCGAGCACCATCACATCAGGATAATTTTTCTACTTTTTGTAGAGACGGGGTTTCACCATGTTGCCCAGGCTGGTCTCAAACTTCTGCGCTCAAGTGATCCGCCTGCCTCGTCCTCCCAAAGTGTTGGGTTTACAGGCATGAGCCACTGTGCCCAGTAGAGATCTTGATAATTCTCTAAATACTTCTTCATTAATTTAAAGTGTCAAAATCTTTGAGTAGGTTCTTTGAGGGCCGTAGGGACTTCTGCTATTATTTCTGTAATGTGCATTCCAGGCAGAGCCATTCTTAAGGCCAAGTGTTCCTATTCTACCAATTCCCCATGCTTGAGAAGACCCCAATGACATGATGACAAGGCAGTTAGAATTATAGCAAAAGATGGAGCAGGCAAAATGGGTAGTTTCAGTCATAGCTAGTAAAAATTTGAGACAAAACATATAATAAACTATCTGGTATATAAGTTTTTTCTTAAAAATGGAGGAAGGAAAGTAGAGCTGGACAAAGGACAAGAATACTTCCTTCCCTTCATACAGCAAGGCTGCCTTTCTCTGGCTCTTGAGCCCATTGGTTTGCTGCAGTGTTGCTGTTCTGTTTGGGGCTCAGGAAATGCCACTAAATCCTCACAAGTTTGATAGCTAGTCGTGCTTGGTCTTCCACTGAACATTCCCCAGCCTTCCTCTGGAAGAACTTTGACATATTCTCTTTTTTGTCACACAGTCTTTCCTAAGAATATATCTATGCATTAATCTCTTTGTCTCTGTGTAAGCCAAATTGGTATGATTCTTTTTACAGGAAACAGAAATCTGGACACCTAGAGAAAATGATACTATCACAATTTACTCCACAATTAATCATTCCAAAGAGGTAAGCCCACGATTGCTCCATGTTTTTATATTCTTACCTCTCTCCACAGACCTATGATTTTTCAAATAAAGTAAAAATAAAAGGGTCATTTTACAGATGCACAAACAGCAGCAGCATGCGGAAAGTCTCAGGACATCACCAAAACATAATCAAGAAGTTATTTTGTATTAGGATCACCATGCATAACTGAGTTTTCAATTACATGTTTTTAAATTTAATCCTGCCCTATGCTATCAATATCTCTATTATCTGCCTCTCTGTAGTCTCCAGTCCTCTCTCTGTAGTTATGAGGGGTGGGCTGAGGTTCCAGTTCCAATTAACCTACCTCATCTTCCTCTTTTTCCCACAGAGTAAACCCACTTTTTCCAGGGCAACTGCCCTTGACAATGTCGTGTAAGTTGCTGAAAGGCCTCAGAGGAATTCGGGAATGACACGTCTTCTGATCCCATGAGACAGAACAAAGAACAGGAAGCTTGGTTCCTGTTGTTCCTGGCAACAGAATTTGAATATCTAGGATAGGATGATCACCTCCAGTCCTTCGGACTT
The DNA here is from genome assembly GCF_000001405.40 of Homo sapiens. NCBI lineage: Eukaryota > Metazoa > Chordata > Mammalia > Primates > Hominidae > Homo > Homo sapiens. The sequence continues at coordinate 160,486,557 of NC_000001.11, read as the reverse complement.
AAACCTGCCTACCTGAGTCAAACACCTAAGGATAACATCATTTCCAGCATGTGGTTCAAATAATATTTTCCAATCCACTTCAGGCCAAAACATGCTAAAGATAACACACCAGCACATTGACTCTCTCTTTGATAACTAAGCAAATGGAATTATGGTTGACAGAGAGTTTATGATCCAGAAGACAACCACTTCTCTCCTTTTAGAAAGCAGCAGGATTGACTTATTGAGAAATAATGCAGTGTGTTGGTTACATGTGTAGTCTCTGGAGTTGGATGGGCCCATCCTGATACAAGTTGAGCATCCCTTGTCTGAAATGCTTGGGATTAGAAATGTTTCAGATTTCAATTTTTTTTCAGATTTTGGAATATTTGCATTATATTTAGCGGTTGAGTATCCAAATCCAAAAATCCAAAATTCAAAATGCTCCAATAAGCATTTCCCTTGAGTTTCATTGATGTCGATGCAGTGCTCAAAATCTCAGATTTTGGAGCATTTTGGATATTGGATTTTTGGATTTGGGATGCTCAACTTGTACAATGTTTATTAGACACATCTCCTGGGACATACTGCCTAACCTTTTGGAGCCTTAGTCTCCCAGACTGAAAAAGGAAGAGGATGGTATTACATCAGCTCCATTGTTTGAGCCAAGAATCTAAGTCATCCCTGACTCCAGTGTCTTTGTCACCAGGCCCTTTGGACTCTACCTCAGAAATATTTCTTGGACCTTCCACTTCTCCTCCAACTCCTTGACCACCATCCTGTATCCAACCATCACCACCTCTAACCTGAATCCTACCTTAAGATCAGAACAGTTGTCCTCACTTTTGTTCTTGTCCCTCTCCAACCCACTCTCCACAAGATGGCCAGAGTAATGTTTTTAATATAAATTGGATCCTTCAGTTTCCTGCTTAAAACCCTGCAGGTTTCCCAATGCACTCAGAAAGAAATCCAGTTTCCATGGCCCTGGATGGTCTGGCCCACCTCCAGCCTCAGCTAGCATTACCCTTCTGACACTCTCTATGTAGCCTCCCTGATCTTCTTTCAGCTCCTCTATTAAAGGAAAAGTTCTTTATGTTAATTATTTACATCTTCCTGCAGGCCCTTCCTCTGCCTGCTGGGGTCCTCCTATTCTTTAGGTTTAATTTTAAATATGTCACCTCCTAAGAGAAACCTTCCCAGACCACTCTTTCTAAAATGAATCTTCTAGGCTGGGCATGGTGGCTCACACCTGTAATCCCTGTACTTTGGGAGGCCAAGGGGGGAGATCACTTGAGGTCAGGAGTTCAAGACCAGCCTGGCCAACTTGGTGAAACCCCGTCTTTACTAAAAATACAAAAAAATTAGCCAGGCGTGGTGGTGCACCCCTAAAATCCCAGCTACTTGAGAGACTGAGGCAGGAGAATCGCTTGAACCCAGGAGGTGGAGGTTCCAGTGAGCCAAAATCATGCCAATGTATTCCAGTCTGGGTGACAGAGTGAGACTCTGTCTCAAAAAATAAATAAATAAAATAAAATGAAATAGATCTTATTATTCTGTTACACCTTCTATGTCATTTATCATATCATTAAATATTTATTTTTACTTTTTTAACATCTATTTCTCCCACTATACCCTAAGCTCTTCAGAAACAGAGACAATAACTGTTTTGTTTATCACCGTAACCCTAGCACCTAACACAGTATCTAGCATATAGCAAGTGTTCAAAAAAATTTTTTAATAAATAAATGAATATGTAATGGGGTTTTGTGAAAATGAAATAAGACAATACACCTGGAGTCCTTAGCATAGCTCTCAGCCACATAAAGGAGCTCAATAAATGTCAGTCAGCATTGTTGGTATAATTACTGATACAATTAGTATAAATTAATAATAGTAAAAATTAATTATTACTGAATTACACAGAATCATCTCACAAACCTTCAGCACAACAAGACGTGACAGAGATCAGCTCTCAAGACCACAGGATTCAAAGGGAAGGGGTTGGAGAGTTGGAATGGGGAAAAACTGAAATAATGGCTGAAAAGAATAGAAAAAAACAAAGCTCATCAAAGTTAATTAATCTCAAATACCAGCCATCAATTACAGTATTAGTCAGTGGAGTAGGACAAGATAGGGAAGCTTAATCAAGAAGAAGGAAGAGTTTCCAAGGAATAGGTTCTGGGTTCATGGAGACTTCAAAGAAAAGAGTAAAAAGAGGGTTACTGCCATGTTCGTGCAACATGACCTGAAGCTCAGGAAATCTCACTGGGCAGGTAAGAGAGTGCTTTCCTTTCAAGGGGACCCAAAAAAAAAAAAAAAAAAAAAAAAAAAAAAATATATATATATATATATATATATATATATATAAAGCTTTTTTTGTGTGTGTGGAAACTTTGAAGAATTCCAAGGTTCTTCAGAGAGGGAAAAGGAATAATCTGTAAAGTCAGTGCAGATAGAAAAATATTTGCAACATCTAGGGTGCCCAAAACCAGCAAGAAAATTAGGGGATATGTCATGGAAGGCACAACTAATCCATCTAGTCAGAAATCTACCAGAATCTACCCTGAATCTGGACTGCACTGGGGAGGATCACAAACAAAACAAAAACTAAGGGCGTATCTATAGACATCTAAGAGGTGAGTAAGAAAAGAACTCATAAGAAAGCTAAGCTCACTTGTCTTTATAGACCAGCTACTAAAACATAGAATTCCTGATGTTATATTTCTTTCAATCTCTTCAACCTTCTCCCTTTTTATCATAAATACCACACTCTCTTCTCTTGGCTTCTGTGACACTACATTCCCCGAGTTTTACTCCTTCCTTCCTAGCTGCTTCTCAGGCTCTTTGCAGATCCACTGCCTCCTCCACAGGACCAGTAAAGACTGAAGCTAAGGCTCACATGTGGGTCCCATTCACTTCTCCATCTAAGTACTCTTCTTATCTGATGTCAGCCATTCCTATTGCCTTAATAGCCTTTATAAGCTAATGGTTCCCAAACACATCTTTAGTCCTGACCTCCTGGCTTACCTCATTAACTGCCTACTTGGCATCACCATTTGCATATCTGGTAGATATATCAAAGTTTTTTAAAAAATAAAAACTCTTGGGCAGATGTGGTGGCTCATGCCTGTAATCCCAGCACTTTGGGAGGCCGAGGCAGGTGGCTCACTTGAAGTCAGGAGTTCGAGACCAGTCTGGCCAACATGGTGAAACCCGGTCTCTACTAAAAATACAAAAATTAGCCGGGTGTGATGTTGGGTGCCTGTAATCCCAGGTACTCAGGAGGCTGAGGCAGGAGAATCACTTGAAACCAGGAGGCGGAGGTTGCAGTGAGCCAAGATCATGCCACTGCACTCCAGCCTGGGCAACAGAGTGAGACTCTGTCAAAAAAAAAAAATCAAACCTCTTGATTTCTCTTATCAAGCCTTTTCTTCTACTATGCTTTTTCATATCAGTAAATGGTATCATTGTTATGGGACACTCTTGAACAGATCTCCTTTACAAAACTGAAAACTACCCAGTACTCACCATATAACTAATCATTTTTGTTTTCTTGTGGGAAACAAATGGATTTAATCAACAAAAACCTAATCTATTGTTCTAAAGTTAAATACATTAAGACCCAGATGCCCCATTCCTAAAAGATGAATCATGCATTTTGCAAGCAGGGAAGAAAACATGCAATGCTTATAAAATTCCTACCAAAAAACAAACTTTCTTTGCCCAGGAGGTAAGCTTGTTCTTTAATATTTTTATTGTAGAATTAAGGAAATGGTAGCCCCATTAAACTACTTTGAATAAGGTAAGATGGCTGTGATTGGCTATCCTGGAAAGGTAATAAAAGGGAATAGAAATACTCTTCCCACTCTGCCAGCCCCCAGTCATTCCCACTAGGAGGTCACAAAGTGTTGACAAGGCCTACAAGACCCCTACTCACATCTCTACTCCTTCTTTCACAGCATTCCAGCCACACTGTTCTTTATTCAGCTCCTAGAATAATCTAGACTCTCCTTCCTACTTCTGTGCCTTATGGATACTGGGACCACATCCCTATGAGGCAACAATTAGCTGGTGCTGAGTAGCCTCTGTTCTATTCTAAATGGGGCTTGCACTTCACATTTCACTCCTGGCCTGCCCTGCCTGCTTCACTCACTTAAGATACCTACCTAGTACTGAAAATAGTTAAGTTTCCAACCTCTTACCTACACCATGAAGCTTTGCCCCACATCATGTTGGTCAAAAGAGCACATTAACTAGTCCCAAAATAACAATGTCTGATCTCACTTGTCCACACCCCATCCCACCCTCAAGCCAACACCTGAACCCCGTGTAGCTTTAGGACACTTACTTGAAGCTTTCATCATTTAGCCTCCCTCAGGGTTCAGTGTATACTTTGATATGAGGAAGCAGGGCCACAGCTAGATGCAGAACAGAGAGAAGGCTACCCTGTCCAAGGTCACTGGATAGACATTTCACCCTGAGTTTCAAGTTGATGAAAAGAATGGACTAAGAAGTGACTTCTCAAATGGGGAGGGAGCAAGTCTGACCCCCTGAATTTCCCCTTCCCAGAGGCCATCTAAAAGCACTCTCTGTGGGAAGAAAGGAAGGGGACATCATCACTGACCTTTTACTACCAGACGACTAGAATGGCCACATCCAAAGCTTTTGCTTCCTCACCCCTAGCCCACTCTTCTGAAGCTGCATTCTTGAAGGATACCAACCTCTAGAGGCAGGGATCTTTTCTCTGCATTCTGGTGCTCTCTGCAGCATTTGACATTACACAATCCCCCCATCACCCTTGAGGTTTCCCTCCTTTTAATGCCCATTAAGTCACCTCATCCTACTTTTGTCTTTCTGTCTCCTCCTTACCTCTCCTTAGCTTGGTTTCTCTTATTATTTATGTCCCATAATTAGATTTGTTTCCCTAGGTTCTGCTGACTGGATATTTTCCTGGATGTCTCGTAATCACCTTAAATTCTGTTTTTCATTCTCCCTTTGACTTCTAATGACCCAAGGAAAGTAGAACATCCCTCTCAGGATCCAACAACAATCCAAAACACAAGGTGAATTCATGGCAACTTAAAACACAAGGTGAATTCATGGCAATTTAAGACACAGGAGGAAATAGAGGGGCAGCCAAGATGGCCGAATAGGAACAGCTCCAGTCTACAGCTCACAGCGTGAGCAATGCAGAAGACAGGTGATTTCTGCATTTCCAACTGAGGTACCGGGTTCATCTCACTGGGTAGTGCTGGACAGTGGGTGCAGGACAGTGGGTGCAGCGCACCGTGCATGAGCCAAAGCAGGGCGAGGCATGGCCTCACCCAGGAAGTACAAGGGGTCAGGGAATTCCCTTTCCTAGTCAAAGAAAGGGGTGACAGACGGCACCTGGAAAATCGGGTCACTCCCACCCTAATACTGCACTTTTCCAACGGGCTTAACAAACCGCACACCAGGAGATTATATCCCACACATGGTTTGGACGGTCCTACGCCCACAGAGCCTCACTCATTGCTATCACAGCAGTCTGAGATCAAACTGCAAGGTGGCAGTAAGGCTGGGGGAGGTGTGCCCACCATTGCCGAGGCTTGAGTAAGTAAACAAAGCAGCCAGGAAGCTCGAACTGGGTGGAGCCCACCACAGCTCAAAAAGGCCTGCCTGCCTCTGTAGGCTCCACCTCTGGGGGCATGGCACAGACAAACAAAAGGCAGCAGTAACCTCTGCAGACTTAAATGTCCCTGTCTGACAGCTTTGAAGAGAATAGTGGTTCTCCCAGCATGCAGCGTGTGATCTGAAAACAGGCAGACTGCCTCCTCAAGTGGGTCCCTGACCCCTGAGTAGCCTAACTGGGAGGCACTCCCCCAGTAGGGGCAGACTGACACCTCACACGGCTGGGTACTCCTCTAACACAAAACTTTCAGAGGAACAATCAAGCAGCAGCAATTGCGGTTCACCAATATCTGCTGTTCTGCAGCCACCACTGCTGATACCCAGGAAAACAGGGTCTGGAGTGGACCTCCAGCAAACTCCAACAGACCTGCAGCTGAGGGTCCTGACTGTTAGAAGGAAAACTAACAAACAGAAAGGACATCCACACCAAAAACCCATCTGTACATCACCATCATCAAAGACCAAAGGTAGATAAAACCACAAAGATGGGGAAAAAACAGAGCAGAAAAACTGGAAACTCTAAAAATCAGAGTGCCTCTCCTCATCCAAAGGAACACAGCTCCTCACCAGCAATGGAACAAAGCTGGATGGAGAATGACTTTGATGAGTGGAGAGAAGAAGGCTTCAGAAAATCAAACTCCTCCAAGCTAAAGGAGGAAGTTCGAACCAATGGCAAAGAAGTTAAAAACCTTGAAAAAAATTAGTCGAATGGCTAACTAGAATAACCAATGCAGAGAAGTCCTTAAAGGACCTGATGGAGCTGAAAACCATGGCACGAGAACTATGTAACGAATGCACAAGCCTCAGTAGCCGATGCGATCAACTGGAAGAAAGGGTGTCAGCGATGGAAGATGAAATGAATAAAATGAAGCAAGAAGAGAAGTTTAGAGAAAAAAGAATAGAAAGAAATGAACAAAGCCTCCAAGAAATATGGGACTATGTGAAAAGACCAAATCTACGTCTCATTGGTGTACCTGAAAGTGATGGGGAGAATGGAACCAAGTTGGAAAAGGCTCTGCAGGATATTATCCAGGAGAACTTCCCCAACCTAGTAAGGGAGGCTAACATTCAAATTCAGGAAATACAGAGAATGCCACAAAGATACTCCTCAAGAAAAGCAACTCCAAGACACGTAATTGTCAGATTCACCAAAGTTGAAATGAAGGAAAAAATGTTAAGGGCAGCCAAAGAGAAAGGTCGGGTTACCCACAAAGGGAAGCCCATCAGACTAACAGCTGATCTCTCGGCAGAAACTCTACAAGCCAGAGAGAGTGGAGACCAATATTCAACATTCTTAAAGAAAAGAATTACAACCCAGAATTTCATATCCAGCCAAACTAAGCTTCATAAGTGAAGGAGAAATAAAATACTTTACAGACAAGCAAATGCTGAGAAATTTTGTCACCAACAGGCCTGCCCTAAAAGAGCTCCTGAAGGAAGCACTAAACATGGAAAGGAACAACCGGTACCAGCCACTGCAAAAACATGCCAAATTGTAAAGACCCTCGATGCTAGGAAGAAACTGCATCAACTAACGAGCAAAATAACCAGCTAGCATCATAATGACAGGATCAAATTCACACATAACAATACTAACCCTAAATGTAAATGGGCTAAATGCTCCAATTAAAAGACACAGACTGGCAAATTGGATAAAGAGTCAAGAGCCATCAGTGTGCTGTATTCAGGAAACGCATCTCACGTGCACAGACACACATAGTCTCAAAAAAAGGGATGGAGGAAGATCTACCAAGCAAATAGAAAACAAAAAAAGGCAGGGGTTGCAATCGTAGTCTCAGATAAAACAGACTTTAAACCAACAAAGATCAAAAGAGACAAAGAAGGACATTACAAAATGGTAAAGGGATCAATTCAACAAGAAGAGCTAACTATCCTAAATATATATGCACCCAATACAGGAGCACCCAGATTCATAAAGGAAGTCCTGAGTGACCTATAAAGAGACTTAGACTCCCACACAATAATAATGGGAGACTTTAACACCCCACTGTCAACATTAGACAGATCAACGAGACAGAAAGTTAACAAGGATACCCAGGAATTGAACTCAGCTCTGCACCAAGCAGACCTAATAGACATCTACAGAACTCTCCACTGCAAATCAACACAATATACATTTTTTTCAGCACCACACCACACCTATTCCAAAATCGGCCACATAGTTGGAAGTAAAGCTCTCCTCAGCAAATGTAAAAGAATAGAAATTATAACAAACTGTCTCTCAGACAACAGTGCAATCAAACTAGAACTCAGGATTAAGAAACTCACTCAAAACCACTCAATTACATGGAAACTGAACAACCTCCTCCTGAATGACTACTGAGTACATAACGAAATGAAGGCAGAAATAAAGATGTTCTTTGAAACCAACGAGAACAAAAACACAACATACCAGAATCTCTGCAACACATTCAACGCAGTGTGTAGAGGGAAATTTATAGCACTAAATGCCCACAAGAGAAAGCAGGAAAGATCCAAAATTGACACCCTAACATCACAATTAAAAGAACTAGAAAAGCAAGAGCAAACACATTCAAAAGCTAGCAGAAGGCAAGAAATAACTAAAGTCAGAGCAGAACTGAAGGAAATAGAGACACAAAAAACCCTTCAAAAAATTAATGAATCCAGGAGCTGGTTTTTTGAAAGGATCAACAAAATTGATATACCTCTAGCAAGACTAATAAAGAAGAAAAGAGAGAAGAATCAAATAGATGCAACAAAAAATGATAAAGGGGATATCACCACTGATCCCACAGAAATACAAACTACCATCAGAGATACTACAAACACCTCTACGCAAATAAACTAGAAAATCTAGAAGAAATGGATAAATTCCTCGACACATACACTCTCCCAAGACTAAACCAGGAAGAAGTTGAATCTCTGAATAGAACAATAACAGGATCTGAAATTGTGGCAATAATCAATAGCTTACCAATGAAAAAGAGTCCAGGACCAGATGGATTCACAGCCAAATTCTACCAGAGGTACAAGGAGGAACTGGTACCATTCCTTCTGAAACTATTCCAATCAATACAAAAAGAGGAAATCCTCCCTAACTCATTTTATGAGGCCAGCGTCATCCTGATACCAAAGCCAGGCAGAGACACAACCAAAAAAGAGAATTTTAGACCAATATCCTTGATGAACATTGATGCAAAAATCCTCAATAAAATACTGGCAAACTGAATCCAGTAGCACATCAAAAAGCTTATCCACCATGATCAAGTGGGCTTCATCCCTGGGATGCAAGGCAGGTTCAATATACGCAAATCAATAAATGTAATCCAGCATATAAACAGAACCAAAGACAAAAATCACATGATTATCTCAATAGATGCAGAAAAGGCCTTTGACAAAATTCAACAACGCTTAGTGCTAAAAACTCTCAATAAATTAGGTATTGATGAGACGTATCTCAAAATAATAAGAGCTATCTATGACAAACCCACAGCCAGTATCATACTGAATGGGAAAAAAACTGGAAGCATTCCCTTTGAAAACTGGCACAAGACAGGGATGCCCTCTCTCACCACTCCTATTCAACATAGTGTTGGAAGTTCTGGCCAGGGCAATTAGGCAGGAGAAGGAAATAAAGGGTATTCAATTAGGAAAAGAGGAAGTCAAATTGTTCGTTTGCAGATGACATGATTCTATATCTAGAAAACCCCATTGTCTCAGCCCAAAATCTCCTTAAGCTGATAAGCAACTTCGGCAAAGTCTCAGGATACAAAATCAATGTACAGAAATCACAAGCATTCTTATACACCAATAACAGACAAACAGAGAGCCAAATCATGAGTGAACTCCCATTCACAATTGCTTCAAAGAGAATAAAATACTTAGGAATACAACTTACAAGGGACATGAAGGACCTCTTCAAGGAGAACTACAAACCACTGCTCAATGAAATAAAAGAGGATAGAAAGAAATGGAAGAACATTCCATGCTCATGGGTAGGAAGAATCAATATCGTGAAAATGGCCATACTGCCCAAGGTAATTTATAGATTCAATGCCATCCCCATCAAGCTACCAATGACTTTCTTCACAGAATTGGAAAAAACTACTTTAAAGTTCATATGGAACCAAAAAAGAGCCCGCATCACCAAGTCAATCCTAAGCCAAAAGAACAAAGCTGGAGGCATCACGCTACCTGACTTCAAACTATACTACAAGGCTACAGTAACCAAAACAGCATGGTACTGGTAGCAAAACAGAGATATAAATCAATGGAACAGAACAGAGCCCTCAGAAATAACGCCGCATATCTACAACTATCTGATCTTTGACAAACCTGAGAAAAACAAGCAATGGGGAAAGGATTCCCTATTTAATAAATGGTGCTGGGAAAACTGGCTAGCCATATGTAGAAAGCTGAAACTGGATCACTTCCTTACACCTTATACAAAAATTAATTCAAGATGGATTAAAGACTTAAATGTTAGACCTAAAACCATAAAAACCCTAGAAGAAAACCTAGGCATTACCATTCACAACATAGGCATGGGCAAGGACTTCATGTATAAAACACCAAAAGCAATGGCAACAAAAGCCAAAATTGACAAATGGGATCTAATTAAACTAAAGAGCTTCTGCACAGCAAAAGAAACTACCATCAGAGTGAACAGGCAACCCACAAAATGGGAGAAAATTTTCGCAACCTACTCACCTGACAAAGGGCTAATATCCAGAATCTACAATGAACTCAAACAAATTTACAAGAAAAAAACAAACAACCCCATCAAAAAGTGGGTGAAGGACATGAACAGACACTTCTCAAAAGAAGACATTTATGCAGCCAAAAAACACATGAAAAAATGCTCATCATCACTGGCCATCAGAGAAATGAAAATCAAAACCACAATGAGATACCATCTCACACCAGTTAGAATGGCAATCATTAAAAAGTCAGGAAACAACAGGTGCTGGAGAGGATGTGGAGAAATAGGAACACTTTTACACTGTTGGTGGGGCTGTAAACTAGTTCAGCCATTGTGGAAGTCAGTGCGGCAATTCCTCAGGGATCTAGAACTAGAAATACCATTTGACCCAGCCATCCCATTACTGGGTATATACCCAAAGGACTATAATTCATGCTGCTATAAAGACACATGCACATGTATGTTTATTGCGGCACTATTCACAATAGCAAAGACTTGGAACCAACTGAAATGTCCAACAATGATGGACTGGATTAAGAAAATGTGGCACATATACACCATGGAATACTATCCAGCCATAAAAAATGATGAGTTCATGTCCTTTGTAGGGACATGGATGAAATTGGAAATCATCATTCTCAGTAAACTGTCACAAGAACAAAAAACCAAACACCGCATATTCTCACTCAAAGGTGGGAATTGAACAATGAGAACACATGGACACAGGAAGGGGAACATCACACTCTGGGGACTGTTGTGGGGTGGGGGGAGGGGGGAGGGATAGCATTGGGAGATATACCTAATGCTAAATAACGAGTTAATGGGTGCAGCACACCAGCATGGCACATGTATACATATGTAACAAACCTGCACGTTGTGCACATGTACCCTAGAGCTTAAAGTATACTAATAATTAAAAAAAAAAAGAAATAGAACATCTATTAAACTATATTTCCTAGACTTATAAAGCTAGGACAATGCCTCTGTTTTTGTTCCTCAGCTTTTTGTTGGGCAGAAATAGCTTTGAAGGAGGCAGAGCTGGATTTAATCAGTGTTAGCATTTCAGAAATAGAATTCATCTTTCAGAAATATAATCCACAGGCATTGGTGACTTGACTGCATATAGGAGATGAGGAAGAGGGACTATGATGAGTTAAAAGTGTCTTAGTGGTAGACTGAAATTCAAAAATGAAGAAGGAAGTTTGGAGAGGAAGATAACTAATTCAGTCTTGAATGAATTTAAGCTGCCTGAAAATCATCCAAGGGCAACTTGGTAGGCAGTCAGAAACACAGGACTGAAGCAATGGAGCATAGTTGGGGATGGAGACACAGATTTGGAAGCCACATGCATTTGGGTGGAAGTTGAAGCCATGAGATTAGTGAGATCACCCAGGAAGTGTGTGAACTGTGAAAAGAGAGGACATGTAGGGAGCTCCAGGCAATTACCACTGAGAAGCAGAATCCAAGAGATGACAAAAAAGAGGGGGTGAGGTGGGGGCAGGAACTGATAGAGAGGTAGGAAAACCAACAGATCCCAGGGTCATAACATCTCAAAAAAAAAAAAATTTTTTTCATGAAAGTGGAAGTGATGACAAATTCTGTATAAAACTTCAGATCCATTTTTGGTAACTAGAAGGTCATGCATGACCATAAGATGAGCAATTTTAACCTTGAATCTCATGTTACAAGATTGTACCACCACTACTCTTCCTGTTGCAGTCATCTGTTATCCTCAGGGCACCACTTCCTATTCCTTGAAGAGTTTAGCTTCTGGTTGGCTCTTACATTCTTCGACACCACTCCATAATTCTTTCCATGCAGATGATCTTTCCATTAGCCCAGCTTTTCTGATCCTTGACCTCCTCTCCTCCAATGATGCTGTAGCCTCTACTTTTTTTAATCCTTTAGCCTTTCAGCCTTTCACTTCCATAGTCATACCCTAGTACCAAAAGCTATAACCCTTCTATAATCTTAATTTCAAGCACCCCATTGTCTCTAATCACTACCTTATATCTTTTTTTTCATTTCCTCTTGTGCCCCAACTCCAACAATCCTTTAACTTCCATCCTCTGGCCTACAATCCATTGATCCAAGCACTTTTCACTATCCTTCACACCCCTTGTGCCATCACTTTCCTCCTTATTCAGCTTAAATAAAAGTCATTCTCACCACTTTCTTTCATACAAAGCAGTTGATTCCGTTGTCCCTCAACTTTATGTTGTAACTGCCAGGCCTAATAATAATAATAATAATAATAATAATAATAATAATAATAATAAGTTAATACTACTTAAATCCAACTGTTTGGCTCAATCATGCCTGAATTTGCATAACTAAAGGTAGTCAGAGAAAAGCATACAACCATGTTGACTAGTCTTACTGAAAGTTATGATCCATAATCTCAATGATGACAGATAATTATACTTTATTTCCTTAGTTCATTCTCTCACTCCCCAAGACAACTAGGAGATGAGGGCAGAGAGGTAATGAGAGCATGAACCTTCCAATACTTCTACCCCCATCCTAGCTCCCAGTTTCCTTATTGATAAAATAGAAGCCATCTGAAGAATATTTCTATGCACTTCCACCATAACATTTACCACCTGCCTACCTCTATACCCTACCCTGTCTTCTCTTCTGTTACTGTGGATGAATTAACTGTGCTTCTAGTAAAGGACAATTCCTCTACTAGAACCCATCTCTTCTCACCTACTTAAGGACATCACTCCAGCAATTCTACCCTTTCCCCGCTTTAACAAAATTTCCTCTTTACTGGATCTTTCCCATCAAGTTACAAACATGTTTTTATTTCTCTCATCTAATTAACAAAATTCTCTTGAGCCCACTTCTCTCTCTAGCTACTGCCCCATTTTTCTCCATCCTTTACGAAAAATTCCTATTTCTTTCCTCCCACTCTTTTGACCCACTGAAACACTCAATCCTCAAATTAACTGATCTATCAGCAACATTTGCCATAGTCAATTCCTTCCTTTTAGAAACATGTCTTCACTTATCTTTCCAGACATCACACTCTTCTAATTTTCATCCCACATAGTGGCCATTCCTTAATTTCCTTTGCTGGTTCATTCTCATCACCCCTGCCTTTTAACACCAGATTGCTCAAGGACTCGGTTCTTAAAGCATTTCTCTTTCCCTTTTATGTTCATTCCAGTGATAAACTCATCTAGCCTCATGAGTTTAAATACCATCTACAGGACGATGAATTTCAAATTTATACCTCTAGTCCCACTTAACTACTAAACTCCATTCTTTATCTAGCTGCCTCAAGACTTTCACATTTGATTGTCTAATCAATAGCTCATATTTAATTGGTCCAAACCTGACCTCCTAATCTTCCCCCAAATCTGTTTTTCCCACAGTATTTCTCAGCTCAGTAAATTGCAACTCCATCATTCCAGTTACTCAGGCCAAAAATCTTTGAGTTCTCCTTTTTCTCAGAACCCAACATCCAATCTGTCATCATATGCTGTTGGCTCTCCAATAACATGTATTCATGACCAGCTGCTTGACTGCCGCTACTCTGGTCCAGATCACCACCATTATCTCTCATCTAAATTATTGCAATAGACTCCTACTCTGGTTGCTCTAATTCCTATTTTGCTCTTTTCTATCTATATTCAACACAAAGTTATCCTTTTAAAACTTCAGTCAGAGTATATCACTTCTTTGCTCAAACCCTGCAGTGGCTTTTCATTGCACTCCCGGTAGAAGTTAGGATCATCAACATGGCATATAAGACCTTATGTGATTTGACCTTCACTCTCCCACTGCTTCTCTGACTTCATTTTCTACTAATTTTTCCTGCACTCTCTCAGCTCCAGCCACACTGGCTTCCTTGCTTTTCTTTGAACATGATGAAGACACTCCTACCTCAGGGCCTTTGCACTTGCTATTTCCATTCCCTGAAATGTTGTTCTTCCAAATATTCACGTGATTCATTCTTTTACCTCTTTAAGGTCTTAACAAAAGAATATGGTTGGAACTAGATATACAGACTTCGGAACAATTTTTATTTGGGTGGCAGCTGAAGCCATGGTATTGGTAAGATCTTGTAAGGAGTATGTGTTTAATGAAAAGAAAAGATGATCACATACAGAGCCCTGGGTAACATTACTGATGATGAGAATCCCAACAGAAGGAAAAAAAATTGATAGAGAGGGGAACAAAAAATTCCTAGTGTCACAAAATTTAAGGAAGAAGACAGTTACAAGAAATAGAAAATGTGTAACTAAATTCTACATAAAACTTAAGTAACATGAGTTTTGTGAGTAGGAAATCATCAGGGACCTCCCATTCACATGGTAGAGTTGAAGCCAGTAGACAATGAGTTGAGAAATGACTAGAAGAAATGGAAGTAGAGACTGAAAATGGAAATTATTATTTTGAGAGTTTGGTTCAGTACAGAAAGAGAAAAATTAACTGTTAGCCAGGAGGTGAATATAAGCACATTAGAAGGAAGATTTTTGTTCTTTTGGGATTCTTTTTTACCTTCAGGGTTAAAAAAAACAGTTTGAATATATTTACAGACTGACAGATAGGAGGTACAAGAGGGAGAAGCAAAAGATTCAGGAGAGAAAAGGAATAATTGATGTAGAAAAGTTCTGTAAGGCGGCTTCAATAAGTATTCAACAAATATTTATGGTGTGCCTACTACCACATGATGACAACAGTTGATATACAATAATGACTGAAATAAACATCAGGTAATTTGTAGCACAATGATTGTGGGTGAGGTTAAGACCACAACTGTAGCTTCTAGTTTAAAAACTGAAAGGAAACAAAGAAAAGAGGAAAAGTTGGTTACAGGAAACTGAGAAACTTTGTATGTCATAGCCTCAATTTTCTTAGCAAAGCAAGGGACTGCAATCCTTTGAGAGTAAAAAGGATATGAGAAGAGGGCTTAATAAAGGTAGTGTGTGTTAAAGATTTGTAATAACAATTAAAGGTAGTAGGAGAGGCAGCTAATGAAAACAAAATAAAAAGAACTAACAAACAGTTCTGGGTGCCTTAATGCCGTTAATTTGTAAAAGTTCCATTATTTACAATTTTGTAGGTTCTATCCAATAACACAGAATTCAAACACAGAATGATGTGTAAAGCTAGAAGGTAGCTGGTTGTTTGTAGGGCAGGTGAAAATGTAAGATATAGTTCTGGAATCCAGAGAAAATCCAAGTTTTCAATTTGGGTTTGTCCATTTCCAACTCTTCTTTCCTTTGCCTACTTCTAATACAGAGACAATAAAGGCTAAACACTTAATTTCCTAGCTCCCCTGCAGTTGGGTAAGCCATGGGACACAGTTCTGGCCAATGAGACATAAACAGAAGTCTGCAAATACGGCCTCTCCACGTCCTCTTTCCTTCTGCCTAGAGCACAGTTGTGGCACCTAGAGAAGTGGCAGCCACTTGGCAATAAGTAGGACAAAATCCACAAGTAAGGATGGCAGAGCAGAAATACAGGAAGAACCTGGATTCCTGATGGTACTGCTGAGCTACTGCATTAGCTCTGGACTGCCCTACCTTAGACTTTACCATGTGGAGCAAATAAACTCTTATTTATGTAAGACATGGTTTTTGTGTTTTCTGGTGATTTGCAACCAAATGCATTTATAACTGAAATAGAGGTCCAGGCTAAGAGTGTTAGTCACGGTGCTTTTGGTTGTTAAAAAACAAAAATGTTACAAAATAGTATAAGAAAAAAAGCTAAGTAAGGATTTATTGGTTTATATAGCTGGAATGTCTAAGGAATAGAACTGGCCTCAAGTCCAACAGGATCCATGGTTCAAATAACATCATAAGAATGTTGTCCCTCTTCATCTCTCAGCTCTGCTTGCCTTTGCTTGACTTCATTCTCTTTAAAATATATCCAAGCACAACAGGACAACCTCCAGCAGTTCTAGTCTTACGTATTCCTTAGAAAACATAACGCCATAGGCAGACTCCAACCCTTTCTTTCACAGTGTGCCTGTCAATCCCCAATAGGGATTGCTTGGTCAACCGGGGTCAGGAGCCCACAGCTGTGGTGAGAAAGGTTAGGTCATATGAGTAACAGCTTCACCAACACCAAACAGAGTGGGAGAAAAGCAGCTCCCAAAAGACATAGGTATTTAACATACAGAAAAGCAATAGGTCGACCATAGTAGAAGAATTAAGCAAGGCCAGAAAGGAGACAAATAAACTGGGAATAAATGAGTGGGTCATTGATAAGCCTTATCATTTGTGTGGAGAAATGACACAAGAGATAGAAGGATATGAAGCTGTAGTCAAAGGTAGGATATAGAATCTAATATTTCAGAAGAGTGGAGCAGTTTTAGATAATAACTGGCAAGGTCTAGTTTATGGATGTATAGAAAAGGATGGTTTTAAAAAGATCAGCCAAAAAGATAAAGGTACTACATCAAAATTATCAATGCTAGATTTATATCTTTAAGGTCTTAAGCTAGTCAAACAATTATGGTACCCATGTTAGTTACCTATCGCTATGTAACAAGTGACCCCAAAATTAAACAGCTTGAAAAAAGAGACATTTATTAGCTTTCACAGTTGCCAAGCTTCAGAAATTCAGGAACGGCTTAGCTGGGTGGTTCTGGTTCAGGATTTCTCATGAGGTTTCAGTCAAGATGCTGGCCAGGACTGAGCCATCTGAAGGCTGAAGGATCTACTTCCAAGTTTACTCACATGACTGTTAGAGGGCATCAGGGCCTCATTGGCTATTTGTCATCCTTGAACCCTGTTGATTCCAATGGGGATAGCACCATGTCCAAGAGGCCAAAGAAGAAACCCAGAGCCAGCAAACCAGACATAGAGTGTATTGAGGACTTACACACAGAATGGCCCAGGAGCGACGGCCTGGACAGAAAAAATTGCTACTGTTCATAAAATGCATGCAGTTTATACAGGAATTTTCACTTGGCATCCTTCATCTAGCAACCTCCACCGAGTTCAAGACAAAGAACCTCAGCTCAGTTCCTTGCACAACCTGCATTCCAAGGAAGGGGCCAAGGGCTCAGATGTCCTTTGTATAGGTTGGTGCAAAAATAATTGTGGGTTTTGCCATTTAAAAGTAATGGTAAAAACTGCAATAACATTTGCACCAACCTAATAAAGGGTAAACTTCTGGGTTGGCCACTACTGGATTCCTTAGCTGGGAACTTTGAATCAACATTCTTCTTACACCATAAGGTCATCCTCAGGGTATGCTTAAATTATTGCTGTCAGATGCATCTGCCATACACTATTGACCAGAGACATCATTTTCTGGTGATGTATAAGCTCCCTGAGTGTTCCCATGACATGGTAGCTAGCTTCCCACACAGTGAATGGTCATAAAGAGAGTAATCAAGCCCCTGATGCTTTTAAACTAAACGTTGAAAGTGACATGCCATCCTTTCTGCTGTCTTCTATTGGTCATATAGAGCAACTGTAGTACCATGTAGAAGGGGATTACACAAAGCTGTGAATACCAGCAAAAAGGGAGGCCATCTTGGAAGCTAGCTACTCAGTAATTCAACCATATAGAATTCAAAATAAAGACAATGCTAAAGTTAACCCAGGGCCTTGAATCTCAATAGGAACAAGAAATGAGGCCTTGAGACCTTTCGAGGTGGTGACATGAAACAGAAAACCCCAGATAAAGTTGGGACAATATAATAGCTGCACTATCCGATAGATTAGGGGAAAAAGTCATCCATCTGAATTGGGAGTTGACAAAGAAGCTTGTCTGTCTGCCTGAGCTCTGAGTGGAAGAAACAAAAGTCTCCTCTAAGAACCTGAGAATTCAAAACCATGGCTCTCCATCTTCTATTGAGTTTAGGGTTTAAATTTATGCTCCTCACATAGCCTTGGAATCCTCAAATCAAGAATTAACACCAAACTTCATCTTAATTTGTGATATCCCTCTAGAGCTTACTCAGACGGGATAGATCCAAAACCTAGACCGCTAGGGATTCTCACAGGAGAAGAAAAAACAAAAACCTGCAAAACATGAGCACACGTTAAAAAGTCCAAAGCACACATTAAAAAGTCCGAAGCACACAAGAAAATAATTCGTTATGAGGAAAAGCAAATTTAAAAAGGAAAACTAAAGCTCTCAAGCACTTAAAATAGTAGGTTGACAATATAATTTTTATATTTAAAATTACTAAAAACATAAAGAAAACAAAAAGCAAGATTTTAGAAAATCGAATTTTTGTAGATTAAGCATATAATCACTAAAATTAGAAACTCACTAAATATTTTGCCCTAATGGAAATTCTGTCACATACTACAAAATGGATGAACCTTGAGAACATCATACTGAGTGAAATAAGCCAGTCACAAAAGGACAAATACTGTATGATTCCACTTAAATCAAATATCTAGAGTAGTTAAAATCACAGAAACAGAAAGTAGAATGGTAGTTGCTAGGAACTGGGAAAGGGAGAAATGGAAAGTTGTTTGATAGGTTTAGAGTTTCAGTTTTTGCAAGATGAAAAAGTTGTAGTGATCTGTTACACAATAATATGAATATAGTTAACACTACTGAACTGTACACTTCATGGCCAAGAGGGTAACTTTATATTATGTGTTTTTTAACAAAATTAAAATTTTTTTTAATTTTAGAAAAACCTCAATAAGCACTGCCACCAAGATAGAGTTGATATATTTTTTCTATTCTTCTCACTAAGTAAAACCACAAAAACCTCTAGACATTATATATCACTATATATAGTATGTATAATTATATGTAATTTATATATACACAAAAGAAGAAAGGTGGGCAGAAGAAGACAGACAGGCTAGGGACCTGAGGACCCAAGGAATGACTAGATGGTAAGTTTCCTGAGTTTTCTTCTTGCTTCATATACCCCAAACTTGGAGCTGAAGAAGCCAGCAACCCAAAAATGCCAGTGGGAATAGATAACTTACATCTTACAATCACCAACATATAGGTGATATTTAAAGGCACAATAAATGAGATTATTTACATGTGAGCATAGACTGAAAGGGGAAGAGCTAAAGCAGACTGCTGCCCCCAAATAGGATATGAAAAAGGAGTCTGACCAGGAGTGGTGAGTAAGATGGGGGAAGCCACTGTGTGCCAAGATTGCGTATACATCGCCTCATGTCAGAAGTCCTGGCCAGAGCATTTAAGAAGAAAATAAAGGGCATCCAAACTGGAAAGAAGTCAAATTGTTCCTCTTTGCAGATGACATGATTTTATTTACAATAGCTACAAAAAAAAAAAAAAAAAACAACCTAGGAATAAATTTAACCAAGGAGGTAAAAAACCTCTACAAGGAAAACTGCAAAACACTGATGACTGCCAAGGGCCGTGGCTCACACCTATAGTTACAGCACTTTGGGGGTCAGGGATGGGAGGATCAATTGAACTCAGGTGTTTGAGACCAGCCTGGGCAACATGGCAAAACCCCATCTCTACCAAAAAAATAGAAAAATTAGCTGAGGGTAGTGGTGCATGCTTGTAGTCCCAGCTACTCAGGAAGTTGAGGTGGGAGGATCAATTGAGCCTGGGATGTCGAGGCTGCAGTGAGCTGAAATTGCATACTGCACTCCAACCTGGGCAACAGAGCAAGACCCTGTCTTAGGAAAAAAAATAAAAAAACACTGATGAAAAAAAATTGAAGAGGATACAAACAAATGGAAAGACATCCCATGCTCATTAATCAGAAGAATTAATGTTGTTAAAATGACTATACAACCCAAAGCAATCTACAGATTCAATGTAATTCCTAACAAAATACCAATGACATTCTTCACAGAAATTAAAAAAAGAAATCTTAAAATTCATATGGAAGTACAAAAATCCTGAATAGCCAAAGCAATCCTGAAGAAGGGGGAAAAATGCAAAGCTGTAGTCATCACACTACCAGACTTCAAAATATACCACAAAGCTATAGAAACCAAAATAGCATGGTGCTGTCATTTAAAAAAAAAAAAAAAAAAAAAAAAAGACACATGGGCTAATGGAACAGGATAAAGAACCCAGAAATTAATCTGCATATCTATAGCTAACTGATTTTTGACAAAGCCTCCAAGAATACTCACTGGGGAAACTACAGTCTCTTCAATAAATGGTGTTAGAAAGACTGAATATACTTATGCAAAAGAATGAAATTAGACCCCCACCTCTCACCCTGTACAAAAATTAACTCAAAATGAATCAAAGACCTAAATGCAAGACCTGAAACCATAAAACTACTAGAAAAAAAAACATAGAGGAAATACTTCTGGACATCAGTTTGAGAAAAAATTGTATGAATAAGACCTCCAAACCACAGGCAACAAAAGCAAAAATTTTGAAATGGGATTATATCAAACTGAAAAGCTTCTTCACAGCAAAGGAAACAATCAACAGAGTGAAAAGACAATATATAGGATGGGAGAAAATATTTGTAAAGTATTCATCTGACAGGGGATTAATATCCAGAATATACAAGGTACTCAAACATCTCAACAGCAAAAATCTCAAAAACCCACAATTTGATTAAAATGGGCAAATGATTCAAGCAGTCCTTTTCCAAAGAAGACATACAAATGACCAACACATATGTGTGTTTTGTTTTTGTTTTTGTTTTTGTTTTGTTTTGAGACAGAGTCTCACCCTATCACCAGGCTGGAGTGCAATGGCGCGATCTCAGCTAACTGCAACCTTCGCCTCCCGGGTAGCTGGGACTACAAGTGTGCACCACCATACCAGGCTAATTTTTGTATTTTTAGCAGGTCCAGGGTTTCACCATGTTGGCCAGGATGGTCTCCATCTCCCGACTTCGTTATCCGCCAGCTTCGGCCTCCCAGAGTGCCAGGATTACAGGCATGAGCCACCGTGTCTGGCTGAAATACGTGTTTAAATGCTCACCATCACTAACCATCAGGGAAATGCAAATCAAAACCACAGTGAGGTATCATCTCACTCCACTTAGCATGGCTATTATCAAAAAGACAAAAAATAAATGTTGGAGAGGATGCAGAGAAAAAGGAACTCTCATATACTGTTGGTGGGAATGTAAATTAGTACAACCACTGTGGAGAACAGCAGGGAGGTTCCTAAAGAAAATACAGATAGAATAAGCCCAGGCACAATGACTCATGCCTGAAATCCTAGCACTTTGGAAGGCCAAGGCAGGAGGATTGCTTGAGGACAGGAGTTTAAGACCAGCCTGGGCAACATAGCAAGACCGCCTCTCTACAAAAAGCTTTCAAAAATTAGCTGGGTGTGGTGGTGCACTGTAGCCCTAGCTACTTGGGAAGCTGAGATGGAAGGATTGCTTGAGCCCAGGAGTTCGAGGCTGTAGTGAGCTATGATCACATCACTGCACTCTAGCTTGGGTGACAGAGTGAGATACCATCCCTAAAAAATAAAAAAAAAGACAAATAAAAGCTACAAATAGAACTGCCTTATGATCCTGCAATCCTACTATGAGGCATTTATGTAAAAGAAAGGAAATCAGTAGATCAAAGAGACATCTGTGTCCCACATTTATTGCAGTACTATTCACAAGAGCCAAGATATGGAATCAAACTATTCACAATAGCCAAGATATGGAATCAAACTAGGTATTCAATAAAAGATAAGTGGATAGAGAAAATGTGGTATATACACACAATGGAATAATATTCAGTCATAAAAAAAGAATAAAATCCTGTCATTCATGGCAACATAGATAGAACTGGAGATCATTATTTTAAGAGAAATAAGCCAGGAACAGAAAGTTAAACATTACATGTTCTCATTCAAATGAGGAAGCTGAAAAACGTTGATCTGAAAGAAGTAAAAAGTAGAGCAGAGGATATTAGAGACTAGAAAGGGTAAGGCAAGGGGAGAGTAAGGAGAGATTTGTTAAAGAATACATAATTACAGCTAGACTAAATTCTAGTGTTCTGTACCACTGTAGGATGATTACAATTAACAACTATATATTATATAGTTTCAAATAGCTAGAAGAAGAATATTGAATGTTCCCAAAACAAAGAAATTACAAATTTTTAAGACGATGGATATTCTAATTATCATGATCTCATCATTACACATCACAATGTACCCCATAAATATTTTTATTTATATTTTTAAAGTAATTCATCATCATGAAAAGGAATTTGGGAAATATAGAAGAATGTAAGAAGAATATGAATCATATCATATACAAAAAAAACACCTCATTTTATCCTCACAACAGCTCTGCGGTTTACGCACTATTATTATTTCCATTTTACAGCTGAAGAAATGGAGGCTTAGAAGCTAAATGACTTGCCCAAGTTTCCACAAGAGAAAGAAGTAGCGCTGGAACAAAATCCAGGTCTAAAAGCAAATTTCACTCTTTCAGTCAGCACACCATAGAAAGAATTGGATTTCCAAAGCCAATGTAATGGATGTGTGTTAATAAGATAGTCTGGAGAAAGAGCCCAGGAAGCTGGAGACCATTACAATTAGAGATCTATGGAATAACTTGGGTATAAGGTAATATGAAGTTAATCAGGGGAATAAAAATGGAGGAAAAGAGCAACCAAAGAAGCATTGACAAAACGCTGAAACTGATTGCACACAGGAAATAAGAAGGTTGTTCAAAGATGAATCCAAAGCTTCAGGCTTGGTGATTGTGGTGCAAAAATGGAAACTTGGTAGTGTGGATAGGAGGTTAGTTTGGGTGACTTTACAAGTTTGGTTATAAATAAGTTGAGAATGAGATGAAAACAGAACAGTAAGTGGAAAAGTGTAGCCAGAGGTATAATTTAAGCTTCCGGTTAATATTCTGACAACTCTGATAATTTAGGAAAGTGGTTGCAGATGGCTTTCTAAAACTCAAATGTAAAAATTAGATAGCAAATCTGCATGTATCCAGCATCCTTAAGGAACAAAATGATTTACATTAATGCATTTTTTAAGATAGCTAAAGTTTACTTCTCCAAGTAACATCTTTTTGTTGTAAACAGTTTTTATGAAAATCTGCCTAGACTGTTTTATTAACATCTCCCTTCTTAAATAGATGACAATAACTTATTTCACCATTTCTTGATGAATTGTGTTTGTATCTTATTAGGTTTTCCCTATCAGGACAACAGTAGTTACTTCTTTTGTCATAGAGTCTGTCTCTTATAATGCCAGTACTTTGTAACCAGCTGTTTCCTTTTTTCTGTGGTGTGAGAATACAATAACCTGGATTCTATATGAATAAGAGTTGGTAGGCTCTGAAAGACCACCCAAGGACTTCTCCTACAGAGCTTTAGGACAAAGGAATGGTGGTGGCCACCTTAGCAGATACGCTCTTATTTACTTACTGTTTCTCCTGGCCAGGGAATCTGAATGTCTACAATTTCTGGAAGTCCGGGGCAATTTCTGTAATAATTTTACAGGCACAACTTTTGGGCTCAGTTTTTGTACATATTGCCATACCAGCCCTGTTGCCAAGGGAGGAATGGGGATGGAAAAGTGACTAGAACCACTCTTCATTTGTCCAATATCCAAATGAAATAATCAAACCTTATCTCTTTGGGTCACTCTTAGTCATTTAAACCATTTTTAATATTAAATATTTAAACAAAATGTTTCTAGGTCTTCTAGCCTTCTGAGGTCACCCTTTCCTTCAACATTTAAATAAAATACCTCCCGCACCTTCCCACACCCAGTTGGAGACCTCCATCTGTGAGGATTGCTGGATGGGTGGGAAGGGAGCAGTGCTTATATTCTGCTGGTAGCCTCTCATCCATGTTGCTGCTCCCATATAATTTCCAGTCCCTGTTATCACCTCACTTTCTAGAACCATGTTTCTCTCCATGCTGCTTCATCAGAAGCATGGACCCAGCCATCAAAAGAACACCAACACAAGCCTGACGATTTGAGGATAAGGGCAGGAGACTACAGCAGAGGACAGACTAGGAAACAGATTAAAATTGAGTTATTGGCTGGGCGTGGTGGCTCACGCCTGTAATCCCAGCACATTGGGACGCCAAGGCAGGTGGATCTCCTGAGGTCAGGAGTTCAAGACCAGCCTGGCCAACATGGTGAGACCCCCATCTCTACTAAAAATACAAAAATTAGCTAGGCATTGTAGCACGTGCCTGTAATCCCAGCTACTCGGGAGGCTGAGGCAGGAGAATCACTTGAATCCAGGAGGTGGAGGCTGCAGAGATCCGAGATAGCGCCATTGCACTCCAGCCTGGGTAACAGAGTGAGATTCCATCTCAAAAATAAACAAACAAATAAATAAATAAAAGTTATTTAAATCACTGTCCTCAAATTCCTTTGGTCATCCCTGCACAGGAACTTTCTCTTTGGGTACTATTTTCCTTAGGCCCCAGCATGTACCCTTCCCGGGAGCCTACTGGGTCTCACTCTCCTTTTCTCCAGGTTCCAGACCCCCAAATCTAGTCACATGAGTCAATAGCTAAAATTTCAGGATTTCTGCAAGTTAGCTGTTAAGCATCCCGTCAGTAACTAAATGCTGATATTTAAATAAATTATATATTTTTAAAAGGGTAGTAAGTACTCAAATGCATCACTTCTTAATTATTTTACTATCCTTTACTATTCTATGCTCTTGAGAGGATTTACATCTACTGCACACACATAGAGGAAACACTATATAATGGTGCACATCTTTTCCTAACTCAGTGACTTGATGGAAATGCTACCACAGAAATGGACAAGTGCTACAAATCAGAGTTTTAGAGTACTTTGTATTGTTTGGTTGTTGTTGTTATTGGAGAGGTGATTGTTAAACGTTTACCAGCACAAAACTCCCCCACTCTTCCAGGAAAAAACTGAAACACACCTGTCACTCCAGACTCCAGTACACAGACCAATTTAAACTATTTTTACTCACAGTATATCTCTTTTCAGAACATGCTATGGGGCCTAGATCTGAACAAAGTGGCCCGTTAAGGAGTTTGTCTAAACCCAATAGCCTTCTACTTCTCAGATGAGTTTTACCAACATCCCTAAAATTTGAAACAGCTGCCATGGTTTTTTTCAAATAATCCATTTACTAATCTTTGCGTTTTCCTCTGTTTTCTTCAAAAGCATATATTGAACACAATATTCAGTGTTAAGATGCCTCATGAGAAGCTGGGGTGAAAGAAGAGGGTAGAGAAGTGTGTTGCAACTTTGGAAAAACTGAGTCTCCCTCAAAGAAGGGGGTTAGGAGGGTTAGAGTTAGAGTTGTTGTTGAAGAAAAACTCCCAAAAACAAAGCTAGTGGAAACTCTTTCTCTCTGAGGGGGATAATAAAAGTGAGGGGAGCACCCCTTCCATTGTTCATGAGTCATTTCCTGTTTTAATTCTTCCTGTTTGTCCTTGGTTTTTCCACAGTAAATGTCGACTCCACCTTTCACTCTTACCTCCCCTCCTGGGTCATGATGATCACGGCCCAGTATTGCGTGAACATGTTGGTGGCCTGAAAGCACTCTGAGGATGAAAACTGTTAGGGAGCCAGAAATGACTTCTAAATCTGCAAACTGGTCTGAACTGTTTCTTCCTTCTTTGATTTTATTTCTCTTTCCTTCTTTTTTCCTTCCTTCCTCATGATCTTCCCCCACGCCTCCCTTTCTATCCTTTCTTTCCTTCTTTTGAGTGTTGCTTTCAGTGCTTTAAATGTTTCTCCATTGGGAATTGCTACTACAAGGACAGGAAGTAAGGTTTTGAGCACAAGATTTTGACATTGGTCCACCAGCAGCATGAGAAAGAGACAAATAAGAGAAAGGAGCAAAACGGTGTTCCTTTGAAAGCGGAACCCTAAAAATGAAACTTCTTAGCCTTGTTTACCCTTATCCAAATAACTTCTGAGTAACTACCTCTGAGAATAATAATAGCTATCCTTGGTGTGGCTGCTTTCTTCTGAAGTGTTCAAATAACTAAAAAGAGCAGGAACTTTGTCGTGGGGCGCTCTGAGAGTAACGCTGGCCACTCCTTGCTGGCTGGCTGGCTGGCCCTGTGTGCTTTGCACCCCCTCTTCCAGCAGTCTCCCTGGCACAGTTTGACAGTCAGTAGCCAGCATCATTGTGATTGGCCAGCAACTGCGCTGGACCAGTTGCTAAATATTTTTTAGTCAACTTTGATTAAATTAAATAGTGTCTGTAAAAAGCCTATCACAGAGCCTGCCTGGCATATAGTAGTGGGTGTTTAAACATTTTTAGTTCTAACAAATTTTTCCTACCCACCCACCTTCAAACCTCATTATCAACACAGTTCTGTTGGGAAGCAGGGAAAAAAAGTATTATTATTATTCTTATGTGACACACTTACATAAAGGAAAATTTAGGTGCAGAGGTGAATGGACTAAGAACACAGTCGTGAGTCAGAGGTACCAGTGCTTGAACAAGACTCCCCATGCCAACTCAGAGCATTAACCAAAAGACTCAGGACTCTGGTAATCAATTAACAGTTTCAAAGTGGAACGAGCACTAACTTTGGAGTCAGAAAAAATCTGGGTTTAGATTTTTCTGCCACTTACCATGAGACCTTGAACAAATCACTTGACCTCTCTAAGCCTGTTTTCCCATGTGTAAAATGGGACCAATATACCTAAACGATTACGTGAGATAATGCATGTGTAAAAGGATTTAAAATGAGATTCTTTCTTGTTTAGTTTGAGCCCAGGCTCCAAAAATCAGTTAGCCTTGGTGTGGTTGCTTTCAAAACAAAACAAAACAATAGATGCTAAGCTCTCCCCACATTACAAAGCTTGCCCACTTTTTCAGGGATTGACAAAGGAGATGACCAAAAGCTGGCTTTGTGGCTCTTGGCACATCACCCATATCAGGAGTCGAAGTTGAAGAGAAGGAGGGGAGAGGATTTCTCCATAAAGAGTCATTGGAATGCTGTGCTACTATGGGGAAGGGGGGGCGCCCTTCCATGGGGAAGGGAGACTTTCCCTTCACTTCAAGCCAGCTGAATGAGCTTCAACAGGACCATAAGTGGAAGATCACTCAGAGTGACATTTGTCCTCTGGAGTTTGGCATATATAAGGAATGTGAAGACAGGCTGTTGATAGATGTGCCTGAGGCCACACAGCAGAGAAAGAATGAGGACTGACCATCTACAGATGGTAGGAAAACAATGCAGAAGTGTTTCCCAAGACCACACATAGACTTTCCAAGTCAGAGTTGGCCAGGAGTCTGTTTGAAAGCTCATTATAGAGTGATAACCATAACCAACTCTGGGAAGCTCAGTCCCGGAAGTTGAAGTGAAAACCAGCCAGTCACATAAGAAGCACCACCTACCTCACAGGAATTACAGTTAAAAGTTCCCAGCAAAGGAATCTTTGAAGAACCTAAAATATACCCCATGGGAAAACTAGCCAGCAATTGTACATCTGCTCCATTCCTGGTCACAAAGGCATATAAGCTGCACTTAAGCCTCTATTCCACATCCTTTCCTGACATGGCTCCCATGGTCACCTCTGGCTCCAAATTCCTGATTCAGTTGAATTAGTTCAGATTACAGGTCATTTGACCCCTTGTGGGTGTTTCCTTATTTGTTACCACCTTAAACCTAGGCAAGGCCCAGCATCCTTGCCATAATTTTCACCTAAACAGCCCGATGTACACAAGGCTGCTGCATGGATGGAACATTCTGGTTATACTGAATGTTTTTGAAAGAGGCATTGGTTTACACTGAAGCAACACAAAGTGGCAACTATCATTTTATCTTCCCATCAAGAATTTCCACCTCCTTTCTTCTCATTAAAGACCCTTAGCCCCAGGCAAAAACAGAGGTACATGACCTGTGTGGGATAATCATGGTGCTCTATTTCCCTGGCATTGACAAGGGATGGACATGTAATCCAAGCCGGGACAATTATAACACATCCTTGGAATTGTTATATGGATACTTAGAGAAAAAAGCTCTCTATGGTTGCTGAGCTGAGTCTGGCTGCAACCATGTCTCCTTTCTGTCTCTTTCACATGGCAAAGTCCTTTCTGTCATAGGAAAATGTGAGGTCAACATGGAAAGGGAAACAGAGTTAAGCAGAGATGAGAAAGATAGGAAAGGAAAGGATGGAGTGAGGGAGAGAAAGAGATTTGGCAGCGTTAATTCAAGTTTCTGTACGGTGTCTGCCGCTTTAGTTTCTATAATTCTTCCTTGGATGCAGCAAACAATCCTGGAATCTTTCCAAATGTTGTGAGCCACTAAGATCCCTTTTTTGTATAAGCTTCTTGGAACTGGGTTTATGTTACTTTCAAACACCAGAAACCTCAATAATACAGCAAAAAGTTTCCAATTAAACGTTGGGTATCTCTAACCTTAAAAGCCCCTTTTTCCATTCTATCCCCAGGGATTTTCACTCCATGTACCTCTCTGGTTTTATACCCTCTTAAGGCTTTGCTCCTTCCTCCTTCCCTTTCCTGTTTCCTCCTAGGATCAAAACCAAATTCCTTCCTTCCTCTGCTTATGCAGAACAATTCAGCCATTTTTTAAAAACTCTATTGGTTCCTGAAGTCCATGGCCACATCTTTTGCCATGAGTGGTTTATCAGGATATTTTCCCAAAGACAGTTCAATACAAGAAAAAGTCTTGAGCATTGTATTGGCTATTAGAGAAAAAAATCCAATCCATACAGTCTTTCTCTAACAAGTTTTTGGATAGTTGGTCAGGTAAATTATTTAAGTTTTCTCACCTATAAAGTTACATTTTAGAGTTAAAAAGTCTGTATAGATAAGCTAACCCAAGCCCTTTAATAAGATTAGAGAAGGTAAGTAGCTTGTCATGTACTATAAAGAAGTTAGTAGTAATGTCATGATTAGGACATTGGTGCCGAATTTTGGTCCAGGGCCTCAAGACCCCAGAAAAAAAGAACAAGCCTTTATGACTTGACTATTGTCATAATTTAGGTTGATTTCAGTTTGGAAACTTAGTATCCAAAAGAGATCTCCAAGCTTCAGTCCCTCAACTATAACATGGTAAAAAATAGATCACCAGTTCTCAAACACTTTTAGATATGGAATCTTTTCTTTTTATTTTATTTTATTTATTATTATTATTATTTTGAGACAGAGTCTTGCTGTTATCAGCCCAGGCTGGAGTGCAATGGTGTGATCTCAGCTCATCACAACCTCTACCTCCTGGGTTCCAGCAATTCTCCTGCCTCAGCCTCCCGAGTAGCTGAGATTACAGGCGCGTGCCACCACACCTGGCTAATTTTTGTATTTTTTTGTAGAGATGGAGTTTCACCATGTTGGCCAGGCTGGTCTCAAACTCCTGACCTCTGGTGATCCACCCGCCTCGGCCTCCCAAAGTGCTGGATTACAGGTGTGAGCCACCTTTTATTTAAGTGAAATCTTATACTGATGGGAAATAAAAATAAAATAATGGTAATAATAAACGTGTTAGCTCAGATCCTCCAGGAAGCAGATGCCAAAGATTTATTGGGGGAGATGGCTGTGAAGGAAAAAGAAGATAGAGATGGAGATGATAGGGAAACTCCTTAGACCATGTAGATGCGAACCCTGGGAAAAAGAGAGGAAAGGAAGAAGGATTAAGTAAGAATAGTCTCAGACTTCTGCACTGTTCTAAGATAGTTTCAGGCCAGGTGCAGTGGCTCACGCCTGTAAGTAATCACAGCACTTTGGGAGGCCAAGACAGAAGGATCACTTGAGCTCAGGAGTTCCAGACCAGCCTGGGTTACACAGTGAGACCTCATCTCTACTAAAATTCAAAAAAAATAGCAGGGCATGGTGGCACATGCCTATAGTGCCAGCTACTCAAGGGGCGGTGCAGCAGGGTGAGTGGGGGCTGGCAGTGCTGAGGTGGGAGGATCGCTTCAGCCTGGAACGTCAAGGTTGCAGTGAGTCCTGATCATGCCACTGCACTCCAGCATGGGTGACAGAGTGAGACTCTGACTCAAAAAAATAAAAGTGTCAGCCAGGCTGATGGGGAGTCCTCAAGTCAAAGTCACCCATCAGAAGAGTCTGCATCTTGCAGAAAAAGGTCTGCATTCACATTTGTACCACATTTAATCATTGGTTAGGAGCAGCCCATTAAAAGTCTGGCTTCAGTGGAAATACAAGGTAGAGTCAGAGAACAGCTGCTGGAGTCACCAATCAACTGCCCAAAATAAAAGGCCTGACATGTACTTTCATGGCTGCTTCAATTTAAAATATCTTTTAATTTTTTAAGTAGAAGGAAGGGAGGAAAAAATTGAAATAGTCACCGAATATTCCAAATTTGGTGAAACTATAAATTCTTATAACCAAGAAGCTCACTAAATCCCAATCATAAGAAATTTAAGAGAAGTATGCCAAGGAACATCATAATCAAATTACTTAAAACCATTAATAAAAACAAAAATTTAAAAGCAGACAGAGAAAAAAGACACAATATGTACAAAGGAAGAAAGGTAAAAATGAAAGCAGACTTCTTGGCTGGGCGCGGTGGCTCACGCCTGTAATCCCAGCACTTTGGAAGGCCAAGGTGGGTGGATCACCTGAGGTCAGGAGTTCAAGGCCAGCCTGGCCAACATGGCGAAACTCCATCTCTACTAAAAATACAAAAATTAGCCGGGCATGGTGGGGGGCACTTGTAATGTCAGCTACTAGGGAGGATTAGGCTGGAGAATCACTTGAGCCTGGGAGGGGGAGGTTGCAGTGAGCTGAGATCAGGCCATTGCACTCCAGCCTGGGCGACAAGAGCGAAACTCAGTCTTGGGGGAAAAAAAAAAAAAAAGAGACTTCTCAATGCAAGCCAGAAGACACTGGAGCAACATCTTAAAAGCAAGGAGGGAAACACACACACACACACACACACCTGTCAACATAAAATCCTATACTCAGTGAAAATAACCTTAAAAAAAAAGGTAAAATAAAGACTTTTGTAGACATACAGAAGCTGAAAGAATTCACCACAAGCATATCAGCGCTGTAAGAAATGTTACAGGAAGCCTTTCAGGAAGAATGAAAGTGATCACAAATGGTTTTATCAGAGGAGGTGGCACAGCTACCACTGAGCCTTTTCCTTACCCCTCTCCTGAGGTGCTCCCAGTGGGAACTTTGGAGATGCCTAAGGATGCCTAAAAACCACCTCAAGTTATTTCTAATGGTCTTTCCAGTTCTTGCCTTTCAAAATGACTTAATTCTGGATTGTATATTTTCTCTTGGGCATTTTGCCTATAACAGAATGAACACCCATCCAGTAATGATGAGTTAAGAGTCGTGAATGAGTTATGGTTTCATGATGCAAAGAGTCAGGAATCATAACTTAATGAGATGATAGTTCAGAAATTGTCCTTTTTTCCAGTGCTAGTGATAAATATCAAGTATTGTTTTGATCATCAGCAATCAGGGATGTGGCAGAGGAATTTCAAAGGGGAAGAATTTGTGCTAGAACTCAGAGTCAGGCAAAACTGATAGTACGAATCAGGGCGTATAGTAGTTGAAAGCATACTGAAGTTGACTATTGGGAAATTGAGGGCTAGGCCAGCTCCACACAGTTGCGCAAGTTTGAGACTCATTCTTCCCTCTGGACCTCAGTTTCTTCATATTGGGATGTTAGCTAAATGACTCCAAAAACCCTTCCAAGTCTAACCACCTGTGATTCTACAAGTGTGACTGAATTCAGGCTAGTCTTATACTGCCTCCGTCTACCTCACTCTTCTTCATCTGACTAGTTACCAGCAGGGAAATCCCTCCAACCCCAAAATAACCATTATTTTCATAATTCAACTATTAAAATGAATAAATTTTAAGTTTGAAAATCTCTCTTCAAACTGTATATATTGTATAATGTCATTGAAAAGGCAAAACTATAATGACGGAGAAGTCATCAGTGGTTGCCAGAGTTGCAGGTGGGGAGAGAGGATGACTACAAATTGGTAGCACAAGGGAATTTTTGAGGGTGATGAAACTGTTCTGCATCTTGATTGTGAGGGTGGTCACAGGACTATATGCATTTGCAAAAATCCATGAAACTATATACCACAAAGAATAAGTTTTACTGTATGTAAATTTAAAACTAACTAAATAATTTTTTAAAATAGGGCAACAGCTTTGGTAGTGATTTACATCCATGTTTAAGTGTGCATCATTTTAATATATTCTAGATAATTTTCCAGGTATTAAATTTAACTTCTTATTTGAATATCTAGCCTCTTAAAAGTGTATAAATTATTAGCATACACTTTAAACCTATATAATGTATGTTTTAAAATAAATACATTGTTTTCAAAATATGGCAGTTATAGTCTTAAGAGACTTTCTAAAAACAGATTTATTGAGGCATAATTCCCATACCATGAAATCATTGGTGTGAAGTATTCAGTTCAACGATATTTAGTAAATGTATCCAGTTGGACAACCATCACCACAGTCTAATATTAGAACATTTCACCATCCCAAAAAGATCCCTCATGCCCATTTTCAGTTTAGGAGACTCATAAAAGTAGAAGAGCAGTCAATCTGCTAGTAAATTTGCTAACACAGAATCACGACATTTTTAGTGTCGGAAAGCTCTTAAGGCCACCTTAAACTCCCATCACCTGTTTAAATGCCTCTGTAACACGTCTGATGGGTAGTTACCCAGCCTAGCTAGACAACGTCCGGTGATATCAGCGACTGTCTTGTTTAACACTCATTTCATCCTCGGCCAGATCTATTTATTACACAGTTATTCCTCACTTTGAAGCACTGAGGCTTTATATGAGTAATCCCCCATACACTCTGAGAACTACATTAGTATCCAAGAAAGGTGGCAGGAAATGTTTAAAAGGAATTATTTTTGAGCATTTGAGGTTCAAACAGAAAGCTGATATAAGTAAAAGAAGCCTGCCAGCTTTAAAGCAGAAGCAAAGGCCAAGGGAATTGAGTACAGCATTCAAAGATGGGCTGGCACTGGTGGATGGCTATGGAGCATGTTCTGGGTAAAGGACAAAGAGCAACAGAGTAAAAAGTTAGGAGACATCAATGGGAAAGTCCAAGGGACCGCATAAAACCGTTCAAGGCAGCACTTTGATATCAACCGTGTCAAGAGGCCCTATCGGTAAAGTAGACCAAAATCACTAAAACTAAGATTATTTACATTTTGGTATATAATATCTTATTCTGGCCCGGCATGGTGGCTTACGCCTGTAATCCCAGCACTTTGGGAGGCCGAGGTGGGTGGATAACTTGAGGTCAGGAGTTCGAGACCAGCCTGGCCAACATGGTGAAACCCCATTTCTACTAAAAACACAAAAATTAGCCAGGCATGGTGGCGCATGCCTGTAGTCCCAGCTACTCGGGAGGCTGAGGCATGAGAATCGCTTGAACCTGGGAGGCAGAGGTTGCAGTCAGCCAAGATCACACCACTGCACTCCACCCTGGGCGATAGAGTGAGATGCTGTCTCAAAAAAACATATCTTATTCAGCAAATTTACTCACTTTTTACTAAGTTGATAATAACTTGCATGATTGATCCTTGTGTATTACATTGGGTGAGTGAAAAGACAGAAGGAGAAGTCATAATCCTGTAAACCACCAAGAAATGCAAGGACAGGCCGGACGCGGTGGCTAATGCCTGTCATCCCAGCACTTTGGGAGGCCGAGGCGGGTGGATCACCTGAGGTCAGGAGTTTGAGACCAGCCTGGCCAACATGGTGAAAACCCGTCTCTACTAAAAATACAAAAATTAGCCGGGTGTGGTGGTATGCCCCCGTAATCCCAGCTACTCAGGAGGCCAAAGCAGGAGAATCGCTTGAACCCGGGAGGCGGAGGTTGCAGTGAGCTGAGATCGGGCCACTGCACTCCAGCCTAGGCGACAGAGCGAGACTCTGTCTCAAAAAAAAAAAGAAAGAAAGAAAGAAAGAAATGCAAGGATAGCAAATATGCTAGGTGCCTGGAAAATTACAATCTGGAAACAAAATTACCAAGGCTGGATTTATGATCCCAGTCCTCAAGCATTTCACAGTCCAGAACTTCTTTAGAGACAACATGGTATCATGGGAGGAATACTGGAGTAGATGCAAGAAGGCATGTTCCCTGATAGTGTACTTGTGTGTGATCCTGGCCAAGTCTTCTAACTTCTCTGAACCTGAGCTTTTTAATTTGTACAATGAGGATTAGGAAAGGTAAACGAGACAGCTGGTAATATCTGTTCTAAAATTCTGATTGTGTGCCCCTGGACAAACACAACTATTCCTTGTCATTTTTGCCTCCTTAGTAGGTAGGTTGTAAGAGTCAAGTGAGATGTGTGTGAAAGGTCTTTGAAACCTTAAGAAGCTATGCAAATAAGATGTGGCAGAGTGGATGCCTAGTGAATGCCTATACAGTTGTTTCCATTTAAAAGATACTTTATTATTTACAGGTATAATATCTGATGTGATCTTCCCAACAAGTTTATAAAGTGAGGTAGCTATTGATATCCTCATTTGCTAGTGGAGGAAACAGGTTCAAAGAAGACGTATTGTTTTAAGCTTCAAAGTGACCCCAGGGGCAGACTGGGTGGCTCTTCGCCCTTTCTCATAAACTTCTCATCAACTCTCATCAACTAAGAGTCCTCTTTTCCATTTCCTCCTTAGATACATCAGCGCTGTTCTACCCAAAGCAGGAAGAAATCAAATATTTACTTAGTACTCACTCTAAATAGTCTCTGTAAGAGAAACTGGAGCTATGGAAAGGAAAACCAAAAAGATATTTAGATACATATAGTCACACAGAAAGATGGTGACAGAGTCTCATTTGAATTTTAGAAGTGAAAGAGATAGTGTAGCTCATGTAGCCCAACAAATAAGAAAACTGAGAACAGGATCACACAAAAAATAGCTAAAGAAAGGATGGAGAACCTCTTGCTTCCAGCTTAGTATGCAACTTCTGCAGGTACTACTCCTTTAGTTCACTGCCCAAATTATTTGCTTAGTGACTTGAATTTTCTCCTTCTTCTCCCCAGGTATCAAAGCCTGAGAGTCAACTATTCATAACAGTTACCAAACACGCAGCTCTGATTTGCATGACTTGGGACGAGGCCACCGATGGGGACACAGCATCCAAGGGGACTTACAAGGCATGAATGGGTAGTCTGACTAGAGTTAAATCAAGGAAGTTAAGAGATAATACTGATTACACTGTAGTGTTTTCATGATACTACATCTGTAAAATAACCACATAGAAAAAATAAACGGAGGAGAGAACAAGTACATAAAGTTAATCATCAATTGTTCTCAAAAGTGAACAGGGGACAGTGATTACCCCACTGGAAAAAGCCACGGAAAACTGATACATAACAAAGATAGCAATGCGTATCAGTAGGAAAACAATGGATTTTTAAAAATAAATCACACTGGAACAACTAGACCTCCTCCCACTACCTGACGCCATACACAAAACTCAATTCTAAGAGTATGAAAGACCTCAATGTAAGAGACAAAAATACAAAGATTTTAAAAGGCAATATAGGAGAATATCTTCATGATCTTGGCATAAAAAAGGATTTCTTAAACAAGACATAAAAAGCACTAATCATACACATACATTAAATTTTTAAAAATCCTTTTACTTAAAGAAACCATAAAGAAAGTAAAAACCAAGCCACAACTGGGAGCAGATATTTACAGTATATGTAACTGACAAAGGACTAATATCCAGAAACATGTAATGAATTCCTGTGAACACACACACACACACACACACACACACACACAGAGAGAGAGAGAGAGGGAGACACATGAACAGCATTTCCCAAAGGGCAAAGAGGAAATCCAAATGATCACTGAAGATACGTAAAATTGTTCACCCTCTTTAATAATCCAGGAAATGTACATTAAAATCACAGCGAAGGATCACTACACACCCCTAGATGACAAACACATTAAAATTAATAACGCCAAGTGTAAGAGAGGATGTGGAGCAATGGAAACTTGGTACCTGCTGGGTGCAGAGTCATTTAGTGTAAATGGTTTAGCTTTGTCTTCCACTCAGTAAATCTACCCATAAATATGTACACTAGACTTGGAGGGATTTCTGCCATCTGCACCGGGAGACACATGTAGGAATGTTCACGGGAGTGTTGTGCTAATTAGCTAAAACCCAGAAACAACCAAAATGCTCTTCAACAGTAGAATGAATAAGTACACTGTGATTTATTCACAGAACGGAATATCATACAACAACAATAAAAACTATAGGCCAGGCGCAGTCGTTCACACCTGTAATCCTAGCACTTTAGGAGGCCAAGGTAGGCGGATCACGAGGTCAAGAGATCAAGACCATCCTGGCCAATATGGTGAAACCTCGTGTCTACTAAAAATACGAAAATTAGCTGGGCGTGGTGGCATGTGCCTGTAGTCCCAGCTACTTGGGAGGCTGAGGCAGGAGAATCATTTGAAGGCAGAGGTTGCAGTGAGCCGAGATAGTGCCACTGCACTCCAGCCTGGCAATAAAGCAAGACTCCATCTCAAAAAAAAAAACAAAAACAAAAAAACAAACAAAAAAAACCCTATAAATGCATACCCACAGCTTAGCTCCCACTTAAAAGTGAGAACATGCAGTATTTGGTTTTCTGTTCCTGAGTTACCTCGCTTAGGATAGTGGCCTCCAATTCCATCCAAGTTTTTTCAAAATACATTACTTCATTCTTTTTTATGGCTGAGTAGTATTCCGTGGCATGTATATACACCATTTTCTTTATCCACTCATTGGTTGATGGGCACTTGGGTTGATTCCTTATCTTTGCAATCATGAATTGTGTTGCAATAAACATACATGTGTAAGTGTCTTTATTAATATGACTTATTTTCCTTCCTACTGGGTAGACACCCAGTAGCGGAATTGCTGGATCCAAGTGTAGATCTAGTTTAGTTGTTTAAAATATCTCTAGATCTGATAAATGAATTCATCAAATCTTAAGGTTACAAAAATTAATGTATACAAGTCAATAACACTGCTATACACCAACACAACCAAGCTGAGAATCATATCAGGAGCTCAATCCTATTTACAATAGCTAGCAAAAAAAAATACCTAGGAATATACTTAACCAACAAGGAGAACCACAAAACACTGCTGAAAGAAATCATAGATGACACAAACAAACATCTCATGCTCATGGATTGGAAATCTAAGAGAGTGGTGTAATGGACATTGGAGACTCACAAAGGGGGAAGTTGGGATGAGAATAAGGGATGAAAAATTATCTATTGGGTACAATGTACACTAATTTGGGTGATGGATACACTGAAAGCCCAGACTTCACCACTCTACAATTCATCCATGTAACTAAAAAGCACTGGTACCCCCAAAGCTATTGAAATAAAAATCAATTAATTAATTAAAACTATAAATGCATGCATCAGTCTGGAAAATCTCATAAACCTAATATTGAATGAAAAAAGCAACTTGAAAAAGAACACTTGCAGTATAACCCATTTATATAAAGACATAAACAAGCAAAACTAACTATATTCTGTAAGGATGCCAACACAGTTGTTAAACTACAAAGAAAAGAAATGATTATCACAAAAGTCAGCATAGTATTATCTACAGAGGGCAAGGAGGAGGAGGAGGGGCACATAGAGGGCAATGCTCTACTCTTTAAACTGTGTGCTGCTTATATTAGGGTTTGCTTAACTTTAAACTAGTTCATTAAACCAGGATATAGTAGTTCATTAAATAGGTTCATTAAATATGAATGAATTGGCTGGGCATGGTGGCTCATGCCTGTAATCCCAGCACTTTGGGAGGCCAAGGCGGGTGGATCACTTAAGGTCAGGAGTTTGAGACCAGCCTGGCCAACATGGTGAAACCCTCTCTCTACTAAAAATACAAAAATTAGCCAGACATGGCAGCGCATGCCTGTAATTCCAGCTACTCGGGAGGCAGAGGCACAAGAATCGCTTTAACCCAGGAGATGGAGGTTGCAGTGAGCTGAGATCACATACTGCACTCCAGCCTGGGTGACAGAGCAAGACTCCTTCTCAAAAAAAAAAAAAAAAATATATATATATATATATGTGTGTGTGTGTGTATATATATATATATGCATATGAATGAATTAATATAGTTCATTAAAATACAATATGGTATATTAAATCATGAAGTTGCTATTGTTACGTGCCAAATCTGAGCAAATATTGACAATTTCACATGCATGGTTCAACAAAAACTGAATGTGTGTGTTCATCCAATATAGTCTGTGTATGACATATTTCACAATAAAAGAATGAAAAAAGCAAGAAACAATCACTGGATAAAAGTCAGGAAACCCAGGTTCTAAGGTAACGAATTGGATTCTAACCTGAGTTATAATACCACACAGGTGCCCTTTACCCTAGATTCCACTTGTTAGTGGTTAAACACTGGACTCTGCAGATGGCAGACCACGTTTGAATCCCAGCCCAACACTTATAAGCTATGTCTCCTTGGCCCAATTAATCAATTTTTTGTCAGCGATTTCATCTTGTGTAAAGTAGAGGTAGATAACAGTACCTATATTACACAGTTATTATGAAATGTATGTAAATATGTATGTACATAAATAAAGTGTTGTCAATACTGTATATAGCTTAGCTTAATGCCTGGCACTTCATAAATAATTTATCAATGTTAGTTTTGTTACTGGGTCCCATTCTCTTCTGTCACATTTCTTCAGATGGTTTCAGAAAGGTGCAAATGAAGAATTATGTGAATATGCTTTGAAAAAAACAGAAGATTCCATGCAAGCACTATGACTGTCACTATTCTTATTCTCTTACACGTCCATATCAGTCCGTTATCATTCATCACAAGAGCAACATTATCAGCATGGAGACATTGGAGGCAAAGCAGCCAAAAGGAGTTAAGATAGAACCACCACTGCTTTCATGAAGTCTAGTGAACAGAACAGAGATTTAAACTGCATGCTCTTCCTAACCCCAGTCTCCTAGTGCAAAACTGAGAGTCTTGAACTCACAAATCCCAAGCCACCTTTCCAGGGGAGCCAGTTGTGCCAGGGAGTCAAGGTCAGCCAAGGCTTTGAGGATACCAGGAACAGAAGCTCTGAATGTGTAAGGTCCCTTTTCAGACAAAGCCACAGGCTGCCCAGACTAGGGTGGATTTCT
Organism: Homo sapiens; assembly: GCF_000001405.40. NCBI lineage: Eukaryota > Metazoa > Chordata > Mammalia > Primates > Hominidae > Homo > Homo sapiens. The sequence continues at coordinate 160,447,217 of NC_000001.11, read as the reverse complement.
GCCTCAGTAGGGCTTGCAGATGGCTTGGTTTTTTCCACCCTGAAACTCTTTTTTTTTATTCGAAGTTGTACAAACTATTTCTATATAGAACGTTAAAAAAATAAACAGGAAATGGGAGGTATCTGCTGTGGAAACAGGATGGATTGTGCCAACGGTCCCCGCCCCACCCTCGTAAACACCCCACCACCATCCCATTAGCAATAGGCACCAAAGACTGGAAACTCAGTTTAAACCTGAGACCAGAAGAAAGCTTAAAATCCGTGCTGATTCAGTTTCAACCAGTTTAGTTTAAAAACCAAACAAAACGAAAAATAGGCATGTGGAAAGAAGGCAAGTTATGTAGAAATGTAAGCATAGCATAGTTCTCTCATTCATATTTCAGGTAAGAACCTCAAGTTTTGTATTATAGTTTGGCTGGTACTGTTGGGTGAATTAAGAGAATGCAACAGACTTCCCAAAATTCAATGCAAAGTACTCAGTTACACCCTTCCAAAAATTTCCTAAGATCCCCTCAGCCCATAATGTCACAGATGCCTGGATCTAATCTCTGGGCCATTACCTTGTTGGGTTCATCCTTTACTGGTGTAAAAACAAACCTTGACAACCCCCAGTAAGTCCCAATGCAATTCTAGAAACTCAAAAGAAACCAAACACTAATAAAACATCAAAATGAAAAGAAATACTGAGACTGACAGCCTGGGCAACATAATGAGACCCCATCTCTGCAAAAGAAAAAAAAATTTTTTTTTTTTTGAGATGGAGTCTCGCTCCGTCACCCAGGCTGGAGCGCAGTGGCACATTCTCAGCTCACTGCAGCCTCTGCCTCCTGAGTTCAAGCTATTCTCCAGGCATGAGCCACCGTGCCTAGCCCCCAAAAAACTTTTTAAATTAGCTGGGTAAAATGGTGCACGCCTATAGTCCCAGCTACTCAGGAGGTTGAGATGGGAGTGTCGCTTGAGCCTAGGAGTTCAAGGTTGCAGTACCACGCCACTACACCCCAGTCTGAGTGACAGAGCAAGACCCTATCTCTAAAAAAACAAAAAACACTAAGACTGAATACAATACACCACATTGTTCTTCCCTCACTTCATTTACATTGTCTTTTACCCAGAGGATGCCCTTCTAAAGATGATGTTTACATAGGTATATTTTATATATATATATGAATGAATGAATACAGTTCATTAAAATACAATGTAGTATATTAAATCATGAAGTGACATGAAGTGACTCTATTTACAGTGACTAGTTTAGTCATAGATAATTATTTAGATAATTTAGAAATTATTAATTTATATCAGGTAGTGATGCTAATGAACTCCAGAAAGTGTAGCCCAAAGGTAAGAAATTGTCAATGGTTCTGCTGCTGTTGAATTACCTTATACAGACCACCTGCAAAAGTGGTCAGTATGGACATACTGTATGCATTATTCTCTATCCTAGACCTTGCATGAAAAAGGCCCTAGCTGCTCAGTTCACTGGCCAAAACTCACCTTAGCCCAGTTCCGTTGTTACTCACAAACACCAACTCCAGTGTTTAAAATTGAGTGAAGATTATGGTTCAGCTACAGACATAGCAACATATGAAGAAGGTTCTTACTTGTCTAGCAAAACCTTATTCCAGACTGGGATAGTGATAGTGAAGTTAAAATTGAGATATCATCCCATTAGTCACTTGACACATATCCAGTTGCTGAGCTTGGAGTGGCATGTTGCAAGTGATGGGAAACCTGGCAAATCTTAATGACCACTTTTCTTCATCAGTTTATTTCAGGGACTCTATAGCCATCTACCCTATTATTTTGGCCTACTTATTACCTTACAGTGGTTGAGGGACCACAATGATAAAACAACAACCCCTCCTGCCCTCCTGTCTGTGATGTGTTGCTCCTATGTGGAGCTTGTAAAACTGAATTCTTATGTAGTAGGCCTATTGAGGTTCCAAGGAAAAATTTCATCCCTTTGGGTAAGAGTAAAGTTTTTCCTGAAGGGAAGGTCTTAACCATGCTATGGAAAAGTAAGTGGAAAGTAATGATGAGTCTGCTGTTGGGCCAGAATGAAGATGCCCATGGACAAGGCAAATGGGGAACCAAGATACAAGTTGGAGAATTGTTACCTGGAGCCACGCTACATAGGTCATGTGAAGTCTCACTATACAGACAGTGCCAGACTTAACAACTTAATATTTTTTAACTTTTTGAGGGTGCAAAGGCAATACACATTCAGTAGAAACTGCACTTTAAATATCCATATAACCATTCTGGTTTTCACTTTCAGTACAGTAGTCAACAAATTACATGAGATATCAACACTTTTTTATAAAATAGGCTTTGTGTTAGATGAGTTTGCCCATTTGTAGGCTAATGTAAGTGTTCTCAGCACTTTTAGCTAGGCTAAACTATAATGTTCAGTGCATTTTTGACTTGAGATATTTTCAATTTATGATGGATTTATTGGGACATAATCCCATTATAAGTTGAGGAATATCTGTATTGGCAAACTTGTTATTTTATCAAGCAAGTCAGCAGATTTCTTTACAACCAATAATCAAAAATTATGTGCATTGTTGATTAAATTAAATAACAAAAAATGCTTTGGAAATTTAAGTGCTATTCAAATATTCAATTAGCTTGAACATTTGAATAGTATAACTTTCAAATCTCCTAGCAAAGTTAGCAGCACTACACAGAATCACGTTTTTTAAAATTTCAAATCAGTTAAGAAAAGGATAATAATAAACACCTGTGTAGTCAGCACCTACTTTAATAAATAAAAATTACCATACAGTATAAAATTAGATACATAGACCAGTGGAAAAGAATAGAGACCCCAGAAATAAAGCCAAATGCTTACAACCAACTAACCTTTGACAAAGCAGACAAAAACATAAATTAGGGAAAGGTCACCCTATTCAATAAATGGTGCTGGGAAAATTGGATTGCCACATGTAGAAGAATGAAACTGCATCGCTATCTCTCACCATATACAAAAGTTATCTCAAGATGGATCAAAGACTAAATCTAGATGATAACCTAGGAAAAACTTTTCTCAACATTGACCTAGGTAAAGAATTTATGACAAAGACCCCAAAAGCAAATGCAACAAAAATAAATAAATGACGTCTAATTAAACTAAAAAGCTTCTGCTTAGCAAAAGAAATAATCATCAGAGTAAACCTACATAATGGGAGAAAACATTTGCAAACTATGCATCCAACAAAGGCCTAATATCTACAAGGAATCTACAAGAACTTAAACAAATCAGCAAGAAAAAAACAAATAATCCCATAAAAAGTGGGCAAATGACACGAATAGACATTTATCAAAAGAAGGCATACAAATGGCTAACAAACATGAAAAAAAAAAAGCTCAATGCTGTTAATCATCAGGGAAATGCAAATTAAAACCACAATGAGACACCACCTTACTCCTGCAAGAGTAGCCTTTTTTTTTTTTTTTTTTTTTTTTTTTCTGAGGCAGATTCTTGTTCTGTTGCCCAGGCTGGAATGCAGTGGCATAATCTCGGCTCACTGCAACCTCTGCCTCCCGGGTTCAAGTGATTCTCCTGCCTCAGCCTCCCGAGTAGCTGGGATTACAGGTGCCCACCACCACGCTTGGCTAATTTCTGTATTTCTAGTAGAGACGGGGTTTCACCATGCTGGCCAGGCTGGTCTTGAACTCCTGACCTCAAGTGATTTACCCACCTCGACCTCCCAAAGTGCTGGGATTACAGGCGTGAGCCACTGAGCCCAGCCAAGAATAGCCATTATTAAAAAGTCAGAAAACAATAGATGTTGACATGGATGTGGTGAAAAGGGAATGCCTATTCACTCCTGGTGGGAATGTAAATGAGTACAACCACTACGGAAAACTATGGAGATTTATCAAAGAACTGAAAGTAGATCTGCCATTCACTTTGGCAATCACACTACCGGTTATCTCCCCAAAGGAAAAGTAGTCAATATATCAAAAAGACACTTGGACATGTATGTTTATTGCAGCACAATTCACAACTACAAAGATAGGGAACCAACCCAGTTGCCCATCAAGCAATGAGAGGATTTTTTAAATGTGATATATATGTATACCATGGAATACTACTCAGCCATAAAAAAGAATGAAATAACACCTTTTGCAGCAGCTTGGAGCCAGAGGCCATTATTCTAAGTGAAGTAACTTAGGAATGGAAAACCAAATATCACATGTCCTCACTTACAGGTGAGAGCTAAGCTATGGGTATGCAAAGGCATACAAAGTAAGTCTAATGGGCATTGGAGACTCAGAAGCAGGAAGGGTGGAAGGGGGTGAGGAATAAAAAGCTACATATTAGGTATAATGTACACTACTCACGTGACAGGTGCACTAAATTCTCAGACTTCAGCACTGTACAATTCTTCCGTGTAACTAAAAACCACTGGTACCCCAAAAGCTATTGAAATTAAAAAATAGATATTAATTTAAAAAGAAAGAAACAAAGAAAAGGTGAATTTGTTGTTAGTCCCAATGTCTAAGGAAAAACAGAGATTAATAGCAAGCAGATGTTTAAATGGGTGAGGGCAATATTTCCTTATTGTAAGAGACATATATCTTAAACAGAGGCCTTACTAATAGCTTAACGGGATTAGACCCCTCTCAGTAAAGTCCAAACAATGTCTTTTTGGAATGAAACTTGATTCTCATCCATTGAGTCAGGGCTTCTTGAACTCTGAATGAATTGCCCTTAATGCTTTATAATAATTTAAGACGACATTATCCATCACATGGATGTCTCACCAGTGCATGGCCATTAGTAACCAGACATCTCATGAACCTACTTGTTCATATTTCATTTGAGAATAGTGCTAGCCTTATATTTGTTATAACAGTCATGTTCATTATATTTATGGACAGAACATCTGGTCACTGTACTTTGAATGAATAAACTGCTATACCTGTTGGCCAGTTTTAAGTTCCATTAGTGTTTTATTGCCTTCATTTAATTTTGTAAGAAATTAAAGGCAGTGAAAACATTGATAAATCTTGAGGTTTTCAGATTTTATAATCTGTTCCATAAAATGTGTGCCCAGATTACTATTAATAGACAAGGATATTGCAAACTGAGAAATAGTGTCTTTTAGAGATCGCTTGCAGAGCATCAAATAAGCCCTTACTTATGAACATACTAGATGAACATCCTATAAAGATACACATAGTCACTAAAGCATATGTAGGTGAACAACACTTTGCTTATATAAATCAATCCAACTATTTACTAATGCCCCCCACAAGGGGAGCTGAGCTGCCCCCTTTCCCCTAAGGCCTGATAGAGGATAACCTGTACAATACCATTGAATAACTCTGGGCTCATGAAGCAAACCAGCCATGCCTAATAATTCCTTTTGCCCTTTCTTTGTTCACAATTGCCATATGATAGACCACACAAGCTTGGTGCTACCAAGCATCTACCTAAGGAGCCCCAAAGACTATGGGTGAAAAAAAAAAGCAAAAACAAAGTCATTCTAATGGTCTCCAAAAATTCTGAATATGAGATCTGATTTTGGAGAAGAGAAACATTTGATAGAATTACCAGGGGAATATAGTCAATTGATAATGGTCATAACAAAGATACTGGTGAGTAAAAAAGTCCAGAGTTATTAACCAAAACAACGATTTTATTACAACCACAACAAGAGGGTAAGAAAAGAACCTTGAGAAATGCTTGTTCTTCCAGGAGTAAGAAACCCTTGTTTTCACAATCAATGAAATATCCGAAAGCATAAAACCAGAGTCAACTTAAATGTTAATTTTTTTTTTTTTTGAGACAGGGTCTCCCTCTGTCACCCAGGCTGGAGTGCAGTATGTGATCTCAGCTCACTGCAGCCTCGACACCCCAGGCTCAGGTGATCCTCCCAACTCAGCCTCCCAAGTAGCTGGGGCTACAGGCATGGCTAATTTTTGTATTTTTTGTAGAGACGGGGTTTTGCCATGTTGCCCAGGATGGTCTCAAACTTCTGGGCTCAAGCAATCCACCTGCCTCAGCCTCCCAAATTGGTGGGATTACAGGCATAAGCCACCATGCCCGGCCTTAAATGTTAATTTTGAGAAGAGGGCCCACTCTGGCAGAGCAATGTTCTGCTAACTGAACAAAATACATGGAAACAAACAAAAAACAGACTCTTTAGCACCTCACAAGAGGCACAGACTCATAATCAAAGGCAAATCTTCACTTCTTTTCAGCTACTAGTCCTAGTATGACATTCACATTGTTTGATAGCCAAAACAATATTTTAAATGATGGTATTTATCTAAATCTTTAAAATTCTCATTTATAAAGCATATTATCAAGTATTTTATTTTAAATGTTTATAATGTATTGATTTTATTATCTTAATGTGATTGATTACAGAAGAAATATTAAAAAATAGAGATTAAAAACACATGAGCACTATACAGTGGCTATGTACTATATGTCTTATGTCTTGATTTTAAAGTTTTTAAAAATTGCCAGATTTATTAATTCAATATTATACTATACATTTATTGAGTATTAATTTAATATTCTATTGCATTCAAAGTCCATTAAGAAACTTCAAAAGTATATTTAAATCAATATTCAGGTGCAATACACTATTAAGAAATGGGGTTGGGCACAGTGGCTCAGGCCTGTAATCCCAGTACTTTGGGAAGCTGAGACAGGAGGATCGCTTGAGACTGGGTCTTCAAGACCAGCCTGGGCAATATAGCAAGACCTTGTCTCTGCAAGAAAAGAAAAATAGAAAATTAGCTGGACTCCTGCTTGAGCCCAGGAGTTGAGGCTGCAGCGAATCATGATCCTGCCACTGCACTCCAGTCTGGGCAACACAGTGAGAGCTTGTCAAAAAAAAAAAAAAAAAAAAAAAAGAAAAAGAAAAAGCAAGAGAAGGAAGGAAGGAACAAAGGAAGGAAAGAAAAGGTCAGAAAACCAATAACACCTTAAAACTGTACACGTACAGTATAAATGGATTAGCTCTGTAGGTCTATATAATCTGCAATATTGCCTAAGATTTCTATAAAAGAACCGGTTATACAGATATACCACTTATTTAAATTATAACTCAATGTAGTTGCATATATCTATGTTTAGATTTACATATTTTTAAATAATGGATAGGCGATAATTACTTATTTCACTTATAGGACAATTGTTAATTAGTTCTAATTAACTATCTTAGAACTATCTTAATTAACTATCTTAATTCAACTGAAATTTAGATAGTTCCATTTAATTTAGTTTTTTGTTAAAACAGAAATACAAATTATTGAATTAATTAATATGCCATGCTTGCATTTTTATTTCATGCTGTGGAAAAAACAGCAAAAAAAGGTAGACATAATTTAACCCCAAATTCACAAAATAATTTAATTTATTACATGGTTTCTTTTTATTAGGAGTGTAAGTAAAACTTAATTAAAATTAAGTTCTCTTATCGTTTTACCAAATTATACTAAAACTTTCTACAGCTTGGTACAAAAAAGCTTCTTTTAGCCTTTTAAAATTGTAACTAAATTGTAAATTTAAATTTATAACTCAAATTGTAATAAATCTATCATTTTTACCTTTATACAAAGCAAAGAAATTGAGGCCTGGAGTCTCTTGCATTTCTTTGTAATCGAATTTAGATTGATTTTTTTCCTCCTTGGAAGTCTTTGATATCCCCCCAGGAGATTTGCAGTAAGCTGATGTCCACTTGTGCTGACAACCTTTCGCCATTTGAAAAGCAATTCCTAGCTTGCTTCTGAGAGCTGGTAGAAATTGAATGTCTGCCTCGGGACACCAAATTATCATGCAACGCAAACTGTCCATCATGAACTGGGTGTTTTCTGAACCACCAAATATAAAACTGAATTACCTAACAGGAATTCATTATAAAACAGAAGTGGAATATACAAAAATGGGTCTGAACAGGTCCAGAATACACAAGTATGCTGCATAAGCAGGGGACTTTGTAATTCCAGCTACTCTTCCACCTCTCCCTTGCTCTACACCGACGGCCTCATGAGGAATTCCCTATGAACAGTTAATGGAGGAAGAAAGAGCATGGGCCTGGATTTGCATGCTATGTCAGCCCCAGATGAATGAGAATGGCCTCTCCACTACAGTGAACCTCACTCAGTAGAGGCTTCAAAGTCAGTAATGAAAGAAAATCTCTCCAGCAGGCAGAACTTGAAGCAGCATATCTAGTTGTACACTTTGTTTGGAAGGAGAGATTGCCTGAGGTACATATCTACATTGAATCATGGGCAGCATGTTAACAGGTTGACCACCTTGTCAGTCACTTAAATGAAAAACAATATTGGAAAAGCAGTAAAAAGGAAGTCTGGGAAAGAACTACATAAAGTGGTCACAGTATTAAGATATTTGTGTCTCAAGTAAACGCTCTTTAAAATACTAGGGTTTCCTAATCCCAGGGTTCCTCAACCATGACATAAACTTACTGTATGCAGAGCATCCAGATTGGCTGCTCCGTATCACCCAGTGGAACTTAGAGGCAAGGAGAACTAATGCAAATATGAAGTTCATGCTACCTGCTGGGCCAAGTGTAATAAAGTCCTTTGTCTCTGACCCAGGAGTCTCATGTTTTTTGTCAGTACCCATGAAACTAACAGACAAACTTATTAGTTTAGAAGTGGCATAAAATCTCAGGCTTTTCATAGTTGTTGGAAGTTCTGGCAATGAGGACGAGATGCTGACAGAGATAGGGCTTTCGGGAAGAGGAAAGTACAATGGCCCTTTTGCAGGCCTGTTTGGAAGATCTGAGAGACTCCTGGGGATCCAGTAGTGACTGTTCTCATCCAAGTAGTGAGTGAGAGGTGGAGAATGAGGATACCCACTGTTCTACCTGTTAATGGGGCTGAGGGGTATTAGTTTGGATTGAAGCAAGCTGTCCAAATGGTATTTGTTCTTTCTCCTCTGGGCAGAAGGAGGGAGGGCTATTATTATGATGAAACAGTAAGCCCCATGGCACAAGCCAACAAGCAATAAGGCAGTGGCCACTAGTTAAGGGGTCCCCACAGCTAAAATAAATGGTGTTGGTAGTGAGGATATAGATGTTTGGGTAGACCACAAACAGAATTTGTTTACGTGAACCTGGATCACCACCAGTCACTTGAAACTGAAAGTAAGCGCAGATTGCTTACTGACACAGATCCGTACTCAAGAGCCTGGTAAAATCATTGCTCTCTGCCCCACAGACAAACATTATCTTTATCTCCCTAGGCTACTAATTTCTATAGTAAGTGTGAAATATCTCTTAGATGTCTTTGTGAAGATGTCAAATAAGCACTTAGATTTATAAGTCTAGAATTCTGGGGAGAAGTCAGGGCAAGAAATAGAGATTTGGGAGTACTTGGTATATAACTAACATTTATTGGGTACTTACTACATGCCAGGCATATCTAAGTAGTTTATGAATATTTTCTGAGTTACACTCCCAACATCCCTGTGAGGTTGGCACTGTGTTATTGTCTTCATTTTAAAGATAAAGAAACAGAAAATTTCCTCAAGGCCACATAGCTACTGGGAGCAAAACCAGAAGAAAAACCCAGGCAGGTTGACCCCAGAGCCCATGTTCATTACTACTATGCTGTGCTATCTGGTACACAGACGGTATTTAAAGCCTTGGGATGAGATGAGGATACCCATGGGTAGTATGTAGAAAAGAGAAAAGGGGACTGAAGTACTGCAACATTTAATGATGTCCTTCAGAATTTCCAATTCCTCCTGTCTGGTTCTGTATTTAATAGACAAATGCTAATTTATCAATTTGAACTGTCCCATCAGGAATATACCTGTACAAATGACCAACTCCAGTTCCCAAACTAGATCTATCAGTTGTTATAAATTGATAAATTAACATTCTTATTTATAATTGCTCTTTTATATGTATGGCTGGTTTTATTCCATTTCCAGAATGTTATTTCCCTTTGATTACTTAATGAAGACAGAATGTCTGGACCAGTAATGACCTCCTAAGATACTGACACTCTGTGAGGTACTATCTGAGGCAAACAGGACTTCTTGGACATCTCTTTGACCACAATATGGCACCATACCAGGAATCTGAGGAAGCAGAGGTTCCACATGGTTTGCTGAAAATTCAAGGGGAAAACAACATCTGAACTGAAAATGCTTAACTCAGAGCTCTCCTCAAATAGTAAATACTATTTCAGAAACGGTTGGTAAGCTTTGGCAAGACGCTGCCCTCAGAAAGAACCATGGCAGCTGAGAAATAGCAAGTACCAGGTATGGGTTCTGTGGTATAAACATGAGGGGCTCCACAAAGGTCCTCTTCTCTTTAGTGTCGAGCAATTATGTGTACATATACACAGCGTACATTAGATGTTCCAATTCTTCTCCCTGTCTTTGATTTTATTCTTAAAACAAAAGATTCATTTGTAACTTTTATTTCAGTTGCCATCAGAGTCTTAGTAAAATAGCAGTCCCTTAGTTGTTCAGAAATTCATTTTTATTTTTAATTATATGGCTACGTAATAGTTGTATATATTTACAGAGCACATATGATGTTTTGATACAGACATATAGTATGTAATGATCAAATCAGGGTAATTGGGGTATCCATCATCTCAAGCATTTATTTATCATTTATTTGTGTTAAGAACATTCCAATTCCCCTATTTTAGTTATTTTTAAATATACAATAAATTGTTGTTAACTACAGTCACCTTATTGTGCTACCAAATACTACAACTTATTCATTCTATTTAACTGTACTGTTATATCCATTAACCACTCCCTGTTTATCCCCCTGTACCTACTATTCTCCCCAGCTTCTGGTAAACATCATTCTAGTCTCTCTCTCCATAACTTCAATTTTTTTTAGCTCCCATATGTGAATGAGTACATGTGATGTTTGTCTTTTTGTGCCTGGCTTATTTTACTTAATATAATGTCCTCCAGTTCCATCCATATCGTTGCAAATAACAGAATTCCATTGTATATATGTACCACATTTCCTTTATGCATTCCTCCATTGATGGACATTTAGGTTGCTTCCATATCTTGGTTATGGTAAATAGTACTGCCATAAACATGGGAGTGCAGACATCTCTTCGAAATACTGATTTCCTTTCTTTGGGCGTACACCCAGCAGTGGGATTGTTGGATCATATAGTAGTTCTGTTTTTAGTTATTTGAGGAACCTCCATACTGTTCTCCATAGTGGCTGTACTAATTGACATTCCCACCAACAGTGTACAAGCATTCCCCTTGCTATACATCCTTGCTAGCCTTCTCAAGAAATCTTTTGACAACTTCCAAGGTCCAATTACTTTGACACTCAATTTTTAGACAGCAATTTCTTGGATAGAGTTTGGTTATTGAAGAGAATGAGGAAGCTCTTCCCAGTCAAAAAGATGTTGTGCCCCATCCTTTATTTCAAGGAAACCTTTCCTGACAACCTTGGTCAGTTTCCTACTGTAAGATCCCATAGTCCCCTATACTTCATCACTACATTCATCACCTTTGAAATTAAGTGATTACTATCTGAGAACAAAGACTATGTCCATGTTATTCAGTGCCATGCCACCAATACCTAGCATAGCTCCTGGCACATAGAAGGTGCTCAACAAATATTGGTTAAATGACAGAATGAGTGAAAAACAGTAAACACAGATAAGACAGTTTCCAGCAACATTTAACTACAAGGTCGTTAAGATCTTGAAGTTTGTACAGTGACCACCACTTGGGCAAAGAAACTTGAGAACATATTTCTAAATTATTGATATATGATGCTACCTACAATTATTGAAATATGGTGTTACTTTTGTGAAAGGAAAATAAATCTTGGGGCCCCAAAATCACTAACCTAAATGGAAAAGTCAAGCGAGGAACTGCTTAAGGCAAACCTGCCTCCCATTCTATTCAAAGTCACCCCTCTTCTCACTGAGATAAATGCATATCTGAGTGCCTCCTTCGGAGAGGCTAATCAAAAATTCAACAGAATGCAACCATTTGTCTCTTATCTACCTATGACCTGGAAGCCCCCCTCCTCACTTCGAGTTGCCCCACCGTTGCTTCAAGTTGTCCTGCCTTTTCCAGACCAAACCAATGTTCATCTTACATACATTGACTAATGTCTCATCTCTCCCTAAAATGTATAAAATCAAACTGTATTCTGACCACCTTGGGCACAGGTCATCATGACCTGAGGCTGTGTCATGGGCATGTGTCCTCAACCTTGGAAAAATAAAGTTTCTAAATTAACTGAGACATGTCTCAGATATTCAAGGATCACACTTTCATTCTATACCCATAGCAATTAATGCAAATATTGAAGTACATTAAGTCACCTTATCTGAAACTATCTAAATATGGTAAAACTCATGAATTTCCTCTGTTCTATTGGTCATTGATATGGTTTGGCTGAGTCCCCACCCAAATCTCATCTTAAATTTTTGTTCCCGTAATCCTCATGTGTCATGGGAGAGACCAGACGGAGATAATTGAATCGTGGGGGTGGTTACCCTCATGCTGTTCTCATGATAGTGAGTTCTCACAAGATCTGATGGTTTGATAAGGGGCTGCCCCCTTCAGTTGGCACTCACTTCTCTCACCTGCCGCCATGTAAGACATGCCTGTTTTGCCTTCTGTCATGATTGTAAGTTTCCTGAGGTTTCCCTAGTCATGAGGAACTGTGAGTCAATTAAACCTCTTTTCTTTATAAATTATCCAGTCTTGAGTATATCTTCATAGCAGCATGAAAACAGACTAATACAGTAAATTGGTACAACAGAGAGTGGGGTACTGCTATAAGGATATCCAATTATGTGGAAGTGACTTTGGAACTGGGTAACAGGCACACGTTAAAACAGTTTGGAGGGCTCAGAAGAAGACAGGAAACTTTGGAACTTCCTAGAGACTTGGAGGGCTCAGAAGACAGGAAAATGTGGGAAAGGTTGGAAGTTCCTAGAGACTTTTTGAATGGCTTTGACCAAAATGCTGATAGTGATATGGACAATGAAGTCCAGGCTGAGGTGGTCTCAAATGGAGATGAGGAACTTGTTAAGAACTGAAGTAAATGTCACTCTTGCAACGCAAAGAGACTGGCAGCATTTTGGCTCTCATTCCCTCTCCTGCCACAAAGTGAAGAAGGATGTGTTTGCTTCCCCTTCCACCAGAATTGCAAGTTTCCTGAGGCCTCCCCAGCCATGAGAAACTGAGTCAATTAAACCAGTTTCGGGTATTTCTTCATAGCAGCATGAGAATAGACTAATACAGTCATGTTGGCAAAAAAATTTCTAGCCAAAGATAATTTATATTGGAAACTGCTCCTTCAATTTCTATGGCCTTTAGTGATAAGATCTCATTTTGGCCCTTTTTTTGTGTCATTATTAACGTCTCATGGATCAGTTAAGTTGCATACTGAACTGCTTTTGTATAAACTCCACACGTAAGGCCTATCTCACAACATATCATTTAAGATTCTCATAAAATCACAATTTGATACAGGTGGCACAATTTTATAGCATGAGCAACAATGACCTTACCAAACTATTTATTACATTCATAAAATTTAGACCTCTTAACAATTTTGATCTCTTGCATCAATTATCTTAGAGTTAAGTAAGGCGTGTTTAGGACCCTCAAATTTTCAGGGGTATATTAAGCTTCTTTTAGGGCCTTGCTGCTCAAAATAAGGTCTGTAGAACATCAGCAGCAGCACCTGGTGCTTTATACTGTGTTGCCCCAGAATGCATATGTTGAAGCCTAACCCCCAATTTGATGTTATTTGGAAATGCGGCCTTTGGGAGGTAATTAGATTTAGATGAGGTTATGAGACTAGGGCCCTCGTGATGGAATTAGTGCCCTTATAAGAAGAGACATAAGAAACCTCGCTCTCTCACTCTCTCTCTCTCTCTCTCTCTCTCTCTCTCTCTCTGCCATGTGAGGGCACAGCAAGAAAGCAGCATCCTATAAGCCAAGAAGAGATCCCTCATCAGATCCTAACCATGCTTGCCAGCCCAATCTCGGACTTCCAGCCTCAAGAACTATGAGGAATAAATTTCTGGATTTTAAGACCCCCAGTCAGTCTATGGTATTTTGTTACAGCAGCCTGAGCTGACTAAGACACCTGGGCACCTGTTTGAAATGAAGAAACTCAGACCCTACCCAGACCTGTTGAATCAGGGTCTGTATTTCACATAATCCCCAAGTGATTTGTACACTTGCTATACGCACCATTAAAGTTTGAAAAACTCTATTTTGGGGACCTATTTCAAGACAGAGTAAAAACCCGATGAACATTTCAATTCCAGGAAAAAGGTTGCCCAGGGTCGAATTCTTCAATATGCTCCAAACCAGAAGTACACAATCTCGTACCAGTCACTGAAAATGAATTCTACAAGCTCAGCTTTCCCTGATGATACAGTTTGGATCTGCTTTCACTTCAACTGGATTCCATCTTTGAGGCCAGAGGTACTGTGTTAAGATATAAGTAAACTGACAGAAGACAAGAAGTCCTTCAACAAGTGTTCTTTATTACAGTAAAAACCATCCCAGCCAACCCCACCCTAAAATCACACATTCTTATGTCAAAGAGAACTAACATTAACAGGAACTTGAAAGGAGTGAAAATCTTCACTAAGTTAAATCACATGTTTCCTGACTCATTTAAGTCCCCTCATGCAAATTTTTGGTTGTCACAGTATTATTGATGGACCAACAGAGCTTCAGCTTCCTCTTCAGTGGTCTTTAACAGATTTCCAAGCTCCATAGTGACACTGTTAAGGGATTCAGGGGAAACAGCACACACCTGCATTTTTTTCCCCTGAATCACAAGTACCTATAATACTATCACTTTTATTACTAGAGCGGTGTCTAGAATTAGGTAAAGTTGTGCTTGATGTCTTCTTAGTCAGGTTTTTTTAAATAGAGTTTGTTTGTAATTTATTTATTTATTTTTGAGATGGAGTCTTGCTCTGTTGCCCGGGCTGGAGTGCAGTGGCACAATCTCAGCTCACTGCAGCCTCCACCTCCCGGGTTCAAACGATTCTCATGCCTTGACCTCCCGAGTTGCTGGAATTACAGGCGCATTCCACCAAAATAATTTTTGTATTTATAGTAGAGACAGCGGGGGAGGGTTTCACCATGTGGGCCAGGCTGGTCTCGAACTCCTGATCTCAAATGTAAATAGCCTTTTTAGAGTAGTTTTAGTTTCATGTGAAAATTGAGTGGAAGGTACAGGGATTTTTTATACATGCCCTGCCCCCACACTTGCATGGACTCTCCCATTATCTACATCCCCCACCAGAGTGGTACATTTGTTCCAATTAATCACTCAAAGCTTATAATTTACATTAGGCTTCACTACTGGTACTGTATATCCTATGGGTTTGGAAAAATGTATAATGCCAAGTATCCACATTTATAGCACATACACAGTAGTTCCACTGCCCTAAAAAATCCTAAAACCACATACTTTTAACCACATACTTACCCTAAGTGAAGCAGCAGCATGACCTAATTGTGCCCAAAAGCAAGAAGGGACAATACACAACCGAAGATCTCATACTCCTAATTTTTTTTTTCTTTTTTCTTTTCTTTCTTTTCTTTTTTTTTGAGACAGAGTTTCACTCTTATCACCCAGGCTGGAGTGCAGTGGCCCAATCTCGGCTCACCACAACCTCTGCCTCCCGGGTTCAAGTGATTCTCCTGCCTCAGCCTCCCAAGTAGCTGAGATTACAGGCATGTGCCACCACGCCCAGCTAATTTTTGTATTATTAGTAGAGACGTGGTTTTACCATCTTGGCCAGGCTAGTCGCGAACTCCTGACCTCAGGTGATCCACCCGCCTCGGCCTCCCAAAGTGCTGAGATTATAAGCGTGAGCCACTGCGCCCAGCCATACTCCTAATTTTTATAACCTTATAACCAAAGTCATTCCCCTTACAGGATATCAGAGTACAGATGGCTATTTTTGACAAGTGACATCAAAATAGTTTACATATCAGGCTCAATACCCTCACACACTGTTGGCTTCAGTCTGCCTTTTACAGATGGTATTTACCACCTCCAGGAAAATAGTGTGCTTCCTCGGGTTGCCTACAACATATGACAAAATAAAATTTCCCAACTTATCTAGCAAAAGTCCCATGAGCTCCAAGGGGAGGGGGCCAATGTTTTATTTATCTTTGTATCACAATGCCTACCACACAGTAAGTGTGCCCCCAAAACTTGCTGAGATGAAATGAGAGAAGCCAATGCCTTGGCCAGGTTTCCCAACTCTAAACCAGTACCTTCTCCCACTATTCTACATACTCAAATGTGGCATTCACTGTTATGAGCAGGTAGGATGTCATGTCTGCCCTGCCGTTTGTACCAAGAGAAATGGACCCCATTCTCAGCCTGAAAAGAAACTGGGGAGCTAGACAGGGATGACTATTCTCCAAGATTTACTATGTAGGTGGTCCTTTATTATCTCTCTAGCATCTTCCATGACCATGTGTACACTAATGCTGCAGTGCTTTTCCAAAGGCTGACTTTCCCCTACCCCAGCCTTCCTGGCAATTGGAAGAGCATTACTATCATATGCTTAAAGTAACAAAAAAGCCAAGGGTTACCTTAAGCAAGCTGACTTTCAGTCTGTAGAAGCCATTAAACTATCCCAAACAAACAAAAAAAAATAGTAACAAAAAAATTAAAATTAAAAAATAAAAAACTAATAACAAATCACTGAGACCTTGGTCTAAAGATCTTTATGTCTCCTCAGCCAGAGCCCCAGCCCCCAGTTCCCCCTCTCGGCTGTATTTCAAAGGCAAAGGCTAAAAAACAAAAATCACACATGGGCAGCATATGTAATCACATATAATCACATATAATGTCATGAAGTCCCAGGCATGACCCTGACAATCCACCAAGCTGGGTCCCTAACTTCAGTGCTATGTGAAGAACTTCTGTGGAAAACACATCCTTTCAAACAAAAGTTACAAATACCCTTTGCTGCCTGACAAATGGTCAGGATTATCACTTTTGCTTGCAGCAAACCTCTAGAGAAAATATGATCTTATCAATCAAATATTGAGGTCTGGCTTTAAATCTATGAATTCCTGGGGCCAGCATTACAAGAGGAGGTCCCTGAGGTTAACTAGCCTTCTCAAGGGTCCACCAAGGTTAGCTCAGTGAGGGCAGGACCATATCCAGTATCTTTACCAGAGAAAGTACTTTAGTATCAGGCTGGGAACATCATAGGCACTAAATAAAGAATAAACTTAAAAGGTGTTTACTATACTTGGCTGTTGAGAACAAGAATAATTTCAGAGGCATGCTAAGGTAGAAATTTGGTCACAATGTAAGTCACAAGTTGACTCTGAAATGAACTGGAAACAGCAAGTGAAACTATTCTACAAACCTAGTTACAGAAAGAACAGAGCCGTGAGAATGGGGATGCAATTTCAAGGGAAGTATTTTTGTTTGTTTTCACATGAGAAAGACTGGAGTGCAATTTTAAAGGGAGAAGCAAGTATATGATCCCTTTCATGAGCCCCTATTGTATTGTTAGTTGTTCAGTTCATTATTCATGCAACAATTTTTTATTGAGGACCAACTATATGCGAGGAACTGGTTTCAATTCTAGGAATACTTAGATGAACAAAATGTAATCTCAAGGTGAGTGTGTTCCCCCATCTTGAGTCTTAAACAAACTTCCTAGATTTCTTGAAGGAAACTCCCCGAGCTCCTTGGAATCCAGCCAGGGTTTGTCTACACTCTGCCTGAGAACACGCCATGAAGCCTTGCACTAGGGTCACCCAGCCTGTCACCCCTGTAAACTGGGTCATCCTCCAGGATGGAGCCTCTCTTGCCTTTGCATCCCCAGAGCCTGGCAGAGTATGAGGCAGGGGAGAGGAGGAGGAAATCTAGTGAATAGGCCACCTCCATACAGAAATGCTTGTTTTTAACCTTAGCAGGCTGTTTACATGCTAAGCATCTTGCCCAAAGTCACAGAGGTCAGGCCCAGGTAAGACTGGGAGAAGGGACCCAATCTCTTGAGGGTGATTTTAGTACCTGATTACATGCATTACAGTGACAACAGAGCACTGAACTCTCTACATATTTAGAACTAATATATATACTACAGAAACTTGTCTCAATGAATTGTGATGGGCTGTCACCACTGACTGAAATCTCAACTATCCCCTGAAATTCCTATGGCACTTTATGTTTTAGAAATACGTTTTAGAAACCCACTCCTGCCCTAGAGGCCATACAGACACAAGCTTGCTCAGGAGGGTGGACCCAGGAAGTAATCTTTCTTTCTCTATCCTGACAACTACACCAGGAAGTGGTTAAGCCCTCACATTGTTGTTTCTCTCTCTTTAGAATCAGGATTCAGAATAAGCAATTTCCTTTTTCATTTTCCCATTTCTCTCCAACACACCCTGAAGGCCTGCAGAGCAATGATGAGCTCACACTGCCCCCTCCTGCCCATTCCCTCCCTAACAAGGAATATATTCATTATTCCCTGGCCCTCATTTGCTCCCATTCCTGTAAAGAAAGAAAAGCAACAGAATGCCCCCACAAAAGTCAAATGTCTTTATTTTATATAAAAAAAATTTGTACAGTTTTAGTTCCTATGTTTAAGAAAAAAATCCTAAAATTGCCGTAATGTTTAGATCCACTGCAAACTGTAGAAACAAGCTTTTTATATATTAAAAAAAATTTACATTTTACAATTTTCTACATGCATGCACAAGGTCTCAGCTCTGTAACCCCACCCCCCCAAAAAAAAGGAAAAAAAATCTAGATCCAACAGTGGAAAATTCTACATTTACAATCTCACTTGGAAGGGACTCAAAAAGCCCTCTTCCTTTTGCGCACGGAAGAACAAATCACAACAATCACACACCAGGACTGAATCCATCAGCAGATACTGCCCTGTGGGAAGGGCAGAGGAAAGAGAAGACAGACGGACTGACAGACACCACAGAGGAACAGGGGAGTTAGCCTGGGACCAATGGAGGAGAAGTACGAACCCTGGGAAAAAGACGTGTCAGATGAGAAAGTTCCGGAGAGTCCGATGTCTCATCGCAGGTGTTACATCATCAGGGTTTGCCATTGGAATACTGAGTGGAGATGGGAAAGAGAAAAGTTAAGGGCTGAAATGGGAGGGGAATGGGAAGAAAAAATGAGAGACAAGAGGGAAATAAGAAAAAACAAAGAGAGCACAAAGACCAGTTTAGGAGAAAGGACCAATGGGGACAGTGGCAGAGTGGCGAGGTAGGTGAAGGACTGAGGCACAGCGTCCTGTTGTGGAGGGAGGAAAGGCAAGCGTTCCGAGGTGGTGAAAAGGAAGGCCTGCTAGGCACGGTGGGGATGAACGAGGATGCCATGAGTCACACAAAAGACAGTGCTGGTGAGGCCCAGCCACAGCAGCCCTATGGTGTCAAGGGGGTAAGAGGTGGGCATACCCCCACAGCAGGAGAATGAGCAGATCCAGCGCATGATGGGACAGACACAGTGGGGAAACTGCTCAGAGGGACTGAGTCAGCTGCACACCCCACAGCAGTTCACAGCATGGAGACAACTTCCCACAGGGGAGAAGCAGAGGACAAACACATGGCCATATGTCTGACAATTCATCCTGACATTTTAAAAAACAATAGTAATAATAATAATAATAATAATAATAATAATGAAAAAAGACAAAGATACCACAGTTCTGAAGCAAAAGACCAAAATGCTACCATTCTCAGGCACAGCCCTTAGTGCTTAGAGAGTTGGAGGCAAAAAATTTTTTTTAGGAAAGGGGAATGAAAAAAAAATCACAGTGATTAAAAACATGGCAGGATCTTAAAATAAACACTCCCCAGCCCCTAACCTAGGGCAGCAACTAAGATCCCAAATCCTTTCCCTCTCCCCCACCCCAACCTGCTCCTCAGACCACACCACACTCCATCCTGTCCACAAAGGCAATGACCCCAGTCACCATCCAGGCCCTGTTTTCCAGGATAGTGAGGTATTTATGTGACTCAGAAGGGACTCTCTGACACAAAGTTTTTGAAGAGAAGAAAAGAGACAGACCCCCAGAACAGGACATATTTCATACAGGCCTATCTCATAACCCTGGCCCCAGCCAGAGGCCCTGCCTAAGTGAGCTCCACAACCCACCCCTTTGGGGACAAGGTAAGCATTGGCCAATGAGCTCCTCTCTAGCATGCGGTGGGTAAACAAGTGAACTTTTGCAGAAAGGACAGCAGGAGAAACCCCGATCACTAGGCTCCATCATTCCCAGGGCTGGTGCTACACAGAGGGGGAGCCTCCCAGGGGAGACACTGGGGATCTTATCCCAGGATGTGCTCTGCAAGGTAAGTACCAACCAGTCTTTCAGGGAAAAGAAGGGCCTACAAAAGGACACTGTGAGTTACTCAGAGGAATGGCCTAGTCATTGCAGCCATCAGAAAGGTCCTCCATGTGGATCCTGGCTGGATGTATATGGGTACTTCCTAATTCTACTCTCCTTGGCAAAAATGTCTGAGTCAAAGGCTCAGATTTATATTGAAAATATTTATTAGAGGGCCAGCAAATTTTGCTCAAAATGAGATCTAAATTATCAAGAATTTGGATTTGGTGCAAAGACTATGGAAGCTAAAATGGGGTGAGGGGTGAAGTACCTACAAAAGGCAGTAATCCTTGCCCCTCAACCCAATACAGACGGAGCCCAGAGCTCAGAGAATCAGGCAGGGAGAAAAGGGGTGGGGACCCTGGAAGGCCAAGGAAACGAGACCCCTGAGGCAAAGAACTGGACTTAAGGCAGGGGATGAGGAGGAGCTGCCGGCTCTTCCCCAAAAGAGATGAGGCAACAGGTCTCTGGAGTCGAGAGAAGGCGGCAGGACAGGGGTGGCTGGTGACAAAAATAAAAACATTTGTCTAAGACCACAGGGGCTGGGTCAGGGTCTGCAAGCCACTATGTCTGTACAGGAGTCTACATACCATCCTTCACTGGGAAGAGCGGGGACGAAAGTGAGGGTAGGGTTAGGGAGCAGGAGTCAGTGATGGGGGTCTCTCCAAAACCTCAGGGATCTATTCAGCCCTCCTCCTCAGGGGCTGCCTAGGAAGACACATTGGAAGAAAGGTACCTTCCCCTAAGTCCCTGGAAAAGTGGTCACAGAGGGTTTCCACGTGGTTGCCTATGGTCACGTGACCATACAAACCAAAAACATTAGGTGGAGATTTCTGGGAAAAGGATGGGATCCTTCTTTGCTCTAAATATATGTGGAAGCAAATGCTCCTAGCAAGGAGATTTCTAACTCGGGCTGTGTGGCAGGAGTATCCCTGCCCTAGAACCCAGGGTTTGTTGTGGCTGGGGTGAGGGACAGGAGGGCCAGTTGCTGCCCTGGAGGAGTTTGGCACTGTGGCTCTCTGGAGTCATGTCCATGTGCCCCAGAGAAACCCTGTTGGGCCACTGAAGAGAAATGTTTTAAGAACTTGGATTTGTGAGTCGGGGCTCAGGAGGGGAAAGTACAATCAGCAGGGCCCTGTGCCCTTTCAGGAGAGACTGTAATCTGGGAAAAGACTAGGGAAAGAAGAGGGAGAGAGGCACTGATTCCTGCAGGGCCTAGAGTAATACAAAAGTTGTTGGTGAGGTGGGAGTCCTTCCCAGGTACTGTTGACAGCAGGATGGTCTCTCCAGGTTCACATGGGGTAAAATAAGGAAGAAGCGAGGAGAGAAGGTGGGGGTGCGTTAATTCAAGTAAAAAAAAAAGAGCAAGAAGAAGAAGGGTGGCAGGAATGTGGCTGGGCCTGAGAACCAAGCCCCCTCCCACCCCCTCAGGACCCCCCAGAGTTTCCCACTCCCCCTGCTGTTGCACAGTCACACTGAGGTCTCAGACTGCAGCCTCATGACAAACTTGTGTGACTTGGGATCCACAAATTCCTCGGAGAGTTTGAAGAATGGGACCTTCTTGGTGCTGACCACCAGGCTGAAGTCCTGGCGTTTTAAGAGGAAAACGATGCCATCCTTGAGGCCGTTGGTCACCGGCTCCTCGCTCACCAATGTCCACTGTTTGGCCAGCCAGCGTTCCTTGTGGTACTGGATGGTAGGTCCAGCCGCCAAGTATCGCTCCAAGAAGGCCTGAAGTGGAAAGAAGGGGCTGCATAAGAATCTCTGTCATCTACCCACGGTCCTTCATCCCCTAGGTCATAGTTTCCAAAGACAAGAAGGACGTCCCTGAGCTCACTCTATGCATATGAACTAGAACCTCAGAATGTTACAGCAGGAAGGGGCCTGAGATCATCTGCTTCAGACCCTCATTTTATAAATGAAGAAGCCGGAGTGCACAGGGGGATGTGGCTCATCAGGTAGGACTGAACTCGGCTCCCCTGACCCCCATCTGCTGCTCTTCTCCCTGCACCAGGCTGTGACCTGGGCAAGCCCTCCCTCATTCTTCCTTCCTTCCCACACAGCTTGTATGATTCGTGCCAAGCAGGTCTGCACCAGGAGGGAGCCAAAGGTGTCAAGGTTAAAGTGCAACATCTTTAGTTACCTGCTCACCAAGGGTGGCTCAGGGAAAGCAATTCTAGGAAGCTGGCAATAGAGTTGAAGGTGGGCAATGGCTCAAAATGACACAAAGCCAAGACCAGCTAGTGGAGGTGAAGAGGGTAATGGAGGTGAAAGTGGGCCTTTGGATCTGGTAATTCCGGAGCCCTCATAGAGATGAGAAATAAGTCTCAGCCATCCCCAAAATGGTCCTGAGGACTCCCTTCTCCTCATCTACCTAAAGACTTCACCCCACACAGATGGGGCAGGTGGAATAGGAATGAGAGAGAAGATTATAAAAAGGAGGTGGTGAGGAGAGAGAAATGAGGTGGACAGTGAGGAAAGTAGTGAGAGAATAAGGGAAAATGAAGGTGGGAAAGAAGAGGAGCTGGGGAAGGAGGAAGGATGCTGGCAGCAGGGCAGGCCTACCTTGGGCGTCATGTCATGCGTGATGCAGAATTCAAGGTGCTGCAGGATGCTCTCCATGGTGTGGTAGGGCTGCTGCTTGGTGGTCCGAAGGTACTTCTGCATGGCACGGGCCATGGATGCAAAGATGGCTTGGGCTGCCTCCCGGGGGTCCATCACCTCCCTGGGGTTTTTCTGCTCCTCTTCCTGCAGCCGCTTAATGTGAGTGAAGGCCTCCTCCACCGCCACTACAAGCCTAGGGGACAGGAGGGGACTGGGCCAGATGCCCACCTCTCTTTCCCCCACCCCACCCCTCTCCCCTAGCTCCAACACTCCAGCAGCCTGAATGAGGTCAGGCCTTTGTGCTCACCCAAAGTAATACAAAGCCAGAGGCAATAGTGCCTTTCTGCCACTGGGAACAGTAAACAGCCACAGAGTTCAGTGGGCCCAGCCCAGGGACTCAGAGGGCAAACCTAGTGTCAAACCCAGAGAGACAACTAGGAACTATGCTATAGGAAAGACAAAGCATTCCACCAAACTTTAAGGAAAACCTTCTTAAATAAGACCCCCAAATCATACTTCATTGGCTCAACAATTAATAGATATGATTACATCAAAATGACAGATTTCTGTTCAACCATGACAGCATGGGCAACATTAACTGACATCTGATGGAGCTGGGGAAAATATACACATCTAAAACCAACAAGGGATTCAGATCTAGAACATGCAAAGAATTTGCTACAATTTCTATCAAGAAGAAAAAGACAGGAAACCTAGAGAAAAAAGGGCAAAGGAGGTGAACAGAAAATTCACAAGAGGACTGAAAGGCTAAAAGATATACGAAGTAGTTACTGGCTAGCAATTAGAGAGATGCAAATGAAAATGTTAGTAAAATATTACTTTTCCATCAAAATGGAAAAAAGAAAGAAGGTAACTATAAACCAAATATTGGATAGGATGTTGGGAGTATTCCATGAACTACTATGCAGCAAAAAGATGCAACAAACTAGATGTACAGACAACTTGGATGAATCTCAAAAACACAGTGTTAAGGAGGAAGCAGGAAAAAAAAATCCATTTACATTAAAAGCATATAGATGGCCGGGTGTGGTGGCTCATGCCTATAATCCCAGCACTTTGGGAGGGTGAGACAGGTGGATCACCTGAGGTCAGGAGTTCAAGACCAGCCTGGCCAACATGGCAAAACCCCATCTTTACTAAAAATACAAAAATTAGCTGGGCATGCTGGTGTGCATCTGTAATCCCAGCTACTGGGGAGGCTGAGGCAGGAAAATTACTTGAACCCAGGAGGCGGAGGTTGCAGTGAGCTGAGATCATGCCACTGCACTCCAGCCTGGGGGACAGAGCAAGACTCCATCTCAATAAAAAAAAAAAAAAAAGCATACATACAGACACACACACCAACACCAACAAAGATCACTACACTAACACTAACTTTGCACAAGGATACATATAGCTTTTAAGGAAGTCAAACACACTCAACAGGATGCCTAAAATGTGGCGCTGGAGTGAAAGTGGGAACTGGAGGAAAAGAAGAAACAGAATAAAGAACCATGAAAAACTCTATAATGACAATATGTTAGAAGCTGAAAAGAGCAATTAATGCAATTATCTGCACTTCAAGTCCAAAAACCAAAATAAAAGCCCCCTGGCCTAAGAGCAGGACCAGCCTGAAGTGACAGGACAAAGAAAGAAAGTGAGGCCTTCTATGCAGAACCCAGGAACCTGAGTCATTTCAGATGGGACTCTGGGTATATAGGTGTGGATCTGTGTATGTCTATCATTTCTTCCTTTATTCTCTTGCTTCCCCTACATTTCTCAGTAAATTCCCTTTGAAAAGATCCTTTTATCTCAGGTAAACAAAGGAAAAAGTTTGCTCCTGGTTAAAAGCAAGGTAATGGGGAAAGGAAAGAGTCCTCTATGTGCCAAAAATGGTGGTGGCAGTACAGGAGATTGGATGACCCTGGTCAGGGCAGAAGATAAAGGGGTAGGGACATCACTGGTTTCCTTCCCAAGTCTCAGGCCATTTCCAAGACAATTAGAGACAGGTTGGAATGCCACAGAAATGGAGTTGGTGATCTTTGTTCTACTACAGGGGATGCCAGCCTCAAATAGGAACAAGGTAAGGGCTACCTCTTGCCCTTGAAGCCTGGAGTTCATGTGGGAGATGGGGCGGAGGCCAGGTGCGTGGTCAAGTCCTGAGGCACTCTGCTCCTCCCTCAGGGAACTCCCGACAGACCAAGATGGAACCCGGCAGAGTAGGCACCAAGTAAGATTCTTCAGGGTTGACTAAATTCACTTAATAATATGAATAGGGAAAGGGAGAAGCTAGGATGGCATTTAAGAATTTACCAAAATATAGGCAATAAAACGTCATTTTTTGAAGGCAACAAAAGCACCATCTGGTGAGTCCTCTCAAGATCTACTGGCAGGCAGGCTAGTCTAGCCTGAGTCCATGCTGTTGCAGGTAAAGCTCACATCCCTTTATTGGGTCCCTACCCCACTGTGGCAGGCAGAATTCAAAGATACCCTCCACTTCTACCAGACTCCCATCCCCTCATTAGACAACAATCTTGGTACATTTTGCAGATGTAATTAATGTGCCAAGTCAGTGGCCTTAAAAGAAGACTGTCCTTTAGGGCCTGATCTCATCACATGAGCTCTTTAAAATCAGCATTATCTCCAGCTGGTGGCAGAGGTCAGAGACCTGTTTCTGCTGGAAAAAAAAGTGCACTACCATCATGTAAACTGCCTATGGGGCTATGTGACAAGGCACTGAATTCTCCCCATAATAATGAGCTTGAAAGAGAAAGCATAGGCTCAGATGAGAGTCCTCTTGATTTCAGCCTGTGAGGCCTGAGCACAGCCTCCAGCCAGCCTGCACCTGACCCATGGAACTGGGAGATAATAAATGTGTGCTGTTTCACAGCTGCTAAGTTTATGGTAATCTGTTAGGGCAGCAACGGAAAACAAGCACACACCCCCAACTCATGTCATCATTGCCCTATATTTCCAGCAGTTACAGAAGTTCCTTGGTCTTCCTCTCCCCATTCACCCAACAAGCACCTCCTCTCCTCTTCTCCCCCAGGGACCCACCTGGCCCTCCTCTTGCGCACCCTTCGCTCATGCTCAGCCTCCTCATAGTAGTACTCATTGTGACTGTTGTCCCGCCTCCGAGCTGCCGCTGCAATCACAGCCCGAGACTGGCCAGTGGAGTTGTTGGTGCTGTTTTCTGCACAGGAACAGGATAGAGGAGATGGTCACATCAGAGTGTGGCCTCTCTTCCCACTCCAGGAGCTCTGGAGACAGCAGCCTGACATGTCCAGAAGAAGCTGTTCCCACCACCCAGCAATACCTCCTAATCCCAACCCTCCTGGCCACCTCTGGGAGAGGCCATAGGAAAGCAACAAGGAAGGCACTGGAAGCGCAAGAGTCCTGCAGTTGTTCCTCCCCAGTGCAGGGGGTTCTGCAGCTCCGAGAGCCAAAGGGCTTAGACCAGGGCTGATGAGAGACACAGAGGAGCCAGATCAGGGGACATGCCATAGCATAAAGGGACAGCAAGTAGGATGAGCAGCTAAGATCAGCCACCTGGAGTCAAGGGAAATGACTGAATAGAAGCGGCTAGAACATGGGCTAAGGAAAGGAAAAAGCAAGGGACAAAGGGTAAAAGAGAGGCGGGAACTTGGAGTCCTGCTTGGGAAGAGACAGGGAAGGGCAGAGGAGCAGGGCTGCTCACCCTCTCCGAGGGAATACACCTTGAAGCCAGACACTTTCTTGGCCAGGACGGACTTGGGCAGGTTGAGGAGGGCAGGGTTGTAGACAGGGAAGTCATGGTAATACTTCTCCAGGATCCACACTGCCACGCGCTGGATGCTGTGGGGGAGACGGCAGGAGGGGGTGGGAGAAGGGACAGACCAAGGGGCACAGGGGAAAGGGACACATTAGGGCAGGTTGGCAGGGCAGGAGAGGACACAGGACAGGGACAAGCTGCTTCCGAGAAGCCTGACTCCGGGCCTGAGGTCTACTTACCAGGCTCCCAAGCCTTTCCCAGGGCTGGGCCTGCCAGTCCCTCCCCACCATGCCAAAGCCTAGCAGAGAAAGGGCATTGGGCCTGGGTCCCCAGCCAAAGATCACCTCATCCCCATTCAGCGTTCCCCCAAGATCCTCTACAGGACCCAGGACGTGCCACTGATATTCTGTGTGGCCTCGAGGGGTAGCTTGTTTACTGGGAGCTGAAGAACTCTCCTCCTTATCTCTTTCTCTGGGGATCCCTCCTCTGGCCAGGTCACTTCACAGGCCACTCTGAGTGCTCACAAGAAGCTGCGCCTCCCAGAAAGGACTAGAAAAGGGATTCCAAAAAGCCCCTGTTTGTGCACCCCCCCATATTTCTTCCCTTTGGTCCATCCCCCTCTAATATTCCCTACCTCTAAATGCCTATTCATTCCCATCTCATAACTCCCAACTGATCTTGCCCCAAGACCGTGTACATGAACCTGCCTATCAAGCAGCAAACATTGGTGAAAACCTACTTGGTGCAAAGTACTCAACTCCCTCCCACACAACCCTCCAAGCCCATCACCTCCAGCCCACCATCATACCCTCCCACCCTAGCAGTCACTCCACATCCTCCCATGCCCTTTCCCTCCCAACCCTTCTCCAGCCGTGGGCTAGTACCTGAGATGGCCAACGTTGTAGAAGCGGCTGGCGCCGTCGGTGGAGCGCACGACCTTGAGCGTGAACTGAGGCTGGAGCTGGCGCAGCTCCAGCAGGACCACGGCCAGGTAGTGCACGAAAAGAAGGGCGTCCACCAGCGACACGGCGAACTGCACCACGCCCTGGTAGCTGCGCTCCCGAGCATCCAGGATGCGCACACCATAGAAGAGCCAGTAGGAGACCACGAGCAGGAAAACCAGCACCATAAGCAGGGCACGCAGCACAAAGACGCGGGGCAGCGAGGCCTTGGGCCGGCGGAAGAACAGAGCCCAGCTGCCCAGTAGCAGGATGAGCAGCTTGAAGGCGACAGAGATGAAGAGGCCCTCGCAGGCCGTCCCGCAAGGCTCCAGCTCCTCCCGCCACAGCAGTGGGGGCAGCAGCAGGAAGGCCAGAGGCGTGAGGAAAGACAGCAGTGCCAGGGTGGCCCCCGCTGCCACACCCAGGTGACGGGAGCAGTCCAGAGGGACACTGTCCTCCATGTCCTTGGCGATGCGTGTGAGGTCATCATGGGAGATGCTGTGCTCTGAGGTGCCCGTTACTACTGTCGTCGTTTCCCCCCAGTTGTCATCCTACAGGCAGAAGGGGGCCAGCCACACAATAAGGAGGAAAGGATAAGAAGAGGAAGAGGAGGGAAACAGGAGAAAGGGTGAGGGGACAGGAGACAGAGAAGAACACATGGGAAAGGAGAAGGCAGAAAGAAGAGAGGGTAATCAACAAATACGCAACCATCAAAGTATTTACTGAGCTCCAATGTGTGTCAAAGTCTGGCCTCTGCAGATGGCCAAATCCAAGACCCGAGCCCTCGGGGAGCTGGACACTGGTCAGTGAGAGAGGAAAAAACCACACATGCGGCAATGACCCTCAGAGCAGACAGCACAGGACAAATGCTGAAGATGCTGCTCAGGCAGTGACTGGGATCCAAGGGCAAACTCGCCAAGCAAAGCAGGCAGGCTTCCAGAAACCGTGGGACCTGAGCTGATCCTTGGGGGAAGGGGGCTCCAAGGAAGATGTTCTCAATCCCAGATGCACACATTAGAACACTTAGGGAAGTTGGAAAATAATGCTAATTATTGGAGAGTGCAATCTGCTTGTGAACCTTTAAAAAAAAAAAACAAAAAACTCCCCAGATGATTGTAATGGTCATCCAAGATTGAGAATCACTGAACTAAATGATTTCTAAGGGCTGGCTGGCTACTTAAAATGTGATCTGTGGACCAGCGGTGTGGACATCACCTGGGAGCTTGTTAGAAAGGCGGAACCTCAGGCCCACCGCATGTTTACTGAACCAAATCTGCATTTTAACAAGATCCACATGAATCACTCAAACATTAACATTAATTCTGGAAGTCCTGCTGGGCACGGTGGCTCACGCCTGTAATCCCAGCACTTTGGGAGGCCGAGGTGGGCAGATCGCCTGAGGTCGGGAGTTCGAGACCAGCCTGACCAACATGGAGAAATCCCATCTCTACTAAAAACACACACACACAAAAAATTAGCTGGGTGTGGTGGCACATGCCTGTAATCCCAGCTACTCGGGAGGCTGATGCAGGAGAATCGCTTGAACCCAGGAGGAGGAGGTTGTGGTGAGCAGAGATCGTGCCATTGCACTCCAGCCTGGGCAACAAGAGCGAAACTCCATCTCAAAAAAAAAAAAAAAAAAAATTATGGAAGTCCTATCTAAGTTCCTTCCAGCATGCCATGATTTTGGCAGAAGCTAGAGGAGGAGCCTCCAGGGCAGGAATGGCATGAACTGAGGCACCCAAGGGCTATGAGAGCAGAGGATCCCTGTGCAGAAGCACAGCAAGGTGCAACCAGGAAGGTAAGGCAGACAGCAGCCAGGCAGGGCTTGTGCAGGCCACGCTGCAGTGCTGGGCTGGGCAATAAGCACCTGTTCTCCAGGCATGGAGAGCCACTGAAGGAGTAAACCTGATCAAAGCAGCACAGAGAAGAACAGAAGACCCCAGGGGTAAAGGGGTGAAGGCGTGAAGGACACTGTGCAGACTCAAGGCCACTCTGGGTCTCTGGTCTGCAAGGCCACCTCTGCTGGGCCATCTAAATGTCTACAGTGCAGAGGCTACCTGTCTCTGGAGGCAAGAAGGTGGCCAGGCTGAGGTCCCCAGGTGTCCCTCTAAGTGTGGTCTGCTCAAGCTGTTTCTCTGCAGTGGCTGGAGGCCATCCCACGGAGGAGTCCCAAGACCACCAGCTGCCTTCAGCACCCACCCTTCGCTCCTGGGACAGCCTGGGGATATGGAATCACAACCTGACACCCAGGAGGTTGAGGTTACAGGATGAAGGCAGCCCGACAGCACCAGTGATTAGGGAGGTTGAGGAACCTCCTCTCTACAGGATGGGGAACGAGTCTGATGTGAAGATAGAAAGCAGATGCACTGACTGCCTTCAGCTCAAAGCCCTGGGTCTGCTCCCCGCCCTCTGACCCCTAGACATACTGCCCACCCCCTCCAAGGACCAAGGGCTTGGGATCTCCTCCCCAGTAGCAGGTGAGCTGGTCATGTCTCAGGGTCACTTCAAGAACTCAGGAGGCCAGGCCCCAGGAAGAAGGGATTGGGAGAGAGGGAAAAAGAACATTTCCTTCAGGTATTGACCTGCTCCCAAGGCCCAGGAATTCCCAATGTCAGCCACAGAGATTTCTTCTGAGGAAAAAGGAGCTGGGAATCTCCAGCCCCCAAAGATGATCCCAAGGGGAATGAGACTTGGGCAACCTCAGTGTCACCTAAAATCCTGCCTCTGCCCTATTCCAGGACTGTGTTCTGCCCACTGTCCTCCCTACCAGGTGAGCACAGTGGGCAGCAGAGGTTAGAATAGAAAACCTGCTCACCCCTGTCCTGGAGAACTCTCTCCTGGGGTCCCTGCTCCATCCCTCAGCCTTACTTCTTGTCCCTTGGGCTTTCTCCATCTACTCTTCCCATACTCCTTTCCCAAGATCTAGGTGACGCCATTCTACAGGCTGACACCAGAGGGCACAGAGTGCCCACATCTCGAGGCTCCAGGAATACTCAGCTTTGCTCACACATACCCCAGGCCCAGCCACCACCACCACCCTCCTGCTCCAGACTCCCAGCGGGCCTGACTGGCTGGCGGCAGCTCCAGAGGAGCTGGCCAATTCCCATCATACAGCCCAGGTCACCCCCCACTCCTCTGGAGATAAGGAAGGAGAGGCTGCTGCTTCCAGAGGGATCTCTATACTGAAATTCCTGAAGGTCCTACCTTAAGACACTAAGCCAAGCTAAGTGTAACACAAAACACACTCCCCGATCTGATGGCTGTCTGAGACCAGGTTTCCAAGCCCTCCCCCACTCCGTGGAGCCTCCAGCCCCTCAGGAGCAGTCTGAAAATGCCCGGTCTGGACCACCGCATCCCCAGTGCTCACCCGCTCATCCCCTCGTGTGGACTCATTGTCCAGCAGGGGCTCCCCGGGAGCCTGGATTGTCACCGACTTGTCCCCTCGGCCCCCATCTCGACTCTTAGAGCGGTGTCGGTCCCGGCGGTCCCTGCGGCAGGAAGCCAGAAAAGGCACAGAAAGTCCAGTGGTGGACCAGGGTCTTCTCAGCAGCCACTCTACCCTACCACCCCTGCACGTGCCCACCTCTTAACAGCCCCCAACCCTCCCTCCGCCACGCATGTCACCCTGCATGCCTGCCCACCTGTGCTTGCGGGAGCTGCGGGAGTGGCCCGACTTGTAGGAATAGCCCGAGTACTGGGACTCGGTGTCCATGGCGTCTGAACGCCGCGCCTTGTAGCGCTCCAGGGCCGCAGGCTGGGGCCTCTTGGGGGGCCCCACAGCCACCTCCTTCAGCACCGGCTTCTTTAGGCCAAGAGGCACCTTCAGGAAGTCAACTGTCACCCTGAGGGACTCTATTTTGCTGGACGGGTGGGCTTGTCTCAGAGAAAATCCAGCGACGCTCCTGGTGAGAGGAAGAAGCTAGTTAGAGGCGGCTCGAGCTCCCTGTGGGGTCAGGGCAGAGGAAGACCATCTGCACACAACAGCCACAGGAGGCTCAAATGAGCCCAGCCATAGCCTGAGAATATCTCCACCCAGGTTCCTGCTGTCCACTGGGCCCAGTTCCTCCTACCCTTCTCTAGAAAGAGCCCTGCCAGGCTGTGCCAAGGACTCAGGCATGGGGGAAGATGGCCAGCAAAGGCTCCCAGGGCAGGAAGGCTCACCCAGAATGACCCAACCCCAAGCCCTCTGGAAGGGAGGAGCAGGGCATTGCTTCCCTATTCTCAGCCAGGGAAACCGAGGCATGAAGAGGGCAGGTTCTGGCCAGGCCAACAGGCTGAATCAGTGGACACCTCAGAGAGCAGAAAGGAGCGGGCTTCTGTCCAGGGGCTACCCCAGGCCTCTTCTCCCCATGCTACACCTCCTCCCCTCACTCATACTTTCTGAGTGTGCCCACAGTGGGCTGCTTCCCTTGATACCATCTCCCCAGCATTTACTTCAAACACACCCAGTGTTACCGGTAAGATCAGGCTGGCAGCTTCCTTGAGGTTGCCACACATATGCACAGCCCCAGGTGAGGGTGAGGGGTGGAAACTATGGATAATATGGTAGGGGATGGGAGGAGAAGACAAGTTTCTACTTGCCTGAAGTTCTGAAACAGGCAAGGCACAAGTTTATCTGCCTATTTATAGGCTTATCTTCAACCATACTTCACCTTCTGATTCTGCAGAGGAGAATGACCTCTCCTCTCTCTAACCCCCACCCAAATCCTGCTCATTCTTCAGAGCCCGGCCCCACCCCCTCATAGGAGCCCCCACCTACTCTAGACCCAATGTTATCTTCCCTGCTGACCCTGACTCCCCTAACAGCCATCACCATCCACCGAGCGCTTACTTCCTATCTTCAGTCATTGACGCATCAAATCTTGTTTGAGCACCTTCTATGAACCATGTATTCTGCTAGGTATAAAGTGGTATAACAGACCCTGAGTTTACAGTCTAGCAGGGAAGGGGCACAC
Source organism: Homo sapiens (assembly GCF_000001405.40). Lineage (NCBI taxonomy): Eukaryota > Metazoa > Chordata > Mammalia > Primates > Hominidae > Homo > Homo sapiens. The sequence goes on along the minus strand of NC_000001.11, from coordinate 160,414,594 downwards.
CAAACAAGTAAGCAGATAAGTATAAACGACCGATTGCAGGCATGATGGAAGGGCAGAACAGCAAACTATGAGAGACACCCATGGAGTAAGGGCTACCACTTTAAACTTAGCGGTTCTAGAAAGTCTGAGAAAAGGACACCTCAGCAGAGGCCTGAAGAAGAAATAGGAATTAACCAAGCAAAGAGTGCAGGAAAATGCCCATGGAGCAGAGGAATCACATGTGTGAAGGCCAAAGGCAGGAAAGAGCTTGTTGTATTTAAAGAACCAACAAAGGCCAGTGGAGCTAGAGTTGAGGAAGAGAGTGGGTGGTAGAAGGTGGCACTGCAGAGACAGCCAGGCACCAGGTGAAGAGCTTGAGCTTTATTTTATTCTAAGGCCACAGGAAAACTTTGAAGGATTTTAGCTATGCAGATATGGATTGAAAAGAGGGAAAAATAGAAACAGGGAGATCAATAAGGAGGCGACTGCAGTAGTACAGGCTTGCTAAGGGTAGAGCCACAGAAGAGTGAGTAACAGTCATGTTTGAGACTTAATGTTGGTGGTCAAATCAACAGGACCTAATGAGCGGGAAGGGAGAGTTAAGAATCCCCGGCCTGAGCAAGGGAGCAGATGGTAGCACCATCAGTAGGGTAGGGAAGACTGGGGAGGAAGCAGCCTTGTGAGGGAAGATAATTAGTTCAGCTTCTAGCCTGCTAAGTTAGTGGCCATGAGACAGTAGGCAGCCAGGTGTCAGACGAGCCAGACTTGGAGGACAGTCTGAGCTGGAGGTACTGAGTGTGTGAAAAGCTATGGGGATAGATAGAACTCAGATCCAGCTGAGTTCAAAACCTAACTCTTCCATGGACATAAAGGACCCCAATAGGTAGACATGTCCAGAGGAAAAGGAGCAGGCAAAGGGGATGAGAAGGCCAGAGGAGGAGGGGAGCCAGAAGAGTGGGGTCTCAAGGCAGCCAGAAATTTAACAGTGTTTTGAGGTGGGAATTAAGTCAACCAGGTCAAATGCTGCTGAGAGGCTGATTATGTTAAAAACTAAAATGGGGCCGGGTAATCCCAGCCTGTAATCCCAGCACTTTAGGAGGCCAAGGCGGGTGGATCACGAGGTCAGGAGTTCAAGACCAGCCTGGCCAAGATGATGAAACCCCGTCTCTACTAAAAAGCATGGTGGCAGGTGCCTGTAATCCCAGCTACTTAGGAGGCTGAGGCAGAGAACTGCTTGAACCTGGGAGGTGGAGGTTGCAGTGAGCCGAGATCATGCCACTACACTCCAGCCTGGGCGACAGAACGAGACTCCGTCTCAAAAAAAAAAAAAACCTAAAATGGATTTGCTTTGTATCATTACCTTTACTCCAACTACTCTAAACCATCAGTAATTTGAGAATAAGCAATATGATTGATACATATTTATATCCATCTCGCCTCCCATGGGCACAGAGCAAGGAACTGATACCAACCTAGTAAATGAACATAGTCATGCCTCGCTTAACCACAGGGATACTTTCTGAGAAATGTGTCATTAGGCAGCTGCATCCTGGGAACATCATAGAATGTACCTACACAAACCTTGACGGTATAGCCTACTACACACATAGGCCTTATGGTATAGCCTATTGCTCCCAGGCTACAAACCTGTACAGCATGTTACTGTACTGAACACTGTAGCCAACTGTAACACAATGGTAAGTACTTGTGTACCTAAACATAGAAAAAGTACAGTAAAAATACAATAGTATAATTTTATGGGACCACCATCATATATGTGGTCCATCGTTGACCAAAACATCCATGACTGTATGCCTCTCTGGCTCTCAGGGAAACTATAATGACTGTAGGGAGATGAAAGCATGTGAAATCTATTCATTCATCTTCTTAACAGAGTTCAATGGAGGCAATCCTCCATAGGATTAGTTATATTTGTCAGTATCCCCATGTCAAAGCACGTGCGTGATAAGGACACACTTAGAGGACAGGGACATAATACCTTAACCCAACCATAAGCCTTTCCAAAAAACTTTGCAGCAAAAATGACCCTTATTTATCCCCCTACCTGAAAAATATATGTTGGGCTCATCTACCCACTCTCCTGAGGACCCATTCTACTGGCCTACTCCTCCTTATAGTTTAGACATCTGACCTGCATTTCTCTTGTGGTTCCAGCCTATTCTTTCTAGTCTTCTTCATAAAAACTGAATTTTGCTAGGAGGCTCAAAGGCAACGAGTGGGTCACAGAGTGACATGGGGGTAGAGAAGGGGGTGGAGAAGTAAACAACTGCCACGGACTAGAGTCTAGACACACACACTAGATCCCAGGCTGTCCATCTCCTCATCCTCCTGTATACCCATCATCTGCCAAAGCCAACAGCCAGAAGAGCCAGAGATGTGCACTCAAAGATCTGAGTTCAAAACCTAACTCTTCCACTGACTAGCTGTGTGACTATGTGCAAGTTACTTAACACCTCTGTGCTTGTAGCCTGGTAAGCTCATTAGTAAAATAGTGAAGACAATGATGCCTTTTCATGGGGTAGCCGTAAGGATCACGAGGGTGAAAGAAGTGCTTTTATAAATGGTTCAGCTAGTAATTAGTTAAGCAATTAACAAGTTTTAGCTCCAGGATCACTCATACTCCAATCCTCAGACACTTCCTCTGAGACTAGGGAAAGAGGTGGTATAAATAAACCCTGCTGTTAGTACAACTAAATAAAGAAGTCTCACACATACACACACACACACACACCAACCAGAACCACCACTTCAAACACACCCAGAAGGTAAACTGATGCCATTTCATTTCCCCTACAGATAAATTTCAAACCAGACAAGGGTACCAGTCCCCTTTTGTTCTGAGCTGCCCAGCCTAGTGCCCCCTATCTTCCTCCCCTGCTACTTACTAAAGACTCAACATGAATCCTGCTCCCCTGGCCTGCCAACCCAAGTCAGAGTGCCCAAAAAGCACCAAAACACGCTTGTCTCCTCCCTACCAAACACAGGTGCCAAAAATGAACCCGACTTCTGAGACCCTTGCCTGCTGTGTCTTCAAGTACACCAGGGAACTAATCCAAGCACTGCTGCTGGGGGGCCTGGGAGGAGGGAGGAGAGGGGAGTAAAGAGAAGGGCAGAAGTTCCCCTTATTTAATCAGTCTCAGGGATCAGGGGTTTGGAGGGTCCCCTGGGTGGGCAGCGTTCCCAGGGAAGAGATGGGGGGAGGGGATGGCTGGATGAGATCAACAAGTGGAAACGTCAAGAGGGATGACGAGACAGGGAGGGAAGTCCGGACTTGGTGCAGGACAGGGAGCTGCCCTAGTCTGGGGAAGGGGGAGGCTATAGAAAAGGAATGTGCCCCACTGCCTTTCACCTTGCCCCCCACTTCCCAAGACACAAACACACACACTCAGTCCCCTGCTCAAACCAACCATGGATTATCTGGGGTTAAAATGAGGCCAGGGAGGAGAGAGGGAGAGAAGAGAGAGCCTGTTACAAAAAGGAGACCCTTCTCCCCTCCAAAGGCCTTTCAGAAATAAAATTAATGGAATGTGTCTCAGTATCATCCCAAGGGGATTGGGGGGGAGCTTGGCAGGGGGGAATGTGGGGGCTTTTGTCCCTGCTGCCCAGCTTCTCCCACATTGATCACCATGGCAACAAAAGCCCCCTGTTGCCTAGGTGATGGCAGCCGGGTCCTGGAACCCATACCCAGCATCCAAAGGGAGGGAGGTTATGGAGGTGGGGGCAATAGGGACAGAGGAGGAGAGAATGGGGTTTCTCCTCTGGCGGCCCCAGCTTTTGTCTGAGCTCTGGGATCAGGTTTCTTCAGGAAACAATTGGAGGCCTCTGGAAAAAATACACTCAGAACCTGGCAACAGGCAGAGGGAGCAGGGCCCTAGAGTAGTGCGTGCGTGCGTGCGTGTGTGTGTGTGTGTGTGTGTGTATAAGGGGGGTGGGTGTTGGCCAAAACACAGACCAGGGCGGACCAACCCTTTCCCATTTCCCACTCAAAGGAGGCGGCTCAAGTGGGCAAGGCGTTGAACACAAACGCCAGCACCCCCATGTGTGGCGCGTGCTGGGGGCCGATGACCAGACGCAGGCAGCTCCAGACGCCACCTCCTGCCACTGCTCTAGCCCGGGCCCACCCCGCAGCCCAGTCCCGGCTACTTTAGGCCTGGGGTGAGGTAATGAGACAGAGCATAGATGCAGACGGGGCTGGGAGAAAGAGCTGTGGAAACCAGGGTGAGTAGGCCACGGAAGAAAAGGGGGGCAGGGACAGAGCAAAACATGTACCTAAAAAGGGCACCTAGTGTTCCTCATCTCCACCGAGGACAGGGCTGGAAGCAGCTGAGAAGGGTGCTTGGGTTTGATTTTTAAAAGACTTCCAGCCAGACGGGAAGACGATGGGAAAGAGGACAAGAAGCCTCAAGTTCTCCTCAGACAGGGGCAGAGATCTCTGATAGGACCATTTTTCTCTCCGTAGTCAGGGACTAGGGAAGGGTGGTTCTGCCTGAACACAGGGAAATGGGTGTGATTACTGCTTCAGAACCTGCCTGAAGAGTCGTCTGTGGGCCCCTGCCCACTAAAGGTCTCCGATTCCTACTCAGGAGCCTGGGTCTTCCTGCATATGCCTTGCACCCCTTTCCCACTGCAGCCCGTGGGCAGGGGTATGCATGTGGGCACCCCCTAGCTGCCTGGCTCCCTAATCATCACCATCCATAGTGCCAAGGTCCAAGGATATCAATATAAGTTCCACTCAAAGTGCTGGAAGCCCACCTTCAGCCATGGAGGTGGCAAGAACTAAGCCCAGGGTCCAACCTCCCAGCCCAGGATCCCAGGAGCTAGCTCTCCGTGCTAGCTCAGAGTACAGTCAGAGTACCTCACCAAGGCCTAAGGCCAGTGCAAGGCAGAGCAGAGACTCGAGACACAGCTGTCGCACTTCAGAGCCTTGCTTGGTTTTCCTCCTTGTCACACACCTCCCCTGAGTTTCACAGATGTGCTCAACCCAGGCAGCGCTGTCAGGCCCTGGTGGGGGGCTGAAGTTGATGGGTGTGGGTTGAAAATGCAGACATCCAACACAGCTTCCACAGACGGAAGGAAGGTACCTGAACCTCTGACTATGCCCATATCATTCCCCTGACACCCCTTCCCCTTTCCCTTTCCCTTTCCCTTTTCCCTTCAGGAGGACACAGCTGGCTGAACCACCCTCTTCTCAGCAGTTCCCAGCACCAAGCTGAAAGGGGCCTTAGAGGGACAACCTCAAATTTTACAAATAAAAAAGTGGGACCCAGAGAGAGAAGGTGACTAGCCCATGGCCACTACTTCTACGGCAGCCCATTTCTGGCCTCCTCTAATTGTTGGAAAATCGTAGTAACACTGACTTTGAGGAGTGCTCCTCTTGGAGTGAGACCAGGTTTCTCCATGAGACTGCTCTGGACACTGGTTCCTTGAGTAGCCACAACTGCAAGAGGGCCACGACAGGAGAGGATTTGCTGACTCCGTCCTGCCCCCTCTTCTCACCAGGGACAAAGAGACAGAGACTAGACAGGCCTCAGCTAAGACAGCCAGAACCAAAGAGCCTCTATCCCCAAAAGGGGTGGTTCCTGCACCCATCCATCTACCACAACTAAGAACCTTGATGTTCCTTCATCCCCATCCAGCCTTGGGCTATGGGCAAGCCACCCATCCAGAGAGGCTGGGCTTTTGCTATCACCGAAAAGACTAAGGTACAGAGTGGGCAAGGACCAGCTCCAGCCCTGGACCAAAAATAGGATGAAGATTTTGCCCTGACCCTCATTCCTAAACCCTGAAAAAGGCTGTCCTTGGGTGACAGTGCTGCCCAGGAGGCCAGAGAGAACAGCTGTATCTTGGTGGGCTGAGGGGTGGGAAGGGCAGAGCAGGGAGCCCAGGAGCTGGCACCAGGTGCCCCACCCCCGCCCTGTTAACCAGGCATTCTCCCAGGACAGCCCCAGAGATGAGCTCACCATCCTCATAGCCCCAGGGTGGGGGCAGGATCCTTCTCCTCACTGGGCTGAGTGGCAGAGGAGGGGTGGGATCCTGGCCATGCTTGTGTCATCCAGGCATCTAGGCTTCCAGAGCAGCTTCTCACCAGCAGACCCCAGTGCAGGGTGCACCGCAGGGGAAGGGCCCACAGACTGGGCTCCTGGCCAGGATACCTGAGCTTGCATTCTACCTCAAAAGCAGTTGGGGAAGCCAGAGCCAAGCCCCTCTCCACCTACGTCCTGAATTTCCCTCAGTCTAAGGCTGGGGGTGAGGCCGAGGACCTCTAAATCCGCAAACACACCAAAATACCCACCCATACGCATACACACCCACACTCTGTTCCCCCTCTGAAACCTGGAATCACTCCTGCCTGCCCCACCCAGCTCCACCCACCCTGGCTAGGCAGGTTCTGTAGAGACCTGCTCCGCTGTCTCTCTGGCACCCCCACCCCCATCCCAGCTCCCAGAAGGTACCTGCCCCCCAACACAGCACACAAAAGCAGACACGTGTGCACATTCATGTCCCATAGCACCCCATTCCCTAGCCTTCCCCAGACCCATTCCTAGTCCGTCTTGAAGAGAACACTGGGGGTGGAAAGGCTGCAGGAGAAAAGGTGAGTAATGCCCCTGGCATCTGTCCCAGGTGGGGGCCGGCGGGAAGACGGGACACTAAGCTGGTGGGAAGGCAACCAGGGCTTCTGGATTCTCCATTTAATTTTTACCAACAGGCAGGCCCCACAATTTCCACCACCAGGCTTTGAGCTGCTTCCTCCCTTGGCCTAGGCAGAGAACTGGCCCGTACCTGCCCACCAGGTGAGCTGTGGAAGAACCAAGAAGGAAAGCAGGCAGCTTGAGGTGTCTTCAGGGAGAGGGTGGACAATGGGAGGTGGGTGAGTTGTGCTGACCCGTAAGTCAGTGAGTGTCCTGTACACTCCAAAAACAAATGCCCCCCTCTTCCTAGCCTGCTGCTCGAGGTAGGCCCCAACTGTCCCTGGCCCCAAAAGACCTTCAAAGCCTGCTCACCCAGCCCCTGCCCTGGGGTGCAAAGATGTGAAAAGCAGCTAGTTGGGAAGGGGAAGTTAGCCAACCTCGGGCTTGCTGTGGATGGGGAGAGTTGAGCTGTGAGGATGGAGTGTGAGGGAAGAACATATGGGGGCACTGTCAGCAAAGGCTGGATTGTAGGAAAGTGGTAGAGTGGGCCTCAGGGTGTGAGATGCAGTGTGACTGGGGATGAGGGTGGCAGGGCTGGGTATCCCCATCCTGAGAACCTCCTGTTGCCTCAGCCCAATGCCTTGGATCTGGCAACTTGGCCAGTTCTTATCTAGAAAACCAGATCCAGCTGAAAGGCCCAAGTACCAGCCGGCCTCCACCATCGCGACCACCCCCCTACCTGAGATTCTCACTCTTTGCTGAAAATTCTCAACTCTCCCATCCCTTATATCTGCCACCTCCATTCCTGAAGTAAAGCAGGTGTCAAAATGCATGTTTTTGTTCACAGTCTGTTGTTTTTTAAGTGACTGCATTCACACTTCGGGCTCAGCACCTGTTCCTATCTAAACCCTACTTACCCTAAAAAACCAGACCCCCTGGGCCGGGCGTGGTGGCTCACGCCTGTGATCCCAGCACTTAGGGAGGCCGAGGCAGGTAGATCACCTGAGGTCAGGAGTTCCAGACCAGCCTGACCAACATGGTGAAACCCCGCCTCTCCAAAAAATGCAAAATTAGCCAGGCATGGTGGTGCATGCCTGTAATCCCAGCTATTCGGGAGGCTGAGGCAGGAGAATCACTCGAACCAGGGAGGCAGAGGTTGTAGTGAGCCAAGATCGCGCCATTGCACTCCAGCCTAGTCAACGAGCGAAACGGTTTCAAAAAAAAAAAAACCAGAACCCCCTCCCTAGACCCACAAACAAACACACCCTCTCTCTCTGACCAGGCTGAGGGAGCCAAGAACACTCTGGTGAAAACAGGAGTCTGAAGGACATTGTTAGGGGCTGTGAGAAAACCCTACAGACAATAAGGACCAGGCTCCTCCCATTCACAAACAAGACCCCACGGGCCATGGTGGCCGGAGCCTACAGTCACTCCTTTACCCCAACCCCCATCCAAAATCATGGCCCAGCAAGGAGAAAGAGACCCACCCCAGGAGAGGTTTCTGCCCAGATGCTGGCCCCGCCCCAGGCTTATGACACCAAGGTGCTCCTCCTGGAGATGAGATCGTTCTCTGACTCCCACCCTCAAGGGTAGGCTTCTCTACTCCTCAGGCTGACACTGGACTCATGTTTGCTTTTCAGAAAACAGGGGAATTACTCAAGTGCAAGATTAAAGGCAATAATGAGCAATCAGACCGAACTGGAATGACAGTAGGGGAAGGTGAAGAGACTTTGGGAAAAGGAAGAGCACTGAAGTCAGACCTGGCACAGCCTTTTACGAGCTATGTAATCTCAGGTGAGTCGCTCCCCTTTTCCAAACTTCAGTTTCCTTATCTATAAAATGGCAATAATAGTGCCTACTTCAGAAGGTTAAGAGTTTTCAGCAAAATAATGTATGCAGAATATTACAGATTCTGGCACACAATAGATGCTTAAAAAAATGTTAGTTCCCACCTTTTCTCCTTTAGTGGGTCCACAGCGAATCCCCTCCACTTCCTGCTCCCATAACCTCACTGTAAGGAGAAACACCCCAAAATAAGATGGAACCACCTCTAGGTGCAGGGTTGTCCCTGTTCTAAATTAGACCACATCCAGGTACTGCCTGAGAGAGCAACCAACATGCCTCTTCCTCCTCTCTGCTTCTTTCTTCAGAGGCCCTTGGATCCCCCACCTTTCCTCCTCTCCTTCCTCCTTCCTCACTTACAGTAAAGCAGACCTGGGTTCCAATCACCTCCCACTCTCCTCTAGGCTCTAAGCCCAGCTGTGTGTGGAGCGGCAGGGGAAGGAGGCCCCAAGCCTCCCACCCTACCCAGCCCCCAGCTTCATCCCACTCTCCCCTCTCCCTGCCCCACCCTGATTACCAGGATATCCTCAGGTCTGCTGATTCCAAGCCTGCTTCTCTCAAACCAGTTCCCAGCTGTTATGTCTATAATTACCAATCTTGCCAGGGGCATCCGACAAAGCACAGCAAAACCTCATTTCCAAAGGGCCCCACCATAAAGGGCCTCTGCCTCCTACTCTGTACCAAGCAGGGTAGAGACAAGGAATGCAAACATTCTCCCTGGCCCACCACAGTTCTATCCAGACTACAACAGAGAAGGTGAGAGAGGGCTGCCCAAGCCACATCACCAAGAGACAGGATAAAGAAGGGGAGGGCCGCCGTAGGGTAGAATGTGAGTAGGACTTAGTCCCAGGCCTTTCCTTCACCTCTGCTGCCAAAATCTCATCATGCACAGGGTTACCCACCTGTGGAAGGTAAAAGGGAAAATTTCAGGTCAATTCAGAGAGAGGGGAAGCTGATGTCAAGTGAACAGGGAGATGGCTCCCCACAAGGATGAGGGTTGATGCATACAGGAGTGAGCTGCCCAGGAAAGAGGAGGAAAGAGCAAGTTTTAAAAGTCCCATCCCCAGCCCAGACCCTGAGAAGAGGCAATAATACCCTAGCCTCTCTTCTCCCCTAATACCTCCAACTCTACCAAGCCCATAGCACAAGCAGGAAAGGGATGATTAACTTTGTTTTATAGACAGAGAAACTGAGGCCAAATCCCCACTTCATACTGCAAGGTACAGGACTACCAAATACCCTGTGTGCCTTCTTGCTCACGCTCAGCCTCCACCAGGAGTGCCATCCTAAGACCCTTCCTGTTGGCCTAACTCATCCTTTAACCAGGTAAAGTCTGTCCACACAAGGGAATAATATTCAGCTATAAAAGGGAATGAAGTACTAATACATGCTACATGCTACCGTGTGGATTAACCTGGAAAACATTATGTTAAGCGAAGGAAGCCAGATTCAAAAGGTCATGCATTCTATCATTCCATTTGTATGAAATATCCAGAATAGGTACATCCATAGAGACAGGATGCAAATTGGTGGTTGCCAGGGGCTGGGGTAAGGGGAAATGGCGACAATTGTGTAATGGGTATGGGTTTTGTTTCGGGATGGTGCAAATGTTTGGGGACTAGACAGAGGTGGTTGTTGCACAGCACTGTGAATGTACTAAATGCCACTGTTCACTTTAAAATGGTTTATTTCCTATTATGTGAATTTCACCTTAATTTTTTTAAAATCCAGCTAACAGGGCATCTCCTGCAGGAACCTTCCCTGGCACCTCACCCCAGGGCCAAGCACTCTTCCTCTATGCTCCAGTGGCCTCCTGAACACACCTCCACACAGCACTCACTGGGCTGCAGTGAATCAACATGTTTTCACATGTCTCCCCTGGGAAAACATCTTATTTGCCCCTCCATCCCCTGTGCTTCACACTGTGCCTGGCAGATAGGAGAGAGTGCCTAATGTGGTCGGCCAAAGGAAGATCAGAACCAAAGCCTAGTTCTCCTATCCCGACTCCGACCTCTCTCCCTTAATGATGATTATCCCTCAGAATCCGAACCATCCAGCTAACATTTACTATGTGCCAGGAACTGTGCAACGTGCTTTCTCTATTATTTCATTTAATCCTCATAACCCCAAGAAGTAGGGCCTATTATTAATTCCATTTTACAGGTGAGGCTTCAAAAAGTTACCAGTTTTGTCTGATGTCACGGAATTAGACAGTGGCAAAGCCAGAATTTAAAAGCAAACCAGGGAAGAAAGCCACTTGGTGGGGGACCAGGGATTCCTTGTGGAAGGGCTCAGTCTAGGCTTGGAGGATGTGCCTTAAGACACCTAAGAGGCTGGGGAATGGGGTTTATTACTTGCCCAGATCACACCACTGTTAAGTACTAATTCCAACCAACTCTGACTCCTTTCTCTGGCCTCACAATGTGATGAACACTTGAGGGAAGGAGAAGACTGGAGTTCCCTAAAACTCAGAGGGGATCAGATCTCTTCCTTTTCCCTGCCAAAGCTTCTGTTAGTCAAGTTCCCTCCCCATTAACTGGAAGGACCTGGAAACCAGATGAGCAGATAAAAAACTGTCCTGCTCTAGGGCCAGGGAAGGGGGGATATTTCCTCAGATCTAAAAGGATCAGGAGGAGAGGCAAACACACCAGAGAGGCCTGCCCCGGAAGAATTAGAGGAAATAGAAGTCAGGAGCAAGACAATGGGTGAGGAGGGGCCAACGTGGCCACTGACTCCCAATCTGGAAGTACTTTCAGAAATGGCATTTCCTATTATCTGACCACAATTCCTCCTCTTTGGAAGAGAGCCCCCACCAGCATAATATATCATGCATGTGATCAGCGTATACAGAGCAAACAAGGGACCCCAGAGGGCCAGGGCACACCATCTTAGATGCAAGTGCCTTACTAGCCCTGGGAGCCCTAACTATCAGACAGGTGTTGGGTTTGGGGGAATGATCCATTAAAAAAAAAAAAAGGTCTTTTAAAGGTCTTTTCCTACTCTGCCCCGTTCCCCGTTCCTCGTTCAAACATTTTCTAACCCCTACTACTCTTATCTCCAGGCCTTAGGGAGGGTAGGGAGCCCTGAGGACTAAAGAGGGAACATTCCAATTGCACATGCCCATTAGAGACTCTAACATTCCAATTGCAATTGCCCAGAGACCATAATGGGTATGTACAATCTCACCTCAGCTCTTAAAACTGGGTGCCTCAACCCAGCCACTGGCAGCAAAAAGAGTGTGCAATGGGGGAAGGCTAGTATCCTAAAGAAGGAGGTGAGCAACCCCTTTCCTATACCCCAAAAGAGAAAGGATGAGAGAGGACAGGGAGAGAAGGGAGCTGTGGCTTCTTGGTGGAAAGAGACATTCACTTCCTGGATAGTCACTGACTTCCCACCACACTATCATGATGATGAGTATAGCAGTATAGCCTGCAATGGGTACCTGGCCCTTTCCCGACACACAGACACTCAGCCCTGGCCCCACACCCACAGCTCCATCTCAATCATGCTTGACACCAGGGAAAAGGGAAACTTTTTGGTCTGATAAACCACACAGACTCACTTGCAAAAGCTGCTGAAGAAACACCCTATGCCACCTTCTCAACCCCATGGGCAGGGAACCCAAGCTGTTCCCCACCAGGTCTCAACCCTCCAGACATGCTTCCTCCTCTTGTTTCCATCCCACACCAAAATCTCAAGACTCCTCAGGAACTTTAGGATCTTAGAGTCAGGGCAGAGTTAGAAGGCTATGAAGCAGCAAACTCTGAGACGGCTTTCCAAGAGAACTGTGGCCTGAAGCTTTTACCTAAGGCTGGGAATCCAAGAGTGTAGCTTCTCCAAGCGCTGGAACCCAGCCTATGACGATGGGGGAGGAAGTTCCTCTTATTCTTCTCCCTGACCCCGCCAATCTTCCAAATTCCTCTAGGACTACAACCAGACCCCTTGTTCCCTATTCCCCACAACACACGCCCTCTTCCAGAAAAACCCATCCCCCAAAAACAGGCACTTCATAAGACAACTCATTCCCTCCCACCCATAGGTCTCAGATACTTAAGGTACTACCCCTAAACCCAGGCGAGGCCATCCACGAAGTCTCAAAATCCTGCAGACAGCCTTCTTTTCGGGATTTTTGCCAGGAAAATCTGCCTGCAGAGTCTAGAGGTACCCCCGACACACACTCAGAAACATACATACCAGCTAAGGCAGGCACACACATTGATACCCATCAACACAGGTTACACACAAGAGAACACAGATTCACACCCCTTCCCAGTACACAGGTGCACACACACCTATCCACATACACTCCATTCTGCTCTTACACACCCACCTTCCTCAGTACCTACACACCTCTTTCCCGTGAACCCCTCTCCCAGTACACACACATAGACATACACGCCCTCCCCTAAGTATACATATAAACACATATCCAAACACACAGCAGATGCATGGTCAGCCGCTCCCTGGGTGCACACACACTCAAGCACAGAAAAACACCTACACATCCAAACCAGGGGCCCACCTGCAGGAACATGCAGCACGTCAAGGCGTGCACACACACCAAAACAAAGAATCATGCACACGGATCCTCCACCAACCCTTCAAAACTCACTAACGCAGAGCCCACAGTCCCCCAGATGGGTAAATATGAGTGGGGAGAGGGATGCCAGCGCCTGTCCCCTCGGCCCCTATACACAGTCTACCGCCTCCAGCCCCATCCTCGGTCTGTACATACACCCTATCTACTCTGCCCAACCCGCCCCCCTGACTCCACTCTACACCCTTAACGCATACCTGCCTCCGTCCCTCCCCACGCTCCTGAGGGGTGTATGCACCCCAAAACACCCTTGGCTTCCAATACCTCCAGACTCCGATCCTTCCACGCCTCTCCCCCCACCTCCAACACAAGCTCCCCGTCTCCGGCTTCAACCGGCTCCCCTGGGATCATTAAGGCCCCCGCCCGGGCCCAGGAAAGTCCCCGGCTCTCCAGGCCTGGGCTCCGCCCCCTCCCCACGAGCCCCTTCCCCTCCCCAAAGTTGGGGGGGGTACTCCGCTGTGCAGTGGGGAAGCGGACCGGAAGGGGGTTGCCCGGAGTCCAGCCCCCCTTCCCCCATAAGCCACCCCGCTCGCTCTGGGGTCGGGCACCCCCTGGCCCCTTGCATGATTTTCCTCCTTTTCCATTTCTTTTTTTCTCTCTCTTTCTTTCTTCTTTTTTTTTCAAACTTTGCCCGCGCCCCCGCGGCCCGGCACTCACCCGCCGCTGCGAACTGCCGGGTGGGCTCCGCGGGCGCCCCGCTCGGCCCGTCGCCTTTGTATCCGCAGCGCTCCGGGTCGCTCCGAACTCGGCGCTCCTGGACAGGCAGCGCGCGCGATGGGGGATGTTGAGGGGGGGGTTCTTGAGTCTGGTCACCCCCTGCTCCGTCCCAGACCGCTGCCTCTTCCCCCTCAAGGCCCCGGGGGCTGGGGGCCAGGGGGGAATAGGGGGCGCTCAGGCTCCCATGGCGGGACCAAGGATCAAGGAATCAAGGATCAGGAATCAGATCGGGAGCCGGCGGCGCAGGGGGGAGGGGGCGGAGGGGGAGGGGATGAGGGTGGGGGGTGCAGGGGGCGGGGGAGCGCGAGCTCCCGGGTGCCGCCTCCCGGCTGTTCCCACAGCCGCCGCCCCTCCTACCGCCGCGTCCATTGTCTGCGGCCCCGCTCTTCCCGGAGTCGCCGCTCCCCCAGCCCTGCGCCTTCAGATGCCCAGCGGCCCTCCCCGATCCTGGGAATCCGCGGTGGGGCTGACACTCGGGTCCCGAACGGTGGGCAGGGGAATGCCTCGATTCTTGGACTTGGCCCAGCCCGCAGTCCCTCCTGGGGCTGTCTTCCTGGACCCCTCCTGTCGGAGAAGGAGCCCCCAGATCCCTGGGGCTGGCCATATTCTCTTTAGGGCCACGGACCCGACTACACAAAATCCAATGGAATCTGGGACGTGGGAAGATTGATTTTTTTTTTCCCCCTAGGGGTCCGAGAAGGGAGGGTCATCCCTGATTTTAATTAGTGGCGAGAGGCGCACGCCTCTTCCCATGCATACGGGGATTTCCCTGACACCATCACCACCATATCCCCTCCTTCCAAAAATAATTTAATTACTTGGAGTTCTAGCTGCGAGCAGCGACCGCCCCAGTCAGTCTGGGACGCTCCCTCATTAACACATTTTTCCTCCCCTCTGGTTTGAGTGTTGGGATTAATTACAAAGGGAACCCTGCCTTAGGGAAGAAGGGGAGGAGGAAAAGACGCGGGCGCCTGGGAGTTTGAATGGCAGAGGAGAGGGGGCCTTCTCCCAGGAAACCTCCAAGAGGAAAAATGCCTTGGCCAGTTGGGTCCCCAACCCCAAGCAGGCAGATTGTCCATCCCAGGAGTTTCAGATACTTTAGAGTTGAAGGTGCCACACAGGGATTGTAGGATCTCACAAAATATCCTACACGTTTGGGGCATTTGTGCCTCCCAGTATGCCAAGAAACCAGTTAGGGTTCTTTTACATGTGACCCTACAAGAGTGAACCCACACCGTAAAAGCCTGGGCTGTGGGAAGTCCATGTTCCCCTTGGAGTAAGTGAAAGCAGTATTCAATTATCATTAATGTTATTGCCGTGCAACCCGCCACTTAGAGTAGTATCATTTCAAAAGCATCTTCACATACTTCTCCCTAAGCAGGCCAAGGCCTTTTCAATATCTCAGCCTCCTTCAGTTTCCAATCCTGGCACCTGCTTGAACAACCCTGTGATTAAGGAATCCCAGAGAAAGAGACTCCCAGCCTCTGTTCCTCACTTGTTTGGGAATTTTTGCTCCTCCCTGATGAAAACTATTTCCTGAGACCTAATCTCACCCCTTTTGATGGTTCATTCTAACCTGTCCAAAGATGAGGACAGAACCAACTATGCTGCATTGTTCAAAGATGCAGAACAGTAAAACACACTTCCTTTCTCCTTTGCCCAAACTCTGTCTTTCCTCATCCCCTCCTCCAGTAGTATGGGTAAGCAGGTGACTCAGCATCAAGACTACATGAAATATGCAGAATCATCATTTCAGGTACCCAAGTCCCTGCATGCGTCCAGGCACTCATTCACCTTGTGCCTATCATGTGCAGGCACTGGGCCGCACTGGGGCTCCTGGCAGTGACCACGACCAGGTGTATGAGGGAGTGGCAGGAGAGCTGGGGAAGGGTTAAGGGAAGTAGGGAGGACATGGGTGTCCCCAGCCCTGCCCCAAAGCACACCCCAGTGCTAGGCAGCTAGTGTGTAATTTGACACAGAGTCGGGGCTGCCGTGGCACTGTCTTGACTCTCAGGCAGATTTAGTGTGAATTATCTTCACATGCTGCTAGCCTGTTTCACAGACCCCAAAATGGCCCAAAGAACTGGAAAAAGGGCTTCTGATGCCAGAATTACAGATAATTCCATAGTCTGGCCCCACTGAAAGCTTGAAACCTAAGTCAGGATGTTAACAGACAAGGCTTCCCAATTAACAGGTATCAGGCATCAGGCTAGAATAAGCTTAGTCCCTCCTTTCTCTGACGGTGAGGTTGGGGGCTTTCAATTACATCTCTGCAATGAAAACACTGGATTACAGAGTCCAACAAAAAATTTTATTGGTGTGGTCTGTCCCATTCAGCAATTCTCTGTATTACCTTCTACCTTCACCTCAGGATAGAATCCCATCTGGATTTCACACGTCCCCAAGTCACTGAGTAAGCAAACAGAGACCCAGCTAGAAGGCCCATGTGCCCTATGGTCTAAGGGACCTAGCTTAATTCTTTAGAAGGAAGGAGAGCACTGAAATGACATTCAACTGAGATTTTCCTAAAGGGGCCAACCTACAATAACAGAGGGAGGCCAAGAGCCTGAGGGACAATAGAATGGAACAGATTGGATTTTGTACAGCTCCTGTCCTTGAGGACATAGTCGAATTTCTTAATTTCTTCAAGCCTCAATTTCTGCTTATATAAAAAGGGTCTAATGAGGTAACAGAAGGAACACCCTCCATATACTCATAGTGCCACAGTCAATTCCCAGTCGAGTTTCCCCTCTCTGTTCTGTGCCTAGGATACTTCTCTTAGGAGAGAACACTTCTCTAGGACACTTCTTTCAGTACTCTTCCTCGGGGAAGGAGGCCCCTAGCTAAAAGCCAGGGCCCTCCATTAAAGCCCTTTCAACACCTCACCAGCTCACTAGGTGGAGGTGGGGCTGGTGGGGTCAGATCAGAGGCTTCCCAGGAGCCCTGGGAGTTGGACCCTCCTGGGGAAGATTCAAGGAACTCAAGAAGTGACAGTAGACTCTCTCTGAGGGAAGGTCCAGACTATAGAGAAGCACCTACCTACTTCCTGTGTGGATGAAGCTGTCCCTGGAGGTCAGGCCCAGACCACAGTAGCAAAAGTTAGGTTTTCTGCTCTGATGAAAAGTAGGGCCTTTTTACAATGCTGCTCAGAGAAAGGGAATCCTTGGTACCTTACTCATAGAAGCTTCACACTATAGCAGAATGGCCATCAAAGTGTTTCCATGTAAGCAATTAGCAATTTTAGCCACCTCCCAGGTACAGGTGACTGCAGTAATGTACCCACATGCAGGGCCACAATCACCATCTACTTCCAGCCCTGCTGATGAGCCTGGGTACAAGTTGATCTCCCGGAATAGTTACAGATCTTTCCCCAGCACCCACCTTCCCAGAAAGGCTACTCTCAATGCTCACAAAAGGATTTCCAGACCCAGTCTATATTGGGAAATACCTGGGTTCTGGGTGTGAGGGGTTTCCCCCTTCACTTTTAGTTAAAAAAAAAAAAAAAAAAGAATAAAAGTAGCTCACACACAAAAAAACTTAACTGGTCAAGAACTGTATTATGTCATAGGCTTGTGGTGAAGTGTCTGTCATGTGAGATCCTGATCTCTAAGAAGAAGGACCATGCCTCATTCATTTCTATATCTCTGGCACATAAAATTCAATAAGTTAGCATTAGCTGCCTTCCCTTCTAGCTTCCTTCTCTTTCTCCCTTCCTCATCTATGAAACCTTGACCACTCCCTATTCATCCAACCTTTATTAAGTGTGAGTTTCCTCAAATCCAATCCCATTATCATTAATCTAAAATGTTACCTGCAATTAAACCAGTGGTTGTGAACTTTGACTGCAGATTTTAATCACCTGGGAAGCTTTGAAAACACATCAATGCCCAGGACCATCCCAGACTAATTAAACCAGAAACTTCTGAGGTGTGACCCAGCTATTGGCATTTTTTTTAAGATACCTCAGTGATTTTAATGTGAGAACCACTGAATGAAACTTTCTGATTTCCTTCCTCCTTCTTGGGAAGAATAGACACTCTCCAGCTCCCTTGGCTGGGACTAGGCCCTGCAGGTGTGCGTTATATCCTGTCCTTTCCCACCTCCATCCATTATTCACAATCTCTCCTGTAACCAACTTCGGCCTCTTCACTGATCTTTGCCCAGCAGACATAATAAAATGAAATACCTTCCTCCACTCAGCAGCCTCCTCTTGCTTTAGCCTTCGCTTTTATTTCTTTCTCATCCAACCTTCTTAAAAGAGTAGATTCTTAGGCCAGGCCTGGTGGCTCACACCTGTAATCCCAGCACTTTGGGAGGCTGAGGCGGGTGGATCACCTGAGGTCGAGAATTAGAGACCAGCCTGACCAACATGGAGAAACCCCGTCTCTACTGAAAATACAAAATTAGCCGGTCATGGTGGCAGGTGCTTGTAATCCCAGCTACTCGGGAGGCTGAGGCAGGAGAATCGCTTGAACCCAGGAGGAGGAGGTTGCGGTGAGCCGAGTTCGTGCCATTGCACGCCAGCCTGGGCAACAAGAGTGAAACTCCATCTCAAAAAAAAAAAAAAAAAAAAAAAATGGATAGATTCTTTACTATCTCTCTTCCTCCCTTCACTCCTCAGCTCCTTGCACCCCAGCCATCCTTCCAATGTGTTTTCTACTCCTGACTTCAAATACTATTATTTCCCAGAATTCAGCCTTTGGCCCCCTTACTCCCCACTCCACATGCTTTTCCAAAGCAATGTCATTCACTCCTGTGGCTTCAGTCAGTACTCACTTATGAGTGCTGCTAAATCCAGGTCTATCTTGTGAGCATAAGACTCAAATTTTCAACTTCCTACCATACATTTTAACTTGGATATTCCTTGGGTATCTTAAATGTAATAGGTTTAAAAGGAACAACATTATCTTCCTTCCACCTCTATCCCCTTGGCTTATTCAGACCTTTATCATTTCCAAACATGTCTCATTCCCTTCCAATCCGTCTTCCTCCCATGTTGCCAATGTGATTTTTATGAAAGGGAAATCAGCCTGTCACTCTCTTACCTAAAACAATCCATGGCTTCCCACTGTCTACAAGATAAAGTCAAAACTTTTTGGCACCATACATAAGAAACTTCAGGCCCCAACTCATTCGCCTTCTCCAGGCTTATCTCCTAGTGCTCCCTGTGCATTTAAAGCCCAAACTTTCAACACACGTACATCCAAACTATACGCATCTACTCATTGTTCTGCCAATTTGAGGCTCTATTACTTCTCTGCCTTCTCACAAAGTTTCCTTTGCCTAAAATGCCTTCCTCCTTCTTTCTGCCTGGAAAGTTTTGTTGATCCTTCAAGACTGAACTGTGGCCTCCTCTGCAACTCTTTACCAATTTTCCCAAGCAAAGCTAGATGACCCCACACCCGGAGAACCTCCTTTGTGCTCTCAAAGCTCTGCATACCTTTGTTTTAGCATTTATGACATTGTATGGCAATTTCTTAATAATAATTGTATGGTAATTTCTCAATAATAGCATTTTGAGGTTGGAAGAGACTTTCTGAATTTTACAGATGAGGAAACAGGTACAAAGTAAGTGCCTCATTGCCCAAAGTCATACGGCTAATTAGTGGCAGCCCCAGAACTAAAACCCGGGTCTCCTGACTTACTGTTCAGCAGTCTGTCAACTGCACCACATTTACTGAGCACGGTTTCATCTGAAATAAAGATCATGGTAGTGACTCCTAGCCTTTTGTGGACTTTTGAGACTTTGATGAAAGCTACAAGCGCTCACCAGAACAATGTACACATGTACACACACAGAATTCACATCCATTCTCAGGGCATGCTGGGGGGTATGTGTGGCATTGGTTTAAAGAGAGAAAAATCTAGAAGTAGCAAAACCAGTAAGAAGGCTAATTAAATAGTTTGGGGGCAGGGTGGTGGAGGGGAGTTGAGCCTGGCTCCAAGGCTGTGGGGATAGATAAGGATAGAAAAGAAAGCTCATTGCCGGGCACCGTGGCTCAGGCCTGTAATCCCAATACTTTGGGAGGCTGAGGCGGGTGATCACGAGGTCAGGTGTTCGAGACCACCTGGCCAACATGGTGAAACTCCGTCTTTACTAAAAATACGAAATTAGCTGGGCATGGTGGTACATGCCTATAATCCTAGCTACTTGGGAGGCTGAGGCAGGAGAATTGCTTGAACCTGGGAGGCAGAGGTTGCAGTGAGCCAAGATCATGCCATTGCACTCCAGCCTGGGCAACAAGAGCGAAACTCCATCTCAAAAAAAAAAAAAAAAAAAAGCTGAAATTTGGAAGAGATGACCTGCAGGTGGGATGAATAGGGTTGAGGAACAAAGAGGCATTTAAAATGACTCAGAGGCTTCTGGTATGTATATTAAAGAAGCTGGTCATGCCATACATAAAATTAGGGGCTATTGAGAGAGCAGGTTTAAAGGGTAGATCATATGTGGGATTTGACAGGTATCTCAGGTATCTGTGGACTATCACGGTAGGGACATCCATAGGAAGCTGTTAATAACATAAGCACTTTCCACATCTCTCCTGCCACTCTTTCTCAGGCTATCTGAACAATCTATTATTCCCTAGCCCAAACACATGCTTTACTGCCTCCAATCCCATTGTTCATCCTATTGCCTCTATATGGAGCACCTTCCTTACACCATCACTCATATGCAAAATATTTCAAGGTTCAATTTGAATATTTTCTTGAGTAAGTCATTCCTGACATCATCGATTTGACTTAATATCTCTCTTCTATAAAGTCCCAAATCTTTCTCTGAATCTCTCCCACCATATTCACTATTTTGTCTTTTTTTTTTTTTTTTTTTTTGAGACAGGGTCTTGCGGTGTTGCCCAGGCTGGAGGGCAGTGGCATGATCTTGGCTCACTGCAGCCTCAACCTCCCCAGGCTCAGCTGATCATCCCACCTCAGTCTCCCGAGTAGTTGGGACCTGCCACCATGCCCAGCTAACTTTTGTATTTTTTGGAGAGACAGGGTTTCGCCATGTTGCCCAGGCTGGCCTCCAACTCCTGACCTCAACTGATCCACCTGCCTTGGCCTCCCCAAGTATTAGTATTACAGGTATGAACCACCATGCTCGGCCATATTCACTATTTTGAATTTCAGTTATTTATGTTCCTGAGAAAAAGAGGCAAGAAGAAACAAAGGATAGATGGTACAGATAGATAACAAATAACAAGACCAAAAGTTAAACCAGGCTATATCAGTAATCACATTAAATATAAATGGTCTAAATACTCCAATTAAAGGCCAGGCGTAGTGGCTCATGCCTGTAATCCCAGCACTCTAGGAGGCCAAGGAGGGCAGATCAGTTGAGGTCAGGAGTTCAAGATCAGCCTGGCCAACATGGTGAAACCCTCTCTCTACTAAAAATACAAAAATTAGTCAGGCGTGGTGGGGTGCACCTGTAATCCCAGCTACTTGGGATGCTGAGGCAGGAGACTCACTTGAACCCAGGAGGCGGAGGTTGCAGTAAGCCAAGATCATACCACTGCACTCCAGCCTGGGTGACGGAGTGAGACTCAGTCTCAAAATACATACATACATACATACATACATACTCCAATTAAAAAGCATAATTTGTCAGATTAGATTATAAAAGCAATATCTAACTGTATACTGCCTAAAAGAAATCCTTTTAAATATAGACAAAAATAGGTTAAAGCTAAAGGGATAGAAAAAATGTACCATGCTAATGCTAATCAAAATAAAGTTGGAATCGCTATACTAATACTAATAATGTAGATTTCAGAGCAAAGAATATTGCCCGGGATAAAAAAGAATCATTTCATAATGATAAAGAGGTCAATTCATCAAGAAGACATAATAACTCTAAACACTTATGTACCCAATAACAGAGATTCAAAGTACGTGAAGCAGCTTTGCACAATGGCAAGTATCATAGCCAATGAGGTTTATCTGAGGCATGACTATTGCTAATTGAAAAATTTTCCCAATACCCCACTGTGATGACTTGCAACATAGTCAGCACTGACAATTTTTGACAGTCTATACAAAGACTGAATTTGAAAAAAAACAAAAAAAAACAAAAAAACAGCTGGGCTAGTCATAGTGGCTCACACCTATAATCTCAGCACTTTTGGGAGGCCAAGGTGGGTGGATCACGTGAGCCCAGCAGTGCAAGACCAGCCTGGGCAACATGGTGAAACCCTGTCTCTACTAAAAATACAAAAATTAGACAGGCGTAGTGGCATGTACCTGCAGTTGCAGCTACTCAGGAGGTGGAGGCTGAGGCATGAGAATCGCTTGAACCCAGGAGGTGGAGGTTGTGGTGAGCTGAGATCATGCCACTGCACTCCAGCTTGGGCAACAGAGTGAGACTCAGTTTCAGAAAAAAATAAAAATACAAATACAAAAAATTAGCTGGGCATGGTGGCTCACACCTGTAGTCCCAGCTACCTGGGAGGATCACCTGAGCCTGGGGAGGTGAAAGCTGCAGTAAGCCATGATTGCGCCACTGCACTCCAGCCTGGGTGACAGAGTAAGACTCTCTCTTTATCTCTCTCTCTCTCTCTCTCTGTGTATGTATATATGTTTGTGTGTATATATGTGTGTGTGTGTGTGTGTGTGTGTGTGTGTGTGTGTATATATATATCATGAAGCAAAAACCAATAGAACTACAAGGATAAATTGACAAATCCACAAGGATAATCAGTAATATCCATACCCATACCTTAATAGTTGATAGAACAAATAGAAAATCAGTAAAGATGTAAAAGATTTGACCGACAGTATCAACTAATTTGACTAATTGATTATAGAACATTCCATCCAACAGCAGAATTTTTTTCAAGAACATTGCACATGGAACATTTACCAAGATAGCCATAAAATAAGTAGTGATCAATTTTAAAAGAATCAGATTATATAAAATATATTCCCTGGCTGCAATGGTATTAAAGTAAATACCAATAATAGAAAGATATCTAGAAAATCTCCAAATAAAATACCAGAGACTGGAAAGGGTGGAGGGGAAGGAAAGGATGAAGACAGGTTGATTATGTATACAAACATATAGTTAGATAGAAGAAATAAGTTCTAATGTTTGATAGCAGACTTGGGTGACTATACTTAGCAACAATTTTATGTATATTTCAAAGTAACTAGAGGAGAGGACTTGAAATGATACCAGAACTTAAAAATGATAAACACTCATTACCAAGGTGATGGGGGATAGAAATCTGACATCAAGGTGTTGGCAGGGCCATGCTTTCTCTGAAGGATCTAGGAGAGAGTCCTTCCTTGCTTCTTCTAGCTCCTGGTGTTTTCTGACAGTCCAGGGCATTCCTTGGTTTGTAAATTAATCACTCCTTTCTCTGCCTCCATTGTCATTTGGCTGGATTCTCTCTCTGGATCTCTGCGTCATCTTCCCACCCTGTGTGTCTATGTCCAAATTTCCCTCTTCTTAAAAGACACCAACCATATTGGATTAAGGGCCCATCTCACTCCATTACCTCATCTTAATGAATTGCATCTGCAAAGACCTCTATTTCCAAACAAAGTCACAGTCACAGGTACCAGGGGTTAGGACTTCAATGTATCTCTTGGAAGGAGGGGTCAATTCAATCCATAACACTAGCAATGAACACTCAAAAGATTAAATTTAAAACACCATTTACAGTGACACCAAAAAGTGTAAAATACTGAGAGATAAATCCAGCCAAAGATGTGCAAGTCCTATGCACTGAAAACTATAAAATATTGCTCAAAAAAATTAAAGAAGGTTGGAGTCCATTCCAAGATGGCCAAATAGGAAGAGCTCCAGTCTGCAGCTCCCAGGGTGATCGATGAAGAAGATGGCTGATTTCTGCATTTCCAACTGAGGTACCTGGTTCATCTCATTGGGACTGGTTGTACAGTGGGTGCCACGCACGGAGGGCAAGCCAAAGCAAGGAGGGGCATCGCCTCACCTGGGAGTGCAAGGGGTTTGGGGATTTCCCTTTCCTTGCCAAGGGAAGCTGTGACAGACTGTACCTGGAAAAATGGGACACTCCTGCCCAAATACTGCACTTTTCCAAGGTCTTAGCAACCGGCAGACCAGAAAATTCTCGGCTGTGCCTGGCTCAGCGAGTCCCATGCCCACAGAACCTTGCTCACTGCTAGCGCAGCAGTCTGAGATTGACCTGCAAGGCAGCAGCCTGGAGGAGGGAGGGGTGTCTGCCATTGCTGAGGCTTCAGTAGGTAAACAAAGTGGCCTGGAAGCTTGAACTGGGCAGAGCCCAACACAGCTCAGCAAGGCCTACTGCCTCTACAGACCTCACCTCTGTAGGCAGGGCATACCTGAACAAAAGGCAGCAGAAACTTCTGCAGACTTAGATGTCCCTGTCTGACAGCTCTGAAGAGAGTAGTGGTTCTCCCAGCACAGCATTTGAGCTCCAAGAACAGACAGACTGGCTCCTCAAGTGGGTCCCTGACCCCTGTGTAGCCTAACTGGGAGACACCTCCCAGTTGGGGCCGACAGACACCTTATACAGGCAGGTGCCCCTCTGGGACGAAGCTTCCAGAGGAAGGATCAGGCAGCAATATTTGCTGTTCTGCAGCCTCCGCTGGTGATACCTAGGCAAACAGGGTCTAGAGTGGATCTCCAGCAAACTCCAACAGACCTGCAGCTGAGGAACCTGAATGTTAGAAGGAAAACTAACAAACAGAAAGGAATGGCATCAACATCAACAAAAAGAACATCCACACCAAAACCCCATTTGTCGGTCACCAACATCAAAGACCAAAGGTAGATAAAACCACAAAGATGGGGAGAAATCAGAGCAGAAAAGCTGAAAATTCTAAAAACTAGAGTGCCTCTTCTCCTCCAAAGGATCACAGCTCCTCACCAGCAATGGAACAAAGCTGGATGGAAAATGACTTTGACGAGTTGACAGAAGTAGGCTTCAGAAGGTCAGTAATAACAAACTTCTCCGAGCTAAGGGAGCATGTTCTAACCCATTGCAAGGAAGCTAAAAACCTTGAAAAAAGGTTAGGCGAATGGCTAACTAGAATAAACTGTGTAGAGAAGACCTTAAATGACCTGATGGAGCTGAAAACAATGGCACGAGAACTTTGTGACGCATGCACAAGCTTCAGTAGCCAATTTGATCAAGTGGAAAAAAGGGTATCAGTGATTGAAGATCAAATTAATGAAATAAAGCGAGAAGACAAAGTTAGAGAAAAAAGAGTAAAAAGAAATGACCAAACCCTCCAAGAAATATGGGACTATGTGAAAAACCAAATCTAAGTTTGATTGCTATACCTGAAAGTGACGGGGAGAGTGGAACCAAGGTGGAAAACACTCTTCAGGATATTATCCAGGAGAACTTCCCCAACCTAGCAAGGCAGGCCAACATCCAAATTCAGGAAATACAGAGAACACCACGAAGATACTCCTCAAGAAGAGCAACACCAAGACACGTAATTGTCATATTCACAAAGGTTGAAAATAAAGGAAAAAATGTTAAGGGCAGCCAGAGAGAAAGTTCAGGTTACCCACTAAGGGAAGCGCATCGGACTACAGCAGATCTTTTGGCAGAAACCATACAAACCAGAAGACAGTGCGGGCCAATATTCAACATCCTTAAAGAAAAGAATTTTCAACCCAGAATTTCATATCCAGCCAAACTAAGCTTCATAAGTGAAGGAGAAATAAAATCTTTTACAGGGCCAGGTGCGGTGGCTCACGCCTGTAATCTCAGCACTTTTGGAGGCTGAGGCGGGCGGATCACGAGGTCAGGAGATCAAGACTATCCCAGCTAACACGGTGAAACCCCGTCTCTACTAAAAATACAAAAAATTAACCAGGCATGGTGGTGGGCACCTGTAGTCCCAGCTACTCGGGAGGCTGAGGCAGGAGAATGGCGTGAACCCAGGAGGCAGAGCTTGCAGTGAGCCCAGATCATGCCACTGCATTCCAGCCTGGGCAACAGAGCGAGACTCCGTCTCAAAAAAAAAAAAAAATCCTCTACGGACAAGCAAATGCTGAGAGATTCTGTCACCACAAGGGCTCCTGAACGAAGCACTAAACATGGAAAGGAACAACCAGTACCAGCCACTACAAAAACATGCCAAATTGTAAAGACCATCAACGCTATGAAGAAACTGCATCAATTAACAGGCAAAATAACCAGCTAACATCATAATGACAGGATCAAATTCACACATAACAATATTAACCTTAAATGTAAATGGGCTAAATACCCGAATTAAAAGACACAGACTGTCAAATTGGATAAAGAGTCAAGACCCATCAATGTGCTGTATTCAGGAAACCCATCTCATGTGCAGAGACACACATAGGCTCAAAATAAAGGGATGGAGGAAGATTCACCAAGCAAATGGAAAGAAAAAAAAAAACAGGGGTTGCAATCCTCGTCTTTGATAAAACAAACTTTAAACCAACAAAGATCAAAAGAGACAAAGAAGGCCATTACATAATGGTAAAGAATCAATTCAACAAGAAGAGCTAACTATCCTAAATATATATGCACCAATACAGGAGCACCCAGATTCATAAAGCAAGTCCTTAAAGACCTACAATGAGACTTAAACTCCAACACAATAATAGTGGGAGAATTTAACACCCCACTGTCAATATTAGACAGATCAACCAGACAGAAGGTTAACAAGGATATCCAGGACTTGAACTCAGCTCTGCACCAAGTGGACCTAATACACATCTACAGAACTCTCCACCCCAAATCAAAAGAATGTACATTTTTTTCAGCACCACATCGCACTTATTCTAAAATTGACCACATAATTGGAAGTAAAGCACTCCTCAACAAATGTAAAAGAACAGAAATCACAACAACCTGTCTCTCAGACCACAGTGCAATCAAATTAGAACTCAGGATTAAGAAACTCACTCAAAACCACACAATGACATGGAAACTGAACAACCTGCTCCTGAATGACTACTGGGTAAATAATGAAATGAAGGCAGAAATAAAGATGTTCTTTGAAACCAATGAGAACAAAGACACAATGTAACAGAATCTCTGGGACACATGTAAAGCAGTGTGTAGAGGGAAATTTATAGCACTAAATGCCCACAAGAGAAAGCAGGAAAGATCTAAAATCGACACCCTAACATCACAATTAAAAGAACTAGAGAAGCAAGAGCAAACAAATTCAAAAGCTAGCAGAAGGCAAGAAATAACTAAGATCAGAGCAGAACTGAAGGAGATAGAGACACAAAAAACCCTTCAAAAAATAAATGAATCCAGGAGCTGGTTTTTTTAATAGATCAACAAAAGACATGGACCACTAGCAAGACTAATAAAGAAGAAAAGAGAGAAGAATCAAATAGATGCAATAAAAAATGATAAAGGGGATATGACCACTGATCCCACAGAAATACAAACTACCATCAGAGAATACTATAAACACTTCCATGCAAATAAACTAGAAAATCTAGAAGAAATGGATACATTCCTGGACACATACACCCTCCCAAGACTAAACCAGGAAGAAGTTGAATATCTGAATAGGCCAATAACAGGCTCTGAAATTGAGGCAATAATTAATAGCCTACCAACAAAAAAGTCCAGGACCAGATGGATTCACAGCCAAATTCTACCAGAGATACAAAGAGGAACTGGTACCATTCCTTCTGAAACTATTCCAATCAATAGAAAAAGAGGGAATCCTCCCTAACTCATTTTATGAGGCCAACATTATCCTGATACCAAAGCCTGGCAGACACACAACCAAAAAAGATAATTTTAGACCAATATCCCTGATGAACATGGATGCAAAAATACTCAGTAAAATACTGGCAAACCAAATCCAGCAGCACATCAAAAAGCTTATCCACCACGATCAAGTCGGCTTCATCCCTGGGATGAAAGGCGGGTTCAACATATGCAAGTCAATAAATGTAATCCATCACATAAACAGAACCAATGACAAAAATCACATGATTATCTCAATAGATGCAGAAAAGGCCTTCAACAAAATTCAACAGCCCTTCATGCTAAAAGCTCTCAATAAACTAGGTATTGATGGAATATATCTCAAAATAATAAGAGCTATTTATAATAAACCCACAGCCAATATCATACTGAATGGGCAAAAACTTGAAGCATTCCCTTTGAAAACCCGCACAAGACAAGGATGCCCTCTCTCACCACTCCTATTCAACATAGTGTTGGAAGTTCTGGCCCGGGCAATCAGGCAAGAGAAAGAAATAAAGGTATTCAATTAGGGAAAGAGAAAGTCAAATTGCCTCTGTTTGCAGATGACATGATTGTATATTTAGAAAACCCCATCGTCTCAGCCCAAAATCTCCTTAGGCTGATAAGCAACTTCAGCAAAGTCTCAGGATACAAAATCAATGTGCAAAAATCACAAGCATTCCTATACACCAATAACAGACAAACAAGAGAGCCAAATCATGAGTGAACTCCCATTCACAATTGCTTCAAAGAGAATAAAATACCCAGGAATCCAACTTACAAGGGTTGTGAGGGACCTCTTCAAGGAGAACTACAAAGCACTGCTCAATGAAATAAAAGAGGACACAAACAAATAGAAGAACATTCCATGCTCATGGATAGGAAGAATCAATATCGTGAAAATGGCCATACTGCCCAAGGTAATTTATAGATTCAATGCCATCCCCATCAAGCTACAGATTACTTTCTTCACAGAATTGGAAAAAACTACTTTAAAGTTCATATGGAACCAAAAAAGAGCCCATATTGCCAAGGCAATCCTAAGCAAAAAGAACGAAGCTGGAGGCATCATACTACCTGACTTCAAACTATACTACAAGGCTACAGTAACCAAAACAGCATGGTACTGGCACCAAAACAGAGATCTAGACCAATGGAACAGAACAGAGGCCTCAGAAATAACACCACACATCTACAGCCATCTGATCTTTAACAAACCTGACAAAAACAAGAAATGGGGTAAGGATTCCCTATTTAGTAAATGGTGCTGGGAAAACTGGCTAGCCATATGTAGAATGCTGAAATTGGGTCCCTTCCTTACACCTTATACAAAAATTAATTCAAGGTGGATTAAAGACTTAAATGTTAGACCTAAAACCATAAAAACCCCAGAAGAAAACCTAGGCAATACCATTCAGGACATAGGCATGGGCAAAGACTTCATGACTAAAACATCAAAAGCAATGGCAACAAAAGCCAAAATAGACAAATGGGATCTAATTAAACTAAAGAGCTCCTGCACAGCAAAAGAAAGTACCATCAGAGTGAACAGGAGTGAATGGGAGAAAATTTTTGCAATCTACGCATCTGACAAAAGGCTAATATCCAGAATCTACAATAAATTAAATTTATAAGAAAAAAACAAAGAACCCCATCAAAAAGTGGGCAAAGGATATGAACAGACATTTCTCAAAAGACATTTATGCCGCCAACAGACACATGAAAAAATGCTCATCATTACTGGTCATCAGAGAAATGCAAATCAAAACCACAATGAGATACCATCAACAGATGATAGAGTGGATATGGAGAAATAGGAACGCTTTTACACTGTTGGTGGAAGTGTAAATTAGTTCAATCATTGTGGAAGATAGTGTGGTGATTCCTCAAGGATCTAGAACTAGAAATACCATTTGACCCAGCCATCCCATTACTGGGTATATACCGAAAGGATTATAAATCGTGCTACTATAAAGACACATGCACATGTATGTTTATTGTGGCACTATTCACAATAGCAATGACTTGGAATCAACCCAAATGTCCATCAATGATAGACATAGAAAATGTGGCACATAAACACCATGGAATACTATGCAGCCATAAAAAAGGATGAGTTCATGTCCTTTGCAGGGACATGGATGAAGCTGGAAACCACCATTCTCAGAAAACTATCACAAGGACAGAAAACCAAACACCACATGTTCTCACTTATAGGTGGGAATTGAACAATGAGAACACTTGGACACAGGGGCTTGTTGGGGGGTGAGGGCTGGGGGAGGGACAGCATTAGGAGAAATACCTAATGTAAACGACGAGTTGATGGGTGCAGCAAACCAATATGGCACATGTATACCTATGTAACAAACCTGCACGTTGTGCACATGTACCCTAGTATAATGCCCATGTACCCTAGTATAATAAAAAATAAAATAAAATAATAAATTAAAGAAGGTCTAAATAAATGGGGCAATATACTATACATTGTTTATGGGTTAGAAGATTTCATATTGTTAAGATTTTACTTCTCTAAAAGTTGATCAGCCGGGCGTGGTGGCTCACACCTATAATCCCAGCACTTTGGGAGGCTGAGGTGGGCGGATCAGGAGGTCAGGAGATCGAGACCATCCCGGCTAACATGGTGAAACCCCATCTCTACTGAAAATACAAAAACATTAGCCAGGAGTGGTGGCGGGCGCCTGTAGTCCCAGCTACTCGGTAAGGCTGAGGCAAGAGAATGGCGGGAACCTGGGAGGTGGAGCTTGCAGCAAGCCAAGATCGTGCCACTGCACTCCAGCCTGGGCAACAGAGCGAGACTCCTTCTCAAAAAAAAAAAAAAAGTTTGGTCTATAGATTCAATGCAACCCAAACAAAATCACAGCCACCTTTTCTATAAAAATTGACATCATATGAAAATGCAAAAGACCTAGAATAGCCAAAACAGCTTTGAAAAAGAATACATTTGAAAAACATATTACATAAGTTCAAGATTTATGATAATGCTACAGTAATCAAGGCAGTATAGTAGTATAGTACAGGCATCAAGACAGAGAAATAGATCCATTGAACAGATTGAGGAGTTCATAAGTAGACCCACATATATATGATCAATTGATTTTTCATAAAGGTACAAAAGCAATGCAGTAGAGGAAGGATAGTCTTTTCAATAAAGAACAGTTGAATACCCACGTGCAAATTTTAAAAAAGAACTTCAATCCATACTTCCCATCATACACAAAAATTAACTCAAAATTGATCATAAAACTACATATAAAACCTAAAACTAGGCTGGGCGCGGTGGCTCACGCCTGTAATCCCAGCACTTTGGGAGGCCGAGGCGGGCGGATCACGAGGTCAGGAGATCGAGACTATCCTGGTTAACACGGTGAAACTCCGTCTCTACTAAAAACACAAAAAAATTAGCCGGGCGTGATGGCGAGCGCCTGTAGTCCCAGCTACTCGGGAGGCTGAGGCAGGAGAATGGCGTGAACCCAGGAGGCGGTGCTTGCAGTGAGCCGAGATCGCGCCACTGCACTCCAGCCTGGGCGACAGAGGGAGACTCCGTCTCAAAAAAAAACAAAAACAAAAAACCTAAAACTATAAAACTTCCTGACAAAAACAGGGAGAAATCCTTGTGACCCTGGGTGAGGCAAAGATTTCTTACACCAAGAGCATGATCCATAAAAGAAATAAATTGATAAGTGGGACTTCACTAAAAATTAAGAACTTCCACTTTCAAAAGACACTTTTAAGAGGTGAAAAGACAAGTCACGGACTAGAGGAAAACATTGCAAATCACGTATTTGATTTTTTAAAAACTTGTATTCAGATTACGTAAATAACTGTCAAAACTAAAGAAAGAAAAAAGAAAATAATATATAAAAGTATTGCAAAGGGAGAATAAGACTATTCTTTTAATAAAGAAAAGATGGATTGTTCAATAAATGGTGTTGGAACAACTGGATAGCCATTTGGAAAAAGTAAAGCTGGATTCCTACCTCATTTCTTAATCTAATAACATGCAGATACATTAAAGTGTTAAAGGTAAAATACTACCCACAAAAAATTAATAATGTAAGTATGAAAAGAGAACAAAGGATTTTTTTTTCTTTTATGATTTTGGAGCAGGGAAAGCCAAGGCCCAAAATACAGAAGTCATAGAAGACAAGATTATACATTTGACTAAATAAAAATTTTCTGCATGGCAAGTGTTACTGTCTATAAACCTATGGATCCTCAGTTTAATAATTCTAGAGATCCTAGAATCAATTAAAATTCCAAACAATCAAACAGAAAGTGGAAAAAGAATATCTCTCACTTTACATCACTTTACCTAAGCAGCAAGATTTACAGTTTGGATAATATCAAGTGCTAGTGGCTGGGTGTGGTGGCTCATGCCTGCAATCCCAGCATTTTGGGAGGCTGAGGGAGGTGGACCACCTGAGGTCAGGAGTTCCAGACCAGCCTCACCAACATGGTGAAACCCCATCTCTACTAAAAATACAAAAATTAGCCGGGCATGGTGGTGGGCCCCTGTAATCCCAGCTACTTGGGAGGCTGAGGCAGGAGAATTGCTTGAACCCAGGAGGTGGAGGTTGCAGTGAGCAGAGATCATGCCATTGCACTCCCGTCTGGGGAACAGAGCGAGACTCCATCTCAATTAAAAAAAAAAAAATCAACCACTAGTGAAGTGGTAGGAAATGAAGAGCATCGTGAGCTGCTGGTGTGAATATAAATTGATACCTTTTGTAGGGTGATTTAGAAGTGTCTAGTAAAATTGAATATGTGTGTAACCTGCGATCTAGTTCCAATACCTAGGAGTATATTACAAAAATAATTCTGCAAAGGACATGTAAAATGACATACTCAAGGCTATTCATTGCAGCAAACAATTAGGAAAAATATCTTCTATGATAAATATATTGTGGAATGTACATATAGTAAATGTAGATACAAAGAATGAACTAAGTCACCATATATTGTTTTAAATTCCAACTCATATAAAAGCAGAATAGAATTTAATAACAAATGTTTGGTAAGAAGGAAAAGTAAAAGAAGCAGAGTGAGATGTACACTACAATATTGTTCTGAAATGTAAAATATGCAAAATAATCTAATGTATTGATCATGGATACATAAAGAAAGAAAATAAAAGAATAAAAGGTAGATTCAAAGACACACACTAAATAAATGAGTCAACGCCTATGGGGGGTGATAAAGAGAATTAGGTGGCTAGGCACAGTGCCTCATACCTGTAATCCCAGCACTTTGGGAGGCCAAGGTAGGTGGATCACTTGAGATCAGGGGTTTAAGACCAGCCTGGCCAACATGGTGAAACCACATCTCTACTAAAAATACAAAAATTACCCAGGTGTGGTGACACACACTTATAATCTCAGCTACTTGGTGGGCTGAGGTAGGAGAATCACTTGAATCTGGGAGGCAGAGCTTGCAGTGAGCTGAGATGGCACCACTGCACTCCAGCTTGGGTGACAGAGCAAGACTCCATCTAAAATAAAATAAATAAATAAAAATAAGGAGAATAAGGTTAGGGATGGGAAAAGAGGATGCAACAAAAAGGGATACATGAACCAATTATCTAGTGTGCCACAAAAAAAAAAAAAAAAAAAAAAAAAAAACCAATAAAACACTGAGGTTACTCAGGAGGCTGTAGCAGGAAGATCACTTGAGCCCAGGAGTTTGAGGCTGCAGTGAGCTAGGATAGGACCACTGCACTCCAGCCTGGACAACAGAGTGAGATACCATCTCTGAAAAAAAAGGGGGAATAAACACATTTTTATTTTACCTAAAATAAATTGCATTTAAATATATATATATAGCTTTAATTTTAAAAAGAATTAAAATAAATTTTAAATAGGCCCAGGATATGAACAGGAAATTCACAGAAGAAAAACAAATATCTAATAAGTACATGAAATTATCATCAACTTCAAATAATAGGAAAAATTCTAATTAAAGAAAAATTTGATATTTCCTTTTGCCCATCATACTGGCAAAAAAAAAAATGATGATATCCATTGTTATAAAGGGTAGGAGAAATGTAGACTCCTACATGTGGTTGGAAATAGCGTGGATTGATAAAGCCTTACTGGAGGGGAACTGGAAGTATCTATCAAAATGTAAAATGTACATTCTCTTTAATCCAGCAGTTTTATTTCTAGAAATCTACCTTCACAAAATGCTCATATAGGCCGGGCGCGGTGGCTCACACCTGTAAACCCAGCACTTTGGGAGGCTGAGGCCAGCAGATCACTTGAGGTCAGGAGTTCGAGACCAGCCTAGCCAACATGGTGAAACCAACGCCTCTACTAAAAATACAAAAATTAGCTGGGTGTTGTGGCACGCGCCTGTAATCCCAGCTACTCGGAAGACTGAGGCAGGAGAATGGCTTGAACCCAGGAAGCAGAGGTTGCACTGAGCCGAGATTGTGCCACTGCACTCCAGCCTGGGTTACAGAGTGAGACTCTGTCTCAAAAAAAAAAAAAAAAAATGCTCATATAAATGCACAAATATATGCATGAGATCATGTGCACTGCAGCATTGTTAATAATGAAAGATTGAAGCCATCAGCAGGAGGAAAGCTCAATGAATTATATACATATGTCCTATGCAGAAGTCTAAAAAGTGAAGATAGGGCCGGGTGTGGTGGCTCATGCCTGTAATCCCAGCACTTTGGGAGGCCAAGGTGGGTGAATTACTTGAGGTCAGGCATTTGAGACCAGCCTGGCCAACATAGTGAAACCCCACCTCTACTAAAAATATGAAAATTAGCCAGGCGTGATGTCGCACGCCTGTAATCCCAGCTACTCGGGAGGCTGAGGCACGAGAATTGCTTGAACCTGGGAGGCAGAGGTTGCAGTAAGCTGAGATTGGGCCACTGCACTCCAGCCTGAGTGACAGAGGGAGACTCTGTCTCAAAACAACAAACAAAGAAACAAACAAACAAAAAAAAGAAAACATGTTCAGAGATTTGAAGTAACTCACCCCAGGTCACACTGAAATCCATGTGCTAGCAGATAGATGATTTCAGTAAAGTTCAATGTGGTGAGTGCAATGATAGAGATATGCATAGAAAGACCAGGGAGCACACCAGGAGCCAAGCTGGGGCTATAGGAGAGACACACCAAGTTGGGGTACTTTTCTGAAGGCAAGGACATCTGCATTGTCTTGAAGGATGAATAGGACTCGTATAGGTGAAGTACAGGAGGAGGAACAACGGGAGCAAAGGAACGGCAGTCAGGAGTAACATGGACTGTGCCAGAGAGCTTTGAGTGCCTTCGAATTGTTAGAGCAAAAAGTACAAAGGACAGAATGGCCGATGGGGCTGGACAAACTGGCAGGAGCTGCACTGTGAAGGGACTTTCATACCATGTTGAAGAACTTGGGTTTTATCCTGGGGAAATAATGGGGAATCATTAAAAGGATAGTGTAGAAGTGTCCTGGTTCAGTTTGCATTTTGGGTAGCTAAGTCTGAGGGCAGCCTGAAGGGTGGACCTACGGGGAGGAAGCCGAAAGGCAGGGAGACTAGCTAGGCCACCGCAATAG
Organism: Homo sapiens; assembly: GCF_000001405.40. Classification (NCBI taxonomy): domain Eukaryota; kingdom Metazoa; phylum Chordata; class Mammalia; order Primates; family Hominidae; genus Homo; species Homo sapiens. The sequence goes on along the minus strand of NC_000001.11, from coordinate 160,379,537 downwards.
TCCAGGTGAAGAAAAGCATTGGTAGAACTGGTAGAAAAACAGAAGTCATGTTTAGGAGGTAAAATGAATAGCTACTGATGATGGATTGGAGGTGAGACTAGAGGGAAAAACATGTAGCAATAGTCACGGCAACTGAATGTTGATGATACCATGTTTTGCCGTGGGGATACCAGGAGAGGAGGAGGGTTGAAGAGGGGAGAAGATAAGGTGGCCAGTTTGCAACATGTGGCGTTGGACATTCCTGGGAGATATCCTAGTAAAGAGGTACAACTTTTCAGCTACAAACCCAGAAAGCCAACTTCCTTCTGGGCAGCTCCACGGGAAGGCTCCTGGGGGGCTTTCATTCAGTTTGTCCTTATTACACCACCTTACTGCCACCATCTCCACCACAATTCTCCACAACGTTCCTCTTCCTACGTGTGCTACTTTGGAAAGTAGCACCACTGTACACCCAGGCTCCCAGGCCAGAAACCTGGGAGTTCTCCTCTAGCCTGCCACATTTAATGAATCACGACATCCTGTTGAATCTACCATTTAAATAGCTTCCTAAATCTGTCCTCCCTTCCCCATTCCTACTGCCGCTACCTAAATACAGACCCTCAGCTTCTTGCAGCTGACTTTGCGATAGCCTCCTAAAACTGTTCCCTGCACAGAGCTTACCTTTACGCAGCTATGATCAGAAATGTCCTAAAAGTGGCCAGGCGTGGTGGCTCTCACCTCTAATCCCAGCACTTTGGGAGGCCGAGGCAGGCAGATCATTTGAGGTCAGGAGATCGAGACCAGCCTGGCCCAACAGGGTGAAACCCCGTCTCTACTAAAGTACAAAAAATTAGTCGGGCGTGGTGGTGCCCGCCTGTGCTCCCAGCTACTTGAGAGGCTGAGGCAGGGGAATTGCTTGAACCCAGGAGACGGTGATTGCAGTGAGCCAAGATCACCCCACTGTACTTCAGCCTGGCGACAGAGCAAGACTCCATCTCAAAAAATAAATAAATAAAAAATTAGCCGGGTGTGTTGGTGCACACCTATAATCCCAGCTACTTAGGAGGCTGAGGCAGGAGAATGACTTGAACCCAGAGGCAGAGGTTACAGTGAACCGAGATTGCACCACTGCACTCCAGCCTGGGTGACAGAGCAAGACTCTCTCTTAAAAAAAAAAAAAAGAAAGAAAGAAAGAAAGAAAGAAAGAAATGTTCTGAAAGTGATATTTCTAAAGTGTACATCTGATGATAGTGTTTATCTACCCCACTAGAGAATGTTCATTGGTTTCCCATCACTGTGTGGCCAAGCACACACTCCCTATTATGCTTCTCCTGACCTGGCCCCTGCTTACCTCTCCAGACCATTCCGTCACTTTCCTGTCCCACCAGCCCCTTGCACTTAATGTCCCAACAATACCACACTGCTAATAGTGTGCTCTTGCTCACCAGAGCTTCTCAGGGTTCCATGCCTTCATACCTACAGTGCCTTTCCTTTGTAGGTGGGGTTCCCTGGGAAGTGGATTCCTGAACTCTGAGATCGTATACAGGAGAGTGCCAGCAGGAGAGTTCTTGAGAACACCTGTGAGGTGTGAGGGAAGCTGCAATAAGCCGAGAGAGAAACTGAAAAGCAATGCAATGGCAACAGAGGCTTCTGTCCATCCCATGGGGGCTCTCAAGCTGGGATAACTTTGTAACCCCACATCAACCAGTCATTGCCCTAGGGAAAGAGCAACACCTCAGGCAAGGCGGCTTTCTTCCTCCAAAGGCAATTCCTGGAGAGGGACTCAGCTGTGAGTCAACACTTCCACAGCTGGAGAAGTGAGTGGAGCACACCACAGAATTCACTGTACGTATCTCATGGTCTTCAAAACCCAGCTCAGAGTTTACCGGCTGCCTTCCTCACCAACACCCTCTCTCAGGTAATCACTCGCTTCCTTGCAGATGCCTCTCACTGTTGGGAAACTGATATGTTTACATGCCTGTCTCCCATACTCCCTCCCAAGTAGGTGGTGGGGAGGGCCTGATCCTGTATTTCAGAATCCAGAACAGTGCCCGGTATACATTGGCTATTCCATAAAGGCATGCTGCACTGAATAAATTGAAATCAACCAATGAAAGAGGTAGCTACAAGCTTATAAAAGAAGGAGGCTGGAGTTTAATGCTAGAAAGGATAAAAGGGACATAGACAGTAGAGATTCTCACTTGGGAACCACACTGGAGACCCTGCTTGGGAGGCCCAAGAGTCCCAGGTTAGAGCGAATCAAGGCTCTGAGCTTGGGATGTCCAAAGAGGGGCAGGAGCCAGAACAAAACCTGTAACCTATAAATAGCCATAGGTTATAGCTCATGGAGCTGGGAGACAAAGGTAAAACTTCAAGGGGAGAACGGGCTTCTAGGAAAGAGGAAATTCGACAGCTCCCTCTCCTTGCTCCATACCTGCCAGCTGTCACTCAGACTCCTATATTAAAAAGAGCACACACACAAAAAAGTACACAGATATACACGTGTTCAAAAACCACAGAATCAGGTAAGCACGCCCAGATACAGAACACACACATAACACAGACACACAATACATGAAACAGACACAGACCAGAAAAAAATCAATCTGAAAATTATAGGCCATAATATATGTAAATGAACCACCTATGAATTCTAAACTCTGTTTACCCCTAGTCAGCCTTCAAGCCTCCTTCACCTTCCAGAAATCTCTGACAAGTAGAGAATTCCAGATTGCAGAATTGCAATTCCTTCGTCCTTTGTCCCCAGTCAGGTCATTTCTTCTCTTTTTCAGGCTCTCAGCAGCTCCTAGCTAGGGATAGGGAAGAGGGAAAATGTTTCTGCTAGTAGCCAGCAGGGGACAGTGTTCAACAAGCAATAATCAAATCAGCCTTCAACTTGCTGAAGGGAGGGAATGGAGGACGAGGGAACCAGAAAAGGGTCCTCAGACCAACACATTGCTCTGATCACACCCTCGATCCATGTCTCCCTCTTTTTTTTCTGCTTCTTCAGCCCCCTTCTTCTCCTCAGCTGCAGTTTCTCCATCCTTAGTTTAGTAGATCTCATGGATTGTCTATTTGCTCAGAGAAGACTAAGCTCAGGAATTTCCCCCTCAGGGAGAGACATTCCCCTTAGCCTCTTGTCCCTTTCCATTCTGTCTTGGTTCCCAAGGTGGTCAGGACTTCGGAGTTTTCATCTGGACTCCTGACCAATGCTCAGGAACCCACATGAGGGGCTCAGTTCCAGGGCCACCTCTCAGGGGATGCTTGCATCCTGGTGCACAGCTGGTCTAGTAGAAGTGGGGTTGGGTGTCAGGCCCCTGCACTGCCCTTAGCCTGGTGCTTTGTAAAGTGCACAAACTGTATGACAGTACAGTTGACCCTGCTACTTACTGCCCCTGAGATAGCATCTGATGAGCGTTTCCGGTGTTGAACACTTTCACGATGATCTCATTTAATCCTCATCACACCCCGGTGGGTCTTGTTGTCTTTCCTGCTTTCCATATGAAAAAGCTGTTGCTCAGGGAGGGCATGCGGTTTGCTCACTGTGGCACAAAGGGGAAAGGTGGAGACAGAGCAGGGACACGGGACCTCTGGCTGCCGGGTGTGGGCTTTCTCCCCTCTAGCACAGTGTTGCTGCACTGCCACCACTGCCTCCCTTCTTCCACTCCCTCTCAGCCTTTCAGGCTCATCTCTGCTTGCTCCCTTCTCCTCCCTGCGCTGACATCCCAGCACTGTGAGCCTCTTTCTTCTGCCCATAATCCTCATCCAATGAGAGGTCAAAAGCTCAGGAAAGAACACAAGAAGAAAGCAGAAAGATAAAGGAACTGGGTGGTAGAAAGGGCTTTCCAGAAAGAGGAAGAAGCAAAGGCAAAGAAGACAGGGCCTGCACTGGGGGTGGAGAGGGAAGGGAGGTGGGTGGAATGAGGAAGCGGAGCACCCTCCACACTGTGCCCAGACTTGGGAAAGGGCACAGACAGGGCCTCCATTGTGTGGGCACAAAGAGGCCATATGCCTGGCAGCCTATGACAGTGTGTGTGTGTGCGCGTGTGTGTGTGTGTGTGTGTGAGAGAGAGAGAGAGAGAGAGAGAGAGAGAGATTTTAGGCAACCCCCACCCAGCCCCTGGGGCCTTGACTTCTGCTCTGTCACTGGTGATGGGTTTGCTGAGTTACAGGACAGGGCGTTGATGAAGACAGGACTGGAGGGTCAGGCACCTGTGGTCACTAGGACTGGAAGAGGGCATGGACAGCTGGGGGAGCTATGGCCATGCATGGGATACTTGGCAAGGGGAGTAAGGAAGCAGGGGTGAAGTGCAAGAGTCCCATTCTGGGGTCCTCCTAACTGCCCCTCCCCCACCCCACCACCCACGAGTTGGGTTTAGAGGGATGTGGAATGAGGGATGCAGAGCAGATCCTCTTCTAACAATCCCTTTTCCCCATCCTCCCTATCTGCTAGCCCCAAAGCTTTCACTTTCCCCTCAGCCCAGGGACTTCCATCTCCCTGCCCTCTCCCTCCTCCCCCAGTGCCTGGTCCCCTGCTCCCTCCTCTTCCCACTCTCCACCTCCTTCTCCTGTCCTTCCCAGAGTGAGAAGAGCAACAAGAGCGACAGCGGCAGCGAGGCCAATTGATTATCTGAAGAAATTCGGAGCTAGCAGTAGAACAGCTGCAGCTTCCCCCTCTCACCACCTCCAGGCCCTCAGGGATCCCTGAGGGGAGGGGCCCCCTAAGCCCTTCTGCTCTCCAGCCCAGGCAAAGAGACAAGAGAGGGAGGCAGGGAGCCCAGAGGACTGTGGCTGCTGAGCACAGAGAAGCACAAAGCTCTCAGGGCCAGGAATGGAAGACTTGGCTTCTAATCCCAGGCCATCATCATGGGTGAGTCACGTCACCTGTCTGGACAGTAGTTTACCTGCCTTTGAAATAAAGTTGTTGGATTCAGTGATTTCTGTGTTCCCGTCCAACTCTGGCCCTTTGGAGTCCTGAAGTTCTCCCTGATCTCAGTTCAGCCTTCCCTTTTGCCAGGCTCTGGGCAGAGCACATGTCATTTAACTCACATGGGAAGGGGAAGATGTCAAGTCCTCCTGTATGGAAGCTCCTCCCTAGGTCTAACTCAAGCCCTTCATGCTGCTTATGTCATTCTTTGTTCATCAAAGATGAAAACCCATAGCTGGGCATGGTGATTCATGCCTGTAATCCCAGTATTTTAGGAGGCCAAGGCAGCAGGATCACTTCAGGCCAGGAGTTAGAGACCAGTCTGACCAACATGGCGAAAACCCATCTCTACTAAAAACACAAAAATTAGCCGGGCATGACAGCGGGCGCCTGTAGTCCCAGCTACTCAGGAGGCTGAACCACGAGAATGGCTTGAATGGGGAGGTGGATGTTGCAGTGGGCCAAGATCCCGCCACTGCACTCCAGCCTGGGCAATAGAGCAAGACTCTGTCTCAAAAAGATAAAAAGAAAAAAGAAAATATTTCAGGGACTGAAAGTTGTCTCTGCATTTCCCTCCTGCTGTTTGCCTTCAGCCTTCTCGTATGACCTTAAGTTTGGAGAGGATCTTCTAATGAACCTAGCCAGTGTTCCATCTGAGGCAGCAATGTGCTCTATGATTTCTCTGCGTGTGGTTGACTCTCCAGCTTCTCTATTTGGAGTTCTCCTCTTGAGGCAGTCAGTGCCATTGCTGGACAGCTCCAGGTGTTGCAAAATTTTTCTTCAAATTAAAATCTGCTTTCTTCTAACTTCTACTCACGGGTTTTGTTCGGCCTACTGGGGCCCCACAGAATATCCATTTTTGATTCTTCTTTCAATATTTAAAGATGGGTGTCATATTACCCCCAAGTCTACTCTTATCAAGACACATATCCTCAGTTTTTCAACTATTTCTTCTATAAAGTGGTCTCCAGACCTTTTGGTTTCTTCGCCACACAACCCTAAATCCTCTCTAGTTTATCAATGCACCTATGAAAATATGGGGTCCAAAAGAGGGCTAACTGTCAGCCTGGGTCATTTTAGGGAGGCAGAGGGGAGTTGGCAGCATATGGTAGAAAGAACCTGGATTTGGGCCTTAGTTGTGCCCCCAGTTAGCTGTGTGGCCTTGGGTAAGACCCTACCCTTCTCTGAGCTTTAGTGTCCCCATCTATAAATTCATTTGAGGGTCCCTTCAGCACTCTTTTTTTTTTTTTATCCCTGTCCATATTCTTCTCTGAGTCCCAGGCCTGCCATCTGTTTTCCCCAGTATCCTAAGGCTGGGGAACACAAAATAGGCCAAGAACTGAGATTGCAGGGAATTTTGACCCAGCCTAGAGACAATAAAGGGGAAGGCAATGTCTCAGTTTCATACCATAGCTTTTCCCAGCAGCATGGACCCACAGACACATGTTTAACTTGGGTTCCACCGAAATATTCACCTCCTTCTCAGGCCATAGAGAGCAGGAGCGGAAGCACAACATCAGAGAAGTCAGATAGTGTCACTAAATTAGTGCCAAGAAGGGAGTATCTGGCACCCAGATTTTGGTGAGGAGATCTTGGACCTGTATGTTATACTCTCCCCTGCACCTCTTTTCCCTGTGGCCCCTTTTCTCTGTCTTCATTTGTTCCCCAAACTGAGCTCTCCTGACCCCATCAGAAGAGCCTACGAAGCCTAGGACCCTCAATGCCCACCCTACCATAACCTGCAGGCCAGCTTCCTAACCCAATTGAATGAGCCACAACCATACCTGGTGCTAGAACGAGGTCACTTTTATTTTTCTTTTTGTATGAAATTGGGGATGCAACCAGAAGGAATCACACAGAGATATGTGACACAGACCCCTGGGGCCTGCTCTTGGGAGTATCAGGAAGAGGCAAGGGTCACAGGGCAGGCTGGGGAGAGAAAAGAGGCAGATGGGACCAGGTAGGATTGTCTAGGGGTGGAGGGAGTTGAGGAAGGACATCCAGGAGCCCTGGAGCTGGGGGAGGAGCACTATCCTGGAGGACTAGAGTGTCAGGACAGGTGGATCTGGGGAAAGGATATGGTGTGGCAAGCAAAGGGCATGCTCACACACACCAGGAGTTGAAGAAGGAGCAAGAAAAGGAAAGGCGTAAGCAGGGAGGAAGCAAGAGAGACCCAGCTAGAGCTGCTGGGAGCCCCTCACTCTACCCCAAAGTGCACAACTCGGCAATAAATAGCAATATTTATAAATAAATAAATAAGTAAATAAATAGATGAATAAATAAATAAATAAATAAATATACTTGTAGAGCTAGGAGTTTGGTGCGAGGGAGGAGGGAGCACAGAAATGCAGTGAGTTCATTTCTTCTATGCAGGTTCTAAGGCCCTTCATTCCACTGCTGACCCTGAGCTATAGTGCGCAGGTGGGGATCAGCAGCATGGAGTAGGGGCGCAGAGTTGGGGGTCTCTTCCCTTGCCAAAGGCAGCTCAAGGAAAGAGAAAAAAATGTAATAAGTAAGTCCTAGGGCCAGGAGAACTGTGCATTTTCAGAGGGCAACAATTGGGCATCCTCCTTGCGTTGGGGGGAGGAACCAGTGAGGGTGCTGCACATTTTCAGAGTGGGCTGAGATGAGGAAGCAGAAGTGAGATGTGGCCCACTCGTTGCCTGAGCCTTCTGCAAATACTCCGGGCTGTTTGGGATGTCATCCCCTAATCCGGAATCTAGGTTTTTGTTTTTTTTTTTCTCTAGTGACACACAGGGAGGGAGAAAATTGGGACAGTAGGAGTCAGAGGGACAGGGAAGTAGCCAAATAGCTCAAAGAGGGCAAGGCACTCACTACCAAGTAAGATCTGAGGTCTGTATGTGCTAAGCCACAGGAACAAGATGGACAGAAACAGGAAGAGTTTTTCCATAATTCCCAGCTACTGAGATTCCCCTCACAGGAGTCAGGGCACCAACCCCTGCCTCCCCAGGGCCTCACCCCTCTGCCAAGCACTGAGAGACTGAGATCTTGGAGGAAGAAGCCCACTCCCCACTCTAACCCCAGCCTTCCTCCCTTGCAATTCTGACAGCCCATCCCCACCAGGGGCAGGAGAAGCTAGAACAGATAGGATACACAGCTGAGGTCTGTGGTGGCTGAAAATTTGGACATAGGGGTAGAAGAGGCAGCATTCAGTGAGAGAGCTTGGGGGCAGACTCCAAGTGTGGCTGGCTTAGTAAAGCCAGCAAGGATTCCATACCAACCACACTAGCAAACAATTCTGCACAGCTGGGCCTCAGCAATAAACCCCGGAAGGAACCCAGGAGAATAGCCCTCGAGGTGCCTGGGTCAGAGAAAGGAAGAGGCCCTCATGACCAGCCGGTGGGCTCTCTGCCTGTGCCCAGGGCCTTTGGGACTCCATGCCAAGGTATAAGGGCTCGGGGAGGATGCGGCCTTTCTAAGCAGTGAGCGGTGGAAAGGGGCCCCAGAGAGGCCCGGGAGGTGGGAGACAGGCTGAGTTCAGACGTCCAGCACGTGGTTCAGGTAGGAGATATAGCAGATGGCCAGGCGCAGAATCTCAATCTTGGAGAGCTTCTTGTCGGGGGGCAGCGTAGGCAGCAGCTTGCGCAGCTCGGCGAAGGCCAGGTTGAAGGCTTCCACGCGGATGCGTTCTCGCGTGGCGTGGGCCGTGCGGTACTTGGCTGTGGCGCGGCGCCGGCGCCGGCGCTCCTCGCGGCTCAGATGCTGCAGGTCTTTCCGGCCAGGCTCTCCCGGCTCTGGGCCTCGGGCCTGGCCCCCTCCCGGACCCCCAGGCCCGGCACCATCAGGGCCCGCCCCGCCCCCACAGTCACTGAAGCCCGACTCAGTCTCTGAGTGGGTGGGCGGCAGGTCCAGCTCCATGGTGTCTGAGTTGAGCATCATGATGGAAGCCCCCTGCCCTGTGAGATCAGGATCCCCTCCCCACCCCTCCCTCTGGGAGCTTGAAAGCTGGTGGTGGGAGGGGGAGGAAGGGGGAGGAAGGGTCGTGGGGTCTGCCACTGAGCTCTAGAAGTCACTGCCACTTCAGGGTTCCATGGTCAGGGTGCCAGTCTGAAGCCTGAAAAAGAGAAGAGAGAAGTGATAGCAGCGGAGGGAGGAGGGAATGCTCAGCTCAGAGGTGGGAAAGCAGGTTTGAGATGGGCTGGGAGGGGTAAGGAACTGTGAATGTGAGGGAAGAACAGCAGAAACTGGTGGGGGTCGGGGGGTGGGGAGAGGCCGAGAGACAGAGAGGCAGGTGGACAGGGTGAAAGGAAGAGGAGGACGAAAGGTAGTAAGAAGGGAAGAGAAAACGAGTAACAGGAAAGGAACAGAAGTGATGAGAAGGATACACCAGGCAGGTTAAAACTGAGCAAGAGGATTAAAGACTTAAAACCATAAAACTCCTAGAAGAAAACATAGGGAGAGACCTTCATGATGTTGGACTCAGCAGTGATTTCTTGGAAATGACACCAAAAGCACAGGCAACAAAAAGCAAAAATAGAAAAAACGGGACCACATCAGACTTTAATTTATTGACGAACATAATCAACAGAGTGAAAAGGCAATCTATGGAATGGGAGAAAATATTTGCAAATTATATATCTGATAAGGGGTTAATATCCAGAACATATAAATAAATCCTACAACTCAACAACAGCAAAAAATCAAATAACCCAATTTAAAAATGGGCAAAGGAGGGATTGGGAGGGGCGTGAAATGAGAAATTACAGAATGGGTACCGTGTATGTTATTCAGGTGATGGACATCCTAAGAGCCCTGACTTGACCATTATGCAATCTATGCATGTAACAAAATTGCACTTGTACCCCATAAATTTATATAAATAAACATTTTTTAAGAAAAAAATGGGTAAAGGACTAGAATACACATTTCTCCAAAGATTTTATACAAATGGCCAACAAGCATATGAAAAAATGTTCAACATCACTAATCATTAAAATGCAAATCAAACCCACTATGAAATATCACTTCATACCCATTAGGATGGCTACTATAAAAACAAAAACCAAACAAACAAAAAATAAGTCTTGGCAAGGATGTGGAGAAATTGGAACCCTTATGCCTTGTTGGGATTGCAAAATGATGCAACCACTATGGAAAACAGTATAAATGTTCCTCAAAAAATAAAAAATAGAACTACCATATGCTCCAGGAATCCTACCTCTGGGTATATATACAAATAAAGTAGGGTGTCAAAGAGATATTTGCACACTCATGTTCATAGCAGCACTATTCACAATAGCCAAGAGGTAGAAGCAACCCAAATGTCCATCAATAGACAACAGATAAACAAAATGTATTATATACATACAGTGGAATATTATTCAGCCCTAAAAAGGAAGTTCTGTCACATGCTACAGCATGAATGAACCTTGAGGATATGATGATAAGTGAAATAAACCAGTAACAACACAAATACTGTATAGCTCCACTTATATGAGGTATTTAAAGTAGTCTAATTCATAGAAACAGAAAGTAGAATGGCCGTTGCCAGGGGCTGGAGGGAGGGGGTAAAGGGGAGTTGTTGTTTAGTGGGTATAGAATTATACATTTGCAGGATGAAAAATTGCTAGAGATCTGTTTCACAACAATGTGAATATACTGAACACTACTGAATTGTACACTTAAAAATGGTTAAGATTATAAATTGTATGCTGTTTTTTATCTAAATGAATAAATAAAAGGAGGAAAAAATCTGAGCAAGACTGCAGCCACAGCCCCAAGAGAAGTTAGCTATGACTCTAGATGCTTCCCAGTTGTGAGGGGAGAATACAAGCCTTGGCCCTGTGGTCCCCTCCCTCTCAGGGCCCCTCTCCACCCTTGCTGCCTGAGGTGGAGGAGCGGATAAACACACAGATTGCCCATTGTAGAATAGACTAGGACATATGGAGCTCTGCGCAGCTGCCCCAGCTCTGCACAGCTCCCCTCCCAGTTCCCCAAACCTTCCCAGCAGAACCATTGTAGATATGAGATCCTGTCCACTAAAACCAGGGGAAGATATCTCTTCTCACCACCACCCCACTGTGCACAACCAGCCTCTTCCTCCACCTCTGTCTTCGAAATTTTCAGCCCTTGCCATTCCCTGGCCCTTTTGGAGGCTGGGCAAGGAAGATTGGGGAAAGGGAACATAATCAACCTTCTACCCCCATACTCTCCCATAGCCCAAGGAAGGTTCAGACACGGCCTGCAGAGGACACAGACAGATTTTTGGAGCTACCCTTATGGGACTCAGCTAAGGTTTGCTTGTCCTAGGACCAGAGGAGATCAGGGCAAGGCAGCACAAACATGGCCTGGGAAAAGCTGGGGAAAGGGCTTTGCTTGTGTGCAGTGTTAAAGGGGAACAGTGGGCCACTCACCATCAGCTCAACTAAGAATGATTAGAAACAGAAGCACCAAGGTGCCTGCACCATCACTATCTCCCCTTCCTCCCCAGCCCTGGCTTTCCTGTCTGATAGATACTCTCAAAGGGGTTAGGATCCTCCCAAGCCTTGCCCCACCCCACCACACAGAAGATAGGTTCAAGTCAAGCCAACAAACAGCTATGAAGCTCTGGAGGGATGCAAAGTCATCCACATCTGATGACAAGTACACACACAATCTTAACAGGAAACAGAAGGTGGTTAGTGCTGAAATTGAGAACACATTCCATATTCTGGGGTTCAAATGAACTATGGGGGGATGGCAATAGTGTGGGAGGCCCCAAAGTCAGCACCTCCCAGTACATGTTTAGTGCCCCCAACTCCCCACCCCCCATGCTGGGGCTGGGAGCAGGAGTTCAGCTGCGGAGTTCCCAACACATTTATCACATCTATCACAGGCTAATTCTCTCTGCCCGGTCCCTATGTTCCTTCATCCCTCATCACTTTGCCATGCCCTTCCTTCCCCTCTCCGTGCTCCCCATCTGGCCCCAGTCTCATCTCCACCTGGCCCCATTGTCCTCCCCAGTTCCAGTCCCGGCAGCAGCTTCTATTTACCCATCAAGTCCTCACCCCCAAATCCACTTCTGGTCTCAAAGTTCCAGGGTCCAAGGATCAGGGGAGCAGCAATTCCAAGCCTGCAGGACAGGACTTCCCACCCCACTTCTGCCAGCCCTAACCCAACTGAGGATAGATAGGCACAAAGAGTCGAAGGGGAGGAGTGGAGAAGAGGGACACGCGGAGACAGGGAGAGACACAGCGCACAAGGGAGAGAACTAGAGGGAGGCTCTAGGAAGGGGCTTGAGCCAGAGAATGGGAGGGACACGCCCATCCCTCCCCGCCCATGGTTTCCCCTTTACCTAGAAGGACCCTGTCAGGGGATCCAAGCCGGCAGGACAAGGGGCAGCGTTGACAGCCCCAGTCTCCTCTGGGTGCTCAAGGCTCATCCGTCTGCAAAGTTAGTGACCAGCTTTCTAGACTCTCAGGGGTAGCGTGGCATGGCTGTACAGGCTCCAGGGCAGATAAGAGGGGTACACATTGTGGGGGTGTAGGGCCCAGGTGGAAGTGGTGGGCTTGGCCAGGTACTGGGGCCAGCCACACTCACACACACACCCTCAGACACACACACCTGAGCTGGCCCAGCCCTATGTATATATATGGAGATACACACACACACCCCCAGCTCTCCATTGGCTGGCCCAGGCCCACCCCCCCCTCATCAATATTAAACAGCCAGGCCAGGCAGCCATTGGCAGAGGGATCTGGGAACCCCTCGGGAGCTGGGGGCGGGGGCTGGCCCTGGGTGGGGGCGGGGAGCGGGGGAGCAGGGACATCTGTTCTCCATGCATATTTCATAAGCAAGAAATGGAGAGCTGGGGAAGGGGTGGGGCTGGGGCGAGAGCCAGGGCAGGACCACAGATGAACCCCCTCAGTCTCCCACACCAGAGGCAGCAGGGCAGAGGCTCCCAGCAAGCTATGGTTAAGTGCCATGGCCCCATTCGGAGTCCCAGCGTGACTTGGACAGCCCCTTCCTGGTGTCTCTTTTTTCCTGAGAGGGAGACTCTTCAAGGTACTAACAGGGAAACCGAGAAAAGAGCAAGTGGGTAGCACTAAAATGCAGAAGAGGACCCTAGGGTCCTGGCCCTCAAGCTCTTATCCTTCATAAAGCTGGTACCCACTGCTTGCCAGCCTGCCTGTAGCAACTGTTCAGGCCCCTACCCTCATCACCCTGGGACTCAATCACCCCCATACCCTCTTACCCCACCCGCTATCTTCCTACCTAACCCATCACCAAGGGGAGGAGCAGGATCAAATTTGGGACACAGACCCCACAAGGAGTTTTTCTAGGCTGGCCAGCCCAACCTGACCCACTGGGAATTAGAGGGCTCTTAGGAAGAAAGAGGTAAGGGCTAAAAGGAGAGGAGTGGAGGAGTGCCAAGACAGGAAGAACCAGGATTGGAAGGACACTGGGAGAGGAGGGCAGGGCAGCCTAGGCAGGCTCTGAGTGTGTTTTGAGGGCATCAAATCAGCAATAAGAAAACCAGACACAAAATTATATGCAAATGGGCACTGATTAAGCTCCCATCAATAGCTCAGCAGCCTCCAGCATGTATATGCAAGTGTGTGTGAATGTGAATGTAAGTGTGAGTGTGTGTGTGTATGTGTGTGTTGCCGAGTGGCAGGATTGAGGAGGGGCAGCACAGGGACCAGAGTGCATAGAGAGACAGTGCATAGAGGGTTTCAGTGTCTGAAGTTCTCTCCCCACTCAGCTGTTGGATGTCTTCTCTGAACCTTTGAGAGTATTCAAAAGAACCATGACTGGAGAGGACTCCAGAGGTAGTGTGGTACAGTGAAAAAGGCTCTGTCAGCTGTGTGACCTTGGACAAATAACAACCTTTTGAGCCTGGACCTCTTTTCCTGTAAAATGGGGTTGATTATAGCTGCTTCTTAGGTTGCCATGGAAATTAAGGGAGATAATATGTGTAGTGGGCCTAGAGCTTAGTAGGAGCACATCCCACCTTCAGGCTGGAGGGACTTGCCATTTCCCTGTTGCTGGTCAACCTTTTCTGGGCTTTCTCCAGGGTGAAGCATTCCCTAAGGGGGTCCCATAATTCCTCCCCAAGCTCCCCCACCTGCCCCCATCCCTGAGTCTGGGAGGTGCCAACTCCCACCTGGGCAGGCCCAGACAGGTGCCCAGGCGCCAGCAGATGGGCTGAGCTGGAGGGGAAAGGAGGCTTGAGGAGGGGGGCTGGGGGGCAGGGGATCAGGTGGCATCTCAGTTCTTGCATCATCATTGCCATGGTGCTGATTAAAAACCAATCTCCACCTAATGAGCCCCCAGCAACAACAATTCTACCTCCTCCACTCTCCTGCCCTCCACCCCATCCAAGAAATTGGGAGACCAAGAGACTCAGGAGAGAGTGCCATGGGGGAGATGAGAGATACAGAAAGAAGGGGAGATGAACAGAGACAGGGGAAGCGGAGGGAAACGACGAGAAAGACACGGGAAGATACCGAGACTCAGGGAGAGAAAAAAATGAGAAACCAGAGTCATTGGGTAACAGACATGGGAAAGACATAGGGAAATGGGAAGACACAGTCTCATGGGGAGATTGAGACACAAAGGAGGTAAAAAGATTTAAAAAAAAAAAAAAAAAAAAGAATGGAAACAGAATTGCCAGGTTGCCAAGGCTTTGTGGAAGACTTGGAGACCCAAGCTATGGGAGAGATAGAGACTTGGGGAGAGGCTTTAAAAGAGGATGCTGTGGCCGGGCACGGTGGCTCACGCCTGTAATCTCAGCACTTTGGGAGGCCGAGGCGGGTGGATCACCTAAGGTCAGGAGTTTGAGACCAGCCTGACCAACATGGTGAAACCCTGTCTCTACTAAAAATACAAAAATTAGTTGGGCGTGGTGGTGGGCGCCTGTAATCCCAGCTACTCGAGAGGCTGAGACAGGAGAATCGCTTGAACCCGGGAGGCAGAGGTTGCAGTGAGCCAAAATTGTGCCATTGCACTCCAGCCTGGGTGACAAGAGCAAGACTCCGTCAAAAAAAAAAAAAAGGAGGCTGCTAGGGAGACACAGACTTGGATGAATACATATGTGGAGGAAACAGCTATTCAGCGGCAGGGAAATACTGACACCATGAGACAGAGTCCTGAGGGAGGCCCCAAGGCAAGGTGGGGCCACATAGGCACGGGGTAAGCAGAGAGCAGACAGTTGGGAGGAAACAAAAAATACCAGAGACAAAGAGAACAAGGTGGGGAAAGGTGATAAACTGAACGATGGAGATGAGGAACTATTACTGAAACAGGGAGGCCAGATCCCAAAAAGTAAGACATTGAGGAAAAAAGAAGCAGAATCTAGAGAGACCCCCGAAGCAGAAAGGAACCTTGAGGATGGCATAGAGCATGCAGGAAGAAGCCAAACCCCTTGCAGGGCTCCCTCCTTTCAGGCCATTTTGCTCAGATACTTAAGCTCTGCAACCTCCATCCCTGAAGCACACCGCCTGAACCCGTCGCAGTTCAAGCTAAGGTTCCACGGGAGAGGAGGGTGAAAGAGTGCTCTGGGGGCTGCTCCTCCTCCTCTGCATCTGGCATCCCAGGATCCTGGACTCTGGGGCCTCCTGCCCCAGTTTTCACTTAGGATTTCAGCTTTTGCTCCTTAGGGGAGTAGCTAAAAAAGAACATAGTTGTGACAAAGAGGACATAAACGCATGAAATGGTGGGAAGAACTACATCTACTAAATTTGGGGGCAGCTACACATGGGTCTAAGTCCTGGTGACCTTGGATAAGTCACTTAACCTTGGCTGAGTTTTATTTTGTTATAGTAGTGACACCCAGGTGAAATAATGCATGGGAAAGTGCTAGGTGAACTGTATAAAGTGCTCATCCCAACCTCCTATGGTGATTTAAAAGTGGCAAGAAGTTTCATACACACATATATCTGAAGCATTATGATTGTGGAGGCAGGGGAGAGCTCTGAGGCCAACCCAGGTTGTCTGGCCTCTGGCCCCAGTGAAAGGGAGAACCCTTGGAGTTGTGTGTGGGTCTTTGCTGCAAGGAGGACAGGAAGACCAGGGCCTGGGGATAAGGAGGATGATTATGGCTTTATAGTTTGTTGTTATTTTACTTTCTTTTTGTTGTTTAAAAATCTCCACTGGCTTTTATTTGCTATAATCCGATAATCAAGCAAAACCTGATACAATAGAATGAGTGTTCCTGCTATTTTACATTTTATAGGCATTCACTTTTTCAGATCATGATTCACAAATCTTTCCCCATAGCCTGAGAGGTAGATCGTTGAGGGAGGGGAGGGAGGTTGGTGTGTAGGGAAGACACAGGGGCCTGGGCCTTGTCCTTGAGGGTGGGGGGAGGGCCTGGAGGAGCTGGGAAGCAGTGGGTTTGGCAGGAGAGGGGGTGACATATGTGGGGAGCCCTGGGGACCCAACCAGGCAAGCGGCTGGCAGGGACAGCAGACGACATTAACCCTCGCTGTGCCACACCGCCTGACCCTTCCCAGGAGTGGCCTATGGCTAGGGTGTTATTTTGTAACAGTGGCAGTGTTTTGGGTCACAGGAGCAAGACAGGCAGAGCTTGCTCCTCCTGGGCAGGAGCTGTTGTTTCTGGGAAGGGACAGCCTGTCTTGGATGTCTTCTGTCTTAGCTTCTTTCCTTGTTTTTCCACATGGTCTCTGTCAGTCTGTCTTTCTCTGTCTCCACCTCTCTGTGCCTCTGGAAGGTGACAGCGGGTCTCCACTCTGGCTCACTACACAATCTGTCACTCTCTCTGCTGCCAGCCCGGCTGGAAGCCCCCCTTCTCAGCACCCAACTGAGCCCTCTCCTCCCGGCCCTCTAGGCTGTATTGCCTTTGTCTCCTAAGGCGGCCTCCCCTTTCTTCTCTCCTCTTCACTCACCTCTCCTCAGCTCATAGTCCATCTCCAATCTCATTATGGCCTCCAACCACTGGGCTCCCCCCTAACCCCCCCAACCTCTTCTCTTCCCTCCCCCATCCATCTGTCTTCCCTGAAGCTCTCTTCTTTGTGTCCACCCATCTGTCACCACCAGCTCTGGGCTTACTCCCCTCCTGGCCACGCCCGCCTGGCCTTTCTCCCCTCAGGCTCGGATCCCTCTCAGCACAGCTTTCAGCCTCCCTTTCCGCCTTCAGCCCTTCCAGGAACCCCCTACTTCCTTAGTTTCCTTTCACTAGCTTATCCTTTTCTGGATACCCTCTCATTTCACTTTTTTTCTTTCTTCCCTCAGTTTATCTAACTCCTTCTCAGTTGTGAGTTGGGGGAGATAGTGGGGACTCTAGGGGTCCTAGCCCCCAGCTTCTGAGCATCCAACTAGCCTGAGCCAGAGGCTGTAACATTTACTCACAATTGCATCATCTCCGACTAATGACTTCTCCTTAGGCCTCCTGAGATGACCCCTCCACTCCTGCTCCAAGTTTCCCCTGACTGGGGACAGGGGCAACAGCTGCCCTTTTCCACAATAGGAGTGGGAGAGCTCCTCTAGCTTTGGAGTTTGAATTCAGGAAGGAATAAAAATCCAATCTGAGGCCCATTGGGACCCCAACCTTCCAGGGGTCCCTGCTTCCCCAGTTTAACTTCGATTCCTGCCAAACTTTTTTTGGGAATGGGATGCTGGGTGACAGGGTCTTTTCTATGGTGTTATGCCACAGTTTCCCCATATTCCTGCTGTCCCTGGGTTATAGGGCAATAGTGCCCCTCAGGCTTTCCTCCCTAGAGTTGATTCTCCGGCTACCTTTGAAAGTTCAGGAATTGATCAACCTCTCAAACGTTCCCTGTTCCGAGTTTTCAGATGAAGGGAGAAGGAAGAGGCTTCAATTCCAGCTCTCTCTTCAAAGAACAAGACTGACAGAGCCAGGGGGGACCTGAGAGCAGTCCCTTGTCTAACTACACTTTACAGAGGGAGGAAATGCCCTTTCCAAGGTCACAAAGAGCATTAGTGGCAGAATCCTGGTCCTTAGCTTTTCCCACGACGTTCCTCCATACTGGCCTCGCCTGGGAAGGAAACCTTTCATCCTCTGAACTTCTCTGTAGAACTTGTTTATAGCACTGATTTTGCATGGGGCCTATGCTGCCTTGCCTGTTATTTATCTTATGTCTCGTCCTGCCATCTAGACTCTAGGTCCCAAATCTCCAAGGGAAGTTGCTCTATCTCTTCCCCTTTGTCCATGCTGGGCAGAATGCCCTGCCCAGAGCCATGCTCAATAAATGCTTATTACTGCTGTGGCTGCCCGTGCAGATGTACAGAAGGTTCTAATCCTAGTTCTGTCTCTAATTTGCTGTGTGACCTTGGGCAAGCCACATCACTCCTCTGGGCTGTTTCTCTCTTCAGTCAAATGAGTTAGACTATGCAAATGATTTCTAAGGTCCCTTGAAGAAACAAAAGTCCTACTGAATAATGGTGACACAGAGTACTCTGGGTAAACAGTATCTCATCCTAATATGTACCTTTGAGAGCAGTGGCCCAGAGATGAAAAAGAAAAAAATAGAAAATCCCTTTACTCAAATAAGCTGGGAAAGAAACACCAGTGGGTAGGAAAGGCTTCGTCTTGAGGGACGAGATATCACAATAGGCAGAGGCAGGCTGGGTCTTGGGGCAGGAGTGGTCAGTTATTCAATTATTGGCATGGGTTGGGAGGAAGAGAAGGTACAGTGTCAGCTAGCAACAAGCAGGAGTAGGTAGGGAGGAAAGCCCTCAGGGAAAGGAAAGGGGCTGGAAAATGAAATATTTCAGAAGGCATGGGTAGGCAAGGCCTAGATCAAGGGAGAGGTGGAGGCTAAGGAACTGAGAAGTACATGGCCCATTAGATGCTTCCAGCCAGTCACACATGGTCTTCAGGGCATAGGAGATACCTGGTAAGAAGCCAGAACCATGGTCTCAGAAAGGGAGGGTGAGAGCCCAGTGGGTCATCTGGATGGCTGTGCTCCTTCTATGGGGCCTGGCCTCTCCATGAGCCATGGAAAAAGCTAAGCTGGTTTTTTAGGAGGTGGAAGGTAAGGGAACATGGAAGGCAGCAGACAAGCTTGTGTTCAGGATGCTTCCCTAGGCAGAGGACATTGAAGTAGTGACAGTCCTACATCTTGTAACTTCTTACTTACCCCTTGATCACGATTCCGCCCAACCGTGTTTCCCTGTTCAGCCCCCTCACTGGTACCCAGCCACTTCTCTGCTTCCTGAAGCTGCCAGCAGGATGAGGGAGTTTACTGCTCTGTCCGCTGGGAGACCTGTTGGCCGAGGGAGGTGTGGAGCCTGGCCCAGTCGATGGTGGCAGCTGTGCTCGACTTCCGCCAGCATCACACAGCCTCTCCAGCTCAAACTGGGAGGGTTGGGGTGGGGGAGAAGTAGCAGGGTGTATTTCATCTCTTGAACTCCAAACATGTCTCCCTTCCCCCCAGGGGAACTTGGAGAGAAACCTGGAGAAAAATCACCTCTTCTCAGCAGGATTTGAAAAGGTAAGTAGTCCAATCAGGGAACTAAGAGGAGTGCTTGAGACCCTGTGAATACTGCCAGCCAGTCCCTTTCCATTGCTGCGAGTATTCAGGCACGTGTCAGAAGCAGCCTCCTGGCCAGCAGTGGAGTGAAGGCTGGGTTTAGGCTTCTGCTCCTGCAGGTTCTCTTTCCCCCTTGGCTGACTCAGCCGCTGCCCACGATTATTTAGCAGTGCTGCTATACTCCAGAATTTTGCCTCCGTGAAGACCCAGGGAATTTGAGGATCTCTACAGAGGTGATGTTCTTTTTCTAAAACAGTCCAAACTTGTTTTGGCCTACAAAAGGCCCACCATTAACAGAAACCCAAACTCCTTAGCAGCATGCCAGCCAAGAACTTCGGGATTTAGCCCAACCTCGCCTCCTGCTGATGCTTATGGCTCAGACACACTGAACTTACCATCTCCCAAACATGACTCACTCCTTTTCTTGACTCTGTGCTTCCACAACTGGTGAACGCTTTAAATCATCACTTGAATGTCACCCCTGACATGGTCCTGAGTTTCACTATGTGCTACCAGAGCACTTGGGATATGCTGCAATTATTCCTTTTATTACACTGGATTACATGTAGTTGTGAGAATGTCTGTCTCTCTTCTCATCCCAGCTGAGCTACTCGAGGGTTAGGGTTATATTCTCTTCATCTCTGTACCCCAGCCAGTGTCTCAGAGTGAATAAAGAAATGCCTGTTCATGGCCGGGCGCGGTGGCTCACGCCTGTAATCCCAGCACTTTGGGAGGTCGAGGTGGGTGGATCACAAGGTCAGGAGGTCACGACCATCCTGGCTAACATGGTGAAACTCCGTCTCTACTAAAAATACAAAAAAAATTAGCTGGGCGTGGTGGTGGGTGCCTGTAGTCCCAGCTACTTGGGAAGCTGAGGCAAGAGAATGGCGTGAACCCGGGAGGTGGAGCTTGCAGTGAGCCGAGATCGCGCCACTGCACTCCAGCCTGGGTGACAGAGCAAGACTCCATCTCAAAAAAAAAAAAAAAAAAAAAAAAAAAAAAAAATGCCCGTTCATTACAAAGTGAGAAGAAACTATGTTAACATTGTTCTTACAAGAGGAGAACCAGGGCTCTGCAATTTGAAAGGACTTCAACTGTTTTTGACAGAGCCTTACTCCTTGGGTCCTCTGGAGCCCAAGATGATAGCATAAAAGATAACTTCATGACTTCCAGTCTAGGCTCGCTGAACAAGGTGGCCTGGGAAGAATAACTAGCAGTACAAGTCGTGTGGGATAATCTATTTTAATGAAACTCATTATATATATATTTACAAAAAGAATAAAGGAAAAAGACAAAAACAAAAATAGATATTACAGCTTAATAAAAAGTACAACTGAGCACTGTGGGCTGGAGGTGGGATACCCACCCGCAGCACGCCCACCCTAATGTGCCATCTGAGGGCCTGGAGAAAGGACAGTGGGAAGGAGACAGTAGGCTCAGCCCAGAGATGCCCCTGTCCTCAGGGGCTCAATGTAGTTTGACCCTGACATTAAACCTTTTATGTCCTTCCCAGTCAGGAAGGTGGCTGGGTACAGGGGTGGGGGTGAGGAGCAGAGAGAGGTACAGGGCAGGAAGGAAAAAGTAGAAGGGTCCTGAAGGGCAAATTAGGGTGGGTAACTAGGGAGTTAAACAGGAGCAAGAAGCTTCTATTTGTAATCCCAAAATCTGGCATGAGTAGAGAAGGAAGAGGAAATGGGGAAGGGGTGATGGGAAAGGGGAGCGGAGGAAGGGAGGCAATTTATTTATTTCTCCCTGTCTCTTTTGGATAGTTCCACTCTTTTATGTTAATCCCAATCTGAGACAGGCCCAGGGAGGTTCCAGTGACAAATTAGTGGTTGTGTCCCAGTGGGACAGATGCTCTAGGAAGTGAACTGCTGAGCTGGCAAGAAAAGCTGGGGTCCTCCTCAGTATGACACAGCTCCTGGCTCCCGGGGAGCAATGAAAAGGACATCAGCTTTGGCATTGATGCAGTAGGTGACGATGAGGGAGAAGATGAGGATGCCGAAGCCCACTGTCAGGGTGATCAACTGCAGGGGGAGGGAGGGCAGGAAAGGACAAAGGCATTCTCAGAACTCAGTGCAGTTTTTTGGATAACTGTTTGGGGTTTGGAGCCATGGGAATTCGGATGCTGGCTCTAAGCACCAACTATGGAATAATCATGGGCAACATCTCTCCAGCCTACAGACTTTGTCTCCCCATTTGAAAAGAGAAGTAAAGCATCTCTGTTCTTGCTTCCATCTTGTATTACTTAGATTTTAGGCATTTTGAAAGGAGGGCCCATGGCTTTGGTTCCCTTGCGGCACTTACATTACTGACTTGTGACAGGAGCTCGGTACATTAGACTGACTCATCCCAGCTGTGCCAGATGGGGAAT
Source organism: Homo sapiens (assembly GCF_000001405.40). Taxonomy (NCBI): domain Eukaryota; kingdom Metazoa; phylum Chordata; class Mammalia; order Primates; family Hominidae; genus Homo; species Homo sapiens. The sequence goes on along the minus strand of NC_000001.11, from coordinate 160,357,801 downwards.
GCCAGCCGGGAGTTGAAGCTGTGAAAGAGTTCTGGGATCCACAGGGGCTCTCCAGAATGAACACCTACTCAAACTATCTGTGAAGAAAGGCCTCCTGGCCGGGTGCAGTGGCTCACGCCTATAATCCCAGCACTTTGGGAGGCCAAGAAAGGTGGATCACCTGAGGTCAGGAGTTTAAGACTAGCCTGACCAACATGGTGAAACCCATCTCTACTAAAAATAAAAAAAAATTAGCTGGGTGTGGTGACACATGCCTGTAATCCCAGCTACTCGAAAGGCTGAGGCAGGAGAACTGCTTAAACCCAAGGGACGGAGGTTGCAGTAAGCTGAGATTGTGCCATTGCACTCCAGCTTGAGCAACAAGAATGAAACTCCATCTCAAAAAAAAGGCCTCCTAAGGGAACATGCTGGCTGACCAGGGACAGATTTGCAGTAGGCTTTTGCTACAAATGTGGGGCAAATGGGAGATGGAAAGGGCTATATGACACAAGAAAGCAGAGAAAGAAGTCAAACAGATCCCTGCCACCTATGCCCCTGCCCCATCTCACCTCAAGCTCTTTGCTGGCGATGAGAAATATCCGGGCACGGATATCTTTCCAGCGGCTCTCAGTCCATGTAGAGTATTCAGTAGAGCTCCACTGACTCAGTTCAAAGGCAGGAGACAAGGCCCTGGCTAATCGTGCAGTAGAACGCACACACCGGGGGAGTCGGTCCGTCTCATTAGAATGCAAAGGGCCCTGGACCCATGAGTACTCATACAGCTGCACAGAAGATGCGCCACAACACACGGCTAGGGTGATCCTCTTCTCACTCGTTCCCTCTACCCTCTATCAGTGCCATGCTCTAACCAATTGAGCTAACTGGCTGCTGTCCCTTTACCCTTCAGATGGTCCATTTTCACCCAGGCTTTTCAACACCCAATTGCTGAGGACTGCATCTCTCCACCTCTCCATCCCAATCCCCTGGGTCTAACTAGGTCTAGAAGAACCTCCAACTTTCCCAAGGGAAAGGGGCCCCAGGGCACTTCCAACACCCACCACCACTCACATCCTTGTTTTCACTTGGGACTTTACTTGGATCCTGGCACTGCTCTCGGGTGAGGTTGACCACTGTGCCAGTCAAATTTGCCAAGGCATACTGTACAACATAAGTGGTGTTGGTGGGGCTGGAGACAGCGATGTAATGTTGAAGAGGCCCGTCACCTGAGTGCAGACCAAAGGGAAGGGAAGATTTGGTGGGTGGATGGTGGGTGAAATAGGAAAAGCCCAAGATTGGCAGCAGCCAGAAAGAAGGGCAATGGAAAAGGATCCATCAAATATGAGAAGAAAGAAAGGAAAACAGGGGGTAAGAAAAACAGAGAGGAAAAAGAAAAAAAATAATAAAGGTTAAACCAAAAGACTTTTTCTCTATCCCTTTCCTCAGCTAAGGGTCCCATTCCCACACCAGATGCTTACCCAAGTAGGACCTTAGGTCCTGCCTGAGGATAGACTGGAACCATGAGTTGTTGGCTTTAATCAGGAACCCATAGAGCAGGCGGGTAACCTAGGATTGGAACAGTAAAGAGAGAAAACCCTGTGACTTGAAGGGAGCCCAGGGAAAGAATTATCAGTGGAGACCCAGTCATGGGGCAGGAACCAGACTGGCCAGATAGACTGGAGTTGGGAGACAGTAGCTGGCTCATAAGATGCAGATGAGGCCCACCCAAGAGCTCTCTGGGGCATGAGGCATTCTCACCGGCATCAACAGTCATGTGGAATTCCAAGGTTTGGGACACTAGGGCAAGGGAGGATAGGGACAGCTTGCTGTGTAAATAGAAAGAAGGAGCTAGGGCCCATCTGCTTACCGTTTGGGGATCAGCCTGAACTGTGTCGCTGAAGTTGGTTCCTCCTGCAAGCTCATACAGAGCACGTCCCAGCACCGTGGCCACATCTGCCAGGGCCTGTGGTAGGTGAGGAGGGGGCTGAATGGCCCACCTCTCCTATCCTCAAATGCTAGCATCTTCACTGTGTGCCCCAGGCTCCCACCCAGCCTGGCTCAGTGCTACCTTGGCAGTGTCTGTTACAAAGTTCAGGTCCTCTTCAGGGCTCAGCCATTCGGGATAGCTCACATTAATGTTCTCAGCAGTGTCGTAAATACTCTGGTAATATCTGCCAGGAAAGCCGGCATGAGCCTTGGCTACATTTAGCCAGGGCTCTGCCCCTTTCCTCCCTCAAATGCTCCTTATGCAGGGACTCAGTATCTCATTTTCAGCATCAGAAGAAAGGGGTGAGAGACAATCAGGATCCCATATTGCAGAAGGTGTGGAGAACAGGGAGGTAGGAGTGAGGGTGAGGTGGTTAGTGAAAATTAAAGACTTTCCTGACAGACAAGGTAGAAAAGCTGAATGAGCTCAGATCTTTAAACAAAGGAGAGACTCTTCTACATCATTTGGGCTGGAGATATGGGGGATGGCTAAGATGATTTTCAGAGAACTCTGCCATGTATCATGAGATCAGTTGTATAACTGTTCCAATGAACATTTATATTTAGGGTAGCTGGGAGCAGGAGGTGATTAGCAGGTCTTAGGATCAGGTCTGCTCACTGATATATAAGAATACACTGATAAAATCACCATGATGATCCTTATGGAGCCCCAAGGAGATAGATCTTAAAAGAGAGGCTGAGCTCCACAGTCTTTACCATCAGTAAATCCCTGTCCCACACAAAGTCAAGTCAGCTACATAATCAAATCCAAAATGTGTTCAAATGATGAATCTTCACTTGCCCCAAAGTGGTACAAGGATAGCTTTAGAGAAGACAGCTGACCCTAAGTGCTAGGACGGTCACTCCCCTAAATGAATGAGAAGGTGCTACTTGGCTGGGGTCAGAAATAGAGCTCAAGCATTTTCACTACGAAACTCATTTGGCCCTCGGGAAGCTTGGCAATCCAGCCTGAGTAAGAAGTCCCCTGTTATCCAAGGCCTCAAGTTAGGAGCAGTTAAAGGGTAACCCAGAGTTACCCTTTGTATCTCTGGAGCCCCATCAGCTATAGGAGGCACTTTTACCCTCGCACTGAACCATGGCCATCTACCACATGGCAAGAACATGGTACATTTCACAGAGTATGAATACTGTTTCTGGCACCTCTGGGTGAGTTCCAGAGAAGGACTGCTTTCTGTCTTCTAGCCAAAGGGCCCCCACCATCCTTCCCATGCTTGTGTTTGAGATGATGCCCTCTGCTGGCAACCCTGAGGAACTCAGGACCCTGGAGAGCTAGGGAGCAGTGGAACCATAACCAAGGATTGTTGACAGTAAAGGGCTAAGGGTGAGGATGAGTTTCTAAGATGAATATCCAGTCAAACAAATAAGGGTTTCAGTTCAGATGTGAAAACGCCACTGAGCAAAGAATACAGATGGACCTGAAGTTCTGGAGGGGGTAGTGTGGGAAAGCGGAGGGCAGTGACCTTCCTCCCAGACTGCAGAATAGACTCTCTTCAAGAATGAAGAGGGTGCAGGGCCAAGTGATTCTTACTTGTTATGGAAGGCACCAGAGTGGTCAGCCAGAACAACGCCAGAGATGTTTCGAGCTCGAAGAAATCGCTGCAGGGAAGATGGTGGGAGAGGCTGGGACTGATTTGGCCTCCTGAGGATGACAGCAGGGACACCAGCACCACTCTTCTCCAATGTGGCCAGGAGATCCTCCACCTGGGGGGTACGAGGGAGATTAACTGATGGGAGGCTGGGGGATGGGAAGCAGGAGGTCTCTTTTAGGCCTGAAATGCTCTATACTTCAAGTTCCCTGCTTGGGGAGCTACCCTATCTCTAGTAGACCTTTATCCCTCAAGCCTTTTGGGACCAAGGCTCTCTGAATTTCCTGTAGCTTCCACCATTCTTTTTAGAGTTAGAAAATTGGGGCATAAAGAAGAGACCTTTTTTTTCATATTTATAAGTAAATTCTACTGTCTTCAAGACTCTGCTTTATCCTCAGTGGATGCTTCACTTATTATTTATTGTGCAGAATTGAAGGGAGCAAATAATAATAGAAAACTGCGTGCTGAATGCCAAACAGATAACCAATTCTTTAAATGCTACAGGAGTCCAGAGCAGGGATGATGCTGAAGGCTGGAATTGCAGAAAGAGGACCACCTGGAAAAAAGCAGGCCTAAAGGTGGACCTAGAGGGAAGGGAAGGTTTTGAACAAGCAATGAGGAAAGTGGAGGACAAGTTGGGCAGCGAGTGTGACACAGCCAGGACTTGGGTAGAGCAGCCTTGACAATTGGATCCATGGGGCAGCAAGGCAAGAAGGGAGCTAGTCACTCACCTATCCTTAATGGGCAGTGGTAGTCTGCTAGGCAACAAATGATCAGAGAACTACCCAGTCCAGGGAACCAATGGAATGTCACTGAGTTCCTGATTCTTCCCAGCAGCAACAACAGCTGTGGTGTTCATCCTTTGGCCAACACCCAATCCAATCCTGTCTCTTACCCTGTCTCACAGGCCCTGGGGGTTGGTGGAAACAGGGCAGGGGTTGGGGTCTGGATTCTGAGCTGTAGGAATAGGAAATGAGGGGAGATGCTCAGGTTACCTGGTTCCGTACAGACTCATTTTTCTGAGAAACAGGATCTGTGTGCATCCAAAGCTCTAATGAAGTTCTTAAGGCCACCTGGGGGGAGGATGAAGAAACAACACTTAGAATCAGTCTCCTGTTCTGGGCCATGCCTAGGGGATAGAAGTCAAGGGAAGAGGCGGTGGTTCCTGCAGTTAAGACCGCAGAACAACAAAGGAGGAAGATTTAATTAAAAAGGAAGGGGCTGGGGGACATGCCACATACCTGTCCCAGCTCCACAAATGAGTCAACATTCTCTAACTGCACGGGAAACTTGCCCTTCTCCATATCGTAGACCATCCTCGAGCTGCCAATGTAGTCAAAAGTTTCCTGAGAGATGGAGGTAGGTGGGAGGGGGAACAGAGATTCCAAAGGGTTAGGAGAGCCTCGAAGGCGGCCAGATCATCAAAGCTGTAGGTAAGACGACTATCTCAGGTCACCTCAACTGCTAGTCAGCTTACAGTCATGTGACTTTCGGCTTCTCTTGGCCCCACCTCCCAGCTGTGACTATCCCTCATATGTATTACAAGACTTCTGAAGCCCAGAAATGGGGAAAGTAGCCTTAGTAAAGGTCTAAGATGAACATCAGCTATTATGTGTCTGATTCTTAACGGTCCCCCACCTCCAGTGACTCAGCCACAGATGCTGTTCCCTTATTCTGCTGTGGTCCTAGTGATGAGAGTCAGGAGCCTAACGGCTCCTGGATGGAGATAGCAGTAAAGGAGTCCAGAGAATAAAAGTAAAAGGCCGCCTCCAATATATCTTATCAGTGGGGGAAAGAGGGGGCTGGTTACATACCAATTCAGGGTGTAAAAGCTTCCTAAAAAGAAGGAATCTAAGCTTCCTAAAATGGAGGAATCTAAAGGGGAGACACATGTAGACACATCCAGAAGCTCTGTGCTGGTTAACAACTTAGGTCAAGTGCTGAGGTCTTCTCCAACCAGTAGCCACTCTCATCTTTACTATCCTCTTTCTTCCCTGCCATTGCACCCCAGCCAAAGAGCCCTTACCCCTTGAAAGAAGACAAACATGACATTGCGGGGCAGGGTGGTCACATCAGGTGCCTTTTGCAAAGCTTCAGCAGCAGCCAGCTGGGTGACAAAGGAAGCCACTGCGCTTTCAGCCCCTGGGGCCACATTCCAGAAAAAGGAACGACTATCCAGCTAGGTACAACAGAAGAAAAGTCAGGGGATATATACTTTAAAACTGGCCCCAAACCTCCTTTCTTGCTCCAGTCAAGAGAATATACCTGTCCTGTGGCAATGGAGACAACCCAGGAGTCCCACAGCCCAGATTCCTCCCCATTTGAGGCTTCCCAATTTAGCAACTTTGAAATCTGATATGCTAGAGCGGGGCCTACCAGCTCTTTTTGTGCCAGCCCTGCCCATCCTGATCAGAAGCCAACACTCACCCGGGTGGCAGCAACCACAACCCTGTCGTCAGGCTTTAATGTCCCAGTTGTATTTATAGGCTTTAGCATGCTCCACACATTGTAATCAGACAGGGGGTCACAGACGATTTCTAAGCAGGACACAAACAATGAGAGATCAACAAGGCTAAAGGAGAAGGTAGCTATAAAGGCAACATTGGAAATCTCTGACCAGTGCCCCACGGACTCTAAGTCGTTTTCTCTACTTCCAACAGTCCGAGGTTGGCTTCTCTGCCACTATCCACTTTAGGAACAAGCTGCCTAAATTTTTCAGAATTGTTTCTAGTTCTCCCATGCAGAGCTCCTTCATGGTGTCTACTCCTTCCCTATTACAGTCTCTCTAACATTCCCTGGCCTGGTTCCACTCTCCCTCTGCCCCTTATTCCATTACCCTCATGGTTCGGATCTGCCCTACCTGGGTTGATGCTGAAGGTGCTTTGGATGGAGCTGCGCCGCATGCAGGTGGCAGTGCTGATGACAGCATGCATGTGTGAAAAGAGCTGCATGGCACATAGTGGGAAGGTTGGTGCTGAGCCATTCTGACTCAGGTTGTGATCTTGATAGCACTGAAAGGGGAGATGGACCCCACTGAGACAGCTAGTTTGTGGAGGCCCTCCCTTACATCCCAGAAGGAGGAGGGCCCAGTTCCATCCTTTTGGGATGGAGCCACACCCTTTTCGGAGACATTTATCCCTGAGCTATAGTTATCCTAGAACCACCATAGGATCTATAAGGTCAAAGAAAAAAACTCATCAAGAGTTACAAAGGGTTGCAGACTCAGTGGTTTAGCTGGAGATGAAACTATCCCATTCCAGATGGCCTGGCCCAATTTGAAGCTTCAGCCACTGAAAAGATTCAGTGTGGTCTGATACAAAGAGCACCAAACTAGAGATAGGAAATCAGATATGACACAGCTTGGAGATCAACTCACCATACAACTTTGGACAAATCTCTTAACTACTCTATGAGTCAAAATGGAAATACTAGACCAGAATTAAGGCATATTAGAGCTAAAAAGAAGCTCAGAAATTACCAAATTGAATTTCTCAATCTCTAATCCAATGCTTTTTTTTTTAACGATACTAGTGGTTCTTAACCTGGGCTGTGTACCTTGTTTCATATTACTCTTTCAGATATTCTTTATATTTTCTTCTAGTCTAAAAGGCTTTAATGCTGTAATATCAGGTAGGAGCAAAATGTGGGGAAAGAATGTGAGAAGAACTAACGTCTTGGTTCTTTTTGGAGCAACCGTCTTTCAGCAGGTGTACCAGAAGAATGAGCCACCCTCCAAATAGGAGAGCCTATAAAATAATCCTTTTTTTTTTTTTTTTTTTGTGACACAGGGCCTTGCTCTGTCACCCAGGCTGGAGTGCAATGGTGCCATCTCAGCTCACTGAAACCTCTGCCTCCCGGCCTCAAGTGATCCTCCTGTCTCAGCCTCCCGGGTGGCTGGGACTACGTGCACACACCACCACACCTGGCTAGAAAAATAATCTTCTTTCTAACTGGAATTGCTAGGAGCTGGCAGTGTCATTACCTGCTTGATGACTTTGGTTTCATTTTCATCTTCAAGAAGAAAGATGGGGAAACTAAAGTCTTCATAAGCCAAACCATTGCCCAGCGAATTCCACTGTATTTCTCTGCAGTGAGCAAACTCTGGCCCATAGGAATTGGAGTAAACACCTGAAGGGAAGGATGGGGAATAGGGGGACTGGTTACTGGGACACCAAGTACTTAGGAACCAGGTGACGGCAGAAGAATCTTTCAGTTGGGACTAAGAGTTCAAAAGGAGGTGGTGACTCAAAGAAGTAGGCATGAAGTCTATTACCATCCACACTAAAATAGAAAGACAATGGTATCAGGGAGTCTTAGGCTGTAAGATTAGGGATGTGAACACGTGACAAAAAGAGATAATGCCAGGTAAGGCAAAGGAAGGGGAAGCAGGAGAGGGAAGGGATGAGCAGCAAAGACAAATAAACACTACCCCCTGTTTGGGAGTCAGTTACTGACACTACACACAGACACAAACACATATACATCCCTCACAAAGACGTAAGACCGAAGCAACAGTGAGCCTTAGGTGACAGTAGGCTCTCCTGATCCTTTGGGACACTTACCAAACCCATCATTTGGGCACTGTACACTAGGAGAGAAGCCTGAGGCAGGACTGGGCTTGGTCAAGGACACTGCAAGACCAGCAATTCGGCTGGTTCTCCCTTTCAGCTTCTCCATTAAATCCCTGGAATAGGAAAGGAATTCCATGAAGGAACACAGGAAGGTATCAGACAGCCTGACATTCTGCCTGCAGGATGGAAACAAATGGGGAACTAGGGGAATCAAACTGTTGACTTATTTCTTCCCTTTCAGTCTCTAAATTCTGAGTCTGGACAATGATCTGCTCTAAAAAGTAGAGCTTTAGTGAGTAAGGACCCCAGGGAGGGAGGGGAGGGATGCCCAGGGTTACTCAGGGACAGGTAGGTGAAATTTAGCCCTAAGCTCAAGATCATTTCTTTTGATGGTACACCTTTCCTTCTGAGGACCACCCTGCCCTCTCCCCTGACCAGACCAGGGCAGCCAAGGGAAGTTTTCACTAATAAGTGTGAGGACTGTTCACTGAAACTTTCCCTCTATGGATGTTTTCCCAGCAGATACATCTAGTTCTTACCTGGTAAAATGCTTGCTCTCCAGCAGAACCATGTAAGGGGGGTTGGGGCCATCAGTCAATACCCACTGTAGGTCCTCCTCTTTCTCTACTACGTGGATAACCCCTGTGTCTCCACTAATTGAAGCTGCCAGGACAGAATGAGTCAAATTAAAGCTCCCATAGTTAACAATTCTGACTTTGCCTCACTGATTCTGCGTATCTTTTATCCCCTAAAGATGTCACAACATATTTGGGTGAATACAGGCACCTCTAGATTTGAACTGAAAAGCTGTTGCCCCAGCTCCATCTGAAGGTTATCAGGAGGGAATGGAATATAAAAGAGCACAAGAGGACTCATTATATGCCAGAAAGGTTCTGTGAACTTCATTTTTTTGCCCTCTGCCCTCAACCTTATTTAGCCATATACATAAGATTCTACAACAATAGACACCAAAGTTTTCAAACCTATATTTTCTCTAGGAAATGCCACTAAATCTCTAGCTCAGGGTTTTAGCTTTGAATCTTCCTTTGTAAAAACACATGCATACATGCCCTTGGCCTCAGGAGCTTTCCTGGATCGTCATTCCTTTTGCCCTTTTTGGGAATGACTTTACTTGCTTCTGGCCGGTTTTAGATGAGGTTAGTCAAGAACTCTGAGGTTTCTAAAACAGAGCTTCCCAATTGATAAGCCTCGAATGGATCAGAGATGTGCTCTCATTGGTTCTCCTCATTCCAGGAAACCTAGGGTTTCCAAAGTCACCTCCAGCCAGGAGCCTACTTATCATTTACCCCAGGATGCCCTGAAAATATCACCCATTTCTCTATGTGCCAGGATGCTATACAAATAACATTTTCTATGTGTCTCATGACATGATAAAGATTGGGAAGCACTGTATTAGAGGATGGATGACCCAGAGTCCAGAATACTTTGAATTCTACATAATTCAAGGCATTAGGTAATACTCCTTAAGTCCCCAGTGATCTGTGTGGAGATATCCTAGGGTCTCCCTGTGAGTCTTCTCCCTACAGAAAATTGGATATGTTATTCATCAATTATTTTAGACCAGTAGTTCTCAGCCCTGGCTGTATATCAGCATCACTTTAAATGCCCACTCAGCCTCCCAAAGTGCTAGGGTTACAGGAGTGAGCCACCATGCCCGGCCCTTGCCACAGCATTTAAAACATGGGAAAAGGAACAGATAGTGTGGCAACTAAAACATATATAACTTCGGCCGGGCACAGTGGCTCATGCCTGTAATCCCAGTACTTTGGGAGGCCGAAGTGGGTGGGTGGATCACTTGAGGTCAGGAGTTTGAGACCAGCCTGGCCAACATGGCGAAACCCCATCTCTACTAAAAATACAAAAATTAGCCAAGTGTGATGGTGCACACCTGTAATGCTAGCTACTCAGAAGGCTGAGGCAGGAGAATTGCTTGAACCTGGGAGGCGGAGGCTGCAGTGAGCTGAGATTGTGCCACAGCACTCCAGCCTGGGTGACATAGTGAGACTCTGACACACACACACACACACCCCAAAACTTCAACTCCAGCGAGGACAGGAAGACAAACTATGATACTGGACTGAAAAAAACCTGGATTCTAATCTGGGTTCCAACTAGTAATGGTGTAGTCTTAAGTAACTTGCTTATTTTCTCTGCGCCTTCAATGAGGTTTTCTACCTCTATTCATCTCATACTGTGGGGACAGACGAAAGAAGGAAGAAAGGATAGAAGGAGGGAGGGAGGGAAAAGAAACCTATTTAAAGCCCCCTTTGAGAACTTTAAAGCGTCTAAGAGAAGCAGAGTATTATAATCAGAAATCAAATCTGGGTATCACTTTTTTCTCCTTAGTTTTATCATGTTAGCTACACTAATTAAAAAGGGCGGAGCCTGCTCAGAAAAGACAGATATGACGAAGTAAGATTTGGAAATAAGTAGGTTGAAAAGGAACCAAGATCTTAATGAGGAAGTGGCCACAGTCCCGCTTACCCCCTCTTGTTTCTCTGTACTGGCACGTGGCTTTACCTCTAGAGGCTTTGCTTCCTACAGAGCTGTTTTAAGAACATAGAGTAGAATGACTTATTCCCAAAGGAGTTTTCTTAGAGCCTAGTTACAAGAGGTTGGGGTCCTGGCCTTCTGTACTTTATAGTGAGGTTCCAGCAAGACCAGCAGTCTGATCTCAGCCCACCCTGGACCTAGCTCTCTTCTACCTACAAACCAGTTCAGAAACTAAGTCCAGAGGGCTGGGCATGGTGGCTCATGCCTGTAATCCCAGCACTTTGGGAGGCCAAGGCGGGCAGATCACGAGGTCAGGGGTTCGAGACCAGCCTGGCCAACATGGTGAAGCCCCGCCTCTACTAAAGATACAAAAAATTAGCTGGGCACGGTGGCACGCGCCTGTAATCCCAGCTATTCAAGAAGCTGAGACAGGAGAATTGCTTTAACCTGGGAGGAGGAAGTTGCAGTGAGCTGAGATTGTGCCATTGCACTCCAGCCTGGGCGAGAGGGCGAGACTGCATCTCAAAAAAAAAAAAAAGAAACTAAGTACAACAAAAACTTTATTTGGGGCTGTTTGGAACCAGTCAACCTACTCCCAGTGCTTTGTATAGCAGGGACATGGGACAATTAACAGATACTATAGCTCAGGGAAAGATGGCTAAAAAAGTAGTAACTGCTTCCACGAACAAGTCCTTCACTTCTCAGTGTCCCAGTTTTCTCTTATCAAATGGGAAGAAGGCTTCAGGAAATTATACAGCACTTTTGAGACCACCCTATTTACCTAGCGTCATCAATAAACAACTATTAAGAGGTATTTGACTTTCAGCTTTATGCAAGTACTCCAACCATTATTCCAGGGGTAAACTGAAATTCAGAGGTGATCAATTTGATGATGAAGAAGCCAGTATCAGACCCCAAGTTTCCTGCTTATCTGCAAAACTACATTCTGACAGAGCTATTGTCCATGGGAAACAAAATCTGAAGACAGCAGGTTAGCCTTTAGATTACTACTTTTCCTGCCCTATGATTTTGATAGTTTTTAAAGCCACAGTGTCATGGAACCTTCTTTTGGAACACACAAAGTGTGAAAATAAACGGCCTGTCAGTTGAATTTAAGGAAAAAAAGTTTTAAAAAAGGATAAATAGAATGCTTCACTAATTCCTCTTGCAATTATTCAGCATTTTCTTTTTTTTTTTTTTTTTTTTTTTCAGACAGTGTCTCACTCTGTCACCTATACTGGAGTATGGTGGCACAATCTCAGCTCACTGCAACCTCCGCCTCCTGGGCTCAAGGGATTCTTCTGCTTCCGCCTCCCGAGAAGCTAGGACTACAGGCATGCCATAGCAGCCAGCCGGCTAATTTTTGTATTTTTAGTAGAGATGGGGGGGTTTCACCATGCTGGCAGATTGGTCTCAAACTCCTGACCTCAAGTGATCCACCCGCCTTGACCTCCTGAAGTGCTGGGATTACAGGCATGTGCCACTGCGCCCAGCCTATTTGGCATTTTCAGTGCCTTCTCTTCAGATAGTTCATTGCCTTTAGCCCATTTTGGTTCCAAAAAGTTCAGAGTGCAAGTGATAACTGGACACCATAGAATATGAGACTTTTTTCTCCTTAAAAAACAGTATAATAGGGTGGTTAAGAGTGCTGGCTCGGCTGGGTGCGGTGGCTCACGCCTGTAATCCCAGCATTTTGGGAGGCCAAGGTGGGTGGATCACTTGAGGTCAAGAGTTCGAGACCAGCCTGGCCAACATGGTGAAACACCATCTCTACTAAAAATACAAAAATTAGCTGGGCATGGTGGCAGGTGCATGTAATCCCAGCTACTCAAGAGGCTGAGGCAGGAGAATCACTTGAACCTAGAAGGCAGAGGTCACCGTGAGCCGAGATCGTGCCATTGCACTCCAGCCTGGGGGACAAGAGTGAAACTCCGTGTCAAAAAAAAAAGGTCTCTCAGCTTAGTGCTCGGGCCACCAGATCCTGGCATCATCACTTATTACCAGTATGATCTTGGGAAAGTTACTCAACTTCTTTAAGTTTTAGTTTCATCATTTATAAAGTGACAATAACAGTAAGACCTATTTTGTGGGGTTGTGGTTGGGGTTGTATGAGATGCACATGTAAAAAGCTTGGTATGCAGCATTTACTAAATGTTAGTTCTTATTAATTATCTTGCCTAGCTTGACAGACGGTTATCTGTAACTGCCTACATACAGTCCAATATAAGTGTCAAATCTCCTAAGCAGGACATGGATGTTACTTAGTATCTAGGGCACAGACAAATATCAATGTCCACAAACATGAATCCATCTCAACTCACACTGGCAGCCAATCTGATGAGTGGCGTTGAGCAGGCGAACACAGGGAGCTGTTTTATTTAAGGGGATATATATCTTCCTCTCCACTGAGTTTCCCCTGCACAAACCTGATCGGAAGATAAAAAGTGTTAGAAAAATTTGAGAGACACAGGTACTAGCTTCTATCGTGTCATTAACCTGAAGTATGGCTTGGGTAAATCATTTAATATCATACTTTCTAAAATGAGATTAAAGTCCATTCTTCTGATTTCTTGGGCACACACTTATCGTAACAGATACATGTTCTACATGGCACCCAGCTATGTGCCTCAAAGGGTTATTACAAAGTCCATGTAGCGCCATTGACAGTGACACTAAAAGAGAGAAAACTTGGTCAAAGGAAAGGTGTTTGACCTTAGATTTGCCAGATTCTGGTTGCACAGGTGATCACACTTCTGCTTGTATATCCTGTATGTATATTACTAATTGGTTAATACACAGGTGCTGGGCTAAGAAAACTTTCTGAGGCATTTTTCCAAGAGTGTGAACAGAATTGAGAGAAACCTTATGACATACACGGGTCAGTTAATTTAACATCAGCAGGTCATTTGTGTGCCCACAGTGTGGGGCAGCTGTAGTTTCTCCTTTGAGGATCCTTAAAAACAATGTGAATTGGGGGAAGGCACAGTCATAGTTATATACAGGCATTTGCATTTTAGGGCTTGACCAACTAAAAAGCCATGTATCAGTAAATGAACGCGTATCAGCAAACACTTAAGTACATTATAAATGCCAAAAGTTCCTTGAATTGTTACTTCAGGGTCTTCACAGTTAAGAGTACCCATATCCTACCTTATTCTTGCTTTACTGATTAAAAAAAAAAAAAAAAAAAAAACCTGAGGCAAGGCAGGGGGACACAGACTTAGGATGTAATCAACAGAGGAAGAAATAAGAAATCCACCTTTTAAGCGCCGCACAGCACCCACAGAACAAGATTGCTTTCGTCTCAAAAAGTCTAAACGCGAGGAAGAAAGCTAACTTTCACACCTGTTCCTTTCGACTGTGGGGTGGGTGGCTGGGGTTGTGGGAAAAACGAGACATCTGGACAAAGTGGGAGAGGGTCAGGCTCGAAGTCCAGGAAGAGGCCTAGAGAAGGGAGTGAAGCGACACGACGTGCTGCGGGGGAGAAGGGACCTTCAGGTCCAGGCAAAGGGGGAACTTCTGTCGTGGGAACGAAAAAGAAAGAGGATTTACAGGGTGGGGGGACAGAGGGGCAGCAGGAACCAGAAGGGAGACAGTGGCGGTCGCGGCGGGGCCGATCCGAGAGTTCCCCTTAGAGAACGGAGCTCACGGGCGGGGAGGCCTCACCTGCTAGTAGGACGCAGAAAGACAGAAGGCGAAGGAGACCCCGACTTCCCGGGTCAGCCCCAGAGCCACCCCCTGCCGTAGCCATCTTGCCTCTCTGCTGAGCGGAAGCCCCCGTTCGGCTCCTGTCTGTTAGCGGCCTCTCTAGGCTACCACTGACACCGTCTCTGTGGCCCGGAGCCTAAGAGACCGGAAGTTCGTGTTTCCAGGCGCTTCCGGAAACCGCGGGAGAGGGTCGCTGACGTGGAGGCGTCCGAAGGGCAGCAGGGTGTGTCGGGGCTCGGATTAAGACATCGGAGTCGGAGACCTGAGAGATGTTAACCAAATTCGAGACCAAGAGCGCGCGGGTCAAAGGTAGTGGAGAATAAAAGGGGGAACATGGAGGTTGGATGTCAGGAGCGGCGCTGACACCGGGGAAGAGAAAATGGGTAGAGGTGTTGGTCGAAATGGGCCCACCAGACGGACCCGGAGGAAGACGGAGGGTGGGAGAGAGGTTGGGCCTGGCTAGCGGTTCTCCAGTCCCCTCTTCTTTGGTGTGTCCTTGGGCTTCGATTTACCTATAAAGTGGCTCCCACACTGCAGGGGATTCCTTAGACCCCCTCCCTATTCTTTCTTCCCCCTTTCTCTCTTGGCTGTGCTCCCGATTTGTGTTGTTCTGCTCCAAAGGCCCTGTGATCTGTTGGCTTTTTGATGACTGTGTTATATGGAGTGGCCCTGGGAACTGAGTCTCGATCTCTGTTACTCGCACCCGAGTCAGTAGCCTTTTTGGAGACGAGTAGTGGCAACCTCACTTAAGGAGGCCTTGGCTGCAGCATCTCAACATCAGTGCCTCCATTCGGCTTTATTTACTACCCGGAAATAGTACTTGAGGCTTATAACCCCAATAAAGTCTCAACTTGATAGAGTTGCCAGATAAAATGCAGGATACCCAGTTAAATTTGAATTTCAGGTAAACAATGAATAGTTTTTTAGTCTGTCGTTGCTTACCAGAAGTTCAAATTTATCTGGAAATCTCGTATTTTTATTTGCTAAGTACGGCAGCTCTAGAGCTCGAGTGTGGGTCGTTGGGGGTGGAGGGCAAATACTGAGATCGCAGTATTAGCCTCAGAACGTTAGAATGTGAAAGTCAGAGAAGTAAGGTCTCCGAAGACCTGGAAAAAATAGTATCTAGAATATTTAGTGAGATGCAGCGTAACAAAGTGGTTAGGAACTTGGTCTTTGAAGTCAGATGGGCTTGCCTTGGAATCCTGAGACATCCACTAACAAGCTGTGACTTGGATGACTTACTTAATGTCTCTAAGTCTGTATTTCCTCATCTGTAAAATCGTCTTTTATAGAGAGTATTAAAATGAGAAAGTATATGGAGTGTATTTATTACAGCGCCTGGTGTAGACTCAGTAGCTCAAAAACTGGAGGTTGTTATCAATGTGTGAATATATTCTGAGCAGTTTCTAAGTCTCTTGGGAAACTTGACCTTGAAAGATGGGTACCATTAAGAATTTCTGAGACCTGTATAGGTGAAATGTGAAATGGGTCTTCATAATCTTTCAGTTTTCTTTTCTGCTCCTAATTTCTTGCTGGGCAGTACAGAAGGAAAAACAAAGATGTCATAATATTTGAGGGCAAACATCCATTGTTGAGTGTACTTATATATCATAATTAAAAAAAAGAACCTAATGGAAAAATAGACAATTTAGAAGAAAAATTGTAAATGTTCAATAAATAATTAAAATAGTTCCACCTCACTAGTAATGAAAGAAATGCAAGAAAAAAAAAGTTAAGTTACTTTTTTGGGGGGAGGGTCTTAGATTTATAAAACAAAACAACAAATAGCTGATAGCAGCCTGTGTGCAAAATGGGCACCTCCATAAACTTCATGAGACTGTATATTGATACAGTGTTTTTACATTTAAACTATATGTACTAAAATGTTAAGTGCACATATTCTATTCCTGAGCAATCTCACAGGTCTTTAGCCTAGGGCAGTAATAATGCAAATAGGCTAGATTATGTGTAGAAGTATCTTCAGTAGGCTCTTCTGATAGCCAAAAATTGGCGGACAAAATGCCTGTTAGAATAATATAAGTGTAGTACATTTGTCCCTTGTAGTTAAAAAGAATGAGGTTATGTTTATATGTACTTCCATGAGATCCATATTATATAGTTAAGTGAGGAAGAAGTTTGCAGAACAACATCATAACGTGATCCCCACTTTCATAAAATACTAAAGCCTATGTCTATGTGTAACTGCATTAAAAATCTGAAAGGATACACTTCAAACTGTTAGTAGTTGTTACCTCTGGGGACTTCCATTTCCAGTCATGATAGAATAACAAGAGCCAGATTTACCTTCCCACCTTAACTATACAACTGAACAAAATGTATGAAACAAAGGTTCATACATTGCTCACAGATGTTGGGCAACAGGCAGTGCAGGAAAATAATTCTCCAGAGAAGGCAAATAAACAAGGTGAGTCCTGTGATTGTCGTAGATTACTGCCTAGAGAGTTTTTAGGCTTCAGTGAAGAGGGGAATCCCTTGGTCTTTCTGAGGAGACATAAATTTAGAGTGTGGGGAAGCAAAGATGGCTAGATTTTGTTGGGCAAAATACCGGAGAAGAGGGGGCTGCAGAGAGAGAGCACTAGAGATCTGCAGGATGTCTTCTCAGGTCTTTGTTTGAGTACTGATCTGCATGTGAGAAAACTATTCAAAACCTGAAAAAGGACCACTGGAAAGGAGAAGGCAGAGCAATCCCCAGAGTTCACACTAGTGAACTGGGACTAGTTTGTGTTCCTACTTGCCAGAAAGGAAAGACTTCCTAATATTACAGGGCTTCAAATAGAGACCTCAGATGGCTATTGCTTTAATAGTGGTTCCAGATTAAGCCTAGAATGAAGGCTGCTGTAGCCCCTCTGTAATAAAACCTAAAAGCAAGCCTTGAAAGGATCAACTGATTCCAAGTAACTTAATTGTATCCTAGAGCAAAGCCCAAGAATATGTAAAGGAATATGACAAAAATCTAGTACCAAACATAAAATTCACGATGTCTGGCATCCAGTAAAAAATCATCAAGCATGTCGAATGAATGAACCTAGGATTAACCTTGATGTTTCTTTTTCTTATCAGAATTGACAGAAGGTGACATCATGGGGCTTAGTTAGCTCATTGTATCATTTTCTATTTTTTTCAGGGCTCAGCTTTCACCCCAAAAGACCTTGGATCCTGACTAGTTTACATAATGGGGTCATCCAGTTATGGGACTATCGGATGTGCACTCTCATTGACAAGTTTGATGAACATGATGGTGAGATATTTCTAGGAGGAAGTTAAAGGAGTATAAGTATTTATAATATCCTGGGGTATTTTAAGCCTTGTTTGACATGGATTCCTCTATGATTAAAGAATGTGGAAATGATAGAACTGAAAAATCCTGAATAGGAATCACCTTAGAGATTAGAAAGGATAGCTCTGTCTAACATACATTGCCTGCCTTCTCCACCAGGTCCAGTGCGAGGCATTGACTTCCATAAGCAGCAGCCACTGTTCGTCTCTGGAGGAGATGACTATAAGATTAAGGTACAGAGGGTCTGTCATAACTGAGAATAAAGGAAAGAGGATGTGGGAAGGTTTGGGAATCATGAAAGGAACTGAAAGACAGGAAATTTCATTCATACAGAGCTCAGGCCTTTGACAACATTATCCGGAGAACTTACTCAGCAAACATTTATTGAATGCTTACTGTGTACCAGACACTGTTTTCTTTTTAGGGAATTCAAAAATAAATAAGAAATGGCTTCTGTTTTCAAGGAGCTTTTATTCTAATACAGAAGATAAACATATATCCAAGTAATAGCATGTACAGTTTGGTAAGCAATATAATAGAGAGATATTCACAGTGAAATAGGAAAGAGCAGTATAGGTGCAAAGACAAAAAGCATGACACAGCTAGATACAGGGCAGCTGTTATTGGTTTTGTATGGAGAAAACCTGGAGAAATGGTGAGAGAAGGGGCAGAAGATGAGAGGGGCCAGATCATGGAGTACCTGTTTGTGGCGCTCAGGAGTTTAGATGTTATCATGCAGATAACTAGGAGCCATTTGAGGAACTTAAATACAGGAGTGATACCAGATTTATATGTTTTTAAAATGATTACTTGGTGGTAATTAAAGAAAAGATTGGATGATTTGGGCAAGACAGGAGGCAAAAATACCAGTTAGGAAACCTGAGCTTAGGTAGTAGCATTTGAAATGGAGAGAAGGAGATGGATGTGAGAATTTAAGGAAATGAATCAGTGTGTCTGTTGGGTGATGGCCAATAAGGAGAAATAAATGAGATGGCCAATAAGGAGAAATAAGGGCCAATAAGGAGAAATAAATGAGCTGACTTTCAGGCTTCTAGTTTAGGTCACTGGGTAAAGGGGGTGTCATTAACTAGGAAAGGAAAATCAGGAGGAGATAGTTTTCTGGAGTGGAAGAGAATGGATAATGAATTCCATCTTGTCTCTGGTGATTTTGAGGGACCTAAGGGACAGTCTAGTTGAGGTGTCTGTGCTAGAAATATATTTGTGATTTGTCGTCATGAAGGGAGGAGCCAAAGGAGAAGCAGTAGAAGATATTGCTCAAGGAGTACGTTGAATAAGAAGACAGACCATCATTTAAGGGAGAGAGAGGAAGTAGAGTTAGTATGGGAAACAGTGATTCGAGGGGTTCGAGATGAACCAAGAGGGAGAAGAAGCCTCTTGGATGCCAAGGAAGAAGAGAATTTTGGGAAGGAGAAAGTGTTCAGAATAAGATCAAGATTGAGAAATAACCTTTGAATTGCTTAATTTGGAAGGCCTTAGTGTGAAATGAGGAAGCAGACAGAATATAGGCAATTCTTTAAAGACAACTGACTATCATAATAGCAAAAGTTAGAGCCAGAGACTAGCAACCTATAAAAATAAATCAAAATTTCCTCTGTTTACTTCCTTTAGTTGTTTTCATTAAGTCTATGTGTCAAACCGAACCAGTGAAATTTAATTCATAAAAAGGTAAAGTCTTTTCATAAGCAACTTCAAGAAGTTATATATTGTGATTATACCGCAGAACTTAGGTGATGGGAGTAAAGAGTGACAGCTGCCTACAGAGAAAAGAGCTATTAGAATTATAGGAAGGACATTTCTTTCTGTTTTCTAGTTTTTAGGCACCACATCCTGGGGCAATCAAAACTCAAACCACCTGACAGATCTCAAAAGCCCATAAGGATATCACCTCATTATAGTATTTTTGTATTTGTTATTTATAGTGATGAACATTGAGTATCAAGAATGGTTAACTTGGGATTCTTATAATCTGTTTAAAAAGGAAAAACTGGGTGTTAATTAAGAAAAAGTTTTCCCAAAATGACTAATATTTTGGAAAAGAAATTATCTTCCACTTATGAAATGTCCAGAATAGGTAAATCTATAGAGACAGAAAGTAGGTTAGTGATTGTCTAGGGTTGGAGGGGTTGGGAGGAAATGAGAAGTGACAGCTAATGGGTATGAATTTCTTAGGGGAGTGAATAAAAATGTTCTAAAATGGATGGTTGCACAACTGTGAATATATTAAAAGCCATTGAGTTTTATACTTTATATGAATAAATTGTATGGTATTTGAACTGTATCTCAATAAAGCTGTTATTAAAACAAAGGAATTCTTTATTAGCTGGTAGGTGTGTAGTGCTATCATTTGGTGGGTTTTTTTGGTTTGTTTTTTGTTTGTTTGTTTGTTTGTTTGTTTGTTTTTTGCGATGGAGTCTTGTTCTGTTGCCCAGGCTGGAGTGCAGTGGCGTGATCTCGGCTCACTGCAGCCTCCACCTCCCGGGTTCAAGTGGTTCTCCTGCCTCAGCCTCCCGAGTAGCTGGAATTACAGGCATGCGCCACCAAGCCCGGCTAATTTTGTATTTTTAGTAGAGATGGGGTTTCTCCATGTTGGTCAGGCTGGTCTTGAACTCCCGACCTCGGGTCGTCTTCCTGCCTCGGCCTCCCAAAGTGCTGGGATTACAGGCGTGAGCCACCGCACCCGGCCCATTCGGTGGTTTTAATTAATTTCTCTGATGACTAATAAACTTGAACATTTTTCCATAAAAAGGGGGATTATCTAGAAAAGTCATGTCTGTGGACCATCTTATTGCTTGCTATATCCAGATAAATGTAGCATTAGTTATAATCCTCGTTGACAAAGAGTAAGACAAGGAGCCCAGCAAATGGTCAGAGTATTCATCTAAAACCCCTATAAGTTTTTAAGGATTTACAGTTTTGGAGCTTGACTTAGGCCATTAAAGGAGTCAAGACATTTTGAAACTAGAAATATGAAAGTTTAAAACACTGAACTCTATAAGGGGAAAAAAGTCAGTTAAAGAATAGTGTTTATGGTATGGTCTAATTTTTATGTGAAACTCTACTGTGTACATGTGTATTTATATGTAGCTGATTGAATAGATAGAGGCAAAGGTATTGGAATACCTTAACTTTTCATGTTATTCTTATTTCCATACATAATGCTTACTGAGCACTTACCTAATGTCAGGCACTGTGTTAGGTGGTAAGGGTATAGTGTTGAGCATGATGGACAAGAACCCTGCCTTTAAGGAACTCAGCATTCTTGTTTGGAAGATCATACTTTTGGATTGTCTGGACTTGTTATAGGAAATGAAATTTTTATAATTTACTGAAGAAAAGTTAAAAATTAGAAATAGTAACAAGCTGGCCCAGATTGATTATAAACAAATATTAAAAAGAAATTTAAAAAAATTAAATAAGAAGAAAAATGCATCTGGTCTCTTATTTTTGTACATTTTAGGGGATTTTCTGAATGAGGAAGATAAGCTATTTTATATTTATGATCCTGGTTTTCATGTCTTCAGTTGTGTTCATTGATGCCTAGTACTTTGGTAGTTGACTCAACTTCACATCTGAATATGATATTGTTTCTCTGCTTAGCTCAGGCTTACTGAGCAATGTAGTATTTTCCATGTAATAAGTTAAGGTCTGTTTGCTTGACAGGTGAGTACAGACCACACATGTATGGGCGTTGTTTGCCATCAAGTTAGGAGCCTAAGAAGCTGATGCCCTATATTATTGTTTCCCTTGGAGTCATGGTATCTATCTGTCCTACTTTTTTTTTTTTTTTTGAGACCGAGCCTCTCTCTGTCGCCCAGGCTGGAGTGCAGTGGAGCGATCTCAACTCACTGCAAACGCCGCCTCCCAGGTTCAAGTGATCCTGCTGCCGCAGCCTCCCAAGTAGCTGGGATCACATCCGGCTAATTTTTTTTTGTATTTTTGTAGAGACAGGGTTTCCCCATGTTGGCCAGGCCGGTCCCAAACTCCTGACCTCAGGTGATCCCCCTGCCTTGACCTCCCAAAGTGCTGGGATTACAGGTATGAGCCATCGTGCCCAGCCTGTCATACTTTTTAAAAGTGATGGGTAAAGCACTTAAGGGGTCTATATTCAAGCCAAGAGCACAATTTTGCAGTAGAAAAAAGAGTTGCAAATCAAGCCCTGGATAAATATCTCCTGCTATTAAATGCAGATGGCTTCTTCCCAAAGAAAGAAAAACTTTTTTTTTTTTTTTTTTTTTTTGAGACTGAGTCTCGCTCTGTTACCCAGGCTGGAGTACAATGGCATGATTTCGGCTCACTGCAACCTCTTGTATCCTGAGTTCAAGCGATTCTCCTGCCTCAGCCTCCCGAGTAGCTGGGACTACAGGCACATGCCACCACGCCTGGCTAATTTTTTGTATTTTTAGTAGAGACAGGGTTTCACTATGTTAGCCAGGATGGTCTCGATCTCCTGACCTTGTGATCCACCCGCCTCGACCTCCCAAAGTGCTGGGATTACAGGCATGAGTGACCACGCCCAGCCTGAAAAACTTCAATAATTTTATCTTTAGCTTTTCCCTAATCCTACCCCAACCCCATGTTGTTTATCTGACCTATATTTTCATTCTTGTTCTTTTCCCCTCAAATCTTAAACAAGGCTTTCTACCAAGGTTCCTACCTATTTAGAAATGCCAAAATACAAATAATGTATATAAATCTATATTTATATACATATTTCTATCTCTGTAAAGATATCAATTTCTCTGAGCCTTTTAGAGGCTCAATAACTATTTCTGTTTCTTAGTTTGATTTGTCTTTGCAGGTTTGGAATTACAAGCTTCGGCGCTGTCTTTTCACATTGCTTGGGCACTTAGATTATATTCGCACCACGTTTTTTCATCATGTAAGTAGTCATGGTGGCGCTAGTTTTGGAGCATTCTTAGTTTCCCCATAGTAATCTTTATTTGATCCTTGAGAACCCATGTTTTAATAATAGAGTTGTTTTTGGAGTGGCTCTTCTACAATCTGTGTGGTATTGTCCTTTCTGCTTTTTTTCTTTCTGCAAAAGGAAGCACTTGGGATTATACTGAATTTAATTTTATTGGATTCAGTGGATTCTATGGGAAGTCATTGTTTCTCTGTAGGGAAAAGTAGGGATTTGATTTCAGATTTGCTGAACCAAAAAACAAAAGTTTGCCAGCTAATCCCATGTAGGGTATTATTAGTAAGTAGTAGGTGTGTCTGGAAGAAGGTCAGACTAAGATGCCATTTTGATCAGCTAACAAACGTTTCGAAGTATTAACAATCATACCCCTCTATCCTAGGATTTTTGGGTCTGGTGGAGGCTGTTCCCTTAGCCAGGCTTACTACTTTCTTTGATCTGCCAGGTAACATAGTAGATTTAGATAGTGAGGTGCAGATTACAGACTCCCAACCTCTGAATCCAGTTGCACCCTGACAGGATCTCCTTATAGTTCTGTGTATTAGCATTAACTTACACTATTCTTTGATTGCCAGTAAATTAAGTCTCTTTAATTAAGTTAGAAAGAATATGATGAAATAAACAATTTACTGGTTGAGTATATATTATTTCTTTTTTTAATTAAAAAATTCTAGGATAGGAGAGAATGAGAAAATTACAGCTTAAACATTTGAGAATGATAACCACTCAATAAGATAACTTATTAAGTAGGAATTATTTGTCATTGCCATAAAGGACTTCCTGAAGACCCTTGCCTAGAACAAGTTGCCATCTACCTGGAAAGTTACGAAAGACCTTATTTTCTTTCATTTTACCAGCTCACTAAATATGTGTGTGCCTTATACTTGCTAAGCTTTGTGCTAAATACTGAAGGTAGAGATACTATCTCTATTGAAAATAGAAATACCATCTATTTTCAGTGTTTAACACAAAGCTTAGCAAGTGTAGTAAGAAGGAAGTGTAAATAAGAAATACTTCCTTTTCTCAACAATCTTATAGACTCCAAAAAGGCTAAATTGTCTTTACATGTTACTTTCTGCTTTGCTTGCTGAGACCTGGGAATTTTTTGAAACTGGACAGAAAGAAGTCAGACAATAAAATAATATTCCCATCCTAGAGTTAAAGGTAGAAGAGTCTTTCACAGGATCTTAATTTACATGATTAACTGTATATAAATACACACACACACACACACACATATAGAAGTAAATGTAAATGTATGTTTCACTATCTGCCTCTGAGAATGTATTGTGCCTCTAACTGGCTTCCATTCTTAAGTCTTATAGGTGAAAGTGCCGAAGTTGAGAAAAGCTGTTAGAGTGGTAGAGAAAAGGAGACAGCTAACCTGATAGCAAAAGCAGCAGCCCCTTTGCTAATGTAGCTGAGCCGTTAAGCAATGCAGTTCTTTAGAGAAAAATGATTACAAGAACCTGATAGAACAGATTTGTTTAATGTTTAAAGCCTTTGTCTGGAATATCTTTCAGGAATATCCCTGGATTCTGAGTGCCTCCGATGATCAGACCATCCGAGTGTGGAACTGGCAATCTAGAACCTGTGTTTGGTAAAGCAGGAGGCAGAGGGCTCGAAAAGAGTCTTCATTTTTCCTAGTTTTTCATAATGAGCTTCTCTTAGAACAATCTTCTCCCTTCTCAAATGGACTATGTCGGCTGATTAATTACTGATTGTATTTGTAGGATGCTTTTAAGTGCAAAATAATAAATGTAGAGGCAATCCCATATATGAATCTGGACTTCCAATAATTTCTTACCAGGAAGAGAAGTCATATAGCCTTTTAGAACAAGAACTTTTAGCTGGTTTTCAATTATTTTCCCATAAAACCTGAGTCAAGGTCTAGACCTTTGTCTTATTTTGTGTTTGGAGCTGGAGCTTTACATAGAACTTTCCATGAAGAGTTAGGGACCATTTAAAGTGATGGCCTTGGCCCGGCGCCATGGCTCATGCCTGTAATCCCAGCACTTTGGGAGGCCAAGGCAGGCAAATCACCTGAGGTTAGAAGTTCGAGACCAGCCTGGCCAAGATGGTGAAACCCCGTCTCTACTAAAAATACAAAAATAAGCTGGACGCGGTGGCGTGTGCCTATAGT
Organism: Homo sapiens; assembly: GCF_000001405.40. Classification (NCBI taxonomy): domain Eukaryota; kingdom Metazoa; phylum Chordata; class Mammalia; order Primates; family Hominidae; genus Homo; species Homo sapiens. The sequence continues at coordinate 160,333,059 of NC_000001.11, read as the reverse complement.
CCCAGCTACTCGGGAGGCTGAGGCGGAGAATCGCTTGAACTGGGGAGGCAGAGGTTGCAGTGAGCCAAGATTGCGCCACTGCACTCCAGCCTGGGCAACAGAGTGAAATTCCATCTCAAAAAAATAATAACAATAAAAAATAAAGTGATGGCCTTTAAAAGGGATACCCTACTAAAATCTCACAGATAATTTACAGTATGGATTACTGAGATTACATTTATTTTGATATTTTAAAATATTTTTGAGAGAAGAGCTATGTAATCTTAGTCCTCCTGAAATTAGTAATATTTAAATACTAAAGCATTAGAGGCAAGAAGAGAACTATTGTTAAAATAGCTGACTGGGCTTATTATTATTAGTTCAGAATTGGTAGGATGACCTGCCTTTGTCTCCATAAAAGTAAAACTGGATAAGCATTTATTGAATATGGAGAAAGGTATTTAGTTTAGGAGTCTGTTGACTTCCACCTCTAATTTGGTATTGTCTTTTTTTTTTCTTGCAGTGTGTTAACAGGGCACAACCATTATGTGATGTGTGCTCAGTTCCACCCCACAGAAGACTTGGTAGTATCAGCCAGCCTGGACCAGACTGTGCGCGTTTGGGATATTTCTGGTGAGCTGCCCAAGTTCAGAGGACAACCTGGTCATCTCTGGTGCAAAACTGCAATTGCTTAAAATAGTGAGGAGAGTTGACTTAGAACTGGAAAATTTAGAATATTCTGTTTTATAATAGCATCTTTGTTTCTGAGGTTGTTGAATTTGCTTTGATGGTTCTTCATATTGGAAGTCTTCTCTAAGAAAAGAGGTAACTCTAGAAAATTCATTTGATTTGAAGAAATTTTAACTTTCTAGTTACATCAGCTTTTGTTAAAATCTATTTACTGTTGCAACATTTGATTAAGAATCATGCTTTCCACTCAAATAAGAAAAAATACATCTATGACAAAAAGAAATTTTGAGAATAGATTAATACAGGGAAACAAGACTCTTGGACCCTATCGCTTTATTTAAAAATAGTAAAATCTCTCTATTACGTTTCTTCTAGTGCGGGGAGCATGGTTGGGTTCTAGGAGTTGGTGACTTTTATGTCCAGAATACCTTTTTTTTTTTTCTGAGAGGGAGTCTTGCTTTGTTGCCCAGGCTGGAGCGCAGTGGTGTGATGATCTTGGCTCACTGCAACCTCCACCTCCCGGGTTCAAGCAATTCTCCCTCAGCCTCCTGAGTAGCTGGGACTACAGATGCATGTGACCACACCTGGCTAATTTTTGTATCTTAATTAGAGATGGGGTTTCACCATATTGGCCAGGCTGGTCTCAAACTCCTGACCTTGTGATCTGCCTGCCTCGGCCTCCCAAAGTACTGGGACTACAGGTGTGAGCCACCGTGGCTGGCCTGTTTTTTTTTTTTTTTTTGAGATGGAGTCTCACTCTGTCTCACCCATGCTGAAATGCAGTGGCGCAATCTCGGCTCGCTACAACCTCTGCCTCCCGGATTCAAGCGTTTCTTGTGCCTCATAAGTAACTGAGATTACAGGTGCACGCCACCACGCACAGCTAATTTTTGTATTTTTAGTAGAGACAGGGTTTCACCATGTTAGCCAGGCTGGTCTCGAACTCCTGACCTCAGGTGATTCTCCTGCCTCAGCCTCCCAAAGTGCTGGGATTACAGACATGAGCCCCTGTGCCTAGCCCAGAATACCTTTTAATGGACAGATTTAGGACTAGAAATTAAATAATTTATAGATTATGGATAGTTGGGATAATTCCTCCTTTTACAGTTTACATATCTTTATTTTGAGACAAGGATTTAAATGTTTAGTCTTATATAGAGGAGATCTAAGAAAGTGCTACCTAGAGAATTTAAATGTAGAGAATGGACTGTACCTGTGAGACCTATGGAAGCGCTTCATGTTGGAATAGGGAAATCAAACACTAAATGCTGTAGTTCTCTGACCAGTTAGTATTTGTTGTTTCTTTCTTTCTTTTTTTTTAACTTTTATTTATTTATTTTTGCCATGTGCCACCATGCCCAGCTAATTTTTGTATTTTTAGTAGAGACAGGGTTTCACCATGTTGGCCAGGCTGGTCTCGAGCTCCTGATCTCAGGTGATCCACCCACCTTTGCCTCCCAGAGTGCTGAGATTATAGGCGCGAGCCACCATGCCCAGCCTGTTGTTTCTTTGTATTCATTTCCTTAGAAATTCTTGGAGATTTGAGTTCTTTGAAATGTCAGTGACTGGACTACAAAACATGTTTCATTCTATGAAAGGAAGGCCCCCCTCATAGATCTTTGTTTGGTTCTTTGTAATAAAGGAGTCATCCTCTGCATTGTACAGCTGAGGTGATAACTATTCCCAACTCCATTGTGGCATGGGGGACTGGGGCAATAATGGCACTTGTTCTTATAGACCATTAATGAACAGCAAGCTGAAAATTTGGATTCTGAGATACAGCATTTGGAATACTGCAATAGCAGTTTAGGTTAATGTAGCATAGAAACAAGACAAGAGGAGATGGGGACAATTGTAGAGTAGAACCTCTAGATAATGCTGTCTTTGTAGTTTTCAAAGGCATAGAATGAAAGGGAGGAGTATAAACAAGAGGTATTGGAGATAGGGCAGTTGTATTCTCTTTCCCTAGGGCTTTGCCATTGCAGTTTTTCATCAGACTGACAAGGTTTTTTGAAGTACACCCAGATGTGACCAGCCATGCCAACAGGAGGAGCTAGACACAGGCACTGTGAACCTGTGTCCTCTCCTCACTGCCAGTACCAGGGAGCTTAGCATCTACTCTCCCAGTAACCTTGCTATGGCTTTCCATGGTTTTTCACTGTGCACACATTCAAAGCACTCTCTCTGTCTCAGGATATAGGAGCCTGATGGGCTTGGATCCCAATTCATGCTATTCCAGCTGATCAGGGGCAATTTTTTTTTGGGGGGGGTGGCGGTGGGGACAGAGTCTCACTGTTACCCAGGCTGGAGTGCAGTGGCATGATCTCAGCTCACTACAACCTCCACCTCCTGGGTTCAAGCAATTATCCTGCCTCAGTCTTCCAAGTAGCTGGGACTACAAGGGCATGCCACCATGCCCAGCTAATTTTTGTGTGTTTTTAGTAGAGACAGGGTTTCACTATTTTGGCCAGGCTAGTCTCGAACTCCTGACCTCAAGTGATCCAGCTGCCTCAGCCTCCCAAAGTGCTGGGATTACAAGCACGAGCCACTGCCCCTGGCCGGCAATTATTCAGAATATCCTTTGTCAACCTGGATTCTGTGAGAGAATTAAGTGCTATAGAAAGTACTTTCAGTGGCTGTTTTCGTAGTTCTTCTAAGAATGGTATATAGCTAATGCTATTCTAGTTCATAGAGAATTTGTTACATACCTAAACTGATGCCTTTCGGGCATTAAAACTTAATTCTTTTCCAGAACGCCGGGTTGAGAAGGGCTCCACTGTAAAAGTAATGTTTGTGCCACCTGATGCCAGCCTTGCATGTTCCCTGCAGTCTAGCCAATGCAGTTTGGGGGCAGTCAGGTGGTTGGATTCTTGGTGGTCATGAAATGCTCAAGGCATGAAATACTTTTCTTTACCTTTTGCAGACAGAGAACATTTTTACATCAAAATTAAGGGCCCTAGATCAGAGAAGAGAGGGAGTGTGACCCCATGGGGTTTATACTTGCTCTTGAATGTGTGAAGTGCATGGATTACTATGTAATAACCTTGCAATTGCTATACTTTATTTATGTGATAGTAAGAATTTTGTGCTAGCTTGCTGTACTAATGTTAATGCTCTTTTTACCATTTCTAAGTGTTGTTCTTTACCCACAACTCTTGACTTCCAGTAACCCCTTAACCAGAGTGGAAGGAGATGCTTTGGTATTTAACAAAGTGCAAGAAGCTTTTGGGTTAGACTTTTATACTTTCCTTCTCTAGAAATCAGCATATTCTTTTTCAGCAGGGTTCTTTTTTGCTATTGGGTTCAAATAAGTCTGAAAACAGGAAGAGGAATTAGCTTTCCGATCTGTTAAAGACCAGTGCTTATATTTCTGAAAGGGAGAAGTTAGTTCTGAATGAGAGTATGAATACTCCCAAATTTAGAGGACTAGTTCTAATTTTTTTGACTATTTTTTTTTGAAAGGGACACTCTCTGAGTTAGTTAAGCAGTAAGAGAATATAGAGATCTTTAAAGGAAAACCTATCTCTTGGTACCTCTCCCATAGGGATTGAACCCCACAGGGCTTAGCTTAACCTGAATCTTTTGTGTTACCCTGGCAAAAACTATTTGTTTAAAAGGGAATGTATTTACAAACCTACATATAAAAGGTTACTTTCTTAACTTGAGCTTCTAAGTAAACTGACAGTTAAATTATTTTAATATGCTTATACCTTTGCATGTCAAGCCCATGTAATTCAGGCTCAGTCTCTGAAAAGGCTACTAAAAAAGTATTAATTTGCTGCCAAATCCTGTTATCATCCCTCTCTTTTTCCTGCTTTCCCTGGTCCGTATTGGGAGGTGTGCATCAAACTGGTCCATTCTGAGAGTGTCCTCTCCTCCCTCTGGATTTGGGTAGCTGCTGTAGAAATTTTCCATCTGTCGTTCAGTCCTAGCGAGCGGCTTGTTGAAGGCTCAAATATTTCTTCTCTGAGTATCTTTTCACTGCCTGTCACCATTCATCTGTCTGTTTTTGCCCTTCCCCTTTTCCCGGATCATTACACGCAAATGCAACAAAGCCTTCCATTCTGTCATACGGCTTTCCTTTTAATGTGTTTGTTGAAGCTTATTGGAGGTGAAGTTTCTCACAGCTGTCTATCTTTGTATTTTCCTTTGAATCTGTTTCATATACCAGACTCGTTAGAAAAAGTTGACAGATCTTATTAAAGGGACAAGTGAAATAAGTGAAAGGAGGCATCCCAGCGATAAAGTATTTATGAGCCTTTGGGAGAGTATATTGTAAAACATCAGCTTTATTTCTCTCTACCTACTGGCTAAATGCTCATCTTGGACAGAGGACAAGATAATTAAAATTGTTGTGGCCTTCTAAGCTCTTGCTTCTCCAGTGTTAACATGTAGGTGCCACCATAACAGAAGAGATATATTATAATTTTAAAACAATAAATATAAATGCAGTTATTAAACTTAAGTTCTTATATTTTCCTACAGATGGCAAAGTTTAGGCTTAAAATGACTTAGGTTTTCTTTCCTTTTTTTGAGACGGAGTTTCACTCTGTTGCCCAGGCTGGAGTGCAGTGGCGGGATCTCAGCTCATCGCAGCCTCCGTCTCCCGGGTTCAAGTGATTCTCCTGCCTCAGCCTCCCAGGTAGCTGGGATTACAGGCATGCACCACCACACCCAGCTAATTTTTGTATTTTTAGTAGAGACAGGGTTTCACCATTTGAGCCAGGCTGGTCTCAAACTCCTGACCTCAGTTGTTCCACCTGCCTTGGCCTCCCAAAGTGCTGGGATTACAGGTGTGAGCCACCGTGCCCAGCCTCCTTTTTTTTTAATTTGAGACGGAGTTTCGTTCTTTCGCCCAGGCTGGAGTAAAGTGGTGCAATCTTGGCTCACTGCAACCTCCGCGCTGCGCCCCCCCCAGCCCCGCCCCCCGGGTTCAAGCAATTCCCCTGCCTCAGCCTCCCTAGCAGCTGGGATTACAGGCATGCGCCGTCATGCCCGACTAATTTTTGTATGTTTAGTAGAGACGGGGTTTTGCCATGTTAGCCAGGCAGACCTCAAACTCCTGACCTGCGGTGGTTCACCTGTCTCAGCCTCCCAAAGTGCTAGGATTACAGGCGTGAGCCACTGCGCCCAGCCTTTAGGTTTTATTTTCAATGAGAGTTTTTATTTTCCATTACACATAACTGTCTTTTTAAAAAATATTTACAAGTGCTAGGTAATTTCATCTTCCACTATTCCCCCAAAATACTTCAAAATATAGGATTTTAGTCTCAATTCTTTTTTTCTCATCTACAAACTGTTATAATTTTACCTGCTTGTTCATTCCAAAGGTTTGTTATCAGAGTCCAGTTACATAACATACTCTCTGAAAACCACAAAGTACTTTCCGAATGTGAGATAGTAGCAGTGCTATCATAATTTTGGTTCTGACTATAGCACAAATAGCTTTTAAAGATAGATTTACTTGAGCCATATATGTGGGTCCTCTACAAATAAGACTATTATTATTCTGGTGTCTTTTTCCATCGTTTTTAAGTTACAGGATAATTCCTCCCAGTAAAACTAGCCTCCAAAGGTTTTAATGGCAAAATCCAAGTATTCAAATCTATAATCAGCCTTTTAAGCAGGAACTTAAAATGACATGACAGTTTTAATTATCTTGTTCTTCGTCCAAGAGTCAAGTAGTAGGCATGAGTACACTTTTTACATGGCTTATGGTTTTACGTTATCTTCTACCAAACAGCTGTTTTGTACTTAATAGGCCTAGTTTCTGTAACCCATTTGGAACTTCCCCCATCAGCTGTCGAAAGGCTTCAAGTTGAGAAACACTGCACTGTGGCTTCTTCAAATGGCTTTTCTTTTTTGAGATAGGGTCTCAATGTCACCCAGGCTGGAGTGCAGTGGCGCCATCATGGCTCACTGCAGCCTCGACTTCCTGGGCTCAAGCCATCCCCCTATCTCTCAGCCTCCCAAGTAGCTGGGACTACAGGCTCGCGCCACTGCACCTAGCTAATTTTTATATTTTTTGGAGAGACGGGGTTTTGCCATGTTGCTCAGGCTGATCTTTAACTCTTGGGCTCAAGCGATCCACCTGCCTTAGCCTCCCAAAGTGCTAGGATTATAGGCGTGAACCACCACGCCAACCTCAAATGGCTTTCCTTTAAAATTTCTTGAGCCTAGTCCGAAGATAGTGAGTTATCTCAGTTGATTGTTCACAGTCAGTTACAGATTGAACTCCTTGTTCCACTCTTTTCCCCATTCTCACTACTGCACTTGACTATTCTTTAAAAAAAAGAAAAAAATTTCTGAAATGATCGGGGAAAAGCTGCTATAAATTTTATGAAGTTGAGAGTAGAAATTGAATGTTTACCATTTGGGGCCACATTTCAAGAACACTGAAGAATGGAAAGTGGGCATTAACTGAAGCAGACACCTCTTGAGGTAAGATTTGTGGAAGAAGAGGTTAAAGTGTGCCAGAAATTTGGGTTACCCTCCTCTAGAAAGAAATTCCAGTAATGGATCTGTTTAAGTGTTAAGGGAGCAGAAGAGAAGACGGTGAATGTACTTCAATATTTTGAACATTTTTAGAAATAGGAATTCTTGAGTCTCTTTTCTTTCTTCAGTCTTTTCCATTTCTTTTTCTTTTCTTTTTCACTGTAATTTCTGTGTTTCTGATACTGTGCTGTTTTAGATAATATTATGTTTACATCTTTCATCCCACTCCTTATCCCTTCAAAGGTCTGAGGAAAAAAAACCTGTCCCCTGGTGCGGTGGAATCGGATGTGAGAGGAATAACTGGGGTTGATCTATTTGGAACTACAGATGCAGTGGTGAAGCATGTACTAGAGGTACTTATCTTTATAGCCAGGGGCTGAATATGGGCTGTCATCTTGGGAAAGTCACAGTATGTTGTTCATTTATTCATTCCTTCAACAAATATTTACAGAGTGCTTATTAAGTGCCAGGCACTGTTTGAGGTACTAGAAATCAAATTGTGCGTGAACCAACAGAGAAATGAAGCTTATGTGCCACCTGAGGGAGAGTCTTATTACCTTATAAACCCAGTGGGAAAGGGAGAAAGCCAGGCGTAGACCTCATCACCATCCCAAAGCAGAGCCCATTCTCAAGCTTTCTGTAAGGCAGGGCAGCAGGAAATTTAATCGGAGTTATCGAGAACCAGCCATGTGTAACTTTTGTGCAGGTGGGAAAACAGAAAAGCATAAGGGAAAGAAACTAGTTTTTGTTCTAAAAAATTATCTAATCTTCATAGCTACCCACTGAAGTAGATATTATTATCCCTATTTAGCAGACAAAAAAAAAAAAGAGATTTAGAGAAATTAAGTGGTCTACCAAAATCTACATATATCTAGTAAATAAATGTAAGAAATAAGATTTGAATTTCGATCTGACTCCAAAACCCAGGTGCTTTTCGCTGCATCATGATACATCTCAATAATACTGCTAATTCAAAACTGCCTTATCCAGGATTCTGTCACAATATACCATATAACTGTATAAATAGGGTATACAGTATCTTAAAATCAGCAGTTCTTAAACTTTTTGGTCTGAAGATCTCTTTATACTCTTAAAATTTATTGAGGACCCCAAAGAGTTTTTGTTTATGTGGGTTATATCTGTCAATTTTTTACCACATTTTAGATTAAAACAACTTTTAAAAACATGAAATATATCAGCACACATTCTATTAGCTGTCAGAGCGATGATATCACATATCATGTGCTGGGAAACTCTATTGTATACTTACGAAAGAATAAGAATGAAGAAGATAAATAGGCTGGGTGCAGTGGGTCACACCTGTAATCTCAGCACTTTGGGAGACCGAGGCCAGAGGATTACTTGAGGCCAGGAGTTTGAAACCAGCCTAGGCAACATAGCAAGACCTTGTCTCTACCAAAAAAAAAAAAAAAAAAAATTAGCTGGGCGTGGTGGTGCTCACTTGTAGTCCTTTGGGAGGCCGAGGTAGGAGAATCACTTGATCCTGGAAGTTTGAGACTTCAGGGAGCAATTAATATGATTGCACCACTACACTCCAGCCTGGATGACACAGCAAGACCTCATCTTAAAAAAAAAAAAAAAAAAAAAAAGAATGAAGAAGACAAAGTCTTAGTAATATTATGAAAATAGTTTTTACCTTGCAAACTTCTTAAAATAATCTTGGAGCTCCTTCAAGACCAGACTGAGATTTCTGCATTAAGTTATAAAAGTTTTCGGGCGGGCGCAGTGGCTCACGCCTGTAATCCCAGCACTGTGGGAGGCCGAGGCAAGTGAATCATGAGGCCGGGAGTTCAAGACCAGCCTGGCCAAGATGGTGAAACCCCATCTCTACTAAAAATACAAAAAAATTAGCCGGGTATGGTGGTGGGTGCCTGTAATCCCAGCTACTTGGGAGGCTGAGGCAGAGAATTACTTGAACCCGGGAGGCAGAGGTTGCAGTGAGCTGAGATCGTGCCACTGCACTCCAGCCTGGGTGACAGAGCGAGACTCCGTCTAAAAACAATAAAAAATAAAAAATAAAATTTGTCTGGAGATATTAATAATTATTTGTAGAAATAAGATAAAAATAGGCAAGTAAAAAACAAAGCAGAATATCCTAAATGCAAATGAGGCTGAGTTTAGGGGTTAGAAATATGTATTTGGAAATTCACATGAGAATTTGGGGTAATATTGGAGGACAGACATGGTAATTCTGATGCTCAAAATTTTAGAGCAGCGTAGTCTCTTGAATCTGTTCACATGAAGAATAAATCAGAGACATTTTTTACAACGAGTAGCTTGATTCATTGGTTTGCTTTGAGTAATGACTATAAAGATGTTTTAGAAGAACCACTCTTTTCTACAGGGTCACGATCGTGGAGTAAACTGGGCTGCCTTCCACCCCACTATGCCCCTTATTGTATCTGGGGCAGATGATCGTCAAGTGAAGATCTGGCGCATGAATGGTGAGTGAACCGGTTACATTATCGCCATATCTAAGAAACTGCCAGCCAGCAAGGTAAAGTAGCCAGGTCTTCTGGACTCTGACCTATTTTTCTACCTTAGGTGATTAATTAATGCTAATCCCAGGAGCATAGAAATTATTTTACAAATAAAATATATCATCTTTACAATTTTTATGTGTACAGTTAAGTGGTAATAAATATATTTATATTCTGTTTTCCTCCATTTCCTCCTTCACCCTCCTTCCCATTCTACTCTCGATCTTAATAATATCCACTTTTTAGCTTCCACATGTGAGTGAGAACATGCCATATTTGTCTCTTTGTTCTTCCCTTAACATAATGGCCTCCAGTTCCATCCATTTTGCTGCAAATAACAGGATTTCATTCTTTTTTATAGCTGAATAATATTCCATTGTGTGTGTGTGTGTGTGTGTGTGTGTGCACGTGCGCGTATGTAATTTTCTTTATTCATCCCTTGATGAGCACTTAAGTTGATTCCGTATTTTGGCTATTGTAAATAGTGCTGCAATAAACAAACATGGGGATGCAGATACCGCTTTGATATATTTATTTCCTTTATTTGGATATATAGCCAGTAGTGGAATTGCTGGATAATATGTTAGTTCTATTTTTAGTTTTTTGAGGAACCTCCATACTATTCTCCATTGTGACTATACTAATTTACATTCCCACCAACAGTGCAGGAGGGTTCCCCTTTCTCCATACCCTTGCCAGCATCTGTTATTGCCTGTCTTTTTGATACAAGCCATTTTACCTGTGGTGAAATGATATCTCATTGTGGATTTGATTCGCATGTCTTTTTTTCTATATATATGTATATATATTTCAGCCTCTGTGTTAAGGACACATTGATTTGCATTTCTCTGATAATTATTGATGAGCATTTTGCCCAGACAATGTCCTGGGACATTTCCCCAATGTTTTCTTCTAGTAGTTTCATAGTTTCTGGTCTTAGATTTAAGTCTTTAATCCTTTTTTGATTTGATTTTTGTGTGTGGTGAGAGATAGGAGTTTCATTCTTCTGCATATAGTTACCCAGTTTTCCCAACACTTTATTGTATGTTCTTGGCACCTTTGTTAAACATGAGTTAGCTATAGATTTGTGGATTTATATCTGGGTCCTCTGTTCTGTTCCATTGGTTTATGTGTCTGTTTCTGTGCCAGTACCACAGTGTTTTGGTTACTCTAGCTTTGTAGCAAATTTTGAAGTCAGGTAGTGTGATGCCTCCATCTTTGTTCTTTTTGCTCAGAATTGCTTTGGCTATTTGGGGTCTTTTGTGCTGCCATATAAATTTTAGGATTTTTTTTCTGTTTCTGTGAAGAATGTCTTTGATATTTTGATGGGGAATACAATAAATCTGTAAATTACTTTAGGTAGTAATTTACCCTATCATTTTTACAATATTCTTTCAACCCACAAGCATGGACTATCTTTCCATTTTTGGGGGTCCTCTTCAACTTTTTTCATCAGAGTTTTATAGTTTTCCTTGTATGGCCCTTTCACTTCTTTGGTTAGAGTGATTCCTGGGCATTTTATATTTTTTGTAGTTACTATAAATGGGATTTCTTGATTTTTTTTCAGATTATTCACTATTGGCATATATAAATGCTACTGATATTTTGAGACAGGATCTCGCTCTATTGCCCAGGCTGGAGTACAGTGGCTCGATCTTGGCTTACTGAAACCTCCCCCTCCCAGGTTCAAGTGATTCTCATACTTCAGCGTCTCGAGTAGCTGGGACTACAGGTGCACACCACCACACCTGGCTAATTTTTGTACTTTTTTTAGAGACGAGGTTTCACCATGTTGGCCAAGCTGGTCTCGAACTCTTGACCTCAAGTGATCTGCCCACCTTGGCCTCCCAAAGTGCTGGGTTTATAGGCATGAGCCACTGCACCTGGTCATGCTACTGATTTTTGTATGTTGATTTTGTATCCCGCAGCTGGACTGAATTTATCATTTTGGTTGAGTCTTAGGTTTTTCTAAGTATATGATAATGTCATCTGTGAACAAGGGTAATTTTTCCAATTTGTTTGTCCTTTATTTGTTTCTCATACCTACTTGACCTGGCCAGGACTTCTAGTGTTTTGTCGAATAAAAGTGGTAAAAGTGGGCATCCTTGCCTTCTGGTCCGTAGAGAAAAGGCCTTCAATTTTTTCCCATTAAGTGTAATATTAGTTGTAAGTTTATCATATATGGCCTTTATTGTTTTGAGGTATGCTCTTTCTCTACCCATGTTGATAATAACTTTTGTTATAAAGGGATGTTGAATTTTATCCAATGTTTTTTCAGCATCTGCTTAACTATCATATGGTTTTTATTTTTGATTTTGTTAATGTGATATATCATGTTTATTGATGTATATTGAACCATTCTTGCATCCCTGAAATGAATCCCACTTGATCTTAGTAAATGATCTTATCAGTATACTATTGAATTTGGTTTGCTAATATTTTGTTGAGGATTTTTGCATCTATGTTCATCAGTGATATCGGCCTGTAGTTTTCTCTTTTTGTGGTGTCCTTGCCTGGTTTTGTTATCAGAGTAATGCTGGCCTCATAGAATGAGTTTGAAAATATTCCCTCCTCTTCCTTTTTTTTTTTTTTTTTTTTTTTTAAGAGTTTGAATAGGATTGGCATTAATTCTTTAAATGTTTGGTAGAATTCAGCAGTAAAGCAGTCAGGTCCTGGGCTTTTCTTTGATGGGAGAATTTTTATTAAGGCTTTGATCTAGGCACTGGTTTTTAGAAGTTTTTCTATTTTATCGTGGTTCAATCTTTTTTTTTTTTTTTTTTTTTTTTGAGTTGGAGTCTCGCTGTGTTGCCTAGGCTGGAGTGCAGCAGGGCAATCTTAGCTCACTGCAGCCTCCACCTCCTGGGTTCAAACAATTCTCCTGCCTCAGCCTCCCAAGTAGCTGGGACTACAGGCTGTGCCACCATACCCAGCTAATTTTTATGTTTTTAGTAGAGACAGGGTTTTGCCATGTTGTCCAGGCTGGTCTTGAACTCCTGACCTCAAGTGATCCACCTGTCTCCACCTCCCAAAGTGCTGGGATTACAGACGTGGGCCACCATCCCTGGCCTCGTGGTTCAATCTTTGTAGGTTGTATGTGTCTAGGAATATATCCATTTCTTGTAAGTTTTCTAGTATGTTGGCATGTCATTCTCGTAATAGTTTCTAATGATTCTTTGTATTTCTGAGGTCTCAGTTGTTATGTTTCCTTTCTCATTTCTGATTTTATTTATTTGGATCTTCTCTCCTTTTTCCTTAGTTGGTCTAGCTAACAGTTTGTTGATACTATCTTTTCAAAAAGCAAGTGTTTCGTTTCATTGATAGTCTGTATTTTTTTTAGTCTCAATTTTATTTCTGCTCTGATCTTTATTGTTTGTTTTCTTCTACTAATTTAGGGTTTGGCTTGTTTTTTATTATCTAGGTCCTTGAGGTGTATCATTAGATTGTTCATTTGGAGTCTTTCCTTTTTTTTTTTTTTTTTTTGACATAGGTGTTTATGTTATAAACTTCATTCTTAGTACTGCTTTTGTCATATCCCATAAATTTTGTTACATTGTATTGCCATTTTCATTCGTTTCAAGCAATTTTTAAATTTCCTTCTTAATTTCTTCATTGATCCATTAGTCTTTCAGGAACATGTTGTTTAACTTACATGTGTTTGTATTTTCTGAGGTTCCTCTTGTTATTGATTTCTAGTTCTATTGTGTTCAGAAAAGATACTTAATATAATTTCTATTTTTTACAATTTTTTCAAGCTTGTTTTGTGGCCTAAAGTATAGTTTATTCTGGAGAGTGTTCCATGTGCTGATGAAAAGAATATTCTGTAGCCGTTGGGTGAAATGTTCTGTAAATTGCAGTTAGGCCTATTAGATCTAGTATGTAGTTTAACTCCACTGTTTCTTTGTTGATTTACTGTATGGATGATCTGTCTGTTTTTGAGAGTGGGGTATTAGCTCTCCTACTATTATCATATTGTAGTCTACCTCTCCTTTTGGATCTATTAGTGTTTGCTTTATATACTTGGGAGCTTTGGTGTTGGGTGCACAGATACTTATAATTGTTATTTCCTCTTGCTGAATTGACCCCTTTATCATTATATAGTGACCTTCTTTGTCTCTTTTTACAATCTTAGGTTTGGTAGTCTGTTTTATCTCATGTAAGTATAGCTACGCCTGCTCTTTTCTGGTTTCCAGTTTCATGGAATATCTCCCACTCCTTCGTTTTCAGTCTATGTGTGTCTGTATAGGTAAATGGGTTTCTTGAGGGCAGCATATAGTTAGGTCTTCTCTCTTTATCCGTTTAGCCACTCTATGCCTTTTAATTGAAGAATTGAGAGCATTTACATTCAGTGATATTATTGATAAGCAAGGACTTATTACTGCTGTTTTTTGCTTGTTTTCTGGTTTTGTTTTGTTTTTTTTTGAGGCTTCTCTCTTCCTTTTCTTACTGTCTTCTTTTGTGGTTAAGTGATTTTCTTTGGTAATATGTCTTAATTTGATGCTTTTTATTTTTAGTGAGTATATATTAATAGTTTTTGTGCTGTAATTACCATGAGATTCACAAAAAAAAATCTTATAGATAGAATAAGGTATTTTAAAGAGATGACAGCTTATTTTATATCACAAACACAAGAACAAAAACAAAGGCTAAAACACACTCAGAAATTATACATTTAACTCCATTTCTGTTCCTGCCTTTTTGACTATCTCTTTAACATGTTGCTATAGCTATTATTGCTTTTGATATATTTGTCTTTTGGGCTTCATAGTAAAGTTATAAGTGGATTGTGTACCACCATTATAGTAATATAGTCTTCTGGGTTTGTCTATGAACTTAATTTTACATCTTGGGTTTTATATCTTGAAAAGTTTTCTTTTTGCACATTAGTGTTTTTTTTTTTTTTTTGTTTTTTTTTTTTTTTTTTTTTTTACAAATATTGTTTATTTTAATGAAGCTGGTACAGACAATGTCCATTTAAAACCCATATCCCAGGCCAAAAAGTACAAATAAAATCAAAAAGAGCAGTGTTCTGTTGTATTCATTTCTGCATGTATAGCTTTATTAATTGCTAATGAAAATTAGAACTTTTCTGGGATCTTCTGACAAGATTTTTAAAAAATCTTAAAATGCCTTTTCTTCAATGAAGCCATCTTTGGAGTTAGTCATTACTCTCTCCTTATCAGTTATCTTGACTTCAACCCGATATTCCTCTTCTTTTGGTCCAGACCCTCAAATTTAAGAGTAGCTTGAAGTTAAGGAAAGGTCATTTTTCCACAGTTTCAGTTCTCTGAAACACTTCCATCTCCCACTGAAAGTCACAGTCCAGGAGTGAAGTAATCACATGCTAGAACATCAGGGCCAATTCGCAAGTTATTATGAACGCTTGCATTGGTCAATCTTATTTATCACCACAAGCCTGAAAATGCAATGTCCTGAAAAAGGTGGGCTCTCTGTGCACACGTAATTTTTAAAAAGGAGAGGGTAATATGAAGGGGACTGAGGCTTGATCACCAAAAATCAGCACAATGAAAATAAACAATAATGAATAATGAGCACTAGAATTCAGATTACCAGATGTTTCAAAGAGATGGGGTGCCAGTTTTCAATTCCGTTTTTAACACCACATTACAAAAGAACTATTTTTAAAAATGAGAAAGGATTGAGGGAAAAGAAAAAAAATAAAAAGAATATCTAAACTGTTGAATGACCCCCCATTTGTTCCTGATAAACTTCAATCACATCTTCTTCCTCCATTCCCAGTTCTTTTGGAGTATGATTATCAGCAATTCTCTGACCCTCAAAGAGAAACCTGAATGAATTCATTGGAACGCCCTGTCTTTGACAGTATGATTCTTTGAGTTTCTTGAGATGTGTTGTCATTTTCACTTTGAAGTGAATCTCACTGCTATCCTGTCCAATGACTTTGAGTTTAATATATTCACCTTCCTTCTTATCCCCCAAGTCCTCAGTTGAAGGTTTTGCCTCCTGGTCAGACATGATGACAGTGGCTTCACCCGGGGGTCTCCGCACAGCAGCGGCCTCGGGTAAGCAGAACCTCACTCCGGGGTTTACAAATCCTTCTCCCTTCCCCACAGCACAACACCGCAGCTGCAGTAACTTCCGCTACCACATTAGTGTTTTTTTCTTTCAGATCGAAGAACTACTTTTAACACTTACTGTAAGATGGATCTGGTGGTGGTAAATTCTCACCTTTTGTTTGTATGGGAAATACTATCCTTCATATTTGGAAAATAAAATAATCTTGCTGGGTACAGTATTCTTAGATGTCAGGTTTTTTCTTTGAGCACTTGGAAAATGTCATTCCTCTCTCTCTTGGCCTGTATGGTTTGCATTGAAACATCTATTGCCAGACAAATTGGAGCTCCTTTGTGTGTTCTTTGCTTCTTTTCTGTTGTGTATTTTAGGATCCTTTCTTTGTCCTTGACTTTTGAGAGTTTGACTTTTATATGCCTTAGGGTAGTCTTACTTGGGTTGGACCTGTTTGGTGTTCTCAGGCCTTCCTGTACCTGGATATTTCTTCCTCAAGTTTTGGAAAATTTTCTGTAATTATTTCTTTGAATAAGCTTTCTACGCTTGCTCTTGCTTAGCTCCCTCTTGAAAACCAATCATTCTTTTTTTTTTTTTTTGAGACAGAATTTTGCTCTTGTTGGCCAGGCTGGAGTGCAATGGTGCGATCTCAGCTCACCATGACCTCCGCCTCCCGAGTTCAAGTGATTCTCCTCCCTCAGCCTCCCGAGTAGCTGGGATTATAGGCATGCACCACCACACCCGGCTAATTTTGTATTTTTAGTAGAGACAGGGTTTCTCCATGTTGGTTAGGGTGGTTGCAAACTCCTGACCTTAGATGATCCGCCCACCTCAGCCTCCCAAAGTGCTATGATTACAGGCATGAGCCACCACGCCAGCCAATTGTTCTTAAATTTGGTCTTTTGAGGCAATTTTCTGTATCTTGTAGTCTTGTAGGTAGTCTTTGTTCCTTTTCATTCTTTTTATTTTTTCCTCTGACTTCTTTTTTTTTCAAGACAGGGTCTTGCTCTGTCACCCAGGCTGGAGTGCAATGGTACAATCTCAGCTCACTGCAACCTCCACCTCCCGGGTTCAAGTGATTCTCCTGCCTCAGCCTCCCAAGTAGCTGGTATTACAGGCATCCACCACCAGGTCTGGCTAATTTTGGTATTTTTAGTAGAAACAGGGTTTCACTATGTCGGCCAGGCTGGTCTCGAACTCCTGACCTTGTGATCCACCCACCTCGGCCTCCCAAAGTGCTGGGATTATAGGTGTGAGCCACCATGCCCAGCCTGACTGTGTATTTTTCAAACAGCCAGTCTTCGAGCTCACTGATTTTTTTCCTCCACTTGGTCCAGTCTGCTATTCAGAGTCTCTAATGAGCTCTTCATTTCAGCAAATGTGTTTCTGTTTCAAGATTTCTGTTTGATTTGTTTTCATTGTTTCAATCTCTTTGTTAAACTTCTCTGGTAAATTTCTTAATTGTTTTTCAGCCATCTCTTGGCGATAACAGGGTTTCCTTTAAACTACCAGTTTTAATTCTTGGTCAGAGATCACAAATTGCTGTCATTTTAGGGTCAGTCATTGTATTTTTGCTTTGTCCTTGTGGGGAGGTTATGGTTCCCTGTTTGCTATTGTTTATTTTGGGTATACACCTATGTCTTTGTATTGAAAGATTAGTTACTTATTCCAGTTTTCTCTGTTTGGCTTGCTTTGGTTTTTATTGGATATATTTGCTTAGCAAATCTGTACTGCTAGGTCACTTCCTCCTCTTTGGCTTTAGGTGACACCTTAAGTCCGGGTTCACCTTGGCTTTAGTAAATGACCAGAGCATTGTCTGTCCTGAATGGGGAGGTCCCAAAGGGATTATCCCAGCTGTGTGTCAAGGCTGGCTAGAGGTTCGTGTATGGGCAGACCTGTGGAATATACTTCCTGCAATGCAGTGCTGCTGAGCAGCCACTCTGATTTGGCATCTCCTTTGGCCAAGTAACAGAGCAGAGTTTCTGGGGCTGGGTGTGATAGTCTTGCCTCCCCGCTTTCTCTCTGCCTGTCCTCAGGGATATTTCCCCTTTCAGGCAGTCGTGATGCTTCCCATGGGTTAAGTCAAGGTTAGATCTCCTGCCAGGGCACCCAGGAAGATGGGGAAGGTAGTTGACCTCCTCAGTCTCACTTTTTCCAGTGTAGAAACCATGAGTTGGGGGAGGGCCATTGCAGATGTGGAAATCAGATGCTCTTACCATCTGCTCAGAGTTTTTTCATCTCTCTGTGGCCCCAGGAACTGTCTCATTGTCATATTTGAGTTCTGGGTTGTTGCTGATGAAAATCTCAGCACTGTATATTTGTTTTGGGTTTTCTGTGGAGGGGAGTGAAGCCAGCTTGCTTCTATACCACTGTTTTGAAACTGAAAGTATTCCTTCTTTCCCTTTTTTCCTGTGGTGGTACCCTTATTTTGAGGAGTATGAACATAGAATTCATCCATTCATTTGACAAATATTTATTGAGTACCTCCTTTGTACTAGACTTTGTTTAAGGCTCTGGAGATACAGCGGTGACTAAAACAGATAAGGCCCCTGTCTGAAGGAGCTCATATTTGTTCTAAAATGGCAACTCCTAAAGTGGCAGGTCCCTGAAAAAAAGAAAAAATAACAAAAATTGAAAGGCCAACTAGGACAGTTGTTATCAGGACAGATAAAACAGGATAAAGGGATGGAGAATGATGAAAAAGAGGTGTTTGTTTTTTTGAGACAGGGTCTTGCTCTGTTGCCCAGCCTGGAGTTTGGTGGTGCATTCACGGCTCACTGCCGTCTTGACCTTTTGGGCTTGGGCGATCCTCCCCCTCAGCCTCCTGAGTAGCTGGGACTACAAACGTGCGCCACAACACCCAGTTAATTTTTGTATTTTTTGTAGAGATGGGGTTTTTTACCATGTTGCCCAGGCTGATCTCGAACTCCTAGGCTCAAGTGATCCCCCTACCTTAGCCTCCCAAAGTTCTGGGATTACAGGTGTGAGCCACCATGTCTGGCCAAGAGAAGAGGTTTTATAATCAATAAGAGGGTCAGAATGAAAGAACCAAGACATGTAAAGATTAAGAGACTTAAATGAAGAAGATTGCCATATTAGAAAGAAGTTGGCAATTTAGCATTCTGTAATAGTACTTAGTTCTTGATGAAGAGGATGTCATATCTCCAAATCCTAAAGTTATAGTAGTAGGGAATTGTGATGACCTAATTCTTTTTGTCCTTCAGAATCAAAGGCATGGGAGGTTGATACCTGCCGGGGCCATTACAACAATGTATCTTGTGCCGTCTTCCACCCTCGCCAAGAGTTGATCCTCAGCAATTCTGAGGACAAGAGTATTCGAGTCTGGGATATGTCTAAGCGGTAAGGTAGTCCTCAGTGTTGTGTGAACTTTCTCTTACTCTCTCTTTTAAAATTAGATTGGAATACTTCTTTATGTCTCTCATCATCTTCAGCATGTAGACAAATCAAATCATATATTATGAAAATTTGAAGAGACCTAGAGATCAGTCAACATTTACAAATTTTCCATCAAATAGAAATCTCCATGTATATTATTTTTTGCCTCTAAATTTAAACATGTTTTCTTCTTCCCCCTTTCCCCAGTTCTGTAGCTAGAGAAGTAAGAAATGCGGAATGAGGCCGGGCGCGGTGGCTCATGCCTGTAATCCCAGCACTTGGGAGGCTGAGGCGGGTGGATCACGAGGTCAGGAGATTGAGACCATCCTGGCTAACACAATGAAACCCCGTCTCTACTAAAAATACAAAAAATTAGCCGGGCGTGGTGGCGGGCGCCTGTAGTCCCAGCTACTCAGGAGGCTGAGGCAGAAGAATGGCATGAACCTGGGAGGTGGAGCTTGCAGTGAGCCGAGATCGCGCCACTGCACTCCAGCCTGGGCAACAGAGCGAGACTCCGTCTCAAAAAAAAAAAAATGCAGAATGAAAGCCATAAAATTATGCTGAAAAGGGGAAATCTATATATCATAATAATATGGTCAGTTTTGAAGTCTCCTCTTTTTGTTCCTTGGTAGAATTTATCACGACTACTGTTACTTAGGATATGCAGTTTACTCTCCCTGATTTACATTTTAATCAGCTTGCTGGCTTACCATTTAATATTCTTGTGTAGGATGGGCTGAAGATTCCTAGGAAATTAATGTTTTTCTTTTTGTGTACCTTTTCTAGGACTGGGGTTCAGACTTTCCGCAGAGACCATGATCGTTTCTGGGTCCTAGCTGCTCACCCTAACCTTAACCTCTTTGCAGCAGGTAAGGGCCATTTTCTCTCTTTTTTCTTTGCTTAATTCAAAGTTTATAAGTCTTGAAAGTGATTATTAGCTTTGTCTCTAGTAAATGTATAGTAGGATGACAAGAAGAAGAAGGACTCTCAGAGCCACTTAGTTGAAGCTTTTCTCCTTTTTTTCTTCCACTTTATATGTACGTAAAATGATGTGTGGTGAAAAATGCTTTGAAGAAAAATTAAAGGTAAGGCAGATAGAGACAGATGAGTATGGGGACTGCTGCTTTATATTGGGTGGTTCAGAAAAGTGAAAGGGTATGAGGCAATGGGAACAGCAAATGCAGAGACTGTGTTGTGAGAGGTGCTTAGCATGTCACCATCACATGCTAAGGAACACCAAAGAGGCCAGTTGGAGCACAGTGAGTAAGGGACTGAGTAACAGGTGAGGTCTGGCCAGATCGTGTATTGCCTTCTATGCCATGGTTAGAACTTAAGATTTTATTCTGAATACATGGAAAGCCATTGGAAGGTTTTGGGCAGGAAAGTGACATGATCTGGTTTATATTTGGAGAGCAGACAGTAGGAGAACAAGAGTGGAAGGGTTTTCTAAGGGATGATGGTGCTAGTAGGGAAAGAGCAAAACATTTTAAAAAACAGAATCACAAAGGGTTTTTAACATCCATTTTTTCAGTAAATACTTCTTATACTCTTTTTATATGCTAGAGACTGGGGAAGGATGGAAATTATAATTTCTGCCTTCAGGGAATTCATGTTACAATGTGGGTGATAGACCTAAATGATTACAGTGCAGGATGATAAGTACTGTAATGGAGGTTTGTACAAAGCATTAGGGGAACACAGAAAAGGGCAGTGTGGATAGTGACACTAAGTGTGGCAGTGTGAATAGTATTAGGAAAGGATTCACAGAGAATTATTTAAATAAAGATTCCAAGAATTGTGAGAATTTAGGCAAATAAGGGATGCATTCAGGTGTCTTGTCTTACAGATATAATCTTCATCCTTACGTATCTCCAATTTCCAGGTTTTTTTCTTGCCTACAGCTTAATTTTTTCTCCTCCTCTCCCTGTCCCCCAGGCCATGATGGTGGTATGATTGTGTTTAAGCTGGAACGGGAACGGCCAGCCTATGCTGTTCATGGCAATATGCTACACTATGTCAAGGACCGATTCTTACGACAGCTGGATTTCAACAGCTCCAAAGATGTAGCTGTGATGCAGTTGCGGAGGTAAATCGGACTTGTTTCTTTCCTCCAAACCCTCTCATCTGTCACCCTGATACAACTCCCACAAACAAGACTCTTCTTTTCTTTCTTTCA
Source organism: Homo sapiens (assembly GCF_000001405.40). Lineage (NCBI taxonomy): Eukaryota > Metazoa > Chordata > Mammalia > Primates > Hominidae > Homo > Homo sapiens. Next base: position 160,311,777 of record NC_000001.11, on the reverse strand, counting down.
TTTATTTATTTTATTTATTTAATTTTTTTTTGAGACGGAGTCTCGCTTTGTCGCCCAGGCTGGAGTGCAGTGGCGCGATCTCGGCTCACTGCAAGCTCCGCCTCCCGGGTTCACACCATTCTCCTGCCTCAGCCTCCCAAGTACTGGGACTACAGGCGCCCGCCACCACGCCTGGCTAATTTTTTGTATTTTTTAGTAGAGACGGTTTCACCATGTTAGCCAGGATGGTCTCAATCTCCTGACCTCATGATCTGCCTGGCTTGGCCTCCCAAAGTGCTGGGATTACAGGCGTGAGCCACCGCGCCCAGCCTATTTATTTATTTTTAAATTTTTTTTTTTTGAGATGGAGTCTCACTCTGTCACCCAGGCTGGAGCGCAGTGATGCAACCTCAGCTCACTGCAACCTCCACCTCCTGGGTTCAAGCAATTCTCCTGCCTCAGTCTCCCAAGTAGCTGGGATTACAGGTGTGCACCACCACACCTGGCTAATTTTGTATTTTGAGTAGAGACGGGGTTTCGCTGTGTTGGTCAGGCTGGCCTCGAACTCCTGACCTTGTGATCCGCCCACCTCGGCCTCCCAAAGTTCTGGGATTGCAGGCGTGAGCCACCGCACCCAACCAAGACTCTTCTTTTAAATGACATTTTGGATCTCGTATTCTGTCACAGATGGAATCCCCATTAGATGAGCCCGCTCAGTTTAAACCCAATGAGTGAGGGAGGCAAGGAAGTGGTCATGAGTAGAATGATAGTTCCCTTCTTGAGAATGCTAGTGACCTTGTGGATGGAAAATCATTCTGCCACAATTTGCTGGGTCTCTTGCAAGCCAGAGGAAGTTTCTTGATAGAGAATGGCCCAAACTGGTAACAGAACTTTTCGCCTTTGTTTGGCATTTCTTTTCTTTAACTCTCCCTTGCCTTCCAGCAAAAAGTGCACAACTCTGAACCAGAATATATGTCCCTGGAAACTCTTAATTCTGAAGATACAATAACCTCTGGGATGCCTGGCAAAAGGACCTGTCCTTTTGAAAAGCCAGCTGCATCAGCATGCTGAAACATTCATGGTGGCAAAATTTGGAATGAGGTTTTGATAACCACCCTTTAGCATCATTACAATAAAAAAATGGGTTTATGTGAATACTCCAAGGGACAGGAGAAACCAGCCAGAGACAAATCACATTATGTTACTCTGTGGTGTCCACTGCAATTACGTGTAGGAATTTGTATCCAAGCAGAACCAGTCCCACTCACTACAGTGAGTGTTAACCCTACCTACCTTCTGTTGAATAATTTGACTTCTACTATGGCTTACTTTTTAAAACTGTTTGTTCAAAGCTGAGCTAGGGAAGTTGCCAAGCCTTAAAGGAAGAGAATACAATATTTATTCATTTTATTCCTGATTATAAAAGTGATGAGTATATAGTGTAAAGATTGGATAAGTAGGAGGTGTGGGGGTGATTCCTTTCTTCCTTCTATTCTTATGCCTCTTCCCTGTTTTCTCCTTTTTCTATATATATCTCTAGTGGTTCCAAGTTTCCAGTATTCAATATGTCATACAATCCAGCAGAAAATGCAGTCCTGCTTTGTACAGTAAGTAACCTGTGGAGCCCTCCTAGGTTCTCCTCATTTTCCATAGGTCTCTTTCTTATGCCCTTAGGGAATCTTTAATGGCTTCTTAGAAACTATTTAATGGTCATTTTGTGAGAGCTGACACAGTGATCACTCAGAGACTCAAATCAGGTAGGTTTCAGTTGTCGTAAACATATTGAGCATTTGTGAACTGCCTATCTTTCCTAAAGCTGAACTTAATGGAGCATCAGAATGAATGACCCAGATCACTAGAAATAATTTGAGAGAATGTTTAGACTATATATATATATTTCCTATGGAAAGAAAATGTTTACCTTGATCCCTTCCTTTGGGTGAAAATAGAAGAACTATTATTTTGAGAGGAAGTTCATATCAGTGGGGTTGGCTTCAGAGTCATCAATGACTCCTCTCTGTTTCTTGCAACAGAATTTGCAAAAAAAAAAAAAAAAGAAATGACATTCTAATTTTAGTGCCCTCGTGGCCAAGTTAAAAGGAATGAAGTTAAATGTCTTTCCTCATATAACTATATTGTCTAATCTGTTCTTCTTTAATATCTAGTAGTCCCATACTCTGAGTTTTCTTGAGTGTTTTTTCTTTTCTTCTTTTTCCAATAAACATTTGCATTCCTATAGTGTCTTTTCTTTGATGTCTTTTTTTTTTCCTTTCCAGAGGTTGAGTACTCAGTTGATGAGTCCTCAGGGTGGGGTACCAGAATATCAGGGTCCTAGTCTGTTAATTTGTGGAGTAGAGAGCATTTCTTACTTTCATTCAGATAATATCTGCATCTTTGGAGGATAAAGAAAATAAAGTGACATCAGTGCTGATGTGTTTGGCAAAGAGCCCTATAACTCATAGATGTAGAAACAGTCAAATGCCCTCTGGGTGAAGGGTAAGAAAAGTATGGTTTCAGATTGGTGTCTGTGCAATGGAACTGTTTTCTCTGTCAGAGTAAATTGGAAAACTGGTATCTTGGGTGCTTCTCACTAACATTTTAATTTCCCCTTTTCTTCTACAGAGAGCTAGCAATCTAGAGAATAGTACCTATGACCTGTACACCATCCCTAAAGATGCTGACTCCCAGAATCCTGATGGTAAGTGTTCTTTTTGTCTACCCCACTCTGCTTCCAGCTCTCCTCACCCGCATCATAACTCCTCTTCAAGTTTTTCACATTCCATCCCCAAGCCATGGCCACATCACTCATGTCTGTTGGCAGGTGCTGCTGACAATTGCATCAGAGGCGACCATGGTGTGAAATATTCATGTTCCTCCTCCATTTTATTACCCCAGCTAGATATATATATTTTATAATTTGGTTATTAGAAACTCTCCATTCTCTCTTTCAGCACAGCATGTTATCCTAGTTTATTGTCAGTTGATATGACTTTCACCCTGGTAGTTTCATTTATTTAAAAATGTGGTTCCAATCTTATAATGCCTCATCCTGGGACTAGGGATTTATACTGTCCTATCCACATCCAGATCCGATTTGCTTCCTTTTGCATGTCAAAAAGATGAGGCTGCTAACAGCCCCACACCCCACCTGGGATCCCAGGATCCAGCTGAGACTCCTGCCTACCTCTTCCATTACCACTATCCCTTGTTGATGTCCTTGTGATTAGAACTTGCTGACAAAACATTCTCAGAATGGATTTGACTATTGCCTATGGTCTTTTGGGTGCACTTCTTCCAGCGGGTTTATGGCTAGTACCAGGTCAGAGATTTATTCTGCAGATCCCCACTCTTACTGGCATATTTTAATGATATTTTAGACCCCATCAACAGATTCCTAAGAAATAATTTGCTAGCTCTGTTTCTTTTGTGGGTGCCCCTGGGTTATTATTGTTGCTAATCGATCTCCTCTCTTTTAAATGTGTTCATAGTGAGAGAAAGAAAAGATATTTGTATTTGGTATCCATAAGTCAAAGTCTCCCTTATAAATTAGTCAGTTAAGCCATTTCTGACTAAATCTTATGGTTTGGTACCTCCCAACTAGCTCTTTGCTTTTTTTTTTCCCCATCTGTGTTTACAATTAATAGAATTTAAAATATTTTGTTTTGTTTTATTACCACTTTTATTTTCTGTACTTCATTTTTTGAGGGAGATAATAATAAAGGAGCAGCCCAGTGGTGGGCAACAGAGATGGGCTTGAATAATGCAGATTCCTGGCCCCTGGAAAACGGGAGTGTTGGTTTTGATAATAATTAGTTTCATAAATTGCCTGCCACTCCAGATGCCAGGGGCAAGACTGGCCAGCATGTTCTCTCCAGTTTTCTGCTGGTCTAATAGGTAAAAGAGTATTTTGATGCACCCTTCTGTTTATCCTTCTACAAGTTTCCCAGAGAATGGAGTGTCCATTTCAAAATTCTAATAAGCCACTGAACTGAGGAACATTTTGTAACTCTCTTCAGGGTGATAAGAATGGTCAGTTGACATTTACAGAGCAACAACTTGGTTCTAAATACCGCCCAGCACCAAGCTCTCCTGTCAAGATTTAGTTGGGAGTGCTCTGCCTCACCCTGCCCTACTAGGAAGTCTGCATTTGCATGTTAAAAGCAGCAGAGAGCAGCTGCATCCTGTGGAGGGGGTCCTATGACACAGGCTTGCTTTGCCGCAGCTTGGCCAGGGAGGCCCTGCTCGTTAGCTTGATGGAGTGTGCTGTCTCCCAAGATGGGCGGCCCTTCTGCCAGTACATGATGTTGGCTGAAATGCAACCACTTGGCCTAGAGAAAAGAGCCTTGGCAGGGGTGGTGGTTGGTGTTTGGAGGGGACTGGTGGGGAAAAGTCACTCAATAATAGCCCCAGGTTATGGCTGAATTAGTTAGGAAGCAGCTCAACTGGCAAAGCCAAGATGGCATCCAGCAAGACTGGCAGCTCCATGGCACCCGACTATGTCACCTGCCAGTGACTCACCACATGCTCCCACCCTTTGGTTTTGTTCTTCTCAGCGCCTGAAGGGAAACGATCCTCAGGCCTGACAGCCGTTTGGGTCGCTCGAAATCGGTTTGCTGTCCTAGATCGGATGCATTCGGTGAGTTAAGACTAAAAGCAGAAACTAATTTGGGGAGTGTGGTGGCAGTGGCCTGTGTATTGCAAAATAAAGACCATTGTTTTTTCTGTTCTCCCCCGGGCAGCCGTGATTCTCATGTATTGGCTGTACCTCTGTCTCTAGCCCTACACTAAGCCCTCTTGGGGGAATGGCATTAAAACTGATTTGATTGGGTTGATGATCGCCGTGGCTCTGGGTTTAAGAACCAAGCTAAAGTCACTCTTGACTACAGGAGCCCAAAACGCATCAAATCTGAAGTGAGTGGGCTGGATGAGGAAATTTCCCTCCTTCTGCTGCCTCCATTGTTACTTGAAATGTAATAGGTCCAGCACAAGATAAAGCACTCTGAAGAAAATATTTAACAAAATTTAAGCCCCAGAAACAGTGTTTTCTCTCTCTCATTCATTGAGAAATTCAGACTTTAGTTGGGACTTCTCAGGATGTTTTAGTTGGAGGAGAAAAAATAATGTATTAAGGCCCTTAGAGAAGATCTTGGTTGGCATGGTCTGTCTGCAGTGGTAATTGACATGGACAGGACAAAAAATACTTAGTTAATTGAAGCTAAGGAACAATTGCTGAGGAACATCATCAGTTGTCATCATCATCTATACACATTTCTTCTCTTAACCCCATCTTTAATACTTATTGCAGCTTCTGATCAAGAATCTGAAGAATGAGATCACCAAAAAGGTACAGGTGCCCAACTGTGATGAGATCTTCTATGCTGGCACAGGCAATCTCCTGCTTCGAGATGCGGACTCTATCACACTCTTTGACGTACAGCAGAAGCGGTAACATATCAGGTGCCCCTAAGCAGACAGCCCTGTAGTTGGGGAGAGTGGACATCTTTAGTGGGAACCTTTTTTCCCCAAGTGAGTTTGTCTTGTGGCTTGGCCACTTCTTGTGCTCCAAGACTCTTTATAGTAACTTTTCCCTTCTGTGATCACTCTCCATTCTTCACGTCCACACTAGCATTACAGTGAGATTCTTGGTTATTTATCTGTTTTTACAGTACTTACCTGAACAAAGCGTGTTCTCCGAGCTTAGAATGAGAGAGAGACAGAGATTAATAACATAGTTCCTACATTTAAGGGAGCTTGCAGTCCAGTGGTGAAAACAGACATACACAGATTCCCTAATAATACAAGGAAATGAGGGAGAGGGGGTTGAGGAAGGGGTAAGTGCACAATGTGAGCCAAAATGTTTAAGTCACTGAGCTACTATGTAGGAATTACATTAAGTATTTTATGTAATTAGAATTACATTAAGAAATTGGGGTTTACATTAATTAGAGGGTGCAATTGATGTAGATCAAAGCCTGAGACAAGGGAAATAGATCCATTCATGTTTGCACATCTCTATCTATCTCAGGACTCTGGCATCTGTGAAGATTTCTAAAGTGAAATACGTTATCTGGTCAGCAGACATGTCACATGTAGCACTACTAGCCAAACACGGTGAGTCTTCATTATATCCACCCTGATTTAGAGACCATTCCCTTCCACCCCGATCCCTGCCAGTCTACGGCACTTACCCTATCCAACAGAACACTCATGCCCTTTGCCTCTTACAGCCATTGTGATCTGTAACCGCAAACTGGATGCTTTATGTAACATTCATGAGAACATTCGTGTCAAGAGTGGGGCCTGGGATGAGAGTGGGGTATTTATCTATACCACAAGCAACCACATCAAATATGCTGTCACCACTGGGTAAGTTAATTATCTGGGATACAGAATGGGAGAAGACAGCTTCCTGAAATCACTGTCTTGTCTTGAGATGTAACTGAAGTCCTCCATGAATTTTCTTCATGGAAAAGCCTTACCTGGCATATATGTGCAAGGGGCATCAGAACATTCTTTTTTCAACTTTTTTAAAATTGAGAAATCTAAAACAAATATAGACAATTACATTAAAAAAAAATAGAATAACAAATAAGTTATGTAGTGAACATCAGCATAACTACCACCCAAGTCAAAAAATAGAACAGTTCCGGCACCCCAGAAGCCCTTTGCCACGTGGTCACAACCCTCCCTGTTTCCACCAACAGTAACATTCTAGTTTTTACAGTAATTTCTTCCTTGCTTTTCTTTGTAATTTTACTGCCCTGTGTTTCTTAATATGATTTAGTTTTGCCTGGTTTTGCCTTCATATAAATGAAATCATACTGAATATATTATTTCATATTTTGCCCAATATTTTGTTTGTAAGATTCATCCATCTTGTAGCTCCAATGTATTTATTTTCATTTTTGTATAATTATATGATTATGCCACAGTTTGTCAGTTCTACTCTTAAGGAATATTTGAGTGAATTCTAGTTTTTGGCTTGTATGAACAATGCTCTTAAACATTCTTTTTTACCTGTTTTCTGGGGTACATGTACATACATTTCTCTAGAGTGTATCCCCAGAATAGAATTGCTAGGCCATGGATTATGCATATCTTCACATTTATTAGGCAATGTGAAACTGCTTTTCTTTTTTTTCTGAAACGGAGTCTCGCCCAGGCTGGAGTGCAGTGGTGTGACCTTGGCTCACTGCAACCTCCGCCTCCTGGGTTCAAGTGATTCTCCTGCCTCAGCCTCCCGAGTAGCTGGGATTACAGGCACACACCACCACACCCAGCTAATTTTTGTATTTTTAGTAGAGACAGGGTTTCACCATGTTGGCCAGGCTGGTTTTGAGCTCTTGACCTTGTGATCTGCCCACCTTGGCCCCCCAAAGTGCTGGGATTACAGGCGTGAGCCACCGCGCCCAGCTGTGAAACTGCTTTTCAAAGTGATTGTACCAATTTGCATGCCCACCAGCTTGGTATAAAAATTTCCTTTTGGGTTGGGCGTGGTGGCTCACGTCTGTAATCCCAGCACTTTGGGAGGCTGAGGCAGGCAGATCACTGGAGGTCAGGAGTTCAAGACCAGCCTGAGCAACATGGAGAAACCCTCTCTCCTAAAAATAAAAAAAAATTAGCTGGGTGTGGTGGTGGTGCCTGTAATCCCAGCTACTCCGGAGGCTGAGGCAGGAGAATCACTTGAACCCAGGAGGCAAAGGCTGCAGTGATCCATGGTCGTACCATTGCACTCCAGCCTGGGCAACGAGCGAAACTCTGTCTCAAAAAAAAAAGAACAAAAAATTTCCTTTCTTGTCTTCTTGACAAGTTTGGTGAGACTTATTTTTGTCCATCTGATGGATGCGTAATGGTATCTCCTTGTAATTTTGTTTTGCTGTTCTCTGTTTCCTAATGAGATTGAGCACCTTTTCATCTGGCCATCCAGTAGGATTTCCTCTTATGTGAATTCTGTTCAAATCTTTAATCTATTTTATATTATCTTTCTTTTTTGCATGTCAGTCCTTTGTCAGAGCTACATGTTGCAAATATTAGTATCTCCTCTTTTGTAGCATGTCTTCTGATTTTCTTTATGGTATCCTTTAATGAACAGTCTTAATTTCAATGTAGTTGAGTTTATGAATCTTTATCTTTTATGGATATTAGGTTTCATCCTATTTTTAAAATATTTATTGACTCCCAAATCATAAAGCCATTCTTCTGTATTCTTCTGTAAAAACATTGTAACTTTGCTTTTTATATCTAGGTCTATAATCTACCTGACATTGATAGTTATGTATGGTGTGAGGTATAGAAAGCTCAATCCCACTTTTTCCATAAGGACACTCAATTGCCCAGCAGCATTATTGAAAAGACCGTTCTTTCTCCATTGTTCTGCAGTCTCGTCTTTGTTATACATAAATCATGTTTTCAAATGTGGTCTGTCTATCTCTGCTCTAATTCCACACTGTCTTAAATAATGTAGCTTTATGATAAATCTTCACATCTGGTACAACTTTTCCTTTGATCCTATTTTGTTTATTTTTTAAAAGTCGTTAGGGTATTTTCAAGTAAATTTTGCCTTCTCACGTAAGTTTTGTTGTTGTTGTTGTTGCTGTTTTGAGATGGAGTCTCACTCTGTTGCCCAGGCTGGAGTACAGTGGCGTAATCTTGGCTCACTGCAACCTCTGCTTCCCAGGTTCAAGTGATTCTCCTGTCTCCCAGGTTCAAGTGATTCTCCTGCCTCAGCCTCCTGAGTAGCTGGTATTATAGGCGCATGCCACCACACCCAGCTAATACTTGTATTTTGAGTAGAGATGGGGTTTCACCATATTGGCCAGGCTGGTCTCGAACTCCTGACCTCAAGCCATCCTCCCACATCAGCTTCCCAAAGTGCTGGGATTGCAGGCATTAGCCACCATGCCCGGCCCTTCATATAAGTTTTTAAAGTAACTTGTGAAATTCCGGGCCCAGCACGGTCGCTCACGCCTGTAATCCCAGCACTTTGGGAGGCTGAGGCGGGTGGATCACGAGGTCAGGAGATCGAGACCATCCTGGCTAACACGGTGAAACCCCATCTCTACTAAAAATACAAAAAGCTAGCTGGGCGTGGTGGTGGGCGCCTGTAGTCCCAGCTGCTCAGGAGGCTGATGCAGGAGAATGGCATGAACCTGGGAGGCGGAGGTTGCAGTGAGCTGAGATCGCGCCACTGCACTCCAACCTGGGCGACAGAGTGAGACTCCATCTCAAAAAAAAAAAAAAAAAAAAAAAGTAACTTGTGAAATTCCACACAAAAAAAGTTTGTGGTTTCGTTTGGAATTGCATTAATTCTCTACATCAGTTGGGGGATAACTGTCATCTTTACAGTCCTTACAGTGTTCAGTTTCCTAATCTGTGAACTTGGTATAGCAGCTCTTCATTCATTTAGGTCTTCTGAAACATCCTTCAATAAAGTTTTATAGTTTTCTCTATAGAGATCTTGCATTTCTTTGGTTAGATTTATTAGACACTTGATGGTTTTAAAATTCTGTTTGTAAATGGATAATATCTATTTAAAATTTTAATTTTCTAATTTTGTTGATATTTAGAAATACAGTTAATTCAATTTAAATACAATAAAATCAATTTAAAATTGATTTTAGGAATCTTGCTAGACTCTTATCAATTCCAGGATTTATTTCTATTTCCTTTACAAATAATCATAGTATCTGTGGGTAATGACAATTTAGTTTCTCTTTCAAGTACTTATATATTACTATATTTTTCTTGCTTACTGCACTGACTAGGATCTCCAGCAATGTGGAATTAACATGATGACAGCAAACATTCTTGTCTTATTCCTAACTTAAAGGGTGAACTTTCAGTGTGTTAGAATTATGTGAGCTTACAGTAGATTTTTAAAATGTATATCCCTTTTCTATGAAGGAATTTTGCTATTTCTTTTTGCTAAGAGTTTTTTTTTTTACCTTGGTAAAATTCAACATTTACCAACCTAAATGTTGAATTTATTTATTTATATCTATTTATTAAATTAATGTAATTTAACTATTTTTGGCAGAGAGTCTCACTCTGTTGCCCATTGTGTAGTGGCACAATCTTGGCTCACTGCAACCTCTGCCTCCTGGGCTCAAGTTATCCTCCCAGCTCAGCCTCCCAAGTAGCTGAGACTACAGGCATATGCCACCATGCCCAGCTCATTTTTGTTTTTTTTGTAGTGATGGGGTTTCACCATGTTGCTCAGGCTGGTCTTGAACTCCTGGGCTCAAGCAGTCGGCCTGCCGTGGCCTCCCAGAGTGTTGAGATTACAGGCATGAGCCACCATGCCCGGCCTAAATATTGAATTTTATTAAATAACTTTTCTGCATATACAGGTTGAGTGTCCCTTACTTGACATGCTTGAAACCAGAATTATTTTATATTTCTGATTTTTTTCTGATTTTGGAATATTTGTGTTACTGATTGAACATCCCACATCCAAAAATCTGAAATCCATACTGCTCCAATGAACATTTCCTTTGAGTGTCACTTCAGTGCTCAGTTTTGGATTTTGGAGCATTTCAGATTTCCTGTTTGGGATGCTCAGCCAGCATTGGGGTAGTCATACAATTTTTCTCCTTTCATTGATTAATGTAGTGAATTAAATTGATTTTTTTTTATTTTTTATTTTTTTTGAGACAGAGTCTCACCCCAGGCTGGAGTACAGTGGCATGACCTCAGCTCACTGCAACCTCCACCTCCCGGGTTCAAGCACCTCAGCTCACTGCAACCTCCACCTCCCGGGTTCAAGCAATTCTTGTGCATCAGTCTCCCAAGTAGCTGGGATTATAGGCATGAGCCATTACGCCTGGCTAATTTTGAATTTTTAATAGAGATGAGGTTTTGCCGTGTTGTTCAGGTTGGTCTTGAACTCCTGACCTCAGGTGATCCGCCTGCCTCAGCCTCCCAAAGTGCTGGGATTACAGGCATGAGCCACTGTGCCCAGCTGATTTTTTATAAATGTTAAATCAACACTATATTCCTGATGTAAACCTAACTTGGTCTTGATATTTTTACCCTTTTCAAATATTGCTAGCTTTAGGTTGCTAATATTTTACTTATGTTTTCACATATTTATAAGTGAGATTACCTGTAATTTTCCCTTTTCTTACTGTCCTTGTTAGGTTTTAGTATCAAGGTTGTGTGAATTTCATAAAGCAAAGTAATGTATTTTTTCTGTTCCCTCAATGAGTTTGCATACAACTGGAATTAATTCTTCCTTGAATATTGGTTAGAATTTGCCCTTGAAGTCATATGGACATAGGACTTTCTCTATGGGAGGATTTTAAAAATCTGATTCAGTTTATTTAGCCATTATAGGACTATAGGTGTTTTCTATTTATTTTTGATTCAACTTTGGCAAATTTTATTTTTTAGGAGTTTGATCCTTCTATTTATTTATTTATTTATTTATTTATTTATTTATTTATTTATTTATTTTGAGTCGGAGTCTCACTCCCAGTCTCACCCAGGCTGGAGTGCAATGGTACGACCTCGGCTCACGGCAACCTCCGTCTCTCGGGTTCAAGTGACTCTCCTGCCTCAGCCTTCCGAGTAGTTGGGATTACAGACATGCACCACCACTCCTGGCTAATTTTTGTATTTTTAGTAGAGACGGGGTTTCACCATGTTGGCCAGGCTGGTCTTGAACTCCTGGCTTCATGTGATCTACCCGCCTCGGCCTCCCAAAGTGCTGGGATTATAGATGTGAGCCACTGTACCTGGCCAGTTTGATTCTCTTAAAAAGTTACATCTTTATTCTGCAAGATCTGTAGTGATATCCCCTTTTTCATTCCTATTGTTTTCTTTTCTCTGAATTACCCTCATGAGAGGCTTATCAATTTTATTCAAGTTTTGCTTTCATTGAACTTCTCTACTGTAGTTTTTGTTTTTTATTTAATTTCTACTATTGGCTTCATTATTTTCTTCTAAGTACTTTCTTTGGCTTAAAAAGAACAGTAAATTTTTTGAGATGACTGCTTGTTAATTTTCAGTTTCTCCTAATATATGCATGTAGAACCCAATAATTTTTAATATTTCTTCTAATGCAGTCTGTAAATTATCTGTTAAATGTTGCATTAGCTATATTGACAAACTTCAATTTGCAATCTATTTATTATTATTCAGTTCAAAATACTTTGTTTTTTATTATTTCTTTATCAGAACTCTTCACATCTACCTCTCTTCTACTTTCAGTTATAGATTATAAAGGAGTTACCTGTCCATAATCACCTACTGATTATATATCAGAACTTAAGATTTAACTTTTAGGTCTGATTCCTATAGCCACATCTGTTACTCATCTTCTAGGATAATAGCATATAAAGATCGTGCCATCTACCCCATCGTAGAAAGAATATGATAAATTTGGCATTTAGTTCTGCTCTTTTTTGAATCACTTCCCATCTATATCATTGTTCAAATGGCACTTGACAAAAGACCGTTTCCTAGGTTTGTTCCGTTTCTTCACAGGATGGATTTTCCCTCTCACTTACTGAAAGCTGTGCCCTCTGTTCTTAGGGACCACGGGATCATTCGAACTCTGGATTTACCCATCTATGTCACACGGGTGAAGGGCAACAATGTATACTGCCTAGACAGGGAGTGTCGTCCCCGGGTACTCACCATTGATCCCACTGAGTTCAAATTCAAGCTGGCCCTGATCAACAGAAAATATGATGAGGTATGAAGTGAGGATGCAAACTAGAGTATTAAGAGAGGCAGCACTCTTTTTTTTTTTCTTTTCCTGTAAGTGATGTCTACTTCTTGCCCGACTCCACCCCAAATGTCTAGGTACTGCACATGGTGAGGAATGCCAAACTAGTTGGCCAGTCTATTATTGCTTATCTCCAGAAGAAGGGCTATCCTGAAGTGGCACTGCATTTTGTCAAGGATGAGAAAACTCGCTTTAGTCTGGCACTGGAGTGTGGAAACATTGAGGTGAGAGGAATATGGTCATCAGCCCCATATTGTCTTAGAGGTGAGAGAGTTAGAGTGCCATTGGGAGGGCATTATTCTGGGCTTGCTTCTTTAGCCAGAATAATGAAATTTGGGATTTTTTTTAGTTGTTACATTGAGCCATCTTCCTGTTGCTATTTGCCCATCTCTACTTTTACCTGCCTCTGCTTCTGCCACCGCATTTCTATTTTTGTCAACCTCAATTAGTGTGAATTCAGTAACTTCTAGGATAAAAGCAAGATGGCATGGAATTTGAAAATCTTATTATTTCCTTGACACTTGATCTTGCTGACTGGCTACTTAGATGAAAGAGTACCTACTAAGCGTTGGGGCCTAGAATGTATAGGCATTGTTTTCTAAGGCGAAAAGAGCTTATGAAAACGTTTTCCAGTTCTGAACTTCTTCCTAGTAGTATTTCTTCTGTCTTTGCTAAAGCCCCTGTGGATCTTCAAACCTGGCAGGTGGGAAGTAAGGTAGCTAAGCAAGAACTGGCTCTATGGAATCAGCAACTGCTAGGTGGTTTTGTTGTAAAAGTAAATTTCTGAGGAGGAGGAGGAGGATAATGCGATGTAATTATTTCCATCTCTGTATCCAAAGGGGTCCTATGTGTTCACTGGATTTTCTTTTTTTTTTTTTCTTTTTTTTGAGGCGGAGTCTCGCTCTTGTTGCCCAGGCTGGAGTGCAATGGCATGATCTCGGCTCACTGCAACCTCCGCCTCCTGGGTCCAAGCGATTCTCCTGCCTCAGCTTCCCGAGTAGGTGGGACTACAGGCGTGCACCATGATTCCCAGCTAATTTTTTTTGTATTTTTAGTAGAGACAGGGTTTCACCATGTTGGCCAGGATGGTCTCGAGCTCTTGACCTCGGGATCCGCCTGCCTTGGCCTCCCAAAGTGCTGGGATTACAGATGTGAGCCACCGCACCCAGCCGATTTTCAATGGAATTAGACTAAAAGCTAGGAGTAATTGAAAGTATAGGAAGTTCTTCAGGAAATCTATATAGATGCAGATGCTTTGCAGAGTCCTTGGTTTTGAGTCACATTGTCCTTCAACCTGTTAACACGACCCTGGGGATTCTTTAGATTGCTCTGGAAGCAGCCAAAGCACTGGATGACAAGAACTGCTGGGAAAAGCTGGGAGAAGTGGCCCTGCTGCAGGGGAACCACCAGATTGTGGAAATGTGCTATCAGCGTACCAAAAACTTTGACAAACTTTCCTTCCTGTATCTTATCACTGGCAACTTAGAAAAACTTCGCAAGATGATGAAGATTGGTGAGGCCCTCAAACTAAGGATGGGAAGAGGGGTTCTTGGGGGAAGGAGGAAGGTGAATTAAGGAGAAAGAGAACTTAAGAGAAAAGACCTAACTTGGTGTCTCTTACTTGGTGCAGCTGAGATCAGAAAGGACATGAGTGGCCACTATCAGAATGCCCTATACCTGGGTGATGTGTCAGAGCGTGTGCGGATCCTGAAGAACTGTGGACAGAGTAAGTATCCGAGACTTGCCAGCTTTTTCAGGGTCTGAGGAAGTATTTTTCTGTTTTTGTTGAGTTAATCTGTGTATAGTGGTGAGGGATTTCTCTTTATTGTGCATTTTTTTAGGAGAGACAACATGCTCCTACTGTGCTTAGAAGATTTTCTTCAAAGCCAAAGGGAGGTGCAGCCAGAATATTCAGTCCAGCCAAACACCCTTAGGAGAATAGTTATTCATGGGGGAGATAGGAGGTTTTAAAAGGTCTTGAGTGGACGCCCTAGTAAATGCACTTGGTTGGATGCCATTAGAATTTTATTCTTTATTTTCAGTTTGGAGGTTTCACTCATTTATTCATGTATATAGTCAAGGGATATTTTTTGAGAACCCACTATATACCAAGCATTATATTAGCATTTAAGATACATTAGGAAACAAGCAAGGTGAAAGATGAGGTTTGGACCAAGGCGCTATTAGTGGAGGGGTGAGCAGTGGTCAGATTCAGGATATATTTTAAGGTAGAAACAACATGATTTATTGCGGTAACTAGATTTGAGATGTAACAGAGAGGAGTCAGGGATATCCAAGGTTCTCAGCACGGATGGATACGTCTCAAAGATAAGCAGCTATATTAGTTCTCTATTTCTGTGTAACAAATTATCCCCAAATTTAGTAGTTTAAAACCACAAACATTTATTATTTCACAATTTGTGGCATGGCTTAGCTAGGTGCCTCCGGCTTAGGATCTCTCATGAGGCTACAGTCAAAGTGTTGGCCAGAACTGCAGATATCTGAAGACTCACCGGGGAGAGAATCTACTTCTGCACTCACTCAATGGCCATTGGCAGCCCCCATGTCCTTGCTCCCTGTTGTCTAAGAAACATCACTTTCTTTTCGTGTTGACCTCTCCATAGGAGTTTGTAACGTGGTAGCTAGTTTCCCTTACAGCAAGTGAGCAAAAGAGGGCACCCCAAGATAGAAGCCACAATCTTTGTAACCAGATCTAGGAAGTAACATCCCATCACATCTGCCATGTTCCATCCATTAGAAGCTATTTAATAAATCCAGCCCACACTTAAGAGGTGGGTATTTTGCAACAACTTGAATACCAGGAGTCAGGGATTACTGGGGGGCCATTTCAGAGGTTGCTTACCACAGCAGCATGCATTTGGAAATGTACCTATACCACAAAGTCTGTTTTCTCTACAGAGTCCCTGGCCTATCTCACAGCTGCTACCCATGGCTTAGATGAAGAAGCTGAGAGCCTAAAGGAGACATTTGACCCAGAGAAGGAGACAGTGAGTCTTTATTTACATAATTGTCTCTTATTACAGGATTAACTCTAGGATCTTAGAACAATTTAAAATTATGAATGTCACTCTCCCACCTGGTTACCAGGAGAGGCAGAGAAACAAATGAGATCAAAGGAGGCTCCATAACTTTCCTTACGTGACTTCCAAGTGCTATTTGTTTTTAGCCTCTTTTCTTCTACTATTCAGATCCCAGACATTGACCCTAATGCCAAGCTGCTCCAGCCACCTGCACCTATCATGCCATTGGATACCAATTGGCCTTTATTGACTGTATCCAAAGGATTTTTTGAAGGCACCATTGCCAGCAAAGGTAAGTACCTATTTCTCCCATAGCACTTTTGTTGTTTGTTTTGTGAAGAACTGTCCTAGAGAATACCATTAGCATTTAGTTTAACTTGTCCTTTTTTTCTGCATGGAGCCTAATGGAATATTGAAATGCCAGTCATTTATGGTGCAGTCTTAAAAACTTAAGATAGCATTTTCAGGTCATTAAAGAAAATTTGGAAAATAGGGAGAAAAAAAGGGATCCCTCTACTACCATCAATAACTTCGGTTAATATTTTGGTGTATTTTCTTAGGTTTTACTATATATGTAGTCATGTTCTTTGTTCAGTATTTTATCATTCATGACATACAATCTTAAAGGTACTAATTCAACTACCTGTAATTCCGGTATGTGGGTATAGGCAGATGTGTGCTATCACCCTCCACCACTTCCACCCTTAACCTCCTCCTGTTTTCTGGGTCTCCTAGTTCATTTCCCGTGAGTAAGAGCCTAAACAGACTCTTGAGCATTTTGTGCCAAACCCCACTCTTTTCTCCACCTCCTCTATCTACCCTATGCCTGATGCCCTGTACACATTGTAGTGGTGGTAGCTTAGCAAAGCGCTCAGGAAGAAATTCAAGAGTTGGTAGCCAAAGGCTGGTAAGTACAAATTATTTAAGAGCCAGTTTTTGGTAGCAGGAAGGCCAGTTCCTTCCATCTGTCTTCTATTCCCTCCCTCTGTGAAAGCTACTGCAAGTTAGCATAACATATATACCACAAAAATAAATAATACACAAAAATAAATAGTAAGTAGGCAGAAGCTTGGCACCTGTTTTTGAAAGGATTTAACCTGCCTACAGAAAAGGCCGTATCTCAGACTTGCTGGACTATAACCAGTTCCGTTCTGTTCCTTCCCTCTGTAGGGAAGGGAGGAGCACTGGCTGCTGACATTGACATTGACACTGTTGGTACAGAGGGCTGGGGAGAGGATGCAGAGCTGCAGTTGGATGAAGGTAAAAGTGCTGTTTTAAGACTGTTCTGGGGTGATGGACACCTTGGATTGGGACTGGGTTGTGGGTAGCTCTGCAGACTTCCAGGCCATGAAACGAACTAGGATTGATTTTACTTCCTTTGGCTAAGATTATGCCACTGCCCAAATCTGTTTTGAGCTTGAATTTTCCTTACAGATGGGTTTGTGGAGGCTACAGAAGGTTTGGGGGATGATGCTCTTGGCAAGGGACAGGAAGAAGGAGGTGGCTGGGATGTAGAAGAAGATCTGGAGCTCCCTCCTGAGCTGGTATGTGGAATTTGTACCCTTAGAAGGTTCTCTCCGTATCTCCCTGTGGAAGCCAGAGGCCTTATTGTCCCCTACCACTATCCTCAGGTCTCCTATCCTATCCCCTACCACTATCCTAAGGTCAGCCCTTCTGGGAAGGGGACTAGACCCTCCTAGTCTGATGCTTATCTCCCATTTGAAAGAAGGAAGATGGCTGGGCACGGTGACTCATGCCTGTAATCCCAGCACTTTGGGAGGCTAAGGCAGGACAATTGCTTGAGCCCAGGAGTTCAAGACCAGCCTGGGCACCATAGCAAGACCCTGTCTCTATTTTAAAAAGTAAAAGAAGCAGGAAGAACGAGAGAGTCAAAGTTAGTGGCCTTGTCACTTCCATCTATCCTGATATGCTCCAAGAGGAGAGGATGTAGGACTTATCTCTAATCTGATGCTTAACTCCCATTTGAAAGAAAGAAGAATGAGGTAATCAGCGTTCTGCCAGCAGCAGCTTATGAGAAGGTAGCAAGCTGTTTCATCTGAATTGGAGTTTTTGATATGTCATTTTGTCACTGGTGAGGTGGCTCCTATTTTGGCAGCCTTCTCCCACAACTATCACCCCTCTTCCTCAGTGGGGGCAGGGAACAATGTAAATGGTTGTGTTCTAGATTCAACAGAACAAAGTGCTTGAATGGCTTAAAAAATTACTCAATTTGGCTGGGCACAGTGGCTCACGCCTGTAATGCTAGCACTTTGGGAGGCTGAGCCAGGCAGATCACTTGAACTCAGGAGTTGGAGACCAGCCTGGGCAACATGGCAAAACCCCATCTCTACAAAAAAATACAAAAATTAGCCAGGTGTGGTGACTCATGCCTGCAGTCCCAGCTACTCGGGAAGCTGAGGTTGGAGGATTGCTTGAGCATGGGAGGCAGAGGTTGCAGTGTGCCGAGATCATGCCTCTGTACTCCAGTCTAGGTGACAGAGTGTGACCCTGTCTCAAAAAAAAAAAAAAAATTACTCAATACTCAATTTTTGTTTTTCCCCTAGGATATATCCCCTGGGGCAGCTGGTGGGGCTGAAGATGGTTTCTTTGTGCCCCCAACCAAGGGAACAAGTCCAACTCAGGTAAGCGGGAAGAAACCTAGCACGGCAGGGATGAGTGGCTAATACTTGATTGGTATATAACAGGTGTTGGCTACTTTTCTACTATAGTTACAGAGGAGAATAGAGAAGGGACAAAGTTTCACTTGGCTTGGGTTTTTTTGTTTCTTGTTAGATCTGGTGTAATAACTCTCAGCTTCCAGTTGATCACATCCTGGCAGGCTCTTTCGAAACAGCCATGCGGGTAAGTAACCTTGGCTTTTCCTCTTGAGTGTGCCTAGCCCAGGGTCCCCGGGAGATGGTTGACTCATTTTAATCAAGGGAAATTATCCTACCCATAAGGGGAAAGGTGTATATTTTTCATGAAAACTCTTTATCTTTGTTAAGTACACTTGCCTTCCTGTTATCTGCCTTCCACTTGGCCTAGTAATCTCTTAGGGCATATCCTTCAGTCATCTTCCACCCATTTATAGCTTGCTTTCTGGCTCATATCAGTGAGATAAGTACCCCTTTCCAAGCAGAGGTCTGTTTTGAACACTAAGCCAGTATTGTTATAATAACAACAATAATGATAACACTGCAATAACTGCTAACGTTTATTTAATGTTCACTGTGTGCCAGGCACTATCCTAAATACTTTAATAGGTATCATTAAATGAGGTAGGTCTTACAATTAAGTGTATTTTACTGATGAGGAAACGTGAACAGAGAAATTAATTACCTTGCCCAAGGAAAAGTAGCTTTTTATGCAGCAGGGCCAAAATCCTTGTTTCTTTCCTTCTGTTCCAGCTCCTTCATGACCAAGTAGGGGTAATCCAGTTTGGCCCCTACAAGCAACTGTTCCTACAGACATACGCCCGAGGCCGCACAACCTATCAGGCTCTGCCCTGCCTACCCTCCATGTATGGCTATCCTAATCGCAACTGGTAAGGCCCTTTTCTCTTTGCTTTCATCTGTTCCAAGTTGTGGTCGATATTTCAGATGGTAGCCTCAGTGACATAGTCAGAATTCTCTCAGAGCTAGGGTTTCCCAGTAGAAAAAGATCTTTGGTTTGTTACTCTATGGGGTTGGTTTACACCTGCTGTCATCCTCTTCCCCAGCTACTTTAACAGGAGACAGGAGGGTAGCTATGAGGATGTTTGCCAGAAAAGGAAATTGGGTCCTAGTTGCCTACTGACTATCCTGTCTTCTTCCTACTTTTCCCTTTCCAGGAAGGATGCAGGGCTGAAGAATGGTGTACCAGCTGTGGGCCTGAAGCTTAATGACCTCATCCAACGGTTGCAGCTGTGCTACCAGCTCACCACAGTTGGCAAATTTGAGGAGGCTGTGGAAAAATTCCGTTCCATCCTTCTCAGTGTGCCACTTCTTGTTGTGGACAATAAACAAGAGATTGCAGAGGTAGGAGGGTCTAGCCGCTGTCCCAGTTCTGGGCACTTCCACATTCTTGTCTCTGTATCCTGACCTTCTGCCCCCTCTACAGGCCCAGCAGCTCATCACCATTTGCCGTGAGTACATTGTGGGTTTGTCCGTGGAGACAGAAAGGAAGAAGCTGCCCAAAGAGACTCTAGAACAGCAGAAGCGCATCTGTGAGGTAAGATCTATAGGACCCTGAGCACAACAGAGACGTCCTTCCCTTCACCCTTCACTAGGTTTGAATTCTTTAATTTCAAACCCAGATCTGAGTGGGGATGAAGAGAAATTTAGGCCCTTCATTTCTATGAGGGGAGGATACATTTCTTCATCCTACTTCCTCATCTCACCAGTCCTCCATACCTAGGAGGTAGAAGACCTCTCAGCTTTATAGCCCATCATCCTATTTTGTGTTGTGTTTTTTATGCATGTGTAGCAGCTTAGAAATGACTTCTACCAGGTGTAGCATCAACCTGGCATGTGTTCCTTTTTCTGTCCACCAGATGGCAGCCTATTTCACCCACTCAAACCTGCAGCCTGTGCACATGATCCTGGTGCTGCGTACAGCCCTCAATCTGTTCTTCAAGCTCAAGAACTTCAAGACAGCTGCCACCTTTGCTCGGCGCCTACTAGAACTCGGGCCCAAGCCTGAGGTGGCCCAACAGGTAGATGGAACTCCTTCAGTGACCATAGGGAAGCCAGATCAGCTCTTACATGGAGGGAGCAGACCAAGGTCCTTGCCTCTGAAACAAAGCAATAAATAACAACATTCAACAAAAAGCCAACAGAATGCTACCCTCTGTTTACTTCCTGACTTGGTGTTTCCTTTGTTCCTGGAAAATTAATAGTTTATTGAGACATGGCACTCGTCTAAGAGTGCCGTGCAACCTAGAATAGCTCCACTGCAGCTGAAAGTAACCCCAGTCCTGTCCTTAAGCTCCAGATATCCCATCACAACCACCACAAAGCTTCACATACACATCTCATTACTTGTGTCCTCCAAATGCATTCTTTTTGGGTGATGGAAGTCTGTTTTAACCCTTTCTAGGACCTGACCCTGATAATCTCTAGAGTTGGTGGAGGAATGTGGGTCTAGATTATGGAGCCACTTTTGTATTGAGAAGGGGAAAGTTTGATACAATAGGAATGGTGATTGTTAACCCTTCACATACATCCAGTACAGAGGTTGGGACCTCTTTTCACGCAGTACAGTTGTGTCTCACATCAACGGAACTACCAAACCATGGTGTTGGGATCCTTTGAGGTGTTGTCTGCAGCCTTCTGTCCTCCTAAATACTCCTTCCTTCCCCTAGACCCGAAAAATCCTGTCTGCCTGTGAGAAGAATCCCACAGATGCCTACCAGCTCAATTATGACATGCACAACCCCTTTGACATTTGTGCTGCATCATATCGGCCCATCTACCGTGGAAAGCCAGTAGAAAAGTGTCCACTCAGTGGGGCCTGCTATTCCCCTGAGTTCAAAGGTCAAATCTGCAGGGTCACCACAGTAAGTACTGTCCTCAATAAATATATCTAGGATATTGAGCGAAGGGGAAAAAGAAAGAAACATGGTGGTCCTTTTTTTCTTCTTGTGCTTGTCCCCTGCTCCCTGAGGCAGTGACACTGGAGAAAGCTAGAGCATCTCCCCACTGCTCTTGGCCAGTCAGTGATGAACACCCCAATACCTGTCTACTGTGCCCATTGAGGGGTATAGGGAATACATTTTCTAGGGTTCTCAATCTTACAAATCTCTAACTTGTTCCTTTGTTTGTTTTTCCACAGGTGACAGAGATTGGCAAAGATGTGATTGGTTTAAGGATCAGTCCTCTGCAGTTTCGCTAAGGCCCCCTTTGTGTGCATGGGTCAGTCACCATATGTTCCCCCCAGAGAATGTGTCTATATCCTCCTTCTAACAGCACCTTCCCCCTGCAGCTACTCTTCAGATCTGGCTCTCTGTACCCTAAAACCTAGTATCTTTTTCTCTTCTATGGAAAATCCGAAGGTCTAAACTTGACTTTTTTGAGGTCTTCTCAACTTGACTACAGTTGTGCTCATAATTGTCCTTGCCTTTCCAGCTTAATTATTTTAAGGAACAAATGAAAACTCTGGGCTGGGTGGAGTGGCTCATACCTGTAATCCCAGCACTTTGGGAGGCTACGGTGGGCAGATCATCTGAGGCCAGGAGTTCGAGACCTGCCTGGCCAACATGGCAACACCCCGTCTCTAATAAAAATATAAAAATTAGCCTGGCATGGTAGCATGCGCCTATAGTCCCAGCTGCTCAGGAGGCTGAGGCATGAGAATCGCTTGAACCTAGGAGGTGGAGGTTGCATTCAACTGAGATCATACCACTTCATTCCAGCCTGGGTGACAGAGCAAGACTCTGTCTCAAAAAAAAAAAAAAGGAAAACTCTGTGATGGACATTTGTTTAGTAAATCCCTTCAGTATTTATCCCTCCTTTCCCCACAGCAGCTTTCTTTCCTGTCAACTAGAAAGGAGCAGGATGTAATAAATACATTTTGGTGTGACTAGGCCACACCAACTCTTAATCATCTCCCATTTTCCTTAGACATTTAAATTTCAAGGCAGGTACCCTCTGTGTACTCAGAAATTTGAAGAAGTTATTTGGTTTTCCAAAATGCACACTGCGGGTTATTGATTTGTTCTTTACAACTATTGTTCTCATATTTCTCACACTAAATAAATCTCTATGAGAGCTTCTTGACTTGGCCATTTATTTCTTGGACACTCTCATGTTCTTGTTCACCCATGCAGGCACCCCACCAAAGTACATATCTTCCTTCCAGTAATAATTTTTAATTACAAAATAAACATCCACTATTGGAAAAAAAAAAAAAAAGCTAGCCGGGCATGGTGGTGGGTGCCTGTAATCCCAGCTACTCTGGAGGCTGAGGCAGAGGATTGCTTGAACCCGGGAGGCGGAGGTTGCAGTAAGCTGAGATCGCGCCACCGCACTCCAGCCTGGGCGACAGAGTGAGACTCCATCTCAAAAAAAAAGAAAGAAAAAAAGAAGCACATGTTTTTCATAGGGTATATATGAGGACCTAAACTGCTGTGAAAATGATAGAAAGCAAGTAGCTCCCTTATTCTGTTTTTGATTGCAGCCTTTTATCTTTTGCTAATTATAGCAATATTTATTGAGCACCTGCCATGTGACTGTCACTGTTCTAGATATTTTACATGTAATATACAGATAAAAGAATAGTACTTTATATATATTACAATGATACAATGATTACATTAACAATACAATATTTTGCTTGTCATATGCTAAGAATAATTGGGTAGAGTGACATTACTGTGCCTTCGATTAAAATAAGTACTTTTTTGCGTGTTAAATTCATGTTTTCAATAAATAATAAATGCATATAGTTGAAAAATCAGTAAATATAAAAAGCTATTCTGTGACAAATCTTTCCACCCTTTCATCAGCCACCCAGTTCCTATCACCTTCCCCTAAACAGGTAACCACTGTTACCAGCTTTCTTACATCCTTCCAGAAATTTTATATATATATATATATACACACACACACATATACATGCACATGCTGATATCACTATGCCATTCTCTATCTCCTTTTATACACAAATGAAACCACACTATTTAACAATTTTGTACCTTTGTTTTTTCATTTAACATTTTTGGTATTTTCTCGTATCAATATATTAGGGAGCTTCACTTTGTTTTTTACTTCTCTTCATACTATACGTTGTATTTTTTAGCTTTATCTTAAGAGTTGCTTTTTTAAACAGCATCCCTAAACTAAGGCTGCCTTCTCAACAGAGTACATACTACTAATGAGATTGTGCCATTGCACTCCACCCTGGGGTACAAGAGCGAGACTTCGTCTCAAAAAAAAAAAAAATGTACATATTAGCCGGGAGTGGTGGCTCACGCCTGTAATCCCACCACTTTGGGAGGCCAAGGCAGGCAGATCACCTGAGGTCAGGAGTTCGAGAACAGCCTGGCCAACACGGTGAAACCCTGTTTCTACGAAAAATACAAAAATTAGCTGGGTAGGGTGGCAGGCACCTGTAATCCCAGCTACTCAGGAGGCTGAGGCAGGAGAATTGCTTGAACCCGGGAGGCGGAGGTTGCAGTGAACTGAGATCACACCATTGCACTCCAGCCTAGGGGACAAGAGCAAGACTTTGTCTTAAAAAAAAAAAAAGGCCGGGCGTGGTGGCTCACGCCTGTAATCCCAGCACTTTGGGAGGCCAAGGCAGGCGGAACACGAGGTCAGGAGATCGAGACCATCCTGGCTAACATGGTGAAACCCTGTCTCTACTAAAAATACAAGATGTGAAATAATTGTGACTCCCAGGCAAGAATTAGAATTTGTTCGATAAACTGTGGAGAACCATTAAATCCTTAAGGAACAGAGTGATATGAAAGCGTTATAAAATACTGTTATTCAACAGTATTCGCTATACATTAGAAGGGCAGAAGGAGCAGTCAGTAGGTCAGTAAATACTGAGATGAGATGTTAGGAATATTAGGAGTAAAAATAGAAAAGCAGAAAGAAGTTTAAGAAATAATGCAAAGAAAGAATCATGCTTGTTTTTGACTCCATTTTAATTATCATCTATTATCTTTTAATTAACATGCTTATATTACATTAGTTTAAAGCCAATTGACCAAGTGTAGTGGCTCACATCTATAATCCCAGTACTTTGGGAGGCCAAGGTGGGCATATCACTTGAGGTCAGGAGTTAAAGACCAGCCTGGCCAATATGGTGAAACACTGTCTCTACTAAAAATACAAAAATTAGTTGGGCATGGTGGCGCGAGCCTGCAGACCCAGCTACTCAGGTGGCTGAGACAGGAGAATCACTTGAACCCGGGAGGTGGAGGCTGCAGTGAGCCAAAATTGCACCACTGCACTCCAGCCTGGGCAACAGTGAAACTCTGTCTCAAAAAATAAAACCAATAGAGATGCCTGTTGATAGACAAGTTTTCTTTTTTTGACGTGCTTGTTACAACTATAGCCATATTGGAGATACACGTGTAAGCAGTTTGAATGAGAAAGTCTGGAATAAATTATGTTGCAGGTGTTGGAAAACAGGTTTATCAGGAAAGGATTTGATTACAGAAGTTTAGAATTGTAAAGGACTTCAAAAGTGATTAGTGGCAGAATTGGGGCTGGAATTTAGGCTTTCTAACTCACAGTTCATAATATTTTGATCCCAAAACACACTACTTGTGGTTGGAAGAAAACAGGTTTTGCAGATATGATTTTACAAGTCTGTGCCCTATCTGTGAAGGACATAGTAAGTGCTTGATCTGGTGCTTGATGCAGTACTCAAATGTGTGTTTAGGAAGCTAAGAATGAAAGTGATGAGGTGACTTAACACAGGATTTTTTTTCATTTAAAATTCTTACCTTGTATCATACTGTGTGTATATCTCATCATACCTCCGGCTCACCCCCACTTAGCTACCTTACAGCAGGGGGTGGTCCTGATTTATCTCTCTGTCCTCACTGTGCCCAGAACAAGACCTTAATAATAGGTGCTCTCTAAGTGCGAAAACAGATTTGTATGTGAAACAGTTGCTACATTCTGACATCTGAATAGAACAATTCCAAAGGAGGAAAGGGACGTCTAGAGTTACCTCTATCTGAGCATTCCCCGTGTTCACTCAGTTGGAGGTTGGGTTCTGTGTGGAGAAAAGGAGATTGTTCAGGGAAAGTAAGTCTATTACTACTGCATTCGAATTGCCCTGCTCAGTCCAAGGTACCAGAGGCTCTCTTAATAACATGGAGTTCTAAGTTCCTGGCCGGCCCTGTGTCCTTTAATCAAACAGTTCTAATAGATAATAGGAAATGAGAGATGCCACTAGATTGGGCAGACAGATGTGCCTGATTAGGGACTGCGAGAGCAAAGAGTGGCCAATGAATGCCTACTAAGTTTTAAACCCTAGCCTGGGAGTTGGGCTTTACAGCAGTGAAGACAACAGACGAAAATCTTTGCGTTCATGGTGTTTAAATTCTGCAGGGTGGGGAGCGGAGAATAAAAAAGTACGGTAGATAGTATGTCAGATACTGTTCAGTGTTAGGAAGAAAAGGAACGGGAATGGCCAAGGAAAGCGTTTCAGAAAAGATAATATTTGAGGGAAACAATGAAGTGAAGCCGGGCGCAGTGGCTCACGCCTGTAATCCCAGCACTTCGGGAGGCCGAGGTGGGCGGATCAGCTGAGGTCCGGAGTTCGAGACCAGCCTGGCCAACCAGCCTGGCCAACATGTTAAAACCCCGTCTCTACAAAAATTAGTCGGACGTGGTGTCGCGCGCCTGTCATCCCAGCTACACGGGAGGCTGAGGCAGGAAGAATCGCTTGAACCCGGGAGGCCAAGGCTGCAGTGAGCCGAGATGGCGCCACTGCATTCCAGCGTAGGCGACAGAGCAAGATTCCTTCTCAAAAAAAAATAAAAAAAAAAAAATGAAGTGAGAGAAAGTAGTATGTTATGTGCCATAATTGTCATATCAATTATATATGTTTAGATTCTGGTTATTTGTAGGCAGTTTGTCTCAATCTGGCCTACTCACAGCTCAGGAAAAAATAATGAAAGAGCTTCGCCAGGTAATTTGGGAAGTTGAAAGAAAGGAGTCCGGGCCTCTAAAACCAGACAGAAAATAACCCTATCTTATCCCTAATTCTGTTTCACAGGAGAAAAGGGAAAAATACCCAAAACACAAACACTCAAAGCTTCCTGGCCCTTTAAAAATGGCGGTTCCGCACTGGTCAACAATACCATTGGTTACCCGAGGCAGAAGAGGGCGGGAGCGAAGGGGTGGAGGGCGTGTCGGCACCGAGGAGGTCCCGCCTCCTACGGCAAGTCGGAGGTAGCAAGATGGCCGCCGCTGAGGAAGGCTGTAGTGTCGGGGCCGAAGCGGACAGGGAATTGGAGGAGCTTCTGGAAAGTAAGAGCCCATAGTGGGAAAGGCCCGAAGAGGGCACGTGTGAGGACCCATTCTGGGGGTTAAGTGAACCTGAGATATTAGGGACGGGCAGGAGAGGCTCTCCAAAGGTTAAATGGGGGCGGAGAGTCTGACCCCCGAGCCCCCCAAAAATCTCTGGGTCATCCTGCCCCACCCCGGCGACTGGAGCTGGGGAGCTCACCTGGGGTCCCTCAGTGGTCCGGATGGTGGATGTTTCCGCAGGACGGCGTTTCATGATACCTCTTCAAACTCCTCTTTAGGTTACTGAGTTCTTAAAGTTCGACTTCAGCAGCAGTAGCAGCAGCAGCAGCATTTGGTTCTTGCTGGGTAGCGAACTACGCACTCACTGATTGCTTACATTAACTCCTAGCAAGCTCGTGGCCGGTCCTTGTGTGCCTCGTCCTGTCTTCCTTAACACGAAAGACACTTTTCTCCTCCTAGTCCTTTTCTCTTTCTCTCGTTAGGCCCCTTAACAGTTCTTTCATCTTGTCAGTAGCTCAAGCGGACTCCTTTCCCTTATTTTGAGAAACTGAGGATGTGGCGATTTCAGGGGAAAGCAGTTCACCCTCCTGAAAGACGGGGGATGTTTTCTTAGCATTACTCTCCACTCCCCTGTTGACTTCCTGCCCAGAGTAGGGCCAGTGCTCTCTCCCTAGGCCTGGCGAACAGAATGGTGGTGAGGACACAGGCTTTTCAGGGCAGAGGTGAATTTGTAATCGCTTGCTCAATCACGGAGATGTGGGCAGGCAGAAAAATGAACAGAAACCCTGAGGAGTGCCAAGTGACTGTGTAAATTAGTGTACGGTTATCTGCAGAGATCAGGCCAAAGGGAGCTCTAGAAGGTTGTTGGGGAGCACTAAACTGGAGAATAAGAGAAGATAGTTTAATGCCGTACCATGGAGTCTGGTATGTAGTCCCTCAGTCTGTGCTGGTACCAGTACCAACAGGAAGCTGGGTGGGATGTCCTGTGCTTTCTCACCAAGTTATTCCTTTTAGAGCTCCAGAGTGAGTTCAGAGGGATGAGGACATCTGTGTTCTCTACTACTGTTGGGTATTTGTATGGGATTTCTAGGGAATCGTTAGGGTGTGGCAAGGGAGACACTATAGATGGAGATGTCTCTGCAGAACTTTTTAATCCTCTCCTCCCAGCTCTGAGATGGACATTTGTTCCACCTTAAGGGATTTCTTTGCCTTTGCTCACAATAAATTAGGTAATCCAGAAGGAAGTAGGAGGCTCATTGAGGGTGGTCTGGGGAGGTGGGGGACTCAAGGAGGAAAATTGAGGAAAGTTGGCAATTTGAAAAATCATATTCCTAATGCTTTGCCCAGAAACCACCCAGCCTTGCTTGCATTCTCATCTGTCGCCAACACACACACCATGTCTCTTGTCTCTGAAGGTGCTCTTGATGATTTCGATAAAGCCAAACCCTCCCCAGCACCCCCTTCTACCACCACGGCCCCTGATGCTTCGGGGCCCCAGAAGAGATCGCCAGGAGACACTGCCAAAGTATAAATTCCACCCCCTTAAGGGATGGGGAGGGGATGGGCATGCAGCCCTGAGCAGAGGTTGGGCAGGCCCCTATGGGCCAGAGGGGAATGTGGGAGGGTACCTTGGCCTCACATTGGTGAGTGCTCTTGCCAGCCTCAGTCCTTGTGAAATAAGGACTTGAGGTTGAGTGGGGGAATCTCAGAGTTCCTTGAAAAAATAGTAGGTTTAAATGGTTGGATTGGTATGCCATCCCATACCCTCCTTCAATGACTAGATACCTTTTTTGCTATCCTCATTAGGAGCAGTAGTTAGAATGTCCAGTGGAATTGGGTAGGAGGGAGGTGCATTTCCCATAGCCACTGCCTGTGGCTTCTATCAGAGGCCAGGTGCAGTGTAGTCCTAAGTAAGAGACGCATTTCAGCCATCCTTCCCCCGCAGGATGCCCTCTTCGCTTCCCAAGAGAAGTTTTTCCAGGAACTATTCGACAGTGAACTGGCTTCCCAAGCCACTGCGGAGTTCGAGAAGGCAATGAAGGAGTTGGCTGAGGAAGAACCCCACCTGGTGGAGCAGTTCCAAAAGCTCTCAGAGGCTGCAGGGAGAGTGGGTGAGGAGACCCCAGATACATGGAAATATCTGAACAGACTCTTAAGTCTTTGTTGCCTGAAAACACCAGAATTCTTAGTGAAGTTGATAGCAATCATGATGTCACAGCCAAGGAACGGGTAAAGGCAATGAGAGAAAGGATGGGAATCCCTGTTAATGAAAAGGGGTGAGATAGGTTGGAAAGTAATAGAAAACATTATTCAAAACTGACCATTTGAAAGGTCACAGTGTTATTGTGGGTATCATCATGGAGAATAAACTGATGCAGAGTCCGTGTACTAAATAGATTTATGAAAAGACTATGAAGATAACCATAGGGTTTTCCAAGATTGGGAGTGATAATGATTCACTAGTAAATGCTTCATATCCAAGCTGTTAACCAGTTCAGTCTAGGCAAGGAAACAAACTCCTAAATGACGCTGGCTTTTTTAATCTCTCCTAGGCAGTGATATGACCTCCCAACAAGAATTCACTTCTTGCCTAAAGGAAACACTAAGTGGATTAGCCAAAAATGCCACTGACCTTCAGGTGAGGAGAAAGTAGTAGGGGCCCACAAGGGGTCCACTCCCAGACATTTCTCCAGCAGAGTCTCAAAAGACAGATGCTTTGAGTATCATCCCAAGTCTGTTGCTGTCTTATTGTTTGTTACAGGCAAGTTTAGATAGTTTATCTTTGTCACCTGAGAGAGTGGTGAGCATCCCAAGAAGGTAGTATACCTGCTCACCTCTTACTTGTCCTATCTAGAACTCCAGCATGTCGGAAGAAGAGCTGACCAAGGCCATGGAGGGGCTAGGCATGGACGAAGGGGATGGGGAAGGGAACATCCTCCCCATCATGCAGAGTATTATGCAGAACCTACTCTCCAAGGATGTGCTGTACCCATCACTGAAGGAGATCACAGAAAAGGTTTGTGAACTTCCATTTCTGCTTTTTCTCTTCATTTTCCATCACATCAACTGATGTGGGCTATTTTGTCTACTCAGAGCCTGCAGAAAGAGTAACTCGAGTGTGCTTTTTTTCCTTCTTTATTTATTTGAGGCAGGGAGAGTTGGGGGTTGGGGAGAGTTGTGTCTCTGAGAGAATAAAGCTGTCACACGGTATGTTGGGGTATAAGAGGTATAACGTTTGGGGTCTAAGAGGAAATCCTTCAGTTCTAGTTTTCTATAAACTGGTTCAAGACTCTGGGATTGTTGTCTGATCAATCTTGCATTTCTGACTTCATTTCTCCAGCAAGAATTTGGCTGGGCATGGTGGCTCATGCCTGTAATCCCAGCACCTTGGGAGGCCGAGGCGGGTGGATCACCTGAGGTCAGGAGTTCGAGACCAGCCTGGCCAACATGGTGAAACCCCGTCTGTAGTAAAAATACAAAAATTATCCTGGCGTAGTGGCTCACGCCTGTGATCGCAACTACTCAGGAGGCAGCAGGAGAATCACTTGAACCTGGGAGGCAGAGGTTGCAGTGAGCTGAGATTGTGCCACTGTACTCCGGCCTGGGTGACAGAGCAAGACTCCATCTGAAAAAGAAAAAGAATTAACTGAGGATTTACTTACTGGCTTTGTGATGTGAACAGTGTAAGCGTAGTTTAAATGATGGTCCCTGCCATAAAAGAGCTTATATGTGTGGTTGTATCATTTTGTTTTGAGACAGGGTCTAGCTCCAGTTGGAGCACAGTGGCACGATCTTGGCTCACCACAGCCTCCCCATCCCAGGCTCAAGTGTTTCTCCCATCTCAGCCTCCTGAGTGGCTGGGACTACAGGTGTGTGCCACCATGCTTGGCCAATGTTTTCAAAATTTTTTGTAGAGTTGAGCTCTCACTATATTGCTCAGGCTGGTCTCAAACTCCTGAGCTCAAGTGATCCTCCCACCTCAGCCTCCCAAAATGCTGGGATTACAAGTGTGAGCCACCACACCTGGCTAAAGAGTGTATAGTTTTACTGGAGAGATAAAATACAGGAATAGAAGCTTTTCAGTGACATGGGGAAATGTGGGTAAGTGTGTAATGAATAGTACAGACCACGAGTCAGCAGGCCAAGACCTGGGTGGGACAAATCCAACTCTCTAGCAAATAATGGTTTTTACATTTTTAAGGTCATTTGAAAAAAACTACAAAGAAAATGTGCAATAGCCGAGCGTAGTGGCTCACTCCTATAGTCCCAGCGCTTTGGGAGGCCACGGTGGACAGATTGCTTGAGCCCAGGAGTTTAAGACCAGCTTGAGCAACATGATGAAACCCTGTCTCTACAAAATACAAAAAAATTAGCCAGTCACAGTGGTGCACACTTGTAGACCCAGCTACTTGGGGAGGCTCAGGTGGGAGGATTGCTTGAGCCTGGGGAGATCGAGGCTGCAGTGAGTGGTGATCACACCATCACACTCCAGCCTGGGTGACAGAGTAAAACTCTGTCTCGAAAAAAAAGAAAAAAAAAACACAATAGAGACCATATGTGGCCCTTGAAGCCTAAAATATTCACTGTCTGGCCCTTTACAGAAGCTTACCAATCTCTGGTGACCATAAATGCTAACATGGCCAGGTGATCTGGTTGGAGTCAGTGCCGCTTTTCATGATGAACTTACTTATTTAGCTTTTCGTTTTTCTACGTCCCTTTCCCTTTCACATTTTAATCACATTGTTCTGATTACCCATCCATATCCATTGTTCACTTAATTCTTTTCCACCCATTCTCTCTTTTCTTAGTATCCAGAATGGTTGCAGAGTCATCGGGAATCTCTACCTCCAGAGCAGTTTGAAAAATATCAGGAGCAGCACAGCGTCATGTGCAAAATATGTGAGCAGTTTGAGGCAGAGACCCCCACAGACAGTGAAACCACTCAAAAGGCTCGTTTTGAGATGGTGCTGGATCTTATGCAGCAGGTAAGGCCTCTTGCCTTCTGCCCACTGGTGCTGTCCACTTAGGTGTTCAGTGAAGGAAGTATCTGGGAAGGATGCAATACTGCTAGACCTAGGTGGAGGAGGGATCCTCTCTTGTGATCTCTCTCAGAAGAAATAGAGAGATCATTCATTAGATTCCTCTTCTGGATCCTCTGTTGTTTTCTGGGCTTTTCTCTATTTCATGTTCCATTTTCCTTATTTTCTAGCTACAAGATTTAGGCCATCCTCCAAAAGAGCTGGCTGGAGAGATGGTGAGTATGTCTTATTTTTCCAGATTTTAATTTGAGTCCCCAATTTCCAGAATTCTTTAACCTCTCAGGATTCCACCTAAGGTGAAAATTGTGGCTACTGGGGATGGATCTTCACGTCTGTCCTAAAAAATGAGCAACTATCTGAGTCCCTTCATCTCTTCCCCAGCCTCCTGGCCTCAACTTTGACCTGGATGCCCTCAATCTTTCGGGCCCACCAGGTGCCAGTGGTGAACAGTGTCTGATCATGTGAAACACAACACGTTTTCCTCTCTGAGTCCCAGCTATGGGGAACATCTGGAGTCAGCAGAACCATTGGGACCTGAGGCAGGAGTGTCACCTGCGGGAGAAGTCTGCCCGCTGCCCTCTGTCATCCCATTCAAGATTGTGCCATACCAGCTGAGGTTTTTCCTCTGTCTCTCTAGGAATAGGGTCTGTTTCACAGGCCATTTCTGTGAACCCTACTCCATTGTGGTTTCTGCCACTATCAAAGTTCCAGCTACCTGCAAGGTGAAGGAAGGCATCCCTTTTGGGGCATGCACTTTCTTTCCTTTCTCAAAATAATGTTATATGTGGCCACACTGATGTTCACCTTTACGTCCAGGGTCTTTGTGCCTTGTCTCTACTCCCTCTCTTGGATCTGGGGAGGAGGGGCAGAGACCTGGGACTCTGTATTTCTATAGTTCTCCTGGCAGAGCCTTTGAGAATGGGGAGAAACAGCCTGGGCTGGGGCTACAGGTCTGTCACTATGCTCTCTTGCCTTCAGACAGACCATTCTGAATTCTCTAAAGGGAAAGGGCTTTTGCATCTAATCACAATAGAGTTGAAAGAGAGGCCTTAGGATTCTCCTCTCTCTAGGTGCTGAGCCCTCACCTCCCTGTTCCAGGCTGAGAACTCAAATGGTTACCCTGCTTCTTCCTACAATGCTGTGTGATATGGGTGAACCCAGCCCCTGACCTTCCTCTATCCCCTGCCCATCCTCCCTTTTACCTCCTCTCTTTTTTAAACACCTGTTTATCCCAACCTTTTTGAGCTCAAGCTGTGATAAAGAAGGGCCCATCCTATTTCCCCTCATCTAGTCCATTTACGATTCTCACTGACTCCCCGTCTTCCTGGCAGACACAAATAAACCCAGTGTCAGGTCTAGGAAATTAATGGCTATTCTTCCCCAGATACATTCTGGCTTATTTGAGATACATGATTCTCTTAGAATCCTGTCCCTTGGTTCAGGAAAGTAGCTTGGAAAAGGAGTAGGGGTATAGCTTGGGTCCCTTTTCCTGCAAGGCCCCATGGGGCAGAATATAATAAATATTCTGAGTGAGGAGTGTGGTCTTTTTCTGATCTTCCTCAGCTTCCGTAAGTTGCAGAGTGAGGTATATTAGGAGACTAGTTCTACACAATATTGTAATGCTGGGTTCCATCAACACCCACCTTCCACAACTCAGTCTGCACCTCAGTTGGCAAAGGAGACTGGATGGCCATCTTTCCTCATGTTCCCTTGAGTATTTCAATGTAGAAAGCCCTTCAAGTGGTATTATATTTTAACCTTTTACATTATTGTTATTAATGTTAGTAATATATTGTTATGTTTTCTAAATTATTTTTCTTTAAGCTGACGTGGCTTTTTTTCTGTGGCTCCCAGTGGGTCTACGGACCTTGGCTGACATATGTTGGTAGGTACTCTGGTCAGCTCAGCTGGCTGTCCTGGTTCACTCAGAAGATAAGTCTCTCCAAAGCAAATTCACATGCATTATGAGTCGCTTTGAGCTTCTGACATGTCACTTGCCCCGAGGTTAAAACTTTTCACCCCTTGAAGACCTTACATGTTTTATGGTATTGGTGAGGAAGGAAATGTTCTCAAGGTCTCAGGCTATTTGGGAAATTCCAACTCCTATACCTTACCAGAGCATGGAAGAGCCCAGATCTGAATGTAAAACGTCTCTGTTCTGCCAGAGATGGAAAAAATACAGGTATACTTGTGATATAGTCATGGGGCTTCAGTGTCACTATTTTCTCCTTAAAGCTCCAGCCAAAAACTGGACAAGGATAGAGAGGAGGAGGGAAGAACAAAAGAGCCCTTCTCTATGAACCTTGTGCCTTCTGTCCTACCAGTTTTCTTTTACAGATTCTCACTTCTGCTAGCCTAGCCAGGGCTTACTCCAGGAATCTAAATAGATGCCCTAGTCCACTTTATCTTTGTTCCCAAGGCACTCATTTTTATTTTGATTTTGATTGAATGTGAGCAGGTTGACCTCAGGTCACACTTTGTTCCAAAAACTTTTGGAATTATTCCAGGACTTGTGGTGGAGTTATGGTACTCTAGGGCAGTCTTTCTCAAACTATGTATGGTAAAGGACCAGGTTTTTTGTTTTCCAGTCCTTCACTTATCAATATGCATTCCTATTGCCCATGACAGGTATGGAGTTCACACTGTGTGCTGCCGACCCGGCAAGTTTGACAGCACCCAAACTGGCCAGACTGTTCTGTAGGTTAAGTCCATTGATCATGTACTTGGATATCACAGCAACATTGAAATGCTAAAAAGTTTTTAAACACTCTCAATTTCTAATTCACCATGTCACAGACTGGTGAAAAAAAAAAAAAGGTGTTCACTGACCAGCACAAGTCTGCAGATCATCTTTGAGTAGCACTGTTTTGGGGCCCTCGGTCTCTCTGAAGACCCTAGCAGAACTGATACCTACCTGTATCTCTTGTTCTCTCCTATTTGAGTTTCACTTCCAGAGAACTTGTTCTTCAGCAAGAATGTGTCACTAGTAAGGACATCTCTAGCATTTCTCTAGCCTTCCTTTTCTGCTGCTCAAAAATAATCGTTACAAAGCTTAGGTTTAAGCTGTATATGAAATATTTATGCGACTCTCAAACTTTAAAGGAGTTGCTCCTTTGTTCCAAAATTAAATGTGTTAGATAAATTTGTGATTGTATGGGTGGCTTCATGAATTAAGAATTGAATTAATACAGACTTTTTGATAATTGGGACATTTTCCTGTGACTCTGGAAGGTCTTGTCAAAGCCCCATGAGGCAGTTATAATATGATGTTAAGATGGCTTTGGGGAGCTAGGAGAAAACATTGGCCCATATTGAATGACGTGGAGACGGCAGACCATACAAAAAAGGACCAAAAGACTTAGAGGAAATGGGTATGCAAGAATGAATGTTATATAACACTGGTAAACCCACCAGCTGACTACCCCAGAAAGACCTGGGAATTATTTTTTAATAAAGACAATGGGAAAGGCACTGATGAAGGGTTACCAGCATCTTTGAGAAATTTAGAAGTGGCTGTCTCTCTAGATCGAAGCTGATACAAGATGTAAAAGAAACTGTTTTCCTAGTAGCAGTGGGGGAATGATAGGATCCTGACATAGCAGAGGCCAGGTGGCAACACTTAACTCTCAGAAGCAAGGTGAGTAAATTTCCTTAAGGGTAGCAAGGTCAAAGTGGAGATGGCTAACGGAATGTGAGTGGTCCTAGGAGCAGGATAGATGGGCAACCAAGAAGAGTATTGTCTTATATATAAGGGAGATCAAGAATGGTTGAACAGAAGGCTGAAGTCAGAAACTTCAAAGAAAAGTCCCCATTTCTTGTCCAGTTTTTAAGCCTGAGATAGTTCTTAGACTCATAAACTATCAATGGAAAGAGACATTTATCAGTTAATCATTGAGTGGAAAAGCACTGTTCATCCTCTGTTCTCACACCACAATGAGTGACACAGAACTCTTCTGTAATCACGTGTGGAATTCCCTCCCCTCAACAAGCAAGCAATTCTGCAGTGGATAACAGCTGGATATCCTCTAATTTACTTTAATTCTGACACTGTCTACCTGGAGACAGTGTCAGATCCCACAGGTTGACCAATCAATCACTGAGACTCTCCCCCCCAACTTCTGATGTCAATTGCAATTCCTGGGTTATTTTGCCTGTGCTATAAATCAGGGTGTCTACAGCCAGCTCCTTGGGTTTGGTTAATTTGTTAGAGTGGCCCACAAAACTTGGGGAAACACTTACTTACATATTTCAGTTTATTTAAAGGATATTACAATGAATATAGATGAAAACATGGCTGGACCCAGTGGCTCACGCTTGTAATCCCAACACTTTGGGAGGCCGAGGTGGGTGGATCACCTAAGGTCAGGAGTTCGAGACCAGCCTGGCGAACATAGTGAAACCCCGTCTCTATTAAAAAAATACAAAATTTAGCTGGGTGTGGTGGTGCATGCCTGTAGTCCCAGCTACTTGGGAAGCTGAGGAAGGAGAATTGCTTGAACTGGGGAGGCGGAGGTTGCAGTGAGCTGAGACTGTGCCACTGTACTCCAGCCTGGGCAACAGACAGAGCAAGACTCCATCTCTCAAAAAAAAAAAGATGAAAAGATGTATAAGGCAAGGTTGCAGAGCTTCCATTC
Organism: Homo sapiens; assembly: GCF_000001405.40. NCBI lineage: Eukaryota > Metazoa > Chordata > Mammalia > Primates > Hominidae > Homo > Homo sapiens. Next base: position 160,275,381 of record NC_000001.11, on the reverse strand, counting down.
CTTCTCTGGGCATGCCACCATTTAGGACAGCGGTCCCCAACATTCTTGGCACCAGGGACCAGTTTCATAGAAGACAAGTTTTCCACAGAGGGGGGTGGGGGGATGGTTTTGGGATGAAACTGTTCTACCTCGGATCATCAGGCATTAGCTAGATTCTCATAAGGGGCACACAACCTAGATCCCTCGCATGTGCAGTTCACAATAGGGTTTGCACTCCTCTGAGAATCTAGTGCCACTGCTGATCTGACAGGAGGTGGAGCTTAGGCGGTATTGCTGGCCCACCTGCCACTCACCTCCTGCTGTGAGGCCCAGTTCCTAACAAGCCATGGACTGGTACTGGTTCGTGGCCCAGGTGTTGGGGACCCCTCATTCTATAAACCCTCATGTGTTTGACATCTTGGAAGCTGTCTAGATCTTGTCTTTTTGGGTTTTTATGGAGGCTTTATATATAGGCATGATTAGCTGAACCATTGGCCATTGGTGATTAATTTAAAATTCAGCCCCTCTGTCCTCCCTAGAGGTTTGGGGGTGGGGTTGAAAGTTCCAACCCTCTAATACTGCTTTGGTCTTTTTGTTGACTGACCCTGAACCTGAAGCTACCTAGGGGATGCCAACCATCAGTCAACTCATTGGAATACAATAAGACATCACTTTGAAGATTTTAAGGATTTTAGAAGTTATATTCCAGGAAAAGGGGTTAAAGACCAAATACATATTTTACAATATCACAACCAAACACTGGGAAAAGAATATGCAGAAGTTTTTGACTTGGGAAACAGGGTTACAGGGTCTGAGTTGGCATTGATACCCAGGAACCTGAAGTACCACCACAGTGTCTTCCCCTCTCAACACCCCCAACCCTGCTCTCACAGTGGGTCCAAAAACCCACATTATGATCATTTCCCCCATTTCCAAATGTATAATCAGAATGAATATGTTTAGCAGTTTTGGCAGAAAGGCCATGCTCCTGAAACTGCATCCCCACCTCTGCCAAGATAGTAAATATACTGTATTCTGGGGAAAATGGCAGAGATTAGTTCAACCCTTAAAGACTTAAAGGTTGTAGAGGTGTTGTCTCCATTATAGTCACATTCAGTTTCAGCTGTTTGACCTGTGCAAAAACTAGATGGCCTATGGTGAATAACAATGGAATACTACAAACTTAAGCAAGTAGTAGTCCAATTGCAGTGCTGTGTTGGGTATGCTTTCTTTACTAGACAAAGTAACAGCCTCTTTTATAGGTATATAGCTGCTAATCTAGCACAGGGATCAGCAAACTACAGCCCACAGGCCAAATCTGGTTCATTACCTGTTTTTGCAAATAAAGTTTTATTAACATGCAACTATCATTTATTTACATATTGTCTGTGGATGCTTTTGTGCTACAATGGCTGAATGTAGTAGTTGCAACACAGACCATATGGCCTGCAAAATTGAAAATACTTAATATCTGGCCTGGCGTGGTGGCTCACACCTGTAATCCCAGCACTTTGGGAGGCTGAGGCGGGTGGATCACCTGAGGTCAGGAGTTTGAGACCAACCTGGCCAACATGGTGAAACCCTGTCTCTACTAAAAATACAAAAATTAGTTGGGCATGGTGGCGCATGCCTGTAGTCCCAGTTACTTGGGAGGCTGAGGCAGGAGAATCACTTGAACCTGGGAGGTGGAGGTTGCAGTGAGCTGAGATTGTGCCATTGCACTCCAGCTTGGACGACAGAGTGAGACTCCATCTTAAAAAAAAAAAAAAGTTATACAAATCAGGTATTAAGGATATGTTAATCAGACCCAACAACTAAGCAGTGTCAAGTACTCTGGATTCCTTGGTTAGACATATATACTCAAGGTGATGGGGGATAAATGCTGCAAAGATGCAGGGGCCTGCGACATTGGTGAAATTTTTAGTTCAGTGGTCTGAAGCATTCTGGAACATCACCTCTAAAGTAAAGTACAGGTTATTTCAGGCCTCTTACGGTTTTGGAGGCAGCATATTCTGCACTTGGGGATGCAAGAAACAGCTCTGCAACAGGTCCAGGGGGGCCATATCACCTGGAAAATTCCATTGTATTAGAGGTATCTGTGGTAGGAAAAGAGACTAGATTCTTTGATAATACCCAGTAGGAGGGACGGTTCCAGCCCAGACCTCCAGGATTCTGGAGTAAGGTGATGCCATTTTTAGCAGAAAAAGTTTTACCATTTGAAATGCATTTTCTGGTTTGCTGTTAGGCCCTGGAAGAGACTCAGTGCCTGACCATGAGATATCAAGTGACCGTGTGACCAGTTGCCCATATAACCAGCTGGTTATCATTAGACCCTCCAAGTCATGAGGTTGGGTGTATATAGCAGCAAGCCATCTTACAGTGGAAATGGTACATTTGGGAAGAAGCCCAAGCAAACTTAGTGGCACAAGTAAGTTAAATTGAGCAAGGGGCCCCAGCACTCCCCTGTCACCTACCTCTGGTGCACTGATTCCTTTTTCTTAGCTCATGCCTCTGGCCATACAGAAATTCCTTCAACCACCTCACAAAGGAGGGAAAAATCTAGGCCTGGTTTATGGGTAGACTGCCCTGTTATGTTGGGGTAAGCCAGATGGACTACAGCCTCTCACTGAGACTTGGGTGGTTCTGAAAGACAGTGATGAGGGAAATCTTAGTGTGTATGGCTTCAGGCAATGTACTTGATCATTTCCTTTGAGGAAAAAAAAAAAGTGACTGGAGATAAAGTTATACAAGAACTCATGGTCAGTGGCTTTGCTGGTCAGGGGCCTGGAAGAAACAAGATTTAAAAATGGGTGACAAGGTTGGATGAAGAGCATTTGGATGGGTCAGTGAGAGTGTAGCCTATTAAAGCATTGCCAGCAAAGGACTAAGTAACCAGATGGACAGGATGATTTTTTTTTTTTTTTTTTGAGACAGTCTCGCTCCTGTCACCCAGGCTGGAGTGCAATGGTGAGATCTCAGCTCACTGCAACCTCCGCCTCCCAGGTTCAAGTGATTCTCCTGCCTCAGCCTCCCGAGTAGCTGGGATTACAGGCGCCTGCCACCACACCCGGCTAATTTTTGTATTTTTAGTAGAGATGGGGTTTCACCATGTTGGACAGGGTGAATTTATCAGGACTACCTCAGCTGTCCCAGTGCTTGCACAGTGTACTCATGAGTAGAATCACCATGGTGGCAGAGATGGAGGCTACTCATTGACCTAGAAACATGGACTCCTCTCACCCAAAGCTGACCTAACTACTGCTATTGCTGAGTGTTCAACCTGTCAGCAACAGACCAATGCTGAGCCCCCAGTTCAGTACTACTCAAGGAGAACAACCAGACACTTGATGGTGAGTTGATTACACTGAACCTTTTCCATTTTGGAAAAGGCAAAAATTTATCCTGACCTGGGAGGCGGAGGTTGCAGTGAGCCGAGATCGCATCACTGCACTCCAGCCTGGGCGACAGAGCGAGATTGCATCTCAGAAAAAAAAAAAAAATTCCAAAATTCCTCCCCCTTTCCTCAAGGTAGGACAAATGTGGTGCCATTTATGTTCCAGAGTTCCTAGTGGAGGCTAAACTTACCATCTGAATCTATAACTTTGGCTAACCTTCCCCTCCTGTCCTATATTGCTTCCCTCACTTTATTACAGGTTTTACTTGAGAGCACTCCCTCAATAAACCATTTGTGCAGAATCACTTTCTCAGGCTCTGCTTTTAGAGAATCCAACCTAAGACAGGTTAATAGTGGTGCCAACTAAGAAATATCAAGAATCAGAACAGTTTGGGTTTGACAGAAGCTAGAGCAAAAGTGAGTTCAGCTTTGGAATGTTAAGGTGCCATTGGCAGGAATAGACAGGGACTTGGTCAACTTGATAAAAGTGCACCTATGAGTAACCTATAGCCAACATCATAGCTTAATGGTGAAAGACTGGATACTTTTCCTCCAATATCAGGAACACAAGGATATTCACTCTTGCCACTTCAAGTTGGCATTGTGCTGAAGGTTCTAGCCAGAGCAATCAGGCGAGAGAAAGAAAAGGCATCCAGACTGGAAAGGAAGAGATAAAACCATATTCACAGATGGCATTATCTTGCATACAAAAAATCCTCCAGCCTGGGCAACACAGTGAGACCCCATCTCTACAAAAAATTTAAGGGTAGGTGCAGTGGCTCATGCCTGTAATCCCATCACTTATAGATGCCAAAGTGGGAGGATCCCTTGAGCCCTGGAGTTCAAGATTACCCTGGGCAACATAGTGAGATCTTGTCTCTACATAAAATACATTTTTAAAAATTAGCCAGGCAAGGTCCCAGCTATTTGGGAGGCTGAGGTGGGAGGATCACTTGAGTCTAGGAGGTTGAGTCTGCAGTGAGCCAAGATCACACCACTGCACTCCAGCCTGGGCAATAAAGTGAGACCCTGTCCTAAAAAAAAGAAAAAAGACAACGTGGAACTGGCACAATTGATGTAGTGATCAATGTAATAGAATTAAGATTCCAGAAATAAACTCATATATCTATAGTCAATTGATTTTTGACAAGGGTGCCAAGACCATCCCATATGGAAATAATAGTTTTTCAACAAATGGTGCTGGGACAACTGGGTAGCCACATGCAAAGGACTGAAGTTCGATTTTTACCTCACACTGTTTACAAAAGATAAAATTGATGAGTGATGTAAAAGAGCTAAAACTAAAGTTCTTAGAAGACAACACGGGTAAAATCTTCATGACTTCGGGTTTTGCAAAGTCTCCTTAGATATGGCACCAAAAGCATGAGCAACAACAAAAATATAAGTTGGAACGCATCAAAATTTAAAAGTTTTGTGCCTCAAGGGACATCATGATGAAACACAACCCGCAGAAAGGGAGAAAATATTTGCAAATCACATATCTGATATCTGATAAGAGACTTGTATCTAGAATATATACTTAATAATAAAAAGGCAGTCTGGGCCGGGCATGGTGGCTCACGCCTGTAATCCCAGCACTTTGGGAGGCCGAGGTGGGTGGATCACCTGAGGTCAGGAGTTTGAGGACAGCGTGGCCAAGGTGGTGAAACCCCATCTCTACTAAAAATACAAAAATTAACTGGATGTGGTGGCAGGTGCCTGTAATCCCAGCTACTTGGGAGGCTAAGGCAGGAGAATCGCTTAAACCTGGGAGGCAGAGGTTGCAGTGAGCCGAGATCGCACCATTGCACTCCAGCCCAGGCAACAAGAGCGAAACTCCATCTCAAAAAAAAAAAAAAAAAAAAGACAATCTGGCCCGGGTGTGGTGGCTCACATCTGTATCCCAGCACTTTGGGAGGCCAAGGCAGGAGGATTGCTTGAGCTCAGGAGTTCAAGAACAGCCTGGACAACAAAGAGACTTTGTCTCTAAAAAAAAAAAAAAAAAAAAATTAGCCGGGCATGGTGGCATGTGCCTGTGGTCCCAGCTACACAGGAGTCTGAGGCAGGAGGATTGCTTGAGCCCGGGAGGTCAGGGTTGCAATAAGCTGTGTTCACGACAGAATAAGACCTCTCTCGAAAAAGAACAAAGAAAATCTGTTGGGCATGGTGGCATGCGCTTGTAGTCCTAGCTATGCAGGAGGATCCCTTGAGGCCAGGAGTTCAAGGCTGCGTTGTACTATGATTGTGCCTGTGAATAACCACTGCACTCCAACCTGGGCAACATAGTGAGATGTGGCTCCCTGAAAAATTGTTTTTTGGCCGGATGTGGTGGCTCATGCCTGTAATCCCAGCACTTTGGGAGGCCAAGGTGGGCAGATATCCTAAGGTCAGGAGTTTGAGACCAACCTGGCCAATATGGCGAAACCCAGTCTCTACAAAAATTAGCTGGGTGTGGTGGCGCATGCCTGTAGTCCCAGCTACGCGGGAGGCTGAGGCAAGAGAATTGCTTGAACTTAGGAGGCGGAGGTTGCAGTGAGCCACGATCGCACCAGTGCACTCCAGCCTGGGTGACAGAGCAAGACTTTGACTAAAAAAAAAAATTTTTTTTTTAAAGAAAAGTCAATTTAAAAGTGGGCAAAGGATCTGAATAGACATTCCTCCAGAAAAGATATAAAAGTGACCTATATAAGCACATGAAGAAATACTCGACATCATCAGTCATCAGAGAATTGCAGATCAAAACCACAATGAGATACCACTTCACAGCCACTGGGATGACTAGAATCAAAAAGTGAGATAAGTGTTGTCAAGGATGGGGAGAAATTGGAATTTTCATACACTGCTGCTGTGAATGTAAAATGGTGCAACTGCGTTGGAAAACAGCCTGGCAGGCCGGGCACGGTGGCTCACGCCTGTAATCCCAGCACTTTGGGAGGCCAAGAAGGGCGGATCATGAGGTCAGGAGATCGAGACCATCCTGGCTAACATGGTGAAACCCCATCTCTACTAAAAATACAAAAAATTAGCCGGGCGTGGTGGCAGGCGCCTGTAGTCCCAGCTACCTGGGAGGCTGAGGCAGGAGAATGGCGTGAACCCGGGAGGCGGAGCTTGCAGTGATCCGAGATGGCGCCACCGTACTCCAGCCTGGGCAACAGAGCAAGACTCCGTCAAAAAAGGGAAAACAGCCTGGCAGTTCCTCAGATGTTTAAATATAGAGTTAACCATATGACCCAGCAATTCCATTCATTCCTAGGTATATACCCAAGAGAAATAAAAACACGTTCACACAGAAACTTGTATATTAATGTTGATAGCAACATTATTCATAATAGCCAAAAGGTGGAAACAACTGAAATATTCATCAACAGATGAACACATAAAATGTGGCTCATCCACACTATGGAATATTATTTGTCCATAAGGTGAAATGAAGTACTGATTAATGCTACAACATGGATGAACCTTGAAAATATTGTGCTCAGTTAAAGAAGCCAGTCACAAAAGAGCACATACTATATGATTCCATTCATATGGAAGTCTAGAGCACAGGAATCTATAGACACAGAAAATAGATGAATGGTTTCTTAGGGTTCTGGATGAGGGAATGGGAAGATGGAATGGGGATTAACTTAAAAGGCACTAGGTTTCTTTTTGAGGTGGTGTAAATACTCTAAAATTGACTGTGGTGATGGTCACATGTATCTATGAGTATACAAAAAGCCATTGAAATGTATACTTTTTTTTTTTTTTACTTAGGAATACATTTTTTCCCCAAAAAATGCCATTGAAGTATATACTTTAAATGAGTGTATTTTATACTTTTTATTTGTTTGTTTCTTTTTGCGACAGCCTCTCCCTCTGTTGCCCAGGCTGGAGTGCAATGGTGTGATCTCAGCTCACTGCAACTTTTGCCTCCTGGGTTCAAGCTATCCGCCCACCTCAGCCTTCCAAGTAGCTGGGACTTACAGGTGCATGCCACCACACCCAGCTAATTTTTGTATTTTATTTTGTAGAGATGGGGTTTCATCATGTTGCCCAGGCTGGTCTCGAACTTCTGGACTCAAGCAATCTGCCTGCCTTAGCCTCCCAAAATGCTGGGATTACAGTAGTGAGTCACTGTGCCTGGCCAATTGTATACTTCAAATGAGTGAACTGTATGTGAATTATATGTCTTAATAAAGCTGTTAAAGCCTGGGTGCGGTGGCTTATGCCTGTAATCCCAGCACTTCGGGAGGCCGAGGTGGGTGGATCACTTGAGGTCAGGAGTTCAAGACCGGATTGGCCAGCATGGTGAAACCTTGTTGCTACTAAAAATACAAACATTAGCCGGGTGTGGTGACGGGTGCTTGTAATCCTAGCTACTTGGGAGGCTGAGGCAGGAGAACAGCTTGAACCTGGGAGGCTGACGTTGCACTGAGCCGAGATTGTGCCACTGCACTGCAGCCTGGGTGACAGAGACTCTGTCTAGAGAGAAAGAGAGAGAGAGAAAGGAAAAGAAAGAAATAAAGAGAGAAAGAGAAAGGAGGGAAAAAAGGAAAGGAGGGAGGGAGGGAAAGAGAAAGGAAGGAAAAAAGAAAAGAAAGAGAAAGAAAAAAGAAAGAGAAAAAAGGAGAAAGAAAGCTGTAAAAAAAAAAAAAAAAAGTGCCATTGGCCATCAGGTACATGAGTCTAAAGCCTGAGCTGGAAATAAAGACTTGGAAGTCCCTTTCCGTGCTACCTACAGAGGGGTCCATATGGCGTTGTTCTGGATTCCCGTCGTTAACTCAAAGGGAAACTTTCACAATGTCCGGAGCCCTTGATGTCCTGCAAATGAAGGAGGAGGATGTCCTTAAGTTCCTTGCAGCAGGAACCCACTTAGGTGGCACCAATCTTGACTTACAGATGGAACAGTATATCTATAAAAGGAAAAGTGATGGCATCTACATCATAAATCTGAAGGGAACCTGGGAGAAGCTTCTGCTGGCAGCTCGTGCTATTGTTGCCATTGAAAACCCTGCTGATGTCAGTGTTATATCCTCCAGGAATACTGGCCAGAGGGCTGTGCTGAAGTTTGCTGCTGCCACTGGAGCCACTCCAATTGCTGGCCACTTCACTCCTGGAACCTTCACTAACCAGATCCAGGCAGCCTTCTGGGAGCCATGGCTTCTTATGGTTACTGACCCCAGGGGCTGACCATCAGCCTCTCACAGAGGCATCTTATGTTAATCTACCTACCATCGCTCTGTGTAACACAGATTCTCCTCTGCGCTATGTGGACATTGCCATCCCGTGCAACAACAAGGGAGCTCACTGAGTGGGTTTGATGTGGTGGATGCTGGCTCGGGAAGTACTGTGCATGCGTGGCACCATTTCCCGTGAACACCCATGGGAGGTCATGCCTGATCTCTGCTTCTACAGAGATCCTGAAGAGATTGAAAAAGAAGAGCAGGCTGCTGCTGAAAAGGCAGTGACCAAGGAGGAATTTCAGGGTGAATGGTCTGCTCCAGCTCCTGAGTTCACTGCTACTCAGCCTGAGGTTGCAGACTGGTTTGAAGGTATACAGGTGCCCTCTGTGCCTATTCAGCAGTTCCTACTGAACAATGGAGCACTCAGCCTGCCACGGAATACTGGTCTGCAGCTCCCACTGCTCAGGCCACTGAATGGGTAGGAGCAACCACTGAATGGTCTTAAGCTGTTCTTGCATGGGCTCTTAAGCAACATGGAAAAATGGTTGATGGAAAATAAACATCAGTTTCTAAAAAATAAAAAAATAAAAAATAAAAATAAAAGACTTGGAAGTCATCATTACGTGGATGGTAGTTTTTCTTTTTTTTGGAGACAGGGTCTCACTCTGTCATCCAGGCTGGAGTGCAGTGGTGTGACCTCAGTTCACTGCAACCTCTGCCTCCCAGGCTCAAGAGATCTTCCTACCTCAGCCTCCTGAGTAGCTGGTGCACACCACCACTCCCTGCTAATTTTTGTATTTTTTGTAGAGATGAGGTTTCGCCATGTTGCCCAGGCTGGTCCTGAGCTCAAACAATCTGCCCACCTTGGCCTTCCAAAGTGCTGGAATTACAGACGTGACCCACTGCGCCCGGCCCTGGACAGTAGTTTAAATGTGAGAATGGATACAATCACTGAAAGAACATGTAGAATGAAGGGGAAGAGAAGCTAATTAAATAAATGATTAGAGAGATAAAAACAAAACCGTGGAATATAGTGTTACGGAAACCAGTGGGATTGAGTATCTGTCACAAGATGGATACACAAGGGATAATAATCATCACAACCTCAAATTCAATAGGAAAGCCCAAATAAGAAAGGGAGAATTCAGTGGTAATAGCTATTGATTTGGTGGTAATAACCATGGTGTCCACAAAACAGTGGGTACAAAAAGCAGATCATAGAAAGGGAGGCCTCTATCCCTATAGCTTCCACTAAGATGACTTGCCATGGTCTAATCCTCCATTTTCCAAGTCCGATGGTCAATTTCCAGTTATCTTAACCTGTTTTATGACAGGAATGATGGAGATTATAGCCCCTTCTTGAAGCTTTTTTTTTTTGGTTTGTTTTATAAGACCCCTCACTTTTGAGTTTTATTCTTCCTATTTCCTGGCTACTCTTTTTAAATAAATTTTGCTGTATGTTCCTCCTCTCTGACCTTTATTAGTTGGAATGCCTCAGGATTAGAGGTCTCAGTCTTTAAACTGCTTCTCTTTGCTTCCACATTGATTTCTCTCCACCCCATGGCTATGTATGCCATTTATAACTTAATTAATCCTTAATTTATACCTCTCATTGTCCCTTGTATGAGCCCCAGGTTCATATTTCCAATTGTTTACTCAGTAGCTCCATTCGGAAATCTAATAGGGATCTCCAGTTTAATATGTTTGAAGTAAAATTGGACATTCCCCCCCGCCAAAAAAAACCTTGCTCCTGTCTCCTCACATGCGCTCTCAGTAAACGACATCACTATTTATCCAGTTACTCAAATCAAACTGATTTTTGTACTTTGACTTTTGTACTTTTTTACTGATTTTTTATTCTTGTCTTTATCTTGTACCCCACATTCAATCTATTAACACATCACCTCTCCACCACTTTCAGAGTACATCCTGAATCCTACCAATTTCATTGCAACACTAGTTTTGCAGGTCTTCTGCAATAGCTTCCTAACTGGTCTTTTAGCTTCTATTTGGCTTCCCTATAGGGAATTCTCAAAGAATAACCAGAGTGAACATCTTCAATTATAAATCAGATCATGCCACTCTTCTACTCAAAACCCTCCATGGCTTCCTAGCATTCTTAGGATAAAATTCAAAGTCCTTTCTTTGGTCCATAAGTCCGTAAGTGATCTGGCTCCCATCTTGTTTCTCCAAACTAAGTTCCTATCTATTCTTTTGCCACAGTGGCTTCCTTGCCAAGCACACTCAAGCTGCAGGGTCTTTACCTTGTTGTTTCTTCTGCTTGAAATATTCTTTCCCAAGTATGTATAGCTTATTGTCTCACTTCAAACCTTTATTTAGATGTCACCTCAGCAGAGGGGCCTTCTCTGAATCCCCTATGTAAAAGAGCACACCCATCCAGGTAACCCATTTTTATTCTGCTTTATTTTCCTTTACAGTACTCTTTATAACTTTATTATCTGTGTGTCTCTCCCCTCCTCCTATGCTCCCAACCCTTGCACTAATAAGTTCCATGAATGCAAGAATCTTGGTTCTATTCACTGTTGCAGCCCCAGCACATAGAACAGGGCCTTCCAGAGCAGGAATTCAATAGTTGTTGACTGAATGAATGAAAGAATGAATAGGACGGTGGGGCATTAAATAGCTACTTTGTGCTGTAGCCCTCTTCTAGGTGTTGAGATTACAAAGATGATAAAAACACAGTCCTTGCCCTCAAGAATTTATATTCTAGTAGTATAGCTGGATCACAAACATAATTTTAGATTAAATGTTATAGGTAAAAAATGTTATTAAAAAAACAGTGCAGAGTAAGGGGATAGAGGAGGATGACATGAGGTTCCATTTTAGTTACAATAGTCAAGAGCTGCCTGTGTTAGGAAGTAGGATTTCAATAGACACCTCAAGTCTAGTAAATATCTAGTAGATGGACATTCCAAGAAAAGGAAAAAAACCCTAGGGCTGGGACATGCTTTGACTGGAGTGACAGTAAGGCTAGTGAGGCTAGAGCAGAGCTAGGCAGTGTGGGAGGAGATGAATCAGATAAATAGGCAGGTGCTAGATCAGATCATGTAGGGTCCTCCTTAGAGGCAATTCATTTTTTGATGGCCTCTAAGGCTATCATACTTTTGACTTTTATTATGTGATGGGAATTGGAGGTTTTGAGCAGGGTGGGGACTGGGGAAATAATACGACATTACTTTTTTTTTGAGACGGAGTCTCATTCCATTGCCCAGCCTGGAGTGCAGTGGTGCGATCTCAGCTCACTGCAACCTCCGCCTCCGGGTTCAAGCAATTCTCCTGCCTCAGCCTCCCAAGTAGCTGGGATTGCAGGCGCGCTCCACCATGCCGGGTAATTTTTTTTTTTTTTTGTATTTTTCGTAGAGACGGGTTTCACCATGTTGGCCTGGTTTCAAACGAGTTTCGAACTCCTGACCTCAAGTGATCCGCCCACATCCGCCTCCCAAAGTGCTAGGATTACAGGCATGAGCCACCGCGCCCGGCCAGACCTTACATTTTTAAAAAGCACTCTGGCTGCCTTATGTTTAACTGTAATGGCAATAATGGAAGTAGACAAACGAGGTAAGTTTCTATTGCGGTAGTCTTAAGTAATATGTAATGACTTGGAATAGGAGAGTAGCGGTAGGGGAGGTGAGAAAGGGTCAGATTTTTGCACCCTGGGCTTCTGGTAAGAAAAAAAAAAAAAATACCCCAGCCTGGCAGCTGGGAGTAATCCTCTGCAGGGTTACTGTAGGTGTCATAACGAAACAGAGTACAAAAGTCACCCCACATCACCCGGCCCACTCTTGGGAACCTTTACCCACACCACCTCTCTTCAGAAAAGAGCTTCTGGAATAGCTACACCTCAAGCTACTGAGCCCCTTCTTTAAAAATACGTAAATGGGGACTCTCAGGGGAAAATGGGCCTCGATAGTATAGAAACCACTTAAGGAAACAAAGCCCTGAAAGGAAACGGGGATTTTCAGAAGAAATCCTTGTGGCAATCATTGCTCGTTCCAGTGTTCAAAAACGGCAAAACTGGCCATCATCCAGGAAGTGGCCTGCCAATCCGCTGGAAATTTAGTTTATTTCTATCACAACTCTGGGTAGCCCCTAACTCGCATTTGTTTAGAGTATCACAAGATAAGCAAGCCCGAAGAAACTACAAAAACAACTTTGCCTCTTCGGTAATGCGCAGGCGCCTCTCGCTCTGTTTTCCGTTGGCCTTAAGCCCCGCCCCTTGTGCGTCCTTCGAGGAGGGTTGCGAGCCGTGAGCTCGCGCGACCACTCTTCCCTCAGTCTTCTCGAGCACATCGTCGCAAACGGGGCCGGAAAGCGTGGCAGCGCAGGCGCAAGCGCAGAGAGCGGAGGCGGTGGTGGTGGCGGCCGCTGGCCAGTGTAAGATGGCGGCGGCGTTGGTGGTGGCAGTGGACGGGGCGGCTGGGCCTGGAACAGTCGGAGCAGCCGCTAGCAGAAGGATGACCCAAGACGGGAAGCGGGCTGCTGAGCCTCGCCGATTCCCGTGCTTGTAACTGCCCCAGCCGGACACCCCCCCTCCCTTGACCTACCCGGTCTGTGTCTCGTTCCGGCTCGGCCTGCGCCCCCCCTCGCTTCCCAGCCGGTTTCCCCTAAGGATGGGCCTGACCCGTATCCCAAGCTCTTAGCGCTCAGGTCTTTTCCTTCCGCCGACCCGAAGTCATCGCTGGGAGTACTGGTTGCCCTTTCCTCAGGTCAGCCCTGGTGTTGCCCCCAAGAGCCAGCCGCACAGTTCACAGGGACGCCTTGCTTCGTTGGGTGACCCATGTGTGCGCTCCTATTTCTCCCCTTAGATTGAGGGACACGGCTCGCCCTGCGTCTCCCCGTCACCTCAGGGCCACCGCGCAATGTGTCCCCCTCCCCCATCCCAAGTTCCCAGGCCCAGCACCTTGTACGGAAGGCGGAGGTCCAAGAATTCCGGAGTCGGTTGTTGTCTTGTGGTCTTGTACCCTTTGTAATATAATTATCTTAGTTTACCTCCTCTAACTCCCAAATCTTTTAGGATATCTTAGAACGGTCCCATTTGGTCCCTGTTAGTTGGAAAGCATCTGGTGGCTTGAATTTCTGACTCATGATTGTTACTGGAGTCTCTGTAAACAAACCGGCACTAGCGCTATCACATTCTCTCCGGGATTTCCCCCCCTGCTCTGTGGCTTCTTGTTGAGAGGTTGTTTGGTTATGGTTTAGCGTTGAAAAGATTCAGGTTATCCTTTTAAATGACTTTACGTTTTAGTGGAGCTGGGAGATTACTTGCCTGGCTTCTAATCTTCATGTTGGTTCATTTTATTTCCATATGTGTGTGGGTTATTTGTTCAGTAATTAGAATTAGATAAAGTATTCTGCTTTTAAGTAGTTTTGAGAAGGCCTAAAAATACTAAAGTGTATTCATAAATATTTTTATTATGTTCAGTAGAAGACACACCTTTGCCATGTAAATTTTAACTTTTCTCAGTCCTTCAGTGAATCTACAGACCTATTTTCTCAGGAGCTCAGCCTGGCCTTACTTCAGTGATAAAAGGAGGAAAGGTGAGTGGGAGTTGGAGGCATTAAAATTCTTGAGTTCAAGACAGACTGCGCTGATGCTCAACTGCTGACCACTAAAGTCATAAAATTCCTACCAGTTTCCCAAAGAGCTTGAGTGTTGTTCTTGGCTTTGTTCCAGCTCTGGTTGAATTACTTTTACAAGTTTAATTGTCTGTGGGCTTCTTGTCTTTCTGTCCTAAACTATTGCTGTGTATCTCCAAATGACTTAAGCCTAGAAGTGAATGTGTGCCCCCTGCCCCATGTCTTCTTTTCTTCTTTATTCATTTTCCTTGTATTTTGTCTTTGTGTCGATCATATTTTTTACGTTGTTAAAAACTGGAACTTAGTTTGCCTGAGTTCTGTTCATCCTGTTGTCAAATCAGGTCTCTTCCCCTCTCACAGCTTCGGGTTGTCATCCCTTGGTATTTAGAGGAGAATATTTAGCTGCTTGTGACTAAAAGCTGGGGAGTGATGAGTGATGCTGCCTTTAGTTGGTGTCTGAGTCCAGTCTATTTCAGAATTCCGACTTTTTAGGATATAGTGGGAAATTTTTTGTAAAAAAAAAAAAAAAATAGTGGCTGCTCTTTCTTTTGTAGCTGGTCTGAAGAATTCTTGGTTAGCAGAAGAAACATCCTGGGCATTCAGCAGCATGGGTTGGTGCCAAAAAGGGAGTCAGAACATACTTATAAATGCAGTTTTCGTGAGGCTTTCAGGTTTCTGGTAGCAGAGACTAGAGGCTCATGGCATGTGACAGAAAAGCTAAGTGACTGGAAGGTAGGCCTGGCCAATTCCTAATATCTTTATGATTTGTAGTAGGAAAATATTGAGTGACACTGGTGAGTTTTATTCCATCTGATGACTGAATTAGAAAATGCTCATCATGGACTGGAATAAAATTATTAGTGATGGTGTATATGTGTATCAGTAAGATATAAAGAGAAAAGTACAGTCTTTAGAGATTGGACAGACTTTTAATTTAATTTTAAGGTTTAAATACTAGACTAATATTTCTTAGCCATGTGACCTTGAGCAAGTTACTTAAACTTCTCTGACTCTTAATTTCCACAACTCTAAAAGTGTGATAATACCACTTACCTCCCAGGGTCATTGTTAGTATTATAGGGAATCTATTTAAAGCTCTTAGTAATCTAAGAACACGTGGTACACACTCAAAAAATGTTGTTTTTTGGTTTTTTTTTTTTGCACATCATTGATACAGCTTTGAATAAGTTATACGTTAATTTATGCTTCTTTTACATTTTGCCTTAGAACACATTTTTCTGGTTAATTTTCCCAACTGATTTTTAATTGGTCAGCTTAGACGTGTCCTTTGTAAGTGCCCACCTAGAGTTGTCTTCTGAACATGAAACCCTTGGTGGGGGTTCATAACCAGAGGACAGAGAATATTAGATATTGGTGTATGTATATTTCAAAATGTATTCTTAAACATCAGTAAATTTTTTTGTTCATTGGTTCCTTCATCTTGGACTCTCTGTTAGCACACCTGATCAGAGTTGGCCGTGTTGTAATTCTTTCCCTCTCTGCTGCAATGTTGTTTACTTCTACTGCAACTATTCTTTATACTTTCCTTTTTTGCCATGAAGGGAATACATTTTTTCCTTCTTGTTGGGCTATACAGTGATCCTCATCAACAAATTATCAAAGAACTGTATGAGGAAAAGGTCTCTTTTTTTAAAAGTGAATCAGGGCTGGGGAGTTAGGAATGAAGAGGTTTTTTTTGTTTGTTTGTTTGTTTTTTGACGAGTCTTGCTCTGTCACCAGGCTGGGGTGCTGTGGCGCGATCTCAGCCCACTGCAACCTCCGACTCCCTGGTTCAAGCGATTCTCCTGCCTCAACCTCCCGAGTAGCTGGGATTACAGGCATGCGCCACCATGCCCAGCTAATTTTTGTATTTTTAGTAGAGGAGGGGTTTCACCATGTTGGCCAGGGTGGTCTCAATCTCCTGACCTTGTGATCTGCCCGCCTCAGCCTCCCAAAGTGCTAGGATTACAGGTGTGAACCACCATGCCCGGCCAAAGAGTTCTTTTTTCAGCTCCACAGCTGGACCGTCTTAATAATATGACAGCACAGATGAAGAGTTTTAAACCTTTTGTTGGCTTTTCTTTCGTATCTTTTTGGCAAGGGCACATGAAAATTAAGTACTGATAATATCACAATGAAAGCAGCTGTGTCATTCAGACCAGTGACCATTTTAGGTTTGATGAACTTTTCATTACCATCATCCAGGGTCTAAATTCTCCATTGTAAGGTAAGGATTCTCCAGGGTGGTGGTGAGGTGGGTTGAGATTGCATTTGTATCATTTGTGTTTTTATGAACTCTGAAGATCCATGTCGGGTGAAGGAAAGGATGGGAGGAGAAAAGGAAATACTTTGAAAGAGGGATAACTTGGACTGTTTATTTCCTTATGTGCTGGGTAAGAATGTCCAGGTGACATCTATATGTAGTAAATCAGTATTTCTAGTCTGTGGACCACACTGTAAACTTTTTATCTTTCTAAAGTTTTTTTTATTTTTGTAGAGATAGGGTCTCACTTTGTTGCCTAGGCTGGTCTCAAACTCCTGGGCTCAAGTGATCTTCCCACCTCAGCTGAGTAGCTGGGACCGCAGGGGCATATCACCATACCTAGCTAATTTTTGGTTGTTTTTTTTTTGTTTGTTTGTTTTTTTAAAGAGATGAGGTCTTACTTGCCCGGCTCAAGTGATGCTCCCATCTTGGCCTCCCAAAGTGCTGGGATTACAGGCATAGCCGCAGCACCCAGCTTGAAGATATTTTTATATTTCCAGGGTTTTAGGTGTTTACTTAAGAATTGTGACATCTTATTAGGTAGTATTTCCTAGGATGATTAGAGTGGGAGGCTAAGAATGCTTGTGACCTTTTAGTTCCCACCACCAACCTCTTAAAGTGCAGTCTATTTATTTATTTTTGAAATAGGATCTCACTCTGTCACCTAGAGTGCAGTGGCACTATCATGGCTCACTGCAACCTCGACCTCTTGGGCTTAGGTGATTCTCCCATCTCAGCCTCTCGAGTAGCTGGGACTACAGGTGCACGCCACCGTACCTGGCTAATTTTTGTATTTTTTGTAAAGATGAGGTTTCACCATATTGCCCAGGCTGGTTTCAAACCCCTGGGCTCAAGCAATCCTCCTGCCTCAGCCTCCCAGAGTGCTGGGATTACAGGCGTGAGCCACTGCACCCTGCTAAATGCAGTCAATTAAATGTATAAGAATCTGCCAGGCTGAGTGCGGCTGGCTCATGGCTGTAATCCCAGCACTTTTGGGAGGCCAAGGTGGGAGGATCACTTGATCCTAGTTGTTCAAGTCCAGCCTAGGCAATATTGAGACCTTGTCTCTACAAAAAGTTTAAAAAAAAAGCCAAGCATGGGGCAAGTACTTGCAGTCCCATCTCCTTGGGAGGCTGAGGTGGGAGGATTGTTTGAGTCCAGGAGGTAGAGCTGAGATTGCGCAGTGATCACTGCAGTGCGCTGAGATTGCGCCTCTGCAGTTTAGTATGGGCAACAGAGCGAGACCTAGTCTCAAAAAAAAGAATCAGTTCCAGTGCCATGGTCCTTAGTGTGGAGTAGGACCAACCTAAGACAGAAGCTTGTCTACAGAGAGCTGAAAGAAAGCAGCCTCTTTGTTGCCAGTTTAAAACAATACTGGCATTTTAAAAGCAAACAGATTCTAGTAGGAGACATTGTATAGAAGCGCACCCTGTTGTGAAAGACTGGGATCTTGAGTTTCGTGCTCTAAGTCTTGTATTCTATCAGGGGAGTAATAGGCTTTTAAAATCATAAAGTGACTATTAAAATGCTTTCAGTAGATAGATTCATTACTCCATTATTTCTACTGTATAAAAGTTTATTCTAAACATGTCTAGGAAATATCCAGATTATAAAAGAGAAATAACGGTATCCAAACCAGACTTTTTATTGCATAACATTGGTGTTAGAGTTAGTTTTTAAGTCTCTGAGATTGAATTAGCTTTTTTTTTTTTTAAAGCAGATTATCAGTGAGCTAAGATAATCTGCTGTTTACCCTCACCTATTTGGAACACAGGCAACTGAATTAATTGAATCAGCAATAGGCATGGGGTAGTGACTTTGTATATTTTCATTTTAGAGCCAAAAGCCAGTGAGTTTTAGATTAGCTTTATAGTAATATTAAAAACTTCATCTTTTATTTTTACAAATGTAGCCAAGAAACATCATTGCTGTTAAAATCAGTCAGAAAAGGAGGCTACTTGCTCTTTATTGATTTAGTCATTCTGCTCTTGGAGTGAGTAGAAAGTCTTTGAAAGCTTTTCAAAAATTAGCGAGTGATGAATTTTATGAATTAGTCACTTCTTTGCAGCAGTTTTTTTTTATCTCTACCTCTGTAGGACATAGTTCCTGGGCCAGAAGCCAGATTTCTCAAGTACCATCTAACCCCAGGAATGTGTTATGATACAGATAAATTAATGAACGGAGGCTGCCTTGAGGTTGCCAATAGGGCATTGGGGAGTAATTAATATGACAAAGATGTCATCTTATTAATGAAATGTATTAATAGTATGTCTAGTGGATTGGGTCAATGCAAACATTTTAGATTAGATATTTGCTGTTTATCCTCTGAAGTTACTGTTTAAGGAAGTCTGGCCAAGTTCTAAAGTGAAGCATACATATTTGCCTCACGTGCCATTTTTTTTTTTCTTCCTGGCTTTTTCTTAGCCATCTGGAAAGCTACTATAGGGTTTACCTCTAATGGTAGTCAAGTTACTGTATTCCTCTGGTGTACTTTAATGATTGCCACATTACCAGGTATGTTTTGTTAACCTTACTTAGAATCCAACATTAGACCCTTTCTTCTAACCTAACCTGTAGGAAGGCACTTCTTGAGGTTTTAAGCCTCTCTTTAATGTTTTATTGTAAGTTGTACCTTGGGAGCATCATTTTTTCATCTTAAATCCTCTCCAGTTTAAGAAAAATTTGAAATATAAATGGCAAAAACTGTTAATGGCAACAGACTTCTGATGTAAATGTAAATTGAGATGGAAACAAAATGAAAAGTAGATTTCCCTAGGAATTAGTTAAACTGAGATAAATGGTCCTGGATGTTTTTATAGAAAGTTCTCTTAGCCAGGTGCAGTGGCATGTACCTGTAATCCCAACTACTCGGGGGGCTGAGTTGGGAGGACTGCTTGAGCCCAGGAGTTTCAGGCTGGCAACATAGCAAGACCTTGTCTCTTAAAAAAAAAAAAAAAAAAAAAAAAAAAAGTTTGCTTAGTTCTGCTGCTGGAAATTAACACTTAAGGGTTAGAGTGCATTCCTGACATAGTCTGAAATACTGTTATTAGAATTAAAGCCAGAGGCCATGCACGGTGGCTTACATCTGTAATCCCAGCATTTTGGGAGGCTGAGACGGGCGGATCACCTGAGGTCAGGAGTTTGAGACCAGCCTAGCCAACATAGCAAAACCCTGTGTCTACTAAAAATATAAAAATTAGCCAGCTGCAGTGGCATGCACCTGTAGTCCCAGCTACTTGGGAGGCTGAGGCGGGAGAATTGCTTGAACCCAGAAGGCAGAGGTTGCAGTGACCCAATATCACACCAGTGTACTCCAGCCTGGGTGACAGAGTGAGACCCTGTCTCAAAAAAATAAAAATAAAAAAACAATAATTAAAGCCAGTAAACTATAAACACTGGGCATTTTATGTTACCAATAGGGAGAGAAGGCATTAATTCAAAGAAGGAACAAAGTTCCTTATTCATAGTTTGAATCCTCATCATTATCCATGGTGATTGCTTTGCAGTCTTCCATCTTGGGTATCCTCAGAACCTTCAAGAGGGAGAAGAGGCCAGGTGTGGTGGTACATACCTATAATCCCAGCACTTTGGGAGGCCAAGGTAGGAGGATTACTTGAGCTCAGGAGTTTGAGACCACGCGGCAAGATAGTGAGACTCCGTCTCTACGATAATAATAGTAAAAAAATCTATTTTAAAAATTAAAAGAGGGAGAAAAACTTAGGGAGGCTTATATTGTGGGTTCCTGGGTAGATTGTCTTACTGCAGTTCGTAGAACATGAATACTTGAAAGAAGATATTAACGGAGCTCTCTGAATTCTTTAAAACGCCAGAAAGGGTAAGCAGATTTCATAGACTTGGGACTGTGTCCTATATTATATACGATGTTTGGAGAATCATTGCTGAGTGGTAAAGAGGTCCAGGATTTTCTAGGAAATGTAGTCTGGTATAGAGATGGGAAACTAGAAAAATAATATAAATGGCTACTATGTACAAACAGGCTCTTAGCATACATTATTTTTAATCCTCTAAATTCCTGCAGGGTGGTAATATTATCCCATTTTACAAAAGAAAAACTCAAAAGCAGGTGGTAGAGGTAGAATTCAAACCCAGGTCTGTTTGACACCAAAGCCCTTTTCTTTCTTTCATAACACATGCTGTCTTTAAAAATAGGACTTTTCTTTTTTCTTTTTTTTTTAGATGGAGTCTTGCTTTGTCGCCAGGCTGTAGTGCAGTGGCATGACTTGGCTCACTGAAACCTTCCCCTCTCGGGTTCAAGCAGTCCTCCTGCCTCAGCCTCCGAGTAGCTAAGACTACAGGCGCATGCCACCATGCCCAGCTAATTTTTGTATTTTTAGTAGAAATGGGGTTTTACCATGTTGGCCAAGATGGTCTTGATCTCTTGACCTCGTGATCCACCCGGCCCGGCCTCCTAAAGTGTGGGGATTACAGGCGTGAGCCATGGTACCTGGCCAAAAAAAAAACCAGGGCTTTTCAAAGCCAAGAGATGAAGCTGAAAGGTAGAATTAAATATTTCTTATAAACATATGTATATAAATTATTCAAATGACAGTAGGAATACAAACTTTTTTTATTGTTTAGACATAGTTATGCTATATTGGTAAGCTAATGAGTTTTTAAGAAAACAATTTTTTTTTTTTTTTGAGACAGAGTTTCGTTCTTTGGCCCAGGTTGGAGTGCAGTGGCACAATCTTGGCTCATTGCAACCTCTGCCTTCCAGTTTCATGCGATTCTTCTGCCTCAGTCTCCCCAGTAGCTGGGATTACAGGCATGCACCACCATACCTAGCTTATTTTTGTATTTTTAGTAGAGACGGAGCTTCACCATGTTGGCCAGGCTGGTCTCAAACTCCTGACCTCATGATCCGCCTGCCTCGGCCTCCCAAAGTGTTGGGATTACAGGCATGAGCCACGCACCCATCCCAGGAAATAATTTTTATAGATTTAAGAGATAGCTGAATCCTAGTGTTTTATGATTCTTTACTGGAGAGAAAATCAGCATTCCATTCAATCTCTGAGATAATTCCAGGGGAAAAGCTGTTCTGACTCTTACAGCCTTTTGACAGTATACTGTTCTCTGTATTTTTTTGGAAGCATGGACTATCCTCCTTACCTTCTTGGTTTTTTTGTTTGTTTTTCTGAGACAGGGACTTGCTCTGTCACCCAGGCTGGAGTGCAGTGACCCCATCACAGTTCACTGCAATCTCGACCTCTGGGACTCCAGTGATCCTCCCACTTCAGCCTCCCAAGTAGCTGGGACTACAGGTGTACACCACCACACCCTGCTATTTTTTTTTTTTTTTTTTTTTTTTTTTTTTGAGATGGAGTCTCACCCTGTCGCACAGGCTGGAGTGCAATGGTGCGATCTCGGCTCACTGCAACCTTTGCCTCCCAGGTTCAAGTGATTCTCCTGCCTCAGCCTCCTGAGTAGCTGGAATCACAGGCGTATGCCACCGCGTGTGGCTAATTTTTGTATTTTTAGTAGAGACAGGGTTTCACCATGTTGGCCAGGCTTGTCTCAAACTCCTGACCTCAGGTGATCCACCCGCCTCAGCCTCCCAAAGTGCTGGGATTACCAGCGTCACTTAGACGTCAGCCACTGTGCGCAGCCTAATTTTTAAATTTTTTCTAGAGACAGGGTCTCCTGATGTTGCCCAGGTTGGTCTCAAATTCCTGGACTCAAGCGATCCTCCAGCCTCAGCCTCCCAAAGTGCTGGGATTACAGGCATGAGTCACTGCGCCCAGCCTATCCTCACCTTGAAACCTTTTTATTCTTGACTTCCAGAGGTTTAATTTTGATTATTCGTTCTTCTCAATTTTTCTCTCTGCTCTCCTTTCTCTTCTCTAAGGGTAGGTATTCCTCAAGATTCTTCCCTTGAACATCCTCTCCCAGAGCCTTCTTAGGTAACTAATTGTTTGTTTTAGTGAGATATGATTTACAAGGTGTTTGATTTTGAAGTTTCTCTGTACAGATAATTCACAAGTCTGTATCTCTGGCCTTACTTTATTTAAGTTCCAAACTTAAATTTGTTCGTCAGTACCTTCCTAACATGTCGGCTTGGATTTTAAATTTATTCAGAATAATTTCTCATCCCACCTGCCAGCTTCTCATTTGTGTCACTTGATTTTCTCTGGGCGCCAGACTAAGAACTTGTCCTTCTTAACTCAGCTTTGTAACTGCTTATTGAGCTAAACATTATCTACCTTTACAACGATTCTCATGTTGATCCCTTTTTAATTCCTTTTGCCATCAACCCAAGACAGCCCCTCATTACTTCTTATCTTGGCAACTATAATAGCTTTTAAACTTGTTTCTCTTTCCTTTTCCTTCATTTCAGTCCATCTTATTATCTTTGACAAAATAATTTCTCTGATGCCTGACTGCCTGCCCCCCAACAACAAAGCTTTTATTATACTTCTTAACTAATCAACTATACCTTACCATCTAGCCAAAGTAGACTACCCATATATGTTTCTTGACCATGTCAGGTTTTTAACCTCCATATCTTTTCTTGCTCTGGTCCTGTGGAATGTCTTTCTCAACTCTACCCGTTGAAATCCTGCCTGTCTTTTAAAGCCCATCTTAAAAGCTAATTTTCCATGGAAGCATTTCGTTTTTCCCTGAAACTAAATATAATCTTTTCCTCTGTTCAACCACAACAGCATTCTATTTATCTTTTTAAAAAATGATAGATACTTTTATCTCTTGTATCACTCATTTTTCCTAATTGATTAATTGGCTACAAATGGGATTGTGACTGCCTTGTTTATATTTGTAGCTTCTAAATTGCCTGGTACCAATGCTGTTGTGTAACAGCATGTTTGCTTACACATAGGCCACTGGGTGGTGCCAGAGGCTTGTGATTTGTATAAAAATGAGTAGCCTAGACTCCCAGCTAGAGTCTACCTGCTAGAGTCTCTCTGCAGTTGGGTTGTTTGTACTGTCAGATCTTCAGCACAGTAGGAATAGAGATTAATTTTTCTGTTACAGAAACATTCAGTTTCTTTCTGCTCATCTGTCCAGCCTACCAGAGGAGACAGTGTCATATGTTGGACCCCTCCAAGTACTTAATAGAAAATAGCCCAGAACTAAAGTCCTACCTACCATAAACATGCTTTATATAATGAGTTTCAGCCTCTTTGGGGTCATCCTTTGAGTTTCAGTGCCTGAGGTTCTCTGATTAATAAACACTATACGGCCAGGTGCAGTGGCTCGTGCCTGTAATCTCAAGCATTTTGGGAGGCCAAGGAAGGTGGATCACTTGAGTCCAGGAGTTCGAGACCAGCCTGGGCAACATGTTCCCCACCACCATCTCTACAAAAAATTTAGCTGAGTGTGGCAGTATGCACCTGTAGTCCCAGCTACTGGAGGGGCTGAGGTGGGAGCATCACTTGAGCCTGGGAGATCGAGGCTTCAGTGAGCTGAGATCACATTACTGAATTCCAGCCTGGACAACAGCGAGACCCTGTCTTAAAAAAAAAAGAACATCTGCAAAACCACTATGCTATTAGAGTGTGGAAGGCAAGTAGGCTTGGAGAAGTAAGTGTTTCTTGTGAAGGAGAAATATTAAGAAAAGTAAAATAAACTTAAAATGAGCCATTTCATCTTGGAAACAAAAATTGGAGGTGGAGAAAGTAGAACTAGTTGATACCAGATGGACTGTGGGACCTAGAAAAGCAAATTTGTACTTTGGATGGAGATCAACCCTGAACAGCTGCTCATTTATGAGTGGTATGGGACATCTGTCCTCCCAAGAGAAACTTGGGACTGTGTGGCTCTCTGTCTTAATAATAATTGAAGTATTTTCTTATCACCTTCTTCTTTCAGAGGAAATTCTAAAACCTTGTCTCATTTAAATATGGGTGTTTATGTAGGAGAGTTGGGCACTTGAGTAGCAGAATGAGGCAGGCACTGGTTTGAGAGAATGCTGGGATTATATAAACCATGAGATTTGACAGACCGAATTCAGGTCTTAGTAAAGGGATCAAGGACAATAATAATATTTACACGTTGATGTTTCGATCGGGCTCAAGGTAAGGTAGTTGTCAGACCAGTGTTCATAGACCCTAGGCACCAGAGGATTTAAAATGAAATTCAGAGAAATTTAAAAAAAATAAAGAGCATAAACATACAAATTAATAGTACAACCACAAGAACAACTTTGAGCTACTTAAATTTCTGCTATTCTTAGTTATCACCAAGACAATAGGGTTGTAGACTTTTTATGTATTTAGGATTCATCTTGCCATTAATATGGTCGCTGATAAATCACACAGGCAGTCTTGGTTGCAGCAAAAATCCTTTCAGCACTTTCGTTTTCAAGTGAGAAGTCTGGACATTATGCTCTCATTTGCTATGATATATTGACCATTTTTGTCAACTTCTATTAATCACAGCCTTGAGAATTTAGTGTTTTTAATGGTATTATGTCATTTAACAATTTGCATGATTTTCCCCCATCACTCTTCTCTCATCCTGTTTTTTTTTTTTTTTTTTTTTTGAGACAGTTTCGCTCTTGTTGCCCAGGCTGGAGTGCAATGGTGCGATCTTGGCTCACCGCAACCTCCGCCTTCCAGGTTCAGGCAATTCTCCTGCCTCAGCCTCCCGAGTAGCTGGGATTACAGGCATGCACTACCACGCCCGGCTAATATTTTTGTACTTTTAATAGGGATGGGGTTTCTCCATGTTGGTCAGGCTGGTCTCGAACTCCTGACCTCAGGTGATCTGCCCGCCTTGGCCTCCCAAAGTGTTGGGATTACAGGCATGAGCCACTGCGCCGGCCTGCATTCGCTCTTTTTAGGCCACGTTTATTAAGGTATAATTTATATACAGTAAAATTTATCCTTTTTTGAGTTGGCCTATTCTTTTAATTCTGACAAAGGCATAGTTATGTAACACCACTGTGATTGGCGCATGGAACATTTCCATCATTCCAAAAGGTTTTCTCATGCCCTTTCGTAGTCAGTTTCATTCCCCTACCTCCAAGCCCTGGCAATCCCTGATCCCTCTATTCCTATAGTTTTATCTTTTCCAGAAAGTACTATAAGTGGAATCATATATTGTATAGCTGTTTGAGTCTGAATTATTGCACTTACCATAACATACTTGAGATCTATCCATGTTGTTGCTTGTATCAGTAGTTCATTCCTTTTTATTACTCAGTAGTATCCCATTGTGTGGACCTACCACAATTTGTTTATCTATGACCCAGCTGAAGAAAATTTGTTTCCAGTTTTTTGATGAATTTAAGTAAAACTATTAAAACATTCACCTACAGGGTATTTTTAATTTTGTGGACATACATTTTCCTTCTTGTTTATCTTATTTATTTATTTTTAAAGATGGAGTATTGCTGTGTTACTCAGGCTGGTCTTTAATTCCTGGGCTCAAGCAGTCCTCCTGCCTCAGCCTCCCAAATTGCTGGGATAACAGGTCTGAGCCTCTTTTTTCTTGTATAAATTCCTGAAGCTGAAGTGGGATTCCTGAGTTGTATGATAAGTGTATATTTAACTTCATAAGAAACTGCCAAATTGCTTTTTTCAAAGTAACTGTACTGTTTTGCATTTCTAGTAACAGTGTATATGAGTTGTAGTTGCTCTACTTCTTGTTAGTACTTAATAAAGTAAATTTTTGTTATTTAAACAATTTTTGACCATTCAAATAAGTGTTTAGTGGATTCTCATTGTGGTTTTAATTTATATTTTCCTAATTATTAATAATGTTGAGGATCTTTTCAAGGGATTATTATTTACAGTACTTTTTTTGGTTTGTTTTTGAGATGGAGTCTCCTCTGTTGCCCAGGCTGGAGTGCAGTGGTGCGATCTCAGCTCACTTGCAACCTCTGCCTTCTAGGTTCAAGCGATTCTCCTGTCTCAGCCTCTCCAGTAGCTGGGACTACAGGCATGTGCCACCACCCCCAGCTAATTTTGTATTTTAATAGAGATGGGGTTTTACCACGTTGGTCAGGCCAGCCTCAAATTCCTGACCTCAGGTGATCTGCCCGCCTCAGCCTCCCAAAGTGCTGGGATTACAGGTGTGAGGCACCACACCCGCCCTCTTTTTTTTTTTTGAGATGGTGTCACTCTGTTGCGTAGACTGGAGTGCAGTGAGTAGCAGGATCATAGCTCACTGCAGCCTTGAACTCCTAGACTTAAGTGATCCTCCCACCTCAGTCTTCCAAAGTGTTGGGATTACAGGTGTGAGCCACCATATCCAGCTCGCGATAATTATTTAGTTGTGACAGTTTTTTTTTTTTCTTTTTTTGAGATGGAGTCTTGCTCTGTCACCAGGCTGGAGTGCAGTGGCGCGATCGCAGCTCACTGCAACCTCCTCCTCCCTAGTAGCTGGGATTACAGGCACGCACCATCATGCCTGCCTAATTTTTTTGTATTTTAGTAAAGACGGGGTTTCACTATGTTGGCCAAGATGGTCCTGATCTCCTGACCTCGTGATCTGCCCACCTCGGCCTCCCAAAGTGATGGGATTACAGGCGTGAGCCTCCACGCCCAGCCCCAGCCTGTTGCGACAGTTTTAAAGGATATTCTGGTTACTGTCCTTGATCAAATACATGTTTTGTAGATACTTTCTTCCAGTCTGTAGCTTGTCTTTGCATTGTTGTAACAGTATCTCTTGGAGATATTTTAATTTTTTTTTTTTTCTAGATGGAGTCTCTCTTTGTCACTCAGGCTGGAGTGCAGTGGTACTATCTTGGCTCACTGCAACCTCCACCTCCTGGGTTCCAGCGATTCTCTTGTCTCAGCTTCCCCAGTAGCAGGGACTACGGGCATGTGCCACCACGCCCGGCTAATTTTTGTATTTTTAGTAGAGACGGGGGTTTCACCATGTTGGCCAGGCTGATCTCGAACTCCTGACCTCAGGTGATCCACCCGCCTTGGCCTCCCAAAGTGCTGGGATTACAGGCCTGAACCACCGCTCAGATTTATCAGAATTTATTAATTTTGATAAATCCAACTGATTAATTTTTTTGTATGTGCTTTTTGTGTCCTATCCTAAGAAATTGTTGCCTAACCCAAGGTCACAAAGGTTATTTTCTTTGTTTTCTTCTGGAACTTGTGTTGTTTTAAGTTATATTTAGGTCTGTGATTCATTTTGACTTAGCTTTTGTATATTGTACAATGTATGGATTGAGGTTCTTTAGTTTTTTTCTTTTGGCAGTTGAATGTTCAGTTATTCTGGTACAAGTTGAGCATCCCAAATTAAAAAATCTGAAATCTAAAATGCTTTGAAATCTGAAACTTTTCGAATGCCAACTTGATGCTCAAAGGAAATACTCGTTGGAGCATTTTGGATTTTGAATTTTCTGATTTGAGATGCTCCACTGGTATATTGCAAATATTTAAAAATTTGAAACACTTCTGGCCCCAAGCATTTTGGGTAAGAGGATACACCGGACAAGGGATACGTAGTCTCTTATGCAGATCTTTCATCATATTAGAGGAAAAGAGCAGCCCCAGTAGTTTTAAACAAGAGACACTTGGTATCTCTTTTACAGAGTACTCTTATCCAGCGTAGTAAAGTCTTTCTGCCTGGTTTTTAGTTAATATTTTGTCATGTAATTGGTTAAAAATTTAAGGCTTTATTCTTATTAAGACAAGAAAAATCTAGGTCACTGGAATTTCTTAGTGAAATTAAAATGGCACCTGGGTCTTTTTTCCTCACCCTCCAGTGGGTTACTCTTTAACCTTCAGTTTGGCAGGAGTTATGGTTATTTTTAGAGTAGGAACAGTGGAGCTAATCTAATTAAACTCCTCCAACTACCTGGGACAGTGAGCTCATCAGCTTTTCCAACCTCAGCAAGATTAGCTTTGGACTAGATTTTACATGAAAGTTGATCAAAGTAAAAATAGTGGATTTGTTGGAAATACAGTGAAAAGTGAAGAAGATAGTTTGGATTTGAATCAAATATGTTCTCTGCAGACCTCAGTTTATAAAGTTAAGACTGTATTCTTTGGTAATGGAAAAGATTTTTTATTTTTTATTTTTTTGGAGACTGTGTCTTGCTCTGTCGTCCTGCCTGGAGAGAAGTGGTATAATCACAGGTCACTGCAGCCTCAACTTCTATGGCTCATGTGATCCTTCCATCTCAGCCCTACCCCAAGTAGCTGGGACTACAGGCATATGCCTGACTGATTTTTTTCTTTTCTGTAGTGACGGGGGTCTTCTTATGTTGCCCAGGCTGGTCTCCAACTCCTGCCTCGGCCTCCCAATGTGCTGGGATTATAGGCGTGAGCTGCCGTGCCTGGCTGGAAAAGATTTTTCAGTGGCTCCTATACTTGACACCTAGGGCACAGCATCTCTGCCTCCTTGACTGATTTATAGAGACAAGGGTCTCACAGTTCTGCCCAGGCTGGTCTTGAATTCCTGAGCTCAAGCAGTCCTTTCTCAGCCTTCTGAGTAGCTGTGATTACAGGTGCATGCCACACCTGTGAGCATCAGGTTCCTGCTCAAAGTTTTCACTCATATAGGTTCATAATCAAAGTTTGGAGACCACTGCTCTAGAGTATCCTTCTGCAGAAATTTTGACATTTAATTCTACTTACTTTTATCATCTGTGCACATGTATTTTCTAGAGCAATTATGAGTCAAAAGTTCAGGCAGTCTGGGCTCCTGTAGGAGTTGATGCTTGGTTTTGAGAGAGGTTCTCTGCAGCTGCTTTTGAATTCTCTGGGAGTGGATAATAGTGGGGTGAAACGTATGGTAAAGAGTTTTGATTATGGAGGTGGGAAAACATCAGATCTGTTCTTCATGTTACACTGGTCTGCTTATTACCTTAGTTTATAAGTTTTTTTTAATTTTTTTTTTTGAGACGGAGTTTGCTCTTGTTGCCCAGGCTGGATGGGGTGCAATGGCACGATCTCGGCTCACCACAACCTCCGCCTCCCAGGTTCAAGCAATTCCCCTGCCTCACCCTCCCTAGTAGCTGGGATTACAGGCATGTGCCACCATGCCCAGCTAATTTTGTATTTTTAGTAGAGACAGGGTTTCTCCATGTTGCTCAGGCTGGTCTCGAACTCCTGACCTCAGGTGATCTGCCCTCCTCGGCCTCCCAAAGTGCTGGGATTAATCTTAACAAAGTAGTACATTTTCCCCACTTGATAGGAATTAATATAATTTTAAACTCTAGATGGAGAAGATAGGCTCCTATTCTAAAGAATATAAACAAGGACTGTTGAGAGGGAAAAACAAGTGCTGTGTGAGGAATGCTATACAAAACTGTCTACCTCAAAAATGAGGAAAACAAAATGCATTGCAAACAGCTTCTCACTATTTTTCTTCATGTTGCTTCACATATCTGTTTTTTGTTGCCATTGTCTTTCATCATCACCCTTCCAGGTGTCCCTTCCTGAAGTTCAGTCAGCTTCAGCCCCAGTCTTGCAGTATTTCTATTCCCACCTTGGCCTATTATGAACAATCTTTGGGCTACTGTCTTTTGACAGAGGATACTTTTAATGAAGCAGCTTAGATTTCTATAGAGGGTAGCGGAGGAAAAGATAAGGATGAGGCTGCTTCTGGAATAATTGTCATGGGAATGAAAGGGCTGTTGAAAGATTAGAGGCCAGTGTGCCTGGGTACAAGGACTGGGGTCATAATTATACTTTGTCTTTTACTAGTGCCTTTTGTCCAAGTCACTGAAAGGGCTTAATAAAATTCTGGTCTGAATAATATTATTCTTTGCTCTTTGGAATTTACTGGAGGTGGCAGTGAGGCTCTGAAAAAAATATGAATGTTTTATAGTGGCATAAAAGGAAGTGAGTTAGATACCCTGATTCCTTGTTAAGGAAAGATGAGTCTGGTGAAAGCTGGTGCTGTTAGGTGAAACAGTGTTTGCCATTATATGAAATGGGATGAGATGGTTTAATGGAAATGTTGCCTTTTTCTTCCCCACCTTTGTCTTTGTGCTTAGAGACTCTGACTGTTAGTCCTAAGGGAAACAAAACAACTTAAGCTTCTTTCCTAGGGATAGGGTGCTCCTGATTTCTAGTTTCAGCTCTATAATCCTTAGTATCTGTGCCTTTAATAAGTTTGAAGTTAGTTGGGCTGGGCGTGGTGGCTCATGCCTGTAATCCCAGCACTTTGGGAGGCCGAGGCGGGCGGATCACTCGGGAGATCGAGACCATCCTGGCTAACACAGTGAAACCCCATCTCTACTAAAAATACAGAAAGGTGGGCATGGTGGCAGGCGCCTGTAGTCCCAGCTACTTGGGAGGCTGAGGCAGGAGAATGGTGTGAACCCGGGAGGCAGAGCTTGCAGTGAGCCTAGATAGCGCCACTGCATTCCAGCCTGGGCGACAGAATGAGACTCTGTCTCAAAAAAAAAAAAAGAAAGAATAATAATAATAGGTTTGAAGTTAGTCATCTGAGTGAACAGAAAGCTCAATCTCTTCCCCCAAGAGGTTGATTTCTGTTGATTTGTGTGTAAAATGATACTCAGAATCTGACCCACCTCTTTATGTTGTGAAAACAAGTGTTGTACAGAGTTTGAGGATACATATGTCACTTATTTACATTGGAAGATTCTTGCCTAGGGGGCAATGCTGAAGTTAGCTTTATGTATTGAGTTGAGACTCTTGGCTTGCAGTACCTGTCATTTGATATGTGCCTCCTGTTCCAGGTTTTATTTTAGTTCCCACTTTCGCATCTGAAAAATCACTGCCAGTTACTCAGTGAGTGAAGTAAAGAGATGGCACTTGACCTCCCCAAAAATATATCATTATATGGATTTTAAACATAGGGAAGAAAACATAAGGAAGAAAAAATTTCACAAGCTGAGAAGACCTGTTAAGCATGCATACACAAATCATTTTTATAAAAATGATAAAACCTGTACATTGTTAAATCTCCTTGTCCCTATTGTCTTCTTTCCCAGGTGGTTTCCTAATTGTTTTGGTTTCTTCCTCTCCCAAACCCAGGCTGGCTACAGCAAACATCATTCAAGATGTCCAGCAAAGGGAGCAGCACAGATGGCAGAACAGACTTAGCTAATGGTAAGGGGCCAAAATGAAGGTGAAGCTATTTTTACTATCAACTGAGGTTGTCCTCCTCCCTGCAAGATAGAGTGGAGGCCTGGATTTTAGTGGAGAGAGGGAAACTTTCCTGTGTTGTTCTGAGTTTAGGAAACTACACAGGAAACACCTTGGACTATATTATGCTTTTGCTTCTTCTGATTTTATCTGATCATTTTCAAAATATCAATAACAGAGCTGTACTTCTAAGAGGTCAAGTGGTTTGGAGTTCTATAAAGCTATAAGGATGGGCAGAACCTAGGAAATGCTGTTAGTAAAGGAGAAAAATAAAATCTAATGGCTAGTAGGAACAAGGGAATTTTAGGGAAGATGAGCTTCCCAGTTATATTGAGAGGTCCCTTTCCACAGTAAGTAGTAGTTTGATAGAGAGATTACATGGCTGGGCATGGTGGCTCATGCCTATAATCTCAGCACTTTGGGAGGCTGAGACAGGCAGATCGCTTGAGCCCAGGAGCTTGAGACCAGCCTGGGCAACATAGCGAGACCCCGTCTTTTTAAAAAAAAAAAAAAAAAAGGTGATTACATAAGGGATGAAGTTACAACCCAACTAGGAGTGGGACATCTTTCCCCTCCTTATTTCCTTTCCTTACTTCCCCTCCCTTCTTTCCATTTATTTCCTTCCTTCCTTCCTTTCCCTCCTCCTTCTTTTCAGGACCAGTGCTGCCAAGTGTCAAATCACTGGCTTTAGGGCAGATTTGAAGGCAGAATATAAAAATTCTAATAGAGTATAACTACCACCTGGGTTATTTAACCAGCTCTTCACCTCTGAGCCAACTTTTAAATTAGAGAAGCCGCCTTTAAATGGATATAGTTGGGCAGCACAGAGTCCAGCATTCCTTAGCACCTTGAAGGTCAGGATAACAGGCTAAATTCTAGTTGATGTGATTGGAGGAAGGATAAGTGAGATTTTCAACATGCTTTTTTATTGCTCCATATGTTCTTATCACTGCCATTCATTCATCTTTTGTAAAGGAAAGTGGTTCATATTTTTCACTGGGTTTAGTTGAAAGGCACAGGGTTCTAGAGGAGTTAAAGTATACTATTGATTTGGAGCTTGACCATTAGCTAGGTCAAGGATTGGCAAACTATAAATTGCAGGCCAAATCCAGCCTGCCACTTGTTTTTGTAAAGTTTTATTGGAATACAGTCATGCCTGTTCGTTTATGTAGTGTCTATGAGTTGCTTTTGTTCTACATACTGGAGTTGAGTAGTTGTGGTGGAGCTCCGTATGGTCTGCAAAGCCTAAGGTTTTTACTATCTGGCCCTTTACAGAAAAAATTTGCAAACCCCTACTCTAGATCTTGGTGATTTACTGTTGGGGACTTCTTGATGAGCTTGTGATACCCTCTGGCCCTTATGTTAATGTGGTAAGGCCTCCAAAATTGTCTATATTTGTTACTCATAATTTTAACAATAAACACTAGATGTTTTGGTGTTTTATTTTTTCTTTTCTACAGACCTGTTAGGTTGGTGTTTCAGTCCCTGCTCACCACTCCCAAGCTCAAGCCCAGCTGCATTTCAAAAAACTGTAACTGCTAAACTTTCGTAGCATATATAACAGGCTCAGCAAATGTGGTCCTTGGGTTCAAATTTCTGTACTTCATAACTTTTTCTTCCAGCCCCTAGCCCAGTTGTTTTATACTGTGCTCTTAGTTGAGGCTTTTTTTTTTTTTTTTGAGACAGAGTTTTGCTCTTGTTACCAAGCTGGAGTACGGTGGCACAATCTCGGCTCACTGCAGCCTCCACCTCCCAGGTTCAAGCGATTCTTCTGCCTCAGCCTCCCAAGTAGCTGGGATTACAGGCACATGCCACCACGCCCGGCTAATTTTTTGTATTTCTAGTAGAAATGGGGGTTTCACCATGTTAGCCGGGCTGGTCTTGAACTCCTGACCTTAGGTGATCCACCCGCCTTGGCCTCCCAAAGCGCTGGGATTACAGGTGTTAGCCACCGCGCCCAGCCTGCAAGAACTGTTTATGTCTTCTGGGCTTCTGTTACTGCTTGAATCAAAGCACTTGTATTGTTGATCTTTTTTCAGTATTGGGTTTTGCTTAAGAGTACATTGCTTCAGAGCTCTTCACAAATTACTGCTCTAATCCACATGACTAGGCAATAAGGTGCTCCACCTTTGAATCCTTAAACATCAGTGTGGTATTGGAGTTGAATAGCTCATACTGGATGGTCTGCCTTTCCTGACAGCTTTTACTTCTGGCGGATAAAATTTATAGCCATCTGAGGAAAGGAGGCCCATGAGCAGCATTTAAAATCTTTATTCTCCCCTTTTTTCTTCACACCTTGACTTAGGTTGGAAGTTGTGGTTGTATTGGCTTTAGAACATTCCTCAAGTTCTCATTGGAATTGACTTGACTGTTGTGAGTTAAGAGAATGCAGTATGTAGTTATAGGAGATAAGATCGATAAAAGTGACCTAGTTATTTAACTATCAGCATAGCAGACCTAGAATATACTGAACTTTCGTCTTAGGCACCACTATAGTAGCCCAGCTTTTTATCAATTTTATATATGCTTCCTAATAAAACTGTCTCAATAGAGAGACTAAAAATGTGTGACTAAGAATTATATTAAAAAATTCAAACTAATGGAAGTAAGTCAAAATATATTTACTAGCAAAAGGTGAGCAAGAACCCACTCAAATGATCACAATTCCCACTTACCCCTTCAGCTTGCTTTCTTAGTGAATTTTAGAAACTTAGGTGGGGAAGAAGCTTAGGATTTAGGTGACAGAAGGTGTAGTGGTACTTTCTTTTTTTTGAGATGGAGTCTCGCTTTGTCGCCCAGGCTAGAGTGCAGTGGTGCGACTTTGGCTCACTGCAAGCTCTGCCTCCTGGGTTCATGCCATTCTACTGCCTCATCCTCCTGAGTAGCTGGGACTACAGGCGCCCGGCTAATTTTTTGTATTTTTAGTAGAGACGGGGTTTCACCATGTTAGCCAGGATGGTCTCGATCTCCTAACCTCGTGATCCACGTGCCTCGGCCTCCCAAAGTGCTGGGATTACAGGCGTGAGCCACCGTGCCTGGCCTGATACTTTCTTAAAGTAGGAAATGGTGCAACACCACATCCATAAGTCAAGAGTGATTTTTATCAGCTGGTTTCCGTCTTTCGCTAAGAAGATGGCTATGCTAGCTCTTGCTGGAGTTGGCTCTTCTTTTTATATTCTGTTTAATTATTTGCTATAACTTAATAAATGCCCATCCAATACAACAGAGCCAATGGTAGATGTATCAGGCACACTTTTATACAATATGCCAATGTTTTGCCTCTTGAGAACTTAATATAATCTTAGATTGTCCTGAGATTCTTTGCTTTTGTTGAAGTATTTTATGTGTGTGGATTTGATCTTAATCTTTTCAATTTCTTGTCCTTTACAAGATTTCCCCTCAGAGGGTACTCTCTGTAATTATTTGTAATGAAAACACTTGGACCAAAGTTCATTTTTTGGTCTTTTGATGTGAAGATTTCTTAGACTAAGGTGGTCACTATCCTGTTTTCTTATTTTTCCCTCTCCTCTACTCCTTCCTCACTAACATGCAGGAAGCCTGTCTAGCAGTCCAGAGGAGATGTCTGGAGCTGAAGAGGGGAGGGAGACATCCTCAGGCATTGAAGTGGAGGCCTCAGACCTGAGTTTGAGCTTGACTGGGGATGATGGTGGCCCCAACCGCACCAGCACAGAAAGTCGAGGCACAGACACAGAGAGCTCAGGTGAAGATAAGGACTCTGACAGCATGGAGGACACTGGTCATTACTCCATTAATGATGAAAATCGAGTCCATGACCGCTCAGAGGAAGAGGAAGAGGAGGAAGAAGAGGAGGAAGAAGAGCAGCCTCGGCGCCGTGTACAGCGCAAGCGGGCTAACCGTGACCAGGACTCATCAGATGATGAGCGGGCCCTAGAGGACTGGGTGTCCTCAGAAACATCAGCTCTACCCCGACCTCGCTGGCAAGCCCTCCCTGCCCTTCGGGAGCGGGAGCTGGGTTCAAGTGCCCGCTTTGTCTATGAGGCCTGTGGGGCAAGAGTCTTTGTGCAGCGTTTCCGCCTGCAGCATGGGCTTGAGGGCCATACTGGTTGTGTCAATACCCTGCACTTTAACCAGCGCGGCACCTGGCTGGCCAGTGGCAGCGATGACCTGAAGGTGGTGGTGTGGGATTGGGTACGGCGGCAGCCAGTACTGGACTTTGAGAGTGGCCACAAAAGTAATGTGTTCCAGGTGAGGCAAGGGAGCATAATAGCAACTGAGAGAATCAGGCATGAGTTAGAGAAATCTGAACTGCAGCATGGATTGGGAGCTGATAGTGAGTTATTGTAGGAATTACATATCGGGACATGGCCCTACTTTGGCTCCCCTAATGACCTAAATACACTGAAAGACTCTTGGCAACCCTAGATTCCTTGAGCATGTGGACTGTTGGAAGCCTCATAGGTAGGGTGCATGCAGCTTATTAAATGTGTGCTGGTAGGAGGCAGTGTAGTATAAGCACAGGCTCTTGAACCAAACTGCCTGAGTTCAAATCCTAGCCCTTCTGCTTACTAGCTCAGTGATCTTGGCCAAGTTATTTTACCTTTGTCTTCAGTTTATCTGTAAAATGGGACTAATAACACATAGGGTTATGAGGATTAAGTAACAATAGAAGCTAAGCAGTTAGAACTGTGACTGGTACTTAATAAACATTTGATAAATGTTAGCTTATACTGTTGTTATTCTGGAAAGATTTTACTCCTTGGCCCCATCTACTGTACTGGTACCAGCCATTTATCCTAAGGGTGTTCTCTTTTCTTCCCTGACATTCCCCCTATTTTCCTTTTTCTTTGTAGCAAATTTATATTTACTTTCTTAATCAAAGTAGATTTTTCCTCCTCTATTCCTTTTCTCCTCTGCTAGATACAGTCCTAGTTCATCTGAGCTCTTATCATGTGCCAGTTCAATCTTCCAGAGCCAACTGAAATGCTCTCTTACATCAAAGGAAGTTTTTTCTCTCCCTTTCCTTTAACTCCTGGAAGAAATTGGGCTTAGCCAGCTGTACAAGAGTAGGAAAGCTAAGTTTCCAGCTGTCATGTAAGAAAAGGGGGTAAGTTGAGGTCATCATCGTATTTTTTATTCTCAAGTTTACCTCTCTCATTTCTTTTGTGTGTCCTTTTTTTCATTTTTAACACCCCAGGCCAAGTTTCTTCCTAACAGTGGTGATTCTACTCTGGCCATGTGTGCCCGTGACGGGCAGGTTCGAGTAGCAGAACTGTCTGCCACACAGTGTTGCAAGAATACAAAACGTGTGGCCCAGCACAAGGGAGCGTCCCACAAGGTAAGTAAGACCTTGCTCCAAAATTTGTGCAATCCAAATCCTCTGTGGTTCTCAGCCAAGGTTCTCCCTTATCTCTGCCCATTGTGTCACATTTGTTGTGGTCATGTGCCTCACCTCTTTCAGTCCTAAGATTTGTGGTTAAGAAAGGAGCAAAAGCAGCCACCCTAAACTCCTAGGAAGGCAAGTATCTGAAAAGTCCCTAGATCATGCATTCATAGTATTTGGCCCCTAAGCTAAGCCCTAGTTGGTTTGGAGATCTTTGAGGTCTCCTGTGCCCTCTAAACCTTTTACATTTATTGTGATTTTTTAGGGTATTTTGACAGTTTCAAGGTGCTAGTGGTTTATTCCTCTTGTGTGAGAGCTTCAGCTTACCTGCTCAAACTCTCAGTTCACAAATAGCACTGTTTCTGGAAGCCCTATTTAAAGCTGGGAATATAGGCCAAATAATCCATGGTGGCAGCTAACAAGGAGTTAAGAGCTGCCAGTTTTAAGGTAGGCATGGTGTTGGTCTTTTGTGCCATGAAAAGAGGTTGGTACTCTCTTAGAAACCCTAAGCAAAAATATAGGTGGACCTGGAGTATCCTTTTCTAGCCAAGGCGGCCCAGGATATGTGAAAATTACCTATTTCTTTGATTCTTAAGTCTACTCCTAACCCACTAGTTAACTGATTTTCAGTTGTAAGGAACTAAGATGTAAGGAATGAAGTTGGACACCATTTCTCTCTGCACTTAAGGGTATGGAATTGATTTTATTCGAGAATGAACTGTTGCTGGGTGTGGTGGCTTATGCCTGTAATCCCAATACTTTGGGAGGCTGAGGTGGGAGGACTGCTTGAGGCCAGCAGTTAAAGACCAGCCTGGGCAATATAGCAAGACCCCATCTGTGGAAAACAAACAAAAAAAAAGCGAAAAAATTAGCCAGGTATAGTGCCTTGTGCCTCTAGTCCCAGCTACTTGGGCAGCTGAGGTGGGAGGATCACTTAAGCCCACAAGGTTGAGGCTTTAGTGAGCCATGATCATGCCACTGCACTTCAGCCTGGGTGGTAAAGTGAGACCCTGACTGGAAAAAAAAGAAAATGAACTCTAATGGCTGATGTTTTTCTTTGCTATCTGTTCATATCTCTTGAGGACTTAGTTGAAATAGCAAATCAACTGTCCTTTGACTAGTTATAGAATAAACAAAACTATAAATAATTCGCATAGAACAAGAGTAAGTGGGCTTAGATTATGTCCTTTCCTGGGATTTTATGACAAAAAGGTAGACATTTCTCTTTTTGGAACATTTTAAGTGCAGCCCTTCCCAAAGTTATAGGAATGAACTAGATGACCTCTAATTCTAATATTTAGAAACCTCATGTTTTTCCTTTTTCTTCTTCAGTTGGCACTGGAACCAGACTCTCCCTGTACGTTCTTATCTGCAGGTGAAGATGCAGTTGTTTTCACCATTGACCTGAGACAAGACCGCCCAGCGTCGTAAGTGTAGCAGTAATATCATTACAGAACTGTATCTCTTAGCCTTGAACATATTCCATATGTCTTGGTAATGCCTAACTCTGGTTCATCCGAATAGTACCTTTGTGCCTATGGTTAAGAGGTAGTTTAAGGTTAAGGGGAATTCCTTACTTCCTCTCTTTCTCAGTAGTGAAATACTATTCAGTCTACCTTCATTTCTCAAACAGTTTACTTGTTATATGTGGCCTTTAATAATTTGATGATCTTTTGCTCTTTATTCACTTGGATATCATTCATCTTACCCACAGAAAGCACATTCTTCCACAGACTCATGTAGAGGTACAGTCCTGTAAATTTTAAATTTAAATACATTTTTAATTTAGTTATTTATAGAAACATACAAACATAAAATTTGAACAAAAATACTGGTAGCTGTAGTTGAGTTCTGTTTTATCACAGTTCATTTGTATGTGAATCTGAGACTCATAGGTAAATTTTATTCCTTTTTAACTGTGTGGTATCATAGAAAAAACACAACATCTTGTTTGGATCCAGGCAGACCTAGGTCAAATCTCAAATCAGGCACTACTAGTTATGACTTACATAACCTTCTGAACCTCATTTTCTTCAGCCTTGCTATGGGCATATTTTTTTCCCTCCCTCCGTCCTTCCCTCTCTAGTAGTTTCTGTGAGGATATATATATATATACACACACACACACATACACACACACATATATACACACACATATACACATGTACACATATATACACACACATATATGTTTATATACACACATATGTACACACATATACACACATATGTATTTATATACACACACGTATATATGTATGTATATATATACGTACGTGTATGTATGTGTGTGTGTGTTTGTGTGTGATGCCTCAGCATAATGTTTAACACCATGGCTGAAATTGATTAAGTTTTAGCTTATAATTATAATTATTTTAGTTTCTTTTTTCATTTTTATTGCTCTTACAATAAACAAATACTTCTTGTTTAAGAGATTCAAGTAATAAAGTATACAGACAAAATGTAAATGCTCCCTCAGTCACCCCCGCCCCACCATTTTTTTAGCTGTTGAAAACCATTGTGGGCAGGGCACGGTGGCTCACGCCTGTAATCCCAGCACTTTGGGAGGCCAAGGCAGGTGGATCACTTGAGGTCAGGAGTTTGAGACCAGCCTAGCCAACATGGCAAAACCTCACCTCTACTAAAAATACAAAAATTAGCTGGACATGTTGGCATGTGCCTGTAACCCTAGCTACTCAGGAGGCTGAGGCAGGAGAATCGCTTGAACCTGGGAGGTGGAGGTTGCAGTGAGCTGAGATCATGCCACTGCACTCCATCCTGAGTGACGGAGCAAAACTCCATCTCAGAAAAAAAAAAAAAATCATTGTAAGTAATTTTGAACACCTTTTTAGTCCCTTTTGTATACATTTTGTACCTAAATACATATATACACTTTCTCCTTTCTCCCCATAAGTATACTTGTATGTATATATAAACATATATGTATGTTTCTGCAGTTTGCTTATTTCATGTTACAATGTGGGAGATTTTTCTGTGTTGGACCATAAAAGCTACCTTGTTGTTAACCATGAGAGAAATGTCATAGCATTGGTGTACCACAGTTTATTTAACCTTTACCTTATTGATAGATATCTAGATCGTTTATTGTCTTGTTTGTCTTAAAGATTATTATAACAAATCTTGGTCAGGTGCAGTGGCTCATGCCTGTAACCCCAGCACTTTGTGGATCACTTGAGGTCAGGAGTTCGAGACCAGCCTGGCTAACATGGTGAAACCTCGTCTCTACTGAAAATACAAAAATTAGCCGTGTGTGGTGGCACATGCCTATAATCCCAGCTACTCAGGAGGCTGAGACAGGAGAATCGCTTGAGCCCAGGAGGTGGAGGTTGCAGTGAGCTGAGATCATGCCACTGTACTCCAGCCTGGGTGACACAGCAAGACTGTCTCAAAAAAAAAAACCAAAATTATTATAACAGATCTTATAGGTCAGTACCAGTATTGAGTAAGGGATGGCAATGATTTACATAGGACATAAGTAAAATATAAATTAATTTATATTGGGGAATATAACATGAAGGCTGATTATTACTAGACTTATTTTTGGAGAGCTAAGTCCAGAAAAAGCTGTTTGGATAGTAGAAGAATTTCTACAACTGCTTAAAAGATAGAAATGTTTTAGGCTTGGGGAAAAGATATGTTGCTTGTTTATATAACCTTCAAGAGGACAAAGACTGGGAGATTTATAGTGGAAATGGAACAAGCCTAAATGACAAGGGTTCTGCCTTCTAGTACTAGCTTTGTAGTTATCTGACTTTGAGGAAATCATTTAATCTTTTGAACTACATGATGTTTGTTATTTCCAGTTCTAAAGTTCCAGGGTTCTGTAATGGTAATGGAAGATTAGCAAGTTTTTCATAGGGAAGAGCAAAAAAGGAAAAAATGATAGTAAGTTTATTTAATATGCTGTGTTAAAGAGTTGTGAAACAGAGTGAGATCTTATCCTGTGGATCAGGTTCAGAGGGAAACTACTGTTAGGCCACCAGGAATTGAATCTGGTGCAAGTAATGAATAGAGCGAATGACTTTGGCAGATTATTGAATTTAGAATGAAATTATATAGGCAGAAAGTCTGGCTGAGAGTTAACCATGAATCTGAACATAAGCAATGATAGGTGGGATAGACTCTAAAGAGGGGTAAAGGAGAAAATGAAGAGTAGAAGGAGGCCCAAATCTAGATTTGAGTAATAAAGACAGTGAGTCTTTAAAGTTTTTGTTGTAAGGGTTAAAGTAGTGTTACAGGCTGG
Source organism: Homo sapiens (assembly GCF_000001405.40). Classification (NCBI taxonomy): domain Eukaryota; kingdom Metazoa; phylum Chordata; class Mammalia; order Primates; family Hominidae; genus Homo; species Homo sapiens. The sequence continues at coordinate 160,234,297 of NC_000001.11, read as the reverse complement.
CATGGGGTGAAAAGCTGAACATCTGCTTATGTCAGAGGCATTTTTTTTTTTTTTTGAGGTGCAGTCTCACTCTTTTGCTCAGGCTGGAGTACAGTGGCATGATCTTGTCAGAGGCATTTTTGTGTGAAGTTGGCATAAGGGGGATTTTCTTTTGTATATATGATGATAGCCAAGTCTCTGAAAGCTAATGAAATTGACTAACATCTTAGGAAAAAAGTTTGATTTGAACCTGTGGATGGAATATTCCTTTAGCCAGTGGAAGCCAGTTTGAGGTATTCTTCAAAGAAATCCTTTGGTCTCATCTGTAATTATTTTTCCCTTTTTGCTGGGACATACTTGCTCATTAATTTTAAGGCAAAATTTGGTGAATTTGTTTAATGTTTCCTCTAATGTGAACATTTTTTCCTCCTATTGCCATGATAATCATTTTTATAGCACCTCTGCATGCCCCCTGCAGAGTTCAAGGTACTCTGCATTTACCCATCAGGAGGGAGAAATGTTTGTTTTATGGGATTAAGTTGAGGCATAGTAAGATTGAGCTCTTCAGCAGGATTACATAACTGTGGAGCCAGTACTTCATAATCTATTCCTTAGTTTCTTCATTTTGCTTCCACATGGTAACTTTTGTATTTGTTTGACCTTGTCCTTCTGAAATTTCAAATTGCTAAGGAAATGAGATGGTCCTGTGGGAAGGAGCAGCATCAGCTCCTCCTCTCTTTCCCTGTCTAAAACTCATATTAGAGCAGTCTCTTAGCTAGTTTTGTCCCTGAAGCTGTTATTCTTTTGACATGTTTCCTGCCTTGTGTTTTTGAGATGTGTGGGGGACACCATTAGGGGATGGAGGTTTCCCCTAATGACATTCATTTTCAGTGCCCTCTGTATTTTTTTTGTTTGTTTTTAATTTTAAAATAAATAGAGATGGGAGCTCACTATGTTGCCTAGGCTGGTCTTGAACTCCTGGATTCAAACGATCCTCCCACCTCAGTCTCCCAAAGTGCTGGGATTATAGGCATGAGCCACTACACCTGGTCCTCTGTATTCATTTAATGAAAAGCTGCAGAGATACTAAGTAAAATCTCAACACTTTGCCTAGAACAGTTCTAGGCTGAAGTGACTTTGGCTATGCAGAAAGGATGCTAAAATCATTTCTTTACAAAGAAACTTGTTGTCATGGTTATATTTCTTTCTGTTTCCATAGCATCAGAAATAAATAAAACCTTAGACTTAAAAACAAAAACTAAAGCCAAGCCTCTTCCTATAGTTTCTTGAAGTCTTTCCTTTGCTGTAAATTTACCAATCTTCATTATGTCATATTTGACTAATTGAATGCTTAGATCTGAGAAGAATATTCCTCATGCCACCCTTAACCTGGAACAAATTATGGCTGTTTTAGACAGATTATTCTGGATTTCTTCAGTGAAAAATTTATCAGTTTTCAGTGTGCATATTTTAAGCTGGGTTTTTTATTTTTTTACTTTTTGAGACAGGGTCTCACTCTGTCACCTAAGCAGAAGTACAGTGGCAAGACCACGGCTCACTGCAGCCTCAACTTTCTGGACTCAAGGAATCCTCACACCTCAGCCTCCTGAGCAGCTGGGACTATAGGTGCATGCCACCACACTGGCTAATTTTTTATAACAATTTTTTTTTTTTTTTTGAGACAGAGTCTCCCTCTGCCACCCAGGCTGGAGTGCAGTGGCACGATCTTGGTCCACTGGAACCTCTGCCTTCTGGATTCAAGCAGTTCTTCTGCCTCAGCCTCCCAAGTAGCTGGGATTACAGGTGCATACCAGCACGCCCGGCTAATTTTTTTATTTTTGGTAGAGACGGGGTTTCACCGTGTTGTCCAGGCTGATCTTGAACTCCTGACCTCATGATCCACCCACCTCGGCTTCCCAAAGTGCTGGGATTACAGGCGTGAGCCACCGCACCCGGCTTTTTATAATAATTTTTTATAGAGATGGGGTCTTGCTATGTTGCCCAGGGTGATCTTGAGCTCCTAGCCTCAAGTGTTCCTCCCAAAGTGCTGGGATTATAGGCATGAGCCAGTGCCTGGCTTAAGTTGGGTTTTAAGTGACTTTTTTTTTTTTGAGACAGTCTTGCTCTGTTGCGCAGGCTGGAGTACCGTGGCATGATCTCTGCTCACTGCAGCCTCTACCTACCAGGCTCAAGTGATTCTCTTCCCTCAGCCTCCTTAGTAGCTGGGATTGTCCTGAGTAGCTGGGATGATAGGCATGCGCCACCACGCCTGGCTAATTTTTGTATTTTCAGTAGAGATGGGGTCTCGCCATGTTGGCCAGGCTGGTCTCAAATTCCTGGCCTCAAGTGACCCACCCGCCTCAGTCTCCCAAAGTGTAGGGATTACAGGCATGAGCCACCATACCTGGCCATAAGTTACATTTTAATGGAATCTGAGCAATAGTCTCTGACCTTAAGGTCTTTTTTAGCCTACTGTTTCTGGGATTCTTCTTCCACGTCTCTCCTTGTTCCCAGGTGATAGGGAAGATATATTTATAAATAAAGGGTAGGAAGGTATCTGTAGTATTGTCTGATTAATAACTGGCTGTTACTGTGTTGGACTGCAGCTAAACTGAGGCTTCCTAAAGAATGGTACATTCATATACCTTTAGTTTATACTTCTTAAGGAACACTAGAAAGTGACTTCACTACATATTTTTTTCCCCAATCCCCAAAGTCCCATATAATAAATGTATGTGCTTTTTTCCTGTTGTTACGTACAAAACAAACAGAGAAAACACAACAATTCTTTCTTTCCAAATGAGAATCTCTTTGGTTTCTTATTAGCCATGTGACTCTCTTGGCTCTCCTTTGCCATGACCATTTGGATCTTTTGGAGTATATAACTTTCTGTGCTTTTCTACTCTTAAAGGAAACTGGTGGTGACAAAAGAGAAAGAGAAGAAAGTGGGGCTGTATACGATCTATGTGAATCCTGCCAATACCCACCAGTTTGCAGTGGGTGGACGAGATCAGTTTGTAAGGTGAGTTTGTGGCTCTTTTGTGTCTTTGACAGTTTGTAAGACTGATGCATTGTATACTACCAGGTGCTCCTTTATGGAGAGTTACGAATTTTATAGGAATCCATTAACTATTATCTTGAATTTTTTACCGTTTTCCAAAAATCTTACACGCCTTTGGAGATGTTCTGTTCTCTAATGTAACAGTCTCTGAGGGGTGACTTTACATATTTTAGAGATTATCAAGTTTTAAAGAAGTTAGATGATGGTCAGGTGTAGTGGCTCACACCTGTAATCTCGACACTTTGGGAGGTGAGGCGGGTGGATCACCTAAGGACAGGAGTTTGGGACCAGCCTGGCCAACATGGCAAAACTCTGTCTCTAAAAAAAAAAATACAAAAATTAGCCAGGCATGGTGGTACATGCGTGTAGTCCCAGCTGCTCAAGAGGCTGAGGCAGGAGGATCACTTGAGCTCAGGAGTCAGAGGTTGCAATGAGCCAAGATTGTGCCACTGCACTCCAGCCTGAATGACAGAGCGAGACTCTGTCTCAAAAAAGAAAAGAAAAGAAGTTAGATGAATTGACCAAGGTCCTCACGTGGCAGCTAAGCCATAAATTTAGGTTTACCAGCAAGTACTATATTAGTAAATAATCTACCTTTTTCGTATGTAAATAAACGTGCACTAGAAATTTTAAATACTGGTTTTCAATTCAGAAATAGTTTGACTTGGGAGCACTTAGTGTGAACTGAGGGTTTTTTGGCTCTCACTGTCCTGAGCTACCACTTTTTTTTATCCATAGTGATATCTTTGTTACCGTGAACACCTTTTGTTAACACTGGCTCTTGAGACATGACCTAAGGAAAACAGACACTGTGGATTCAGTCTCCATATGTATTAGTTAATTTCCTCTGACCCTTAGTAATAAGCTGTATCCATCCCTATCCAGTTGGCCTATTTTAACTATGTTTCTTTGGGCTCATCAGTTTGAAAGGAGAGAGAGGGGCAAGATCACTAGAAAAATGAGTGACTTTTTGCTTTCCTAATGGTAAGTGAAAAGCATCATCTTCCTTTTGAAATGAGAGCACATTTTATAGCTATATTTCCAGATTCATTTTATTAATAAGAATCATGGGGAATAGGGTAAATTTTTAGAAAATACATGAGATGACTTTGCCTTGTTCAAGAATCCTGGACAAAACCTTGTTTCTCTCTTCTTCCCCTATTCCCATGCCTTCAAAATTCGTTTCCTCTAGTCACCAACAGTCCTTAAATGTGTAGCCATAGATTTTTTTTTTTAGACAGAGTTTTACTCTTATTACCCATGCTGGAGTGCAGTGACACAATCTTGGCTCACTGCAACCTCCGCTTCCCGGGTTCAAGCGATTCTCCTGCCTCAGCCTCCCGAGTAGCTGGGATTACAGGTGCACGCCACCACGCCTGGCTAATTTTTTGTATTTTCAGTAGAACCGAGGTCTCACCGTGTTAGCCAGGCTAGTCTCGAACTCCTGACCTCAGGTGATCTGCCCGCCTTGGCCTCCCAAAGTGCTGGGATTGCAGGCATGAGCCACTGTGCCTGGCCAATTTTTTTTATTTTTAAATAAGAAGCTGTTGATCAAAAAGGGTTGTAGTTTGTATAGATTTTCAGTTGCTACCTCCTCCAAGTTGAGCATTCACTGAAATTTTGAGTTGAGAGTTCCTACTTAGAGCTCCAGATTACTTGAAAAGTCTGTGTCTCTAACAAATTCCACCACTAGGACCAAGATGTTTGGAGGGGAATGTAGTAGTTTGCTGTATTGAGAACTGTATTCATATGTATGTATGTATTCATATGTATTCATATGATATGTATATCATATTGCCTTAACCCAAAGCTGATACTTTCCCAGGGTTAGAGTAAGGCTTAGAGTTTTAGCATTTCAACACAAGGAGAAATACTCAAATCTTCTGTGTCTTATCAGCCTCAATATTCCTCTATTGGCTATTTACTGGGCAGAAGTTATGTGAAGATTTTTGTTTTTTTTTTGAGACAGAGTCTCACTTTGTTGCCCAGGCTGGAGTGTAGTGGCTCGATCTCGGCTCACTGCAACCTCTGCCTCCTGGGTTCAAGTGATTCTCATGCCTCAGCCTCCCAAGTAGCTGGGATTACAGGCATGTGCCACTTTGCCTGGCTATTTTTGTATTTTTAGTAGAGATACGGTTTTGCCATGTTGGCCAGGCTGGTCTCGAACTGTCTTCAAGTGATCCACCCACCTCGGCCTCTCAAAGTGCTGGGATTACAGTCGTGAGCCACCGCGCCTGGCTATGTGAAGATTTTGAGGCACGCTGATCCTACACAAGCAGGTAGCCCTTTCAGCACTCCAGCTCTTCTCTGACATTAGGTTACACTCAACTTCTCTGGCACCTCTCCTGTGCAGCCAACTGAATGTTTTGAGGTTTCTCCTTTCTTATTCTTCCTTTGAAAGAACCCAAACAGCTCATCTTCTGGTATAAATTTGAAAACATTTTTGCTGAATATTATATATCATAACATCATTAACTTTCACTCCTAGCCTAAAGGAATTACTTCAAGGGAATATAGAGAAATAGCTTACTGATCCTCAAGGCTTTTGCATCATTAATACTGAATTTTAGTTTAGGGTTATTAAAAAGTATTTAAGGGAAGCTCTGGGGAGACATGCTTTTTGGCCTGTGGCCAAAAAAAAAAAAAAGGTAAGTAGAGGAGGTATAGGTGTGAGTCCCTACTACACCTGCTAAGCTAAGCTAATTCCTGCTTAGCTTAGTTTTAAGAATTTATAGGGGTAAAGAAAAAGAGAATATATCAGGTGAATCCTTTAGTGGTAAATTTGGCTGACATGAAAATTTATTGCTAAAGGATTAAGTATAGGCCCTGATTGATGAAGCACAGTCAGTAAATCATCTCTTCATTCCCCAGTTCTTAAGCCAACATCAGCAACACTGAGAGAACATTAGATTAAAGGCAGGTATAGAAGAGAGACTTAGGGTAACAAGTTAGTGGGTGCCTGAAGGCATGTGGGAAGAGATGTGGTAAAGGTGTGCACACTATTCCTTACGTGACTTAAAATGTCAAGGGGCTTGGTGTGGTGGCTCATGACTATAAAACTAGAGCACTTTGGAAGGCCAAAGCTGGAGGATAGCTTGAGGTCAGAAGTTCAAGGCCAACTTGGGCAATATAGCAAGACTGTGTCTCTACCAAAAAAAAAAAAAATTAAGAAAAAATTTTAATTTTTTAATTAATTAAATATCTCCAGGTGTGGTGGTATGCTCCTGTAGTCCCAACTACTTGGGAGGCAGAGGAGGATCTCTTGAGCCCAGGAGTTTGAGGCTACAGTGAGCTGTGATTACACCACTGCACTCCATCCTGGATGACAGAGTGAGACCCTGTCTCAAAAAAAATAACTAAAAGTAAAATATAAACTATCAAGGGCCTATCATATGTTCAGAAAGTGGTAGGAAAGTTTGTATTAATCTTTCTATGCTTACTGTCTATCACAGGGCTTGACAAACTGTAGTGCTTGTTTTTATAAATAAAGTTTTATTGGAACACAGCCATGGCCTTACTTTACATGTTGTTTATGACCACTTTCATGCTACAATGGCAGAATTCAATAGTTTTAATAGAGATTAGATGGTTTGCCAGTTTACCAGCTTAAAACATTTACTGTCTTGTCCTTTAAGAAAAAGTTTGCCAAACTCCGTTCTAGCATCATATGTAGAATATAGTAAGCTATTAATAAACACTTAGTTGGGGTGTAGTGGCTTATACCTGTAATCCCAGCACTTTGGGAGGCTGAGGCAGGAGAATCTTTTGAGGCCAGGAGTTTGAGACCAAGCTGGGCAGATGCTGTCTCCACCAAAAAATAAAAATATTAGCTCAGCATGGTGGTGTGTGCCTGTAGTCCCAGCTACGCGGCAGGTTGAGGCGGGAGGATCGTGTGAGCTGGGGATGTCAAGGCTTAAGTCATCAGTAACCTAACTGCCAAAGCAAACAAAGTACTTTTCAAGTCTTTTTCTCTACTCTTGACATTATTACTCCTTCCCTGAAGCACCTTCTCTCCTTGATGTCCAACCACTCCTCAGTGTTGTTCATGGGTGTGTCTTCCTTTCTCCACCCATTAAATGCTGATGTTCTCCAGTAGCTCAGTCTTCAGCTCTCATCTTACTCTATACCAGGGAATTTTAACTTGAAGTACAAATATTATGTGAACCTCCAGAAAGTATGCTTATGTGCATTTTTCTGGGGAGAAGGGACTAGAGTTTTCATTATATTCTGAAACAGGCCAGAGATTCTAAAGGGCGAAGGGAAAATCTTCTCTGTATTTTCCCTTGGAGATCTAATTCCATTACCAATGCTTTAACTACCACCTTTCACACGGATATATGACTTACATCTGTGTCTGCAGACCACACTTATTCTGAACTCTAGACTTACACCTACTTAACAAATGGATATAATTAACTGATGACTTCAGCCAGAGAAGTCTCAGTGGTGAGTTGAGAACCAAAACCAGATTAGGATGGACTGAGAAGTGAATAGGAAGTAAGAAAGTGGAAATATTGAATGTTGATTGTTCTTTTCAGTAGTGTAACTGTAAGGGGAAGGAGAAAAAAAGCAATAGTAGGAAAGGACAGTCAGCAGAAGGATTTTTAGAAAGTGGCCAGCTGGTGATGAGGAAGAGGTTGAGAAATTAGATAATCATCAAACAAGGTCCCTGGAAGGATGAAATGAAAAGCATTTTTCAAGAGATTGGCTCTGAGATTGGAGGAGACTGGGTGAGAACAGATACTGGATCTGTCTTGTTCCTCACTGTATTTCTAGCACCTAGCATAATATTTGACACATAATATGTGTGTCCTCATGAGTTTAAAGCTTGGATTAGAGAGAGGAAGGAAGGTGAAGGTGTAGTGTGCTTGATAAGAATGAGGAAAGGAGAGGGAGTCTTGAGGATATGGGTGGTAGTTTTTAATAATTATTGTGGGGTATGAGAGGGAGAACAGGCCAAATACAGTTTTAAGGAGGGATTACAGACCCATTGACTTACATTAAGCATGGTTTCTGCCCGTGAGTAACCTTTTTCGGTAGGTAATGTACATGTAAAAAGCTCCATACTAATGTTAGTTGTTTCAGTGAAAAGTAGCAGTATGTGATATAAAACTTGAGGAGAGAGATAAACCACTTCAAACTGACAGAATTGAGGATTGCCACTTAAAATGGGAAGTATGTGGATAAAGGATTTAAGGGTTTGCCTGGCCAACAGATGAAACTCTGTCTCTACTAAAAATACAAAAATTGGCCGGGCGTGGTGGTGTGTGCCCATAGTCCCAGCTATTTAGGAGGCTGAGGCAAGAGAATTGCTTGAACCCATGAGGCGGAGGTTGCAGTGAGCCGGGGTCATGCCACTGCACTACAGCCTGGGTGACAGAGCAGGACCCCATCTCAAACAAACAAAAGATTTAGGGTTTGGAAATGGATTGGAAAAGGGATGCCCTTTAAGGAAGAGCACAAACCAAAAGCTTGGTTTGGAAAATGTTGTTTATCTGCATCCAGCTGGCAGTTTCCTGCCACTACATCAAATTGCAGCTCTTCAAGGGTTTCGTTTGTACATTTTTACATTTTCATTGCTTTTCCAACTGTAGGATTTATGACCAGAGGAAAATTGATGAGAATGAGAACAATGGAGTACTCAAGAAGTTCTGTCCTCATCACCTGGTAAGATTCATGAAGGGCCAGTTGCTGCAGGCTTCCCTGACTCAACCCCAAGGCTGCACCTGAACTTGTTGGTATGGTGGGAAGAGCTTGGACTTTCAAGTCAGTCATCTGGATTTGAATCCTGGCTTTACCACTTACCAGCTTTGTGATCTTGGCAGTCACTTCACTTCTGATAGCCTCAGTTTTTTAATCGACAAAATAGAAATAAAAATAACTGCCTTGCACCTTGATGGTGAGGCCTAATGAGACAGTGTACATAAAATGGCTAGCACATGGATGACAACCAAAAGAAAGCCCCAAGATGCTACCCCCTGAGGTGGTCATGTTTCATCAGTTGTACTCTTGTCTCTGTCTGTCTTTCTCAAATCTCTGGGAGAAGATATAGGGGAGTTTGAAGGAAAAGCTGTTTCCTGAAGATGGTATAACAAATGGGGGGGTGGGGCATCAGTCAGTATCTGCTCCTTATTGCAGGTGAACAGTGAGTCCAAAGCAAACATCACCTGTCTTGTGTACAGCCACGACGGCACAGGTACGTGAGCAGGGCCCAGCTCCTAGGCTGGCATGCCCCCTCTGTCTAGGGAGCTGCTGAGCCAGTGAGGCATGTGCCCTCCAGTGCTCACCACTGTGCTATAGCTCCAAGTAGAGCAGCTGGGGAGTAACTGCTGATGGTGAGCACATAGCGGGAGGATACAGTAGATGACCCTTGGAGATGCCAGGTACCATTTGCAGAATGCTGCAGATGATATTTGGCAGGGCCTGTCCTGAAGCCCAGGTTGCTTGCCTGAGCAGGTTCTTATGCCTTTGACTCATTCCTGAGTTAATGGGTATGACCTTTTTGAGCATTCTGCTGCCCCTGGGTTGGCAGTGTGTTCTTAGTCTACCCTGTACAGTCGGACTTGCCTGGTGTTCCAAATAAGATGGGTGCTACACCTGGGTATTTGGAGGGGGCACTACTGGCAAGAAGCCCCACCCCAACCCCCACCTCCTGGTCCCTGCTTTTTTCAGCCTTTGCCTTCACTGCTATGTTCTTGTTCTTGGCAGAGCTCCTGGCCAGTTACAATGATGAAGACATTTACCTCTTCAACTCCTCTCACAGTGATGGGGCCCAGTATGTTAAGAGATACAAGGGCCACAGAAATAATGCCACAGGTGAGACTGTCTTCCTAGGTTTCTTTGGCCCAAGCCTGTTGGCTTTGGAGAACCACAGTGTCTTACTCAGGTTATACAAATAGAAACTACCTGCCTGTGTTGCCATGGGCACTGAGGGATTATCCTGAATTGGGCTGGAGTTTTCATGTTTTCTCCGCTATGCTAGAGGAGAAAGCGCTCAAGAGCATCTCTTGCCACTCCAATAATGTTGCTTCTAATTGGTTTGGACATAAGGAGGCTAGACTAACTGTTTTTAAGATTTCAGGCAACTTCAAAAGAAGCACAAATGCCTTGTTAGGGAGTCAGGGAAAGCCCTCTTTAGTCAGTGGTCCTGAATTGCTTAAAATAGGGAGTGACCTTATACCTCTAGGAAGGAGGAGTAAACAATTCTTTTAGATGAGGCAGAAGAGGAGGAATGGTGGTAGTAACTAGCCCAAGATTGGCCTGTTTTGTTCCATGTCTGTGGTTCCCAAACTTTGGGGCACATTGAAATCATCTGATGTGTTTTGTTTTGTGTTTATGAGACAGGATCTCACTCTGTTGTCCAGGCTGGAGTGCAATGGTGCAATTATGGCTCACTGCAGCCTTGACCTCCCAGGCACTGCAGCCTCAACCTCCCGGGCTCAGGTGATCTTCCCACTTCAGCCTCGTGAGTAGCTGGGACTACAGGTGCATGCCTCTACACCTGGCTAATTTTTGTATTTTTTGTGGAGATGGGGTTTCACCATGTTGCCCAAGCTGGTCTCTAACTCCTGGGCTCAAGTGATCCGCCTGCCTCGACTTCCCAAAGTGCTGGGCATGAGCCACCAATCCCAATCCTGGTGTTCTTTTAAAAATAACAGTTTGGCCTTAACCCCATATATTCTGATTTAATAGGGATGGACTGCAACTTGAGCACTGAGATTTTTAAAAACTACCCACATGATTCTAATGTCCAGGAAAGTTGAGGAATCATTTCTCTATTGTTACCACTCCTAGCAGATACCTGTCATGATTTTGTCTTGGAGATAGCAGTTAGAGGTTAGTTTTATTTTTTTTCCTGAGCTGGTAAGAAGGGAGGGAAAAATCTGTTCTTGGATCTCAGTACACAGGCAGATAAAGGAAGGGTGCCAGTCTCATGGCCAATATTGTACTGACCATAGTCATTGGAACTCTTGGCTTCTTTTACTGATTCCGGAGAGTGGAGCCCTGTTAATGGTAGCAAGCACAGATCACTTGCTTCTCGAGGCAGTTGTGGCATATACCTTCATCAGTCTCAGATCAGCTGATGACCCAGAAATATTGACAAGGTACCAATGAAGTCCACATATCAAAGATAATCCTAGGCCATAAGACAGTGCTGCCTAAGAGTAGGCAGAGCTGGGATGATTCAGGGTGGGACAGGTAAGAGATTAGAGAGGCCTGTGGTTACTTGATAGGGTATAAACTTGAGAGACTAAGGCTGCTGCTAAAGGACTGCAGATTCCTCTGCCCTAAGGAGCGAGCTCTTTGGGAGAATATAAATCATCTCTTGGGACTGGTGTGATTCCTATAACTATCTGTTAAACATGCATAATCTAGCTGATTTAGAGTTTGTGAATAACTAAATTCCCTTTGAGATGAATGTATATAGGCCTGATGCCAACCCTCATGTGGTTTCTTCCCTCATTTATCATTTCAGTAAAAGGCGTCAATTTCTATGGCCCCAAGAGTGAGTTTGTGGTGAGCGGTAGTGACTGTGGGCACATCTTCCTCTGGGAGAAATCATCCTGCCAGATTATTCAGTTCATGGAGGGGGACAAGGGAGGCGTGGTGAGTATGGTGTGCTGAGCTGGCTGGCTCCCTAATCTCTCCAGTCATTAAGGTAGGTTTTAGCAGGGACACTGAATTCTCACTGTGACTACATGATACCATGTTTTAGAGGTCCAGCCAGCCATAAAAGACTAGTTAGCCTGGAGGTGCTGAGTTTTTGATGGAGTATTTTCTTCCTGTTCCTATCTTCTGTCCCTGTAAAGCACAGTTTATTGAGACAAGAAAGGGATCTTAGGGAAGAACCTCTGTCCTGTCCTGAGTGATGTAACTTATCTCTAGACGTGCACCTTTTCCAAATGAAAAAGCGTTAGTGTTCAGGGCGTACCCTCCTACACAAGGCTAAAGATTTCTCCATGTCTCTTCCCTTTAAACTAAACTAAGTAGTGATCTTGGCTGGATCTTAGATTAGCAGATAAAAGCTATAAAGAGCATTTTTTGGACAGTTGGGAAAATTAGAATATGGTTTATACATTAGATAACATGGTATTCAATATTAAATTGATTTGATTACTTAGAATATTCTTGTACTTAAGAGATACATGTTGAAGTATTTAGGGGTGAAATGTCATGCGTACATTCAAATAGATAACAAACACATATACATGTGTACATATAAGGAGAACGCAAATGTGGCAATTGTTTTTTAGTAGCTGAGCAGTCTGCTTGCTGTATAACCCATGATCGTATCATAGTCTGCCTGGCCTTTGAGTTCTGCAGCCCTCTGTGGAGTTAGGGCAAAAAGGAAGAGTGAGAATCGAGTTAGGGAATGAAGAGCAATCAGCTCTTAAGATGTATCTGGTTAACCTTATCTTTTTTTTTTTTTTTTTTTTTTTGAGACCTAGAATTAGGAAGGAGTTCAATCGCTTTCTGTTACAAGGTTTTTGGACCACAGGAGATGGGAAAAACACAGTTTGGAAGACTAAATTATACTGATTGCCCAGAATAGTCTGGTTATCCAAGGCCTCTAAGGAATGACTGAGACAGCTAAGTCTCTCTTCCTTTTTATTCCTTCTTAGCTGTGGGGAACTTCAAAGAGCCTAGCCATCTCTTGATGAGGTTTTTTCAGAGAGTGGTTTTAGAATTTAGAATGGTTCTTTGCAATCAGGATCCCATTCCTTATGTTTTTCTTGCCCTGGTGAAAGGGTATTTCAAATTTTCTTCTGGTTTCCTCTAAATTTCAGGGACCTGGGACCTGCATAGATCTAGGGTTTTTATGGTTTGAATACAAATGGAGAGGAGTCTAGAAGTTCAAGGTGTGTCTCACTCTTCCCTGCTTCATTTCCAACTCTTCCATAGGTCCCCCTGTGTCATCTGCAGTGAACAAACCCAAAACACTTGAGTCTTAATGGGAATTATGCAATAGGCATTTAGAGAAAGGAAGTCAGAAGGGGCCAGTGAATTTTTTCTTGACATAAGCTATTGCCTTGCATTCTGTTCCAGAGAGATGCAGGGCTGAATGCCCTCTCCCAGGCCAGCATTTGTCCATTCTCCAAAAGCATTCTGCAGGCCAGTTTGCTTTTAGCTCAGCCAATGCCAGGGTTTGATGATTAACCCATTTGCCCAGGTGAGGAAGGCATCTACTTGGGATGGGTGGGCCCCAGGCCTAAGTTTTAGTGGTCCTAAGAGTAAATGAGTAGAATAAGAGATATAGAGGCTACCCCTGAAGCAAATTTCCTTACATATTCTTGTCTCTGTGTAAGCTGAATGATCGATGTGGTCTTTTACTTGGCTCCCTCTGCTCTGTTTTTTGGTCCTAATTTTCCAGCAGTGGGGGTTACCAGGCACTACTTTCAATGTAGTAGACTCAGCAGTTCTATATCATGCAAATTGTAAATGTAGAGTAGAATGTAATTGTAACGTAGAATGTTAGAACCAAAGATCTTAGAAGTTATTTTCTGCCTTGCCCAGATCTCCTGACTGATTTGAGGATCTTTTCTTTGTTCCCATTCAGCTTCACAGGGACAAGGGTTGGGGGTGGTATCAGAGGACAGCCCCTTAGTCTCCCAAGAGCACTTTGATGCTTGATCCCATTCTCTACATTCCCCCAGCCCAGTCATCTAAGGCCAGAGCTCTTTTCTCTGCTCAGGCATTATTGACAGGATAAGTCCTGGCATTCAGACAGGTCTGGTGAAGTGACCAGGTACTCTGGCCCAGAAGTTCTCTGTCGGCTCCCCCCGCAGGCTCCAATTCAGGTACTGTATGTTATTCTCTTGTTCCTCTTGCCACTGGCTTTTTCCTTAGTCTTAAGTTCCAAGGAATTGTTCCCCTGTGTTTTTTTATTTTCCTGACTTATTCAAGCAGAGCTAGCTCAGAGTACAGGTCTGTAACAAGGGCTTATTAGGAGATAGATGAAAAAGTGCAGGTTTGTATATGTAAGTTGTCCATTACTATAGATAGATACTATTCCAGGCATTGGACTTTAACTGCACTGCCTAAAAGAGCCCAAAGATAAACTTCACAATAGGCTGATATGTGGAATGGGAGGAGGAGATAAAGAACGGGGTTTCTGTTTTATTCATAAGCTCAGTCTTAGCTTCAGTCTTTTCTGAGCATTTGTTTATTTGTAAGATGGAAGTCAAAGTAAGTGGGAAGTCTGTAGGTCAGCTCTATTTTCCATGCCTGCCCTTGACTTCTCCTCAGCTGTTCTCTGCCTGTGCAGGTGAGGCAGCGGAGGTGGTTGGTCCAGAGAGAACTAAAAGAAGTTGTTTTCTTGGACTATAGGTCCAGCTGCAAGGCAGGGTGCCTTTCCTATGTGTTCCTCTTTTCACTAAAAGACTCAAAATGCTTTAGCAGCTAGATCTGGAACTAACTCTTCTGGATGGGGTAGGAACTTCCCTGCCCTTCCCTTAGGGAAGCTCATGTTTCCAAGTCAGACAGCAGGGGGCATTGGGTGCCTTTCGGACAGAAGGAAGCTGCCTAAGCTAGAAGGCCTGCCTGCTGGAGTTTATTTCTTTTGCCTTGTTCAGTGAATTTACCCAGAGGGTGGCTGAGATTGAGGCTTTGGGAGCCCCAAGAAGCTGCTTGGTTTTAATGTGCTGCCTTATAGCTGAGCCTGTTGTGCTCAGGGCAAGTAGTAGGATGTTCCCCCTGGGATGTGCAAGGTTCTCTCAAGCAGACATGAGCCTCCATCACTCCCACCACTCCCTGCAACTCAGCCTCCTCTTCTCAGCCTGTGCCTTCCTCCAGTTCTAGTAAACACTGCCAAATGAATATAGTTCTCCGACTCTTCTCTGGGGGTTCATTGGCAGCTGCTGCTTTCTTCATTTTTTAAAATTTATTTGCCACTTGGTGAAAGCCACTGAGATGGTTTTTTCCAGCCTTGGGCAAGTTGGAGCTTTGGAATCTGGAGTGAATGAGGTCATCTGGATTTCATTGTCTTCTTACGAAGCCAGCAGTAAGCTTGGGCAGTCCACTCACCCACCCCTAGGGCCATATCTGGGGATGAAGCCACCCCCGACCTATACATAGGAAATGATTGATGTGCCTGGTCTTATACCCAGTCTGTGTCTGGTTTCTCTACCCTCAGTGCCCTTTGGCTTAGGCTCAGGATGGGTGGGCCTCCCTTCCCCAGCAGCTGCCTCAGCCCTGATCAAGGGCAGTTATTTGGCTCAAGGTGAGTAGTGGTTTTTAAACCCTACTCCCACACACTGCTGAGTCTGTGTTTTCCTTTCTTCCTGACCAGGTAAACTGTCTTGAGCCCCACCCTCACCTGCCTGTGCTGGCAACCAGTGGCCTAGACCATGATGTGAAGATCTGGGCACCCACAGCTGAAGCTTCCACTGAGCTGACAGGGTTAAAAGATGTAAGTGGCTGACTGCAGAAGTTATTTTCTTTCTGCTTATCCACATACTGTTGATTCTTATTGTCATAGGGAGGAATAACTTGCTGCCCAGTTCTTTAAAGGCACTGCTCTAACACCCTCCCCCACATTCCTGTAATTTCCTCTGTAGGAATAGTCCTGCTCCAGGGGGCAGCTGTGAAGTGGCACTAATTTGTAATAGGATGGGGATAAGGAGCATCTTTAAGAATTATTCTGTATTAAAGCCTGCTACCTTTTCAGCAGCTGAACCTAGGGCATCATTTCCTAATCTAATGTAGCTCCACTTCAACTTAAGGGAAGCTTTTATTGGGATAGGAGATCAGCCTTCTTGATCAGGTCCCGGGTTCCTCTTCATTGCTGCCCCCTCTTCCCAACCTTTTTGGGTTCCAGGTGATTAAGAAGAACAAGCGGGAGCGGGATGAAGATAGCTTGCACCAAACTGACCTGTTTGATAGTCACATGCTGTGGTTCCTTATGCATCACCTGAGACAGAGACGCCATCACCGGGTAAGCTAGGGTTGGAAATGAATTCCCAAGGGAGTGACCCTTTTAAGAGGGCTAAAAAGTTCCAGAGTAGTGACTTCAAGCAGTAATCAGGTGATCTTGGTCGGATTTCCTATCCACTGTCCTCTGTCCCCATCAGATCCCTGATATAGCCTTGGAAGAGACATCAGCAGAAAAGGGTGGTATCTACTTTTGTCCATTGCCGTCCATGTGTAATGCTATCTTCATAAAGGCAAAAGCTGGAGGGTGGAGGAGGGAATTGAGAAGAAATAACAAGTCTCAGTGTGACCCTTCTATTTTTCCTCTTATGCCAAAAGAGGCCTAGTTCAGGGGTTGGCAAACTGGCAGTTGGCCTGCTGCTGGTTTTTGTAAATAAAGTTTCATTGGCTTGCAGCCATACCCATTCTGTGTATTGTCTGTGGCGGCCTTCACGCTACAATGAGTTGAATAGTTGCAATAAAGACCATATAGACCACAAGTCTAAAGTATTTACTCTCTGGCCCTTTAAGAAAAATTCTGCTGATCTCTGGCCTAAAGCATCTAAATTCTGGCTAAGACCTAACAGGCTTGTCCTTGTTCCATCCAGGGAAGTTACTAACAAGCCTTTCCCATCCACAGCGCTGGCGAGAACCTGGGGTTGGGGCCACAGACGCGGACTCTGATGAGTCTCCCAGCTCCTCAGACACATCGGACGAGGAGGAGGGCCCTGACCGGGTGCAGTGCATGCCATCTTGAGGCCTCATACCTAGGTGGGGCAGGCTGGGGCTGCCAACCTGATCCTGCCTGGGCAACCCTTTCCTGTCCCAGGCCCTACATTCAGCAGAAACGCACTTTGGACTTTTTGCTTTAGATAAAAGAAAGACATCCCAGGAGAAGGACAAACCAGAGGAGTGAACCAACAAAGAGTACCTAGGAATGGGAGTTGAGCCCTGGAATGGGGCTCTATGGAGAGGTGCATAGGACTCGGCAGAAATGGCCTCTCCCCAAAGCCTCTTTTTGAGAGGAGAGGGAAGCCTATTTTGTTAACTGGTTTGGGATAGGGAATGGGGTTTCTTTTTCTTTAATCTCCCTTGTTTCTTGGGCTGGGGGAGGGGTGGGGGGAACAACTGGCTATTCAGTACCAAGGGGCCAGAGTGGAGGGTAGGAGTGCCACTCTCTCTTTGGTTTAGGTTTTTGACCTTTTCTTCCTTTGTTTTTTAAAAGTTTATGACAGTTGGCTCCCCCCCCACCCCCAGCAACCCCATCCCAGAATCCTATTTTCCTGGGAAGTCCTTAAAGCCCCTAACCATCCCACACTCTTCACTTTCCTTTCCACCTTATTCATTCTCTGTACTTACCACAGTATTTTGCACTTGATTACATATCCTTCACTCTCTTCTCTTCATCCCATCACCCCCTAAATAGGTCAGGTGAGGGAGGCTGGGAAGAGGTGGGAGGAGGGGCAGAAGTGAAGGAAGAATAGGAAGGATATTACCTCTTCTGTTATTTTTTTAAGAAACATTGTTTGGTGGCAGCAATCTCCCTGTCCCTATCACTGTTAGAGGCCTAATTTTATATCTATAAATATATTAAAAAGCAAGTCAAACTTGGATGTATCAAGGTAAAATTATTGTCAAAGTTTAAATACCTATATATTCTCTGAATGCAATAAAGGGACTTAAGAGTGAACAAGAGTAATGGTGTGGAAGTGACACCTGGGGTCAGTTTACCTCTGTGTATGGTCACTAGAGATTGGGACTTACCCTTTAGGTTTTAGGAGGCTTGAGAATGGAAGGATCCTCATTTCTGCCCTTCCTGGTTCCCTGCTTTGGTGTAGGGGTTGGGAAAAACAGGAAATTCCTCTCAGCTCTGCCTCAGATCTCCTACCTCTCCTTAAGTCTTGTAGGGGGTTCCAAGGATGGCTCTTCTAACCAGAGGCTGGCCTGTCTTTAAAACTTAACTACTTTAGGGTGGTGCCACCACTGCAGACTATTGTGGTACTTTGTGACAGAAGACATGTACACACACACCACACACATACATACACACTCTCTCACTCTGTCTCTCTTACCTTTAGCTGCTTGATCATTAAGCCATCCAACTTCATGCCAGTTCCCTTCTTTATAGAAGAGTGAAGGGAAAGACTTCCTGGGTTTGACTTAAACCTTGTCCACCTCTTGATATTTTAGGATTGAGGAATAAGTCATTAATCTAAGGACTGATTACAGTGGCTGGAGCTTGGGCACTTGTCTTATCACTGGTCACTGAGTCTGAAAGTCCCAGCTGAATTCTTGCCCTTAAGTGCTTTTGCTGCTATTTTTTTGCCCCCAGTTCCACAAGATCCAACCAAGAATTCTGTATCCTGGGACAGTCAGATTCTTCTAAATCAGGCCAGGAAGGAGGGGAAAAGAGTGAGAGAATGGTATTCCCAGATACTTCTTCCTCCTGCCCCTTTTCCCAGCAGCTCTGAGACCAGATGTTGGCTGCTGTACTTACTCCCTGAGGTAGGGAATGTGTGGTGATCGAGTGGTCTGTGTTCCTATTGCTGGTGGGGTGATAGGGTGGGCTAAAAACCATGCACTCTGGAATTTGTTGTATTTTCTCCCAGTAAAGCTTTTCTTCTCCCGACTGCTGCTCTGTGTGGTATGTGGTCCATTTATTCACAATGGATGGTTTTTGTTCCTACTAATGTAGGTACCTAGCCTTCCCCTCTCATTCTGCACATGATACAGTGTTAGAAAGTCCATTTTGGGAGACCCGTATTTCCAGTGCTTGGGCTCCAATTGGAGACTGTTGGAAGTAGGATACACTCCATTTAGCTCAGTGATACTTAGGAGATTGGGTGGGGTGAGGGTATACACTTGGGGTATTTTCCCAGCCCTTATTCTGGGCCATAAATATTGTTCCCCCTCCCTTCCCAGTGATTCAAAGCCTGCAAAATCCTGGTCACTCACAGAAATTTTAAAATCAGTTAGTTGCAATACAATCAATCACCTTTATTCCGGGTTAGAACAAGGCCGTGCACACTGCAGACAGAAGAGCACAAGATAGGGGCAATCTCACAGCAATATAAGGAGTGGGTGGGCAGGTTAGTCTTTTTAGATTATTTTGCCTTACAGAGAAACTACTAGACTCTGCTGAAAAGAACCCTGTCTCTCTTCTCCCATTTCTTCCATAAGAAAGGCTCCTTATTCTCTCTCTCACTCTAATGTAACATATCCCAAATGGAAGGACAGTTCATGCTCATTCCCCCCACCCAATTCTACAAGTATCTCTCTCTTCTTAAGGGAGAAGCCAGACAGGGAAAGGGAGACTTGGGAAGGTCCTTTAAGGCAAAACTGTGGAGTCCTAGAGGTGTGTGTGTTAAGGCAGGTGTCTGCAGCAGTGGCCAGAGGGGCAGGGCACGCTAGGCTGGGCTAGGAGTTAAGAGTACTGTCTAACCAGTCTGGCTTCTTCCTTCTTCCAGCAGCCAGCCCTCCCCTCCCATTAAAGTTTTACTCCCACATCCTAAAAGCTCCTAACTTGAACTTTGTCTAAATAGTCTCTGAGACTGCATGTGAATTTAATGTTTTTTGAAAAAGCCTTCTTTTTTGTTTGGACTATGTAGCAATTTGATTCTGCCACTCCCTTCACTGTGGCATTCCCCTCCCACCCCCGCTCTGGCCTAGACAATAAGTTAATGCTAGACACCACAAAAAAGGGCAGACATGGCAGTGCAGTTTTAATATACATATATGTAGAATATATATGTACACACAGTTAGCACGGTCAGGGTGGGGAGGGGCATCTTGGGGTAGGCAGGAGGCTGGGGTCACTCACTGTACTGTAGTGATGTGGCTAGGAGGTGTTCACAAGCCCAGGGGGCCAGGATATCTAGTAAAGAAGGGTTTCCTAAGTAAGTCCCTTCCGGGATTGAATTGGGGTGGGGATCGGTGCAAAGGAAAACACTGTAGTTAACTTCTTTCTGGCTTGGGATGTTCTTCACCAAGGAGAGAGGGAAGGTTGCCTACAATAACCAAGTTGGGACCCTATAGATGGTGGTGTCAGGATTCGTGTTAAAACCTAAGGGTCTCATTCTTCAACCTCCCTAGGTTTAGAGTGCAACAGTCTGAGTAGGAACAACTGAGTGGAAGAGGGGGCTCCCCTCTCTCTGCCCTCATCCCCATCTCAGGCTCAGTGGTACATGTTCCCAGCACAGTCTCTCCAGAGTACAGGTGGGTGGGGGCATCTAACGCTGGCTGCTCCATGGGGTTTGATCTTAGGGACCAGGAAAGGATCCCTGGCTCATACCTATGCTAGGCCCATGAGAGACAAAAAGGGACCTGCTGGTACTCAGGAAACAGTCCAGCACAGGAGTACAAACATGGAACTCTGGCTTTTCTTTGCCCCTTCCAGGTGGGGGTTGAGTGGTCTCTTTGCCTTCCGTCCCCACTGCTTTTCCCTGGATCCACCTACCTCTCCCATACCTTACCCCTATGTCAGCTCCTCAATGTAGGAAAATGCAGGTCCTTTCTGCTTCCACACTTTAAAGATATGGGGGGAGTGGAGGAAAGGGAAGTAGGAGGAATGTGCTGATTTCTATTTGCATAGAAATAGCCCCCACCTCCTCCTAAAGTGGGGAAACTCAGCCCCCTCCCCTAGCCCCTGACCCCCATCCCCTTAAGAAGAGGAACTAGATGAGCTAGACATATAGACAAACAGCCAGAGCGTGCGCACACGCACACACACGCGCACAGTAAGGGGGTTAGGACCAGGTTAGTAAGTGGGTAGATGGTGGGTTGCCCTTGCCCCCTCTCCTGGAGGATGGGGGAAGGGAGTGGTCTGATGAAGGTCCAACCTTCCTCCTCTTCCTCCCCCTTGCTCAGGCCTTCTTCGGTGGGGGAGCCAATTTGATGATCTCTTCCTCAGAGGGCTGCCGGATAATGTCTGGGGGCAAAAAGGTATGTGTCCAGGGACAGCAGTGTGGGAGATGCCAGGCAGGCCCATTGGGCATCTGCCTCCACTCTCCCAAAACTCAAGTACTCCAAGGATAGTCAACGGGACGAGGCAGAGGTGCAGCTAGTTAAAGGAGTGGCCGCTTACCTTTGTACTTCTTGGCACTGGGGATACGGGTTAGCTTGGTGTCCAGCTCATCCTCCTCAGAGATCTTCAGCACACGGGTTCTGTAGTCAACCACCATAGTGAGTAGGTCAGGACGGCGGGAGATCTCAAAGATGTGCTCAATGTAGGAGAGGTTGTCTGGAGGAAGGCAGGAGATAGGGTCAGAGCTAGGCTGTAGAGGTCAGCTTCCCCTACTCCACCAGACTAGTGACCTGGAACCAAAGCTGAGTTGCTGACATTGGTTATGGGAGGGTACAACACTGGAGGAAGAGGGGCTACTAATCCAGGAGAAGAAAGCTAAGGTACCCAAACAACAATACAGAGGACTGTTCGCAGGAAGGGCAGATAGTTGGTCAGTGAAGTTTCTAGATTGTGGTTAGAATGAGGGGTTTAGCTTAGATACTAGCTCCCATATGTTGTGGGGAGGGGACAAAAGAAAAATCAACTTGACTTCCAGATACCCCACCCCCACCCCCATCCTTTTCCACTTTCCATCCAAGTAAGTATCAGAATTTGCTGACAGCACATGTAGGACCAGCAGGGTGGAATCTCTAGGCAACCCAGGAGAGATTCTGGGCCTGGTGAGAAAGGTTATTCTAAATGAGAGAAGGTATGGACACCACCAGAAGGACGATGTCCATGGCTTGGCCAATTCCAGGAGATTATAGATGCCCTTAGACCTTCTTCCCTGGCTCCTCCCCTCTGACTGTTGCCATACAGTCTAACTGTAACACGTCCTCCTTTATACGTTCTCCCTGCCAGCCACACAGCAGTCAGAATAGTATATCTGAAGGGCCCTGAGTTCACTCACCTCACCTATCCAATACCCAGGCTCTCTACAACACAGTCTTACCTTACCTTCCCAGCCATTTCTAAACACCCTACATCCTAGTCAAGCCAAGCAGGACTGATTGCATTTCCAAACACACTAGATACTCTGTGACAGTGTTCCTCTGCCTGGCATGCCCTCCTTTGGATCTTGCCTTAGAAATCCCACTCACCTTTCAGGGCCATCTTAAACACCAATTCTTCCCTAAAGCCTCCAGCTGTGAGGGATTACTCTAATCCATAGATCCCACTCCCCAAGCAGTAGTCTCTCAAAGTGGATAAGAAAATGATAGAACTTGTAGTTTTAAATTTTACCAGTTTTTAAAAAATGCTTAACAAAGATTAGTATTACTATTTACCAGTTAGATTACACTTCGAGTTCTCCCCTCATTCAGGTATTCTTCCATTTTTATTGTCTAGAATTCTTCCCAATTTTTGCCACTTAAAATTTTACTATTTTTAGATTGTTTTTATGTTCTGTTGTATATGTGATAATAGCACAGGAGTATCTGAATAACATTTTTTACCGATGAGGGGCACAGTGAAAAATGTCTAAGGCCCCCATACTCTTAGAGCACCTCTCTTCTGCCTTGCTATAGAGGGGTACACATTGTGGATGTAAAAGCTTTGAGCTCATCTCTATTTGCTGAATGAACTGAGCCTGAATGACTGATGACAGGACCCCTGTGCTCCCCTCCCCCACCTTTGTCCAGCTTGTTGTGGCTCTCCAGGAAGCTAAACCAGGCACTGCCAGTAGTGATCTCCTCACTCTTTTCGCTGGGGATGTCTTCCTTGCAGGCCGACTTGAGCTGTTCTAGATCTTCAAGGGTGATGTTGTTGGTCAGGTCTTGCAGGAGGGTCCCGTACTCAGCCATGACTGGGGTTGGGAGGCGACAAAGGGATAGGAGTTGAGCTTAAGGTATGGAGTCTGGTTTACTCACTGGCACTACCCTCCTACTCCCCACTCTGCCCTACCAGGCATGTGCCTGGAACATGGAGGCTGGAGGTGGCTAGGGCTGGAGGGAGAAAAGGAAGACCTAGGGGAGGCAGTCAGGGTAGACGGGAAGCTAGGAGCCAGGCTGGAGCCTAGAGTGACAAGTCATACCTCCTTCCCCCCACCATCTTTTTCTTCTGTTTTCCCCCTCTAACAGTAACCCTGGCAACAGTTCCCCTGACTGAGGAGGCGGTTACCATAGCAACCTGCTCCCGACTTTCTCACCCGCTCTCTCCAAGTCCCCCCTCAGAATCGCCCCACCCACTTCCAACCCCTCCCCATGTCAGGGAAAAAAAACTCCAAAACAACCAGGGCGAGGCTTGCTGTGGCAGTGAGAAGCTGAGAAAGAGCTGGAGGGTCTGGTAGGAACTCATGTGTTCTAGCTTCCCCATTCTGCCTCAAAGGCAAAGGGGTCCCTCACTTCAACTCCCCACCACCCCACTAATGACTCATTTTGGATAGATGCCTAGTTGCTTGGTCTGATGGTTCCTTGGCCCCACCATGCTAGCCTTGTATTCAGTCATTAGGGTTCGAGGTGGGGGAAGCAATGGACCACCCCCACCTTTGTGGAGCCCATTTTCTCCTTTGATGGTTACCAGGCCCCCACTCAGCTCTCTCTCCTACCCTTTGTGCTGTGCCTGCAGCCCCCGTGCCCAAGAATACCAAGCAACTGGCTCTGGCCCCCTGCCCAGTTCCCAGGCTGGCTGGGTGGTGGGGGGAGGGGACTTTAGATGCGGCTTTGGGAGAATGGCAAAAGGGGACTGCCCCCCCTTCTCGTATCGTATCAACATCCTACTGGCACTACCTTCAGCATGGTCTGATGAGATCAGCAAGGCCAGATCTCACCTAGGCTTTCACCCTATCCCTCTTTCATGATCCTTAGGTGAGAAGTAGAGAACATTCAAGGCCTTCCTTCCACTAAGATAGGAACTGTGGCTAAGACAGAAGAAAGAAGGTCAGATGTTTGAATGGACTTTCTGGATTTGATAAAATGTGACACTAGTGGTAAGCTCAAAAATGGAACTTATTTCCACAATGAGTATCTATTTCCTTTTAGTCAGAAAAGTAAAGCATGTTTTAAAAAGTAAATTGTATCATAAACACTCTGTATGCGACTAGACCAAGGGGTGGGCAAGCAGCAAGATGACCTTGTCCCTGACGGAGGCTGCCTGCAAATCACCCCAGCATTAGGCTGGGAATGTGGCAGATCAAAGGGGCTTGGTTGACACATTCACATTTTCCTTCTTGCTCTACTGCAGGGGAACTGAGATTGGCATGGTGGTCACAAAATAAGAGATACAGACCCAGAAGTCCCCATTCCCAGCCCCCTACCTGGACCAGAATAAACAAGCCTCCCTTGGTGGCAGGCACCATGACACAGGCAGACAATGAGCCAGACAGGAGGGCTACCATGACCCCCGCAAGAAACAGGCAGTCATAGGCATGCTCAGTTGCACACCCAGGTGCAACCAGACAGAAGGGCCCAGCAGTGGCCCTGCCAGGCCGGGCCAGGAACAATGCTCTCTGACTGTCAGCACCAGGAACTGTCTCTGCCTTGAAATCTAGGTCACAGCAGCAAGCTCTGGAGCCCAACCCCCCTCACTTCACTGATAATCCAAGGACAGAAGGAGGGGGGTACGGGTGAGGGGGATGATGGGGAGGGGACTAGAGATGGAGATAAGAATGAGTAGGGGGGCATGAGTACAACTGGAAGGGAAAGCGCAGCAGGAGACAAGAAGACCCTGCCCCAGTGGAGGAAACTCTGGGGCCAAGCCCTCAGCTGGAAAAGGGGGCAGGATTGGGGGTTATACTTCCCTGCTTTCATATGGAAGGAGAGTTTGTAAATATTACAGATCCTGCGGGAGGAAAGAGTGCATCTGTGTGTGTGTCTGTGTGTGTGTGTGTGTGTGTGTGTCGGGAGGAGTTCAGATTTAGGGCTTTGAATCTAAAACAGATCTACAGAGGAGGTAGGCGGGAAGAGATTAATGTGTGTAACACACTCACCCACAAAGACTTGGGGGCAGTGGGTAGGAGCTTTCTAAGAGAGTGAAAGATACAAGGAGGCCCCTAAGAGAGATGGGGGTAGGAATGTTAAAGTGGCAGAGGAGAAATGTGTGTGTGCTCGGATCTTATGGATGCTAATCCCCGGGTTGTGGGCACAGCTCTGGAGGAGGCAGTGGCTGGGTATCTGTGGGTGTGTTTGGATGTTCTGGTAATGGAGGTGTATGTGCCAGCACTGGATATATGGCTGTGGGTGCACTGGCTGTGAGTATCTGTCATGTGTGTGTTTGTATGTGTCTAAACCAGCCAAGAGCATGTGTAAGAAGGCATATAACCACAGGCTCACATCCAGAGGGGTGAGGGGAGCCTACAGAATGGAGAAAGAGAGCTGGAGTTGGGAGACAGAAAGAGACTAAGGCTGCAAATGAGGCATGGGGGGCGAGGGGGAGGAGAGCATACAGTCCACAACTATAGAAGGCTGTAGCCTCATCTCATCTGTTACTATAGCAACCTCAGTTCTGGGTGCCCCCCACCCCCAGTCGTTAGGATGACACCACTAGATGGGAGGAGTGTAGGGAATGGTGAGTAAGAAGGGACAGAAAGGATAGGAATAAGGCCCCCTGACGGTACAAGGAAAGGCAGCCCAGTTGCCTCCCTTCTTGGAGAGATCCATTTGCCTAGGCCTTAGTATGGCAGAAGAAGCAAAGGGAGTGTTGTTTAGGGGAACTGCTCTCAATTCTCACTGATCAACAGTTGTACCTGGGCTGGTCTGGCCTGGCCATGGTGGGGCTTGGCAGAGCTTGTTTCCTTCATCCTCCATGTCACTTTCCTCACCAGAGATTCAGATTTCCTTAGGGCTCGTGGAGAAATCTGCTCTCTGGGCTCTGAAAAATCCTCCTGATTTCTGGAGCAGTGCAGAGAGCTGCTCAGGGATCACCAGGCAGTCTGGGCGGAGGCCATTCTTGGGACAGGATACCAGGGCAGGAATCAGGAACCGGAGCCCCGGCTGCCAGGAAGTCAGTCCTCTTCCCTCCCAGCTTTCTGTGCTAGGCTCACCGCTTCCTCACACCTTCCTTCCTTCCTGCCTCCCTCTCCTTCCAAGCTGGCCCCAGGCACAGCCCTGACAAAGGTCAAACCAACTGAGGATGCTGGGGAAGAGGGGCAGGAGGTAAGGACCATTATATACTGACCTTTTAGGGTGGGACAGGTGGGAGCTCCATGGGCACTGGGGTAAGAAGAGCCAGGCCCTGGGAGTGCTTTGAGAAGCCTGGCAATTGGGATAACCACCTGTGGAGGAGGTGGCAGCACCAAAAGAATTTCTGTGCATTTTGACATTAAGTCGTGGTAGATTATCCCTTCTAACGTTTGGTTCCAAATCCTCTGTAAATTCGAGAAGGAAGCCTGAAGATTAAGAGTTGCTGCCCGTCCCTCTTCCACATCTGTTGCAGCTGCCTAAGCCTGAGGGGAGGGGCCATCCCAGACAGCTGCAAGGACCTAGAGGTCCCTGTATTGGGCAGGAGGGGACTCCCAGGCACTCAAGTCTGTCAGTCTTCTGCCTGAAGTTGGAAGTAATCACGGAGAGGCAGAGGGGTTGGAAGGGAGAGAGTAGGGGTCCAGCTTTCCTATTTTAAATTATAACTGGGCCCCAAATTCAAGCAGTCCTGTAGTTTATTTCCTTTAATATCATTCTCAATTAATTTCTTCTTTAAGCTTTTTATCCAGCTTTGTGGGGGAGGAGGGGGTTGTCTTTACTCCTGTAACAAGGAAATTGAGGGTTCTGAGGCTCCAGGGTCAGCCTGGAAGTGACGAGAGGCAGGACATCTGGGCCCTAAAATGTTCACTTCAGTCCAAGAAGCAAAATGGATTACCTTTGGGCATGGGGACAAGGATTAGCCTTCAGCCCTTGGTCTAGAAAGAGCCAGACCCAAGATGGGGCATCAGGAGATAGCTGGCACTGGATCAGGCAGAGCAGAGGAGGGCCGGCTGATGGCGAGGAGGGGAATGGGGCCTAGGACTCTCCCCAGCCCATCTCTGTTTCCACTCTTCTGGTGTGGCACTCCCTGCTTCTATTTCTGTCTCTCTCCATCTCTCTCACTCTTTGTCATGCATTTCCTTTCTACTTCATCTTTCAGTCTCTCTTTTCCTCCTTTCTATAGGCTTTCACCCCTTCTAGCATTTCCTACTCACCTATCCAACTTAGTGGTAGCCATGAATACTTAGGACTCCTGAGATCTGTGCTTCACTGTCCCCATCTGAATATTCGGAGCTGCAATTAGGAAGGGGTGAGCATCCCTGCTACAAAAGACAGAGTAAGTTTGGTCGGAGTGGCTTGGAGATTCAGTGGTTGGCTGCCTACCAGCTGGTGAAGATATCCATCATGACATTGTGCGTGAGGATCTGTGTGAGAGAGTGAGGCGCTCTGTGATTCTGTGACCCTCTTCATGCATGATAATACATCCACACATGATGGGCACGGAATTGAGGAAGTAGGCAACCAGGGAAGCCTGCAGCCTAGGGCATCACTGGCAATTTCCCCAATGGAGTATTTAACCACAAAGGGAAGAGCAATTAAAGCTAATCGCTCTGACAGCCTGGGGCCCAGACACACGTACCACTTTCCCTAACTCCCAGTGGTCTCCCCCAACCTTCATCCTCCCTAATTTGTTTAGTGCACTCTCAAACACTGTTTGCACTTCTCTGACCATCTCTTTCTCTCACTTCCTCCCTCTCCCTGGTTCCCTGACTATCTCTAGACCTCTCTGGAGATGTCTGTCTGCTTCTCACACACATTCCTCTCATTCTCTCTCTGACTTGGGTTCCATTCTTGGCTGACTCATACCCATTCTTTTTCCTCTCCGTTTCTTCCACCCCCTCCTCCTCCATCCCTTGGCCACTCTTACCCAGAAACTAGCCACTCCCAGCACGCTAAGCCCTAACTGGACCCAGGAAGAGAAGCCACCAGAAGCCCCTACCCTCATTAGTCCGCAAAATCCTGTCTCCTTGTGTTAGAGGAATGAGACCAAGATTTTCTCCCATCTTTCCCCACAGTTTTAAAGAGGAACAATCTGAAACCATGGGGCTGGGAAAAGCTGCCAGAAAATCAGGATGGATTTGGGGACAGTGGCCCTTTCTGTCCACTCAGCTGTCCTGTCGGACTGATGACTTGGAGCCCGCAGTTCAGAAGACTCCTCATGGGATGCCCCACCCCACAGAGTGGGGGTGTGGTGGGCGGCCGGATGCGTAGTCCAGGGACGTTTGTGATTTGGAGTGTGCTAGACTATGTGTATAAGTCACATGGGTGTGTGTCACTGTGTGTGCTGGCGTGCCTTATAGGTGTGCGTGTTTCCCTGTCAGTTTTGACACGGATTATATGAAATTAATAAGGGTTTTTACGTTAGATATACATCACTTCTCTACACCCCCAGCTCCTCCTTCCCTCTGGACAAGCTTTCCGCCAAGCCCACCTCTTCCCCAGGTGCAGTGAGCTGGGGGTGAGGGCACATGGTACCAGCCGCCCGCGGAACCGAGACAGGGCTGGGCCGGGAGACCGCCAGCGGAGGCGAGTCCGAAGCCTGAGCGGGGAGGGAGGGGCGGGCGCTGGCCTGGCCGAGCCGGCTGGGCGGGAAGCAGGCTGCATCCTAATCCACAGGCCCCGGTCCGACTCCCAAACTGCCGTTCAGCGTGGAACGGGCTGGCCGGAGCCACGCCGCCTCCAGCACACGCTCGGCGCTCGGGACGCACCGACCGAGGGACGGACCCCGTGAGGCCTGACACAAAGTGGACTCGTCCGGGGTCCCCACACTCCCCGTCTGGCCCCCGGTGTCCCAGATCGTTGCCCCTCCAAGCCTAGACCCCGAAATCTGCCCCTTCCCCGCGACATGTCTCCTCTCCGCCCCTCTCACCGCCTCTGGAGCTGAGCGCTCAGGGCGCGGGCACTCCTGAGTCCCCGGTTCCTAAGCAGCGTCCGGAACCTCCTCCTCGGCTCCCGCCGCCGCCGCCGCCGCTTCTGCCGCCGCCGCCGCCTCTTCCGCCCGCGGAGCCGGAGCCCGAGCCCAGCGCCGCTCACTCCACCCGGCTGGCCGGTGATGTCAGAGCCGGGGAGGGGCGGGGGGCGGGGAATGGCGGGAGGAGGGGGAGGGATGGAGAGGCAGGAGGGGGCGGGGGACCGAGGGGCTGGGGTTCTGGAAGACTCCTAGGATGGGGGACAGAATTGGGCGGAGGGCTGGAGCGGAGACGGTCTCTTCCCCCTGAACTGCGAAACAATTCTCATATTTAATTCTTACCCAGTAGGGCACCCTCCTCCCCTTTTGACCTTTGGATGACCACGGTGCCTAGGACCCCTGGGAGGCACAGAGTAGGTTTGGTTTAGGGGGTTGGAAAGCCTTTGGGGGCTGGATTCTCTTAGCTGCTGGCTTTAATATTTGTAAAAACTTCTTGCCTTGCCTTAAGGGTCAGGGGCGCAGTGGAAAATGACTGATCAGACTTATCCACATTGGGAGTGAGGGGTTGGGGCCACATGGGGACTTGAGGAGCCCTGGATCTTCTCTTTCCAGGATGATGCCTTCAGGCCCTCTTGCGTGCCTCTCACCTTTCCCAAACATGCCCCACTCCTGCCTTCCCCCTACCATGATGTAATTTTATTTTCTGGGGAGAAAAAGAGCAGCAGTGAGCTCAGCATGCAAATATAGACAACTTGCAAAGCCACACTTAGCTCCATCTCCTAGCTCTGCCCCTCTGCCCAGGCCCAATGTGGCAGCTCTCACTTCCCCTCTACCCCAGGGACTTTCCTCCCCCAGATTCTCAGCCAGACTGAAAAGAGGAAAGGAAGAATTGGAGAAGCATCTGTTTTCACCCCCATCTCTATAGCCTAAGGGGTCTTGCCTCAGCTCTGGGCAGGGTTTGGCCCTGGAAAGAAGTCTGACCCTGGGTAGGTCCTTCCTGCCAGGAACTCCAGCAGGCCCAGGTTGGGGGATTCCCCTCAGTGTTTGTGCCACTTCCAGGATCACCCATCTCATCTCAGTTCCTACCTGGCAGAGACTCCTCCAGAAACCTCAAACGAGCCCCTCCTTTCTTGGGTCTACACCATTCCTAGAAGAGGCCCAAGTTCCTGCTGCTCTGGGTTTCATAGCATTTCTCTGCTGTTTCCTCTCCCCAGCATTCCCTGTCACACACTAATCATTTGCCTTTGTATATATCATGTTTGCTCTGTGTTGTAGGGACAAAAACTATTTCGTTGACCCATCTTTGAGACTCATGTAGTTTCTAAGTGAAAGGCTCAGGTCTGGAGGCAACAAGACACAGGGGCCTTGGGCTGCGTGCTAGTTCCACCCATTCCTTGGGCAAGTTATGCCTGAAAGCCTTAGTGTCCTCACCGGTCAGATCAGGGTGCCAATGTCTATTTCTGAGGGTTCTTCTGAGATTCAGAAATAGTAAGTCTCTAGGGACTGGCACAGATGGGTGCTTAAAAAATAGGAGCTATTATTTAGACCGGGGCCTTCCACTGACCTATGCTAGACAGTAAGCTCCACAATATTATTGTAAGACTAGCTTAGTGCCCATACTACTTATTAAACATTTATTAAATAGCTACAAGTTGGAATGAATACATAGTTTCTGCTTTCTACACCCCTGCCACATTCTCTAGGAACACTTCCTGGACTTGTCTGTGGAGAGTGAAAATATATCTAATCTCAGGTCTCATCTTTCCGTACTTAGAAATCCTCTAAGTCTCTCAGCAACAACTTTACACCTGATCCATGAAAAATATAATGTTGGCTTGGCGTGGTGGCTCACGCCTGTAATCCCAGCACTTTGGGAGGCTGAGGCAGGTGGATCACCTGAGGTCAGGAGTTCAAGACTAGCCTGACCAACATGGTGAAACCCCATCTCTACTAAAACTACAAAAAAGTTAGCTGAGTGTGGTGGTGGGCACCTGTAGTCCCAGTTACCTGGGAGGCTGAGATAGGAGAATCTCTTGAACCCGGGAGTCGGAGGTTGCAGTGAACCGAGATCTCACCACTGCACTCCAACCTGGCAACAGAGTGAGACTCCATCTCAAAAAAAAAAAAAAAAAAGAAAAAAATATATATATATACACACACATATATATGTATATGTATATATATATAATGTTTATTATTTATGGGCATCATCTCAAAAATATATATATAATGTTTATTATTTATGGGCTTGTTTAGCTATTTGTATATATTATATATATAAAATGTTTATTGTTCATGGGCATCATCTCAAAACTATATATGTATATGTTTATTATTTATGGGCTTATTTAGCTATTTGGCCCTCCCATCCCCAACTCCCTAAACTCCTTTTTGCTTACCCCAGCCTGGGCCTATTCTGGAAAGACTGTGGGTCCTTCTTGCCAAGACCTCCAGCAGGCCCAGGTCTGGGAGATCCCCATTGTATACAATATCTCCTCTCCATTCCCATGGCCACCACTTGGGTCCATGTTCTCCCAACATCACTCCAATTATTATAACAGTCACTGATTATGGGTTGGGCCCCTTACCTCTGGCATCTCCATCATCTCCCCTCCCCATCCTGCTTATCGCTACCAGATTAAATTTTGCCCTGCCTCCTCGGCTGGCAGGATTCAATTCAAACAGCTCTACAACCCAGCCCCATTATGCTTACCCAACTTCATGGCCACAACTTGATTTTTCTTCTTGTCTCTCTGGTCTCTGTGCCCCCAATATGACAAACATATCCTGCCAGTACTTGATGTTTTCCACTGACTGAAATGTCTCCTCCTCAGCTCCTTTGTCTCCAACCAAATCCCATTCTTCAATTTAAGGCCTAGTAAAGGCTTACTTCCTTTGTGAAGTCATCAAGCCCACTCTGATCTCTCTTCTGAGTTCATTCTGTTCTTTCCTTTGTTCTTCCTTTAGGAAACATTTACTAGGGACAACTTTTGAGTGTCAGACCCTGTGGACACAAAGAAAAAGCTTGGGTTCCTGCCTTCAAGGGGCTCACAGTTGAGTGGGGAAGACAGACACGTAAATGAAGAACAATAACAGACTGTGCTGAGTACTGGAATGGAAGTGCAGCAGGAACTCAGAAGAGGTCATCACTGGAGGGGCCACCTCTGGGAAGGCTTCACCAAGGAAGTATAATTGGAGCTCTGTCTTGATGTTCAAATAAGAGCTGCAGAGAGGGTGCTATCGAGCAGCACATAATCACTTAATTACATATTGCTTTGTATTCTTCTTCGATTGTTTAGTATGCTTGTCTTGACTTCTCCGTGAGGCTAATCAGCTCAAGATCAGGGACAGGCCTAGCACTCTCTGTTCTCCCAGAGCCTAACAGTGGCCCTGGACAAACACCATGTGTTCAGAAAAGGCTTGTTGACTTGAAGCAGATTAACAATCCAGGCTTCTCTGGGAAAGCTGCCTGGAGGAACCCCAGTCCCCACTATAAGAGTCCCCCAGCTCATCCCTAGCAAGGCACCCACATCTGAATTCCCCATCAGTGGCCACCTCCTCCTGCCATAGGGGTGAGACTTCACCAAAATACACTTGTTCATGCTGCCCCAGATGTCTTTATTGAGGCCTCTCATTTGACCCAAATACATTAACAAGTGATTGCTGAGATACAGTCCCAAACACAGTATTCTCCCTTCCTTCTGGCCAAGGACAGGACAGTCAGAAAGATACAGGATTAGAGAGAGTGGGGGAAAGCTGTGCATAGATGGAGGGAACAGAACAGAGATGGGGCCCATATATATGGCTAGAGGAGAATCACAAGAAAGAGTATGGAGAGTGATGGAAGAGACACATAATAGATACAAGTAAGTTATGGGATAAGAAACAGAAGTCAGATAAGAGAGAGCTGGCCTGGTGTCTAGGGAAAAGTAGCTCATTTGCTCATCAAATGAGGGGGATCAGTGTCTCAGCACCCAGCATATAGACCCCAGTTAGCTCTATGGCAGAGAATAACCTAGTCTCCCTGGAGGAACTCAGGGAAGGACAAGGGAAGGCAGGAGAGAGCATGAAAAGACCAGTGGGGCTGAAAGATGGTTGCCATAGCAACTAGTCATCATCATCATCGTCATCGTCCTCTGTGTTGATCTCGCCCTCCAGGACATCCTCCAGCCAGTCCTCCAGCTCCTCAGCAGAAGGCAGGTCCTCCTCATCGTCCATTTCCATCCATACGCTATCCGCCTAGGAGATGGCACAGGCAGGGACGGAAGCTAAGTCCAACCCGGGTCTTAGGATCTGTCTTCCCACTCACTGGACTCTGTACATCCTTCCCTACATTCTCAGTCCCTTCCTTTCATCTGCCAAAGGCCAGGGAAACTGTCCAGGTGAAGGTATGGGTTATGGGTTAGAATAGTGACAGGTGAGAGTGGGAAGAAAAGTTGGATTGGCAAATAGACCTTCTCCCTTCAATCTGTCTCCCGTGCTCTTGCCACACTGAACTTCCCTATTATGCCTTTGGTGCAAAACCACTGGTAGCTCTTCATGGCTTATAAGAATAAAGTTAGCAACTCTTCGGCATTCAGGACATTTCTTTCTTTCTTTCTTTTCTAAAAGAGACATGGTCTCACTCTATTGCCCGGGCTGAAGCGCAGAGGGGCAGTCATGGCTCACTGCAGCCTTGAACACCTGGCCTCAAGTGATTCTCCCACCTTGGCCTCCCAAAATGCTGGGATTACAGGCCTGAGCCACTACCCTGGCCCCAGGGCTTTTCATAACCTGCTTTTCTAGTACCATTCTCAGTGATCTCTAGACTCTCAACCATAAAAATCCACCTGCCTTTTCCGGGAACCTGATATTCATTTTCCTGTTTTTAACTTTTGATCTTGCTTTTTCCTCAGTTTGGAAATGACTTCCCTGAATCATCACTTGTTGAAATCGTATACATTGTAGAATCTCCATTTTGAATATCACTTTTTCTTAAACTTTTCTCTGATTCTGTCAAGCAGAAATCAATGTGATCCTGTGTCTTATTTGTATCGTTATTATAAAGTTTATCAGATCTGGCCTTGTAGTTAATGGAACACTTGCCTCTCTAATTAGTCTGAGAATTCTATGAAAGCAGAGACTGTGGCTCATTCAGTTCAACTTAGCAGTTTTGAAGCACCTACTGTGTGTGCATAAGAAGACTTCTGCCCTGAACAAGCTCAAAAATCTACTGGAAGAGACACACATAATACATAAATAGCCATTTAAATGTCATGTTCTCAATGGCTATTGAGCCCTGGGAGTGCCAGGGAGGGAATGATTTTAAATGGGAGATCTGGAAAGACTTCACAGAGGAGAAAGAATTTGAACTGGGCCTTGAAGGATGAGCCACTGATTCCAACATGTGGGACAGGGCCACATTCAGATCCTAAGTCTCCCCCTCCATCCAGCCACTAGACTGGGCATGTCTGCGTCCTGTGAGAAGGGCCCAACTCCTAGTTAGCAGAGAGGAGGAGAGCTAGCTATGCTAGGAAGTAGAGTCGGGGGTCAACCCGGGATGAGGACAGGAAACTCACATCAGTAACATTGACGACTCCTATTTGTGGGGCTGACAAGTCGATGTCAAACGTCTTCTCCCAGTATGGGACCAGCTGTAGAGAGATCAAAATACAGCAACTTAATAGATACTAGGGAGCACATGAATCCAGGAGGATGAGTGTGAGGGTCAGCCCAGGGATGGAGAGGGGACAGTGCGAACTGGCAGTGGATGGGGACAGGTCCACCTGTGAGGGCATCAAGGCAAGGGTAGAACTAAACAACAAAAGAGGAGAAATCCTAAAGGGAGAGAATCGGGAGGGTCAGCTGGGTGCACTGGCCCCTCTTTTCTGAGGAAAACTGGATAGGAAACCCTGTTCTGATCCTGGATCAGATCCTTGTGTTCAAGGTCAAGTCACTTCTCTCTGGCCCTCAGATCTTACATTTCTAAAATAAGGCAAGTATACCTGGTAAGTGCCAATGTTTCTCACGTTTCTCTTTGTTCTTTCAGTTACTCATTCAACAGCGAGTGCTAGGTGTTGGGAATGTAGCTGAGAACAAAATCATCTCCTGAAACAGGGAATCTCTGTGCTATGATTCTATGATTGAGTGTGTATACCCATGTGCAGGACTATTGTGCCTCACAACATTGGTTTTCTTTAGGAGTCAGCCCTAGCACCTGAGCTACCCATCCAGCCTCTGCTCTGGGAATGTGTGTGATGTCCGTCCTGTTTCCCCTTGCTCAGGATGCCCTCCATGCCAACAGTGCCCTTAAGCATGCAACACGCATACCCTCCCAGGGCCCCCCAGCTAGGAGGTGGGGATGGGACCTCTGAAACAAAGCCCTCACTAAGAAGATGTCACAGTCCAAGGCCCCACCTTAAGATAGCAGTGCCTGAGCTGTGCCTCTTACCAGGGGGAAGTCATCAGGGTCAATCCAGATGATGCTAAGATCTGGGTTTTCAGTGTTATCTTGGGCCACAGCCTTGAGAGTCTCTAAGAACTCGAAACCATCTTGGAGGGAACACAAGTACAAGGTATGAGGTGTGTAGAGAGGAAAGGGACCCAGGTGAAACAGGAGTGCAGAGCTACCTCCCTGCTCCCCAAGCTTCACATGTCTAGCCCTAGGCTGTTTGCAAACTCCCAGGAAAGCCTCCTAGTGAGGCCCATGCTCCAATAAACACACCCACCTCCCCCTGCCTTCCCTCCAGTCCAACCCGGTATTCCTCCCTCACCAGGATCAGCTTCCTCTGCGAAGGCCACAATGTGGATTCCATCCATATCATCCTCCTGTCAGGGGGTAAGAAGGAGAACAGGGTTTTGGAGAAGACCTTACTATACTCCCTGAAGTTGAGGAGCCCAGAACAGATCCTAGATGTTCATTGAACCTCAATTTTGTGGAAATCCAGCTTCAGGACCAGATATATTCTTTCGTTTTTTGGGGTTTGTTTTTTTTTGTTTTTGAGACAGAGTTTCACTCTGTCCCCCAGGGTAGAGTGCAATGGCGCGATCTCGGCTCACTGCAACCTCCGCCTCCCGGGTTCAAGCGATTCTCCTGCCTCAGCCTCCTGAGTAGCTGGGATTACAGCCATGCGCCACCACACCTGGCTAATTTTGTATTTTTAGTACAACATTGTTTCACCTTGTTGATCGGGCTGGTCTCAAACTCCTGACCTCAGATGATCTGCCTGCCTCAGCCTCCCAAAGTGCTGGGATTACAGGCGTGAGCCACTGCGCCTGGCCATATATATTCTTGTGATGGTGACCTTTTTCCAAGTGACACTCCTTTCAGCTCCAAGGCCCCACACTTCCTCTGATAATCCCTTTATCCCCAGGCTTGAGGCTCTTCCCTTGTCATCTTCAATTATGTCTGTCTCCCATTTCCTCACACATTCTTCAGTGTAGAAATCTTTCAGTTGCTGCTAGTGCACTGTTTTTTCTTTTTTCTTTTTTTTTGAGACGGAGTCTCACTCTGTCCCCCAGGCTGGTGTGCAGTGGCGGATCACTGCAAGCTCCGCCTCCTGGGTTCAAGCCATTCTCCTGCCTCAGCCTCCCAAGTAGCTGGGACTACAGGCGCCCGCCACCACACCCTGCTATTTTTTTTGTATTTTCAGTAGAGATGGGGTTTCACTGTGTTAGCCAGGATGGTCTCGATCTCCTGACCTCGTGATCCACCCACCTTGGCCTCCCAAAGTGCTGGGATTACAGGCATGAGCCACCACACCCAGCTGGTCAGTGCACTGTTTTTTCTAAAAATGGGCCTGAGGAGCAGTAGGGTGGGGTTTTTCTAGGACTTGAGTCTTCTGGCACCCATGCTTCCCTGAGGGCTTGACCCTGGCCAGGGGCACTCACCCAGGTCTCATACATACTCTCCGGCTTCAGTTTCCTCAGGGTTGATCTAGAAGAGACAGACAGAGTGTCATTACTCAGTGGGTTAGAAGGATGCCCCCTCCAGAGGGTCCTGTAGCAAAGGCTGCCTCTAGGTCAGGCCCAGGGCACAGACAGCTTGTAGCCTACAACAAAGCCATCTGGCAAGGCCTCAACTCTGGGCACCAGGCCCGGCTCATTGCATGGTTAAAGCGGTGGGAGAGGGGAGGGTGGGCAAAGGGACTGGAAGAGAGACTGGGGGAGAAAGGCAAGAACTGGACATCAGGATATTCATTAATTTATTCATTCATTCACTCACTCACTATGATTGAGTGCCCGATATGTTCTAAGCACTATGCTAGGTGCTGGGTACATACAGTTGAACCAGGCAAGCATGTTCCTGCCTTGATGAAGGGAGCCAGTAGTATGGGAGAGTAAGTACTGTATATACTGCAAGGGAGCTTGCAGTGATCCACCACTGCACGCTAGCCTGGGGGACAGAGTGATTGGATATTTCCAGCTGTGGACTACTATGAAGGAAGGGAATTATGTGTGAGTGCCCGGCAGGATTATTCAACCTCAGCACTATTGCCATTTGGAGCCAGATAATTCTTTGTAGTAGGGGGCTGTCCTGCGCACTGTAGAATGTTTAGCAGTATCCCTGGGCTCTAGCCACTAAATACTAGTAGCACTCTGCACAACCAAAAATGTGTCTAGACATTGCCAAACATCCTTTGGAGGGCAAAAACCTATGCCCACCTCGCCACGCCTTCCCACCTTGTAGAGAACCATTGGTGTACGATATTGTATTAGAAAGAACATGGGGCCAGGCGCAGTGGCTCATGCCTGTAATCCCAGCACTTTGGGAGACCGAGGCAGGCGCATCACTTGAGGTCAGGAGTTTGAGACCAGCCAGGCCAACGTGGTGAAACCCCATCTCTACTAAAAATACAAAAATTAGCCAGGTGTGGTGGCGTGCCTGTAATTCCAGCTACCTGGGAGGCTGAGGAAGGAGAATCGCTTGAACCTGGGAGGCGGAGGCTGCAGTGAGCCAAGATGGCGCCACTGTGCTCCAGCCTAGGGGATAGAGTAAGACTCGGTCTCGGAAGAAAAAAAAAAAAAGAAGAAGAAGAAAAAAAGAACAAACATGGGACACATCAGGGTTAAAATCAGGGTTAAAAGCTCTGACACTTATTACCTGTAGAAACTTTCACTGAGGTTAAAAGGACTTAATATAATCATAGAGATGGAAAGTACCTTGCAGTTCCTGCCCCACCACAGGCAGTCAACACTCATTTGTTGACAGAGATTATTTAAGTCTCAATCAACCTCACACTGAATTATACACACTTATGAAGGACCCTCTCGGTGTAGGGCTCAGGGCTAAGTAGTGGGGTATAAAATATTGTGCAAAATTGTCAGTGTATCAGAGAGCACTGGTGCCCAAAGTGTATTCATCTCCAGGCAAGATTGGCTTCCCGGTTGGCTAAGCTTTCCCCAGCCCATCTCACACAGTGTGTTCTAGCCCAAGGAGGAGCCGACCCCGCTGAGAGGGTTGCCCTTGGTCCCCACCTCCTGTGCTCCTCCACGAAGTTGACAATCTCCTCTTCGCTATTGGGCTTGTCTGGGATGGTCACAGGCTCTTCCATGAAGGCCTCGTAGAAATCAATCTCATTCAGCTTCAGGGTCAGCTTCTTTGCCACCTTTGGGAGAGGGGGTAGGAGGGGAGTGGAGCAGGAGACACAGGGTCATGTCGAGAAGCAGTATAATGGGGGAACAAATATTAGGAAGGGAGTCAGAAAGCCGGGATCCTTGTCACTGCCACTGTGACACCTGACAAGTGTCTTAACTTGCCTGGGGTTGGGTTTAACATGAGAGGGGTGTTAGATCATCTAAAGCCCCTCTTCAGCTCTAAATCTATGGAGTGGGAGGAGCCGGGGGGGGGGGCAGGTAGGGAGTGCCAGCACGTAGGAAGGGACCAGGTCAGCCATCGATTCTGGGAGAGGAAACTGGAGGACAGCTTCAGGACATGAGGCAGAACCAATACAGCTGCGGGGAGGAGAACCTTGCTGTCGAAGGTGGCGAAGAAGGGGATGTAGGGATGAAACTCCTCAGCTGCATCCTCGAAGGCTTTGTAATCTGGGGGGTGGAATGCAGAGTCAGTCTCTGGGGAAACCAGGGTCTGCCCGGGAATCATCCCCCACTATCGTCCCCAATTCTTTGCAGGCAGGG
The DNA here is from genome assembly GCF_000001405.40 of Homo sapiens. NCBI lineage: Eukaryota > Metazoa > Chordata > Mammalia > Primates > Hominidae > Homo > Homo sapiens. Next base: position 160,195,367 of record NC_000001.11, on the reverse strand, counting down.
TTCATTTTGAGACCCACCCCTTCTAGTTCTTCGAGAGTGAGGGGAAGGTGGAATACTGGAGGTGCTTGTCTGGGAACCCCCAGAGTACAGGGAGGTCAGAGCTGTTGATGGTGCTGACCACGGCTGGAGGAAGAGGTGGGAAGTGCAGAGGTAGAGGCTGAGACACTGGGTGATGTGGGGAGGTGGGAGGACAGGTGAGATGGGGATCCAGAGAGGGGCACAGTGGAGTCTGAGGGTTACCCACGCTCTGAGTCTTTGCTCTTGAAGTAGCCAATGAGTTTGATCTCATCCTCAATATTCTCAAACGCCTGCAGCTCTCGTTCACCTTCAATCAATTCCACAGGGTCCTCTAGGACCTGAAAGAGGAGGACATTGCAGGAAGAGAGTTTCTATCCTCAAGTAGAACCAGAAAGGGACCTAGGGAAAAGAAGGCTGGGGAACTGGAGGAGGGGGCTAGATGTTGACAGTGTGTGGGTGTGTGTGTGGGGGATTGCATGTGCGTGTGTGTGTATAGTGTGTGATGTGTGCAGTGTGTGGTGTGCATGTGTGGTGTGTGTGTGCATGTGATATATATGTATGGTGGGTGTGTGGTATGTATATGATGTGTGTGTGATGTGTGTGGATGGTATGAGTGTGGTGTGCATGTGGTGCATATGTGTAGTGTTCGGTATGTAGGTGATGTGTGGCCTACTGTGTACATGTGTGGCATGTGTGTGATGTGTGTGAATGTGTGGTGTGTGTACGTGTGGAGTGTGCATGTGGTGTGTGCATGTGTGTAGTGTGTGCATGTGTGGTGTGCAGGTATGTATGTGCATGTGGTGTGTGTGTGCGCATGTACGGTGTGTGTGCATGTGATATATCTGGTGGGTGTGTGGCATGTATATGTTGTGTGTGGTGTGTATGGATGGGTGTGTGTGGTGTGTGTTGTGTGTGTGGTGTGCATGTGGTGCATATGCATAGTGTGTGGTATCTAGGTGATGTGTGGCCTATTGTGTGCATGTGTGGCATATGTGTGATGTGTGTGCATGTGTGTAGTGTGTGTGTACATGTGTGGCGTGTGTGGTGTGTGCATTTGCGTGGCATGGATGTGGTGTGTGTGCATGTGTGGTGTGTGTTTGTTGTGTATGTGCATGTGGTGTGTGATGTGTGTGGAGTGTGTGGTGTGCATGTGGTGTGTGTGTGCATGTGATATGTGTGTGATGGGTGTGTGGTATGTATATGATGTGTGTGTGGTGTGTGTAGTGTGTGTGGTGTGCATGTGGTGCCTATGTGTAGTGTGTGGTGTGTAGGTGATTTGTGAACTATTGTGTGCATGTGCATGCATATGTGTGGTGTGTATGCAGGTGGTGTGTGTGTGTATGTATGGTGTGTGTGCGTGTGGTGTATGTATGGTGTGTGTGCGTGTGGTGTATGTGTGTGTGTGTGGTGTGTGTGTGCAGTGTCAGGTTGGGGTTGGTAGGGACTAGGGGGCAGGCAGTGGAGTTTTCAAGCAAGGCCGTCAGGTCCAGGGGAGTCCTTACATCAAGCAGAAACTCCACGATGGTGTCAGCAGAAAACTCGCCATCGTACTCAATGACTTCATCTCCCTTGAATACATACATGCTGTCCACTTCAGTTAGGCCTAGGGAGTGAGCCGGGCGCAGGGGTGGGGTAGTGAGCCATGATCCCAGGCTTCCCACAGATTCAAGGTCCAAATCCTCGGCCACAGCCCGTTTGATAATCACCGGGGCCCCACATGCTCCACCTCATGGGCCCGTTGCCCCACCCACCTCCTCTGACCCAGAGGCCGACAGGCCTGAGGTCTCTGCCCCTGGATTAAGCCTAGGGGGCTAGCGTGGCCCCAGAGCTTTCTAGGGAGTAGCTGGGGGATCAGGTAGGGTGAGGGGAGGGAATAGAGAGGTGTAGATTCTAGCAGTATTTCTCCCCTTCTCTGACCGCAACGACTAGAGATGAGTATTCATGCCACCCCCTCTGAGCACTCTAGTAGCTGGTTCCCAGTCAAGCTCTTTAATTGCTATTACTGACCAGATGACTTCATTATTACTGACCACCCCTCCCCCATGCATGTCCAGAATCCCGTCTCAAGCCTGTGCTGCCCCCTAGTGGCTGACTGCTCTAACAACCATGGCTCTGGATGGGAGGGGTTGGAAGCGGAGTTTGCAGAGGTCTGGCCAGCCCCGCCTGTATTCCCCGACTCCCCTTCCCTCCAGCACCTAGCCATGTTTTAAGGTAAGTATAAAGAAGGCCTCCCCCACCTCTTTCTGGGATTTGAGCATGGAACTTCATAAGGAATAGAGAGGCAGAGTCTCCGAGCCATAACCCTCCCAACCTCATATTTTCTCACCCCCTCTTTTAGAATAGACATAAATCTGAGAGATTCCCAAGCCCCTCGGATCCCAAGGACTGCCTGACAGGTCCTCCGCCCTAAGCCTCCCCTTGTCTCAATGCCACCTTCCCCTCCCCTGCCCTCCCCTCTCTTACCTAGTTTCTTGGCCACAGCTGCATCCTTCTCAGAGTCTACCAGCCCGAAGCCAACACCCTTGTCTTCTAGGACTTGGGCTGCTAACTGGAGGGAAGGATTATGATTAAAATTAGCCCCTGGAATTTTTATTATCCCCTATTCTCCCTCTCATGCTTTCAAGTTGGGTCAGTTGAGGTGCGGGAGATATAAGAGTTGACCTTGACCCTTTGCTAAGATCCAGAATATCCCCCAAATTCCCTACAGCCACACAGTTCTGTTTTTGGCTCAACTTAGTTCATGAATATTGATTGCTCATTTGCAATGTGCTTATTATGTTGGACTTGAAGACACTGCACTCAATACTTCCCAGTGCCTAAGAGGTACTGAGGAGTCTGGCTTCAGAGTGACTGAGGGCCCCTTCCCTCCTTCAGGGTTGAGTCCTGCATTCCATCCTGCTCAAGTCACACCTGGAGGTCCCTGTCCCTGGTCAAGGGCCAAGCTCAGTGTGGGGTTGATCTTGGAAGTCCCTGAGATTCTTCAGAGTGACTCCCAATGGGAAGAATTTTGGAGGGTGGGAGGGTAGTGGTGGGTCTGGTCATGTTGTTGAGGAGTTGGGGAAGGCCAGAGAGCTGAGATAAGAGGTCACCATTTGTTACCCCCCAGAGGGAGAGAGACTGACAGCGACCGGACAGTTCTCCCCATCAGGGCCCAACTTTCCCCTTTCGCACTCTACTTCAGCCTGTCCTTAGGCTGTGGACAGTCACACCTGGAGGTCCCTGCCCCCATAAGCCTTCCAGCTTAGCGTTCAACCCTGATTTTCTCTGCTGTGGGCACAGCTTGCAGCTCTACCCCCACTCAGCACAGACTCAGGTACTGTGATTCTCAGAGGGGTGGGGAAGGGAGGCGGTTGGCAGGTGGATGGCCAGGGATACTGAGCACTCAGGATAAAAATACTCGGCTCATTAATCAGATGGCAGGTTCTAGCACCCAGCAGGGGTGCACAAAATGAGAGCCTGTGGTTCTGGTGTCTCACCCTGAAATGCTCCAAGCTCTGGACAAGCTGAGGCCAGAGAAGGGGCCACAGGAGCTTGGACAAGAAAACTCACATCCCATTTCCTAAAGGTGTGTGTGTATGAACACATTCCCAAACATAGGTTTTTTTTCTTTTCTTATGATAACTTCTTTCTCCTTTGGGCCTGAAGTCATTTTGGAGGTGAGGAGACTTTTCCCACAAAAAGAAGATTGGGGAAGACATTCTGACACCTCCTGCAACCATAAGAATTTTCCAGTGAGGGCATCCAGCTTATCCAATGGAGACAAATGGGGAATTAGGGAGGGGGAAGGAAGAGAGAGGGGACTGGGAGTCCAATGGGAGGCATGATCTCTAGGAGATATTTAAACATGGCATGCAAGTATCATAACATTTACATTTACACTCAGTTTGGATCTCTTTGGGGTGCAGCCCCTGAAGTATGTGGAGAGGACGTGTTCTGGCTAAGCAGATGGGTGGGGTAGGGGAGTGCAATATACACTGCTGTTCTCCCCTGGCCCTCCAAGTACCTCCCTTTTTCACCCTCAGTGTCCTAGCCAAACCTAAGTCAAATACTACCAGCCTCCTATAGCAGGGAGGGGAGCTCTTCCTGCAGCACCCCTGCTAAAGGTTTCCTGACGCTGATAGTACTTTTGGGTTCCTGAGACTCTGTTTCTCATTTGACTAAAGCCACATGCCACTTGCATCCTGTTGGTCAGGACAGGGTTCCTACCACACTGCCCCTCACCCCCAGATCCCATCCTCAAAGAGCTACATGGGTGTAGGATAGGGGATTCCGGAGAGGGGCTAGACATGCTCTGCAGGCCTGCAGTGCCCCCAACTCACCTCCAGGATCAGCTCCTCCATCTCAAATTGTCTTTGTGAGGCCTTGTCATCCTCGGGGGGTTCATGGTAGAGGAGTGCCAGCACCTCATACTTCTTGAACACATTCTTGTAGTTCTTTGCATTGACATTGATCACACGGTCCACACCATCGTACTCAGGGAAGTCCAGCCCTTCCTGCCCCTGTACCCCTGACTTGGGTGTCCCTAGCACCAGCAGCAACAGCAGTGCCAGCCGCAGACCCGGCACAGCTCTGGGCCCCATCCTGTCTGTAGCACTCATGGAGGTAGTGGGATCTGGGTTGGCTCTCCTGGTCCAGAAGAGGTTAGCTGGGGTAGGGAGGGGCCCCTGGGTCCCAGATTCTGAGTTAGGGGCTCAAGTGGGAGGGGGGATTGGGGAATGGCCCAGAGCAGTGGACAGAGGGCACTGCTGGGTCCTGGAGAAACTGCCGACAGAGCCAAGGGAAAAAGGGTCAGGTGGAGGAATAGGAGCAGGGGGCGGGGAGGGAACCGGAGCTGCCCCCTGAAATTGGCACCCCTCAGTCCCCACCTGGTCCTGTCTAAATATGTCTCCATGGTTGGCAGGAGAGACGGATAACCTTCTGAGGCCAGGACAGCTCCATGCGGGCCGGAATCCTCCCACCTCCTACACTTCTACCCCAGGCTCCCAGGGGCTCCTTCCCTCCCCCTCCTCCAGTGTCCAGGGCACCTCAGCCCCGGTCCCCACACTGGCCTAAGAGCTCATCGCCATATTAAGAAAGGAAAAGGAGAGATGCCGGAGCTAAAAATAAGACCAGATGAGTCGGAGGTAAATGAAGCTGGGGCTGGGGGAGGGGAGGTATAAGGGTAATTAGGGTGGGCCGAGGGTGGGGCAAGGGTAATTAGAAGTTAAATGCAGTGGAGAGGAGGAGCTAACTGGGTCAGAGGCTAAATTGATAATATAGGACAAAAGGGGGACAAATGTGGTATTGGCTCTATGTCCTAAAGCCTGGGAATCTTCTGTAGGTGAAGTCTGATTCTGATTCTTTGATACTATGTAGGAGAGTGGGGCGATAAAAGTGCAAGCCAGGCTGCAGGAAAGAGACCCCCTCCACTTTCTTTTAAAGAACCAGGACCAAGGATGAGGTCATTCTCTGAATAAAAGATGGAGCCGCGTCCAAGACTGGCAACCTGGCTCAGCTCCAGCCAGTTTCCTTTGCTTCACTCAGCACTCCTAACTTGGGAATGCAGGGAAGGACAGGGCTGGCCCAGATCCTGTCCTGTAGAGATGTGGGTTTGGGGTTTCTCTGCCTATAAAGCCCACAATGAGAAGGGGTCTGTCCTTTGGTTGCCACCTGTGTGTGCACTCCCTACCCTGATCCTATGGGACTCGGTTTTCTGGGGCACAGTGGGAAGGGAGGTTTTCCCAGGCTGCATGCTTCCAAGGAGAGTGAATAGCTACTATTTATTCCCATGTCTTTGACAAGACAAAGAGGATCAGGTATTGACACCAGGGCAAAAAAAAATTAACATTAGGCAAGCATGAAGAGGTGAACCCTGTGCCCTGAACCAAGACTGATGATTAATTCTGTGCACCCGAGATCCAAAGCAGAGATGGGCGGGTAGGGGCTTAAACTTCTGGATCCAGCTTGGGGGGTGAGGACAGAGTAGTGAGTTTAACTCTGGATACGTAGGAAGGAAGGATCCTCTTCATGGCCCTCCAGGGTTCTTACTATGCACAGGTAAACTGAGGCATGAGGGAGACCATAGAGGGTCAGATCAAAGTCACATGCTGCCACTGCACCCTGAGGTATCTCTGATTCTAGAGGGACAGTGGTGTTTTTTTTGTTTTGTTTTGCATCCAGGGAGGGTCATGTAATTATGTTAGCAGAATAACTTTTCCACATGTCTGTGTGGTGGACCTTACACAGCTGAACACGGAAGGCCACAGAAAATCTCAAAAGCATGGCAGGAGTGAGGCCAAGAGGGACAGCTGTCACTGTAGCAGGAGAGGTTGGAGCTAGCCTAAGCACAGCACGTTGGAGCTGAAGAGACCTCAGAAGCCCATATCCTGGTCTCCCTGAAGAGTGGCTAACGTGGGAAAGCCCCAAGGCCAGAGCAAAGGCAGCCAGGTGAGATGGGGAGGCCTGCCCAGAAGCAGATGATCTAGGTGATGTCCAGCCCTGATTTCTCACTTCTGCATTCCAGGGGAGGCGGGAGACACTGGGACAGAGACGCTGGAGCATAAAACTTGTTCCATCTTGAATCTGACCTTTTGTACCCCCAAGAGTATGAGATGGGACTCTGGTGGCGAGTCTGTTCCATCTCCTGGTCCTTTCCTACAGCTACCGGACATTGCCATCCATCCCGTTCCCTCTCGTTGCCCTCTCTGGCTCCAGTCCCACCCTTCCCCTTTCCAGCGCCCGCCCCCACTGCTCTCTCTTGATGCTTCACTCTGTCTACTTTCTACTCAGTCTCCTTCCCTTCAGGCCCTTGGACTTGAGAAGCCTCAGCCACTGGTATCAAATGACCGTGAGTTGGGGCCTCTGTATTTTTAACCCACCAGACACCTGAAGCTCCTGCTACTGAAACCTGAGGAGCTGGCCCCTCTGTGCTCCTGCTTCCCACCTCACTCACATATACCCTGGCCCACTGATCTTCCAGGGTCTGGTTCAGCGATGTCAGCAATTGGGGAAGGACCCCAGGCTGATATAGCACTGTTCCTAGGAGACCTTGTGATGGAAGAGGGAGGAGAAGAGGGAGAGAGACCTCTGAGGAGGGGCCTGATGTAGGGAAAATGGCGGGCGATACTCACGATGGCCTTCTCTTTGCTAGCTCATGGCCTCTCATCCTCCAGACCCACCCCGGGTCCTTCCCCATCACTAGCCTATTTTTTTTGTTTGCTTTGTTTTGTTTTTGTGTATTTTTGGCCCAGCCCTCACTGAAAGACTAGTCTGAAAGTGATTAAGGGCCCACGTTCTGAAAATGGACAGACCTTGGTTTCTTCTTGGGTAACATGGAGTGGGTGGTAGGGAAACATTTATGTGACTTTCTTGATGGTGTGTATATAAAACCCTCGTCCCAGTGTTAGGTGTAGTGTGCAGACACCTAGTACATATGTGTTTTGTTGTGGAAATAGCTGATGGTGTTCCCCTAGCTTTCGTTAGCATTTCTCTTCCACCCTGTACACATTTGGGAACAGCCAATGCTCTACTCTGAAAGAGGCCTGAGAATGAACTGACCCACATGGCACAGTGGAGGGGCTCACAGAGCAAAAGTGAATGAGCGGGTGAAGGGGAAGGAAGAAATGCTGAGACGAAGGTGGGCAGGAGAGAAAGGCCCTCCACGAGTTTTCACTCATCTGAGAATGCACCTGGGCCCAGGCACAGAGGCCAGGCTCTTGGGAAAGTCCATCACCCCGTGCAGAGCAGGGGCGGCTGCTTCACAGTAAAGGCCACAGGGATTCAGAAAGTCTTGTTACAGCCTCTATCTCAAGGCTACACCAGAGAAAACAGGCCGAGGGCCAGAATGGGGTTGAGGAGCCCTGATGACCGAGGGTAGAGGGCAGGGACCACCAGTATGCCTGGAGACTGTCCTTCCTACCTGTCCCTTTCTCAGATGAGGGACAACACTCAGCACATGGCCATTCCCAAGTCATTTAACCTCTCTGGACTTCAGGCTTTTCACTGATGCAATCTGATCTCTTCTAGCACCACAGCGCTGTGGTCTGCAAGCTGGTCTCAGGAACTGCAAGGTGGGGTCAGATGACTCCACCCCACCTACCCCCTGTGCGGATGCTGTGGACCCTCTTCCCACGTGTGACTTAGCTGCTCCTCTCTCCCCCACCTTCCATTTCTCTGATCTCAGCTGGAATTTTGAGGCAGTCATTTGCCCTGTCCTTGCTGTCCAGTGGCTCGGAGAGTGACTTTAAAGGGCAAGGATGCTTGATACTGATCCTATCCCAGCCTTGACTCTGGTCCTTAAAACACTTCCCCAGCCTGGTCATCATGAAGACCTGTGGAGGGAGCTTCACAGTAATCCCCACTCCCCCAAGATCAGATTTGACACATCCAGCTGGTGAGGGCTTTTCCAGACATTTACTGTCTAGACTGGCTACGGGATTCAGCAGGACCATGCCCCTCCCTGCGGGGCTCCAGCTAGATGCAGGCTGGGCTTCCCTTCAGCCCACCTCATCCTCTGCCCATGATTCCCTCAAGCCAGCCCAGGATTGCCCATCTTTCTCATCCAAGATAATTCATCCTAGTGTCTCAGATGTTGTGTCAAACTTATAATCTCTGGCCCCATCCCAGCTCTCACAACACCCCTGTGTCACATGAAGCTCTTCATCTGCTGAGTTTAGTAGTACGTCTCCCTTTCCACCCAGCCTGTGGAAGAGAAGAGGCCAGCGTGAACTGGGAGAAGGAATTAGAGGCATCCAGGGGAGACAGGCAGAAGGGAAAGCAGGGACAAGGTTGGAGGTGGGAGGTCTGGAACACAGGGCACTGAGGGTCAGATGGAGCAGAGGGGTGCAGCCAAGGGGTAGAGAGGTCTCGGCTCCAGGCGCAGTCAAGGCTGGCAGCGAGGAGGGGAGAAAGTCAGTGGTGGGTCTGGAGGGACTAGGTGGGATGGGAGAGCTAGTGAGGGGGCTGGTGACCACTCAGTCAGAGCGGGGCCCAGGGGAGCCTCACCATCCGGGTGCTGACGGATGAGGAGTTTTCTGATTTCATCATAGACGAAGATGAGAATACTGTAGGGAATGGCACAGAGCCACCAGGTTATCCTGTAGAGAGCAAGAGCCAGTCAGCATGGCAGGAGAGAGAGATGCCAGAGGACAGGTGCAGAGGGCAATGCACAGGAATTGCACGTTTCATTGCTTGTGTCTACTGTGTGCGTGGGACTGTGCTGGGTGCTGGAGACAGTGCAGTTGAATAAGATCTGGTTGATCCCTTTTTTTTTTTTTTTTTTTTTTGCGACAGAGTCTTGTTCTGTTGCCCAGGCTGGAGTGCAATCTCGGCTCACTGCAACCTCTGCCTCCCGGATTTAAGCGATTCTCATGCCTTAGCCTCCTGAGTAGCTGAGATTACAGGTGTGCACCACCACGCCCAGCTAATTTTTTGCAATTTTTTTTTTTTTTTTTGAGACGGAGTCTCACTCTGTCACCCAGGCTGGAGTGCAGTGGCTTGATCTCGGCTCACTGCAAACTCTGCCTCCCAGGTTCAAGTGATTCTCCTGCCTCAGCCTCCTGAGTAGCTGGGACTACAGGCGCCTTCCACCATGCCCGGCTAATTTTTGTATTTTTAGTAGAGGCGGGGTTTCACTGTGTTGGTCAGGATGGTCTCGAACTCCAGACCTTGTGATCCGCCTGCCTCCACCTCCCAGAGTGCTGGGATTATAAGTGTGAGCCACCATGCCTGGCCAAATTTTGTATTTTTAGGAGAGATGGGGTTTCGCCATGTTGCCCAGACCGGTCTTGAACTCTTGAGCTCAGGCAGTCCACCCGCCTCAGCCTCCCAAAGTGCTAGGATTATAGGCATGAGCCATCGTGCCCGGCCTGAGCCCTACCTTTGAGGAGGTCAAATCCTGTGGGATTAGTGATCGGGAGTGGAGAGGAGAGGCACGAGACAGAAACATAAAGAGCCAGTGATAGCCAGGCATGATGGCTCACACTTGTAATCCCAGCACTTTGGGAGGCCGAGGCAGATGGATCACGAGGTCAGGAGTTTGAGACCAGCCTGACCAACATGGTGAAACGCCGTCTCTACTAAAAATACAAAAATTAGCGGGGCATGGTGGCATGCGCCTGTAATCCCAGCTACTCAGGAGGCTGAGGCAGGAGAATTACTTGAACCCGGGAGGCGGAGGTTGCAGTGAGCTGAGATCGCACCACTGCACTCCAGCCTGGGCGACAGAGCGAGACCAAGACTTCGTCGGGAAAAAAAAAAAAAAAGCCAATGATGATATAATATGATAAATGTCATATTAGAAGTATATGCAATGTTCACAAGATTCTCTACCAACTTTTGTGGAGCCGCTGAGGGAGACCCCTGTGCTCTCTGCATACTCTAGGGCTTGTGCCCACAAAGGGGAGGGGTTGTCTGAGCAGGAGGGGTCTATCTGAGACATTTAGTGTGGGGATACTTTGTCGGCGAATATATTGATGCTTCTGTATTACAAAGATGGGGATATTGTTTTGTTTCTCAACCTCTTTTTATAATTAGACCAGGAAGATGGATTCTGGGGAGGGGTTGAATCAGGACAGCAGTTGTTCCCTTGGATGACAGAAGAAATGGCCTAGACCAGCACTGTCCAATAGAAATATAATGTGAGCCACATGTAAAATTTAATACTTTCTAGTAGCCACATTAACATAAGTAAAATGAAACAGATGAAATTAATTTTAATAATATTTTTATTTAACCCAATATATCAAAAACTGATATCAATATATCAGTTAAATATGTAATCAATATAAACATTATTTATTTTAATTACATTTAATGTTTTTTTTAGAGACAGGGACTTGCTCTGTCGTCCAGGCTGGAGTGCAGTGGTACAATCATAACTCACTGCAGTCTTGAACTCCTGGGCTCAAGCAATCCTACTGCCTCAGCCTCCTGAGTAGCTGGGACCGTCAGTGTGCACCGCTACACCTGGCTAAGTTTTAAATTTTTTTATTGAGACGATGTCTCACTTTGTTGTACAGGCTGGTCTTGAACTCCTGGCCTTAAGCGATCCCCCCACCTTGGCCTCCCAAAGTGCTGTGATTGGAGCCACTACACCCCCGCCTCAATATTAGCATTATCAAGGCCAGGTGCGGTGGCTCACGCATGTAATCCCAGCACTTTGGGAGGCAGAGGCAGGCGGATCACAAGGTCAGGAGTTCGAGACCAGCCTGACCAACATGAAGAAACCCCGTCTCTACTAAAAATACAAAAATTAGCTGGGTGTGGTGACGCGTGCCTGTAATCCCAGCTACTCAGGAGACTGAGGCAGGAGAATTGCTTGAACCAGCGGGGCGGAGTTTGCAGTGAGCCGAGATTGCGCTACTGCACTCCAGCCTGGGCAACAGAGTGACACTCCATCTCAAAAAAAAAAAAAAAAAGCATTATCAATAAGATATTTTACATTCTTCTTCTCAACCTAAGTCTTGGAAATTCAGTGAATATTTTTCACTGACAGAATGTTTGAACTCAGATACAAAATTATTTTCAACAGTTGAAGGGGAACGTAGTCCAACCAAAATAATGAAGTTATAATATAGAAAAACATTACTTTAGTTTTTGACTTTGATTAAAATTAAATAAAATTACAAATTTACTTCCCCAGTCTCCCTAGTCTCATATGTCAAAAGCACAATAGTTGTATATGGATAGTGGCCACTGTATTGGACAGTACAAGCCTAGGCCATGGCTCATTCCACACACACACAAATATAAACATTTCTACACAAACAGCCACCCCACCCCTTCATTCAACAAACAATTGTTTTATGTACTCTGTGTCTGTGTTAGGTATTGGGGAAATAAAAATGATAACATGTTGGTCTCAAGTAGCTCTCAAGGAGCTCAGGGGAATCAGAGAAAAGAGGGTGAACACACACACACACAGAATACAGAATCGCAAGATTAGGTGCTAAGTTTTATGGTTAATGTGTACACAGAGTGTTTGAAAGCACAGATAATACCAACCACATTTGTTATTATGTCTATAATGGCATTAATAACAGCAAGAATAAAGCTACTAGTAACAAGGCATCTACCATGACCTAAGCATGCTTGGTGCTTTATGCCCATTTCTACGTGTAAATCTCACAACACTCTGCAAGGTCTATCCCTGGAGTGTATTATTGAGACTTTGCAGGTGTAGCTGAGGCTCAGAATGGTTCCATACTTGTCCAAGGCCACAGAATAATACATAGTAGAGTTGAGATTTCCACCTTGGATTGTGAGTGTCTAAGGCCAGTGCCAATGTCTCCTATTAAACATTAATTGAGTGCCTACATTGTATAAAACATCGTGTAAAACATTACAAGGGATGGAAAGGTGAGCAGAGTAGAGACATGCATAGAAATGTGTTGGAAGAAGGCCGGATGTGGTGGCTCATGCCTGTAATCCCAGCACTTTGGGAGGCACAGGCAGGTGGATCACCTGAGGTCAGGAGTTCGAGACCATCCTGGCCAACATGGTGAAACCACGTCTCTACTAAAAATACAAAAAATTAGCCCGGCATGGTGGCGGGTGCCTGTAATCCCAGCTGCTTGGAAGGCTGAAGCAGGAGAATCACTTGAACCTGGGAGGCAGAGGTTGCAGTAAGCCGAGAATGCGCCATTTCACTCCAGCCTGGGCAGTAAGAGCAAAACTCCATCTCAAAATAAAAAATAAAATAAAATAAAGAAATGTGTTGGAAGAATACATACTAAATCCTTAACTGAGGCTACCTATGCAAGTTGGGTTGGGTAATGGGGATGGGAGTGGAATGGAACATTTGCTTTTTTCTCTGTACATTTTTAAATATAAATTTTTCCACATCAAGCATATACTAATGTTAATGCAAAGCAAAACAAAGCAAAAACCTGGAGTTGAACAAGACAAGGCACCAGACAATAAGAATTTCAGTAGGCACGATCACATACATATACATTAAAACATATTTGCATAAGTACAACAGAATTAGCTAAGCATAGATTAGGCTATTTTTATGGTTACTTCAGCTCCAAGCAATATGTATCCTTGGACAACTACAGCACACATCATCACGAAAAAGATTTCACTCTGTTAAACACTGGTAAGTCTGCTAAATTTGTGTGTCTAGTGGGTTGTGATCATTTGGCACAGTCTCTAATATCTCCCTAAATAAGATCCACTTATCAGAGCACAGATGACTCTCCTTGTATCACTGAGTGTACATGTAGCTCCATGTATCCAGGCAGCTCCTGGCTCATGACAATCCTAGTGAAACACACCCTTCCTCTGTATGCTCCCCCGTGCCTGCACATCCCCTGCTTGCATCCCTTCCCTTACTCACTTGAGTGGGTACATTCGCAGGGCCACGTCCATGCCTGGAGTGTAGGACAGAAATGCAGCCAAGAGTGTCTCCTCCAGGATCCCAAATATTAAGACTTTGTTTCTGGGAAGAAACATTCATGGGTGTGGCGGGGAGGGAGAAGAAAAGGCAGGGGGAAATGGCATGTCCTGGTGTGTGGGGCTTGGGAGAGTGCTGGGCTGTTTTGTGAGATGTTCACCTCATGCCCTGCTGGAAAAGTGAGTTGCGGCGAGTCTTGGAGATGATGAGATCCGCCCACTGCACAACCACGATGGTGACAAAAAAGGCCGTTTGGCATGTGAACTCCACAACTTTTCGTTGCTCATAGGTCTAGAGACAGCAGGGAGAGAGGAAACAGTGTCAGAAGGGGATTCTGTACACCCTAAGGCTTCTTTCCTCTCCCACCTTCCAGGACCCCTGGGCTGAGTCAGGTCCTCATTCTTTTTTTTTTTTTTTTTGAGACTAAGTCTCGCTCTTGTTGCCTAGGCTGGAGTGCAATGGTGTGGTCTCTGCTTACTGCAACCTCCGCCTCTGGGGTTCAAGCAATTCTCCTGCCTCAGCCTCCCGAGTAGCTGGGACTACAGGCGCCTGCCACCACACCCAGCTAATTTTTGTGTATTTTTAGTAGAGACGGGGTTTCACCATATTGGCCAGACTGGTCTCGAACTCCTGACCTCAGGCGATCTGACCGCCTCTGCTTCCCAAAGTGCTGGGAATACAGGCGTGACTCACTGTGCCCGGCCAGGTCCTCACTCTTTAGACCCCACAGCACTTCACAGATGTCTCTGTTTTAGCGCTTTTCATGTTGTATCATGATTTGTTTATGTTTTCCTTGCCTGACTGAGAGCTTCTCAAGAACAAGCACTTGCCTTATTTAGCTTTATGTCCTCTCCCTGTGCTTAGTTCGGTGGATGGCATGTAGCATGGCTCAATAAATATGGATTGAATTAATAAGAAGGATAGGGTAAGAGAAGAAGGTGGAGTTAGAAAGGAAGGCAGGCTGGGCGTGTGGTGGCTCATGCCTGTAATCCCAGCACTTTGGGAGGCCGAGGTGGGCAGATCACGAGGTCAGGAGATCAAGACCATCCTGGCTAACACAATGAAACCCCGTCTCTACTAAAAATACAAAAAATTAGCCGGGCGTGGTGGCGGGTGCCTGTAGTCCCAGCTGCTCGGGAGGCTGAGGCGAGAGAATGGTGTGAACCCGGGAGGCGGAGCTTGTAGTGAGCCGAGATCATGCCACTGCACTCCAGCCTGGGCGACAGAGCGAGACTCCGTCTCAAAAAAAAAAAAAAAAAAAAAAAAAAAAAAAAAAAAAAGGGAAGAAGGCAGAGTCAGGGGATATAGGTCAGAAAGAAAGGATGGTGGGGCCAGAGGACAATGTGAGTACAGGGGGGAAAGAAATACCCCAAAGAGTGGTATCAGATAGGAGACATTCATTCATTCATTTGTTCTTTCATTCACACTTTACACTTAAGGAACTTAGAGTCTAGTGGGGAAAATAATTATGCTAACCATGTCAGCGCAATAGACAGGTTATGAGAGAGAGACTGCAGAGGGCTATGGGAACACAGAAGGGGTGCATCTAAATTAGACTGGAGAGAAAAAGCTTCTGTTTTAAAAACTAAAGCAGCATGTTTATCAACAACTCGTAGATCCAATAAATTTGAAAACAGGTAGGACCGCACAATAATGAAATACTACATATCAAACCCCACGGGATGTGGCAAAGTGGTACTTGGAGAGGAATGTAGAGCCTTAAACGGTAGAACACAAAGGCTGGAAATTGATGAGCCGAGCATGGAACTTAGAATAAGACCAATCAGTCAGTTGCCGTTACCCGCGTCACTCCCTATCATTTCTTGAAGATTTTAGCTTCTGACACTGTTACTCCACGATTACTTCTGTCCTTGTTTTTGGAGATTGAATTGTCCATGTTGATGATCCTTCCAATGCCGTGGTCTCACAGTTCCTTGATCTCCTCCAATGATGTTGTCCTGTACTCCCCACCTGGGCTGCTTGCTCCCATCCTTAAACTCTAGATATTATCCTTTCCAATACCTATTATTTCTCTGTAATTTCAAGCATCTTTCTCTCTCTGACTAGCATTTTTATAATTCCATCTCACTCTAGTATTCTAGTTCCAACACTTCTTGGACCCCCTTGGACTTACAATATCTTGATTAAATATATTATATATTTGGTTATTATCTGTCTTCCCATCCCTAACTAGAAATAAGCTCCATGAGAGCAATAACTTGATGATTTTTGTTCACTATCATATCCCCAGGCCCTAGAACAGTACCTGGTACATAGAAGATGCTCAGTAAATATTGTCTGAATGAACAAATGAGTGAGGGAATCACTGGAATTAATGAAAGATATTTAGAAAGTAAGGAGCGATCCTTGCTTCTAGCAGTGCATCATGCACTTCCCGGGTGGGTGGCTCTATACCAGATTATCTGAAAATTACAGTCATAGAAGAGACACGGACACGCCTTTGTAGAGTTTGTTGCTCAGGGCAACTGTTCTCAACACATTTTTGTGACACTTCAAGATGTCTTCAATGTGCAGGGGGGAATTCTTAACTTTTTACCTCAAATTACTTTTAATTACCTTTAATTTATTGTCAGTAAATTTATGTTATGCTGCATCTTGGCAGCAGGGAGGAAGTATCAAGATGGAAAACAAGGGCTTGAGCTGGGAGTTGAGATGTTGGCAGGGTACACAGCAATGAGAACTTTGGGTGTCACTGGATCCTGCAGCAGTGTTAATAGCTGGGAATATTGACATCTGATGGCCTTACAGCCTCAGCTAATGGAAGCCAACTGTATGTGAGGGGCACCTTCCCAACAATTCAGATTTGAACACAATTTGAGAAACCTGCAATTGGCTTGGTTTGGAGACATCGTGGTGAAGTGGGAAAGTGCTGGGCAGGGATCTAGAGTCCAGAATTCAAGTCCAGCTCTTTTAGGGATTCACTGTGGGACTTTAAGCAAGTTACAGAATCTTCCTAGATCAGGTTCCTCATCTACAGAATGATGAAAATTTACTGTGTCCTCTATGACGCTACAATTCTAGCAATAATTGCTGTCACATGTCACATGACCCATTGTCTTAGAAATTGGGACAGGAGTATCACAGATACCAAAAAAGCATACCTACTAAAATTCTTAAACACATATTGTTGGGGAGAGGGCTTCAGTTTGAGCCTCATTCATCTTGGTTGTTAGAAAAGACAACTATAGAGAGGTATCCTCTAGGTTAAAAAGGTTTAGAATGATTAGGAAGGGATATACAAAGAAAATAGGTTTTCAGGGTTTTGTTTTTTTTTTTCTTTGAGACGGAGTCTCGCTCTGTTGCCAGGCTGGAGTACAGTGGTGCAATCTTGGCTCACTGCAATCTCCGCCTCCTGGGATCAAGTGATTCTCCTGCCTCAGCCTCCTGAGTAGCTGGGATTACAGGCACCCACGACCATACCCAGCTTATTTTTGTATTTTTAGTAGAGATGGGGTTTCACCATGTTGGCCAGGATGGTCTTGATCTCTTGACCTTGTAATCTGCCTGCCTCAGCCTCCCAAAGTGCTGGGATTACAGGCGTGAGTCACTGTGCCCAGCTGGTTTTCAAATTTTATATTTATTTATTTATTTATTTTTTGAGACAGAGTTTTACTCTTGTTGCCCAGGCTGCAGTGCAATGGCGTGATCTTGGCTCACTGCAAACTTTGCCCCCCGGGTTCAAGTGATTCTCCTGACTCAGCCTCCCGAGTGGTTGGGATTACAGGCATGCGCCACCACGCCCGGCTAATTTTGTATTTTTAGTAGAGACGGGGTATCTCCATGTTGGCCAGGATGGTCTCAACTCCCAACCTCAAGTGATCCGCCCACTTCGGCCTCCCAAAGTGCTGGGATTACAGGCGTGAGCCACTGCACCCTGCCTCAAATTTTAAATCATATCATTTGAACTCTCATGGAGGGAGAGTATAAGAGGAGAGGACCCAGCATTTATTTCTGGGGCAATCATGGTTGAAACCTGGGAAAAGAGAAACCGGCTCAGAAAAGTTGATATGACAAAGACTCCAAGGAGCCAAAGGACTCAGACAGGCAGGGCCAGACAACAGACAGGAGGAGCCAACCAGAATGAGCCTATGCTAAACAGAAGAGGATTTGCTGTTGTGGCTGAAGACTGAGGGCAAGTGTGAGAAGGCTCATACAGGACTGAAGAAAAGGCATCAGCTCTGTTTGTGTGGTGCTTCCCTTCTTCTCTCTTAAAAAATTTGCTGCACTCACTCTCCCCTGTCACTCTCACTCTTACTGGTCTCAGCTCCTACCTTATCCCTTCTACTCACCCACTGCTGTCCGTAGCTGTCCTCCAGGTCATTCAAGTATTTATCTTCCCAGTGGAGGCGGATGCCCAGCAGATCAACAGGCCTAAAACCATTCTCAGCCAGGATTACAAAGTAGGTAAAGAATCCAGCCAGAGCCTGGATCATCCCTGTGAATGACAGAGTTGCAGGACAGGGGAGCCTGGTTCAGAGAAGGGCCCCAAAAGGTAGGCCAGGGGAGGGCTGGGGGCTGGGACTTGCTTCTGGCTGGGCTGGTGTGTGTCTGAAGAGTAATGCGGAAGAATCTTGCCATCAGCTGCCTAAGCCTGTTATCTCTCATCTCTGTGGGACTTTCCTTCAAGCCCTGACATTTGTTTCTAAACTCTGACCCAGAGTCAGCTTTGAATCACATGGTCTTAAAACTAAAAAGGACTTTAGAGGCCACTGATTCCCTCTCCCAATTTTTTCTTTTGAGACAGGATCTTACTCTGTTCATCACTCACCCTATTTTCTGAAATACCATTGCACCTGGAAAATCAAGAACAAAGACTTCTAATGACTCTCAAATGTCTGTCAAGGCTGACCCCAACACAAATGATATCTCTGTCTACAGTCTTATTTTTCACTACTTTATAAAGACTAAGGGCTCTACCAACCTGGTTTATTCAGTCTTCTTTAACTGTGCCATCTGAAATTCCCCACTCCTTTGGTCTCCCACACCTGACCATACACTTACTAGTCTAAGCCCCACTCTCCCACACCAAGTTTAAGTCCTATTTCCTGCATAAGGCCTCTCTGGCTATCCTCATAATGGTGAGCCTGCTTGCTTTGTAATCCTGTAGTATGTTCTGTCTATACTCATTACTTGGCACTTGGAGATGCTATCATTTTATGTATGTTTGTTCCTTTTGTACTGGACTCTAAGTCAAGGACAGATCAGAGATGAGTGGTTCTTTGTGTTTTCAGGGCCTAGCACAGTTTGTTGCTGAGAAAATATCTCCCTGACTTCCAAACTGAGATGGCTCACGTTGCCAGGCAGGGGAAACCACTCCCTGCTCCCTCCACCCCTCATTCCTCTGGGCGCACCAATCTGTCCATAGGCCATGCCAATGAGACGGTGGTTCACCAGATTATCCGTCTTTGGGTTCCTTGGAAGCCTCTTCATGATGTCGCTTTCAGCTGACTCATAAGCCAAGGAGATGGCAGGGACCTGGAGGATGGAGGGTGGGGATGACAGGGGTCACAAAGTTCAGAAGGAAACCCAGCAGTAATTCAAGCTCTACCATTCTGTCTTGACGCAGCCTCAATCCATCTTGCAGGAGGTGCGAGAGCTGGATCATAAGTGGGTTGTCATGAGTTTTAGTAAGATAGCTCCAGGCAGAAAGCAGGGAGCTTAGGAGGCAGAATTCTGGGAATCTCTTGCTCACCAGCTTGGCCCTTACCATGTCAGTGCCGAGATCAATGCAGAGGATGGTTATGGTTCCCAGAGGCAGGGGTATACCGAGGATGATGAACATCAGGAAGGGCGTGATCTCGGGGATGTTGCTGGTCAGGGTGTACATGATGGATTTCTTCAGGTTGTCAAAGATCAGGCGGCCTGGGGAGGAAGGTCAACCTCCTGTGAGAAGCCCTGGGAGAACACGCCTCCCTCAAACCAGCTCCGGGACAGACAGGCCACCTCAAAGAAGTGTCACAGTCCAGGAAAGGGTCTGGAGGTCCTAGACCTCCAGGGTCCCAGTATTGTTTCTAAATTGTGTGCCTTTTAATCAGAGCCATGCCGTCTGTGTACTGTTTGTTCTTAGATTCACCCTAGCTAACGTTATCTGATCTCTGAAAATTAGCAGGGTTGGGCCTGGTTAATCCTGCGATGTTTGAGAATGTCAGTATAAAAGCCTTTACAAGATTAAGGCTGGAATGGAAACAGCCAGGGCTTGGGACAGGCTTGTGTTCAAATCCCATCTTCTGCCATAGCTAGCTGTGACCTTGGGCACCCTCACCTCCGTGAGCTTCATTCCTCCTGCCTTGCAAGATTGCTGCATCCGTCTCTGACTGCCTTTTCAAAGATCGAATCCCTCTCTGCACTCTCTGCTTGGTCTGTCCCATGGCACTTATCTTCTTTTAACATACTATATAATTTAATTATTTTATTGTTTGTCATCCCCACTAGAAATTAAGTTACACGAGGGCAGGGATTTGTGTCTTTGTTCTCCCTACTGTTGTATCCCCAGCATCAAGCATAGTGCCTCCCACATAGTCAGTGTTCAAACGAACTTATTGAATTGAGTGGATATAAAATACCAAGCAAAGTGTCAGGATTATACAAGGTTTCAATGAAATGGTAATCATGATTATGATGTGGATTGCCATATGTTTTAGTAAGATAGCTCCAGGCAGAAAGCAGGGAACCTGGAATGCAGAATTCTGGATCTCTCCTGTTCGCAGGAGGGCATTCTCTTCACAGTTCTCTGGGGAAGAGGGTGTGTAATTGGGCTCATGCAGTCAATTCACGGGTCAAGCTCCAGCTGATCCTGATGTGTCACCATTATTTAGGCAACAGGTTCCTAGGGGACCCTCCTAAAGATTGCAGCGCATGGAATAGTCCCAGGGGTGTGGCTACATCTTGGAACTGGCTGTGGGCCTACTTGAAGTCCAGTGAGAGGACAATGACGATATTATGTATACCAGAGTCTCAGTCTCCCTGATAGGAAAACAAAATGAATAAAAGGGACTTTTCTCCGATCTCATCAAAAGGGGTTGCAGATAGTGATGGTCTATGTACCAGCTGATCTAATTTGCAAAATTTTGTCTTACAGTGATTTTCTTCTGAGCCCGTACAGGCTCATGGAGGTTGGATGATGGGAAAACGGAAAGAGGGGATGTACACCAACCCCCACCTGAGTCCAGGGTTGAAGTCTCCACCATGGGCACCCTGCCTCCTCACCCTCCTCCACCCCCGTGACGATGGAGGCAAAGTTGTCATCCAGCAGGATCATGTCGGCTGCCTGCTTAGAGACGTCAGAGCCAGAGATGCCCATGGCAATGCCAATGTCAGCCTTCTTCAGCGCAGGGGAGTCGTTCACCCCGTCACCTGTCACGGCCACAACGGCTCCCTGAGGAAGTCCAGACAGAGAGAGTGAACAATTTATTGCATCAGATCCAGAACTAGTCCCAAAGATCAGTACGCTTTCTGCATCCCTTGTTTCCTGATGTAATCATGCTTGATTTAGGGCTCCCGTCCTTCTCCCACTCCTCCTGAGATATTTAAACTTTCAGGGAGCCCCAAACTGAAGGCCACCATGGAGGTTCCAGATGGGGTACTCTCTGGAGTCTCCTCTAGCCCAGCCCACATGTTCCTCTGCTTGGTTTGGGACGGGGCTAAGCCACAGGAGTTCTGCCAGTTTCCTTGGGGCTCCTTTTCGTTCCTTACCAGCCTCTGACATCCCTCGACAATGATGAGCTTCTGCTGAGGGGAGGTCCGAGCAAACACGATCTCAGGGTGGTTCTGGAGGATCTGATCAAGCTGCTTGGACTGTATGTCCTTCAGTTCTGCACCATGCACCACAATGGCTTTGGCAGCACTGAGGGAAAATAATTTCAAAAGGCTAGTTTTGAGTGTTGAGAATTCACCAGGGGTCTTGGTGCCCATCTTGACTATAGCTTCATTGCTTCTTCTTTCAACCTAGTCTCCTCACTTGTCCCTAGCCCTATATTGTCCCCAAATTGACACATCCTATTCCCTCCCCACACTTTTGCCAACCACTCCTCTCTTTACCTCTTTCTTCATCTTGCTTCCTTTGAAAACCCACTGACATATTCACTTTATTTTCCTATTATGTTTTACTTTGTAGTGTAAACCCCACACATCCTACCTATTGAAGGAGACTCCAAGAACTTTAGTAAAGTGGCATCTGGGTGGGGCAGGCTGGGGATGGAGGGAACATGGCAGATCTTGAGTTCTTTAGTGATCTCACCTGGCATCGACCTTGCTGATAGGGATCTTAAGCCGGGCAGCGACTTCCTCTGCCGTCTCAGTGCCTTCTGAGATGATGCCCACACCCTTGGCAATGGCCTTAGCTGTAATGGGATGATCTCCTGTTACCATGATCACCTGGGTTGGGAAGGAGAGGGAAGAGGAGCAGAATCATCTTCAGAGCCCGGATCCTTCATTTTTCTCCTCTGAGAACTGACAGACCACTGCTTTTTTCAACAAGGGTTTTAGTCGCTCATTCCCAAGAACTTGTGGTGTAGACCAAAAACCATGCTACTGTGATTTCAACCCTTGGGAGTGGGTCAAGACCATGAGACCATAAAACAGGACAATTTGGGTCCTAGATTTACCAGGAATAAGCCAGAGATTTGACTATATTCAGAATTTCATTTAATTGCTCCAGAAGCTATTCTGCTTCCTTAAGTGCAAAGACAGAAACACCTACACATAGAACAAGTGGTAATAAAGGAATGTCTGGAATAATCCATCTGCCTAGCAAAATTTCATCTAAGGCCCAGTGCATTGAAATTCTCACTCTACCTTTCTTCTTTCTGTGGCCTCACCCTGTGCCTTGGTTTCAGCTTGGTTTTGGATACCTGGTACCTAGTCCTGTCCCATTTCTACCCAAAGATGAATACCCAGGCCACGTGCTTTCACAGCATTCCGTTCCTGCCATATTTCAGCACTTGCCACACTTCTCTGTATGGTGATTGCCTGTTTATCTCTCTTCCCCACTGAACTGAGAGCTCTGCAAGGGTGGCTTCCTTGTAAAGTTTCCTGCCCTAGCACAATGCCTAGCACATAGTAAGCCATCAACAAATAATTACTGAATGAAGGAATGGAGGAATGATCACTACCTGGAAACCACTGCCCAGGGTTCCCAAGTCCCTCCCAGCACACATGGCCCAGACTGACCCTGGACAAACTGCCAACAGTCACAGGTCTAACATAAAGCCAGTTCCAACAGAGAACACCTAGTTCTCCTTAAATACCTCCAATCCCCCAAGTCTAGGAGCCAGAATACACAGGTAATCCAGAATGTAAGGTATGAGCACGGAAGGTGTCTATATCTAAGCTGTAAAGATGTATATGATGAGTCTTAGAATTTGACCTGGGAAACATGGGACACAGAACACCTCAGAATTTGAAGAATTCTACTGCTGCCATCCCATGAAGTTCAAGGCCCACCCTGACCAAAGAGGATTTTCTACCTCTGGGTTTGTTCTGAAGCTGAACTTTCACTCTTGCTCTGACCGATTTTTGGTTTCCAGTTTTTAGACCTGGGCATATACCTCTTAGGGCAGCTGCTCACACCCATTGAAGATCCTTCAGCTCTCAATATCTCATTCTCACTATTGCCTGGTCCAGAGCCCCAGGCCTCCTAGCCTCACCCTTTTACCGCCCATCTCGGCAGCACATTTACACGACATCTTCTAGCACTTTGCTATTCCTAGTGTGGTCTGCAGACCAGCAGCAACAGCATCGCCTGGGAGCTCGTTAAAAATGCAGTCTCTCAGGTTTCCATGGACCTTCTGAAGCCAGATCTGCATTTCAAAACAATCCCTGAGGGATCTGCACGCACGTTGGTCTGAGAAGCACTGGGCTGGACGCTGGTTCTCAAACTTCTCTGCTCATTGGAATCTCCAGGAAAGTTTTTAAAAATACTGTTGCCAGGATCCTATCCTGAGAGTTTCTAATTAAATCGGTCTGGGGTGTGTCCTAGACATCCGATTTTTAAAGCCTCCCTGGTGATTCTAATGTTCAATGCAAGTAGAATTCTAACTGGAGAGGAAACTTACTATTAATTAAAAATCATAAGCCCAAGGAAACAGAAATCCGCTCAATTAAACTAAGGGTATTAAGCATCTACTCTGCGCAAGGCCTTCTAGTAGATGCTTCAACTTGTGACAGGTGAGGGGCTCCTGGTCTGGGCAAGTATTTACCTTAATTCCTGCACTGCGACACTTGCTCACAGCATCAGGCACTGCAGCTCGGGGAGGGTCAATCATGGATATGAGGCCCACAAAACAAAGGTTGTCCATGGGGAAATTTATTTCATCTGTATTAAATGGGAATCCCTTGGAGAAGCTGCTAGGCAGATTCAAGAAGCAGAAGCCTGGAGAGAGACAGAGGGAGGGACCAGTAGTCATCCAGCACTCTACATTCCTATCTGCTTACCCCAACATCCTTGATTTCTCACCCCAGGGATAATAACCATTTTGATGCCATTCTTTTAAAAACTTCTCCCAAAGCTCCTCACCTAGCACACGTTCCCCCAGACCTCCCAGTTCTAAGTAGGCATTTTGGAAGGCTTCCTTCATTTCATCGTTCATTGAGTACTCCTGCCCATTCAGAAGAAAGGTAGAACAAAACTCCAAGATCCTCTCCGGAGCACCCTTCATCATCAGTACGTGGGTCTGGGAGCTGTCCTCCCGAAGGTGGATGGACATCTAGGGAGAGCAAAGGGAGCACTGATGGGACAGGAGGAGAGACCAAGGATCAGGGGCAAAAAGAAGGGGAAGGTTTCAAAGGTAAAAAAATGTGTTTCATACCCCCATTTCTTTTGTTCCCTCCCCTCCCCAGTCACATCTCGCCCCAGGTTGAACCCAGCCCCTCCTCCTTTTTCCAGAAAACTGCAGCCTGGTATTATTTGCACAGGAATCTCCATTATCTTCTCAGCCTGAAGCTCCCTGGGGGCAGAACCAGGCACTCTCACTTTTCCCCTGCATCCTTGCCAACTGGATGGCGAGAGAGCAGAAATAGTGGGGCTGGCAAAGAAAGAAAAGAGAGTAGACAGGAAAGAAAAAGAGTCGGAAGGCCAGGCGTAGCGGCTCATGCCTGTAATCCCAGCACTTTGGGAGGCCGAGGCGGGTGGATTGCTTGAGGTCAGGAGTTCAAGACTAGCCTGGCCAGCATGGCAAAACCCCGTCTCCTACTAAAAATACAAAAATTAGCTGGGCATGGTGGCATGTGCCCATAATCCCAGCCACTTGGGAGGCTAAGGCAGGAGAATCGCTGGAACCCTGGAAGCAGAGGTTGCAGTGAGCCAAGATTGCGCTATTGCACTCTAGCCTGGGTGACAGAGCCAGACGCCGTCTCAAAAAAAAAAAAAAAAAAAAAAGTCCAAAGACCTGTGTTCTGGGGCTAGCAAGAATGCATTATGACCTCAGGTCAGTCCATTTAACTTTGCAAAATCTTAGTTCCTTCGACAAAACATAAAAGCCTCTGCCTTGCCTCCTTCATGGGGTTTTTTGTTGTGTTTTGTTTTTGTTTTTGAAGATGGAGTCTCACTCTGTCGCCCAGGCTGGAGTGCAGTGGTGTGATCTCAGCTCACTGCAACCTCTGCCTCTGGGTTCAAGTGATTCTCCTGCTTCAGCCTCCCGAGTAGCTGGGATTACAGGCACCGCCACTATGCCGGGCTGATTTTTTGAATTTTTAGCAGAGACGGGGGTTTTACCATGCTGGTCAGGCTGGTCTTGAACTCCTGACCTCAGGTGATCTACCAACCTTGGCCTCGGAAACTGCTGGGATTACAGGCACCGCCACTATGCCTGGCTGATTTTTTGCATTTTTAGCAGAGATGGGGGTTTCACCATGTTGGTCAGCCTGGTCTTGAATTCCTGACCTCAGGTGATCTGCCCACCTTGGCCTCCCAAACTGCTGGGATTACAGGCATGAGCCACACACCTGGCCCTTCATTGGGTTTTTATAAGAGATAGTGTAGAAAATACTTTGAAAACTGTGAAGTACAATCCAAAAATAAGTTAGTCATTCTAGTCCCTGGGCCTCTGTCTCCTAAAAGCGTGAGAAGTCTCCTGAGAGGGGCTAGCTAGTGTGGTTGGGCATGGGAGTCCTTGTGGCTGTGGTGGGGGAGGGAAAGGGCACATTCATGAAATGAACCCGAGGGGACAACCCGCAGCAAGGAGAGAGAAATGTGGGTTTTGCATTTCCTCTTGATCTCTGATGTATGAAAAGGAGCTCTCCATGGGGTTCCTCTTGTGATGGACAGGAAATGCCCGCTAGGTCGCCTGTTGAGAACAAAATCGATGCATTGAAAGGAACAGCGGGAGTGCAGAGGAGGCCGGACTGTACTGCCCACAGGGTAAGCAGGGTGGGAAACCAGTGCACAAAACGTGGTTACAACTGTTCTGTTCGTTTGTTCAGTTACATTCAAAATATGCTTAAGCAATTAAGAGGAAGAACCGTAACTCACTTAAGCAGAAAGCTGGAAAAAGTTTAAAGAGCTCAGTTTTCTAAGTGCTCAGTAAAATGTGTTGAATAAGTGAAGGGCCCAGGAGGTGATGGCAAGACCTACTAGTAATCTCAGAGGTCACGGAAGAAAATCACATCTTGATAGAAAATTACATATAAAAGAGACGGAGGGAGAAGTCTGGAAATGCTGGAACAGAGCATCTTCTTCGTTTCATTTTTATCTCAGAGGGAGACAGACCAGGCTCTGCAAACCGCCAGCAGTCTGAGATGTCTCTTGCAAAGACTGGAGTCTCCACCTTTAGGGCAAGCTAAGGAAGGCAGCAAACTGAGGGCCTCCCAGAACAAGTGCCTGCCAGAGCTTGGCGGCCAGTGGGACAGCCTGTCACACTCGGTGAACCACTGAGGACAAGTCTGCCATTTGAGCCGCATGTTTGGTAGCTCGGAAGAGGCAGCAACATAGTCATCTGAGAGAAAGTCACTATTTGTTGGATGCCCCAACAAATGTTGTGAATATGTTTTGCTTTTATTTTGAATCACATGGACGGAGAGGTACCTAATTCTTTCCAGTTAAAGGCTATGCTGCCGTCAAAGGCCCTGCCAAGCCACAGAATTCCTGTCAGACTAGTGAGGCCACTAAACATCAGAAAAAAATGGGAATAAGTTTGCCATTTGGGCCTAAGAGACCTATTTTATTACATTGACTAACAACCAGTTGAGACAGAAAAGGATAGATCTATTTAACCCTTACTTGCTCAGTTTTCAGTGTAAAACGATGAGTAATTCAGTTAAAAAAAATTTATATAGAGGCCAGGCATGGTGGCTCACGCCTGTAATCCTAGCACTTTGGGAGGCTGAGGCGGGTGGATCACCTGAGGTCAGGAGTTCAAGACCAGCATAGCCAACATGGTAAAATCCCGTCTCTACTAAAAATACAAAAAATTAGCCGGGCGTGGTGGCACATGCCTGTAATCCCAGCTATTCTGGAGGCTGAGACAGGAGAATCCCTTGAACCCAGGAGGTGGAGGTTGCAGTGAGCCAAGATTGCGCCATTGCACTCCAGCCTGGGCAACAAGAGCAAAACTCCTTCTCAAAAAAAAAAAAAAAAAAAAAAGATACCAGCAGACTTGGGAGTCTCATTGTCATTTTCTCTGAGACATTTTACCCACACCTGAATGTCTGGCCTTTTCAGTAATGCAAGGAGTTGAAGAATCTACTTCCCTGAGCAAATCATGATTGCCCCGTGGAACTCAGCTTGAGCCTGGCAAAGCTCCAATTCTGATAATGTCACTGTTCCTGCATCCTACCATAACCTTCTCTTCAGTCTGCCCAGATTCTACTTTGGAGAGAAAGACTCTTTCCTGTCCCTTCATGGTCCCTCACTCAGCATTTCCCCTGCTCTTGTCCACTCCTCCCCGGAGAGTGGACCAAAATGTTCCTGGGAAATGAAAAACTTCACGAACACGAACACACGTAATTAGTTAAGGTTACATAGAAGTAGGGGAGGCCCTAATCTAATATGATTTGCATCCTTATAAGAAAAGAAGTTACAAGACACACAGGGGAGAGGGTCAGGCGCCAATGGAGGCAGAGACTCCTGATCGCCTACCCGCTGGCAGTCACTAGAACTGCAAGCCAAGTGTGGGGTGAAAGGAAATATTGATGGCTAATGAAATAAAGTGTCTGCAAATGCAACCTAATACTGCAGCGGCAAATCTCCTAGTAGACACAGAGGGGCCTCCTAACAGCTGCATGTGACTCTAACATGACTTTCACCAACCAGCTTCTGCTGTCTACAGACATTTCAGAGAGGATTTTATGACTCGCTTTTTCCCCAAGTGGCAGAGCTCAGATCTCTGCATAGGACTGACTGATGCCTCTCCCTTTATCACCTGTTTCGCCTCTCTTTACCTGTTTGTCACGTTCTCTTGATGTGAGTCTTCCGTTAATTGGGATGCAGGTTCTGCTGAGCTCCTCTGCTTCTCCGAGGTGAAGTTGAAGGCAGAGGCAAAGCTCCCCTTGTTCCAGTGATAAGCCCATCCCCCCACCACCATTCTCCTACCTTTGTGGGTTCTGTACCTGGTACTTGTTGGTAGAATTAAAGGGAATCTCTGCCACCTTGGGGTTTTTCTCTCTCATCTCCGCCACAGAGCTGTAAGACTGCTCGATGAACTTGAGGAGGGCTGACTCGGAAGCATCACCTGTTGTGGCCCTCTGCCAGGATGGGGTTTGTATAGTAAGCCCCAGGGGCATGCTACCTGGGCATGAGGCATACCTGTGGCAACATGGAGAGGGGACAAATGGGGAGGGCGGGTACCTGGGGGGAAATTACTGAGCTCCAGGAGAGGATTTTTTGGGAGAGGTCAGGTTACACCCTGGACACTGAGGTACCCTCTTCCCCTTGGGCCTGACACCTTAGCAATGGGCAGGATCTCCTGATTAGCCTTAAAGTCAGCCCGGTTGCAGAGGCCAGCGATTCGGGCCAGCATAAACCAGGTATCAGAGCTCTTGGTAAATGTTTTTCCTAGGGAGAAAGAAAAGAAGAATTGTGAGCAGGGAATGAGAATTTTAAGCAAGCGGTTATTCACATCCTCTTTGGCACCCAGATACTTCACAGGAGCAGCATTTCTTTTCCTTCACACCTCCCTCTTCTCCACTCCACTTTCAGGCTCCCTCCTGTCTGTCTGGACTCACCATTCTCTCTCAGCTCACTCATCACATCCCCCAAATCCCTCCACTCTTGTTCCACCAATACCACTAGTCACCAGTCTGTTCTTCAGTGGTGTCGGCCTCATACACGGTCATATCAAACCACATGTGGGCGACGGTCATGCGGTTCTGGGTGAGGGTGCCCGTCTTGTCTGAGCAGATGGTGGACGTGGAGCCCAGCGTCTCCACCGCCTCCAGGTTCTTCACCAGGCAGTTCTTCCGCGCCATGCGCTTGGCTGTGAGGGTCAGGCACACCTAAAGCCAAGAAGAGAGGAGAGAATACACATGGGAGATGGAATACTCACACCATTTTGCATTGTGGATATTTGATCATTTTTAATGCTATTTTGATTTTTTGTACTTACTTCCCTTTTGTTCCCACCTACTCTTTACACATTTCATTTCTGGCTGTGGTAAAGGAAATTAGGAAAGTGATTGTGGTTTGTGCTTTATGGTAAGAGTTTCAAAAAAGAGTGTATTTAAAAAAAATGTCTTTTTCTGTTTTTGTTTTTGAGACAGAGTCTCACTCTGTGTTACCCAGGCTGGAGTGCAGAGTATGATCTTGGCTAACTGCAACCTCCATCCCCCAGGTTAAAGCAATTCTTCTGCCTCAGGCTCCCGAGTAGCTCAGACTACAGGCATGCACCACCATGTTCAGCTAATTTTTGTATTTTTAGTAGAGACAGGGTTTCACCATGTTGGCCAGGCTGGTCTTGAACTCCTGGGCTCAAGTGATCTGCATGCCTTGGCCTCCCAAAGTGCTGGGATTATAGATGTGAGCCACCGTGCCTGGCCAAAAAAGAGTGTATTTCTTTACCAGGGTATCATAGACAGGGATCCTCTTTATTCCCCCCTGGAATATTCTGCTCCCTCAGGATCTTTGCATCTTTTCTATTCAGCAATCTCTTTTTCATTCAAGTTTAGGCCACACCTCTTTAAGTCCAATCTTTCCAGGGACCACATAGATAGCTAATCTTTTATGGTGGTATAAGATGCTAGGTGTGGAGGGGGTGTTGGACCAATAGTTCTTTTTTTTTCTCGAGACGGAGTCTCATTCTGTGGCGTGATCTCTGCTGACTGCAAACTCCACGTCCCAGGTTCAAGCCATTCTCCTGCCTCATCTTCCCAAGTAGCTGGGACTACAGGCGCCAGCCACCATGCCTGTCTAATTTTTTTTTTGTATTTTTAGTAGAGACGGGGTTTCACCGTGTTAGCCAGAACGGTCTCGATCTCCTGACCTCGTGATCCGCCCACCTTGGCCTCCCAAAGTGCTGGGATTACAGGTGTGAGCCACCGCGCCCGGCAGACCAATAGTTTAAACAAAGAACGTGGAGGAGATAACAATAATATCACAGCATTGAAAAGGACTTGAAAAATCATTTAAACCAAAAGACTTTTGTTGATTGTGAAGGCAATGTAAGTCAAGTGTGAAGCAAGATTGTTTTAAAAGCTAATGAATTCTTAGGCTGTGGTTATCTAAGTATGGGCTTCTAATAACAGGATTAGGGGTTATAATGTATTTACATAATATCACTAGTCCCTACATTTTTGTGCTAGTCCAAACACACCCCAAGTATTATTGTCATTTCTCTTTTAAGAATATTGACAAACTAGAGCATACCCTCAACAGGTGATCATCAAGACAGGTGGCCTACAGACCATGTCATAGGAAGAATGGCTAAGGGAAGAGGGATTATTTCACCTGCTACCACCAGAGTTTGAGGGGACATAATGGCTACCATCAAAAATCTAAAGGGCTAGTCTGTAGAAGAGAAAGAATTGACTTATTTTGTGTTTCTTCAGCTGGGAAACTTAGGACAAACAGGGATTTATAGTTCTGCTTAACACAGTGAAATGTAAATAGAGCAAGACAACAATGAAACGAATTGAGACAGAAAGGGGTGGGCTTCCCAATTAATAGAAATAATAATCATCTCCCATGGGTTTTATAGAGGATATTCAGCACTGGTTGAAAGGTTGAATTTATATGATCTTTGAAGTCCTTTCCTGTAGGATTCTATAATTCCAAATTAATCTTCCTCCATAAACTGATGAATAAATTGAGGTCTGGAGATGTTAAGTGATTTAGCCAATACTAGAACTCACTCTCAGTGACTGATAATCCAATGCACTTTCCATTGAAACTTGCTTCCTCTCTCATTGAGGAAAGAGAAGACACCGAAATATATGGGCAGAAGGAGTCAGTGTAATATTGAGAGCTAAATTATTCCTGATACCTATTTACATATCAGGAAGACCCTGCACTTGAAAGGTTCAACAACAAAAGAGACGCTAGTGATCCCTTTTCCCTGGGGTGGTTTGTCTGCCCTGAGGCCATTTTCCACCCTGTCTACTCACAGTGACTGTGGCCAACAGCCCCTCAGGCACATTGGCCACAATGATGCCAATGAGAAAAATGATAGCCTCCAGCCAACCATAGCCCAAGAGAAGTGAGAGCGCAAAAAAAGTGACACCAAGGAAGACGGCCACCACAGTGATCAGATGGATGAAGTGTTCGATCTCAGCAGCGATAGGTGTCTGGCCAACCGCCAGGCCTGACGTCAGGGAGGCAATTCTGCCCATCACTGTGGAGTCTCCCGTAGCAATCACAATACCCCGGGCGGTTCCTGTGGATGAAGCAGGAGAGGGCAATGTGATGTTGTGATATGATAAGAAGTATAGATATTGGTCTCTGCCCCCACTTCCTGACATAGAGCTTCTAAAAACCCTTAAAGATAGGGGTGCTAGGAGAATCTTTTGTTCTAATATTTGGTCTTTGACCCAGTTCTGGACACAGAGCTCCTGAGACCCTTGTAATTTCTTGAGTGATAGGAGTGTCTGACACAGAACTCTTAAATGCCTTGGAGTTTCCTGGGTGATAGGAGTATCTTTGTTCTAATGAGGTGACTCTTGGTGGGTTCCTGGATAGCCACAGGATGGGGCTGGTGGCCAGGGCAGATAACCATGTGATTAGAGAGTTGGAACTTGCAGTTCATGGACTGACCTCTTTGGAAGGGAGGAGGGATGAAGGTTGAGTTGATCACCAATGGCTAATAATGTAACCGATTATACCTATGTAATGAAATCTCCATTAAAAACCTCAAAGGACTGGGTTTGGAAAGTGTCTATGTGTATGACCATGTGGAGGGTTACTGGAGGGCACCCTGGACAGGAGAGGGCACAGACGCTCCTCCATGCTCCTTCCCACGTGCCTTGTCCTGTGCGTCTCTTCCATATGACTGCTCATCTGTATCCTTGTAATATCCTTTATAATAATGGGTAAACCTAAGTAAGGTGTTTCCCTGAGTTCTGTGAGCCATCCTAGCAAATTAATCAAACCTGAGGAGGGAGTCGTGGGAACCCCAATTTATAGCCAGGCCATAACCTAGGACTTGTGACTGGGGTCTAGAGTTAGGGACTGTCTTGTGGGGCTGAGCCCTAACCTGTGGGATCTGATGCTATCTCCAGGTGGATTGTGTCAGAGTTGAATTGAATTATAGGACACCCAATCATTGTCCTTTGGAGAACTGGTTGTTGGTGGGGAGAACTGTCTACACATGTTGGACACAGAAGTGTTCTGTGTTCAGCGTGAGTGTAGAGAAAAAAAAAAGCTGTTTCTTGTTTTTTCCATCAGAGATGGTCACCCAAGACATGCCGAGTCTGAATTGAGGAAGCTGTTTGGTTTGGTTCCCACAAAGAGCAAGCTGTCAATGGTCAAAAACAAACTGGAGACTCAAGGCCCTCTGAGAGGTCATTATGTTCTGCTCTCCTCATATTTAGTTTATACAAATAAAGGTCTTCTAGTCTGAAAAATCTCTGAAGAGGTCTCACAGTTCTCCTGAAATACCCAATTTTATTGCCTAATTTCCTTCACTGTCAAGAAGGCCTTTATTATACTTAATCTGAGTATCTTCTATTGCCTATATAGTTCTTATCTTGCCCTCAGCAGCTGAGGAGTTTCTAGATCCCAGGAATAGTGGTTACCCTTCTGGTAGAGCCCTATGTTCCAACATCCCCTTATCCCCTAACACAGTGGTTCTCAACTGGAGGCAATCCCTACCCACCAACCCCCTTCCCTGGGGACATTTGGCAATGCTTGGAGACATTTTTGGTGGTCACTACTGGGGTGGGAGAAGGCTCCTACTGGCATGCAGTGGGTAGAGGCCAGGATGCTGTTAAACATCCTGCCACGCACAAGACAGCTCTCCTGTCCCGCACAACAAAGAATTATCCAGCCCCAAATGTGAGTGGTTGAGAAATCCTGCTGTAACTTGCGCCCCCTCCCTGCTTTGCTGGCTGGAGCCAATCTGACCTCTGCTGGGTAGCACGGGCCATAACAGCTGGGCTTCTGTGCTTATGAGGTCCCTCTTTCCTCTCCACCAGCACTGCCCCAGTCAGAAGGGCAGCTTGGACATCATGTTTGGCTTTACACACACATGATGCAGGCCACTCACCTTGAAATGAGGGGCATGACAAAATTCTTTTCTTAAAGTAATTCTTCCTGCTTTACCATAATGACTGAAATTTCTACCATTGAAATCAGAGTCAGAATCACTTAGGCAACATATCACTGAAACTGCATTTATTTTAAAAGCAGAAAGACTCAGGGCCGGAAGTTCAGCTTTCTAAATTACTAGCTCTTTTCCTTGGGGCAAGTTACTTAAATGCTGAGAGTCAGGCTTCCTCATCTTCGAAATGGAATGAAAGCACTTACTAAACTGTGAGGACTGAATATTTTTAAGAGTCTAGAAGGTTAGGTACATCATAGGCACTTGAAAATTAGTTTCTTTCTCTTTCTTCTCATCATTTAGATGAACTTAGGGTTTCCAGTAGGACCAATATAGACTCATACTTGTGACTTAGTAGGAGCATCTCTAATCTGGGAGCTCCCATGAACATTGCTGCACGTGGTGGTCTCCGTTTTCTAAGGTTGCCTTTAGCTGTATGAGTCTGAGAGCAGGGTCCTACTCGAGGAGCAGACAGGTCAGGTCAGTGTTTATGTGGAGGAGGAATCCTGAAAAGATTCCCAGGCCGAGGCATTCTATAGATGGGCTTCAAACTGGTTGCCAAAGGCATATATTGGGTCCTATGGAATGAAGATGCTGAAATACTTGAGAGATGCTGAGGAGTTTCCTATTTTGGGCCGGGTGGAGGAGGGTGGGTAGTGTATGGTGTCACCTACATATATCTTGTGTCATGGTTTAGTCTAGTTCTTCTATTTTATTCCTTCTGCTATGGTTTCCTCACACTTGGAGAAACGGGATTTAATAATTAATCTCAGTGTGTCTAGAGATGGGGTTGGGTTGATGTCAACCTCAGGGAAGGCTGAGAAGGCCAAGCATCCAGCACCCCAGGCCAGACTGGCTTCTTCATACACCTTCCATGTATTGCCAGAGAAATAGCTTGGGCTCCCTTGAAGATGCATGAGAACCCAAAGAGAAGTCTGTGCCACAGCCATGTCAAGGTCTACGGTGATGAGACATGGGAGGCAAGGGTAAAGGTTAAAGTTATGCTACTAATTTGCAAATTGGTCTAAGGCAAAGGTTAAAAGTCTAGGGTAAAGGTTAAAGGGCAAATTGATCTAGGGTAAATGCTATCGGTCTGTGAATTGCTGAGAAATTCCTCAACTGAAAGTCCTTCCGCCCAGCTCCTTCTACCTAGCTCCACCTTCTTGGCCACATGTTGGGTTTTTTTAGCCTCCTACAAAACCATTTTCTATCTAAACAGACCCTTGCTTCCCAGTCGAAATGCCACCATCCACTTTCCTCCATACCCTTTATCTGAACATATACTTAGCTGATGAAAACCCTACTTTGTAAGGGTAAATTTGGGCAAATTTTTTCCTAAAATCTAATAGTAGACATCTAGTGTTTTTGGGGAAAGCTTGCTAACTTGCTTCTGTCCAATCAATTTTAAAACATTTTTAATATATGTATTTTATTTTCTAGTTGGATTCTTTCTCATAGTCTATTCTGTCTTAACATTACGCTTCTTCTTTAAGGTATTTTCAAATTAAATAGCAATCTTTCAGCACAGAGCAGGGTCTGTGGAAGGAGCACGAGATATGGAGACAGACCTACATTAGAATCCCTGACCCGCCTCCTTTCTATTGAGTTGTACTCTTGGATATGGTGCTTAATTTCTTTGAACCTTAGTCTGCTACATGTAAAATAGGGATAATATCTGGTATTGTGCGCATGTGGGAATTAGAGATAATATTTATAATATTTAACAAATACTATGCATTCAAATAAAAAATATTTCTAGGCTGGGTATGGTGGCTCACGTCTGTAATCCCAGCACTTTGGGAGGCCGAGGAGGGCAGATCACTTGAGGTCAGTAGTTCGAGACCAGCCTGGCCAACATGGTGAAAACCCATCTCTACTAAAAATACACAAAATAACTGGGCGTGGTGGTGGGCACCTGTAATCCCAGCTACTCGGGAGGCTGAGGCAGGATAATTGCTTGAACTTGGGAGGCAGAGGTTGCAGTGAGCTGAGATCACACCACTGCATTCCAGCCTGAGCAACAGAGAGAGACTCTGTTTCAAAAAAACACAAAACAAACAAAAGAACTATTTTTAGATAACCAAACATTTGTTCTTAAGCATGAATAATAGTTTTCAAGTGTGCTCCATGGAGTCTTCAGGCCTCCTTAAGGGGAAAGGGCAAAGGAGAGATTGACAGAATGATGTTCAGTCCCTTTTTATTACCACTTTGCCAGAACTGTCTCCCAGTTCAAGGATTCCTAGATTCTAGGAGCAAAGCCAAAGTTTAAGTGGTAAAGTCTAAGTGGCACCTCTGGTAATTCAAGTTTCCAATGCCAATATCTTCTCTTGGATAGGGGACTAGTTAGAAGTTAGGGCTTACCTTAAGAGAAGAATGAC
The DNA here is from genome assembly GCF_000001405.40 of Homo sapiens. Lineage (NCBI taxonomy): Eukaryota > Metazoa > Chordata > Mammalia > Primates > Hominidae > Homo > Homo sapiens. The sequence continues at coordinate 160,159,896 of NC_000001.11, read as the reverse complement.
TTAGCAGGGCTGAACAATTTTCCTCCCCTCTGTGCCATTTTCAGCTTAAACAGCATAGTCCATTCACAAGCTAAAATAATAGCTAATAATTGTAGGTCACTTACAATGTATTAGGTCTTGTGCTGGGCATTTTACATATATTATCTCAATTCACACGAAAATCTACAGAGTAACGACTTTTACTGTCATCACTGTGCGAATGTGGAAATGATGACCTTGACCTTTCACCAGAGGTCATACAGCTCGTGATGGAGAAGCTCGACTTTTTACTGGCTCTTACCTACCTCGCTACCTTTAGAAGACAGTTATTAAAATCTTTATGTTTTGGTGCCTGCTTTTGAATCTATGCTACTTATGGTTCGATATTCACCTTCCACACAGTTGGTGGAAAAGAAGCAGATGTTTCGGGTCTCCAGAGGGTTCTCATGGGTGAAGTCAGGGGAGCGGCTCTGGGGTTCTGACTCCCCAGTCAAGGATGAGTTGTCCACCTGGGATGGGAGAGGGGACGCGTTGTAAGGTGAGCATAGGAAAAAAGGCAGATTTATTTACAAAAATAGTATGTCTTCATCTGGTCACCAACATCATCACTGACAGACTGAGAGAAACAAATTTACACATCTGTTGTCTCTAACATCAAATCTGCACTTGTAACTTCTCAAGATTCTGAGTAATAAGCTTATACTTTCTCTAACGGCCCAGGTGTCTACCCTGCCATGAGATCACGCTTGGGTCCCTCACATAGCTTTCGGCATCCCCTCACCTTACATCCTTGTGCAGAGATAAGCCGGAGGTCAGCAGGGACTCGGTCTCCACCCTTGATTTCCACCAGGTCTCCCAACACCACCTCTTGTACATTAATTTGCATCTTCTCTCCTCCTCGAATTACCAGAGCTTGCTATGAGAGGATAGTGCAGGATCATTTCCAAAACTTTTGGCTTTCCTCATCCCACTCTTAGCCTAAAACCTTCTGTTATTGGTCTCCCTCCTCCTTACTCCCCTTTCTTACTGTCACCCACCACATCATTCTTGAAGGTGTCTTTGGCAGATTGCAAATTCCCATGATGCTGTTTGCAGGGCCCTTTGCAATGTGACTTTGACGCTCTTCCCATTAAGAGGTGGAGTCTATCTCTCTACCCCTAAACCTGGGCTTGACCACGTGACTTGCTTTGGCCCATAGAATGAATGTGATGGAAAGAGGAGTTTAAAAAGTGCTTTCAGGCCGTGACTGGTGGCTCACACCTGTAATCCCAGCACACTGGGAGGCCGAGGTGGGAGGATTGCTTGAACCCAGGAGTTTAAGACCAGACTGGGCAACATAGGGAGACCCTGTCTCTACAAAAATTGAAAAAAAAATTAGCCAGGTGTGGTGGCATGCACCTGTAGTCCCAGCTGTTTGGGAGGCTAAAGTTGGAGGATCGCTTGAGCCCAGAAGGTTAAGGCTGCAGTGAGCCGTGATCACATCACTACGCTTCAGTCTGAGTGACAGAGTGAGACCCTGTCTCAAAAAATTAAAAAAAAAGTGCTTTCATGCTGGGGCTTGCATTCCTGTTTCTGAGAATCCTCTGCCACCCTATGAACAAGCCCAAGCTAACCTCTCTGTAAAAAGAGAGATCACGAAGAAAAAGGCCCCAGCTGTCCCAGTCATCTCAGCTAAGGGCCCAGACATGTGGATGAGGTCATCTAAGACCATCCAGCCCCAGCTGAGGAACAACAGCACAGCCACAGAATTATGAGAAACAGGAGCTTGCTATTTTAAGCCACTAAGTTTTAGGGTAGTTTGTTAGGTAGCAAAAGCTAACCGACCATGCCTAAACTCCTAGTCTCCAAAACTGCCCAAACACTTTGTCCCAAAACTCTTACCCAAGGAAGGAATTAAGTGATACCAAAAAGAGAAGGAAATCCTGGGCTATACTACTGGAACATGATCATATTATAGGGAAAATGTGGAGCCTATTCCTTTGCAAGTTTCCAGTCCCGTGCCTAGGAACCTCTGTTTACCGTCGTATTCTTTCCAGGTACCTTTAAAAAACATTTAACTTGAAAATAATTTTAAACTTTCAGAGAAGTTGCAAGAATAAAAATAGCACCAAGAACACCTATATAACCTTTATCCAGATTCACCTATTAACATTTCACCCCAGTTACTTTGTCATTTGTTTTCATCCTCTCTCTCTCTGTGTATACTCTTTTCCTGAACTACTTGAGGGTAAGTTACCTACATCATGATCTTTTATCTTAAAAACTTCATTGTGCATTTCCCAAGAATTAAGATATTGTCTTAAACAACCACAATGTAGTTATCAATTTCAGTAAGTTTCACATTGATACTTTAATCTACTGTATTAATCTGTCAGTATTCCAGTTTTGCCAATTGACCCAATACATCCTTTAACGCATTATCTTTGGTGGAGCTGGAGGACATTGTCCTAAGCAAACTAACAGGAACAGAAAGTCAAATACCTTATGTTCTCACTTATAACTGGAAGCTAAACACTGAGTACATATGGACACAAAGAAGGGGAAAAACAGACACCAAGGCCTACTTGAGGGTGGAGGGTGGGAGGAGCGTGAGGACAGAAAACCTACCTATCAGGTACTATGCTTATTACCTGGGTGATGAAATAATTCGTACACCAAATCCCTGTGACACACAGTTTACTTATATAACAAACCTGCACATGTATCCCCGAATCTAAAATAAAAGCTCAAAATAAAAAAGTAAAAATAAAGCATTACTTTCTCCTCTGGCACAGAATCAGATCTAGGGTTAGATATTGCATTTAGTTGCCACGTCCCTGTCTTTTTTTTGAGACAGCGTCTCTGTCTGTCACCAGGCTGGAGTGCAATGGCATGCAATCTCTGCCTTCCGTGCTCAAGCAATCCTCCTACCTCAGCCTCCTGAGTAGCTGGCACTACAGGCACGCTCAGCTAATTTTTAAATTTTTTTGTAGAGATAAGGTCTCACTATACTACTCAGGCTCGTCTTGAACTCCTGGACTCAAGTAGTGCTCTTGCCTCGGTCCCCCAAACGGTTGGGATTACAGGTGGGAGCCACCACCCTCGGAATAGTTGTCATGCCTCTTTAGCCTCTTTTTATTATTATTATTATTTTTTGAGACAGGGTCTTGCCCAGGTTGGTCACAGTTCACTGCAGACTTAAATTCCTGGGTTCAAGTAATCCTCCCGTCTCAGCTGCCTGTGTAGCTTGGACTACAGATGTAGACCAGCTATTTTATTTTATTTTATTTTTGTAGAGATAGCATCTCAAACTCCTGGGTGATCCTGTTGCCTCAGCCTCCCAGAGTGCTGGGATTACAGGCGTGAGCCACTATGCCTGGTCTGTTTAATCTGGAACATCCCCACAGCTGTTCTTTGTCTTTGAGGTCATCGATATTTGAAGAATCCAGCCACCCCCCACCGCACCCCGCTCCCACCCCCACCAACACTTGTCTCTTTAAAAAAATAGAATGTTCTTATTTGGGGTTTGTATGGTGTTTCCTCTTTAGATTCAGATTCTGCCTTCTAGATCAGAGCACTTCATAGGTGACGTTATGTCTTTCTCAGGGTTTCACAGCTTTTCCAGGTACTTTTAAGGACTGATACAGTACCTTGACCCCCTCATCACCAACCTCACTCAGCTCACTTATCATAGGATATAATTTTCCACGGGACTTCATCATTGTGTATTTGGCCACATCCTGCTCCTGCTCCCACTAGATCCTCCCACTCCAATCCTACCTGAGGCACCATGTTCTTAAAAGACTCCATGATCTTGGAGCTCTTGGCCTCCTGATAATAGGAGAAGCAGCCAGTGACGATGACCACGACGGACAGTACGATGCTCAGGTAGAGCTGAGGGTGGGGAAAGAAAGCGTTTATCAGTGGGACCTTGTCGTCTTCTTCATCCTCAGAAAATCAGTCTGCAAGGGGCACAGCAGTTTCACCAGGTGTAAGAGACCGTAAGACTGAGTTGAGAGCAGAGGGGTAGAGAAGAATCTGAGGTGGGACCAGTACACTTGGCTTCCTGGGGAAGGAACCCTGAGCCATGGTGAGCCGTCAGCAAAATTCCTGGTCAGAGAAGGCCTGTATCTTTCTCTCCAGGAAGGCTAATCTCTGGATGGAGGGGGTGGATTGTGAGGGAGGCTGGGAGGAAGGAGATGAGGTTAAAATTGTGGAGAAGAGAAAGGGACTGCAAAGTGCTTTGGGGATCAATTGGGAAGGTCATCAAAGAACAGCAAGTTTTTCGGGGACATTGTGCACCTCAGGGAACTGGACCAGAAGCTTTTTAGATTAAAAGGTGAGAGGAACCAAGATGGAACTTAGAAAGTGGAGTATTAGGGATTTTGGTTTATTACATTAATGTACATTTATTACATTATTATGTAATGTACATTTATTACATTAATGTACATTTAATTACATTTTATAATTAATTACATTCATTACAATGTAATTAATCAATTACATTGTAATTAATTACAATCAATTACATTTATAATTAATGTACATTTATTACATTATTACATTAATGTAATAATGTAATTAGGGATTTGGGCCAGAGGACTTCAGGAGTGCTAGGCTGCTGAGCAAAAGAGTGTCTGGGGCTAAGCAGAGATAGGGCTGGCTAGTAGTAGCTGAAGAGACTCACGTTGTCTTTGGTAGGCTCCTCATTGAAATATATCTGGATGCTGTAGGCCACAAAGCAGAGAATGGCCCCAGTCCATAGTAGGAGGGAGAAGCCTCCGAACAGTTGCTTACAGAATTTGACCCATTCTGGAGTGGTGGGGGGTGGGGTAACAGTATTGGGTCCACCTCGAGTCAGGATTTCCTTTGCCCTTTGGTGGCTATGGCCCTGTGCAGAGAAGAAATAGGGTTGGATAGAGAGCTGTGAAAAGAGGAACAGCCATAGCAAAAGGGAACCTGACATTTGGAGCCCCAGAATGGGTCTAGAGACTAAAGACGCTTTCAGAAGGTCAGTCTGGAAGTTCTTCCTGGATAAGGTGAGGTTTCAAAATTTGCATTAGAGGAGGGATGTCATTTAGCATGCTTACATAGGAAGGTTTTTGTTTATGGATTGATTCACAAACCTTTTTGAACTTGAGAACCTATCTCGGGTCCTAGGTGCTGAGGATACCAACATGAATAAGAATGGTCCCTACCCTTAAGGTGCTCCAGTGGGGAGATAAATACATACAGATAATTATAATGTGCAGGGCCAATGTCATGATGAAATATAATACTTAATGTTGATAACATATTAACACCACGCTTTGACTCTCCAACTTAGAGGGAATAAGATCTAGTGTTTGGTAGCACAATAGGGCAACTATAGTTAATAATTTATTATGGATATCAAAATAATTAGAGGAGTGGATTTGGAATGTTCCCATGCAAAGAAATGATAAATGTTTGAGGTTATGGGTATCCTAAATACCCTGATTTGATCATTACACATTGTATGCTTATATCAGAATAATACATGTATACCATAAATATGTACATCTACATATCCATTTTTTTTTTTGAGACAGAGTCTTGCTCTGTCACCTAGGCTGGAGTGCAGTGGCATGATCTCGGCTTACTGCAACCTCCATCTCCCAGGTTCAAGTGATTCTCCTGCATTCAAGTGATTCTCCTGCCTCAGCCTCCCAAGTAGCTGAGATTGCAGATGTGTGCCACTATGCCAGGATAATTTTTGTATTTTTAATACAGATGGGGTTTCACCATGTTGGCCAGGCTGGTCTCCAACTACTGACCTCAAGTGATCTGCCTGCCTTGGATTACAGGTGTGAGCCACGGCACCTGGCCCATAAATTTTTAAAAAACATAAATAGAAAAGAATACTAACAAAAAACATGAATGCATAGATTCTCATTCCACTCTTGTGCACAAGCTTATGTGCTTTTTCCTGTTAATGAAAATGATAGTAGAACCTGCCAATCACCACCAGCCACTCCCCAACCTCTGCCTGAAACACCCGAGGGGCCCCAAAACCCTTTCAGGGGGTCCACAAGGTCAATTTTCATAGTAATACTAAATCATTGTTTGCCTTTTTTTACTCTCATTTTCTTAAGAGTATATAGTGGAATTTTCTGAAGGCCAACTGGCATAACATCACAACAGATTTTATCCAGAAAATATTTGAGAATCCAGCTATCTTCTATTAAAAAGCAAGACATTGAAGAGGTTTGCAAAAATGTAAGATGCTGCTAATTTTTTTGTTTTGAAAAATACAGTTATTTGTCAAAACATATATGAATATATGATAACTTTATTTTTGTTATTTTTAAATGAATTGAGAAATACATTTTAAAACTCTCAATTTTAATTTCTAATATGGTAAATATAGACAGACTTAAGCCACATAAGCACAAGTTCTTTGCGGTCCTAGATAAATTCTAAGAGTGTAAAGGAGACCTAAGGACAAGACGTTTGACCAGCACTGCCCTAAAGCATTCTTATTCTCTTATCTAGTCCCACACTCTCTTTGAGGGTAGTTACCATTTGCAGCTTTTTCCAGGTAGTGTCCATGGAACGTGGCCAGGCAGAGGGTGAGGGGTGGGAACGTTGGACTTGAAGTTAGGGGGCTGGATTCCTAGTTCAGCTTTTGTCCTGGCAGCCTCACAGTCAGAGTTGGAGACTCTCTGCCTCCTCAGGGAGCTTCTTACTCACCTTTGTCAGGTCCACGGAGTACTTGGTGCTCAGCTCTTCCAAGGTTAATTTGTGATCATCCTGAGGGGACAGTAGAGGCATTGAGGGACAGGGGGTGGCCCAGGTCATTTCCAGGGAGAGGGGGAGAAACAGACTGGAGAATGTTAGTCCAAACTGAGACTGCTCCATTTTGTAAGCTCCCTGCAATTCTTTTTTTGAGATGGAGTCACTCTGTTGCCCAGGCTGGTGTACAGTGGTGCGATTTCGACTCACTGCAACCTCTGCCTCCCAACAGGTGTTTCTCCTGCCTCAGCCTCCCAAGCAGCTGGGATTACAGGGGCCCATCACCAGGACCAGCTAATTTTTGTATTTTTAGAGGCGGGGTTTCACCATGTTGGCCAGGCTTGTCTCAAACTCCTGACCTCAGGTGATCTGCCTGCCTCAGCCTCCCAAAGTGCTGGGATTACAGGTGTGAGCCACCACGCCCGGCCTAGCTCCCCACTATTTTACAGGCCTTGGTCAAAGTGAAACATTTCACGGGGGTTCGGGCCAGAGAAACAGCCTGCCTAACCACCTGACCACAGGGCAGACGAAGGCCCAATTAAAGACAAAGACCCCACTAAAGAAACATCCCTATCACATCCTGCTGGGCAAAGGTCCAGGGAATACCATGATTATATTCTGTGGAAACAAGGGCCAAAAATCACCTCATCATGAGAACATCTTATCGATATCCTGCCAGGCAGCAGGCCATACAGCCCAGACTCCTCCCATCCATCCCTATAAGTACCCAGCCTGTAAGTGGCAGTGGACTGTGGAATTAAGCTGATCCCCCACTTCCACAGGTGTCTGCAATATACCTGTGCTTGCTGTTGAGCTGCCCTGTCTCTCTGTGTGTATCTTTTTTTTTTTTTTTAACCCTCTCCTTCCCTCCAAAGCCTAACAGAGAAGAGATGTGGCTCTGGCCTGTGTGTTTCATTCTCAAGGTAAGATGTTAAAGATAGGTGGAGGAGTGTTTTCAGAGGGCAGCTGTCAGCGCCCACTTTGGGTGGCCTCACCATGACCACTTCCTTCTTCAGTTCCTCCATATTGCGCTTCTGTTTTTCCCTCTTCACCATTTTTTTCTTGATAAGCCCTTTTTTAGGTCTTCGTCTTGGACTCTGGTCATGGGGAGCCACTGTCCCTTTCTTCCCCCAAAGCCCCATAGCTATCCCCAGAAAGAGCTGCCCGAGCTCAACTGTGGGAAGAAAGCTGAGAGAGTGAGGCAAGGGGAAGGGAAGAGGGCGCGCGGGCAAGGGGGCCACGAGAAGAGAGTGGTGGGGAGAGAATGAGGGAGCAGAAAGAAAGAGGCAGGGAGGGAGGTGTTGGGTGGTGAAGGTGAGAGAGAGGAAGGGAAGTGAGAGAGGAGAGACTGAGCGGTCCTCCAGCCGTCCGCTGGGAAGAGGAAGAGTCAGGAGTGAGGGAAGAGGGAGGAGAGAAGCCTAGGGTGGAAGGATAAAAAGGTAGAGGTGAGGGAATGCAGTGAGGGCAGGAAACAAGAGGTGAAGCGTAACCAGGTGCCTCAGTGATGAAGATGCCGCAAGGCCCACAGGAAGGTGGGAAATGCAGTGAGAGTGAGGAGGCGGAGTGAGCTTCAAGGATCTGGGAACCCCCCAGTCCCAGGCCCTGTGGTTGCTGGGGCAATGACCCAGGTCTGGCATCACAAAGGCCTCCTGAAAGTTCTAACCAAGAATCCAGAAGTCTTGCCTTGGCGATGGTCCAGGTCTGCTGTCGCAAAGGCCTCATGAAGGTTTTAACCAAGAACCTAGAAGTCTCAGTCTTTGGGTTTGAGGACGATTGGAGCAGGCCCTGCTACAGAAAGAGTTTCAGTCTGAGGGCAGAACTAGAACAAAGTTCTTGTGTGGTCCTGCAGACTTTGGAGGCTTAGAGGTATGCCAAATAGATGACTCAAAAATAAAGCGGGTATTCGGCCGGGCGCGGTGGCTCATGCCTGTAATCCCAGCACTTTGGGAGGCTGAGATCGAGACCTTCGTGGCCAGTATGGTGAAACCCCATCTCTACTAAAAATACAAAATTTAGCCAGGTGTGGTGGTGGGCACCTGTAATCCCAGCTGCTCGGGAGGCTGAGGCAGGAGAAACATCTGAATCCAGAAGGCAGAGGTTGCAGTGAATTGAGATTGCATCACTGCACTCCAGCCTCGGTGACAGAGTGACTCCATCTCAGACAAACAAACAAACAAACAAACAAACAAACAAACAAACAAAAAACCATAGCAGGGAGCTTACAAAATGGTGCAGTTGCAGTTTGGACTAATATTCTCCCGTCTGTTTTTGAGACTCCATCTCAAAAAAAAAAAAAAAGCAGGTACTCTGTGTGTGTTTTTTAGCAAGGCACACTTTTCCACTAACATTGGGTTTGATCTTTTAATTTTAGGAGATCAGCTAGCAGAATAGATCAGATCTTGGGCTCTGGAACCAGTCCTGGATTTCAATCCCAACTCCTCCACTTGTCAGCTGTGTGGCTTTGAGCAAGTTACCTAACCTCTGTACCTCTCTTTTCTTATTTTTAAAAGAGGATACCTTCTACCTTAAGTGAGGTGCTCTACAAAAAGCACTATGTGACATATATAGTATGTGCTCAATAGGTAGCTTGAATTCAGTAGTAGTTTTATTTGTGGATTAATATGCAGCTCTTCTCAGTGAGGGTAAAAATATGCTTTTCCATGTGATAGCGTTGCATTTTCTCATTTTAAAATGATGTACTTACCTCTTCCATTGACCTTCTCTGGTGTCTCAGTAAGTGCTTTGACTATATTAACTGTATATATGTTTTGCATGTCCATAGGATTCTACCTCCTTCCAAGAATAATCTGAAGCATCTATACTTTTCTGTCAACCATTATATATATTTTTCAATTATGCACGTCACATAGATTTTCCCATTCTGTTGTTTGATATTTGTTTATTTACTTTTTGAGACAGGATCTCACTTTGTTGCCCAGGCTGGAGTGTAATGGTGCGATTATGGCTTACTCCAGCCTCAACCTCCCAGGTCCAAGTGATCCTCCCACCTCAGCCTCCCAAGTAGCTGGGACCACAGGCATGTGCCACCATGCCCGGCTAATTTTTTTTATTTTATTTTAGTAAAGACGGGGTGCCCCTGTGTTGCCCAGGCTGGTCTCAAACTCCTGGGCTCAAGCAATCCTTGGCCTTGGCCTCCTAAAATGTTGGGATTACATAAGTGAGACACCAAGCCTGGCCTGATATTTATTTAATTGCATTTTGGTTGGGCATGCTTTTTAAAAATATGACTGTATCTGGAAACATTCATCTTGGTGCTGATGCAATCCTCCTTGAATATTCAGAAATAGAAATGCTCCCTTCCCAGCTGGGATAAATGATCGTCTATTTCTTTAACAGATTGGATTTTTCTTCTCTATTAAAAATGTTTAAGATAAAAATTGAAAGCCCCACCTTCCCTCCCTCCAAACTCAGATTCTCCCCACTGCTGAAGTTACTGCTGGTAACAATGTGCTGCATGTCCTTCCAGTCTTTTTTCTATGTTTATACAAATAGATATCTAAAAGGAGGTATTTTTCAACTTTTAAACAATCATTCAACTCTCTACCAACCTGTCATGTACATAAAGCTTCTTTTTTTCAGTGCTGTGAGGCTTCCATATTCTGTATTGACCATGCTCTATTCAATCATTCCCATTACTGATGGATTTATGAGATATTTTCCATTTTTTTAACCATTAATAAAATTGCTAGAGTGTCATTCTTGCACATAGATATCATCAGGCCCTTGAGCTTCTATTTCTGTAGAATCAGTTCCTGTTGCTGAATCATAGAGTACACTCATTAACAATCTTAAAAGATTCTGCCAATTGGTCTTTAAAAGTGTTTATCTATCTGCATCCCAACAACAGGATGCAAGAATGTCTGCCTTCCACACCTTTGATTATGCTAGATGACCTTGATTTTTACTATTATAATCAGTGAACTTTGATATCTTGTAGTTTTAATTTGCATTTTTAAATTGTCAATGTGAGCATTTTCTCTTATGTTTACTGGCTTTCTGGTTTTCTTTCTTTCTTTCATTTCTTCTTTTCTTTCTTTCTCTCTTTCCTTTCTTCCTTCCTTTCTTTCTCTCTTTCTTTCTTTTGACAGGCTGGAGTGCAGCGGTGCAATCTCAGCTCACTGCAACCTCCACCACCTGTGTTCAAGCGATTCTCGTGCCTCAGCCTTCTAAGTAGCTGAGACTACAGGCACACGCCACCATACCCAGCTGATTTTTTTGTATTTTTTAGTAGAGATGGGGTTTTGCCATGTTGGCCAGGCTGATCTTGAACTCCTGACCTTGGGTGATCCGCCTGCCTGGGCATCCCAAAGTGCTGGGATTACAGGCATGAGCCACCATGCCTGGTCTTGGACTTTATTTATTTATTTTGTAAATTGTCATTCTTACAATTTGCCCAATTTTCCATTGTTTTCTTTTTTATATTGATTTGTAGGAAACCCTTGTCATATATAACACAAATGTTTTCTCCCAGTCTTTGTGTTTAATGTAGATGAACATAAAATTCTTAAGAAGAAGGTTAGAATTAAAGTTAAAATTCATATGTTTTTCTATGCATCATCTATGTGACAATAACACTTAGCTCAGTCTTGCAGATGGGCATTGCCCAAAAGCAACTTTATGGAGATACAATCAATTGAAATTATTTTTAGAAACCTCATTTTGTTCTAGAGATCTTAGCTCAAAAGTCCACCTCTTCGGAGAGGCCTTCTCTCATAGTTAAATCCAAAACAGCCCCTCCGGCGCCAGCCCTCTCTCTATCACTTTTGATCTTCACAACACTTCTCTCCCTCTGAAATTATCCTGCCTGTTAACTGTTGACTTGTCTGATTGACTTGTCTTGTTGACTTGTCTGGTTCTCCATGACCCTAGGGACCTTCCCTGTTTTTTTCCACAGCTATATACCTGGCTCCTAGGATAGTGCTTGGCACAGGGCAGCTGGTCCACAAATAGTCCCTGAATAGATGTTGAATGACTAATGAGTTTTCAGGTTTTATCTTAATGCTACAAGGTTTTGATAATTGCCACTTTGGTCTGATTTTTTTTTTTTTTTTGAGACGAAGTCTCACTCTGTTGCCCAAACTGGAGTGCAGTGGTGCAATCTCAGCTCACTGCAACCTCCACCTACCGGGTTCAAGCGATTCTCCTGCCTCAGCCTCCTGAGTAGCTGGGACTACAGACATGCGCCACCATGTCTGGCTAATTTTTGTATTTTTAGTAAAGACAGGGTTTCACTATGTTGGCCAGGCTGGTCTTGAACTCCCGACCTCTTGATCTGCCGACCTTGGCCTCCCAAAGTGCTGGGATTACAGGCGTGAGCCACCGCGCCCGGCCAGTGGTCTGATGTGTTTTAAAATCTGTTGGGGTAAATATGTTAGCATCAGTGATCTATTCATTTGCTTCATAATTACTTAGAAAAAACCTCTGAGATTCTTGCCTGATTACTCTTGCAGCTGAATGTCACAACCAATATGTCATGTTTTATAAAAATGCAGCGAGGATTTTAATTGATATTGAATTGACTCTTTCATAGTAACTTATTTTTATCTTTACTACGTTCTGCCTTCCCAAATGGCAGTCAAGTTTAGCTTTCCATGAATTCATGTTTTTTTATTTTTCTCATTGTACTTTTAAATTTTCTTTAATAGTTACTATGTGCTGCACACAGTAAACCTTGAGCGTAATTTGTTTTCATTCTATTGTAAATAGAAGCTCTTTATGCTGTATTTTCTGTCTCCCTAATATTTAGGGATACATTTGCTTCTTTGAAAACTGATACCCATATACCCTGTAACTTTGAATTTATTGCTTCTAGGATTTTTTTTGTTATTGATGCTGTTGCTTTGTTTTGGCTGAATTTCTTGGATTTTTAGGGAGTTATGCTCGCTAAAAACAAAGTTTTATTTATTTAGAATTTTTATTTATTTATTTTTATTTTTTGAAACAGAGTCTTGCTCTGTTACCCAGGCTGGAGTGCAGTGGTCCAACCATGGCTCATTGCAGCTTCAACCTCTCAGACTCAAGCGATCCTCCTCCCTCAGCCTCCCAAGTGACTGGGACCATAGGTGTGGGCCACCACCCCAGGCTAATTTTTTTTTTTTTTTTTTTAATAGAGATGAGGTCTCACTGTGTTGCCCAGGCTGGTCTCAAATTCCTGGGCTCAAGCAATCCTCCTGCGTCAGCTTCCCAAAGTGCTGGGGTTGTAGACGTGAACCATAGCACCTGGCTTATTTAGAACTTTTTTTTTTGGAGATGGAGTCTCTGTTGCCCAGGCTGGGGTGCTGTGGCACCATCTCGGTTCATTGCAACCTCTGCCTCCTGGATTCAAGTGATTCTCAAACCTCAGCATCTCAAGTAGCTGGGATTACAGGCACCCGCCACCATGCCTGGCTAATTTTTTTTTTGTATTTTTAGTAGAGACGGGGTTTCACCATGTTGGCCAGGCTGGTCTCAAACTCCTGACCTCAAGAGATCCGCCCACCTCAGCTTCCCAAAGTGCTGGGATTACAGACGTGAGCCACCGCGCTCGGCCTTTGTAGAACTTTTAAACACAAACTGCTTATCGAGGATTTCAAATGTTTTATTGCAATTATTTGTTATAGTTGCTGTTATTGGTTTTCTAGACTTACTACATCCTTTCCTCTCTTCTCTGAACATGATTACATTTTCTTTTTTTTTGAGACCGAGTTTCACTCTTGTACCCCAGACTGGAGGTGCAATGGCGGGATCTCAGCTCATTGCAACCTATGCCTTCCGGGTTCAAGTGATTCTCCTTCCTCAGCCACCCGAGTAGTTGGGATTACAGGCGCGCGTGCCACCACGCGCAAATTTTTGCATTTTTAGTAGAGACAAGGTTTCACTACGTTGGCCAGGCTGGTCTCAAACTCCTGACCTCAGGTGACCCACCTACCTCGGCCTCCCAAAGTGCTAGGATTACAGGCGTGAGCCACCGCGACTGGCCCATGATTATATTTTCTGATACACTTTTTCCTCCAACATTTTTATCAGTAATAGATACTGAATTTTACTGATAGCCTCCTCAACCTTTTTTGAAATGATTATTTCATCCTTTGTCTAGTTAATGTTAGTTGTTTGTAACATTTTCCTTGTAATATGCTATCCTTGCATTCCACCATTTGGGGTAGTCAATTTATTATCTATATTAAATATAAAATTTTAACAAAATAGTACTTATCTCATAAAATAGGCTGGGCAACACAAAACACAAAATAATTTTTTATATTCCAGCACATTTTAAATAATATAAGGAAATTCTTTGAGGAATTTGCAAAAAATCCTTCATTGAATTCACTGGAGCCAAGGATATTTTTGAAAGACTCACTTTGTATTAAATGTCTTCCTTTGATATTGATCTAACCACTTTCTTCCTATTTTTTGCTGCGTTCTTAGCATTATGAATATTTAGTGACTATCTCTGATTATCTCTGATGCATGATCACATTTCCTATTCTGTAGATAAAAAGAAAATGCCATGGAAAGACTTTCTGCCTGGGTCAAAAGTTGGCCTTAGCTTCTCAGATTACATTCAATAGTAAGATTCTTCTTTTTGCTAAAATCCTCTAGCAGACCATCAAATCTCTTTGGATCTTTTTCTTTCTTTCTTTTCTTTTCTTTCTTTCTTTTTTTTTTTTTTTTCTGAGATGAAGTCTTGCTCTGTCACCCAGGCTGGAGTATAGTGGCACAATCTCGGCTCACTGCAGCCTCTGCCTCCTGGGTTCAAGCCATTCTTCTACTTCAGCCTCCTGAGTAGCTGGGATTACAGGTGTATACCCGGCTAATTTTTGTATTTTTAGTGGAAGACAGGGTTTCACCATGTTGGCCAGGATGGTCTCGAACTCCTGACCTCAAGTGATCTGCCCACCTTGGCTTCTCAAAGTGCTGGGATTACAGGCGTTAGCCACTGTGCCTGGCCTGGATCTTTTTCTTAACCCCCTACCGCATCTTTGAGATCATATCTTCTCCCTTTCTCACGGATCTGCCTTGCCCCTGCTGCTCAAATGTTAATTGTCCACAAATTCCTGGCTCCCTTGGCAGCCTCCCCAGTTCACTGAGCCATTGGGCTAGTCAGGCTCTGTCCATGCACATAGGCTTTCTGTTCTTGCAGTTGCAGAGCATGGCATGGTTAAGAGGGCAGGCCCTGGAGTCAGACTGGCCTAGGTTTGAATCCTGCTTCAGATGCTTACTACCTTTGAAACTTTGAATAATAATTTAACTTTCTGAGCACCAGTTTTCTCATCTGTAAATTGGAGATAATAATAGTCTCCATCTTACTGAATTACTGTGAGGATCCTTTCAGTCATCCAACACATATTTATTAATTGTCTAACGTGTGTCAGATGTTTTAGGTGCTAAGGATAAAGGTGTTGAACAAAAGAAATAGAGTCTCTGTCTTCATGGAACTTATACTGGAGGAGTCAGACAAACAAAAGCATAAACAGCAACAAAATACATGTATATCTTTCTAAATATTACATCTAGCTGTCTTTCTATCTAAATTTAAGGTAATAAGTATTTATGAACAAAAACGAAGAGAACAGAGAAAGAGGTTCCAGGAAGTCATTTTATTTGAGGTCCTCTGTGAGGATCTTACTGATGTTTAAGGAGTGATCTGAATGAAGTGACAAAGCCAGGCATGTGAATAACTAGGGAAAAGTGTTCCTGGCAGAGGGACCATCAAGAATAAAGGCCCTGTGGTGGGATGAACGGAGACTATACAAATAAAATTTTGGCATAGTTATGGCACAAAATGAGCTGTGATTAAGGCTCTTATAATCACTACTAACTATAACTGTCATTAATGACACTGTTAAGAGTCATAATAAAGGGGCTGCAATATGGCTTGGGCAAGAATTGACTTCTGACCGTTATTCTGAAATCCTGGCATAGGTTGTAAGAGTTGGTGTCTTTCTCTCTCCCATTCCCAGGGCCCCCCTGGAGCAATGCACACCCACCCACCCACCCCTCCATCTCCAGCACACAAGCGTCCCCCCTACTGCTCATTACATTCTGTCCATGATGGTTTCTGATGTCTACTACTCAGGTGAATTTCAAGGATTGCATCCACTTTACCCCCACCCCTTAAAGAGAGCACCCAGGACAAAGCTCTGCATGAAGTACAGATTGTGAATTGGTGTTGACTCTTGGGCTCCTCAACCCACTATCTCCTTCCCCCATCCCATCAGATAGAGAATGGCCTGATTTTGGTCTGGAACAGAAAAAGCAGAAGTGCCCCTGAGGATCTTGTTCTTAATAGACTCACAGGCCCCTCCCTGTCCTGGACAAACTCTTGTGGCTCTTAGGGTGGGATCAGCATGAGGAAGGAGGCTCCTGCTATAGTTTCTTGTAGGTTATTTTGCAACCTAACTTCTTCCCCTCTTGCTTTCTCCACGGACATCATCTGCTCCCAGACCATTTCCCTCCCATCCCTGACACTTGCTATCTCTTTGTTGCTTTCCCTACAAGCCGAGTTCTGCCACAGCACATATTTCAATATCACGATTTAGGAGGGAGGCAAGTATAAAGTGTAGA
Source organism: Homo sapiens (assembly GCF_000001405.40). NCBI lineage: Eukaryota > Metazoa > Chordata > Mammalia > Primates > Hominidae > Homo > Homo sapiens. The sequence goes on along the minus strand of NC_000001.11, from coordinate 160,143,615 downwards.
AATCTGAATTATGGAAGAGATTTCTTTTTTTTTCATAAAGAAATGCCACTTTATTATTTTCAAGTACATAGGTAGTACCTCAAACTAATGTCTTACAAAAGGTCACCAATAAAGATCCTGTAGATGTTTCTTTAACAAATACATAAAGATTGATGATAATTAGCCCATGCACTCGCTGCTTCTAAAAGGATATTTCTAAAGTGCCTGAAAAGTATTGTTTTTGGTAGACTAAACATGCCACCTCTAGCAATATTGTTTATGCTCTTAATTTACTAAAAAAATGCCATTTTTATTGATTGTGCAAAGATAAACTTTTGTCCACAGTTAGTAATCTCCAATTAATCGGATCCAAATTAATATTGTCTCCCACTTAGATTCCCAGGCCCAAGGCAATGACTCCCTTACTTCCTTGCTTCTGATAAAGCAAAATTCCAGTGCAATGAAATGACAGCCTTTGGGAGGTGGTTTATGGGTCTGACCCAATGCTTGTCTTTTGTGCTTCCTTCCTGTCTGCCTTAGGTCTTCCATTTTCCTCAGATGTCTTTCTCACTTGCATGACCTATCTAGGTCTCTCTCTACAGGACATTCCCAGTGCCTTCTAAGCCAGGCTTAGAGAATGGGCAAGGCTGCCTGCAGAGCAAAAGTGTTAGATAGGGAGTAAGGGAAAGAAAGCTATCTCCTGTAGGAACCTGAAACCAACTCTCCAGCCCAGGGTAAGTGGGCACAATGATCGTCGGTTTGAAGGGCATTTGCCTGGAGGGAACAGCCCTGCCACCTAAGACGTCAAAAGCAAATCATTTTTTTTTTTTTTGAGATGGAGTCTCACCCTTTCGCCCAGGCTGGAGTGTAATGGCACGATCTCAGCTCACTGCAACCTCTTCCTCACAGGTTCAAGCAATTCTCCTGCCTCAGCCTCCTGAGTAGCTGAGATTACAGGCGTGTGCCACCATGACTGGCTAATTTTTTGTACTTTTAGTAGAGACAGGGTTTCACCATGTTGGCCAGGCTCGCCTCGAACTCCTGACCTCATGATCCACCTGCCTCGGCCTCCCAAAGTGCTGGGATTACAGGCATGAGCCACCGCACCCAGAAAAAGCAAATCTCTTAGTATTTTTCCTCTTGTCCAAAGGTTCTGACCATGTTCATGACCTAAGCTTGTCCCTGGAAGCATACATGTCCCTGGGAGACAGGAAGGTTCAGGGAACTTCTCCACCCTGATTCTAGCCAATGGCCAGCGAACTCCTTTTCCAGGGTTGGCTTGGCAGTGTCGGGGAATGATGCAGGTTCATCGGGATGGGCATGAAAAGAAAGGGAATGGAAGAGGCTGGGAAAGAACTTGTGGCCATCCCTTTCAGAACAGCATGGAGCTCTGAGGACTTAGTATTACAGAAGGTGAAGTGTTATTAAGTACATGAGTGACATCCGGACCTTGTGGACTAAGAGGACCCCTAACCAAGGGTCAGCGGGGAACTCTGTGGCACACAAGTGTGGCATTTCTGGAAGCTCTTGATTGCCTTCTGGTCCTGCCTCTGCTGCTACCCTGATGAGATCTGAGTTTGTTCTGCTGGTGGGGTATTCTAAAATGTGGGACGTAGAGCTGGAGTCCACGACATCTATCTGGAGACTCATGTCAAATGTCCTGTCATTGGCACTACCTCACTTCCTTTGTTGTTTCCTTCCTCCAGCCAGCCCTACCTCCATCTCCCACCTGTCTGCCCAGCTCTCCCTGAAGGTCCCTTACCAGCCTCGACTGGGAGACAAGTCCACCTTTTCCAGTCTCAGGCTCTTGCACTCACCAGAAGAACCTTTTGTGATTGCAAGGTCTGAAGGGGAAGCCAGGGATAGAGTCCTGCAGGAAGCTAACGGGGGTGGAAGTGGGAAATGGAGTGAGGCTGGGGTGATCTGAGAGGGCTTCCTTCTGGTTTAGATGGGTTCCTGCTTTTGGATGCTGATCTATTACAGTAGGAAGTGGGGTTGAAGGGATGGGAGTGGGCAGGGTGGGGTAACCCTTAATTCCTCAGAAAAAATAGACAACATAGTGGAGTGGGATGGAAAAGGATCTGGTCGGGGGGACTCTAACACATAGTGTCTAATCTGATTGTTCACAGTTAGGTCTATGGGGTCATCACCCCAATTTATATACCCCGCAACTTAGCCTGCTGAGTTGCCTCATTATCTCTCCCCAAATGTTGCCACCCAATGCCACCCGTTATTTCCATCCCTCTCCATCACCATCCCCACAACACCTCCAGAGCTCCCCATCTTTCCATGCCTGGTTCTTCTTCCAATGGGGTCAGTAGTATGTCTCCTTCTCCACCCAGCCTGTTAGAGAGATTGGGAGTGGAGATTGCAGCATGAGCTTAAAAGGAGGCAAGAGATCAATTTCCTAGGGGCTTGGGTCGCTGAAGCCAGGTGGAAGGAGAAGCCTGGTGAAGGGCACTGGGGGAAGTGGCTTAGGAAGGTGGAAGGAGGCTGGGTGCAGTGGCTCATGCCTGTAATCCCAGCATACTGGGAGGCTGAGGCAGGCGGAGATCAAGACTCCTGGCTAACCCAGTGAAACCCTGTCTGTACTAAAAATACAAAAAATTAGTCGGGCATAGTGGCATGCGCCTGCAATCCCAGCTACTCTGGAGGCTGAGGCAAGAGAATTGCTTGAACCCAGGAGGCGGAGCTTGCAGTGAGCCGAGATCGTGCCACTGCACTGCACTCCTGGTTGGGCGACAGAGCGAGACTCCGTCTCAAAAAAAAAAAAAAAAAAAAAAAAAAAAAGAAGGTGAAAGGGAGGAGAAGGAGGTCCAGTGAGCTGGGGCCATAGGTTAAAGGAAGGGAGGGTGAACCTGCCTTTAGGGGAGACTTGTATTTAGCACATTGGAGGCTGGGGCAGAATAGGTCGAGGGTGAAAATGCAAACGCCCACAGGGCCTCTTCAGGTGACGAACGAGAGTCTAAGGGAGCAGCTGTCCATTCTTGCTGTGCAGAGATGTGGACATGGGATTAACAGCTCTTCTGATCTTCAGGAGAAGTCGAATTCAGATTTTATGTGAAAGACCCTAAATTTTCTATATCGGACCAATTAATCCACCCTCCTCCCCCCACACACACAAAATATGGCACAGGTCAAACCAAACAGTATTCCTGGACAGTATTTGGTTTGTAAGCCATCATATTTTAACCTCTACTAAGTGATTAAAAAACGCTTGTAGGAAAAACAATAACTTGTCGGTTGATGAGTGGGGATCAGGAGGCCTGGGTTCTAGTACCAGTCCTGCTATTCTTTGCTTTACGACCCTGAACAGATTCACCTCTGAGCCTCCTCTATCTGTAAAATATGGACGTGGGACTAGGTGACCTGGAAAGGCCCTTCTAATTCTGATGTTCTGTGGTTTCAGGTGGAAGGTGGAGGGCCTCGGAGACCAACTGTGAGTTAGGCGGGGTTTAGAATCTGATGGGAAGAGGGCAGAGACAACAGGTTCGAAAGAGTCAGGGCTCCTGGGACCTGGGACCCCAGGATCTGAGGGTGTTGAGGAACAGAAGCAGGAACCAGTAGTGGGAGTGGAGTCTGCGTGTGGTCCTGGAGGGAGGAGCTGGTGGTGGGGCTTGCACTTTGCTGGGGGGAATGTGGAGGGGCTTACCACCAGGATACCGCCGCAGGATGAGCTTTCGGACCTCATCATAGATGAAGATGAGGAGGCTGTAGGGGAAGGCGCAGAACCACCAGGTGACTCTGAAAGCAATGGAGGAGAGTGTCAGCAGCATCAGAGGTTGGCTTGGTGGCTGTCACATAAAGGAGCATTCAAAGCGATCAGAACTTGGATCCTGGAGGGGGCTGAAGGCCCCCCGTATGACTACTCAGGCCGCCCGAAAGAGACACTCACTTGAGCGGGTACATGCGGAGGGCTACACCCATGCCTGGGCAGTAAGAGAGAAAGGCAGCCAACGCCGTCTCCTCCAGGAGCCCAAAAATCAGGATCTTGTTCCTGAAAGGCAAAGAAAGGAGGTGGCAGGTGAAGGGGGATCATGGAGGCAGAGATCCTGGGATACCCCTGGGGTGCAAGGGAAAGAGGAGAGAGAATTCTAAACGACATAGTCGCATGTCTTCTTCCAACAGCCTCTTCTCATGCTTTATGTAACCAAAGGAAGATGTTATTTGTTTTTCTGCTTACTGAGTTTACGTCCGAATGTTGTCTATTGCACGTATATTCATTCATTAAATAATTGTTTCTAGGTGTTGGGTGACGTGTTCTGTACTGGAGACACGGTGGTCAACATGGGGCCTGTCTCATGATCTTGTTATTGCTCCAGGCACAGGGCCCATGAAAGTGTGTCTCCCCAGCAAGATGCTTGAAAGCTCCTTCAGTGCAGGGCCCATGTATGTCTTCTACCGTCTCAGCATCTCCCACAGTTCCTGGTGGTGGTTTCATTATAGATATTTAATTCAGAGAATGTAAAGGGGATCACTGCATAATAAGTGGTTAATATATGTTCACTTTATCAGAATTGAAAAGCAGGATAGAATAAGGAGGTTCTCAGGGCAGTTTCTGCAGTCAGACAGGTGGTGTCTATTCCCAGTTCTGCCATTGACTAGCTTTGGGTTGCAGGCAATGTTGAATTTCTCTGAGCCTCACGTTCCTTCTCTATCAAATGGAGATTTTACCTTTTTATCATAGGGTTGCTGGGAAAATTAAGGGAGATAACACGTGAAAAGCTCTGCAATGTTCTGTCACTGAAATGTTCAGTGACAGACCTGGAAAATGTTCAGTCACATTATTACTCCACTTTTTTTTTCTGAGACAGAGTCTCACTCTGTTGCCCAGGCTGGACGATCACAGCTCACTGTAACCTCCACCTCTTGGGCTCAAGTGACCCTCTTGCCTCAGCCTCTCCAGTAGCTGGAATTACAGGTGTGTGCCACCACGCCCTGCTAATTTTTATATTTTTTGTAGAGATAGAGTTTCACCATGTGCCCAGGCTAGTACCAAACTCTTGGGCTCAATTGATTCTCCTGTCTCAGCCTCCCAAAGTGCTGGGATTACAGGTGTGAACCACTGTCCCCGGCTACTCCATCTTTTGTATTCTTACACAAGGTACCTCTTTTTGGTTCAAGCCAGTGATTTCCAAATTTTCACTCACTAAGGACCTCCTTATTTTCTTCTGTAAAGGCCACATTTAATTGTTTGTCTCTCAAGCTACATTTGTGAATAAGTATTGAATACATTTCCCCATTTAAAATTAATTAGAACTATCCATGGCTTCCAGACAGAACTGTGAATCAGCATCCGATCACCACGTCATGATATGCGCTCTTGGCTTTTGCCTAAGAATGACACATTAGTAAGCCTGGTTGCCTTCGCATAGGTGAGTGCTTTATTTTCATAAAGCTTTTCAAAATAAGGCAAATAGCATCTCTGAGGATCCCCAGTGGCCCAGGGACCTAAGGTGAGGCCTGTGGTGGTATTAGTACTCTTCCTCTGTACCCAGCCTGATTTTCATTTGCCATTTTTCCCATTTGCCTCTAAGATGGGCTGGATGCAGCCACTATGGCCATGTTCCCACCTTCGTGTGTCATCCCTGCAGTGCATAGCAAGTCCCAGGCCCCAGAATTATACCCAATTTCTTAGACTCTCTGCTCCTTGTTCTCTTCAAATTGCATTTTTTTTCCATTAGTATTTTTAGCTTACTGGAATCTCCTTCCTTCATGTTACCTTTATTTATCTAACAGGCTTTTCACTTTATTCTCCCTTGGATCTTAAGTGTTATTAACTTCACTTTGGCATCTTCTCCCCACCCTCCCCAGCCCCAAACTAAGAAACTGTAACAACCTCATGTGAGGAATTGTGGCCATTGTTTATGGTAGGAGAAAATAAAAGGAACCAGCATGAAACCTTCAGCGCTCAACCACCACCCATAATAGAATCACAGTCATTACTGAGTTCCAAACAGTGCCAGATGGTGTGAGCACAGAAATGTTGGGTAGTAGCCAGGGCTGGGTTTTAGAGACAGATCTGGTGAACCCTTACCATCTTGGTGACCTTGGGCACATCATTTAACCTGTTTGGGGCCTCTTATCCATGAAATGTAAACAGTAATACCCACCTCATAGAGCTATCGTGGGGCTAAACAATGTGTTAGGCACTTAGCACAGTGCCTGGCACGCTGGAACTCACACTGCAAGAAGCGCTGAACCCGACCCTCGGCAGCACGTGGCCTCCAGAACCACAGTGCAAGTGCTATAAACTAGACTGCCTGCGGAAGGCCAGGGGAGGGGTGGGCACAGAAGACACTGGATTTAGGGCTGGGCAAAGGATAGGAGCAGGTGGCACTCAAGTAGGAGATGGGGGAAAGAAGGGAGGGAGAGAAGGAGAGAAGAAAGGTGGAGAGAGACAATAACAAAATGCAAAATTAGGAGCCTGAAGCATGGCTTCTCTCTTCTATATGAAACCTATCTATGGATATACAGATGGAAGATTAAAATCTGATGCCCTCCTTACAGCTCTGGTCCAGGGCTGAGTTGGAAGCTTGGCCTGTGTGGGTTGGTGAGTGTGCCCAGAGCCTGGGTGGGTAGGTGCCATGGGGGTGGGCACTCACTTCATGCCCTGCTGGAAGACTGAGTTGCGGCGGGTCTTGCAGATGATGAGGTCAGCCCACTGCACCACCACGATGCTGGCAAAGAATGCCGTGTGGCACGTGAACTCCACCACCTTCCGCTGCTCATAGGTCTGGAGGGAGGGTGGGCAGAGACAGATGAGAGTGTCGGAGGAAAGGGTAGGACCAGAAGGTAGCATGGTTTCTCCTGATCCACCCCTAGCCCCAGTCCCAGTTGGCCACCACTGGCCACTCCTGCCAGGCATTCAGCTTCCCGTACCTTCACACATGTGCGCTGTGTTTACACAGCACCACTCACCCACTCCTGTCCATAGCTGTCCTCCAGATCATTCATGGTCCGGTCATCCCAGTCGAGGCGGATTCCCAGTAGCCGTGATGGCAGGAAACCGTTCTCTGCCAGGATCACAAAGTAGGTGAAGAAGCCACCCAGTGCCTGGATCATCCCTGTGGGTAGAGGGCCAAAGGCAGGGGCAGGGTCAGAGCAGGAAGCAGAAGGGGCACAGCCCCTCAGGGCCAGAGATGGAGGTCCCTGACCCTTGGGTAGCTGGCCTCTGTCCTGGAATTTTGCTTGGGGCTCATTCCTCTGAAAGCTGGGAAAAGAACCCTGTTGGGGTTCCCTCCCGAGGCCCGGGGCTTGGCGCACCGATCTGTCCGTAGGCCATGCTGATGAGCCTCTCATTCACCAGCTTGTCCGTCTGGGAGTTTCGTGGCTGCCGCTTCATGATATCACTCTCAGCTGCCTCATAGGCCAAGGAGATGGCAGGGACCTGTGTGGGGTAGGAAATGGGGCAGGGAGGGCATTTGAAGGGACGTAGGAGATGACAGAAGCAATTGATCTTCGACAGTGACGATCGTTGACACAGTTAAAAAAGCGTGTATTCAGACCCCATTGTCTTCCAGGCCTGTGCCTGTCTCCTGTAACCCCCACAGCTGGGGCCACTGCCCCAGTGCACCTCTCCTCCCTGCCACTGTGCCATCACGATTGCCTTGCCTGTCCCCTCCTCCACCTCCTGCGCTCACCATATCTGTGCCCAGGTCAATGCAAAGGATGGTCACAGTGCCCAGAGGTAGGGGGATGTTGGCAATGATGAACAGCAGGAAGGGGGTGATCTCGGGGATGTTGCTGGTCAGGGTGTAGGCGATGGATTTCTTCAAGTTGTCAAAGATCAGGCGGCCTGTGGGGAGATTCTGAGGGCATCAGGGAGGTCAGAGGGACTCTTCCCCACCCCCAGCCCCTGAAGCATGGCTGCCTGTCTTCCCAAGAGAGGAAGATTTTGTGTTCAAGGGAAGCTAAAGTGGGCTGGGCTGCCTAGAGTTGTGGAATGATTCTTCAACTGGGGTAAAGGGACAGGGAACAGAGGTGCCGGCTTCAGTATCCTGCAAACCATCCCAACCCATGCAGCCTCCTCACCCTCCTCCACCCCCGTGACGATGGAGGCAAAGTTGTCATCCAGCAGGATCATGTCGGCTGCCTGCTTAGAGACGTCAGAGCCAGAGATGCCCATGGCAATGCCAATGTCAGCCTTCTTCAATGCAGGGGAGTCGTTCACCCCGTCACCCGTCACGGCCACAATGGCTCCCTGGAGGGAAGACGGCCACACTTGAGGACGAAACCCCTTCCCAAGCCTGGCTCCTCGCCTCTCACTCCATGCTTGTCTTGGCCCTGTCCCTGCCTCCCCGGTCCCTGCCTGTCATCTGCCTCCCGTGGCTGTGCTCACCTGCCTCTGACATCCCTCCACAATGATGAGCTTCTGCTGGGGAGACGTTCGAGCAAAGACGATCTCTGTGTGGTTCTTGAGGATCTCATCGAGCTGCTCCGATGTCATGTCCTTCAGGTCAGAGCCGTGCACCACGCATGCCTTGGCTTCTCTGGAGGGTGGGTGGGGACAGAGACAGCTGACCCCTGGCACCTGTACCAGCCCCTCCTGCCCCCTGCCTCTCTTCACCACCGCAGCCTGCAGGCTCCCTGCTGAGCCTGCTTCCCCTGTTGCTTCAGTTCTCCTCTCCTCAGTACTCACTTCCCCCATTTCTCTTTGAGAATGTGAGTCTAAATCCTCACCATGGGATCATCGCAGTTGTAAGTGCAGTTTGCTAGGCCCTGGGCTAGTTTCTTTACTCACATCCCACTCCTACAGCAGTGGAGATGGCATCCTAATTTTGTGGTGAGAAAATGGAGGCTCAGGAAGGGAATGTGACATCTCCAAGGTTACATGGGTATTCAGTGGCACAGCCTGGATACAAGCTCAGGGCTGAGGAACCAGTCACAATAGTGTCAGAGGTAAGGCCTATAAAGGTCCCAGAAATGCTATCCAAATACTCCCAGGGGACACCCAAGCCTTCTGTGCAAGAGGACGTGTTGATTAGGGCACAGGGGCTTCCTGCAGAGGCCTCACCTGGGGTTGACTTGACTCATGGGAATGTTGAGCCGGGCTGCAATGTCCTCCACAGTCTCGTTACCCTCTGATATGATGCCCACGCCTTTGGCAATGGCCTTGGCTGTGATAGGGTGATCCCCGGTTACCATGATCACCTAGTGGGAAGGAGAGGAGACAACAGGAAAGTAGTATTAAGGGTTTATCCCCCTCCTGTTCCTCTCCCAAAGTAAGAGAAAGCTAGATAGCGAGATGTCTGGGGATGGCAGATCCCAACCGAAATAAGGGCATGTGTGTGTGCGTCTGTGGGCAGGGGAGTGGCTGGGGTGGGGTGTATGTGTGTGTGTGTATGTGTGTGTGTGTGGGGTGTGTGTATGTGTGTGTAGGATGTGTGTGTGTGTGTGTGGGTGGGGATTGTGTGTGTGTGAGGGGGTGGGGATTGTGTGTGTGTGTGAGAGGGAATGTGTGTGTGTGGGATGTGTGTGTGTGTGTGGGGTATGTGTGTGTGTGTGTATGTGGGGTGGGGATTTGTGTATGTGTGCGTGTGTGTGAGATGTGTGTGTGGGGGGTGGGGATTGTGTGTGTCTATGTGTGTGTGTGGGATGTGTGTGTATGTGAGGTGGGGATTTGTGTGTGTCTGTGTGAATTTGAGTGGGTGGGTGAGGAGGAAAGATAATGGCAAGTTGAGTTATGTTCAGAGGGTTAGAGAGAGATAGTTTGCTTAAGTGCAGGAAAGTATCCATAACAGAGTAACAAGTTCATGAGGATCCCCTGGAAGAGAAGCCTCAAATCTTTAGGATTATTTAGGAGATATTTTAGGATTTTGGATTTCATGGGATTCAAGGCAGTCAGAGCTGGAAGGACCCTTTAACAACTCCTTTATTTTACACATGAGGAAACCAAGGCTTAGAGAGGGGCTACAATTTGCTCAAATGCACAGGGACCTGGATATAGGACATGAGGTTCTTAGTGTCAAATATTGATCACTGCAGCAATGTAATGGACAGAACAGGAATAAGATGGAGACAACACCCCTGCCTCCACCACCTTGAGCATCTGCCTCTGACATCCTCCCTGGTGAGCACGGTGGTCCCTACCTTCACCATAATGTTCATTGCTATTGTTGCAGAGTGAATGGAGTTGGGATGGGGAGGGTGGCTGGCATCTGATGGGCTAAGAGGCTATGAGGTGAGCAGAGTTGGGTTAGGATAGCATTTGCATGTGTGGGCTTGCAGGGCAAGTCCTATGGATACTGAAAAGGAAGCCTCCATGGTCCCCACTGCCTTATCTTCCACTCCCACCACTTCACTGAAACTGCCACCCAAAGGCCACAGGGGCCTCTCAATTGAAAAATGAAAAGTGTCTTTGCCGTCCTCATCCTACTTGACCCCTCTGAGGCATTTGGCACCGTTGACCTCTTCTCCTTGAAACCCTGCCCTCCCCTGGCTTCCACATACTCCTCCATTCCTGTTTTCCCTCCACTCCTCTGCATGCTCTTTCCCAGCCTCTCAGGGTGGCAGCCTAGTAGGATGGAAGAAGCAGTGGCTTTGGAGTTGAATGAGGGGCTCAAGTTTAAACACCGACCTTCTCCAGCTACAGCACCTTAGGCAAGTGAAGCACTGAGGTCTCAGCACAATGCAGAGATGATTCCTGCCTTTCTAGGTGGTCATGAAGATTAAATGGCATTGGTTCCTACCACCCTCTCCCCTCCTCACTGGTTCCTCTTGTGCCTAAATGTTGGTTTGGCACAGGATTTCATTCTCCTCCCTTCACTTGACCTGTCTGCTCTTTCTGGGCAATATAATACAACATACTATAAGCCTTTAGTTTGCACCCTTGTGCTAATGAGATTCAAATCTCCAGTCCTGACCATCTTTCATGAGCTCTAAACCATACTCCAATGTTCACTGGAACATCTGTCTTTCCTGGGGTATCTTATAGACTCTTTAAGCTTAAGGTCAACATTGAACTCCTTTTCTCTACTCCTGCCACCCCACCAAGCCTGCTACTGCTCCCTACCTTAGATGTTGTCCTCTCTATTCATCCTGTCCCCTTCTCTCCTGTATCTTCCTCACCTTCCATATCCAGTTTGGTCACCAAGTTCTCAAAACATTTCTCAGACATGGCTATTCCTCTCCATTCCCTTTGTTTCTGCCCTAGTTCAGGTCATCATTCTTTGCCTGAACTATGGCAATGGCCTCTTAACCTGTCTCTCCCTGACTCCAGTTCTTCCCCAAATCCAGTCCCTCCTCAAACCAGGTAGTCTCCTAAAAGCTCAACCTCCCCCGTGACACTGATGGCTCTCTGTGGCCTGCAGGATAAAGCCCAAGTCTGGCATTTAAGCCAAGTCCTTCCAACTGGCTCTGACCCAGTGTTCCAGTCTCAACCCCCAGTACTCCTTGCCACCTCTCCCCTGCCAACCCCTACACACGCTCCGTACAGTCTAGCCACGCCAGGGTACACACTGTTCCCTGATCTTGACATGCCTTCCTCTCCCTCACTGCTTTGCAGAATACTCTTTGACCTCCAAAGCCCAGCTCAAATATCATTCCTTTTGTCAAACATCGTCCAGTTCTCTGAGGCAGAATTAATGCTTCCCTGAGCTGACTTCCCATAGAGGTCCTCTGCCCAGGCCTCCGTGATGGTTCTGATCACAGAGAGAGGCACCTGGCCAAGCAGCAGGAGCTCAGGCTTTCCGGTCAAGCAGATCATGCTTCATAGTCCCAGTCCATCACTTACTGGTGGTTTTATTTTGGGGAAAAGACTTACCCACTTGCAGTTTCCATTTGTTTTACTTTTTTTTTTTTTTTGAGATGGAGTCTTGCTCTTGTCGCCTAGGCTGGAGTGCAGTGGCCTAATCTCGGCTCACTGCAACCTCTGCCTCCCGGGTTCAAGTGATTCTCCTGCCTCAGCCTCCCAAGGAGCTGGGATTACAGGCACCTGCCACTACACGTGGCTAATTTTTGTATTTTTTTTTCAGTAGAGACGGGGTTTCACCATGTTGGCCAGGCTGGTCTTGGACTCCTTATCTCAGGTGATCCACCAGCCTTGGACCCCCCCAAAGTGCTGGGATTACAGGCATGAGCCACTGTGCCCAGCCTTGTTTTACTTTTAACAGGGATAATGATGCCTGCCTCGGAGACAGAGTGGTTATGGGGTTCAGAAACCACATACACCCACAGAAACAAGTCTCCTGGTATGATAGTTAAGAAATAGCAGACTGCCTTGGTTCAAGTACCTGCTCTATGACTTACACTAGCTGTGTGGCCTTGGCATGTTACTTTGTGCCTCAGTTTCCCTCTTTGTAAAAAAGGAAAAATACTGGTGCTTATTCACAGGGTTGTTGCGTAGATTAAATGAAATCATAGAGGTTTAGTGCTTAGAATAGTGCCTGATTTATATGTGTCCTCCCTGGCACAGCTCATTGTCCCATCTAGATGTGTCATGTGACACAAATTGTTTACTATGTATCAGGCACTGTGCAAGGTGCTAGAGTTTGCACCTTGCACAGTGTCTGAAACATAGTAAACAGTAAATATTTGTTGAATGAAGAACAAACATAGCACAGAGGAGGGAGTGGTCAGTGAGAAGCAATTGTAGTTGAACAAGAGAACCTTGAGTGGGAGGCATTCTGTGGGGTTATGGGCTGAGCCACTGGGAGCATACAAGAGCCTGCTAATCCCATCCTAAGTTGACAGAGAGGGTGGGCAGTAGTTGGGAAGGGTAGGACAACTAGGTCTTCAAGATAGGAGTGCCAGATTATGCTTCAAATCAGAATGGAAGGGTACACATGCAGATGGGACAAAGAGCTGTGCCAGGGAGGGAGAGGAGGGGCATGGGACACTGGCCTCTCTGAGCAAAAGGGATAAGGGTGAGTGCCCCAAGGCAGGGGTGGGCCTTTCCTTGCAGATGGACAGCTTCTTCTCTGAGTCAGTGGGAAGGAGGCCACCGTGGCCTGGGCCTTTCCAGGGCAGCAGCCACTGCAGCTCCTTGAACTCTGGCATGGGGGAGGCTAGAATGGAGGGGAGGATGGGAGGCCAGTACCTTGATGCCTGCGCTTCGGCACTTGCCCACAGCATCTGGCACAGCAGCCCGGGGAGGGTCAATCATAGACATGAGCCCCACAAAGCAAAGCTTCTCCGTGGGAAAGTTCAGCTCATCCGTGTCGAATTTGAAGCCCCGAGGAAACTTTCCAGATGGCAGATTCAGTTGACAGAATCCTAAAGGGGGGCAGAAGGGATCAGTGAGATCCGCAGAGTGGCTTCCTGGACGCCCCCACAGTCCCCCACCCCAGGGATGCCGCAGAGGCTTGGGAATCCCCTTCTGAGCCTCCTGTTTCTGGCCTCTCACCCAGCACACGCTCCCCAAGTCCCCCCAGCTCCATGTAGGCATTTTGAAAGGCATCTTGCATCTCCTTGTCGAGCGGGATCTCCTTGCCCTGCACCAGGATGGTGGAGCACCGGTCCAGAATGCGCTCTGGGGCCCCCTTCATCACCAGCACGTGGCTCTGGGGGCTGTCTTCTCGCTCGTGGATAGACAGCTGGAGAGACAACAGGTAGTTACAGAGAGGGCCATACTTGTCTTGGTAGCGCGGCATAGAGCAGCAGCTGGTAAGGAAACCACCTTAGAAAAGTAGCCCCAACCCATCAAAGATTGTCAACAAAGAGAATCTCCTTGTGCAGGGGGGTGTTTAGACCTCACAGTTCCAACACTTGTAACCTGAGAGCCACCTCCGTAGGACAGTCTTTCATTCAACAAATATTTATTGAGGTCAGGTTAAGACAGGCACTGTGCTAGGGGCTGAACGGCTCCCTCCTCAGCATCCCCACCACCACCTGGCCTCAGGGGGCTTTACCTCTATGGATAATAAGGAATGCTGAGATTGCATTCTTGGCATTTAACAGGTGCCTAAAGGCTAAGGGGCACCATAAAGGAATTACAGAATTATGGTTTCACTGACTGGGGTAGAAGAGTTGGAAGGCTAGGCCAGAGGATGCGGAGCTATGGGAAGAAGAGTTGAGAGAGTGACAGATTGTAGTAAGGGATGGAGTAAGGTTTGGGAGCTGGGGCTAGTTGCAATCAGACATGCAGTCATATGAGCTGTCCTGGGGGACTTAGCAGGGGGAGGGAACATGACCCTCAGACACCCCCACTCCTGCTAGTGATGATTCCCCTTGGCTTTGTCCACCCTCACCCATTTATATCCCTCTCTCTTCCTCTGTCCTGGCAACCCAAGCAGACCTGGTACTTGTTGGTAGAGTTGAAAGGAATCTCTGCCACCTTGGGGTTTCTGTCTCTCATTTTCCTCACTGAGCCACAGGAGAGCTCAATGCACTTGAGCAGAGCTGACTCAGAGGCATCACCAGCTGTGTCCCGCTGCCAGAAGAGACAAGAATTCAGTGTCAGCATGGGAGGGAAGGGAGTGGAGGATCAGGTGAAGGCGGCACTGAAACCCCCAAGGCAGCCACATCATGTGAGAAGGAAAGCTGGGGCCAGCAAGAGGCTTTGGAGACACCCCCAAAACATACCTGGTGTGTGTCCTGACCCCCTACCTTAGACACGGAGATGTTCTCCTGTCCTGCCTTGAAGACGGCGCGGTTGCAGAGACCAGCAATTCGAGACAGGGCCGTCCACGTAGGGGATCGTTTGTCAAAAGTGGCCCCTGGGAGGAAATGAGGGGGAACCAGGAGCGTGGCTCCCTTTAGAGCCTTTATCTCAACCACTCACCCCACCACGCCACTGCCCTCAGCCTCCTCTAATCCTATCCACCCCCTCTGGAGCACCCAATCACCAGACTGATCTTCGGTGGTGTCAGCCTCATGGATTTGGTTGTCGAACCACATGTGGGCGACGGTCATGCGGTTCTGGGTGAGGGTGCCCGTCTTGTCCGAGCAGATGGTGGACGTGGAGCCCAGCGTCTCCACCGCCTCCAGGTTCTTCACCAGGCAGTTCTTCCGTGCCATGCGCTTGGCTGTCAGGGTCAGGCACACCTGGTAGAGAAAGAGGAGAATAAAAAAGGTTAAGGCTGAAGCCGGAGATGGCCATAACCTTACCCTAGACCGTGGCTCCATTCCTCCTCCCCTGATTCTACTCCACTAACTTGAATGGGTGGGACTTAGCTGTAAATAATGAATGTTCAATTTTAGATGTGTTGAGATCATGAGTATCTGTTAAGATGAAATGCCCATTAGGGGGTTTAAGACGTTTGACTAGAGCTCCAGAGAGGGCCAGAGCAGAGCTGAGCATAGGGATGTCTGAGTCATCAACACAGAAGGGACACTGCAAACTGGGAGGAGATTGGCTCTTGCTCAGGGTGTAGGAAGAACAGACAGCTGAGGCCTGAGAATCAGTGTAGGGGGAGCAGGAAGGGACAGAGGAGAGGCGAACCAGGATAGTGACACATCACAGCAATCGACAAAAGAGAGAATGGTAGGAGGGTGGACAGCAGTATCTGTTTCAGCAGCAGAGTTAGGGAGGAGAGCTGAGAAAAGGTCCCTGGATTTGCTAGTTAGTGACTGGTGACCTTTGAGACAGCCTCTACAGGAGACTTGGACGGAATGAGACCCAGACTGCTGGCAGATCGTGAGAAAAGGCAGCCGTGACAAGCTCCAAAAGAGAAACTGAGTGCCTAAGAATAGCCCCACCTGAGATTTCTCAACTCATACCCTAAGCCATGTATTAAGTGATCTCTGAGTATCGCATCCAATAAGTGACTCTAGGGGGAAAAAGTAGTGAGAAGCTACAAGCAACTGTGCCTCTATCACTCTGAGGAAAGAGTAGTGAGACCCTCCCCTGGTGGCACCTCAGCCTGACCCACTCACAGTGACAGTGGCCAGAAGCCCCTCAGGCACGTTGGCCACTATGATGCCGATGAGGAAGATGACTGCCTCCAGCCAGCTGTAGCCCAGGATGAGGGAGAGCACGAAGAAGGAGACCCCCAGGAATACAGCGACCCCTGTGATCAGCTGGATGAAGTGTTCAATCTCCATTGCTATGGGTGTCCGCCCAACCTCCAGGCCTGAGGCGAGAGTAGCTATGCGGCCCATCACCGTCCGGTCTCCTGTGGCAATCACAATGCCCCTGGCAGTGCCTGCAACATGGTGGGGCATCAGGTTGGGTGCCTTGTGGCTCCCAGGGACTGCAGTCCCATCCTATTTCCTGAGCAAGGAAAATCATCACAGGATAGGTGAGCCAAAGCCGCAGATCTGGAGGCCACATTCAGTAGGTTGTCCCCACTTGGCCTTCCTTTCCCTGGATAGATCGCCAATCCTTGAATCAATACAACAGCAAATTATTTTCTCTTGTACTCGAGCCTGGGGAGAAGCTTGCAAATAATCTCAAAGTTCAAATAGACAAGATTCAATAAATAAAAATTGCCTGTGGCATTTTGGTAAAATCATTCCCATACTTGATACCATCCAAAAGTATATTATGAACACAAAGTAAAGCACTCATTATGGATTTTCCATCCAGTCTTAAGATTTTCTTTCTCAACATTAGGCATGAATCTCTATAGAGGAAGCCAGGCAATTGCTAACCCTTGTGTGACATTACAGGGGTCTTCTGGGAAGGAAGGGTGGTGTATTGAAAAAAGCATGCACATTGGAGCCAGCCAAATTTGGGTTTGAATCCTTATTTGAATTCCTATCTCGGTGCTGTTTTAATATTTAGATGAGATTGTGCTTTAATATACTTAGGCCAGTGCCTGGAACATAGCGGGTGCTCAACAAATATCTCATTTATTTCCTTTCCTCTTTTCAAAGCCAATTGCAGAGTAAGCAATAGGAATGTATTACTAGGCATTTCTGAATAAATCAATTGTGGGAAATGTAAATTTCAAAATCTCAGTACATTAAAAATTTAGGAAATTTGGCCAGGCTCGGTGGCTCATGCCTGTAATCCCAGCACTTTGGGAGGCTGAGGCAGGAGGATCACTTGAGCCCAGGAGTTTGAGGCCAGCCTGGGTAACATAGTGAGACCCCATCTCTAATATACATATATATATATTAGCTGGGTGTGGTATCACGCGCCTGTAGTCCCAAATACTCTGGAGGCTGAGGTGGGAGATCGCTTGAGCCTGGGAGGTCAAGGCTGCAGTGAGCTGTGATTGCACCACTGCACTCCAGTCTGGGTGACAAAGCAAGATCTTGTCTCAAAAGCAAAACAAAAAACAAACTTAGGAAATGTAATGTGTGGTGATTTTTATTTGTACAGTTGGCCCTCCATATTCACAGATTCCATGTCCATAGATTCAACCAACCTCAGATCGAAAATATTTGGAGCTAAATAAAAATAACAATACAACAATAAAAATAATACAAATTTAAAAACAAAACAGTATAAAAATTACATTGCACTCGGTATTATAAGTAATCTAGAGTTGATTCAAAGTATATGGGAGGATGTGCGCAGATTATATGCAAATATTATGCGATTTCATATCAGGGCCTTTGAGGATCCTTAGATTTTGGTAACGAAGGGGGTCCTGGAACCAATCCCTCATGGATTCCAAGCAGTGGAATTCCAACTTGTCGAAGAAGGGAAAAAAACCACAGAGAAACATAATACACTGAGGAGAAATGAGTAATGGACAGGGGAAGTGTGGATTGGGATATGAGGCCTCCTTTGCCCTATTTTCAGAGGCCACTGGTCTAGTGAGGCCTCTTTCTGTCTCTTCCCTCCTACTCCTTCTCTGATGCAGCCCTGACTCTGCTCACTGGCTTTACCACAGAGGGCACAGGTTTCAGTTGTGCTTGGACCCCTGCCATTAAGTGATGGCAGCTCTGGGAGTTCTTATTGACCTTTGTTTATCTCTAGAACCCAGAACAGGGATGGGGCAAACTGGGTAGTCTGTGCATGGTGAAACATGTCTTTTGATGTAACAAAGGTTAGAAGCAGCCTGAAGTAGGCCCCAAGTGTTCACCTGGCCAGAATGCCTTCTTGGCCCTCCCAGACCCTGGGGCCCTGGCCAAAGCAAAGGTTATCGAAGGGGGCAGCGAGGCCCAGAACCACAAGGAATAGAAGCATCAATCAAATCCAAAGACTCCTAAGAATCCAGGTTGGTTCTGAGCGTATGTGCATCTGTGTGTGCGCATGCGTAAGGGGTTCTTAACCCAATACCTGAAAGCTTTGAAATCCACTCAGTCTTGGGGTGGACAGAACAGAGATCTCCCTGGGGAAGGGAGATACATTTCCCATGGAGTCAGGCTGCCCTCAGTCAATACCCTGCTCTGTGGAGGGTGTTTCCATAATATTCAGGGCCCCCTGACCCCTCAATTGCCCCACCAATGGCAGAGCTTTTGCCAGGTAAGTACTACCAGAGCCCTTCATCCTGACTATGGATTCAGGATTCAGACTCTTTCCTACAGGGGGCAGCCTGGCTTCTCACCTTCAACACAGTTGGTGGAGAAGAAACAGATATTGCGGGTCTCCAGGGGGTTCTCATGGGTGAACTCGGGGGAGCGGGTCTGGGGCTCCGACTCTCCTGTTAAGGATGAGTTATCCACCTGAGGAGGAAGGAGTGCATAGTCATCAGACTGGCAGAGCCACTTGTATGCACACAGCTGTCTCCTGAACCACCTCCAACCACACTCAATCTTCATGACACGAGGAACAAAGTCACACTTGCCCTCATCACATATTTATGGCATTACTCATCTATTGCCCCTGCCCTGGTTTGGAATTCTGACTCCTCCTGACTTCTTATGTGACCTCGGGTTACTTGCTTAACCAAGAGAGCCTCCATGTACTCAACTGTAAAATGGTGAATGTAAACAGAATCTCTGCCTTGCACAACCACAGGGGGAGACACTAACACTGTAGTTATGAAAATGCACCTCCTGGGGTCATTCAGGATGCAACGTGTGTGGCCACATTCAGCAGCCCTGCATGATTACACCACTCTTTCAGAATTACATCAGATAGCACATCGAACATATATAAAGCAGCTGACACATAATTGGTATTCAATACATGATTGCTAAAAAGTGGACAACAAAGAAATACCTGGGGCATAGAGCATTCATAACACACAGATGCAAGGAGGCACTGCACAAGCACCCCACACTGAGAGAAGGTTTAGCAGGGGCATAGGCATGGTGTTGACATTTGGACCTGGGTCTCTCCACCTTTAAACCTCACTGGGCCCCTCTCAGCTCTGCACACAGCCTTCTCCTTAGACTCAACTGCTTGCTCTGGTATGACCTCCTCACCTTACAGCCATGAGAAGAGATGATCCGGAGGTCAGCAGGGACGCGGTCTCCACCCTTCACCTCCACCAGGTCTCCCACCACCACTTCCTCTGCGTTGATCTGCATCTTCTCTCCCTCCCGGATCACAAGGGCTTGCTGTGGGGAGCCACAGGCAGCTCATGAAATGCTTGTCTCTGCCCCTGCCTTCTTCTCCTGCTGGTCTCCCACACCGTCAAGCAGAAGGAGAAGCCCCATAAACAATTAGGTGCTGGCATGGAAAGCTGGAGGATCTTTTCTGTCCATCTCTATCTTAGAGCCTGGGAGCTGACAAAAGATGAGCTGGACTCTTGCCAAAACCTTACAGCCTAGCCCAGAGCCCAGCCCTGCCATCTTACCTGAGGTACCATGTTCTTGAAGGAATCCATGATCTTGGAGCTCTTGGCCTCCTGGTAGTAGGAGAAGCAGCCAGTGACAATGACCACAGCTGCCAGCACCACACCCAGATATAGCTGGTAAGGAGAAAGAGTTTCAGGGACCTGACCTTCCCCCCAACCCTAAAGGGGCAGCTGCCACTTGGGATGAGCAGGCAGTGCCATCCAAGATGACAGCCCAGACCTTTGTCTGTGACTGAGAGTGATGATGGTAGGGGAAAGCCCTTCTCACTAACCTCCCCCTTGATCTGCCAACCTCAAGCCTGTTAAGACTAGAAATGGGAGGGAAAGTCTTAGGAAGTTCCCAGGGTTAGGACTTTGCTAGGGGATGAAGACCCAGGCACACAGACAGGCTCACTTAAGCGGGGAGGAACAGGGAGAGATTGTTTCATTAATTAATGAGTATGTGAATGTGTATGCACTGTTGGCGGAGGAGTACTTTACAGATATATATAGAAGCCTCTCCCCTTTCCAGCCTAAGATGCAGGGGCATCTGTAGGACTGTTATGTGAGGGCCTTGTTCCCTGCCCACCCCCCACTGTGTTGGGGGTTCAGGGTTGGAGGACAGTCACGGGCTGTTCCCGGGTCGGGCGTGTGGGCTCACATTGTCGTTGGATGGTTCATCCTCCATGGCAGCCTGGATGCCGTAGGCCAGGAAGCAGAGGATAGCCCCAATCCACAGCAGGATGGAGAACCCCCCGAAAAGCTGACGGCAGAACTTGACCCACTCAGGGGTTGTGGGAGGTGGTGTGAGGGCGTTGGGCCCATCTCGAGCCAGAACGTCCTGAGCCCGCTGGTTGGTGAGGCCCTGAGGGAGCAAGGAGAGGCGTAGGGGCACGCATCCGGAGCCAACCCAGCCAGTCACCATGCCCATCCCTTCAGCTCCCGGGCATGGGAAGAATGCCCAGAAGGAAAGTCCCACCTGGTTGGAAGGGGTGGGGGACCATCAGGAGAGACCACATGGAGGAGGTGGCATTTGTGATGCAACTTGGAGGGCTTGAGGGCTGAGAAGGGTTTGACTGGGCTTGACCCCTAATTATATTGGATTGAGACAACACCTATGGTTAGGGCCATAACATCTCCCCTGGAGGCAGTCTGGATAAGCTCCCTGGAAAGACACCTCAACTGTTTTTTCCCCATCTCTCTTCCTTCAGATTATTTTATCAAGGATTCTAGGAGAGTCCTAGATTTTTTTTTAAGAGATGGATTCTTGCTATGTTGCCCAGGCTGGAGCGCAGTGGTGCAATTATAGCTCACTGCATCCTTGAACCCTGGGCTAAAGCAATCCTTCCACCTCAGCCTCCCAAGTAGCTGAGACTACAGGTGGGCACCTCCACACCCTGCTCAAGTCCTACATTATTGACCGTCAGTGTCACACAACTTTGGCAATCACCTGTCACTTTCCACAGAAAGCCTTGCCTGGCCCTATTCCCTCAGCCCCAGGCTGGTTCAGATGCTTCTTTCTGGTTCCCCATGGTGTTCTATACTTGATTCTAGAGCTGCACTCACCATATTGCATTGGAATCCTAGGATTGCATTTTTTCTGCTACTAGACTTTGAGCTCCTTTAAAGCAGGGACCGTTTCTTTTTTTTTTTTTTTCATTCATTCATTCATTTAATAAATGTATATCCAGTGCCAGGCACAATTGTCACTCTGCGGATGCAGAGATGGACAAGACCAACAAAGTCCCTGCCCTTGAGGAGCTTATGATCTGGAGAGGTGACACACAATAAACAAATACATATTAGTGCCAGATAGAAAAGTGTTACTAAGGAAAATAAAGTAAGGTAAAGGAATAGGGGCATAGAATTTTAGAAAGAGCAGTCAGGGAAGGCCCATAAAGGAGATATACACCCACTAAATATTTGTCTGTTTGTTTGCTTGTTTCAAGATGGAGTCTCACTCTATCGCCCAGTCTGGAGTACAGTGGTATGATCTCGGCTCACTGAAACCTCCGCCTCCTGGGTTCAAGCCATTCTCCTGCTTCAGCCTCTCGAGTAGGTGGGATTACAGGTGCCCATCACTGTGCCAAGCTAATTTTTGTATTTTTAGTGGAGATGGGGTTTTGCCATGTTGCCCAGGCTGCTCTCAAACCGCTGACCTTAAGTGATCTGCCTGCCTTGGCCTCCCAAAGTGGTAAAATTATAGGCATGAGCCACCACACCCAGCATTTTTTGATTAATGATTTTTAAACAAATTTTTAATTGAAGGGCTTAGCAATTGACTGTACCAGTTACTGTTCATGTGACCTTGGGAAGTTACTCTCCCTCTCTGAGTCTCCTTTGTTTAATAAACAGGTCTGCAATACCTATCTCAAAGGGTTGTTGTAAAGATTAGAGAAATGTATGTAACGCATCTATCACAATGTCACATATGTAGCAGGGGCCCAGCAAATCACTGTAACCACAGGAATGGGCTGTCAGCCCATGTGCATCAGCTGTCAGCTCTGTGGAAGGCTGTGTGCAACTGAAGTTGCTTGGGGTATAGGGAAGGGCCCTGCCTGGAGGCCCTCTGGGGCCTGGGTCATAGGGAGTCCTGGCTTCTAGGGTATACAGGGAGAGAGCTTTGGGCTAGGATGCAGGGGATCCAAATTCTAGTTCTGGCTGTGCCACCAACTAGCTGCATGTCCTTGGGCCAGTCCTTGTTTCTGGGCCTCAGTTTCCTCATCTGTAAAGAAGGCTGGATTACAGTTTTAAGGCTCCTGCCACCTTGATGCTGCATGGTTTTCTTGCCTCTTTTGTTCCTTCCCTAGAAGCCCCTCCACTCACCTTGGACAGGTCCACTTGGTATTTGCGGCCCAGCTCATCCAAGGACAGCTTGTGGTCATCCTGGGGAAGGGAGGGTGAGTTACTTTGGGGAGGAGGTATCTAAGATGCATATGAGGGTACTGCAGGGCACAGGGGTGAGTTGAGCAGCATGGGGGACACGGAGTTTCTCTGAGTGCAATGGGCTGCAGGGACAGCTCTCCCAGCATGGGGCCCCTCCTCCATGGCCCAGCAGTTCCCTCACCATTGCCACCTCCTTCTTCAGCTCATCCAGTTCCTTCTCCTTCTGTTTCTTCTTGCCGCCCCCATTCTCTGCCGTGGTGGCGGCAGGTGAGTACTCACGGCCAGCCTGAGGGAGGAAGGGAGAGCCAGAGAGTCAGGGAAGAGAGGGGCTGGGGCCTCCATTCCCACCACTCAGCCAGGGAGCCCAGGCAGTGGGGGTGTGTGTTCAAAAGCAGCGGCTGCCTTGGGGGAGATAGGGGGGATGGAGGGTGAGGGACCCTAGGCCCTCAGTTTGTAGACTATTGGCAGAACCAGGGGCTCCCATGTGAGTTTCAGAGAAGGGTGAGGGGCTCAGGACTGAAAAGCACCACTTGAGTGGTTTAATGCTTGGGCTTCTGCTAAGATTTTGTTTGTTGAAAGGACCCTGCTGCTAAATACAAAACAAAACAAAAATTTTGAAAACCTGTATCCTACACTATTTGGGAAAATTCTGGAAGGGAGTGGACAGGGTTTTGTGGGGGGTTGTTGAGGGAGTAGAATCACTCTGTAGGAATGTCTTAGCCCAACACCATGGCAATTTTACTTAGAGAGGGGTAGAAATACTCAGGAACTTGGGGGAGCAAGAGTCTTTGGGGAGCCAGGGGATTAGGCAGGAACGTGTCCAGAGGAGAGCCAGGTCTGGTGGTGGAATGGTAGGGATGGAAAGAGCAGGCCTGATGGACTGAGAGGAGGCAGTAGCTGGAGAGTCAGGGCATGTCCAGGAAGTGGAGACATGGGGTGTGCTGGGAGCCCTCTCCATCCTGCTGGGCAGGCCTGCCCGTTACTAGACGGGAGGCAACTCACAGGACTGGACCCCCAAAGCACAATTGGGTAACATGGGAACTGAGCCCCATTTGTCCCAAAACATAAGAAATTGTATCTGAGAGTAAATCTAAAACTACATTTTATATAGTTTTTAAGTCTAGACATTCCTGGGTCATCTGGTGAATCAGATGGCCTTTTTTTTTTTCTTGAGACAGGGTCTCACTCTGTCACCCAGGATGGAATGCAGTGTGCAATTTCAGCTCACTGCACCCTCCGCTTCTAGGGCTCAAGCAATACTCCCACCTCAGCCTCTCAAGTAGCTGGGGCCACAAGCATGCACCACCACGCTCAGCTAATTTAAAACAATTTTCTTTCTTTCTTTCTTTTTTTTTTTTTTTTTTAGATATAAGGTCTCACTATATTGCCTGGGCTCAAGTGATCCTCCCACCTTGGCCTCCCAGAATGCTGGGATTATAGGTGTGAGCCACTGCGCCTGAGCAGATGGACATTTTAATTGTAGTCTTATGAGGCTCCTGATTTCCCTTCCACTCCAGGGCCTGTGGGCTCACCACTACCAGCCTTCCAGGGTCTCACAGGGAACTTCTTGGGGACAGGGTGGGAAATCTTTCCTTCTAAGAGGAGGCCCTCTTGGGGTGATAGAATAGGATAGAGGCTGAGGAAGGCCTGGGTAGCCATGAAAAGTTCCCAAAAAGGTACCTTCTTACTTCCTCTTCTGCCCCAGTCTTCTCTCCTCCCACTTCCCTCAGGAAATAGAGTCCTTGTCATAGAGGGGCTGCTCAGTTTCCACCTGGTGCCTATTTCTCCACTGGATTCTGCAAAGTCTGCACTAGGCTTTCAGGAATTAGTTTTCCCACACTATGATGTTAACTTTTGTTTCCCATAAAGAGTGGATACCTGGGTAGGGTCCACAGCCAAGGTGTTTGCTTTTTTTTTTTTTTTTTTTTTTTTTTTGCAGGATAATGCAGTTTTGGGGGTTTTGTTTGCATTTTAAAAAATATACTTTTTTTGGAGCAATTTTCTGGTTCACAGCAAAATTGAGTGGGAAGTAGAGAAAGTTCTCATATATCTCCTGCCCCCACACATGCACAGCCTCACCCACTATCAACACCCTGCATCAGAGTGTTACATTTGCTGCAATCATGAACCTGCATTGATACATCTTTATCGTCCAAAGCCCATAGTTTAAGTTTGAGTTCACTCTTGGTGTACATTCTATGGGTTTGGGCAAATGTATACTGACGTGTATCCGCCATTGTGGTATCATATGGAATAGCTTCACTGCCCTAAGACTTTTGTGCTCCAGGGTAATGCCTTTTTTACTTATCAGAGTCAGGAGCAATCCCAGAAGTATGGCAGCTGCCTTGTTCATAAGAGGTCGCCAATTCAGCATCTTGAGAGGTAGAAGTCTGACCAGTACAATCAGAAGCAAGGGTAGGGGTGGGGGATGCAAGGAGAAGTCAACACTGTTGTTCCCAAGATACCAATGATTTAAAAAGATATGAGCTTTTGGAGGCTGTGTTGCTCAGAAGTGCTCTTCTCAGAAAAGGTGACCAGTAAAATCGTGGGTTTGTCTCCACCTGAAGCATCTATGAATCTGGTATAATTTTGGCCTCCTAAAGGCAGATCTTCTTGGGGAGACCGAGCAGCCCAATGGAAGGGGTGGGGAAAGGCTTGTGAGTGGTTCTGCCTCTGCCTTTCTCAGGTGACCTAAGAGGATTCATTTAATTGAGTGGATTGAAATGCTTTACATTCACTAACTGTCTGTGGTGGGACAGAGCTGAGAAAAGGAAGAAATGCAATCAAGGGAACAGAGGCAAGAGATCAGGCTGGCTGAGCTTCAGTGTGACCCTCAGGAACTTCAGGGACAGAAGGGGGCCCAGGCATACACAGAGGAGCAGGGCTGGGTCTGTGGGCAGAAGAGCAGGGTGCAGAGGAATTTCTGTATATTCAGATGTGAAATAAATTTCATAAAAATTGGAATAAAATGCATGCTTTTTAAAAACTTGCTGGTCCATGCACTTTGGCATGCTGGATTGTGGCTGAGCTAAGCAGCTCCACGCAGTGCCTCCTTTTCCCAAGCTCCCGCCCTGCTCTCCAGCAGGCTTAGAGCTTGAGACACACTGCCCCTTCCCCCTCCTCCTGTCCTGGCAAAGATCTCAGGCTCTGCAGCCAGGAGCCTGCAGAGATTTGGGGCCAGCGGCTGCCCAGGCAAGAAAGAAAGAGAGGAAGCAAGGACCCCCCCAACCTCCCTCCACTCCTCCCTCCCCCAACCACAAGTCCCCCTCTCTGGGTCTTGAATGCTGAAGGAGAACAGAGAGTCCTTTTTGAGAAAGCCAGAGGCTGGGACAGAGTGGGGGCAGCTGGGAATCCGCCAACGCTCCCCCCATCTCAGCCTCTCCGTGGTAGCTGGAGCAGGCTGGGCTCCCTCCCACCAGTGTCGTCCCTTCCCCCAACTCCCACGCTGCCCTTCACAGCCACTGGGTAATGGGGGGACAGTGAAGCCTGCCTCTGCAGTGGAGATGCAGGGGAGAAGGGATTGGAGGAAAAATCATCCCTAGAACAGGTTGTGGGTGTCAGATGCCTTCCCTCTTCAGGGGTCGTTGGTAGGTTGAACTCTAAGCTCCAGGCCCTAAATACCCCCACCTCACCCAGCCTCTTAGTTTAAACAGCCCAGATCTGCTCCTCATCTTGCTATTGCATCACCCACAGCAACTTAGGATGGTGATTAAGGGGAGTTTGGGGGTGCTAGGGGAAAAAGACAGACTGGAAAAGTCAAGGTCTCATCACTTCCCAAGCAAGACCTCCTGAGCTGGGTCTACCTTGCTCTAAGATGGAGCAGGGTAGGGGGCTACCTCCCCTCCTTCTCTCTTCACTTGGATGGGGGAAATGGAGGGCTTATCTGATCCTTTAACCCCTGCCTCTTCTCAGAGGTCCTGCATCTCAGCTAGGGATGCCCTTTCCATGGGGAGCCAGAGATGTCAAGATGCAGCTGAAGGTCCCAAGACAGTATATCTTCCTGCAGCTATGACCTCTTCCTCCGTGAAGCCCATACCTCACAGCTCCTAAGGGCAGGCTCACAGACTCTCAAGCACCCCCACACAGTGACATTTATGCTTGTGCAGGCTTGAAGGCTTGTACATTTACAAATTTGCCTGCTGAGACACAAACACAGGTACTCATCCATGAGTAACTGCAGGACTCCCCGCCTATGGAGAACACGTGGTCAAGGACACACACTCACACACACACAGACACAGACACACAGATACATGCATGCACTCCAATTCTATTTATGGCTCCAACCCTAGCTCAGGAACCCTGGTGTCCAGGCTCAGGATTTCCCAGCTGCTCAACTAGGTGCAATAACATGTCCTTGCCTGACTCCTCCTGGGCCCAGAAACACCCACGGCTCCCCCTAGGCACAGTCTTCCTCATACCCTCCTGTTCCGCAGCATGCCCTTTCCCTCTGTGTCCTCTTTTGCCAGTATTCCACAAAAGGAAAGCAGCCAGGCACAGCATGTAAAAGGATTGGGCCACTCTTCTCCATATGGGAATTTCATTTCCAAGAATTCAAAGCCCTCTCCCTGCCCGCCCCATTGTTGTTAATCTTCCTCTTGGTGTAGCCATTGCTGCAGAATGCCATGGACGGGTGGACTGGGGGGGGGGTCACCTGTCACCAGCCTCTGGGAAAGTCCTCAAAGCCCATGGCTTGGAACCCACGGACAATGCTGCTCGGGACATCCGGAGGGGTGCTGGGGTGGGGGCTGGGTCATCATTCTTCCTCCCCACACCCCGCCCAGCTGTCCTTGGCACTCAGGGCCCCTGGAGCTGGTGTCCGGAACTACTTGGTGACTCTGGGAGCCGGATGCTCTACTGCCCCTCTCTAACCTCAAAATGGACCCCCAGCCTCTCAGGCTAGGACTCCCAGAGGAATGGATATTTTCAGGAGGTGGCAAAGACAGGAGGACTCACAGTGCCAAACATCCTTTCAGCTGGGAGGCCGGGAGATGCAGTGAGAGGAGGGACTGCTGCAGGGAAGGACTAGAGATGTGGGAGTGGGGTGGAGGGAGAGATGGAGGGGGCATGTGTGGTGGGCTGTGGGTCTAACTGTGGGCAGGGGGCTGGGGCGTGCAGAGGAGAGGAGAGCACTAGGGTATGTGACCGCCGTGGGATCTGTACACACATTGGTAGTTTGGAGACTGTTAGTTTCAAGTTCCAAGTATCCCACTCAGCTCCTCTCTCCCGCTCCTTCCACATCCCATTCCCACTTCATCCTTCCTCAGCAGCCTCCCTCACCCTCTAGACTGCGACCCCTGCTCTTTAGGGATACTCACCCCACGGCCCATCTTGGGGCAGAGTGGCTGAGGGACCTTAGCGGGAGAGGTCACCAGGAGGATCCCAAGCCCACACCAGCCCGTCTGGGACAGTCGGAGACCCTGGCAGACAGAGAAAGCCAAAGCAACAGGGTAGCTTTAAATAGGTCCTTCTCCCCCTCTCCCCCGCCTTCCCCTCCTCCGAAAGAAACGTTTGTTGAAACAGGATCCCTGAGGACTCCTCCCCTCCCGCCCCTTTAGCCACTGGCCCTAGACAGCCCGTTTGTCCCACGGCATGCCCCCCCTTGGCTCCTCTCAACCCCCTCTGGCCTGTGGCACTCACAACTGAGAGAGGCTGCAAGGGAAGGGGGCCTGGGTCCCAGGTTGGGGGGATATGCCCCCTTGGATCTGGCTGAAGGGGAGCAGTTGACTCAGAATCCCAGGATGACAGAGACCATGTGGCCTAACTCTTCTTTTCCAAGTGGGTAAACTGAGGCTCAGAGAGATTAAACAATTTGAATTGATAAGACAGAGCCAGAACTCAGGTCTCCCGAGTCTACATCCAATCTCCCAGAGAAAGAAAGAAACATAGACCACTCTGTTCCTTCTATTATAGAGGTTGCAGGGACACTGAAGCCCAGAAATAGAATTTGAACCGAAGGCTGACCTCTGCACTTGAGGCACCTGGAAGGGGGGCCCAGGAGGAGTCAAAGGTGGCTCGGGAGGCAGCGGGAAGTTTGGAGATGGAGGCAAGAGGGTGTCCCCAAACCCTGCCAGATGTAACCTCTCCAAAGTTTTGAAGGAGAATCAAGACTCTGGTAGGGAGGGGCAGGCCAGGGCTAGAGGGGAACGGGTGGGACTCCTAGCAGGCACCTGATGACATCTCTGGGTTTTGTTTACCCCTCGTTTACCGTTTCATTGCTGTTGAAGAGCTCTAGACTGAATCTATGCCTGAGTAGAGTAGTGATAGGGAGAAGTCAAAAGAGAGGAAAATACAGAACCTCTAAGATGTGTGTGAAGGTCAATATCATAGCAAATATCAGACATGTGAACGGGAAAGGAGAGCGACTGTTTCCTTCTTCCAGTGGGGAAGGGGAAGCAAAGCTGCAGCATGCAGGACTGAGGCTGGAGAACAGGCCTCTCTGCAGTGAAGTGGGGGAGATTGGAAATGTCTGAGGAGTGAGGATGCCCATCAGAGTCAGGAGCAATCCCAGAAATGCCTAAGGCTTTGCCTGGGGCTGGAAAGGGTATCTTTAACCTTATACCAGCTAGAAACTGGGGACAACGAGATGACCCAGGACAGGACCAGCTGGTCTAGGGGTGTTGTTGCTGCTCATTTGATGAGTAATCCAAAGGATGAGGGGCACAGAGAGGAAGGGGAACCCAGAAGGGGCAGAGAGAAAAGAAAAAATTCTGCTCCCGCCTTCTACTGGGAACAGTCAGAGGACAGGATTCCCCTGGAGTACCCCTGTTTCTCTGGGCACAGAGATGGAGTGAGGGGAAGCCAGCGGAGTGGGGCAGGTCTAAGTGTCCTGAGTGCAAAGAAAGCAGAGAGGAAGGGAGGGAGGGAAGGGGGGCTTTGGCCAGAGGCCTAAGGTGCCTGCTGGCTGGGCTGGGTCCATCTCTGGCCCCAGAGGGAACTCCCTGCAGAGGGATTATCAGCCTCTCCTCTAGCAAATCCACTCTCAGGGCACAAGGCTAACATCTGAATTCCCTAAATAACTGGCCCCCTCCGGGCCTGCAGTTGAGATTTTCCATTACAGGGACCTGGTAGGTCACATCTCACTTCCACGCTCCTTCCCTCTCTGGGTTACAGTCAGAAAGGGTGGGTAGGATGGGGCCAACAGGGCCTTCTCATGGCCCCCCTCTCCGAGCTCAGATTTGGTCTTGGGAGAGAATGGGCAGAGGGAGGAAACAATGAAGGGAACAGATACCAGTTCAGCCCCTGTGTGTTAAGGAGAGAGTGAGAGGGGAGTAGCGGGAAAGCCTGTGGTTAGACACCAGGAGAGACTGTCTAAAGCAAAGTCACTCCAGAGTGGCCCCGAGGCAGCTAGGGAGATCAACATTGGGGCAGGCTTGCCTGGGGGCTGTGGGAACAACATGATAAATTGGGGTTTAGGAAGCGCCTGTTCCGTAGGTTCCTGGGTTGGAATTCCTGGGTAATCTTCTGCCCAGCCCTCTCCAGAACACAACCTGAGATAGGAGAGAAAACGTCAGTCCCCGAATCTGAAGGTGTGCAAACCTCAAGCACTCTAACAGTTTTCATCCCACCCCTCACCCCTGCTGGCACCTCCCAGTACTGCCCAGTCCTTCCAAAGGCCCTGGCTCTGGTCCCTGTGGCCAAACTCAATACCGGAAAGGATGTGCCCTTCCTCTGCCCCTACAGCCTGCTGGGGCTCCCTGCCATGCCCTGCATTTGGGCGAGAGCACAGCCCGAGGGGCGCTGCTGCTCACATATTTAGGGCTCAGAGAAATCAAAGAGTGGGCAGGACACCCAGGGCCTATACTTCCACCGTGCATCACTGACCACCCTCCTTGCCCAGTGAGAGCTGAGGCTCTGGAGTGGTCTACCTCCTTCTTGTCCACCATGAACCTCAGCCTCCAGGATATTAACAGGTGTAGACACCTGATCGTTTGATCTGGAGTGCCTGGGTTGGGCTACTGTTTCTTCAGACACAGTCAGCAGTACCAGTTTGGATCAAGGCCCTTGGAGTAAGAGGAGCAAAGGAGAGAGAAAGAAAGACTTGAAAGCAGGAGGATGGAAGGCCAAGATGCCTGGGCTGGGGAGTGGGCTGAGAAAGTCACAGATCAGGAGGGGGATCCACCAAGGGCAAAGTGGGGATGGAGTGGTCCTGAATCAAATATTTGGTTGGTAAGAAGTGTGTGTGTGTGTGTGTGTGTGTGTGTGTGTGTGTGTGTGTGACAGAGAGAGAGAGAGAGAGAGAGAGAGACCAAGACAGTTGGAGAGAGACAGGAGTGTGCATGTGCCTGTGTACAGATGTGTGCTAGTTAATGACTGGGAGGACCTGAGCGTTGGGTCCTGTGTGAGGTATGAGACGGAGTGGTGGTACCAAACCACATTCCAAAGGAGGAGCTCCTCAGGGGAGAGGACAACACTCATTCGGATGTGTGGCCAATCTGCTATGAATCGGTTGTCTGTATGCAAGCATGAGTACAGAGGTGCGTGTGAGTCCGTGAGTGCGCATCGCTTCTCGGCCTTTTGGCTAAGATCAAGTGTGGAGTCCGTGTGTGCGTGCATGTGGGCCATTGGGGAGCTCATGTGAAGCCGGGTGTGGGTGTACGTGAGAGTCCATGGGAGAATGTGTGTGTGCACAGGGAGGGGGTGGGGACGCTGCTCAGCTGCAGATGGGCTTTCAAGGTCTCCAAGAAACAGTTTTGTTTCCTAAGTGACTGGCCTCCTGGGGCCTCCAGCCCAGACTTGAAGGTTGTTTCAAGATCATGAAAGAGAGAGAGGAGGAGGGAGAGTGGGAGGGAAGGAAGAGCTGGGAGGCTCTATCACCCCCATCGTCCCTCCTCCCGCCCCGGCACCCCACTTCTCTCCCCCAGTCCTGATTTGGGCCCAGCTCTCCAGCCCTGCTCCTCTGGTCCTCCTCTCGGCTGCCAACCCCCCTCTGGGCATCTCTCCTTCTTCTCCTTCTTCCATTCCCTCTAACTCTCCTTTCTTTTTTTCTTTAGGGCCTGTGGTCTTGTCACTGCTATCAGGCTTCTGAGGTCTTCTGGGAGTGTGGGTGGAGTTTTTCTGCTTCCAAAGGGAGCCCACCTTGGGGGATGAGATGAGGGGAGCCGGGAAGGCCTGGACTGGCCATGACAAGTGTCCAAGAAAGATGACTTCTCACTCTCCCTGCCTCTCCAGCCCTCTGTCCTCCCACTCCCTCAGGTTATAGTGACCTGTTAAAAGGTTGGGATCAGCCAGGTGGGGTGGCTTATGCCTGTAATCCCAGCACTTTAGGAGGCCGAGGTGGGCGGATCATGAAGTCAGGAGTTTGAGACCATCCTGGCCAACATGGTGAAACCCCGTCTCTACTAAAAATATAAAAATTAGCTGGGAGTGGTGGCACATGCCTGTAATCCCAGCTACTCGGGGGGCTGAGGCAGAAGAATCGCTTGAACCAGGGAGTCGGAGGTTGTAGTGAGCCGAGATCGTGCCAGTGCACTCCAGCCTGGCGACAGAGCGAGACTCCGTCTCAAAAATAAATAAATAAATAAATAAATAAATAAATAAATAAATAAATAAAAAGGTTGGGCTCAGAGCCCCAGAGTGGCTGTCCAAGTCCTGCTGCTGTGTCAGTTTCCTCACTGGACTACAAGGATGGTGTTGAATTTTCTCCCCATCTCTCCTTTAACATCTGCTCCTCCGTTTTCTTTTTGGTCTTTCTTTTATTTTTATCTTATTTTTTTTCTTTATCTGTTAAACCATTCCTTCAACATGGTCTTTCTTTTCAGTCTACTCAAAGTAGATTCTAAAAATCTCTGCTGGCTGGGCGCGGTGGCTCATGCCTGTTT
The DNA here is from genome assembly GCF_000001405.40 of Homo sapiens. Taxonomy (NCBI): domain Eukaryota; kingdom Metazoa; phylum Chordata; class Mammalia; order Primates; family Hominidae; genus Homo; species Homo sapiens. The sequence goes on along the minus strand of NC_000001.11, from coordinate 160,111,370 downwards.
TCCCAGCACTTTGGGAGGCTGAGGTGGGTAGATCACCTGAGTCCATGAGTTCAAGACCAGCCTGGGCAACATGGTGAAACCTGTCTCTAATAAAAATACGAAAAAATTAGCTGAGCGTGGTGGCATGCACCTGTAGTCTTAGCTACTCATAAGGCTGAAGTGGGAGAATCACCTGAGCCCAGGGAGGTTGAGAGGCTGCAGTGAGCCAAGATTGCACCACTGTACTCCAGCCTGGGCAATCGAAGTGAGACCCTGTCTCAAAAACAACAACAACAACAACAACAACAAACAAAAAACAATAAACAGACAAAAAAAAACAATTCTTCTTCTCTCTCCCTTAAAAAAAAAGGACAGATTCTCACTCTGTCACCCAGGCTGGAGTACAGCGGCATGATCAACTGCAGCCTCGACCTCCTGGGCTCAAGCCGTCATCCTGCCTCAGCCTCCAGAGTTGTGCATCCATTGGCATGCGCCACCACACCCAGCTGGTTCTGTCATTTTAATCTCTCCCCAGAGTATTTTTATTATCCTCTTTATTGTTAAAACCACACTGTATAGAATTTAGAAAATAGGATGTAAAAGCACCCAGAAGCATTTTCCCCAGCCTCTGCCTGTGCTGCATTCCCACCTCCTTTCGTTCTTACTTCTCTCTGGATTCAGATAGCTCCATGTTGTGTTCTGCCTGTGCCTTCTTCACGTGGAAGTCCCAAGGGAGAAAAAGGAAAGGACCCATGGTGTAGCCCAGGGAACCCATGTCAACCCTTCCCAGGAGCATGAAGGCCTGGGCTATTCTGTGCCTCTGCTTTCCCTCCTGTCCTCTCACAGTCCCCACCGTGGTCCAATGCAATGGACTCTTGCCTGAAAGTCAAGTCAGCTGAGGCTAGTCCTGCTGAAGCCACTAACCACCTGTGTGATGTTGGACAAGAGGCTTCTCTACTCTGACCTTGGCATCTTCATCTGAATGACAAGGAACGGGATGAGAAAATCTGTGAGTAATTCCAGCACTTTGGGAGGCACGAGGTCAGGAGATTGAGACCATCCTGGCTAATGCGTGAAACTCCATCTCTACTAAAAATACACATGCACACAAAATTAGCTGGGCGTGGTGGCAGACACCTGTAGTCCCAGCTACTCAGGAGGCTGAGGCAGGAGAATGGCTTGATCCTGGGAGGTGCAGGTTGCAGTGAGCTGAGGTTGCGCCACTGCACTCCAGCCTGGGTGACAGAGCGAGACTCTGTCTCAAAAAAAGAAAAAAAAAAGAAAATCTCTGAGGTCCCTCTCCAGTTCTGATGATCCCCAAATTCCAGGCTATTTCTGCCTCAGCGCACAGCTCAGCTCAGGTAAACAGCAGGAGTTACCTGCAGGTTGTACCTGTGTGAGAACCATCAGTTGGAGACCTGGGTTCAGAAGGAGATCCAAGAGGGTAGGTTGTCCTGTCTTGTTTGTGAGCATGGAGGCAGGTGCTCCTATTTTGTTTATTATTATGACTCATAGAAATGAATCGAATCCCTTTAACTCTTGGCATGGAAAAAAGGAAGGGCTCCGGTTTGAGCAAAGGCTACCCTGGGTTCTTACAGAGCACCGCTGTGAGAGGTGGGACAGGGTCTGGGTATCTTTGGGGGAGGAAGGCAGGGCTGGTGGTGAGACTGGGAAAACCTGACATCTCTTGGCTGGTATCTGATCAGCAAATACCAGGGGAGTCTGTTTGCAAAGATTCTTTGGGCTGGGAAAAGTGTGTTGAGGATATGGGGAGGACGGGGTTAATGGGCCCTGCTGAGTGTGAGGAGCAAGGGTCACAGCTGGACCCTCCAGGGTTCCTGTTAGCCTTTGATTCCATCCGGGCAGGGAGGGAGAGGTCCCCCAGCCCCCTGAGGCAGGTTTGCTTTGGCCAGAGATCTGAACCAACCACTGGCCCAGAGCACCCCGCCTCCCCGCTCCCCCTATCAAGAGGCAGCTGGCTTGGCCCCCAGCCTCCTTCTTCCCACCTCCCTCTTCCCTTACCAGGCCCCCTCCACTTGGCCCAGGATACAGCTCTGTTTATCTGCCTGTCCCCTGTGGCATTCTGTATGCTCAGAGAGTTCAGGATGCCCTGCAAACATCTGGCACACAGGGCCACTGCCTCCCTCCCACATAGCAGCCTCTCCTCGGAATTTCAGGGAGCTTGGCCTCCTCTGTGCCTCAGTGTCTCTGAAAGTCCAAGATTCTTTTACTTTTGTGCTCCCCTCTGGATGTTCTCACCACTGCCCCCTTGAGGAATGTGAGTGCCCTCTGGGTGACTTAATAAACAGAACATGTGCTTTTTGATGTTATTGCATCATTTAGACATTCAACAAACATTTGTTGAGCACGTACTTTATGCTATATTCTGTGCAAGGTACTAGAAAGACAGTTACAATCAAGGCAAACAAGATCCCCACCCTCATTGTCTTTTCTCTCAGAATCTCATGCCATTTAGTCACAAAATCCCCCCATCCATTCTTGACCTTGTCCTCCCAAGCTCATAGTCCTTAGGGACTCCCCACTTCCATTTCCTCAAACTTTCCCCACTTCTTTACCTCTACTTTTGCTGAGTGAGGTTGAGTGGGCCTGGCTCTGCCTCCTGCCTAGATGATTCTCCCAACCCAATGACGCGGGAGCAAAGGCTGCGCAATGGCGTATTGGAAATCGTATTGGAAATCACTCTGGATTAGGCTAGAGGGAGGGCAGAGGCTTTCAGTGTGGGACTTGCTCTACAGTTAACCAGCTGTGCGCACTTGAATAAGTCCTTTACCTCTCGTCAATAAAGTAGTGGGTGGAGGGTTGGACTAGCTAAGGATTCTCACCCTTAGCTTCATGTTAACATCCCATGCCCAGGCCTCATCTTCAGGTACCATGTTTTTAATTGATCTAAGGTGGGGCTTAGGCATCAGTGTTTTGTTTTGTTTTTCGAGACTGAGTCTCACTCTGTCGCCCAGGCTGCAGTGCAATGGCACAATCTCGGCTCACTGCAACTTCCACCTCCCAGGTTCAGGCGATTCTCCTGCCTCAGCCTCCTGAGTAGCTGGGATAACAGGCATGCACCACCACACCTGGCTAATTTTTGTATTTTTAGTAAAGACGGGGTTTCACCACGTTGGCCAGGCTGGTCTCGAACTCCTGACCTCGTGATCCACGCACTTTGGCCTCCCAAAGTGCCGGGCTTACAGGTGTGAGCCACTGCGCCCAGCCGCATCGGTATTTTTTTTAACTCCCCAGATGAATCAACAGGCAGATTTGAGAACCACTGAACTATATTGTCCCTAAGATCTGTAGCTCATCATAGCTAACGGTTAGTGAGCACTTATTGTAGATTGCATGTTTGTGTCTCCCCAGAATTTACAGATTGAACCTCTGATGTGATGGTATTAGGAGGTGGGGCACTTGGGAGATAATTAGGTCATGAGGGTGGGATTAGTGCTCTTTTAAGAGGAGGCATGAGAGAGCTTTCTTCTTCTCTCTGCTGGCCATCATGTGGGGTACACAGCAAGAAGGTGGCTATCTGCAAACCAGGAAGGGACCCCTCACCAGATACTGGATCTGCCAGCACCTGGATCTTGGACTTCCCAGTCTCCAGAACTAATGAAGACAGCATGTAGTACTTAACTTAGTCCTCACAACTCTATTTTACAGATGGGAAAACTGAGGCACATAGATCCTCAGCTTACCCAAGTAGGGGGGCTGCGGTTCAAACCTGGTTAGTTTGTTTCCAGAGCCTGCACATTTAACTTCCATGCTGTAAGGACCCACTGAAGCTTCTCCTTTGGGTTCTTGTCCCCAGGAGTAAATGACCAGAACTGTCTGGATGCAGTGGTGACAGTGAGGAGTGCTCCAGAAGATAAAGGGGAAGAAAAAGTGCCAACTCTTGTGCATCTGTGTTGAGCCAGGTATTGCTGGCTGCTGGTTGCTCACCATAGCATTTAGAGGGTGGTGGGAGCCCAGAGAAGGGGGAGATGGTTCTCAGTTGGAAGAATCAAAAAGGTCTTCATGGAAGAGGTGGCATTCTAGTTGGGCCTGGACAGATAGGTAGGATCTGACTCAGAGAGATAAAGGAGAAGGAACAATGTGAGCACAGGCACAGACAGCAGAAGCACTCTGCACAAGGAAGGAATATGGGCGGTACTACTGGAAATAGATGTTGGAGCCATTTCATGGAGGGCCTTGAATGCCAGAGTAATTGCCACTCTAATTGCTAGTGTTTCCTAAAAAGGCTCTGATGATAAGAATCACCTGGGTGCTTGTTAAAACTATAAAAGAACAGGTACATTTCTTCAAGATTCTGATTCATGAGGGTGGGCGTGGAGAGTGGGAACCTGTATTCCTACCACCAAGCAAGTTTGAGAAATATCGCTATAAACAATATGGAGCCACTTAAAGTTTTTCAGCAGGGGAGTAATCTCATTGAAATTGCGTTCTAGGAAGGCTCATTTGATGGCAGGGTGTGTGCCTGTACGTGGACGGGATGTTGGGCTGGAAGGGAGAGACTGATGGGGGCTATAGGTGGTGAAGGTCTGGAGCAAGACAGAGAGGAGACAGGGATGGATGAAAAAGATGTTTGGGAGGTAGAATTTCAGTATTTGGCAGCTGATTGGACATCAGAGTAAGGAAGGAAGCCGTTGGAGATGGTGGGGGTGGTGAGGACGTTGGTGCAAAGTTAACTAAAATAAGGGTAGGGGAGAAAGGAGATTGGGAAATAAGCCGCAAGTTTGCATGGGGGCATATGAAGGTTGAGGTGCTCCAGGCAGGGCTTCAGATGAAGGCACGTGGGGGGTGATAGAAATGGGGACTGGAGCTTGGGAGAGGGCATGGGCCATGGGAATCCCCTGCATGGAGGGGAACACTGAGCCAGGAGAGCAGAGGAGATGGCCCAGGCAGGGGAGCTAGAGGACAGAGGTCTGAGGATCCTGGGTAGTAACACCTATGGTAGAGGAAGAGGATCTGGAAGATGGCAAGGTAGGGAAGCCAGAGAGATGGAGAATTAGGCCGAGTAGAGGGGCCAGGAAGCTGAGAGAGGAACAAGTTTTAAGGGGCAAAAAACTAACAGTTTCAGATTTCAGATGCCAGGGGGAAAGGAAAGCTGGTCACTTTTTTTTTTGTCAACTCAGAGGTCACTGGTGTGTCCTTTGGGAAAACCATTTCCATGTCAGGTTGAGTTTGGAAATAAACCTGTGAAGCGTTGAGGAGTGTGGTGAGGAAGCTGAGGCAGGGCGTAGGTTATCCTCTCCCAAGGGGATTGTGGGAGATGGAAGGGGAAAGAAGACTGGGTAAACTGAGACAGCAGATGGAGGAAGCAGTGAACAGTAGAGACCCATTTAGAAGTCTCCTCTCCTTTGCCACTGGTCCCACTGCGCCTGTGGGCCCTAGCTTTGATCATAATGGGGCACCATGACACACATGTTTTCATTTCATCTTCACAACAATCCTTAAAAAATAATGAGATCGGTACTCTAGTAATTCTCACTTTACAGATGATGACACTGAGGCTAGAGAAAGTGAGTAACGGGATTCAGGCTACACAGCTGGCAAATTCAGGTCTGTGCTGTCTGCTTCTGAAATCCCAGCCCCCAAGCTTTTTACTTAATTGAAAACACAGAAGCTTTATTTCTTACGCCTGAGCTCCTGATTGGTAACCTGGCTCATCCCCTGATTTCCAGGTTCGTTCTGGCCAGTCCCCTTTCCCCAGGGCTATCCAGTTCAGGAGCTGGGATCCTTCATGCCAGTGCTCAGGGCCTCAGTACCAGCTGGATTCCCTGTCACCCTGCCCTGCTGGCTGGTTGGACCTCTACATCTTTGTTGTCTCCCAGCTCCTTCTGAGGACAATAATTTGTATGGTATAGATGCGGCCCGCAACATGGCTGAAGGCTTGTGCTGTGGAGTCAGAATGCCCGGAGAAGAAATCCTAGGTCTACCACTAATTGGACACATTTTTTTTTGAGACAGGGTCTTGCTGTGTTGTCCAGGCTGGAGTGTAGTGGTGCAACTGTGGCTTACTGCAGCCTCACCTTCCTAGGCTCAAGCAAACCTCCTGCCTCAGCCTCTTGAGTAGCTGGGACTATAGTTGGTGCCCACCATGTCTGGCTCGTTGTTTGTTTTTTTGAAAAATTTTTAGTAGTGACAGGGTCTTGCTATGTTGCCCAGGCTGGTCTGGAACACCTAGGCTCAAGCAATCCTCCGGCCTTGGCCTCCCAAAGTGCTGGGATTACAGGTGTGAGCCACTGTGCCTGGCTTGGGCAAATTTTTTAGCTTTTCTGAACTTCAATTTTTTTTAACAGCTCTAACTTATAGAGTCATTTTGAGAATTACAGTGCCCAGTGAAGGTTAGCAATTATTTTATGCCCTTGATTTCCAATGTCCTGGCCTTCAGACTGTGATTTCTTTTTCAGCTTGATCTGATCTCCAGCGTCCTTCCCGCCCTACAGGACAGAACTCAGCCCTTCCTAGGCTGCTTAGGAAGCCAGCCTGGTTGTTTCCTGAGGGGTGGAAGGTTCAGGTTCTGAAATAAGAGGAGGAACTTTCTATCAGCTGTAGATGGAAGTGACTAGTGTATGATGGACTCCAGAGGAACTAACAGTGTCCACTGTGGAGGTGACATGACCACAAGAGAGGAAGGGCCCAGATTCCTTCTCTTGTCACTCGGCATGTCCTCACTTCCTCAGTCACACAGCAAATGTCTGTTGAGCTTCTACTCCTTGCCAGGAAACTCTGTAGGCTTTGGGGAAAGGCAAAAAAGAGTTAACAGTGGCTTTGAGAAGCTCACAGCCAGGATGGAGAGGCAGATATAAACAAGCACTGTAATTACAATGCAGAGTGGGAAACTCTACCAAGGAGCTGAGAACAGGGTGCAGTGGGAGCAAGGGGGTGGGTCGCGTTAGCATCAAAACTCTGGGCCCCCGCTCTCTCCCATGGCCAGCTCGGTCACCCCCACTGTTCCATCTGTTTCTTTGTTTTTTCAGAGTCTTTATTTCTGGCTTTGTTTTCCCTTCACTTTCCTAATAGAGAGCCTTTGGAAAAATTCCACCCTTGTTTCAGTTGGAACAGGGAAAAGGAGAATTGTCTACTCTTCAGCCAAAATAACCAAGGGGTGCCGGGTTCCTGGAGAGTCCAGGTGGACAAGCAGAGGAAGCAGGGACTGTCCCGAGGGAGCCAGGGGAGAGCCTGCAGCGCGGCAGGCATGGGGCAGGGAGAGGTGAAAACACAGGATGAGCTGTGCCTGGCTGGAAGGCCCAGGTGGCTGTGTGCCTCGAGTCCTCTTCCAGAGCTCTCTCTGCATCTCCTGTCCTCTGTTCTGATTGGAAGAGAGAGTTGAGACTTCTTCCACTTCAGAGAATCCTGTAAAGCCTGGTTACATTGCTCTTTTCCCACCCAGGTAGCTGTGAAGGGCTGGGACCCCAGAGTTAGAAGTGAGTCTTTGACATTATTCACAGCAGAGGGCTGTGTATGTGTGTGTCTGTGTGTGTGTGTGTGTGTGTGTGTGAAATCCCTCCTTTCCCCTCCCTCTTTCCCCATACCACCACACACACAACGCTCATTGTTCCCTGGGCCTTCAATTCTGCATTCATCCATTCAACACATATTTATTGAACACTCACTATGTGCTGGAAGCTGGAGCTGTGTAGTGGAAAAAGTTATTTCAGAAGGTTGCATAGGCACCAGATATGCATGTGTGTGCCTGAATATATGCACATGTATGTATGAATCAATGTGGGCAGGCTAGGGAAACAGGAGGAAGAAGGGAAGAAGAATGTTTGGGAAACTGAAGTTTGGGCATCAGGTAGCTTGCATTTGCATCTGGGTGCTACCATTTGCTAGCTGTGTGACCTCGGGTAAATTATATGAGCTTTCTGTGCTTCTGTCTCCCAGCTGTAAAATAGAGATACTCGTAGTATTCACCTCATGGGGTTGTTGTGAAAGCTGAATGAATGAATGTGCACAGAGTGTGTGCAACGGTGCCCAGCATGAAGTAGGTGCTCTGTAGGTATTAGTAATTGTTCCCTTCTCACCCCACTCAGAGCTGGGTGGAGACAAACTCGTAAATGACTGGCAGTCACCTGGTGCTACCCACCTCCTGCCCCCTGAGGCTCATCTACAACACTCAGCCCACAAACCTCTGTCTAACCAAACCACTGCCATCTCCTGCCCTTGGCTGACCCCCACCCCACCCTAGGCTGCTCAGGGTAGAGAAGAAGTAATATCACACAGTGGGGGTTGCTTCAGTCCCACGCTACCCTCCAGACATATATCTGAGCTGTCAGTTCCCTCTTAGCAGACTGGGAATGGAGAAGTGGGATGGGTGAGCATCTGGGGCGGAGCCCAGGCTCCCAGCACCCACCCGATGGGACTGGGGAACAAAGAACTTGTCAGGAGGTCAGAAGGGAGACCGAGGGGATTCCAGCTCTGAGGAATCCATGTGTGGCATTTGAGCGTGGGTGGCAGCTGGCACGAATCCTTGGTTCAGAACTGGCAGGGCCCCCTCAGGAGTCAGGGCCAGGTCGTGCCAAAGCCCCAGTGGCATCGCGGCTCTGCTATTCCTGAACAGCTGTGCTGCTCCCCTTGGCATAGGGTTCAAGAATGGGGGCAGGAGTGTGGGCCTAGCCAGGGAAAGAGGAGGGTTCAGAGAGTAGACACACACACACACACACACACACACACACACACACACACACACAGTTCACCATGAAGGTGCAGATGCCTGGCTCAGGGAGAAAAGAGGGGAGGGAGAGGGTGGAAAGCGAATGTGTGTGTGTGTGTCGGGGGGGAGATGGCTTTGTGGTTCTGTGAGTGTGTTTGGTGTTTGGGTGTGCATAATGTCTCTGTGTTTATCTTTGTGTGTGCACTTCTGTTTCAGTGTGTCTCTGAATGAGTTTGTTATCAGGGCGAGGGTAGGTTTCTGCACTACTTCTGTCTCTGACTCTGCTTGAGCCTCTCAGCAACTCAGCAGAGAGAATCTTCCCTTCTGGGAGGGTGGGAAAATATAGCTCATCAGGGCAGTATGGGCCAATGCTTTATAAACACACACAAATCACAGGACATTCTTGTGTGTGATCCTTAGCTCCCCACAAAGCTACGGTTGATACACATTTAAAAGAGAGAGAGCTGAGTCCTATGTGTATGCTTGTGCCATTTCTATATGTCTGACAGTCTGACGAGCATGTGTGCTTATGTATTTGATGTATTTGTCACTTTGTCCCCACGGCAGTATCTGTGTCTACAGCTTGGTGTATACTCATGTGTGCTAAGCCCATATTTAACTGTGTCCCTAGTGACGTTTGTCTTTAAGCAGCAACATAACAGGAGTTAGAAGCACAGGCTCCACAGTGAGGCGATCCATTTCGAATCCCTGTGTGGACAGTAACTAATGCATTAACCTTGGACAAGTTTCTTAACTTTTCTATGCCTCAGTTTTCTCACAGGGATAATAATAGCACATGAGGATAAATGAGATCACATTTAGTGCCTGACACAGGTCAGCATATGTGAATGGTCCTGTCTTTGAACGTGCTCCTCTCTGAGAGCTGTCTGCTTGGTTGTGACTGTGGTGTGTCACATCTCAGCTGGATTATAAACTGCTTTTGGGCAGAGCGTGGGTCTCAATTATCTTTAACAATACTCATGACACCTCAGTGTCACCTTGGTGTCTTGTGTATATGTCATCTTGAGGTGAAATGAGACCTGTTTCATGTGAAACAGGACGGGTGTCGGATGCAGGCCCATGCCTGGGGTAGTACATGGAGGGCAGGTGGGAAGCTGGTGATGGCAGTGACAACACAGCCCAGCCGGGCATCAGGGTCCCTCATGGTCACTACTGCATACCTGCCAGGTCTCTCTGCAAACCCAGGCTCCCTCCTCCTTCGTGTCTCAGTCTGGCCTGGAAACTCACTGAAGGGCTTCCTTCCTCCTTTCTCTGCTCACCCCACCCTCGGGCACCAGCCTAGGTGTGTGTTTTTAATGGATGAGATGAGTGCCCTCCAATCTACACCATGCATCGCTGTTTTGCAGCTTGTGTGTGTTTGCCCATGGCTCTGTGGGGGTGTGTTTCTGGGAGCCGTCTTTCTGTCTGATCCCCGCTCCATTACAGTGGGGACATGTGTCTGTGTGTGTGACGTGCCTCGTGCCTGGGGTTTGTTCTCCTCCCCCAGCTTTCCCAGTTACATAAGCAGCTGAGGGGTCCGTCAGGCCTGGGCTGTGGGCTCCCTCTGCTGGCCGCCTCTGGAACCCGCAGTCTGGGTTCCAGAGGGGCCTGGGTTCCAGAGGGGCCTGCTGAAGACACTGTTCTCTCCTTGGGCCTTATCCCCTCTGGAGGGAGACACCAACCCAGTTCTCAACGCCAACCTGCCCCCAGCTCCTTCCCAGCCCCAGGCCACAGGGTAAGAGAGGATACCTCACCTCCCTGAAGACCCCTCTCATCATACTCATACTGGGGGTTGGTTATGACTTGTTTATGAAATGTATCCCTAACATATAGAACTATGTTCCCTGAGGGCAGGGGAGCAGGCCCACCTTGTTTACCATGGCATCTCCAGTGCCCAGTACAAGGCCTGGCCCAATCAATATTTGTTGAATGACTGAGTTTACAGGGTGGAGAGGCTTGGGAGGAGGGACAGTGAGGTGTAGGAAGATTTGGGGCTTTGGGGACAGACAGACAAGCCTGGGCTGAAGTCACCCCTAAGCCACTTAAAAACTGTGTGGCCTTGGGCAAGGTACTTAACCTGCCTAACCTCAAGTTTCTCTTCTGTTAAATGACACCACCTTGCAAAATATGCTATAAGGACTAGGACTAATATCCAAAAGGGCCTTCTTGTGTAAGCATTTCATAAATGACATCTATCATTATTACAATTGGTAACATCTTTCATCCCTCAAGCATCATGAAGGCATTAAATCCACTCGATAATTAAATCCATTATAAAGGGAGAGACGTATTCTTCCAAAAGCTTCCCCTATGAGTTTCAGTTTTCACATAGCTCGATATGCCTGTGGATGGATTTAGATGATGAGGTTCTGGAGCAACCTTCTGGATATTTCAAAGTGGGAATAAACAGGCACCTTATTGCCCTGTTCATGGGCCAGTGCTGGCAGTCCTGGGAAGTGAGGGCTGGACCTCTGATCTCCCTTCAAGGCCTCAGTTTCTCTGGTTTCTCCAGGGTTCCTCAATGTGGCTTCTACTGGCAACCCCGTGAGCATCTTCTCAGAGTCAGGCACTGTGCCACGCTTGAGGAATACCATGTCAAGGAAGGTCTGGTCTGGCCTGTGCCACTTACCCTCTCTGGGCCTCAGTTTCCTCTTCTGTAAAGGGGGGTGAGTGAGTGGGAGGGAAGGGGGATGAGAGGGGAGAGGGAGGATGTTGGAGGGTAGAGGGTGGTAAATGGGCTCTGGGGTCACCTCCCACTGACAGCCACTCTGACAGCCTTGGCTTTGCAAACCTGGCCATCTCTTCTCCCCATTCTGGTCTCATCCTTCCTGCCCCTGCCCACTTCCCATCTTTACAGTTCAGGAAGAGACAGAGCACCTGGGAAGGGTGCCTCCTCCATTCTCCCACCTCCAGGGCAAGCCCCACTCTTCCTAGAACAGAGCAATGTTCATCTCTTCCCACTGTCACTGAACATAGAGACTCCTTCACCTAAATGCCAGGTCTAAACTAAGCCTCTTAGGAAGCAGTTCAAATAATAATTCAAAACCTAAAACAAAATAATCCTTATCTCCCATTTTGTGTTAGTTTCCTGTGCCAAACACTTTATGTACATTACCTATCATCACAATAACCCTTTGGGTGATGTGATCAACCTCAATTCAATTTGCAGAGGAGAAAACTGAAGTTGAAGGAGGTTAAACAACTGGGCTAGGATCACCCAACCCAGAAATGACGTCACATGGACGGCCCCCTCTCCTAATCCATTTTTCTTTTGGTTTTGCCCTCTGAGGGGGTGAAAAACAGGTCTCCAGTGACCTTCTGGATCCTGGAAGCGCCCTTCAGCTCAAACCCTTCGCATTCAGGAACTCCTGGCTTCCGCCAACCCCTACTTCAGCAGGGTTTGCAGCGAGGACTATGGCTCAGAGCAAATAACTGAATTCTAAATGCGTGGTCACAGTCACCTCGCCAATCCCAGGGACCCTGCACCCAACTCTCCAGGAAAGGCTGGCAGGTGCGGGGTGGAATGCGCTCTGTGCGAGGGTGGGTGGGAATTTCGATGCGCAGAGGTGCAGTTAGCTCACTCCTGCGGGGGCCTCGGGCGGAGCCAGGGCCAGGGGCGGGGCGAGGCCGGGGTCCAGGGCGGAGCCAGGATTGGAGGCTGACGTTAGCCCTGCGGGGACGGGGAAGGGGTGCGGCTTGGGACTGGGGCGGGGCCGGGGCCCGGGGAGGAGCCAGGATTGGAGTCCGACTGTAGTCCTGGTGGGGCGGGGCGGGGGAGGGGCCGGAACTGGGGCTGGGCCGAGGCCCGGGGCGGATCCAGGGCTGGAGTCTTGGCGGGGCGGGGCGGGGAGGGGCGGGGCCGGGGCGGGGCTGGGACTCGATGCGACTCAAAGGTGAGTTTCGAGGGGCGGGGCGGGGCCGGGGCCAGGTGCGGAGCAAAGGCCGGAGTCTGGCGGGGGTGGGGCAGGCAGGGCCAAGGCTGGGTCCGGGGCGGGGCGGGCCTAGACGGGGCGGTGGAAGGGGCGGTGCCGGGGCGGGCCGGGGCGAGAATGGTTTCAGAACTGCCGAGGGCTGGAGGGAAAGCAGCGGGAGGGGCGGAGGGAGGGGATTCGGCAGCTCCAGTTCAGCTCGCTCGGCGCACCCACGCCTCGCTGCCCCGCTTCCTGCCCTCAACCTGGGCATGCGCCCCCCACCCTTCCGGCCCCCCAGAACCCGCGCCATCCCCCGGAGCCTCCCCAGAGCTGGCCGCGCAGGATGGGCGCCCTCAGGCCCACGCTGCTGCCGCCTTCGCTGCCGCTGCTGCTGCTGCTAATGCTAGGTAAGCCAGGCCCCCGTTCCGGTTCCCGGCCCTGCCGGGCAGGTGCCTGCCATCCAGCACCCCCCTAGCATTTCGGGGCTCCTCACATCCTCCTCCGTCAGGGGTACCTCCAGCCTCCCCGGGGTCGGCGTCCAGCTGCGCTTTGTGGCTGTCCGCCGAGCCAGTCTTGGGAAGAGTGCAGGCTCCCCAGCTCTAAGCCAGGGACTGGGGCGTAGAGAGGACCCACTAAGGTGCTGCCCCAGGCACTGCTCGGCCTCCCGGGGCAGGCCACACATCTCAGCTAGCATACCCACGTACTGGGGTCGCTGCACCAAATGCTGCGACTCCTTTCTGCCCCACACTCAGCTCCAGGCCTGGCCTTGGGTGCCCGCCCTACGAGGGCAGTGCCTGCCCAGCTTCATAATTGCCCCAGAGTTGGCTGGAGGCCCAGAGGCCAGTTCTGCCCACGATCTTTGAAGTAAGTCTCTCCCAGTTGCGCTCCACGCACTTCATCAACTGGGGGCAGTTCCCTCTCTCACCCCCATCTCCACCCTGGGTTGGGTCCCTCTTTGCCCTTCTTCCTGTCTCCCAAATGGCACTTGGCTCTGCAGCCACCCATCAGTTTTCACACCGCTTAGTTCCAGCTTCCTTGCCTCAGGAGAAACCAGGTTCCATGGAGACTGATCCTGGGATCTCCAAGCACCTTGTGCCTGCTGTGGTGGGTGTTCATGGTGGGGTGTTCTGGGCCAATCTTGCATGGATGCATGGGGATAATGACAGTGGAATTGTTTTTGGCCTGAACTGGAGGGCTCCCTGTAGGAGGTGGTCTGGGGAAGAGTATGGCATGGAGACAGTGAAACTGCCAGTACAGATGTTGATGAGGCTGAAGCCCTTGAAATGAGAGTGAAGCGTGGGGGTGGGGATGGTGACTTCAGAGCTGCTGTCGTCAAGGCAGAGGCTGAAGGTAGCCCCAGCTGCCTGTTTCTAGACCAGAGCTCCACAGTGGCACCAAGCAAAGCCTTCCCCTGCTGCAGGTCCCTGGGCCCTGCAGGGTTAGGATGAGTCCTCTCCCTGGTCCCTGGGCAGGTGGCAGGAGGATGTACAGAGAGGAAGGCGCTGTGGGGCCTGGGTTGCCTAGCACTTGGTGTGTTTTCCCCAGTGGGCAGCATGGAGCAGGGAGGAGCCCAGGGAGGTGGGGAAGTGCTGGCCTGTGTTTGAAAAAGGAGCACGCAGAGGTCTGAGCACCCACTGCCTGTGGGCACTTACATTCATTTCACAAATGAGGAAAATGAAGTAACTTGCCCCAGAGAGCACATTTAGTGAGTGTTGGGGCTAGGATTTGAACACAGATCTGATTCCAAAGCAGGCCTCTTTGCTGTCCCTTTCCTTGCTGCGACTGATACAGAGGAGGGGAGAGAGAGCTGTGTGGCAACTGATTTCCTAAGGCTGTGGAGGTGACTTTCCCATGGGCATCTCCAAGCATCAGCAGTTGTGGAGCCAGGAAAATGGGAGGGGGCCTTCTGAGCAGTCTGCCCTGAGGCAGTCAGGGAAGGTGTCAGCTTGGCTGTCTCCACCGTCACTCTGATTATGAAACTTGCCTGGCCTGGGGCAGGGCTCTCCTGAGTCACATACGCACTCACACATGGTCAGAGCTGGAGCTCTTAGTTCTCCTCCAGTGTGGAAACTGAGGCCTAGGACAGAAAGAGACTGGATCCCAGGCCACACAGCTGGGCATGGGGATGGTGCTGGAATCCCACTTCCTGACTGGCAGCTGTGCCCTTAACAACAGACCATGAGTTCTCCCTGTGACCCAGCCAGAGGATGAAGGAAGGGGCTAGGAGCCCAGAAGCAGGGGTGGGGAAGTTCAGAGGAGCCGTTCTAGAGAAGCTGGAGGGTAGAGTTTGACCACAGACTCCTGGGCATTTTCCTCTAGCTCCTGCAGAAAGTCCATGGTATCCCCCTGGGAGGCCTAAAAGTGACACTCTGGTTGGTGAGGTCAGTCCCTTCAGGCCTGGCCTTGGAGTTTCCCCATCTTCCTCTCTGGTTTTGCCCCTCTGGAGGAGTGTGTGGAAGCCATCTAGGGACAGCATGATCTTGGCTAACATATTATACTTTTCCTGCCTTACCTTTCTCATCTGTAAAATTGGGAGAGGTGGGGAGGGGTGGCCTAGCCCTCTTTACATTGAGGTTCTGTGATCTTATCTAGTGGGAGCTATGGAAGGAAAGAAGGGAGGAGCTAAGCCCTCTAAGTCTGCCAGGAGTATCTGCTGGGGTAGGGTTGGGCATAGGGGTGGAGTAGGGTGAAGAAGAGAGGTTTGGCCTTTCTGAAGGGAGAGAGATGAGAAGGGGCAGCTGGGGATTTAGTGCCTCCCTACAGAAAGAGAGCCATATATGTAAATGAATGCATACCATGTGCAAATGAAGGCTTTTGTTAAGGAACTGGGGCAGGCACCTTCTGTATCTGCTGGGCTAGCCCGGAAGGTTGGCAGGCACTGGAGGAGGGGATCTTCTGCCCCCAATGGCCAGGGCAGAGCCTGGATCTTGCCCCAGAAGCCCCAGCTGCCTGGGCAGCCCTGTGGGGTGAGAGAAGCAGTGAGCTCATGGCGCAGCTGGAGAGGGGAGGGCATTGTGTGGTGAGAACTGACTGGGCCTGTGCCCTTTCCAGCTAGGGTCACTGGCTCCATTGTCTCGCCCAGGTGACACAGCTGAGCCAACTAGCACTTCTGAGCAAGACTGCCAGCTCCCCTCAAGCAAAGGAGAGGGACATGTAGTCTCAGAGTCCCCTAGCCAGAAGGCTCCCCTTGCCAGGTGCTGAGGAAGGAATGGCAGACATGGAGGTGGGTGAGTGGCAGGGACAGATCAAGGTTCAGTTGGAACCAAGGCCTGGTTAGGTCAGGAATCAGATGTACTCCTTTCTGCCTTCAGGTGCTCTGCTTCTAGTCCGCCAGAAATGGGATGCATCTGGATGCCAAGGCAATCCTGGGCCCATGCCACCTCCTTGAGATCCAGGTGTCTTATATCACAGCATCCCTTTCCTATTCTCAGAACAGGGTCCAAGCTGTGGACAAGCTTTCCCAGGTCTCCTTTCCTTTTGTAGGCAGAGATCAAGAATGGTGCTTGTGGCGGCAGAGGGCATGGAATGAGGAACCAGGCATCTCCAACTCCTTCTGCCTTTCCCTACAGGAATGGGATGCTGGGCCCGGGAGGTGCTGGTCCCCGAGGGGCCCTTGTACCGCGTGGCTGGCACAGCTGTCTCCATCTCCTGCAATGTGACCGGCTATGAGGGCCCTGCCCAGCAGAACTTCGAGTGGTTCCTGTATAGGCCCGAGGCCCCAGATACTGCACTGGGCATTGTCAGTACCAAGGATACCCAGTTCTCCTATGCTGTCTTCAAGTCCCGAGTGGTGGCGGGTGAGGTGCAGGTGCAGCGCCTACAAGGTGATGCCGTGGTGCTCAAGATTGCCCGCCTGCAGGCCCAGGATGCCGGCATTTATGAGTGCCACACCCCCTCCACTGATACCCGCTACCTGGGCAGCTACAGCGGCAAGGTGGAGCTGAGAGGTACTGGGCCCTGGGACGGGGTGGAGCCACACACCCTCTCAAGGCAGAAAGTCAAGGCCACAAGTGACCTATCTAGTTGCCCCTTAGGTTTTGTAGCCAAGGAACTTGAGGCCCAAAGAGGTTAAGTGATTTGCACAAAGTCACCCAATAACTCAGTGGCTGATGTGGGACTCAAACCCAGAGTTCCTCACCCAGGCCAGTGCTCATCTTATCATATTAAGACCCCTCCTGGGAGAAGAAATGTCCTTAAGTTGTCCAGTCCACTTTCCATTCCCAAGAACGAAGAAGACTGTTGGGTTGAATAGCCTCTACTCCTGGACAGTACAGGACCCAGATCTGGGAAAGAGAGTAGAGTTAGGGAAGGAGTTAGACCATGTGACATTCTCACTCTCTTAAGTTTCTTTGTCTTCTGAGAAGAAAGAGCCGCTTTTCTCAGTATTTCAAACAGAGGTCAGTCTCAAACATAAGGGTGAGTAGGCGATGGGCTGGTTCTATGAAATTCTACAAGTATTTATTGAGCGCCTGTGCTGTGCCCAGTACTGCCCTTGGCACCACTGAGTTACAGAAGAAATAATACAACATGCGATCTTTGCCCTCTGGGAGCTCACAGTTTATTTAGGGAGATAGGCTATACACAGGAAACAGTAACAAGGGCTGCCAGCTCCCAGCCCTCCCTCACTCCAGCTGTTCTCTCCAGTTCTTCCAGATGTCCTCCAGGTGTCTGCTGCCCCCCCAGGGCCCCGAGGCCGCCAGGCCCCAACCTCACCCCCACGCATGACGGTGCATGAGGGGCAGGAGCTGGCACTGGGCTGCCTGGCGAGGACAAGCACACAGAAGCACACACACCTGGCAGTGTCCTTTGGGCGATCTGTGCCCGAGGCACCAGTTGGGCGGTCAACTCTGCAGGAAGTGGTGGGAATCCGGTCAGACTTGGCCGTGGAGGCTGGAGCTCCCTATGCTGAGCGATTGGCTGCAGGGGAGCTTCGTCTGGGCAAGGAAGGGACCGATCGGTACCGCATGGTAGTAGGGGGTGCCCAGGCAGGGGACGCAGGCACCTACCACTGCACTGCCGCTGAGTGGATTCAGGATCCTGATGGCAGCTGGGCCCAGATTGCAGAGAAAAGGGCCGTCCTGGCCCACGTGGATGTGCAGACGCTGTGTAAGTGCCACTTATACATCCCACTGTGGGAGCTGGGAGGGACAGTATCCTGGTGGGCACTGTGGCCACAGGGGGTACCAGATAGCCATCATCTGACTCCAAGGAACTCATCTTCCACAGAGTGAGCAGCCTTGCTAGCATTTCTCTCCCCCGGCCCTTGATGGGTTTTCTCTGCTCAGAAATTGGGTATAGAGATAGGAGGCCCATGCTGAGGGGTGAGATTCAAGCCCCTAAATAGAAAGATGGTCATACCTAGTGAGGGGGAGACAGGAGGTTTTGAAGTTGCTGCTGTCAAGTAGGAAACAGGAAGTTGGGGAATCGGGTGCCTCTGTGTCCCCTCCTGCCTCCATGACACCTCTTCCCCTACCTGTGTTTCAGCCAGCCAGCTGGCAGTGACAGTGGGGCCTGGTGAACGTCGGATCGGCCCAGGGGAGCCCTTGGAACTGCTGTGCAATGTGTCAGGGGCACTTCCCCCAGCAGGCCGTCATGCTGCATACTCTGTAGGTTGGGAGATGGCACCTGCGGGGGCACCTGGGCCCGGCCGCCTGGTAGCCCAGCTGGACACAGAGGGTGTGGGCAGCCTGGGCCCTGGCTATGAGGGCCGACACATTGCCATGGAGAAGGTGGCATCCAGAACATACCGGCTACGGCTAGAGGCTGCCAGGCCTGGTGATGCGGGCACCTACCGCTGCCTCGCCAAAGCCTATGTTCGAGGGTCTGGGACCCGGCTTCGTGAAGCAGCCAGTGCCCGTTCCCGGCCTCTCCCTGTACATGTGCGGGAGGAAGGTGAGAGGGGGCTGGGCCCTGGACGGGGTTCGAGGATTGTCAACCCCTTTTCCTTCTGTTTCCATGACCCCTCCCTCTCCGTCAGCTGTTTGCAGGCCACAGCCTCACGCTCCTCTTCTACCAAGATTGTGGGAATACCCTGAGTTTCCTGGGGCGGTGCTTGGCGGCAGCCCTAACCCCATGCTCCCTGGCCCTGCACCCTCTGACCCCATGTCCTTTGTTCTGCAGGTGTGGTGCTGGAGGCTGTGGCATGGCTAGCAGGAGGCACAGTGTACCGCGGGGAGACTGCCTCCCTGCTGTGCAACATCTCTGTGCGGGGTGGCCCCCCAGGACTGCGGCTGGCCGCCAGCTGGTGGGTGGAGCGACCAGAGGACGGAGAGCTCAGCTCTGTCCCTGCCCAGCTGGTGGGTGGCGTAGGCCAGGATGGTGTGGCAGAGCTGGGAGTCCGGCCTGGAGGAGGCCCTGTCAGCGTAGAGCTGGTGGGGCCCCGAAGCCATCGGCTGAGACTACACAGCTTGGGGCCCGAGGATGAAGGCGTGTACCACTGTGCCCCCAGCGCCTGGGTGCAGCATGCCGACTACAGCTGGTACCAGGCGGGCAGTGCCCGCTCAGGGCCTGTTACAGTCTACCCCTACATGCATGGTGAGTGACACCCCCTCCACCCTCCTCACTCTGCCTTCCTCCTGGCCTCTGCCACTGGCCTTCCCTTCCCATCTTCTGACCCTCCTGCTACTATCTCTCTCCTCCACATTATGTCACATGAAGTCTCAAAAAATCCAACTTCCAGCCCTGCAGTGCCCACCTGCACGGGGTCCTCTGTGGTTGATGCTGACTTGCATGCTGAGGGGGCAGGCTGTGGGCAGGGATGGGGGTGTCTGTGAATGGAGAAGGTGGGTTCAGAGAACTTGATGGGGAAAGCGCAGAGGCAAGTGTATGGGTGGAGGATGATGGCATCCTCTCTGAACAGTCATCCTCTCTCCCCCAGCCCTGGACACCCTATTTGTGCCTCTGCTGGTGGGTACAGGGGTGGCCCTAGTCACTGGTGCCACTGTCCTTGGTACCATCACTTGCTGCTTCATGAAGAGGCTTCGAAAACGGTGATCCCTTACTCCCCAGGTGAGGGAAAAGAACCCCCCAACCTTGTTTTCATTGGGCTTCCCACCCCCAAGTCCTGAACCAAGCTGCTCCCTCCCAGGCCCCACCTGGAGGAGGAGTAGGCAGCTCAGATCCACAGGGCCCTGTTAAGGGGTGGAGGCCGCGAGGGAGCCCCACTCAGGGCTCTCTGTCCTTAGCCCACACCGGGCACCCTTTTCAGGTCTTGCAGGTGTCGACTGTCTTCCGGCCCAGCTCCAAGCCCTCCTCTGGTTGCCTGGACACCCTCTCCCTCTGTCCACTCTTCCTTTAATTTATTTGACCTCCCACTACCCAGAATGGGAGACGTGCCTCCCCTTCCCCACTCCTTCCCTCCCAAGCCCCTCCCTCTGGCCTTCTGTTCTTGATCTCTTAGGGATCCTATAGGGAGGCCATTTCCTGTCCTGGAATTAGTTTTTCTAAAATGTGAATAAACTTGTTTTATAAAAAGCAGGCTTGGCTGTGTCTTCCCTACCATGAGACTGTAAAACGCTCAGGGTGCATAGTAGGGAGGTGGTTGGGGATTGACAACCTATTCTGGATGACCCAGGCCTCTCTTCCCACCACAAACACCATCTGGCCTCCATGGGCCATGCCACCCACCCCAGGAGGGGACACCTGGGTTCCATCTGCAGCCTGAACTGTCGGGGCTGAGACAACTCCTGATTGGACTCCTACTTGGGGAGGGAAGCATAGAAAAGGAGGGTAGGTTCCAGCTGCCTGTGGTCACCCCCGCACCAGCTTCTCCCATGTTAAAGGGCATGGGCCTCCAGGGGCAGTGCCTTTTCTGAGCTTCCCAGACTTTCCCCAACTCTTCCCACGTCTCATTCTCCTGGTCAGGCTAGTCTTGGACCTGACTCCTCCCACTAGGCCCTGGGGCTGAAATTGTTGTTCCTTCTGACCCATAGCAGCAGAATAGAAGCCTCAGAACACAACTGATACTCAGGCTGGGACAACAGGCAGTCAGGGGAGGGCCTGTGTGTCCACAGAGCCATTGCACCCACATGTACTCGCTGTACCTGCATATACCCTCTACCCGCATATACCCACTACACCTGCATATACCCGCTTCACCTGCCTGTACCTACCCTGGGGTCTCCTCCCTCCCACCCTTCAGCTTCACCCCTCCTCCAGTGCCCCAGGAGTTTCATGAATTTTCTTGCCTAAGGATTCTCTGATCCTAAAATTCTTACCTGCACGGCACCTTAAGAGGCATCTGGCAGGCCTCCTTCAGTTGTTATTTAAACATTTATTGAGCATTACGAGTTTGCTGTCATTTTTACAGATGAGGAAACTGAGGCCCAGATATGCGATTTGCCCAGAGTCATAGAGCTAATTAGCAAGTGTCAGGAGTAGGACCTAGGTCTCCTGACTTGTTGCACTGTACAGTGGTGCCCTGAGTGGTGACAGTGGCGAGGAGAGGTGTGGCAGGGTCTCAGTGACTTCAGCAGGCAGGAGGGGCCTTTCCAGACTGAGTTTCTCTGCTTGTTCAGCTGCAATGGGTTGGCTCCTGTGTGAGTGCGTGTGTGTGGATACCAAGTAGCCCACCCGCTCTTGTCCAGACCCCCCTGTTTTACTGAAACCCAAATGAATCCCCATTCTCCATCCCAACATCTGTTCTTAGGGGACCAGTCAATGCCAGGCTTCAGGAATCTCATCTTTGATGACAGGGCCCCAGTGGCCCTGTGACCTGAGGCAAAGATATCCGTGTTTTGACTGAAAGGAAGGGACTGGGACTTGGGTCCTCTCTGAGTGAACCCCAGCTGTCTGGGCTGCTTCCATGGCCCCCTTTCTTGCTTCCAGAGGACCCATAGGGCCCTGGCTATGCCCATAGGACCCTGGCTGTGCCCCATAGGACCCTATCTGCCCAGCCTGGAACAGAGAAGACTGGAGTGCTTTCCCCAGGGGGCTTATGAAAGGGCAGGAGTGGGATGTGGCCAGGGCCAAGGGAGGAGGTCCTTGCTGGGCCAGTGCTGCTGTGTGGGAGACAGGCGCTGTCCCAGGGCAGGCTCTCCTGGGCCTATGCTTTTCTCCAGGCCAGCTTCAGGTCCCTTCCACCCCTCTGCCTCTCTCAACTTGCAGTTGTTCTCCCTCACTATCCAGGAAGCTGCCGCTGGTGACTGGGATGTGATCAGGAAGCAGGTGGAGGTGGGGTGAGAATATGCGTCTTTGGGACCCCCTGGCCCAATTGGGCTGACAGCAGGCTGCAGACACATCCAGATGTTCTAACTCCTATCGCTTCTCTCCGATTTTCTCCCACATTCAATCTTGCCTCCAGTCCTACAAGGGGTTCTGTCCTTTGCCCCTAAAACTCTTCCTGCTCCACCTCCCCCCGACCTCCCCAGGAGCCCCCTCAAGTCCTTCTGATGGCTTCATCTCTCTGTCGGGCCTGCTCAGCTTCCAGACACCCCCTCCACTTGTCACTGCCCTGTTTCCATTGATGGTTGAGTTTCTGGGCCCAAAGTTAAACTCTTCAGCCTGGGCTTCGGGTCCCTTTCCCACACATAAAACCCCACCCTTCACATTTCTCTGTCTGCTCCTGTGAGGATCCTCAGCTTCTTCTCAGCTTCTCTTCATCTTCCTCTCAGCTACTCCTCAGTTTCTATGCCCCATGTCCTGAAACGACTTCCAAGTATTCACTTAGAGCACAGGTTCTCAAAGTGTGGTCCTCAGTCCAGCAACAGCAGCATGACCTGGGGACTTCTTAGGAATGCATGGTTTTGGTCCCCACCTCTTGGGTCAGAAACCCTTGGAGTGGAGCCCAAAAATCTGTGTTTTACCAAGCCCTCCAGGTGATTCCAACGCACACTGGAGATTTCTAACTCCTGACTTACATATTCCCTATGCCTTACACTGGCCCCAGCCTTCTGATCACCCACACTCCCCTACCCTCCACGGGACTGCACAGGTTGTCAGTTTGAATTATCCCTCGTTCAGTCACCACAGGTAGATTCCTCTGTTTTCCCAGGTGCCCCTTATTTTGAGGACAGGAACCAGGTTTTTGAATGTCCACTCCACATGGCACCCAATCAGTGATGTGAATGACTGTGCCCCAAGGACACACTGCTTTCCTAGGGGCTCCCTGTTTCCCAGCTCTAGTGAACCCACTTTCTAGATCTCTCTCCTGGCCCTTCCTCCCCAGAACCTCTCTCTCTCTCTTCCTGCCTGTGCCTGATACCTGTAAGATCTCACTCCACTGTAAGAAAATAGCTATCCCTGGTTTTCCTTTCCCAGGCCCCTCTCCAGGCCCCAGCTCAGGCACCTCCCCGCTCTGCCTGCTTCCCTGAACTTGCGGACTAAGGTCATTCACACCTTGCTGAGCCCCTTGCACGCCTTCATCCTGGTGAGGGTGGAGCTAGGAGGGCACCCTCCTCATGTGCCCATCTTGGTCCGGCTCCTTTCTCCTTCACTTCAGCTTGGCCTACCGTGTCATTAGACAGTTGTGCCATATGTGGGGAGGCTGGCAGAAGAGGTGACTGGGGACTGCAATCCATCCTATACTCTGCTCCCCAAGCCATGCACCCTGGTTTGGGGCTGTATCTGTCTGGAGGAAAAGGGTTCCTTTTTAAAATTTGCACAGGGGTGTTCTACAGGTTAGTGGCAGCCCTGAGTGGACCAGTTGTCTACTGGTCCATCTATGTATCTGTCAGCTGTCTTTATCTGCTACCATCTTCCCATCCAACCCCCAAAAGTCCATCATTCTGTCCATCCATCCACTCATGAACAAATGTGAAGGTCAAACACAGACTGGCATTTTCACCCGGCCCCACCCTCCATTTCCCTGAAATCAGGACCCCTCCCTTCCATACTGGTTTCTAGACTTGAGGTTCTGGGGGACGGGGACTTTCCAACTTTAGCACATTTCCAGGGGCTTTGCCTTCCTCCTCCTCCTCCTCCTCCACCACCTCCGATATGCAGTTCCCCATGTATCTGTGTCTGGCCCCCGGTCTGCCACAGGGGTCTGGAGGAAGCTGGTCACACCTTGGACTCACTCTCTGGGGGTGGCAGGCAGCCATTCTGCTCCTTGTCAGCCCCAGCTTCCCCACCCGCCCCCTCCCCCGCCCCCTCCTCCTCCACCTTCTCATCCAGCCGGCTGGGGATGGACCAGTAGAGATGGGCATCAAGGCGGGCGGCAGCCTCTGCCAGCTCTCGAGCACTGCACGAAGGTGTGGGCACCTCAAAAGTCTCGTGAAAGCTGGCATAGTCCACTTCGTAGAAGCCGTCCTCCAGAGTCAGCACTGACGTGAAGCGGTGGCCCCACAGCACCTCGTCTACCAGGTAGGAGCTCCGAGCTTGGCATGTCATTCCTGGGAGGAGGGGCACCGGTCAGGGGGAATCTCAGCTCCAGGCTTCCCTCTCCTCTTCTCATTCCACAACCCTACTCCCAGCACCCTCCCTTCTATTCCTTCCTAAGGGCTCCCACCTCCCTTTGGTCCAGTCCATTTCCCCCCCTCCCTAGCTCCTGTTCTTACCCAGCTCCCTCGTGTCTTCTCCATTTGCCCCAACTCCTCTTAATGTCCAGCTCTTTTTTCCCCTCCTGTCATTTGGTGATGCCAACCAAAAAAAGCTTAACCTTGAAACTAACCTTAGGGATCCTCTAGTCCAACTTCTCACTCCATACAGGGCTCCCCAAAGGAGCATTTCTAACAATGGGCATCTAGCTTATACTTGATTACCTCCCAGGATTGATAGCTCACCACTTCATAAAGGGCCCACTCCTTTGTATGATAGCTCTAATAGTTGGGTTGTTCTTTATACAGAGCTAAAACCTGTACCCTGGGATTTCCAACTCTTGGCTTCATTCCCCTCCCACTTCACAGTCCTCTGAGTATCTGAAAACAGGAGTCTCAGATTCCCTCATGTTTTCTCTCTTGACTTAACATCCCTGGCTTCCTCCACGATTCCTCATTTGACCTGGTTTTCCAGAACTCTACTTTTTTGATTACAAGCCAGAATGGCCAAGGAGGGCCCTTTAAGCATTTTGAGTATAGTAAATTTTCCAACTGTGGCCTGCTCCGTGCATAAGAGAGCGCGCACCATCTCTCTCTTCTGGCCATGATGCTTTCACTAATAGGGCCCAGGATAACATTACATAATCATTTTGGAGGCTGCATCACATTGCTACGACATCAAGACTGTAGCCAACTAAAACTCCCAGTTCTTTTTTCACCAGTGCTCTTCCATGCTGTGCTTACATAAGTGATTTTTTTAAAGCCTAAATGTAGAATTTTATATTTATTCATTTTAAATGTCATCTTGCTGGGTTTTGGCTCATTATTCTTGCTTTTCAAAAGCGTTTTGAATCCTGACTGTCTCACCCAAAATATTACCATCCTTTCCAGCTTTATCTCTCTAGAAAAACAGACAGATTCCTATCCTCATCTCCTCTGTCCTGGTCCTCCCTGCCCGGGGCTTGTGTCCTATCTTCCTGTTGGGCTGGTGCACCCCTCAGGGCAGGTCATTCTCCTTTCTGCCACAGGGTCTTGCCCCCAACCCATATCCATCTCGGAACAAGGGGAAACAGAAGAGTGAACATTAGCTAACCGGAGAGTGGCTGTCAACTCGGAAAGCCTGGCGCTGAGACATTGGTATTCCTCGGTGAAGTTGGAATAGAAAGTATCCAGTGGGAGAGAAGAGAAAGAGGCATAAGGGACACTGGGGAGAGAAGGGCTTCGAGGAGGAGAGGGCAGGGCTGGGGGTACAAAGAGAAAAGAGGGCCGGGCAGCAACTTCCCTGGAGGGTGAGGGGCCTGCCTGAGATACTGGCAGAAAAGGAGTGACAGCTGGAGAGAGAGGAAAGGGAACGGGGTGAGTGGGGGAAGAGGAAAGAGTCGGGGTGAAGCAGGAATGGGAACAGTGATGCGGAGCTGGGGTTGGGGTGTGAAGCGGAGTCTCAGCCTAAAGGGGCCAGGGAAAGGATCTGAAGGCACCAGCTTGTCAGCGAAGCCGGCAGGGAGCATCAGCAGCTCTGGCGTCAGAGGAGGGACTGCGGCGCCCCCTAGTGGGCCTTTGGTCCTCCACCCGCAGTTTCCTCATCCTCATCTATCCTCTAGATCTCAAGTCCTAAGTGACCTCCTTTGCGACTCCTGTAACACTGGTCTTTTTTCACCTGCTCCCAAAGCCTTCACTGTGTAGGTCTGGGTTGGACTTATTGACATCACAGATGAGTTGCCAGTTCCTTTTGGAAAAGAGCTAGAAAAGGTAACATCATCTATATCCCTTGTCAGTGGAAATGGATGAATTGGGAAACCGAGGTACAAGTGAGACTAGGTATTAAACTCCCCTCAAGATCCGGCCTAGAAATAACTCAGGCAATGGAAAACCTTCACCGTCAAATTCCAGGGGCCTGAACCTGACTGCAGTGAGAAAACCCCTGAACCTAACCCCTCCTTCCAACTCGGGACCACTAAACATTGAAGCCACATTGCCTGTGTCCAATCCAGGCATGGCCACTTATTGGCTTAGGAAAGTGGACAACTTCCTTAATTTCTCATTGGAGCAATCTCATCTCTAAAAAGTGAGCACAATAACAAGAAGTTACCTTCAGAGGGTTCTTGTTAGGATTAAATCGACTCAGAGGTAGAAAGTGCTTTGGAACTGCGCATGACACAGGGTGAATACTGGGCGAGCACTAGCTATTATTACTGTCCCTATTCCAAGTGACACATTCCTCTGGGCCCAGGGCCCCACGCCAGTGCCATTTCGGAGAATTCCTCCAAGCTTTCTCTTGGCCTTCTGCGGCGTTGCTCGGTTCCACTCCCGCCTCCGACCCCTGTCTCACCTCACTGTCTCATCCTCCACCAGCCCCTCCATCCATCCTCCCCAGCTCCCCTGGCCCCTAGTCTCGCCCCTGCCTTCCTCGGTCCCGCCCACCCTCTGCCAACCCCGCTCCCCTCCCCAGGCCTGCTCGCACCCGTGGCTTCCACCATGCCCTCGAGGATAACGACGATCTCGAAGTCGTCCCTCTCGAGGGCACGGCGCGACGCCTCCCAGAAGGGGCTGGCGGCGTCGATCTCGTGGCTGATAACCAGCGGCGAGACGAGGAAGAGGCGGTCGTCTCCCGTGTCGAAGCCCACGCTGAGGTCGGTCTGGTGCAGCGGGATGAACTCGCCCTCCAGCGTCTGGCGCGAGCGGATGAGCTTGGCGCGGATGGAGGCCTCCACTATGTGTGAGGAGCGCAAGTCGCCCACGCGGAACATGAGGCAGAGGCGCCCGTCGCGCAGCGACACCACGGCGTGCGAGGAGAAGACGAGCGTGGCTGCGCGCTTGTTGGGCTGCGAGATCTTGACGAACATGCAGCCCACCATGAAGGCGTTCACCATGGAGCCCAGGATGGCCTGCAGCAGCAGCAGCACGATGCCCTCGGGGCACTGGTCGGTGATGACGCGGTGCCCGTAGCCGATGGTGGTCTCGGTCTCGATGGAGAAGAGGAAGGCGGCCACGAAGCCGTTGAGGTTGTTGACGCACGGCGTCCACGCGGTGTCCTCCAGGTGCTCCAGGTCGCCGCGGCCGTAGGCGATCAGCCACCAGATGGCGCCGAAGAAGAGCCAGGTGAGCGCGTAGGCCAGGACGAAGAACAACAGGCTGAGGCGCCACTGCAGGTCCACCAGCGTGGTGAACAGGTCCGTCAGGTAGCGGTATGTCTCGCGCACGTTGCCCTGCTGCACGTTGCACCGGCCATCCTTCTCCACGTAGCGCTGGCGGCCGCGGCGCCGCGGCGGCTCCTCCTGCCCGGGCGAGAAGGCCGCGTTCTCCTGCGCCATGGCGGCCGCGTCAGGGCGAGCGCTGCGGGCGCCTGGAGTGCGGCGGGGGCCCGAGCTGCTGCCACCTGCCGCGCGTCGCTGGGCGCCTAGGCGGCGTCGGGGGTCCTGGAGGGGCTTAATAAAGGTTTGCCGAATGAGTGGCCCCTCGGGAGATGGGGAGGCACGGGGCATCAGGGCCAGCACCGAGCCCTGGGGGGCCCTGGGCGAGTCCCTTCGTGTTGCCTGGCCTCTATTTCTGGGAATAACACATTCAGCCCTAACTGCCCCCCAGGCTCAGAAAGTTGTGAGGGTCAAATGGAATGATGTACCTGAACTGGATAGAACTGTGCAAGTTCCACGATGATTTTCAGGGGAAGGAGGTACCAGATATTTTGGTGCCATCACCTCCAGCTGGGGTGTGCAGCACCTCAGGGGCAGCCCCGGGGCCAAAGACCCAGGCCCAGATCCCCCTAGTGATTTCCTGAAATCAATAGACTGGGGGCTTTTTGGGGAGGGGGGCAGGCGGGTAATGGAGCCCTCCCTGCCCTAAGGACTTCCACCATCCCTTCCCCAGCTGTAGCCAGTGCAGCCACCAATGGCTCTCCTCGCAGGCTGTTTTGAAGTTCACCCCAAGACTGATACACAGTCTTTCTCATTCTTCCCTCCTTGGACCTCACTCACTCCGCTCCATTCCCTCCCCTCAACATGCTTACAAACGAGAAAGAAATGAAAGCTGTGGAAAGTCAGTGGAAACCCTCCAGTGCACAAGGGTGGAACATTAGGAAATTCCCACTAGAAATCCTCCCTGAGACCTACCCACGATCACTGCTGCTCTTGGGCCAGCCTCATTTCCCTTGGGTTTTTTCTCCTAGTGGAGACAGCCTGCAAATGGGGAGGGGAACTGGAAGATCCCAACACAGAAGCCTGGGAAAGGAAGCCCAGAGTTATAAAGAGTTAGGCTCGTATCCCTCTGGGATCCTATTCTTCATGAGAGACATGGAATCAGATCAGGTGAAGCACTAAGCACCCACATTTATTTCCCCACTCCCTCTAGTTATATTTTCCCCCAGCCTCTTACTTCCCATGGACTATCCTAACACCAGCCCCGCCCCCACCTGCCATATGCCCCAAAGCCCACATTCCAAGCGAAGCCCACCTGATTTTTCTTCACATGCTTGCCTCTGAGGAGCTCTCTGAGCTGCAATCTGCTCTGAGAGAGGTCCAGAGCCCTTCCCCAAAGCACCCAGGGTCCTCTAGGAGATATGGACCATACAGGGAAAGGTTTAGAATAGGATTTGGGACTCTTCCACCTTCCCTTCTCTTTCCTGGGAATGATCCTCTCCTCCCACTCCACGGAAACGTGGGCTGGCTAGTGGGTGGGGGATGGAGGAGTGTGCCATAGGAACCACAGATGGCCTGGATGGTTGACCAGGTCCTGGGGAGAAACTGCCTGGGTATGTGACTCTAAACCTAGCACTCCAGCATCTTATGTTCTGGGGTGAGGTCCTCTGCAGTCAGCACTCTGGAGAGGGTGTGTGTGTGTGTGTTTGTGTGTCTTGGGGTAGAGAAGGTAGGAAGAGAAATCAAAATGAAATGGCTTTGAGCTTAGGGGCACCCCCTGCATTTATTGTCCATGGAGTCAGGGGACACAGGGTCCAAGAGCCCCATGGCAATGGAAGATTAGGGTTTCCCCTGCCCCCAACAATGGGCTTCCTTTTCCTTCCCTGAAGCTCAGATGTCCTCAGGAAGAGTAAGCATTGACTGGCTCAGAGACCCCAGGTCATGCAGAAAACGACCCTGCTCCCATTATCCTAGCTTTAGTCCCAGGTGGGCTTCCAGATGTTCTCTCAGGGTCTTAGGTAATCTGACCCCCAGTCGGCTTGCCTAGACAGATCTCTCTGCCCAGGGATGGGGAAGGAACCCCGATGTCGGATCACCCCCAGAACTCTCTCACTCTCCATTGCCCCAGGGATCTAGGTAAACCTTATTTTGAATGTGTCCCACATCCTGTCTTCCTGAGTGGGGGACTGCACTTTTCTCAGGGGAAGGAAAAGTGTGAAATTGTTACCTCTATCTCAAGATCAAGGACTTGATTTCTCCATCTTCCCTCCAAGAATTTCAGTTCCTCCAACCTACTCCTCATTTCTTGTGCATGCTATGACCCCTTTGCAGAAGATTGCAATACCACTTTTCCTGGGCCCCTCTTCCTCCCTCTAGAGAGCTGGGGAGTAAGGGGGCTCATTTTTTGGAAGGAGAGACCTGGTGAAAACTCCCCCAAGAACCAGCTCCTCCCAAACCCCCACTTGCCTTGGAAATAGGGGCCCAAACCCCAAGTCCCCCGCAACTCAACTCACAGCACGTGGAGAGGAGAGTAGCCGGCAGCAGAGACCCCTGGGGGGTGGCGTCCATGCCCCTGACACCGCCCCCCCCACGGGCCCCCCGAAGGGTGGGAGCCGCAGACACCGCTGTTTCTCCTAAATGTAGCGGCAGCTCTGACTAGGACTTGCTATCTGTGTCATCCCTACTTCCCAGGCTCCCCTGCTCCTCTCTTGTTTCCACGGCAACCAGTCTGGCGACAGCTCCAGAGCATCCCCCTCCCCTCCCCAGTCCTGGGTACCACTAGGGGTTGATCCAAACCACACGCCATAGCTATTTTTAGCCAAAGTCCCTCCTCCTGGACAACTCAGAGCTTGGCTCCTCACCCCCTCATAGGAAAAAAAAAAAAAGAAGAAGAAAGAAAAACAAAGCTGGCACGCTGGCTCTTTCCTAAGAAGCTCCTTCCTGGGGGAAAATACAAGCCCTCATGTATTTGAGAATAAGGTGCTAGGTTCCCTGGGGTTTC
The DNA here is from genome assembly GCF_000001405.40 of Homo sapiens. Lineage (NCBI taxonomy): Eukaryota > Metazoa > Chordata > Mammalia > Primates > Hominidae > Homo > Homo sapiens. Next base: position 160,081,209 of record NC_000001.11, on the reverse strand, counting down.
AGAGGGCCATCTGGTAGCTGGCAGCTCACCACCTTCAACATGGGTCTCTGCGTGCAGGTGCTGCTCTCAGGTCAGGCTGACCATCATGGTCTAGTTTTGGAGAGGCCATGGATCCAGAAGGCGGTAGCTAGAAGGAAAATAGATCTACTAAAGGAAGGGAGGCAGGGTCAGGGGTTCTAATTATTGCCACTGATTTGCACTGTGTCCCATAGGAGTCACTTCACTTCCCTGAGCCACAGTTATTCCATCTGTACCAGGGTGTGGACAAGAGCAAATATCCCCTTTCTGCCTGCTTCACAGAGTCAGCAGATCAAACGAAGAAAAAACAAACAAACAAAAACCAAAAAAACCACAAAGGGCTTTGAAATGTGTTTTATTCATAGCAAAAACCCTAGAAACAACCCAAATGTCCACCAGAGAGAAAAGCCTAGGTTAGGGCTTACTAAGTATTCACTCGGCAAACTTCTGCGGAGCCCAAGTGCCAGGCAGTGTGTTAGATGGGGTGGTTACAGAATGGGTGAGTCCCTGCCCACAAGGAGCTCATTAACCCAGGAGGGATAAAGACACACAAACACACAGTGGCTGCTGCTACTAATTCACTGAGCATGGGATATGAACGAGACACATGCCTCATGTCATCCCCATGGCAACTCTATAAGACAGGTGTTATTTTTCCCAGTTATAGATGAGGAAACTGAAACAGAGACATGTTAAGTAATTTATCGAATGTCACAGAGTTGGGCAGAGACAGGAGCCAAACTCCCACATCTGTATCACCTCATGCTTTGTAAATTGTTTTAAAAGAAGACTTCTTAAAGGGTAGTTTTAGATTCAGAGCAAAACTGAGAGGAAAGTTATAGAGATTTTCCGTATGCCCCCTGTCCCCACACATCCACCAGAATGGCACATTTGTTACAAGTGATGAAGCTACATTGACATCATAATCGCCCAAAGTCCATAGCTGACATTAGGGTTCACTTTTGGTGTTGTACACTCTGTGGGTTTGGACAAATATATAATGATGTGTATCCACCATTATAGTCTCATTGCTGTAAAAGTCCTCTATGCTCTGCCTAGTCAATCCCCCTTCCCTAACCCCTGGCAACAACTGCTCTTTTTCCTGTTTCCATAATTTTCCTTTTCCAGAATGTCATGTCGTTGGAATTGTACAATATGTAGCCATTTCAAATTGGCTTCTTTCACTTAGTAATGTAAATTTAAGGTTCCTCCATGTCTTTTCATGGCTTTGTAGTTCATTTCTTTTTGGCACTGAATAATATTCCATTTCAGGATGGCCATGGTTTATTTATCTATTTACCTACTGAAGGACATCTCGGTTGCTTTCAAGATTTGGCCATGATGAATACAGCTGCTATAAACATCCATCGGCAGATTTTCATGTGGACGTAAGTTTTCATCTCCTTTGGGTAGATACCAAGGAGCATGATTCCTGGATCGTATGGTAAGAGTATGTTTAGTTTTTTAGGAAACTGCCACACTTTCTTCCAAAGTAGCTGTACCATTTTGCATTCCCATCAGCCACGAATTCCTGTTCCTGTTGCTCCACATTCCTGCCAGCATTTGGTGTTGTCAGCCTTAGCCTAGTGTGCCTCAGTAATGTAATATCTGTGGAATATTAATATCATGGGTTACTGTAAAGCCATAATAATTGCTGTGTTTAAATATGTGAATGTGTATATAACACACTGTTACATAAAAAAGCAGAACCTAAAAATATTCTTAGAAATTGATCATGACTATATTGAAATAGCTTCAGGAACACTGATAAAAATCAGAACAAAATTTGGAGAAACAGAAATATCTTATTGTTTATTTTTCCCCAGGGAAATAATGAAGAGAAGAAAGTGGTTTACAAACGCAAAGTGTTGTTGCTGTTGTTATCAGTATTATTATATCCCAGATATGGATCTATTCTTATCCAGATCCTTTAAATTTGGATCAAGAAAATATGAGCTAGAGGAGCAGGAAGACATAGAGATGGACACGGAGGGCTAGAAGCTCCTGGAATGACCTGGCAAGGTGGGAAATTCGGTACTGGATAATATAAGCTCAGGAGGCAATGACTTGGGTTCAAATCCCACCTCTGTCCACTACTAGCTGGGTGAACCTGAGCAATTATTTAACCCGTTAAACCTCAGATTCTTCATCTAAAAAAAAGAAAACCATATTATTCATCTCTTAGAGGGTTGTCATGAAGACTACATAAGGCAATGCCTGACACATTGTTAGTACTCAGTAAATGCTAGCTACTGTCTTCCTCTTCCTCCTCCTCATTGTCTTCTTCATGGTCATCATCATTGTCACTGTCATCACCATCATCTCAGGGATGTCCTGAAAGCCCCACCCTGCCTGTGCCACCTTCCTCTGTTCTGGCACCACCCTGTGAGGCCTGCAGGGGGCGCCCCCGGTATACTGCCCTCTCCTCAGCTCTCTTGCTGGTGATTCTTGTTGTTCCAAGTGGAAATATCGAGTTTTCAGCCCGAGATTGGCATCAAGAGTGCTGTTAAAGCCCCAGTCAACATCCCCGTCTCCTGGGCCTGGTCCTGTCACCCGAGCTTTGGGACTGCTAGCCTGCCCTTCTCTGTCCTGCCAAGCAGCTGCTCACATTGGTTCCACTGTGCCAGGAGCTCAGAGAGAAGAAACCAAACTCCTGGGCAAGAACACATTTGCATAGAGCTGGCCCTATTTGCTGGAGGGGGCATCACTGGCAGGGCCCTCCACAAGGCAATTTCAGCCAGCCCCTCGCCTCAGTCCAGGTGCCCCTGAACCTAGCCTGGCTGACAAGGAAGAAGACTACCACTCCCTCACCTGATTCACTCATCCTGCAGGTCCTAGACTTTACCTGTTATCTAACCTCAGTTCCTTATTTATCACTGAGCTGAACTGAGGCAGGAGAAAAAAAGTTTTCCCAGGCACCAGGACACAAAAGCATAGACAAGATTCTAGCTTTTGGCTTGGCACGGTGGCTCGAACCTATAATCCCAGCACTTTGGGAGGCTGAGGTACACGGATCGCTTGAACCCAGGAGATGGAGACCAGCCTGGGCAACATGGCGAAACCCTGTCTCTACAAAAAATACAAAATTAGATGGGTGTAGTGGTATGTGCATGTGGTCCCAGCCACCTTGGAGGTTGAGGTGGGAGGATCACCTGAGCCTGGGAGCTCAAGGCTGCAGTGAGCCGTGATTGCGCCACTGCACTCCAGCCTGGACAACAGAGTGAGACCTTGTCTCAAAAAAAAAAAAAAAAAAAAAAAAAAAAAAGGAACCGTGGTGCAAAATAGGAAAAGAGCTTAAAAAGAGCCTACTGTGGCCTGTCACTTGGAGAACAGGGAACAGGTGATACTTTTGGGAGAAAATAAAAGGTTCCCTTCCTCCAGCAGACACAGCTCTGAGCTGGGTGCAGGAATTGGCAAGCTGAATGCAGTTCAGTCCTCAACTTGCCCCATCAGCAGGTGCCTTTGTGGCAGCCCTGAGATCAGCCAAACTGGGGAGGCTTCCCTGGACAAGATCATGAGACATCTTGTGCAAAATCTGGCAAGTGGAAGAGGAAGCATGATGGGGAAGACAGCAGACAGTTGAGGATATGAGTTTAGTGGAGCAGGGAGGCCAATCTGGTTGATTGCAAAAATTTGTATAAATTCAAGGGGGATGGGGCTCTAGAAAACTCAGAGCAGAGGAAAGATATGGTTGAAGGAGTAGATGTGGCAAATGACTGAAGCTGAAGATTAGAGTGAAATGGGGAGAAGCAGAGCACAGCTCCAGGCCAGACGGAGGCAATTTCAGCCAGCCCCTTGCCTCAGGCTGGGTTCCTGAGGCTGAGGAGCTTGCTGCCTTTCTGGCTACTTTCAGCAGAGCAGGAGGATCAGAAGCCTTCACACAGAGTTCTATCTTGCTTTATAGGACTGGGTAGAGATAGGCTAAGATTTAAAAGTTATATGACGGTTAGAGGTGGTACAGGATTAGCCCTTACTTTACAGGTAGGAATAGGTCCCAAGAACATAGTCAGGACTAAGACTCAGGCCACCCGACTCGAGATTCCTCGTGTTTCTTTATTCCCAGTTGCCTCCCTCCTATCACAGTGCATTGGATGTTAATGGAATTTCTATCAATTGGACCCAACTGGAAAGGTACTAGAAGTCCCTAGTTAGAGAAATTTGTTTTTTTCTTTTTTCCTTTTTTTTTATTCCTTTTTGAGACAGAGTTCCGCTCTGTTGCCCAGGCTGGAGTGCAGTGGCGCGATCTCCGCTCACTGCAACCCCCACCGCCCGGATTCAAGTGATTCTCTTGCCTCGCCCTCCTGAGTAGCTGAGATTACAGGCACACACCACTATGCCTGGCTAATTTTTTTTTTTTTTTTGTATTTTCAGTAGAGATGGGGTTTCACCATGTTGGCCAGGCTGGTCTTGAACTCCTGACCTTAGGTGATCCACCCACCTTGGCTTCCCAAAGTGCTGGGATTACAGGCATGAGCCACCGTGCCTGGCCATGTTTTTCTTTTTTAAAGGAAAGAATTCTTTAGTAGGTAACTAACTATTCCCTAAATTATGTCTTATAAATGTGGGTTTGTGTATATTGCATTTATTTAAAGGGGGTGATCTACTTACATAATGATTCGTTAGTGACTAGGGGAATGTAGCTCAGTCCTTCTCTTGGATTTCTCCTCTGCGGCCTGAGTCATTCAGCTATGAGATGCTCCACTACTAATGGAATTTGTTCAGCACTGTGGGATGTGAGCACCAAAACGCCACTTGGAATCCTGAATCCTGTGGTGAGCCATGCCAGTGTCTCTGTTCTTTCTAGCCACTTCCCCTGACTTGTTAAATACTAACTATTCTGAGTCTCTATCATGCCTCCCAACCCAAAGCTTTCCTGATTCCCTCTGTCCACATCTGCTTTGCCCAGCGCAAGCCCCTCAGACTGCTGCCCACTTGTGGATTCTTTCTAAAACAGGTGACACACCCCAACTCTCCTCCTCCTCTGCTCTGAGGTAGCCTCTGCCCCATTATAAATGAAGTAAAAGTAGAGATGAGGCCAAAGCTGGAAGCAGTGAGTCTGAAAGGAGAAATGGAGGAGAATAAGGAAGACGCAAGTTGGGAAACTGAAAGAAGAGAGAGGGGTCCTCAAAAAGAGAAGTTTCCTCTGTCATGTTTCATGGTGGACATTGGATGTTGTAATTCTGGGGAATTTTTCATACCAACATGTACTCAGGGGTCATAGCCTCTGGTTGGCAAGATTGTGTTTAAAACGTGCAAATTCCCTCTGGCATTATTCTGAGACAAGCTTTGGGGTCAAATATATGTGGATTCAAATCTCAAAACACTTTCCAGCTATGTTACCATAGGCAAACCACTTAACTCCTCAGAACTTCAGTTTCCCCATCTTCTGATCTATCTGATGTAGTAAACACTCACAAATATTAGTGTCCTATGCCCCTTATTACTGATTCCCTACTGGGCTCCTAGAGACTGTCCTAGGACTTCTCTTTTGCAAACAAATTTAAAAATGAAAACCTGACATTTGATATGTACAAAAGAATATAGATGGTGGACATATGTCTATATGTTATAAAGCATAATTTAAGAACAAAAACTCAATTTAAATCACTCTTTTAAATTCAGAACATTACAGTGCTGTTGAAGCTACCTGTGTACTTTTCCACAAGCTCCCACCCCTGCTGTTCAAGGACTTATAAAGTCTTTCTAACTGCCCAGTCCCACCCGACTCTATCCTCACTCTGATTGTTAGTAGAGGACACTTCTGTAGATCACTTGTAGTTTTTTAGTCTGATTGACCAGAAGTAACATAGAATTAAGGAAGTCATGAGCACTTCCAGCCTCAGAGAGAAAGATGCCGAGTTCAGTCTGAGGGCCTGTCACGTTTTTTATCTTCTTTTTTTTTTTTCTAGGTCTTCTGTGGTGAAGACCTCCTTCACTGTGACCTGTAAGCACGAGGCAACTGTTTGGGGTTTTAAAACAAGGGCACAGGGACCGACATGATGAAAACAGGTTGCCTCTTCCTTTGAGACTGGAGAGAAAGGTGAAGGATGGGTCAGGTCCTGATCTTTCTGATTCTGATAGTGGTCATAGGAATGAAAAAGCACATTGCAAACAGATGAAAGAAAGGGAGACTTGACAGCATTTGTTGGCTTATTTGACATGTCCAGGAATGGGCCCAAGGCAACGGTGAAGAGTAAAGGTCACTTGTAGTTTTTTATTCTAATTGACCAGGAGTAACACAGAACTAAGGAAGTCACGAGCACTTCCACCTTTGGGGAGGAAGGTACTGAGTTCAGTTTGGGGCCTGTCAAGTCAAGATGGAAATCCCCTGCAAGCAACTAGAAATATGGAGCTCCAAAAAGAGTGTAGGATTGAAGATAGAGATTTGGGCATCACTCAGGGACAATCGTTGGAGCTATGTAAATGACAAAGGCTCAAGGGGCAAGACACAGAAAGAGAACATAAGGCTGAACCTTGAGTGTTAAAAGAAGTAGCTGTAGCTTTGGGTGTATAGGGGCAGTGGAAGAAGATAAGGCTGGAATGGCACCAGGTCCAGGTTATAATAGGCCTTCTCTTCCAGGGAAAGGAACTCGGACTTTACTTATAGATAGTTGGCAGTTACTGAAGGTTTTAAAACTTGGAAGTGGTACGGTCAGATGTGTGTTTCAGAGAGATGTACTTTACTGGTGCTTAATTACTTTCAAATAAAGAAATTCATAATCCAAAGAATTATTAGAGTGGAGGAAGACTGGAGGCAGGGAGAGTAGTTAGAAGGCTGCTGCAGTAGCCCTGGTGTATTAGGCCATTCTTGCATTGCTATAATGAAATACCTGAGATAGGCCATGGTGGCTCAAGCCTGTAATCCAGCATTTTGGGAGGCTGAGGTGGGAGGACTGCTTGAGCTCACAAGTTCAAGACCATCCTGATCTACATAGCGATTCTTCGTCTCTACTGAAAGTTAAAAAAAAAAAAAAATAGCTGGGTGTAATGGTGAACACCTGTAGTTCCAGCTACGTTTGAGGTTGAGGCAGGAAGACTACTTCAGCACAGGAGTTCAGGGTTGCAGTGAGCTGTGATCACACCACTGCACTCCAGCCTAGGGGACAGAGTGAAACCCTGTCTCAAAAAAAAAAAAAAGATTAAAAATTAAAAAAAAAAAAACCCAGAGAGTGGGTAATTTATAAAGAAAAAAGGTTTAATTGGCACACAGTTCTGCAGGATTTACAGGAAGCATGGTGCTGACATCTGCTCAGCTTCTCAGGAGACCTCAGGAAGCTTTTACTTGTGGTGGAAGGCAAAGCAGGAGCAGGCACATCACATGGCAAAAGCAGGAGCAAGAGAGAGTTGATGATGGGGGATGTTGCCATATACTTTTAAACACCCAGATCTCACGAGAACTCACTATCATGAAGATAGCACCAAGCCGCTGAGGGACCTGCCCCCATGATCAAAACACCTCCCACCAGGCCCATGTCCAGCATTGGCATTAAAATCCAGCATGAAATTTGAGCAGGATCAAAGATCCAAACTATTATTACCTGGTGAGAGGTAATGGTGTCCTAGACTACAGCAATGATAGTGGAATAGAGAGGAAGGGGACAATATTGAGGCTATTTAGAATACAGATGCATTGATTCAATAAGGGAGATGAGGTGAGGAAGATTGAAGAATCTAGGATGGCTGCCATGTTTCTGGTTGGGTGATGATAGTGTATCTACCATGGTAGAGAATAAATGGAGAGGAGCACTCTTGTGAGCAAGGTGACATGTTCGACTTTAAATATGTTGAGTTTGAAATGGATATCCGGGTGGGCTGGACATATTGACACATGGGTGGTAGTTGAAGCTAAATGGATGGATAACATTTTTGGAAAAATAATAAGTGCACAATAAATGTCTGTTAATGATCCATAAATCATTACAGTCCCTTTGCTTTCTCTTCTGTGGTGTTCTTCATGTTTATTTTGGAGTTCCACCAGAGCCTCCAAGCTAAGCTTGTCCAACCCACCGCCTGTGGGCTGCATGCAGCCCAGGACAGCTTTGAATGAGGCCCAACACAAATTTGTAAACTTTCTTAAAACATCATGAGGGTTTTTTTTGTGATTTTTTTTTTTTAAAGCTCATCAGCTACTGTTAGTGTTAGTGTATTTTATGTGTGGCCCAAGACAATTCTTCTTCTTCCAATGTGGCCCAGGGAAACCAAAAAATTGGACACCCCTGCCTAAGTCCTCTCTGTCTGTGAATGTCAAGACTGTGGCCCCCTTAAGGATCTTTTGGATGTCCTATTTTTTGAAACTTAAAGGTCTTATACCAGTCTTGCAGGCTGGCCCTCAGACCACCTCACCACAGCCCCTCATCCATATTGACTTAGGAAGAGAGGGCATTCGGAGTGTGAAGAAGAAAAACTGGAAGACTGTTTCTTTTTCTTTTTATTTTGTGTTTTGTTTTGTTTTGTTTTTGGAGACAGAGTCTAGCTCTGTCCCCCAGGCTGGAGTGCAGTGGCGTGATCTCGGCTCACTGCAACCTCTGCCTCCCAGGTTCAAGCGATTCACATGCCTCAGTCTCCCAAGTAGCTGGGATTACAGGCGCGTGCCACCAGGCCCGGCTAATTTTTGTATTTTTAGTAGAGATGGGTTTTTGCCATGTTGGCCAGGCTGGTCTCAAACTCCTGACCTCAGGTGATCCACCCACCTTGGCCTCCCAAAGTGCTGGGATTACAGGCATGAGCCACCTGGCCTGGCCTGTTTCTAGTACATTGTCTGGTTTCTATTTCTCTCCTCTCTATGAGTAGAGTTCTCAAAAGTGTAACCTATACTTGCTGACAGTTTCTCACTTTCTAGTGGTAACTTGTAATCTGGTTCCCACCTTGCTCACTCTTCTGAAATTGCTCTCAAATGTCACTAGAGACTTTGTCACTGCCAAACCCAATGCCTCTTCTCTCTGTACTTGTTGGCACTGTTAGAACCTCCTCCTTAACAGTCTCTCCTTCCTTAGCTCCATGACATCTCACTTTCTTTGTCTCCTTCCTGCCTGTCTGGTGGATTCTCTTTCACTCTTTGGGGGTCCTTCTTCTTCCCATCCCCTAAACATAGGTGTTCCTCACTCTCTGTGCCAGGCTCTCATTTCTCTGTGCAGTCTTTGTTGGGATCTACCCTGTTCTCATAGCTTCAACTCACACTGCCCTGGCAGCAATGACCTCCTTTCTCTCTCTGGTTCTGACCCCTCTCCACAGCTTCCAGCTCTGAACTCATCACTTCCTCTTCCCCCACCTCAGTCTCCTCACCAGGTGTGATCCCCCCCAGGCTCCCCTATGCCCGTGAATGACCTCGCAGTTCTGATCACCTGACTTGAGACTCTAGTATGATCTCTGAAGCTTCCCTCTTTTGCTCAACATGTCAAGTTGGCTTCAAACTTTTTTCATTTTCTTTTGATTTTTCTGTACTCCAATTCATTTTCTGTGTTCCACTTTTCACCATTGCCACGCTGATTTGGGCTGTCATCTCTTCATGCTTATATTATTGCAATTATTTTCTATCGTCTACTTGCCTACTATATCCACTTGGTTCAAACTATTTTGTCACCTCCCGATTAATTTTCCTAAAATGCCATAGCTTTCTCCTACTCCATCCTTCCCAAGAACCTTCAATTGCTCTCCGTAGCCTACAGAAACTCTGGCCTGACCACAAATCAGCACAACTCTGTGTTTCTTCCGGATGTTCCCCTTAACACAAACACTGCCTATGGTGCCTAACCTTTAGTCCCGTCCTTCCAGCTTCTCCAATGAGGCTATTTGAATGGACATTTACTTATCTTATGGCTTTTAGTGGTTAAACTAAGCTACATTCCTAGTTTCTTTCCTTTTTTTACCTGAATTTATAGCAATTCAATATGGTAACACTGGTTATTGATTAGCAGTTAAATGTTTATGATGATCAGAAATGAGGAAATAATTATATTCTTTTTAAATAAATGCTGGGGGTGGGGGTGAATTAAAACCTCTCAACACATAGATTCAGAAAATTAAAGAAATCTTTGGTGATGAAAGGGTTGAGAACCATCACCCTGCACTCTAATCTAGTAAATGGGACAGTTTGATGCTGTTTCCCAAGTGAACTTGTATTTTCACGTCTCCCCAGGACTCTGCTACGTTGTTCCCTCTGCCTTAAATGCAACAGAGTCCTGGGGACCATCTCTCAGCACCTGAATCTTCTGCTTCCTTTGGGACCCTAATCAGATGTTACCTCTTTCCTCCCACATCTGCTAGGAGCCCTCTGAGTAGAATGACCTCTCCCTTTTACAGCCTTCAGTACCTCCCGCACTTCGCTGAGGGTTCCGGCCTTATCTTTCCTTACAGAGAAAGCCGCTGCAGGTGGGCACCGTGTGCTGCGCGTCTCTCACCCAGCACCGCACCGGGGACTTAGGAGACGGTGAACAACACGGGAATTGTGCCCAAAGATACAGTCCTGTGGCTCAGGGAGCCCAGGCCTACTCCGCCCCAATCTCACTTCCAGGCGCCGCCTTCGGCGCTGCCTGCAGGGCCACTGGGCCGGTCCTGAATTCATTTCCACTTCGTTAACTCGGTCCCAGTCCCGCCCCCCGGCTCCAGCTCTCGTAACCCATCGCTGACAGGACCGCCTCCCTTTTCTTCCTTCTCCCTTCCCCTGTCACCCTGCCAGCTCAGCTCCTATCGTTTCGCATATCGTCTCTTCATCTCTCTTTCTCCCCGGGTCTGTCTGGGTCTCTGTCTTTGGATATTTCTCTCTGCGCCTGCAGCTGTCTGGGTCTCCGCTTCCTTGCCCCGCACGCCCCGCCCCCTGCCCAAGACCCTCCAATCTCGGCGGCTCGAGCCTGGCGCTCCACTCTCCCATTGGTCTGTTCGGAGCCCCCCGCCCCCGCCTGCCCGGCCCCCCTCCGGGCCCCTCCATTCACACAAAGTTTGGCTCCGGCGCTGCGGAGGGAGGGGGCGGCCCGGCCCGGCCCAGCTCTGCCCCCGGCCGGCCCGACCCCGGCCCCGGCCCCCGGACAAGCCCTTATCTGATCCCAGCTCCGGGTTTAAGAGTCCTGGCCCGGCCCGTCGCACAGCTCTGCTCCTAACTCCTGCCCGCCCCGTCCGTCCATCTGTCCCGCTGCCCCGCGGCCCATCCAAGGGGCCACTCCACCTCGGACCCAAGGTAAGACCCTGGCCCTGATGAAGGAGTTCTGCCGCCCCGGCCGGGTCCTGTCCCCCTAACTCTCCAGAGACATCGGGGTCCCAGATCCTCAGTCCCTACCCTGCCTGGCCTCAGCGGTACCACCGTCTTGTTCCCCTGCCTCCCGCCTTGGGCAGTCCCAAATGGAGCCTCCTGGGAAGGGCTCCCCACGAGGAAACTAGCCAGGCTGGTCACCTCAGCCCTTTCATCTAAGGAAGGGGCTTTCCCGATGCCCCCTCCCACTGGGCAGACCAGCAGTTGCATCCCTGCTCCTCTAGTTAATACAGTGACAACCACACATAACCAGGCACCCCATACACAGGCACAACAGACAGTGCGCCCTCCTCCCCATATGGACAGGTTACTCCCATCCCCAGCCCCTCCCCCACTCCCCATACAGTGACAATCACATAGTGACACCCATGATCGCTAGTTCCCACATGGGGAGAAAAACAGATACTGGCAGCTTAAACCGGGGAGCCACCAAAGCCTGGTGTGCTCCAGACCCCTGCCCACCCAATCTCTTCCTTCTATTCTGAGTGGCTCCCATTTTAAGACATCCCTCCTCATGGCCCCTCACCCTCACCCCAGCTGTTTCGCACTGGGATTTCCAGAAGGAAAGGAGCAGGGCCACTTCTGCTAGAGTGAGAAGGGCAGATTGGGTTCTATAAACTCACCCTCCAGATGGAGACGCCCCTTCCCATTCCATTCCTCCTCTCATCAGAACTAACCCAGGGCACCTGTGTTAGGGAACAGATGAAGGATGGAACTTCCTGATTTGGGGGAGGAGAGCTGAACCCAGGAATGGGTAGAAGGACAACACTGGGAAAAAGTGAGGGTGGGTTCTGGTGTCTTGAAGTTTAATTCCAGTGAGTGCCCCAGGCAGGGTGAGGCAGATGGGGAAGAAGCTGGTGCAGATTTGGACCCCAAAGAGGCCAGTGCTTAAAGCCTGCTTCTGTTGCTTACCAATACAAATTCTGACTAAAGATGTCTGGCCAGTCTGCTCTTGCTGTGGTGTTTGAATTTTTTTTCTCCCCACTGGGACTGCTTTAGGCTGCCTGGGTGGGAGGGAGATAATGACAGGAGATTTAGGGCCCCCATGTGAGAGATGGCCTTGTTTAAGGGTGCTGAGGAGGGCCTGGAGTGGTTGTCATGAAATTAGCCCCAGGAGGGGTGGGCAGCCACCAGTGAGTTCAATTTAGTTTCATCCTGAAACTCTCTCCCTAATCTCCAAGGATTTTTGAACATATTCCTGGCATGATGGTGGGTACCATCCTGTGCCAAGTGGTAGGGCTTGTAAATTTCTCTGGGGGTAGACTGGGTATAGGGGACCAAGTTTGGAAGGAACCAGGCATCCTGACTCATAGCTGGTTCTTCAGGGAGGAAGAAACGAGGGAGGAGGGGGATGGAAGGCATCATGCCAGGGAGAGGGTCCAGGGCTGGATTGTGGAGGCAATAGGCACGGCCCAGGCAGTGCCAACTCCTTTCCCCGCTGCCTTCCCCCAGTCCTTTGGTGGTGGTGGCAAGGGAGGAAGGGAGGGAGAGGGTGTTGGGGGGTGATCTGGGCTGGTCCAGCCTCCCAAAGCCCTTGCCAACCTGGGTCCTGAAAGGAGCTGCTGTTTTCTGAGCCATCCCCCCACCCCCCACTCAGAGCCTGAGCAGCCAAGTTGTCTCAGCGGATATCAAATGGCAATGACTCCACCGATGGAGGGTGGGTGGGGAGTGGGAGTGGCAGGGGTAGCAGGGTTATGGTTCCAGCCCCTCTGTGGCTCTAATGCAGAACCCCTCTGCTATCCCTTACCCTGAGGAAAAAATAAATCCATCTTCCCCAACATCTGACCCACATCCAGTCTATGGGTGCATATGTTTGTGTGAGGGGATTAATGATCTGCCCGCTGGTATCCCCTACCTCCTCCGTGTGCCCCATTGAACCACATTCTAGCTCCCTCCCACCTGCATCACTGTGCATAAGCTCATTTACAGCTCCAGCTTGGTTGGCTTGAGCTACAAGGAAGTGACTGGCAGAGGACCCGGGGACCTTCCTTCCCTTGACCTTCCTTGGGACCAGAGAGGCTGGGACACTTGGATCACGGTGGGCTCAGATGAAGTCCTCTGGAGTCATTCTGTGATTGGCAGGATAGGGGGTTTAAAGCTCTAGGGGGTGGGTCATGCAGAAAGATCTGTTTCCTCAAAGGATACTCCTGAGCCTCCTGGTAAAACTCTTGGTTTCTGCACACAAGATGGAAAGATAGGCCGAGCCTCCTGGCATTGGTGGGGAGGAAAAGAGACATTGGGCAATGGAGTCCCTAAGCTTTCCAGCCACAGGTTATTTAGGACGGAAGAAAAAAACCTCCACTCTCCCTCCCCTCCTCGGCCTAGATTCTTCTCTTGCCTGACTGGTCAGTGCTACTGTCCAGGCTGAGGCCAAGCTGTCCAGGATAGCAGTGGGGCCCTGGAAGGGGGCAGAGAAGGAATCAGCCAAGGCACATCGTTGAGATGAAACTACAGAAAGATTGGAGAGGAAAGGGAGATTTAAAATCTAAGTGTTTTAGCACCCAATGGTGGGTGGTTGGCTGGGCAGCTCCTGGGAATGGGAGTTTGCCATGTCACTTCGGTCTCTCCAGCAGGCTGAGTTCAATGCTTTTCTTCCCTCATTTGAGTTTAGCCTACATGTTTGCCACCATTCTTTAGGGAGAGAGTGCATCTGGTGGCCCCTCTTCCTCCCCTCCCCCATCAGAACCTTGAAAGGGCAAAGAGAAAGGGATTGTGGGAAATGCCCTCCCGTGGGTGTTTGCCAGCTTGGAGCCTGGATTTGAGGTGGTGGGGGAAGGGAGGGGCTGGCTCTGGAATGTGAGAGAGAAGTAAGAACAGAACTTTGTGGCATGGAGAAGGAGGTTGGAGAAGCAGGAGCTAGAAGAGGACTGAATCAGACCTCAAGCCTCCAACAAGGTGCAGCACAGAAAGGGTATACATGGCCATTGTGCAACTTTTCCGATGGCACAACACCTGGGGAAAGGATTGTGGCTGCAGCTAGAAGGACTTAGGTTAGATCTCAGGAAGCACATCCTAGAAAAGGAAAGACATTTGAAATGGAGACTGGGAAGGAAAGAGAGACCACTTTCTGGACCAAAAAAACCAACCAAAACAAAACAAAAACCACCAACAAAATCCCCAAACACAGAAGCCCATCCTTAAAGCTTCCGAGAGGAGTGATGGAGCTCAGAGTGCAGGGATTATTGTGACAACTGTCAGGGGCCTCCCCTGGGTGGCTGCTGCACCTCTCTCTTGCTGTTCCAGGGCTACTTTCCGCTCTGAGAGACAGCAGGCACTATGGTTAAGAGCATGGCCTTGGAGTCTGACTTTGTGGGATTCGGTCCTGGTTTACCACTTAGTAGCTAAGGAAGTCCCATCCTCACAATAGGGCTCATAACTGCTGTGAGGATGCACAGTGACTACCGTAAGGGGCTTGGAATGGTCCTTAGTCTGTAAAAAGTGGAGTTGTGGGCCATTGCTTTTCTCCCACCACTCTAATGTTTTCTACTGTGTCATCTTTCCTTGTTCCTGGGCTTTGTCCCAGCCCTTCTTTGTGGGTTTTGCTTTGTTTTGTTTTGAGATTCTGTCCTAGGTTTTTTCTTCCCACCCTTCTGGAGTTTGGGAAGGTAGAAGAATTATCAAGCAGTTTAAGATGCATTTCCTTCCTTGATTCCAATAGGCTGGGCATCACTTGAGGTGGGGTCTCCACACCCACAGCCCCTGCTTTCCACAAGTTTTTGCCAAGCAGATGTCCTGTCTTCAGATTCAATAAATGAGAACTGAGTGGTTGAGCTTTCACCAAATAGTCTCTTTCCCCATTCTCAGCAACTTCTCTTTCAGCCAAAGACTTCTGTCAGAGACTTCTTCTGTCGGTCAAGACAACCCCCACATCTCATTCCTGCTCCCATGGTCCTGCCTATCGCTCTTGTATTCTTCATCCTGCCTCTCCCTCTCCCGGCCCAGGTTTGCCCCCACAACTTCTCTCAGGTTTATATGCCCTTCTCTTCTTGTGTCTCCTGATTGGCTTGTTCATCCCATCAGCCTGGATGCCCACAGCAGCCTCCTTAATGACCTCCCTGACTCCAGCCCCCTCTCTCCTCGACTCCTTCCCTGTTACCCTATAATGAAATTATCACTGGAATTGTCATCATGAAGCATCAGTTTTATCTTGCCCTTTCTCTACCCAGACACATCTGTTGGCATTGGATAAAAATTTCCCAATCACAGGCTTCAAGAGACTTTATGCCTTTCTCCCATCCCCTCCAGCCCCATATCTTGTGGAACTGCACTCTTCAGACCCTGATCCTGGGGAGCATATCCCAGGCAGTCTCTGAGCCATGCTCCTCCCCACACTCTGGACCCTCACAAAGGCCATTCCAAGTCTCACCCCTCCCGCAGATCTCTATTCTCCTGTTTCCCTCTCTGCTCTGCCATCTTGCTTGTTACTTGCATCTGCAACTTGGCCCAGGGTTCTCCATGCATGGCGATGTTGGAGGAGACTTGTCTCCCTCATTAGCCGGGGGTTTCCTCTAGGGTGAGGCCTGTACCTCCGTCAGATTGGCAAAGGCATCTCTTCTCTCTCTGGACCCTCTGGCACCCAGCAAAGGGCCTGCCTCCTAAGACACAGAGTAGCTACTGTCCAGTTTGACTCTAGGTAGGAAACATTTCTGATCGCTTATTCTTGGGGAAGGAGCCTGACTTTGGAGGTTTATGTGAGCATCCTGCAGCAGGGTGTGTATAGGATCCTATTATCTAATTCTATAGGAGATCTCAAGAGAAACCCCTCTCCTACTAACGACCCCATCCTGTAGACATGGCTTCACCCTAAGATTACAAGCCCTAGAACCCCCAATTTATAGTCTTCTAAGCATTGTTGCTCCACCCACCCCCCCAACACAAATGCAGGTATGTAGGCCCCAGAGAGCCTTTCTCCCCTCACCAGGGCAGTCTGACTCCAGCCTGAGGCCGGGCTTGTCAGCAGCATCGTCTGGAATGAAAAAGGGGGATAAAGGTCAGAGTCTAGTCTGAGGCAGCCCCATTGTCCTGAGCATACCTCTGAGCAGGGGCTTGCAAGGTGGCAGACATGTGAGGTCACCTCCCAAGTGGGGTATAGGTCTGACCTCTTAGCACTGCATTCTCCCTGGACCAGCCTCCTCAGCTCCACTTCTGATCCCAGTTCCAACTGGTAGAGCCAGGCACACTCCTTCTCCACGTGTCTAAACCTCCCGGTTGACCCTGTGATAAAAAAGATATAGGCAACTGGTAAGAGGAGAGGGTGAGTGTATTAGAGTCTAGAGCACTGGTTTTTAAACTTTTTGACCTCAGGACCACTTTACATTCTAAAAAGTTACTGAAGACTCCAAAGAGCTTTGGTTTGTGTGGGTTCTATCTATGAACATTTACTGTGTTAGAAATGAACACTGGGACACATGAAATAATTATTAATTTTTGCATGTTAACAAAATGACGTATTTTTAATGAAAAACAGCTGTATTAAAGTAAACAAAAAGTTAATAAGAAGAGTGACATTGTCTTATATTTTCACAAGTCTTTTTAAACATCTGGCTTAATCAAAGACAGTTGCTTTCTCATCTGCTTCTGCATTTAGTGTGTTGCAATATCATAGGTCATGTACCTTCTGGAAAACTCTACTGAACACTGTGAAATAATGAAAGTGAAAAGGGCAAATAATGTATTGTTAGCATTATTATGAAGATAGGTTTGACTTTGTAGAGCCTCCGAAAGGGTCTCAGGAACCCTCCGAAAGGGTCCAGGGACCATACTTTGAGAACTGCTAGTCTAGAGGAACCTTAGAAGACAGTTTCAAAAACCTGGGCCAATTTGAATATCCTCGTTGATTTCCTTCAGCTGCCATGGTCTTTTGAATGTTCTCACCAGGGAGGTAGTATGGGGTAGTGGTTCATCATGTTAAGTTCTGCCTCTGTTCTACTACTCACTAGCTATGTGGCCATGGGCAAATTATTAATATCTCTGTGCTTCAGTTTTCTCATCTATAAAATGGGACTTTAAAAAGCACCCACCTTTAGAGTTGTTGAGAATTAAATGACATAATAGGAAAGGGCTCAGCGTAGAGCTCAATGATGTGAGCTCTCATTAAATTCCGGAGCCTTGCCCCTGAATCCACTGCGCATTGTCCCGAAGGCAGGGAGCTGCAGAGGAGATCCATCCAATGCTACACATAGGAGCTCGGCCCAGAGAGGGAAAGTGACCTGTGCAAGTTCCCAGAGAGAGTTGACAGGGTTGTTGGGCCCCGAACCCAGGAGTTCTAAGGCCTAGCTCCATCTCTGCTCTCCCCGCCAGAATTTTTTTGTGGAGAGTGGAGGAGCAAGGTCCTAAGACGGGGAAAGAAGCAGACTTTACCTTTCTTTTCCCCAGCAATCTCAGGTGAGCCCAGGGCCAGGGCAGTACAGTGGGAAGCCTTGAGGGCAGACAGCAGGGAGAACTTCCGATACTGACAGCAACTGAAAAGAGGAGAAAGAAAGCTAGGAAGACATTTTCAAGCCCAGAGATTGTTCTGTCTTGCCGTGTGGGGAGCAGTTCTGCAAAGTGTCCCCGGCCTTCTCTTCCTGGGGCTCGTAGGAAGTCTGTGATTGGGCAACCCTGCTTCTCATGAGGTGCTCAGTCCCGCTCACTGCCCTCCTCTCAGCTCTCCCACCACCCAAGGCCCAGGAGCCCCTCCCCAGATCATGCCTTCTGGCCCTGCCCTTTGTGCTGAGGCACCACAAGGCACAACATGGTGCCTTGGAAAAGCCAGTTGGTGGTGCTGAGGGCATTAATGAGGATAGGGGTGCCTGCTGGGGTTCCCTGGGCAGGAGAAGGGAAGCTTCTCCTCACAGATTGTAGAACAGGAGGAGGCAGATGGGGAGTTAGACATATACTGGGAAGAGCTAGTCCTGGCTCATTGGCCCTTCAGTCAAATTCCCCTGAGCTGGGCTTCCAGCTCCACCTTCACTAGTTCAGGTTGAATTCCCTGGAAGAGCACAGGTGGCAGGCGACTCTTGTCCCTAACCCCTGCTTCCCCTGTAGTAGCTTCTTCAGCCTCCAGAACCAGAGCAGGTGGAGATCTCAAAGAAGGTGGCACCCCAAGGAAGTAGAACCCCAAAGACCCCAAACCCTGAGCACATGCCCTTCCTGCTGGGGTTGGGGAACTTGCTATGTATTACTCTGTTTTTCTTCTCCTGCCCACAAAATTCCTTTGCATAGATGGTAAAACTGAGGCAAAACGTGGGAGGACTTAGACTGCCCACCCACTTCTTTCTAGAGCCCAGCCTGGGACCAAGGGGCTTGGCATCCCGCAGCCCCTCCCGCTCCACTCCTACCAGTCCCCGTGGCTTTTTCCATTTGGAAAGTCCTTTCTGGCGAGTGGCAGGTTTGGAGGCCCTAGTCTAGTCTCCTCCCCTGTCTCCTGGGCAGTGCCCCCAGGGGAGCCCCTGTGGGCCAAGATCTCCTTAGTCTCAGTCCTGGGCCCCCCTCACCCTCTACCAGCAGTCCCCCAGCTCCCGCCCCTCGGCTGTGGGACAGGGAGAGGGCTGAGGGGCTGGCTCTGCATACTAATGTCCTGCCCATTGTCAAAGCCCCTTTGTGCCAGGGAGCTCCATTGAGGCGGCTCCGGGGCAGGCACAATGGGGGCTCTGTCCCCTAGTTCCCCCAAACAGTCACCTGCTTTCAGAGCCTTCCCCACCACCCCCCCTTCGCCCCAGTGTCCGGAGGGCCCAGAGAGCACGGGGGAGTGGGCCCTGGGCCAGGGGGGATGGGCAGGAGGTGACTCCCCCACTCTCTGGGCAGGCTGGGGAGATGGGCATTTGACAGGGCAGGCTGCAGAGGGCACACAGAGGGGAGAGGCCCTAGGCTCACAGGGGCAGGGGCAGTCTGTGGAGGAGTTGGAATGCAGGTTCTCTGAGGCCTGAGAAGGGGAAGGGGCACTCAGAGCCTGCCCACTTCTCGGTTCCGTATGCCCAGCCTGGACCTGTGGCTGCCACCTCTCCTCCTCCCACTACAGGACTCCCCGGGGCTCATATATGCAGAGACACACAGGCATACACTCATCTATGCGGCCCCACACACGGCTCCCAACACACACCCAAACGGATGTGCCCAGACACAACACACTGACCCCAGCACACAGATCGCACGTCCACAACACCACCTCCTGGCATATGCACCTGCACACCCACCCTCCCTCCACCCCACCCCCCTTTCCCTTTTGCACCCCCTCCACGGCCGCAGGCATCTCAGCACCATGTCCCTCCCCCCCATGCCCTTGCTGCCCTCTGCTGCTCTGACACTGGTTATAACAAGTTTGCACTTGTTGTGACCTTAAGAATGTGGCCCTGGGGCTAAGAATGTCCCGCTGCCCCAGACTGCACCTGCTTATACGTTAACCATGGACACAGCCTCTTGCTGCACTCTAAGCAATGCTCCCATTCCTGCCTCAACCATGGAAGCAGTTAGGTGGGCCAGGCCCCCCACCCCAGAGCTGAGTCAAGTACCCTGGACTGAGCTCTATGTGAATAACTAAAGCCCCACCTGGCCTCGCTGGCACAGGTCCAGTGTGTCCGTCTTTGCATTTGCCCAGGGCACATAGATATTTCCTAGCCCTTCCTGGCCCTGGGAGGTAGATGGAACAGTTATCATTTTCCCAGCAAGGCTCTGAGAGGTAAGATGATGGTGTCCAGGCAGCTGGTGGCAAGTCTGGGACTAGAATGGAGGTCTCTCACCGCTAGTTTTTTTGTGTTTTTCCCCCAACTATTTGTCTCTTGGTTTCACTCAGATGACCCCACCCCCAACCCTATCTACAATTCCAACAGAGCTGTCTTTTAGCCACCTTTTTTTGGGAAGGAGTGGGGGCATGGTGAGGGGAAGGGGTGGGGAGAAGAACGGGTCTAGGAGCCTTAAGTGGGCTTCTGGGTCTAGAAAGAACCTCCGAAGGTCACTTTGACCCTTGCACTACCCCTAGGCAGAGTGAGCCTACCTCCTTTCACTTCCCACCCTCCTACCGGCCCCACTCCTGCTACGAACTCTGGATCACTGGAAAGTAACCCCACAGCCTTCTTAGCTAGGGTTTGGAGTTGGGGATCTCTATCAATTATAAGTCCTTCATGCTGCCTAGTACTGGCCTTTCCAGTTATTATCCTACGTCTGCACGAGGATCTGTAGGCTGTATCTACGGCTCACCTGCTATTCTGGTCCAGAGCATCTTCTAGCAGTTGGGAGCAGATGCCCTAAAAAGGGAAGAGAGGAAGGCCCATTGGGATCCCAGAGACTTGAGGGCTGACTGCACAGTGGTGTGCTGGGGCCTGGGAGGGTGGATGGGGTCACAGTTGCAGAAACTCTGTTAGATAGAGAACTAAGCTGATATTGGTTTGCTCATCAGCAAATATTATTGAGTGCTAATCTCCATGATGTTTCCTCCCATCAAAATTGCATGGGAGAACCTCAGGGCCCTTCTACTCCTTCTCCTTTCCCCTCATCTAAAATGCTTCCCCTCTGGCTACTGGATTCTCCTTAAGCCGCCTCATCCATCTGTCTTCCTTCATGCAGGAACACACCTCCCCCAGCCCTTATACTCTGGTGTGATTCTTTTGCTCCAAATGTTCCCTACTGGAGAAAGAGAACTGCTCAATGTATGTAACTTCAGCTTTCCCTGCTGTGCTCGGGCAGTTAGTTACTATAGGAGACAGAGGACAGTGAGACACTCACCTCTGAATCTAGTTCTGTATCTAGTAAGTGTCCTCATGCCATCCCTACCCCATCCTCCTTCTTAAGGGAGGAATGTGGATAAGGAATAAGTAAAAAGTTGAGAGGGGGCAGAGAGATTGCCTCCCAGAGTCATGGTGAGCTCCCTAGACTCCTCTGAGTGAGGGTCAGAGGCTGCTCTTCATGCAGGGAACAGGAGCCCCAAGAAGGAAAGGGAGCTGAGAGGACACCTGTCAGGGAAACAGGCTCAATTTTCTGAATATGAATGACAGGTACAGAGTACCTCTGTGTCTCCAGCTCCATTAAGGGTACAAATAGGAAGAAATTGCTCAGATAGCAACAGGTAAATTTTGACTTAACTGGAAGAATTCCCTGGGCATAAGGGGAGGGACAGAAAGAGGTGGAGAACTCATTGCCTTGATGAGAAGGAAAAGTCCCCCTTTAGTCACCTACTGAACAAAGCTTGAGTGGCCTGGAAGATAGTTCCAATGACTCTCAGAGCCCCTGTGGGGTTTCCAGCGGCCTCAAAGGAATCCCTTGATCATTTCCACAGACCCCAGTAAGAGCATTGCTGAATGTCTCCTCCTCGTGGACCTCACTATTTGCTGCTTATTCTAACTCTTCTTGTTGGGCCAGCTTCTGCAGGGGTGAGGGAGACCCTGAGACCTACTAGGTGGGAGGCCCAGATTGAAGATAATGGGCTGTGGCTGTGGCTGTGGTTGGCTGGGGAAGAGTTTCTGTGGATAATGCTCCAAGGTTGGCTCCACAGAAACTGGCACTTTTGGACCCCAGGGTGAGGAAAAGGATCTTGTAGGAAGAGATAAGTTGAGATGAAGAAGAAGACCAGGGTTGTTGCTCTGATTCTGATGTAAAATAACATGAGCTACCAGCTAGCAGTGTGATCTTGGGAAAGTTACCCCCCTCTTCTAGGCCTTGGCTTCCTCTTTAGTAAAATGTGGGTATTAAACGTGATGACCATAGAGGACTTCCCAGCATGAATACTCTGTGACACAGTCCAGTAGCAAGTTGAGAAGCCCAGACTTTAAGCAGATTTAAGCAGGCCTGGGTTCAACTTGCAGTGCACCCCTTACGAGCAGTCCTCCTGGGCAAGTTAGTTAACCCATGTAAGTCTAGTTTCCACCCGTTCATCTGAGGGCAATGCTATTGCCCCCCTAGGGAGGCTAGGATGAAGCACGGCATGGAGCGTCCAGCACAATGCCTGGCGCACCGTAAAGCCTGAGGTAGGAAGTTCATGGTACTGTGGGAACACAGGGGGATAGCAGCCCATGTTGTGGGTGGGGGCATCCAGAAAGGCTTTCCAGAGAAAGTGACATCTAAGCTGAAGCCTGAAGGAGGAGTAGAAATTAAGCAAAGTGGGAAAGGAAGAGTGTTCCATGGAAGAGACCCCATTATTTGCTAAGAAAAGCTTGGTCTGTTCAAGAACCGAGAGGTTTTGTGTGGCTGGGGACATGATGCATGCGTGAAGTGGGTGGGTACAGATAGAGAACACTGATGCTAGGGAGGTCAGCAGAGACCAGGTCATAAAGGACTCTGTTCCACCAGTAATTCTAGGGACTTCAGAGATAGGGTCCCTCCACTTCCTCTCCTCTTCTTCCTACTTTTCATTCATCCTTTCTCCCAAGACTAATTTCTCTTGTCCTTGGTCACACGAGCACAAGGAAGCATTGGGCTCCCCTAGGACGACCTGGCCAGTGCAGGAAGAAGCTTTAAGTTCAGAGTTGTCTGCCTCTGGACAAGTTTTGGCTTAGGCCTGAAGTTTTCTGCCTCTGTCCTTTCTCACCACTAGAGAGAGATGTGCCTTCCACAGAAGACCCTGGATTTTATCACTGAGGCACTCCTACTAAGCACTCCCACAGTGGGCCTCAGTTTCCCCATCTGCCCCTCTCATTGTAGAGAGTAGGGAGAGTGTTGACAGGGTGGGGCTGAGCACAGCCTGCAGAGAAGAGCTAGGGAAACTGACTCAGTGCCCCCAAGTGTCCAAACGTTGAAACTTCAATGGGAAGCTCAGAGGAAGGACTTCCGAAGGATGAAGTGGGTGGCACATGGAAAAGGGGGCCTGAAGGAGGAAAAGTGATGTAGAACATCAATCCTACAGGCTCTTTAAAGTCAAGAAATGCCAGGCACTGAGAAGGACACAAAGATGAACAAAATACAGATTAAGAAGCAGTCCAGAAAAGGTTCTCTGTTTGGGAAGATGGGGATGGTCCTTCCTGGAAGGCACAGAGCTGATGAAACAGCCTCTACAGGAGTTGGCCCTGGGGGTGCTCTCACAATGGGGAGTAGCTCTTCTGCCTCCCCTACCCGCCACTACCTCTTGGGCCCTCCACCCCCTAGGTCCAAGCCTCCCCTCATTTCCAGCCAACACCACTTCAAGTTCAAAGACAGGAAAGTGTACAGAGAAGGGCCCTTCAGCTGGGATCTGGTCAGCCTCCCCCGCCCTTCTCTCAGGTGGAGAACCCTGTCTTGGCCCTGGGACTCCAAGGAATAGGTCTCATCATACCCTCCCTAGTTTCTCAAACTCTTCTGGTAGATCAGGTGACAACTCATTAGCCTTCAGCCCAAGAACATTATCTCCAGGGCCCTGGCCATCCTAGGCCTTGAGAAGGCTGCCAGCTGCCTGATACTCCTGAGGCTGGGGGCAGACAAGAGGGCGAGAGGCTGAGGGATAGTAATTAAGGAACTTGGCTCTACTCAGCAGTCTTCAGCACACACTTGCCCACCTCTTGGCAGGCTGAGAGGGTTTTGGAGGAATTATAGAGAGGTGGGATAAAGAATAGTGGGTTGGAAGTCCCCTTCAATTCTGGGGCTAGAGTAAATCTTACCCCACAACTCACCTGGAGAAAGGAGATCGAAGGGATGGTGTAACTTGAGCATCATCAAGGCCACTGGGGTGTGGAGAGGCAACGTGAGGGAAAAGCCCACAGGATTTGGAGACATGGGGTCTGGCTTTGCCATTAAATAAACGTCAGCAAGTGACTTTATGTCTCTGAACCTTAGTTTCTCTGATTCAGTAATATTTTTCATTCATCTGCAAAGTAGGATAATAACATCTTTATTTGCATAAGGGCCTTACAGATTTCATATACTTTAAATCTTGTAATCCTGACCACATAGTGGAAGGTTTTATTGCCTCCTTAGATGAGGAAGCTGAGCTCTAGAGAGATTAAGAGATTGACTGAAGTTCCCCTAGCTAGTAAGTGACACAGACAGGATGGCAAATAGCGGGAAAGGAGAATACATAGGGACCTTTGTGACTCAGACATGCCAGGATAAGAAATAGGTTTCATTTGTTGGGCTAACTCCATTTGATTGAAAATGACTCTCTGTATCACCATATTGAGGATGATTCTGAGGCTCAGTCAGATAAAAAGCACTGTGATGAATTAGTGTTATCTGCTAAGGGGTGGTGGGGTGATGAGTGATGGCTCACATGCTGTATAGTTGACATTCCTAGCCCAGAATCACCCAGAGATTCTAATTCCTCCCTCTTTACTAACCAATTAGGTTAAATTTAAAGGTAACAGCTTACAAAGGTGACTAAAATACAGTCTGTGCCTTCAAAGAGCTCACAATCTCTAGAGGAGAACAAAGGATGATGTGGCAAATGTCCCGGGAACATAGAGGGAGAGTAACTATTTCTACCTGGGAGGTGGGGAAGGCTCCACAGTGGAGAGAGCACTGGGGAAGGGCCTTGAAGGAGGAAGGGGATTTGAAAGGGAAGACAGCAGTCTGGAGGGGAGTCTTGGAGCAGGCAGAGGATGTTCTAGGTAGAGCGAGCTGCCCGAGCAAAGACAGGGAGACAGACAAGTGGAGCACAGGCTATGTTTCACGTGGCTAGAATATGGGCTGCACAGGGAAAATATTCCAGGGGAGGCTGTGAACAGTAAGGTGGAGTCAGACATTGAAGGATTTTGCCAAGAAGTTTGAATTTTATCACGAAAGCTGTGGGAACTTTTTGAAGATTTTAAAGCCAAGTGATGGGGTCAGAATGTGTGCACTGAGGCAGCCGAGGACCGAGATGAGCACAGTGAGCCTGGGTGCAAGAGAACCAGGAGACCATTGCAACACTTCAAGTGAATGAACTAGGGCAGCCTCCATGGACATGAAGAGGAGTCATGAAGGCAGAAATGATGGACCTAGTTACCAATCAGATGAGGGGGAAGAGAGAAAGCAGGGGTAATTCTAAGGCTTGGGCACCTAGTGGAGGGTAATTCTGTGAACAAGAAGGAAAACACAAAAGAGACTCTTCTGAGGAGACAGGACGCTGAGTCTGAACATGTTAAAATTGGAATGCTCCAGGTAGCGGGAGCCTGTAAGTACTTGGACACCCAGGGCAGAGGTGACGTGGAATCCACGGAACGGGGGAAACAGTTGAGGAAGATGGAGTACAGTGATCAAGGATGAGAGTCAAGAGTGGATGGATTCCTGAGAAACACCAACAGTTAAGGTGCAGAGGAGAGATTACAGCAAGAGAGATGATCCAAAGTAAACACAGAGGTAGAGAAAGAACCCCGAGAACATGGTGTCCGAGAGTAACAGTGAGACTGTGCACACATGTAGTGTTCACAACCCATGCAGTGTTCTCACACATATGATCACATGGAACTCTCCCGTCACCTCTGTATTATTATGCCCCTTTTGCAGATAAGGGAAATAGAAACTCATGCATTTAAGTGATTTGCCCCAAATCACAAAACCTAGAAATGGCAGAGCTACTTAATGGCTAATCAAGGTAGATAAAATCAGTGGATTCCCACCACACCTCAATAAAAGCCAAAAGAGAGTGTTAAGAACAGACCGGTCAGTCATCAGTCTCAAGTGTAGCAGAGACTGCTGGGGTCAAGGGCTGAGAAGACACCCTTGGATTTAATGATGGAAGGTCAGCTGTGACACTGGAGAGAGCTTCCTGCTTCCTGTTGCTTTAACTGCCCCCTGCCCCCCCTAGACTGGCTGTGTGGGGCAAATGGAGTAATTCTGAATTTATACAAGTGTTTTGTAGACTTCAAAACCCCATATTACAGAGGTGATTGTTACTGTTATTTTTACTGTTATTAGGTATTGTTAGATTGAACCCTTTGATATTGCCAATAGGGAACCCATGTATTAAATGGATGATTTCATAGAATTCAACCTAATAGTAAAAGGAGTGAGCTGGAGTCGGGGAAGGGGCTGTGAGGTTATGAGACAGGCAACTGCGCAGGCAAGGGTGGCCCCAGGGGACTGGGGAGCCCCACCCCCTGATGGTTGGGGAGGTCAGTCTTCCGCATGGGGTGGAGAGTGGTAAATCGCTGGTGAAGCTTGAAATTTGCAGGAGTTCCCTTTCACCTCCACCACTTCCACACTCCCCATCTGCAACCTGGTCAGCCCCCTCTGCAGAGACTAGGGGTGGGGGTACACTCTCGTGAGGGGCTCTGACTGAAAAAATACTTCTGGTACCTAAACTAGGTTGATCCCCTCAACCAGCAGTCTTTGGAGATAAGTTGGGGATGGATTCTTCCTATGGGGAATCTCGGGGCCTAGGCCAGGTGATGACTGATTGGAGATCCAGGCAGAGCTGACACAGGAAGGAGGGTCCTGAACAGACTTCTCGTTTATCACCTTGACTCTCCCTAACCTAGCTCGGATCCTCTTGAGATTTTCCCTAGTGTCCTTCGGAACCTTTTCAGCATCGCATGTCTTAGCGGTAACAACAGGAATAACAATAGCAACAAGAGTTATTTCTATAGATGCCATTGCTTCCAGCTGACTCTTAGCACTGATACTAATTCTTCTGGCTGTTCAGTTAAGATGAGGAGGGATGGGTTAACATCTCCCAGTAGATGTTCTTCTGAGGTGAGGACCCAGATGGGGCCAGGCTGGGAGGCTACTGGGATTGCTGGAGCTGGGGCTGAGGAGACAGTGGTATAGCCTCTGTCCTCAGTTGAACCCTGCCTAGTGCCAAGCTCCTCACAAAGGACCAGCTCCTGTTGAGCCTTGCTGGCCCAGACAATGATTAGCAGCAGATACCGGGATGGGGTGATGACTCAGGAGGGCGTGCAATAGGGGTAGTGTGAAAGGTTGAGAGGGCAGGTGCATCAAAGAGGCAGCACCCACTTGTCACAGGAACCAGGAAGTCCTCCTCCCTCTCCAGCCGGCGAAACAGGGGGTCCCCAAGATGCCATCCTGTGGGCAGGTCTCTACAGAACATTGTTTCTTTCTTGCAGGGGACAGAAGGCACCGCTTGGGGATTGAGGTGGAGGAAGGGGCAGTGGTCCTAGTCAGCTCACATTGACAGGCAGGGGTGGTGTCTGGCCAGAGAATATCTGATGTGGCCCCATCTTTTGTCCCTCCCTCTCTTGACTGGAAAACACACAGGCAGGTCAGAAGGGCCATGCAGAGGTTACAGACTCCCAGGAAATGCTTTGAAGGCTTTTATCCTTTCTTTTGATCAGACTATGAGAACTTTCCAAACGTTGACACAAGAGAAGAAAAGCCTATTCTTCCATGGGCCAGGGCCTCGATGTCAGGCTGGGGCTAGAGGATGGGAGGGAAAGGGGGAAGGAGACCAGGGAGTGGGAGACAGAGGCAACAGTGATTCAGCTGGAGAGTCAGGCCCCAGGACACACACACACACACACACACACACTGCCCTCTTTTTCCCCACCTCAGGATTTGTGTGCATCTGGCTCCATTTCTATTTGTTTATTTTCCTTGGGGCAAGACAGGAGGCGGATTAATGAATAAAGACATCAAGTTTGAAAAGAACCCCAAATCCAGCTCCATTCTTCTTCCAACCTTGAGGGCTTACATAACCATGCAGTGCTTTTCTTCCTGCCCTTCCTCTCTTACCCCTCTCCTTCATTTTCTCTTCCCCAACCCTCATTAAGAACACTTGGAAGCCCAGAAGTGCTTCTTTTTCATCCCAATGCAACTGATCTCCTTCTGGAGGACTCTAAGGTCGCTATTCAAGTTGGAACTGGTATCCAAAAACAGATAATATGGTTGGTGAGATGAGGCTGAGTAGCTGTTTGCTCTCTCCACCGAGGCCGGGGGGAGGAGTGGGACCAGACTGCTGTGGAGGCAACTTGGGCTAGACATAGAGATTTACAGCAGGAAGTGACCCTAATCATCCTCTAACGTAGCACCTCCCAGACTGACCTCGCAATGTGTCCTGAAAGGCAGAGGAGAGGGAATTTGTGCCCTAGAATCTACAGGGATGAGCTGTAAGCGGCCACACACTGGACATCCTTGAAATCTCTTTTTGTCTCAAGCCATTCAAAATGTTTATTCTACTTCATTGTACATTGTTGGCATAATATTAAAACAACATTTTCCCTCAAAATCTGAGCAAAATTGATAACTTCAGGAAATATACTAAATTTAGTCCTGTGGCTTTGAGTGCCTCCTGACATACTAGTGTATGCCCTAGTTTGAGAAGTGTGAAACTAATACCAACCCCTATTCCACAATGAAGGAAATACAGATCCGAGAGGCTGAGAGGCTTGACTGAGGTCACAGCTAGTCAGTGGCAGAGTTGAGATCGGCACCCAAGTCTCTTACTTCCCAGTCCAGTGCATGTTCCACCAAGCAGTGCTGTCTCTTAGTTCTGAGTGGCTTTTACACATCCTTGAGCCTAATTCTCTCACTCTATCTTCAGAATACTGGGCATGGACAGATACCTAGCTCAACTGTCTAAGATAAGTGTGGGTGTGGAGACCAGCCTAATCTCAGGTGCTGAGACATAGTGCTCAAAACCCCTCTACTGCATACAGGGCTCTCCCAACATGGAAGAGGAAGGAGAAGGATAGGACAGGAAGGGAAGGAAGAAAAGTACTGCAAGGATTATGTAAGCCCTCAAGGTTGGAAGAAGAACAGAGCTGGATCTGGGGTTCTTGAGCATGATGGACAGATAGTAGGACAGAGAGCAAGCTGAGTCCCTATTTCTATCCACCTATTCATTTGTCTTTACCAAACAGTGATTGGTTCAGAAAGACCTTCAAACCTAAGATAATTGGATTAGTTAATAGCTATAGTAGGCACTGTTCTTATTTTCCAGGAATCTGCCTCCCTTTCTGATCTCATTTCCAGATCCCTCAATCAAAAGGCTCTTTTCTACAGGGAAGAAGTAGGGAGAAGAATAGGAGGCTTTTGGGCTTAGAATATCTCTATTAATATGGACACATAGGCTGTGTGATACAGAAGAAGAATAGAAGGATAAAGTGTGGTAAAGAATTTGAAGGCGAGAGTTATGATTAGATGGATAGCATACTATTACCAGGATGAGATACAGGAAGCTGGAGAAACCATAAGGAAAAGAAGGGACAGCCAGAGAGATGTGTAGGCAATACAAAGGCAAAGAGGGAGGTGAGAAGGAGGAACGGGTCGGGGAGACATTTTAGTGACAGCCAGGATGAAAAGAGAGGACAAGCAGAGAAGCACCATTGATAGAGATGAGAAGACCGTTGGGAGGAGAGTCCACATGAAGGAAGTGGGGAGAATAAAGACAAATCATGCAAAACTAGGAGAAACAATGGGATCAAGCAGCCATGAAGGAAGGGCGTCGCCTCCAACCCTTGGATACATCCTGGGCATCACTGCTGGTGAATTTTGCATACCTGTCTGGCTCCTGCTAACCTCCACTATGCTTAAGGTGTCATCTCTGCTTGTTGAGTGTTGAGTTTGCTCAGTGAAGACAAATAAACTATAGTATTAATTTGAAGTAATGGTGGAAAGGACTTTGGAATCCAGCCAGGAAGAGGCATAAATTTCAGCTCTGCTACCAATAAATTGTGTCACCTGGGCTCTCTGAACCTCAATTTCCTCAGCAGTAATTATGAAGATAATAAGATTTGTTTTACAGAGTTAAAAAGATGAAATATGAAGTGCTGGTCTACAGTAGGCATTCAATACATGATAGTTCCCCTCCATCTCTCCTTCCATGTCCCTGAACCAAACATTTGCAAGAGGAAATACTCCACAGTCAAAAAACAGAAATCATCTAGTGGCTCTAAGAAAGAATGACCAGCAGGCTAGGCCAGACACCGTAGCTCATGCCTGTAATCCCAGCACTTTGGGAGGCTGAGGCAGGTGGATCATGATGTAAAGAAATCGAGACCATCCTGGCCAACATGGTGGCCAGCTGGCCAGCTGGTTATGGTGGCTCATGCCTGTAATTCCAGCTACTCGGGAGGCTGAGGCAGAAGAATCGCTTGAACCCGGGAGGTGGAGGTTGCAGTGAGCTGAGATTGCATCACTGCACTCCAGCCTGGAGACAGAGTGAGACTCCACAAAAAAAGAAAAGAAGAGAAAAGAAAAGACCAGACCAGCAGGCTGGAGCACCATGGAGGAAGCCAAGGCTCTGTACCTGACCCTTGCAGGAGCTGCAGGGCCTGACCCTGGCCCTGCAGCTGGCCATGAAGGAATCCACAGGGGCTGGCCACAAAGCAGGAGGGTGTTGAGGGGTCACAGCACATCACTGTTTTCCCAGTGTGTCCTATTAAGATCTTTCATGTGCTCCCAACGCTTCAACCAAAATGAATGGATCCTTATTTCCTTATTTCCTGGGTGGCCCTGGATTTCCTCATCTTTCCCAACCCTGTTCCCTTGCACTAGATGTCAGTTTTCCCTTCACAAGCTCTTCTTGTACTTCACTGATGCCTTTTCCATGGCACTTATCACTTCCTGCCTGTTTTACAGTTTTCTCCTTTATTAGATTGCAAGGTCTTCACGGAAAGAATCTACATCTGATCCATCTCCATAATTCCATTGTCTTGTTTAGAATTTGGCACCCAGTAGTTGCTGGAAAAAAAAATGTTTACTGAGGCTGGGCATGATGACTCATGCTTGTAATCTCTGCATTTAGGGAGGCTGAGGTGGGAGGATGGCTTGAGCCCAGGAGTTTGAGACAAGCCTGGGCAACATAGTGGGATCCCATCTCTACAAAAAAAAAAAAATTAGCTGGGTGTGGTGGTGTGCACCTGTAGTCCCAGGTACTCAGGAGGATGAGGTAGTAGAATCACTTGAGCCCAGGAGGTCGAGGCTGCAGTGAGCCATGATCACACCACTGCACTCCAGCCTGGGTGACAGAGTGAGACCCAGTTTCAATAACAATAACAAAGTGTTTATTGTATAAATGAACAAAAACACAGCTCATACTGAATGTGGTGGGCAACATTAATACAGATGAAAACATTTGGTTTGTTTGCATACCTATTAGTGTTGATAATTAGTTATCTCGGGTTTCCATGTGTACAAGGAAAAAAGAAAACATCATTAAAAAATCAAGAGAAGATACAGACAAGAAGGGGGAATGAGAAGGCCCCAGAGTGAGAAGTGCTGGACCAGAGTGAAGTTCCATCCATTCTACCTAGGACAAGAACTTCCACATCTCCCTGGCCCTATGATGATGGAGTCAGTTAGATTGGCCCCTATGGCTGGAGTGGGTTAGGAGTCCCCTCCTACTTTTAATTCAATCATAAAATACTTCTTGAGCACTTACTATGTGTCATACATTGTGCTAATCTTTAGGATAACATATATATATATATATATATATATATATATATATATATATATATAAATAAATAAAATGCTGGATCCTTCTTTCAATGACCTTATTTGTAGTAGAATACAAATGATACACCATGTACTAAGAGCGGTGCCATTACGGGTATAGTTGGATATAGATATACATATATGGAAACTCAGAAAAGAGAGGCATTACTTAAGGTTGTAGGAATCAGAGAAGGCTTCATGGAAGAGGGGTTATTTGAACTGGACTCTGAAAGATAAGACTTGGATAGGTAAAGACAAGGAGGAAGGGGAGCCCAGGAAGAGAGAAGTGCAGGATCATGGAAGGCAGAAAAGCATGGGAGTGCACAGCAGGGAGCAGGGAGTGGTTGGTTTGCTTGCAATATGCAGTGTGCCATAGCAGAAAAGTGGTCGGAGATAAGGCTAGAAAGCAGGTTCAGAAGCAGACTGCGGAAGGCCTTATATGCCAGCCTGGGTTTGGCCTGTCTTTGATAGATAATGGGGAGACATTAAAATGTTTTGAGCTAGAGAAAGAACTAAGACAATTATAGTAAAATGAAAAGTGGATGGATTTGGGAGACGGGACCTGGGCATGAATCTAATTCCACAGTTTACTGAGTCACACCATCTCTCTGAGCCTCAGTTTCCTCATTCGTAAAACAAGGATTATAATCTTAATATTTCATAGGAATGCCATGAGAATAAAATGTGAAAGTGCTTTCTAAAGTACTGGATAAATGTTCATTGATTCCTGATCAGAGGTGTATTTGAGGAAGAGAAACCCAGGAGCAATGTAGGATGGATTTGAGGAGAGAAAGAACAGAGACATGAGATGAGTAGGAGGCTGATGCAGTGATTCAGCCACAAGGCATTAGGACCTGAAAAAAGACAATGGAATGAAGGAGAGGAGGCACAAATAATAAATCCACAGCACATGGCTTTAGATAAATGTTGAGTTGAGGCAAGAAGAGAGTTTGAGATGATCCTGGCTTTGAGTGTGGGTAATGGGTAGGATGATGGTCCCTTTAACTATTTTAGGAACCAAAATAGAGCAGCAAGTAGGAGAAGAAAGGATTTTACAATTGGAAGTGAATGCATTTAGTATTCATATCCCAAAGCTCCTTTCAGTCAACTTGCTCTTGCAACAGAGAAAACAGACAAAGCACTTTCCCTGTGGGTGCAGCTTTTCCCCTCCCCCTGCACCTGCTGCCCCTGGGAGGGGGTTGAAGCATCTTCTCTAGTCACCTAATTTAGCATAATCAACTCCAATGCTCTGTAGCAATTTACAAAGCTCATTCTCTCCCCAGCCCCCTGCAAATGGAACAGTTGGCCCAGAAGGAGCAGGGACTGATATCTTGGGCTTTTATTTTCTTACCTTCTGAAAACAGGGTGTAGGCATCTGCAGCATTAGCAAAGCCTGTGTAAACCTGGGTCCCCTCGCACTCTGAAGTGGCTCCTCCTGAAGGTCTGTGTGAACTAGGTGTCTCCTGTGAGGCCTTGGCCCGTCCAGATCAGGCTTTCAGTCATTCCCTTACTCTTTCTTAACAAACTATACTAGGCACTGGGGAAACAGATGAAAGGCAGAGTCAGTGGTCTTAAATTAGGAGCACAAAGATGGTAAACAATGATAAACAAACCATCTCAAAGCACTATAATGCTTCAAAATAGGAATATGTACAAGAGGGCCAGGTGCAGTGGCTCACACCTGTAATCCCAGCACTTTGGGAGGCCCAGGTGGGCAGATCACTTAAGTCCGGGAGTTTGAGACCAGCCTGGGCAACAGGGTGAAACCCCGTCTCTACTAAAAGTACAAAAATTAGCTGGGCATGGTGGCACATGCCTATAGTGCCAGCTACTTAGGAGGATGAGGTGGGAGGACTGCTTGAGTCCAGGAGGCAGAGGTTGTAGCGAGCTGAGATTGCACCACTGCACTCCTGCACTTCAGCCTGGGTAACAGAGTGAGATCCCATCTGGCGGGGGGTGAGGTGGGGGAAAGAGAATATGTACAAGAGCAAGCATAGTAAAGTAAACCCATTCTGGGCAGGGATGGGAGGGACAGAGAAGATGAATTGTTTTTTTGAGAGTCAGGGAAGGCGTCAAAGGGAGTAACTAACAGTTGAGTCGAGTTCTGAAAGATAAGGAGATCATCAGGTAGGCACGGAGCAGGGCAGTGCAGAAGCAGGTCCAAAGGTAGAAAGGATTGGGTAGTGAGGCTCTGCGTTGGAGTTCAGGGGGCCTGTGAAAGATTGTCAAGGGTAAAGTCAGAAGTAGGCAGAGACCAAATCATGAATGGTGTGCTGAGAGGCTACAGAGAAAACAGATAAAGCACTTTCCCTGCTGGTGCAGCTTTTCTCTTTCCCCTGTACCTGCTGTCCCTGGGAGGAGGTTGAAGCACTCTTTCTAGTCAGAAGTGTATTTGAGGAAGAGAAACCCAGGAGCGAAGTAGCAAAAAGCAAAGGGGAGCCACAGATCAAGTTATTGAGAGTCACAAGAACAACAGTGTCCTTACTCAAGAAAGGCCCTGATAAATCCATGTATTATCCTGGAGAATAAATGACTCTCAAGTAGAACAAATGACTCTCAAGTAAAATAAATGAGTGCACAGGCAAAAAAAGACAGCTTCAGGAAGAACTTCCGGGGGTAGCAGTAAGTGGGAGTGGTACTTGCTGAGGGAACGTGCTGATCATCACTGTAGCTATGACTGGCTTTGTTTTAGGGAAAGGATCACTAGTTCAGTCTTAGAGGAGAAAGAAGGTGAATATCTCTGTTTCTGTCTCTTTCGCCACTCAGGCTGGTCTTCAGAATTCTGTCTCTGGTATTTGGCCGGCTGGGACTGTTTTGGGGAAATAGCACCCTCTAGAGGAAAGAGTATGTTTTATTTTGCGGGGGTGCCCCGGGGTGGTGGGGTGCGCAACAGATGATTTCCAGAGCTTTGGCTCGATTCCTTCCCCAGGGGCCTGGCCAGCTTTGGGGTGGAGTGTAGCTGATTGTTTATCCGCTTCTGACTCTGGCCACCGCAGAGAACAAAGCTGCCTGGCTGTGGGAGGTGGCACAACAGCTGGGAGCAGCAGATAACAGCTGGAGGTGGCAGATACAAAGGCTGGCAACCACAGGCACTACAGCTGGAGGTGGCAATCACAACAGCCAGAGGCAACAAAGAGGCTAGCAGTGGCCGAAATCTCCAGTACCCTTGAGTCTAGAGCCTTAACCCTGGGATGTGTGGTCTTACATACAGCGTACCATAGTGGCACCTGCTGAGAGCATGAGGTCCAAGAGAATGAACCTGGGGCACACAAAAGCAGTTGCTACAATTAAAAAGTTCTGGACCAGGAGCTGGGAGACCTGGATTCTGGTTCCAACTTTACCACTAATCTACTTGGGGCAAAGCTCTCTGAGCCTTAGCTTCTATGGTGTCTTTCTTACCTACCTCATGGTGTGAGGATCAAACTATATATTTTATAAATTTTAAAGTGAGAAGGAATTATAGACTAATATTTTGGGAATGATAAGCAAGGCTTTTCTTGGGCCCTAAGAGCTTCCATTCTCCAAGATATGTAGAATCTCCCCTCAACATAAACAAAGCTAGGACTTCAGTAAAGGATCCCTGAATGTCACCATAGAAAGTGCAGGGGTAGAAGTGGGGTGGAGAAGGCAGACATCCTCACCCACCATGGGTATAGACAGAATCTTCAAGACAGTCTTTCAATCTCCCATCCAAAGCTTTTATCTCCGCCATAGGATCTCTGCAAAGTGCTTGTCCAAAGTGCCTTCCTGATTGTTACAATGCTCTTTATAATATCAACTTGCAATCTTTATCCCTGCAGTATGAACTCCCTGATTGTTCCTCTTGGAGCTCAAAGGACAAGTCCAAGCCTTTGATCACGTGATAGTCCTTCAAACCAAATATTTGCACACATTCATTATATCTTTCTGATTGTCTCTTCTCCTGAATCAACTTCCCTATTTCCTTCAATCATTTCTCATGTGGTCTGGTTCTGAATCCTCTCATATCCTGAGTGTTCCTTGATGCTGGATACTGCAGGTGTGGGATGAACAGAGCAGAGTAGAATCAACTACTTTTTTGTTCTAGGGACTTCAGTTCAACTGAAGGAGCTTAAGATTAGTTTGCTTTTTTGGCAATCAAAACACATGAATAACTCATATTGGATTATTTTCTGCTAATATGTTTAATTTTTTTATATTGTACTGCTTTGCTAAATCACATCTTCTCAATCCAGAACTTGCTCAGGTAATTTTTGGACCCAAGTACATAATCCAGCACTTAACATTTTTGTTAGACTTGGCCTACTTATTTGACTCCTTTTGGATCCTAATTCTGCCCCAGCTCTTGCATTTGCTATCTGTCCCAGCTTTCTGTCAGGCACACAATTGATGGCCATAGCATTCTATAGTTTTGAATGAAGTTCATGTTAAGAAAATTGAATAGGGCAAGGCCAAAGATGAAGCTCTCTGGTGTATCAATAGAAAATGAATTCCAGGCTATCATGGTCCCCTCACCAGTACCACTGATTTTTAAAGTCACCGAATTAGATTAGCATTCTCTTCATTTTTCTTTATCTTATCCCCAGGTCATAATGAGAGATCTTGTCAAAAATCTCCTGAAGTTTAGGTACACGTTCTCTGTTGCACTTCTTCGATTTGTCAATTTAGTAGCCTTATCATAAAAGAAAATTAGGTTATTATTGTTTTTGAGACAGGGTCTCATTCTGTTGCCCAGGCTGCAGTGCAGTGGCATGATTATAGCTCTCTGCAGCCTCCAACTCCTGAGCTCAAGTGATCCTCCTGCCTCAGCCTCCAAGTAGCTGGGAGTACAGGTGTGTGCTACCATATCCAGCTAATTTTTAAAAATTTTTGCTGATATGGTGTCTTGCTGTTTCCCAGGATGGTTTTGAACTTCTGATCTCAAGTGATCCTCCTGCCTCAGCCTCCCAAAGTGCTGGGATACAGGTATGAGCCACCACACTCAGCCAAAATTAGGCCATTTTGATGTGACTTGTTCTTAGTAAATCCACACTGGGTCCTATTGATAACTTCCTTTCCCCCATCCTACCTAAGTACTCGTAATCTTAATATTCCATTCTAGAATCTTGCCTAGGATCAATATCTTACCTGTTTGTAGTTTGTGAAAGGTACTTCATTTTTCTTTTTGAAAATTAAAACTATGTTCATTCATCTCTAATTTTACAGCACTTCTTCTGTTCTCATTCCTCAAAATCTTATAGGAGTTTACATCTTTTTTTTCAAGAGTTTGAGGATCAAATGAGAAGGTATTCTAATGTGTGAATTCTAAAATGGTATATAGATACAGGCAGTATGGTTGTTATGTTATTATTACTACTACTGAGTACTAAATAGGGCTTTGTTTAGGCTTGAAATACAAATTCTTCAAACTTCAGAGTTGCAGAGCTTCCTTTTTGTTCCAAAGCAGCCAAGGATATAGGGGAGTGAATGACATCCAGGTCTGGTTGAACAGTCTTGCATGAACGGAAGTTCCAAATGGCCTGTGACACAGGGCTGGTAAATTGGGCATCCTTGTTGCCTCTGAACATTCTCAGGGTTCTCATCCATTGGTGATCTCCAATTCAGTGCCTACCTGGTTGGGCATATGGTCAGGCCCAAAAGATTTGAAGTTTTCCAGGGACAAGGCCATGGGGAAAATAGAGATGGGGGGTGGGGTGGGCAGTGTGAAGAATCATAAAATGCAATGGTTCAGACTTTTTCGAATGGAGAATGTAATGAGCCTCTCCAAGAAGGGCTAAACTCCCCAGAGATCACCCTGCTCCACAGAAGATCTGGCTATCAGATCCAGGGTCCAAGGGCTCAAGTGATTAAAATTCTTTCTGTGCTGGAAAAGTACAAGTTACTGCTTGGGCAAGGGTGCCAGGCACCTTGTATTAAGTGAATTGTCTCCTATTTCAGTGGCTTGCCCCACTTTCTGCTATCAGAACAAATAGCAATACTGAATTTGAGCCTGTGCAGACATAGCTGCTAGTTAATATACACCCCTAGCTCTTCTACTTCATTCTGTCAAAACAATTTTGCCACCCACAATCTGGCATTTCTGCCAGTCCTTCAGAAAATGTCCCAGTGCTTCCAGGAAGTTTTAACATGTTGTTTCTCCTCCACCACTGCTTATTTCCTTTTGTTCAAGTCCCATCTGTACTCTTCCTAACACTGCCCTAGACTCTAACTCAGACCAAATTTCCCCAGATGATGCAAACAGATGATGATGATGATGATAAAAAATGAAATGGTCTGGGTGCTTAGGGAGCATCTTGAAGGGTAAAAGAATGGGTAGTTTCTGCTATTCTCTGAACCAGATGAGTATCTTAGTATCACCAGTGGGTATTGGCTTGGGGGTAGAGCAGAGAATGAAGAAATTAAGGTTGTGTGTGTGTGTGTGTGTGTGTGTGTGTGTGTGTGTGTGTGTTTTAAGGGGGATTGGCCTGGAAGGATTTCAACAGGATAGCTTGTCTTGCTTCATAGCCATTCATAAGGGTGGGGATGGATCCTATTTCAAAATTAGAGCTCTTCGGAGGACTGGTTTTGTGGTGAAGGCTCTCATTAGTCTCACCCTCACCTTCAAGGAATGTGAAGCTACTACTCTTTCTTTTCTGCCTCTCTTCCGCTAAGAATTACAAATATCAGACTGTGTTGCAATTATTTGCTTACTAAATAGGCATCTTTCTCACTAGGCTGTGAGTTCTTGGAGAGCAGAATGATGTCATTTTATTTTATTTTATTTTATTTACTTTTTTTTTTTTTTGAGACGGAGTCTCGCTGTGTCACCCAGGCTGGAGTGCAGTGGCGCGATGTCGGCTCACTGCAACCTCTGTCTCCCGGGTTCAAGCGATTCTCCTGCCTCAGCCTCCTGAGTAGCTGGGACTACAGGCGCATGCCACCATGCCCAGCTAATTTTTGTATTTTTAGTAGAGACAGGGTTTTGCCTTGTTGGCCAGGCTGGTCTTGAACTCCTGACCTCAGGCGATCCACCCGCCTCGGCCCCTGCACAGTGCCTGGCACATAGCAAGTGCTCAATAAATATTTGGTAAGACAAGAACACATAAGCGACATTCAAATGAATGTTAATTCCTCCCTCCCATGGGGTGAGGGTTAGGAGTCAGCTGGATTTCTACGATAACCTCCATTATGCTGTCTTGCTCCCTCCAGATGACGTCAGTTGCCAAGGTGTATTACAGTCAGACCACTCAGACAGAAAGCCGGCCCCTAATGGGCCCAGGGATACGACGGCGGAGAGTCCTGACAAAAGATGGTCGCAGCAACGTGAGAATGGAGCACATTGCCGACAAGCGCTTCCTCTACCTCAAGGACCTGTGGACAACCTTCATTGACATGCAGTGGCGCTACAAGCTTCTGCTCTTCTCTGCGACCTTTGCAGGCACATGGTTCCTCTTTGGCGTGGTGTGGTATCTGGTAGCTGTGGCACATGGGGACCTGCTGGAGCTGGACCCCCCGGCCAACCACACCCCCTGTGTGGTACAGGTGCACACACTCACTGGAGCCTTCCTCTTCTCCCTTGAATCCCAAACCACCATTGGCTATGGCTTCCGCTACATCAGTGAGGAATGTCCACTGGCCATTGTGCTTCTTATTGCCCAGCTGGTGCTCACCACCATCCTGGAAATCTTCATCACAGGTACCTTCCTGGCGAAGATTGCCCGGCCCAAGAAGCGGGCTGAGACCATTCGTTTCAGCCAGCATGCAGTTGTGGCCTCCCACAATGGCAAGCCCTGCCTCATGATCCGAGTTGCCAATATGCGCAAAAGCCTCCTCATTGGCTGCCAGGTGACAGGAAAACTGCTTCAGACCCACCAAACCAAGGAAGGGGAGAACATCCGGCTCAACCAGGTCAATGTGACTTTCCAAGTAGACACAGCCTCTGACAGCCCCTTCCTTATTCTACCCCTTACCTTCTATCATGTGGTAGATGAGACCAGTCCCTTGAAAGATCTCCCTCTTCGCAGTGGTGAGGGTGACTTTGAGCTGGTGCTGATCCTAAGTGGGACAGTGGAGTCCACCAGTGCCACCTGTCAGGTGCGCACTTCCTACCTGCCAGAGGAGATCCTTTGGGGCTACGAGTTCACACCTGCCATCTCACTGTCAGCCAGTGGTAAATACATAGCTGACTTTAGCCTTTTTGACCAAGTTGTGAAAGTGGCCTCTCCTAGTGGCCTCCGTGACAGCACTGTACGCTACGGAGACCCTGAAAAGCTCAAGTTGGAGGAGTCATTAAGGGAGCAAGCTGAGAAGGAGGGCAGTGCCCTTAGTGTGCGCATCAGCAATGTCTGATGACCTGTTCCCACTCCCCCATTCCTCTGGTCTCTTTTCCTCTCTTCCAATGCCCTGGTAAGGAATACTACCCGGGTTTACTGGAGATCCCCCGAAGCACCCATCCTCCACTCCCTCTTCTTTAACCCAGTGGCCTGTTGGTAGCTTAGGCCAACTGGAGTCCAGGTTCGCCTCCCACTGTCCCCTTTCCACTTCCCCAGCTTCTGCCCCAATACACATACCTCCCTTAAGCCAGGATGGGGGAAAGAGTGGGATTAGGCTGAAGTGGCTTAGAAGGCCTCAGCCATGCTTGGATACTCACATTAGGAGGACCATGTGGTTGGAAGGATAGACTGCCCCCTACCTCCCACCACCACCATGAAGTTTGGTGACTTGAGGCTGGAGCTCCCTCTGTTACCTTTCCATCTAGCAAGTTCCCAAAGGCAAGACTCTCTCTGATGGTCACTTTGTGGTCTGTGCTTTCAGAAATACAGGAATCTGATATCAACATATCCTAGGGTTTCTACCAATCTCTGTTGAAAGAAGCCAGGGTTTGCCACTGTGAAGCTTGATTTCTGCTGGTGACTTCTGACCATAAGCTAGAACCATGGTCGCCACTGTTTTCCCTCTGTAGTTTCTCAAGTGAACACTCTCAGGATACCCAGTTCCCTCATAGCCTCTGTTCTCAGAGAATTGGAGTTGGCCCAAGAAACATAAACATATAACCACCCATATCTATCCTGGATTCTGAACTCTTCAATTTGGAGTGACTAACACAAGTTGTTATCTAAACCTTTAAACCTATCTTCCAGGCAGCCCAGAGAAGATCTGTTTCCCTGTGTCCTGTGAATGGAAGGACCCAAGCCAATATGTTCCTTTGAAAAGAGTCCAGTACCCAGGCCCCATGGAAAGGTCTGAAAATAATATTCCAGATTACACTGTACCTGGCTTCTCTTCTTCCTTTCCTGCTCAGCCTAGATCCTTCTTCCTTAACCCCAACTCTTTGGGAGAAGGGAGGGAAAATGCAAGGGCCTTCCTCTCTTAACACGGATGCTCAAGTAAAACTAGATTCACAGGGCACAGATTCCCCAGAAAGTTAACACAATCCCACCATGAGGGATGGGTAAATTCTCAGATTTCCAAACTGCTGTACAGAGCCTCTGAGAATTGGTGATGCTTTGTTAAGGTTTGGGCAGGAGCAGAACTCTGTGGCTGGCAGCCACTATTCTCAGTTACACCTCCCAGTGCCCTTCTGAAAAGTGCCAGCTATTTCATTAGGCAATGCTGGAAGGAAATGAAATTATACCTTCTGATCAAATAACCATGGCTTCCCTCAGCCATTCCTGAGACTTGGTATAAAATGAAGAAATCAGTGTCATCTCTACTCTCCTCTGCCATGAGGCCATTTTCAGACAAGTTAAAAAGTAGACTTTAAGAGATCAAACTCAGCCTATTCCTTGTTCCCTGGTGGGGTCTGTGGTAAGGGTCAGGGAAGGGCATATAGGCACCAGAGCTTTATCCAAAGCCCCAAATCCCTAGAGTGCTTTCTGGTCTCACTTTGGTACCAAGGAAGCCTCACATAGTGGTACTGCATAGTCCCACTATAAGTCAAGTTGCAGTTTAAGGTGGTCTCAGCCAATTGTTACAAGCTACAGAATATATACATGCATCTATGTACAGAGCCTTGCAGAGAAACACAAAATTTTGAGGCTAGACCCATGATCACCACCAACTATAATTGCACAAGGTCTTGTTATATTGATCTCTCCTCGAACTCAACTAACTATATCTTGAAAACAAAGACCCTTCGGTGTCCATCTACAGTAAACCCCACCATTACCTTCTAGTTGGCATAAAAACAAGAACCACAAAAACTTGAAAAATCTGAAACAGAGAACAGAAGGCCAAGAGCCAGCTTCTGCGTTCTCAACTTTATTCAACATTAGACTTACCTTATTTCTTTCAGTGTGTAGGGACAAGATGTACTGCTGTGTGTGTGTGTGTGTGTGTGTGTGTGTGTGTGTGTGTGTGTGTGTGTGTCTATACCTTCCTATCCATTGCCAAGTTAACCTCCATCTGGTTTATTTGGCCATGCTATGCTTTCTTCCCATTCCCCTGCTGTCTATTCTAAGCCCCCAGACTCAAGCCTCTAGACTCTTGGATGAAACAGTGAGAAGAAAACATTTTCTGACTTACCCTTTTGGAATCTCCTCCATTATTACCCAGGCTTTGCTTTAAGTTGCACTTTAAATCACACTGTCCTATTAATGCGATCTGGCATCTTCTCCCACAAGCCCCCTACAGGGAACAACTACCCCCTACCTTAACTCTAAATGGTTCTTTAGACTATAGTCTGTCTCCTCTGACCTGAAATCCTCTTTTAGGCAATAGGCCGAGCTTTAGAAGCAGCCAGGTCTGGTGAGAAATGGGCCCCCATACCAACTGTGGACTTGGAATATCAGCAGAGTAGTAGGCACAGTTGTAAAAAGGGGAGATTTCGGTAGGCACAGGTGTAAAAAGGGGAGATTTCAGAAGACGGGCGAAACAACTGATGGGGGAAGATACCTGGGGTGAGAAGATGAGAAAGAAATGATGCTGAGGGACCTAGTGAAATCAATGAAACTCTTGAGTCTTGCTTAGGCTCGCAAACAAGAAGTGGGGAGGCTTGGGAAATTAGGATATGACATATATGAAAGGTTTATCTAAGAAGAAAGAAACAGAGATAATATATATATAGAAAGATGTATATAGATGTATATATGCCCAAATATATTGAATGTACAGAAAGGAAATATTCAGAGACTTTAGCATTGGGGGCAGATATCTTGGCCTGGTTATGGGGTAGGACACCCAGATTTTCAGACTTACAATCAGTGGTCCTGGTTTCAACATGGAAGTGAGATAGCTGATGAAGGATTTCAAGTCTGGAAATGGGAAAGGGAGGGGTAGAAGTTCCTTTTCAGAAATAAAGAGGCATTCATGAAGGCTTTTGTTGAATCCTATGCTACTGATAGGACCAGGAAGAGAGGAACTCGGAGGACAATAGGGAGGGGAAGTCTTGGAAAATCTACCACTTACACTGTGTGTCCCCATCCCCAGCAGCGTCCTGCCACTGTAGCGCCTTTTTAAAATAAATAAAATAAAATAAAGCACCATTTTGTTTCCCTTTCATGAAGTACACTGTATTTCCGTCTTCCACAGGGGTGGGAGCTGCTATTGCTCTAGCCCCTGAAATCAAACTCAGGAGCTGAACACTTTGGTGTATGGGAGGCACTAATGGGAAGCCTCAACCCTGGAATCCAAATGCCAGGACTAATAGCTGTTAGGCTGAAGATCTCCCAAGGTCAAGGCCCAGCCTTTTGTGTGGCTGCAAGCAGCCCAAAGAGAAAGCCATGGATTCCAGAAGAGTTCCAATCCTGGCATTTGGGCATGGAGGGTGATGCTTTGGTTTTGATGCTTCTGAATGAAAATGAGGAGTGGGGTTACCAGCTGCTCTAGGGGATGGTGAAGTTCCATGAGAGGCTTCCGAAATCTCTGCAATGTGCTTCACCCCATTATTCCCCCAACCCCTGTCAGCCTAATAAAATCATCCAGTAGTTTCCCTATAAGGTCTGAGCAGAGAAAGAAAGCCAGTTATACTATTGCTACAAGTCCAGGACACTGTGCCCTCTCCATGGCTGCTGCCCTGGTCCTTTATTCTTGCTAGCTAACCTAGTTCACTTGTACAGTAACACACTACCTTTGCTGGAAAGTTAGCATGGGTCTCCAGGCTCAGTAATGGCCAACTCTACTGATGCAGAAGTATTTAGGGATGTTTTTTCCATTCATTGCACTAAAGACTAAACCAGGTCAAATTTATCTAGGAAAAAAAAGGTGTGTAAGATTTGTTTTGTTTTTGTCTGTTAAAAATAAGCTACTAAATAAAATGGATGACTCTTTGGTTGTCACTCTAGCTTCTTTTAAAAAGCTAAACCAAGACTGTCAAGGTCTGAACTCATAGACCTACCTACCCATGAGTGTGGAGGGTTGAATTCGGCTGTGCTGGAAGAACTTCTGACTGCATGGCCAAGCCCCTTCTGTTTTTCTCTCATGCTTTAGCGAGTTCCTTTCACATTCGGTTTTCATGGGACAATACTGAAAAAAACTTTAAGACCCAGAAGTATGAAAATTGGCTCAGCTTAATCCATAAAAGTCAAGTTGCTTTGGATCCTGGGCATTGTCCCTTTTGGCCAGTGATCACAAGCCCAATTTCCCTTCCATGCTACCATGTAGTCTTGTTGCCAGTTTTCCTTATATATCCTCAAGGTTCTTTGTAAGCTTATTCCTTTAATCACCAGGCATTTCTTCCCTCAAATCTCAAATAAATGGATTTCTCTTCTACCCTTGTCTGTCAGTAGCCTGAGAAAGGTCTGGTTGTTAATATCCAGGCCTGAATTTTCTCTGATGAGAGGCAAAAGACCCTATGATCGCTGACTCTTGTTCCCCAGAAGTGGAAGGAGAGAGAGAGGAGGAGGGAGAAAATTGGGTCTCTTACCATGATCAATAAATACTTAAGTACAACATTTAGGAAATACTAGGAATGAATCCTAAGACATATGAGACATATAAGATATAGGACATGTATTGTTCCTAAAAGGCCTAAAAGGTTGAAGAAACCTATAAACTTGTTAGAAAACAGAAATAAAACAAGTAGCATATAACAAATATAATGAAAAGCAATAGCAGGTACCATGTACTAATGCCAGATATAACATTAGCAGAATGTTCCAAAAAGAGTGAGATCTCTGTGGGAAACATTTCACAGGGACAGGAACTAGGGAAGGGATGGTATCAATCTAACATGTTTGGTTAGAATACATTAAGGTTCAAGAAAAATCAGCAAACGCTGAGTCCCTATTATGTGGAAGGTATCATTCAGCTGACAAAGAAATATAAGACATGATGCATGAATCAAGGGATGTACAATCATGGCACTTTCCACCTGCTATTCCTTCTGTGGAACTCTCCCCACT
The DNA here is from genome assembly GCF_000001405.40 of Homo sapiens. Lineage (NCBI taxonomy): Eukaryota > Metazoa > Chordata > Mammalia > Primates > Hominidae > Homo > Homo sapiens. The sequence continues at coordinate 160,036,401 of NC_000001.11, read as the reverse complement.
GCTTGCCAACTTCCAATTTTCTTGTTTTTTTTTTTTTTGAGACGGAGTCTTGCTCTGTAGCCCAGACTGGAGTGCAGTGGCACGATCTCAGCTTACTGCAACCTCCACCTCTCGGGTTCAAGCGACTCTCCTGCCTCAGCCTCCTGAGTAGCTGGGACTCCAGGCACACGCCAACACGCATGGCTAACTTTTGTAATTTTAGTAGAGACAGGGTTTCACCATATTGGTAAGGCTGGTCTCGAACCCCTGACCTCAGGTGATTCACCCATCTCAGCCTCCCAAAGTGCTGGGATTACAGGCGTGAGCCACTGTGCCTGGCCAACCTTCTTAACTCTTACACTATGCCCATCTGAGATCAAATAAATCCCCTTAAAAGCTAGAGCACTTACCACAGCTGCATTTGTATATTATTTGTCAATTTATTTGACTAATGTCTGTGTAGCTTACTAGACTTCAAGTGTCACATGAATGGGATTCATGTCAAGTGTTTGGTCACGAGTACAGCCCAGCACCTCATATAGTGCCCGACATGTATGATGTTTGATAAATTAGCAGGAGGGAAAGAAAGCAAAGAGAGAAAGAAATGGCCTAAAGTATGCAGTGGAGCTTGTATATCTTGTTAAATAACTATAAAAGAGTTAGATAACGAGCATGACATAATTACTATTAAAAAAGAGAACAGACAATAAACATCACTGTTTTGAGGAGGGAGAGACTATTTCACTTGTTAAGGTCTAGGAAGAGGAGTTGAGAGTTGGGTTCAACATTGAAAAACCAAATAGCATTTAAGTAAGTAAAGAGAAACAGGTCTCTTTGTAGGAAGTACAGCATGAAGAAAGTGTCATGAGAAGAAAGCACAAGGCATATTTTGGGAACAGTAAACCTAAAACAGAGGCATTATAGGTGAATAGGATGGAAAGCTAAGGTAAAGCCAGAAAATAGGGGGACTGAATATCAGGCTAAAGTGTTCATTATTTTTTTCTTTAGGCAGTCAGGAACCACTGAAGATGTTTGATGGAGGAAAGAATCTAAGTAAAGTACTATTAATTAATATCAATCTGGTAGTAGAATTGAGACATAAGACATTAAATCAGTTAAGAGATTTTTAAAGCTTGAGGGAAAGGCAATTGTCACAGATCCTGGTATAGTATAGTATAGGTGTTCGCTACGTATTATTTGAGTTGTTGAAGGTCTGAACTAAGGTGCAGGATGCTGGGCATGGAAAGAATTAGAAATAGATTCCAAAGAAATGACAAAGCAAGACATATGAACAAAATCTAGTGAAAAAGAAAGTGATTAAAGTAGTCAAGGTTCTAGCAGGAAACAGATGGTATACTCAAAGGGCCAGTGGACATGTTTTAATGAAGAAACTATTTGCAAAGGTATGGGCAAGTTTAATAAATCAACAAGATATGGTGATGTACCCAGGCACTCGCAAAGTAGGACGCCTTTACCAGCCTTAAACCTGAAGGGACAGTTACTGGAACCATGAGACTTGTACCCAAAGGAGAGAGCTATAGCTTCAACAGGAGCCATGGCTTTAGGTGAGGAATTCCAGACACTGCCAAAGATCTGCTAGTGCCTCCCACTGGTCTATTCTAATGGGAAGCCAGAGAACAAGGGAGATTGAGTGATGCTACCCATACAGCCTAACCTCTTGGAACACAGAACAGGGCAAAAAAGATGAATAGTGGATATGGAAGGGTAATGAGAGTATATGCAGCATAGTGAACAAGGACAAGGTTCCTGCTAGGGAAACTAAAGTTGAGCGATCCATGTTTGTGCTTTCCTTAGTCATTGGCTCTAAAAGGATAGAAATCTAGGAGCAGATAGTGAAAGGGGGAATTAAGAAGGATTGTAAGTAACAGTCCGAGAGGTAATGAACAGTTGAGCATTTGAAAAAAATGTAACTCTTTCAGAAAGAGGTGAGAAAATACAATCCCTAAACCCAATGCAAAAAGTTCAATATGGGGTCCTCGGACCCTGTGATGTATCTCTTCCACCCAGAAATAGTAACTAAAGTTGGACCTCTCTGTCCAATTTGTTTTACAGATTCCAGTCTCTTCTTCGTTCCCACAACTGCTATCTACATCTCACTCCTTTGACTTCAGTGACATGCTTAGTTTTTTTTTTATTTTATTTTTTTATTAGTTGTTTCCTTATCTGCCTAAATTTGGTGCCTCCCATCTCTCTACTAGGACAGCCATGTAGGGACAGATTGACTGAAACCTTTCTGCTATACTACTGAAACCAATCCAGCCACAAGGACCCTTACTTAGTTAATCCTCAGACACCTACCTCCCATATTTTCTATCTTAGGGAACTAAGCCTCACTTATCTATTATTTGCAGAAGAAAAGAATAAATCAGAGGTAGAAAGAGTCACAGTGAGAGAGAATATCCAGAATATCAAGATGAGAGATCAATAAGAGAAAACATAGGAAAATTAGAATTTGTGATCAACATTTTATTGGCAAGTCAGCCACATAATGATTAAGATATTCTAGGTCAGACAGACTGGGTTTTGAGTTCTAGCACTGTCACTAGTTAGCTATGTGACTTGGGAAAATTACTTAATCTCCATAAGCCTTGGTTTTCTTCATTTGTAAAGGTGGGAATATCTACCTTACATGAAAAGTACTTAGCATAATGCCTGGTACATTGCAAATGAGTCCTCAACAAATCCAGCTATTATAAATAATAGTAATCATCATCATCATAATCATCATTATATGAGTGGTGATGTGCTGCCACTATATATATGGCTAATATACTGCAAAAAAATGGTTAGAATTATCAATCTAAGGCATGTAATGATACCAAGGCATATAAAAGGACATAGAGCTATCACAATATGAATATGGAATATATAAGATTAACACAGTTCATCTCCAAGGGATAAATTGAAGTGTAGGATGGATGAGCAGCAGGTAGTTCTGGGAGCTGCATGTTCAGACTGCATGAAGTCACCTCCTTTTCCTTATTCTAGTCTAGAAGACTTCCCCTAGGAAGCAGGCTTATTCTATAAAATCCAATTAGTCAGTATTTACTAAGCATTTACCATGTGCCTAAGACTACAATAAATTACACATAATTGAAAAAAATTAAGGATAAGATATAATTTCTACCCCCAAGAACCCTATAATCTCTTGTGAGGGCTATGAATACAATCTAAAATAAAGTATCAAATTCTACAATGCGGACTATGTAAGTGCACTAAGTAACCACGGAAAGGGAAGAGCTAATGGGTTACAGTCCTTGGCAAGAAATTCATGGAAGTAGGGTTGGAGTGGGGTGGGGGGAGCAGGGGACCTTGACATACATAAAGGATATTTAAAAGGGAAAATAACTGGGAGTTGGGAGCAATCCAAAGATGCCACTCTAGAAATATTCTGGTAGGAGGAACCTCTAAAATCAATTCAACTTTACTGAATGGCTACTAGTACTGTGTTAGATGTTGAGGTAGAGAAAAGAACAAGATAATCTCTGATACCGAAGAATTGAAAGTGTCCTGATGGAAAACTAGGAGAGCAAAACAAACAAAAACAGTTATTACAAAGCAGTGTGACAAATGCTGTAACAAAGGAATGACCAGGGAGTTCTGGAGCACTGGGAGAACTTTTAGTAGCATGGCAGGGTCTTCTGTGTGAGTGATTTTCTGGAACTTAGATCCCGTCCGCCCCAGTCTACCTATCCTCGGACAGGGGAGGGGACTGGCATCTAAGTCATTCATTCTGCGTGATGAGGAAGTGAGTGGGAGCTGGGAGCTAACACTTGCACTGATGCCTGAAGGGTTGAGTAGGTATTTGCCAGAGTGATTGGAGAGCGGATGGCAACTTTGACAGAAGAAATAGCAAATACAGAGATACTGAGGCATAAGGGGCTGACAAGTTAAGGAATTTTGTGACGCTTTCCTGTCTTCTTTCCCATCACCTTCACCTAGGGTTGCCGGATAAAATACAAGCTGCCCACTTAAATCTGAATCTCTGATTACCAACTAGTAATTTAAAAATATAAGTATGCCTCCAATATTGCATGGAACATACACACTCAGCCCCCTTCAACTCATCCTGTCCTGTCCGGGGCCCACAAATCCCCGGTGAATACCGGCGAGCTAGTGGAGTAAAGCATGAGAAGGCTTATCTTCCTTTCACTCCTACATTTTTCACTCTCGGATCTCCAGCCCAGGACTGAAGGATGTAGCGCGCAGCCCGCAGCTCGCTGCTCGTCGGAGGGTTTTCCTCTGAGGACTGGAAATGGGGCGCGGGAAGAGGGCGGGGGGCGGCGGGCTGTCACTTACAAAGAAATCTCACTCCACTCCATAAAATCCTCAAGCCAGTGCCGGATTTCCCGGCAAGCGGACGTCTCCCCTCCCACGGACCGGAAATCCCGCCTCCGCTGGAAGAAGAAGCGGAAGCGAGACCGTCCATCCAGAGGAAGGCAAGTTTTTGGCTCGGGCGGCTGAGAAGACCGCGCGGGGCTGGAGACAGGTAGCAGTACGGGGGCGGGGCTTCATGCCGGATGTGATAGTCTGCAGTCGTTTCGGTTGGCAGCCTGGCGGGTGGGAGATGCGGCGGCCACCTGCTGCAAAGAACCGAAGGGAAGGTTAGAAGTACGAAGGCAGTTTGGAGCTGGGGCTAAGCAGCTGTCGCACGGTCAGATCATGGGCTCCACCAAGCACTGGGGCGAATGGCTCCTGAACTTGAAGGTGGCTCCAGCCGGCGTCTTTGGTGTGGCCTTTCTAGCCAGAGTCGCCCTGGTTTTCTATGGCGTCTTCCAGGACCGGACCCTGCACGTGAGGTATACGGACATCGACTACCAGGTCTTCACCGACGCCGCGCGCTTCGTCACGGAGGGGCGCTCGCCTTACCTGAGAGCCACGTACCGTTACACCCCGCTGCTGGGTTGGCTCCTCACTCCCAACATCTACCTCAGCGAGCTCTTTGGAAAGTTTCTCTTCATCAGCTGCGACCTCCTCACCGCTTTCCTCTTATACCGCCTGCTGCTGCTGAAGGGGCTGGGGCGCCGCCAGGCTTGTGGCTACTGTGTCTTTTGGCTTCTTAACCCCCTGCCTATGGCAGTATCCAGCCGCGGTAATGCGGACTCTATTGTCGCCTCCCTGGTCCTGATGGTCCTCTACTTGATAAAGAAAAGACTCGTCGCGTGTGCAGCTGTATTCTATGGTTTCGCGGTGCATATGAAGATATATCCAGTGACTTACATCCTTCCCATAACCCTCCACCTGCTTCCAGATCGCGACAATGACAAAAGCCTCCGTCAATTCCGGTACACTTTCCAGGCTTGTTTGTACGAGCTCCTGAAAAGGCTGTGTAATCGGGCTGTGCTGCTGTTTGTAGCAGTTGCTGGACTCACGTTTTTTGCCCTGAGCTTTGGTTTTTACTATGAGTACGGCTGGGAATTTTTGGAACACACCTACTTTTATCACCTGACTAGGCGGGATATCCGTCACAACTTTTCTCCGTACTTCTACATGCTGTATTTGACTGCAGAGAGCAAGTGGAGTTTTTCCCTGGGAATTGCTGCATTCCTGCCACAGCTCATCTTGCTTTCAGCTGTGTCTTTCGCCTATTACAGAGACCTCGTTTTTTGTTGTTTTCTTCATACGTCCATTTTTGTGACTTTTAACAAAGTCTGCACCTCCCAGTACTTTCTTTGGTACCTCTGCTTACTGCCTCTTGTGATGCCACTAGTCAGAATGCCTTGGAAAAGAGCTGTAGTTCTCCTAATGTTATGGTTTATAGGGCAGGCCATGTGGCTGGCTCCTGCCTATGTTCTAGAGTTTCAAGGAAAGAACACCTTTCTGTTTATTTGGTTAGCTGGTTTGTTCTTTCTTCTTATCAATTGTTCCATCCTGATTCAAATTATTTCCCATTACAAAGAAGAACCCCTGACAGAGAGAATCAAATATGACTAGTGTATGTTCCACACCCTCTGCTACTGTGTTACATTCTGATTGTCTTGTATGGACCAGAAGAGAGCTTTGGGACATTTTTTCTGAACATTCTAAGCATTCTAGTGAAAGTTCCCATGTTCCAACAGAACTTAAAAGCAATGTTTGCCTTATATATAAAAGGGACACAATAATTGAGGTCCACCTTCTAGGAAATCCTAGGACTCGTTTATTTGGGACATGGTGGGAATAAAGGTCACATATTGGAAAATGGAAAGGCTGATGAAACTATCAGATACTAAAACATTCTTAAAATAGAGGAATATAGTTAGAGACATCAGGTTTAAGCCAGTATTTGTTCCTGTTTTACAATGCTTCTGTCTTAAGCTGTGTCTTAACTTTTAACACCCATCTTTTCTTTCTAAAGCTTTCCTGACAGCTGTGAAAATCCAAAAAATATTCTTAAACTGTGTATGGTGGCCCTTGCCTGTAGTCTCAGCACTTTGGGAGGCTGAGGTGGGAGGGTCGCTTGAGTTCAGGAGTTCTAGACCCACCTGGGGCAAGATGGTGAGACCTAGTCTCAAAAAAAAAAAAAAAAATTAGCCAGGTGTTGTGGTGCACCCCTGTAGTCATAGCTGCATGGGAGGCTGAGGTGGGAGAATTGCTTGAGCCCAGAGCAAGACCCTGTCTCAAAAAAAAAAAAAAAAAAAAAAAGGAAAGGACAACTTTTTAGATAGAAAAGTATTAAATAATACTAAGATGCTTAGTAGTATTATTTTAGAGAGTTTTAAACTTCTATATTAAATGTGGGGTCTTACAAGATAATCCAAAGACTTTGGGAGGCCAAGGCGGGCAGATCACGAGGTCAGGAGATTGAGACCATCCTGGCTAACACGGTGAAACCCCTCTCTACTAAAAATACAAAAAATTAGCCGGGCGTGGTGGGTGCCTGTAGTCCCAGCTACTCCTCGGGAGGCTGAGGCAGGAGAATGGCGTGAACTCCGGAGGTGGAGCCTGTAGTGAGCCGAGATGGCACCACTGCGCTCCAGCCTGGGCGACAGAGCAAGACTCCATATCAAAAAAAAAAAAAAAAAAAGATAATCCAAAGAATTTAAATTGTAATCATGTTTCATGTATTTGTTTTATTACTTACTTTTATAGCACTTAGTCCCAGTGGTATTAGACTGCTATTTGGTTTCATACAAAAAGGATTAAATTTAAATTCATTCATGTTTAGACTTGAGTTATTACATTTTTAAAACTATCATCTTGCCTTTAATGTTTGTGGTCCTACACAAACTATTAGTACATTTCAGTATCCTCTTACCCCTTTGTTTTTAAGTTTTTGATTGCTAAAGCAAGACTTTTTTCTTCTAGAATTTAAGTCAACCAAGTGTTATCTATGTTGTAAAAATGGATAATAGTAGATTTTAGGTGATAAAACAACTTGTTAGTAAGACATTTCCTAGCTTAAAAAAAAAAATCAAAAATTCCATGATAGAAATGCAGACCTGTGAGGGAAACTCCTGAAAAGCATAAGAAGCATCCCAGAGAGCCATGGGTTTTCTAGACCAGAGAATTTAGAGGGAGATTGTGGAACTGAGGCTTAGGTGGTCAGATCGTTTCCCTTATCACTGTAATATTTCTGGGGGAAAAATGCTTTCTGAGTTGTTTAAACAAGCATCCTTACATTTTTTTTTTTAATTAAACAGCCTGTCTAGGCTTGGGATTCCCTAATACTACAGTAGCAGTATATGAATATGATTTTGTGATTGTGTTTTTTAAAAGATAAGTAATTTGATGAACTGTTCTTTTGCAGTCAGAAAACACTCACAAAAAGACAAAAAAAGTTCCACAGTATTATATTTCATGTCAGTTCAGGCCTAAAATCCTTTGCAAATAAGATGTTTATAGGCTGGTCACAATTAACAATGTTATTATTGGCAGCACTTCTTGGATGGATACCTTTTGGGACCTTTCATTAGAAAGAGGGAAAGAATGGGGTGGTTTTGTATGGGCTCCTGTTTGGGGTAAAAATAGCAGAGTCAGTTGCTGAGGACAATGACCTTCCTTATAACATTTAGTTTCATACCCATATTAGGTCTTGTCTTGAGGACCCTTTATATGTGCTTGTTTACTAGTGGCCTTCCAGCCATAGCATTCTTACCTTTTTTTCCTATTCTAAGAATTAAAAAAAAAAATTATAGAGCCAGCAAGGGAGGAGGCAGGAAACAGAAATCGAATTTCATCATTCCAGTATAGTTGTCCCTTTTTTTGTATTTCTGACTTGGTTTTATAATTATATTTACTTACTAATTATTGTTTTTTAACATTCTTTATTGTGGCTTACTCTTCATACTTAGAATTGAAATTGTTGGACATCACATGTATATTCACATTATAAATACATCATTCTTCCACTGTTAGACCTTTAGATTGCTTCCAGTTTTTAATATTCTAAATAAGACTTTCAACATTTTCTGTGTTTTAGCTCATTCTCTTAGGACATTCTTAGAAGTTAGAAACATTTCTGCTGGGATCGTTGGAGGGAACTTCAAACTTTGGAATCTTTCCTGCAAGAAATTCTTTACCAAAGAAAGGCAGGTGTTTCTTAAAGGGATGCAAAAGATATTTTGCACTTTGTATGTTCCAAAACATTTAGTAAGTTAACTAAAAAAATGAGTTAATTTGGTTTCTTGGGGGATTTTAATTTTTTAATTTGTTTTCTGGTTATGTAAAAAAAATGTTTTTTTTTTGCTTCTTATCACAATCCTTTTGTTTCCTTTTTAATCCTTTAATAACACCTTCAAATTTTATAAGACTTTGGCTTATTTCCTATATAATTCTTTTTTTCTTATACCACCTCTTAAGATTGATATGTTCATTTGCAGGTAAGCATTAATTATTAGATAAAGAGGGATGATTCTCAAGATTGTGTGTGTTCTGAACAGAGGGAACTACATGACATTTTCTTCTGTAATTGCCTTTGTAACGTCTTTAGAATGTGGTTCCTAAATATTCCTGGATAAATTCTCTTGATAGGCCCATTGGAAAGGCTAATACTCCCACCCAGTGCTTTGTTCCTTCCTGGCAAAAGAATTCCTAAAACCACTGATTTTAGTTACTGACTTCTCACCATCTGGACTCTTACAAGATGTTTCAGAAGTTGTGTAGAACTTGTCTTTCAGTTGACTTGTGGCTGAATTTACTGTTACTTCTCTAATATCAGTTGTTTTCTGCATTACCACCCTCTCCCCTAACCATCTGTACTATGAATGGAAAAGGAAAAAGATGGAAAAATTATACCTAGGATTGTCCCTAAATGCAACCTCTTGGTTCCCCCCACCCCTCATGTTTTATTATAAACGATTTTAAGAGCTGGGCATGGTGGTTCATGCCTATAATCCCAATGCTTTGGGAAGCTGAGGCAGGAGGATCACTTGAGGACAGGAGTTTGAGACCAGCCTGGACAACATAGTGAGACCCCCATCTGTACAAAAAAAAAAGTGCTACTTGGGAAGCTGAAGTGGGAGGACCACTTGAGCCCAGGAATTCGAGGAGGTTATAGTGAACTATGATTGTGCCACTGCACTCCAGCCTGGGTGACAGAGCAACACCTTGCCTCTAAAACAAACAGCTCCAACTATTTTATTTTTTTATTTTTCTGAGACAAGATGTTGCTTTGTCACCCAGGCTGGAGTGCAGTAGTATAAACATGGCTCACTGCAGCCGAACTCCCAGGCTCAAGTGATCCTTCCTCCTCAGCCTCCCAAGTAGCTGGGACCACAGGTATTTGCCACCATGCCTGGCTAATCTTTATTTTTTGTAGAGACGAGGTCTTGCTATGTTGCAAGAGGGAGATCACTTAAGTGATCTTCCCTCATTGGCTTCCCAAAGTGTTGGGATTCCAGGCGTGAGCCACTGCACCCCGCCTGACCTAACTATTTTAAACACTACTCATATTGCCATCATCTAAATTCAACAACAATTTGCCATATTTGCTTTATGTATATGTATAATTATATATTTATAAAATTTTTTGAACCATGTGAAGTTGCAAACATCATTGAACTTCACCACTAAATATATCAGCATGCATCTCCTAAAAATCAGGTATTTTCTTACAAAACCATAATTCTGCTATCTATTATGATTTAACATTCTGTCATTTTCAAATTTCTTCAGGTGTTTTTTGTTACATCTTAAAGAACAGACGTTCTTGGATCTCAAAGATTCCGAGGAAGGAAAGAACATGGTGGATAATCCATAATTAAGAAGTTTGAATCTTTTCCTAGTCTTAAAAACAAAGTGAGAACTAAAGGGGTTTACCTTCCATCAAAGTTGAACAAATTAATTCTTTTGTGTGTCATACTTTCTGTCTCTCTCCCTAAAAACATGGGGGTGGTAATCTCTTTGTTTTATCTGGTAGGTTTTCCAGATAAAAGATTATACAGGTTTGGAATCTTAATATCCAACCCCCAACTCCAAGCCCTGCCCCAACAACAACAGCTAATTATTTTACATCTTGATGATGGTAAATTTTTCATGATTAACCAATTTTGGGCACCTATTCCGCCATATATGGTTTTATTTAATTTTCACAGCAACACTTCAAAGTTGATATTCATATTCTAAATTTATAGATGAACGAAGAGGCTCAAAGATTAAACAACTTGCTAATAAGTGATTTTTACCCATGCTTTTTCCATTATATTATGTTTTGGATTTTTCCAGAGTACCCAAACCCAGCAGATGCATACTGCTCCAAAATAAATGGAACTCAATACTGGCTCTGTCAAGTGTCTCTTGCCAATCAATTGTCCTTCTAATCTTTTGAGGGGCAGTTCTCTCAGTTGTACCAAGTCACTGTCATCCCCAAACTTTTCAATGATTCCAGGCCTTTAACAACTCCCCTCCACCTCCAAACCCTCTCTCACCAAATTGTGTAATTTCTTTGTTTACTGCTGGCTTCATCATGCACTTTTCCTTCATAGCCTATTTTAAGAAGTTGATTTGCTGAACTGCTTTTTAGCCAAGCTATTTGTAAATCAAGCTACACAAAGTATGTGGCCATAATTTCCAAAAGGCAAATGATCATTGTTCAATTGCTGTTGCTCTGCAGTGTGCATTCATGCAGTTAAAAATTGTACTGCATTGATAGTACGGCATCAGAGAATAGATCACTTAGGTTCAAATCCCAGTGCATGATCCTGAGCAAGATTATCATATCTAGATACATTAGTTTTTATCTGTGAAATGGGAATGATAGCACAATCTTCATAGAATTGTTGGTAAGGATTAAGTGAGTTGATATGCTCAAAGTGTGCATGCTGGCATAGAACAAGTCACTGTTTACAAGCCTTTAAAGAAGGAGCTGTTCTGGCACTGTAAACTTGAACCTTTTTTCCCCAAATCTAATGGATATAGGCAAGGAAATTATATTTATATAAAATAAATGTTTGACTACCTTTGATCATAAACTTTATTCTCATCTTGACCTGTTCCTTTGAAAAGATAATAAATACTGATATGTGAAAAATGTATGGACAGATTATTCAGATGTCTGGTTGAGGCTTTACAGTTTTGTATATTTCTGTCAGACATTAAGCTGACTCTAAGCAGTGGAGGTTTGGTTTATGCCCCTAAATTACACAGCACTTCTTTTCTCCATTGTATCGAGGGGTCATTCAGGGGTTGCTGTTCTGGAGATGGAAGCACATGTCTCCTGCCTGGGTCAGAAGCGTCACAATAGCACAAGCATTTATTCAGCACTGGCCTAGGAGAACCATTCATTTAGTCAAAACAAGCATTTATATTCATTATCCTGAACAAAAACCAGACTAAATGAGAACATTTATAGCTGCTCAGGCACTCTGCTAATTGCTATGTCTGCTAGACAAAGTGAAATGACACTTACAGTGACTATTTAAAAATAATTTGGAGCATGAATATTTGAAGCTCAGTTCTTTTTACAAAGGAAATGTATAACCTTTGCTCTTCATTTTTTTTGGCAGTTATTTATAGATCCAGGCCCTGTGTCAAGTTCTGTAATAGATGAATAGACAGTTTATGCTCTTGGAGAGTTAACAGTAAAAACAGAAACAGAAACATACCCCACTGATAAAGTGTTATATAACACCCCATTAAGTTCCACAATGATGTGATTTGTGAAATGGAGGGGCAGTAGGGCAAGGTAGAGGATATTTTTATTTGTATGTTACAGATAAGAAAACTGAACTCAGAAACAAGTGACTTTCCAAGGCCAAATAGCTGGTTAATGGCAGGATTGGGGTGGGACCCCAGATCTTCTGATTCTAATCTTTTTTTTTTGCAAGTCCTTTTTAGTGCTATACAATGACAGGTGATTACAGTGGAAAACCTCACTTATTTAGCAAATGTCATTCACTTAGCAAACTACTTAGCAAAATGCCATGAGTATCTTCTGTGTGCCAGTCATTGTTCTAGGCATCGTAGATGCAGTGAGTGAGAGAGGGAGGCAAAGACCCTATCTTTATGGATCTTACATTTTCATGGGGAGGCAAAGAATAAGCAAGTACAGGATTGTGATGATGATATATCATAAAGAAAAATAAGACAAGCTAAGGAAGTAGAGAGTGATGGCAGTGCGGAGAGTGGAGTAGGTGCTTCTTTAGATGAACTGGTTAGGAAGATACTGTGATGAGAGGGCACTTGAACAAAGACCTGGGAAGTGAATGCATGACCTTCATGCAACCATGGTGCAGGGAGGTAAGGGAAGAGCATTTCACTCAGCATCCCTCCCTGCTGAGTGAAAGCAGTGCGGAGATCCTGAGTTAGGAATGAGCTTGGCAGGTTTAAAGAACAGTAAGGCAAGTATTACTAGTTGGAGTGAGCAAGGAGCAACCAGAATCTAATTCACATTATCCAGCAGAACGACATGAATGCTAGTTGAAAAATACAGTTAACATTAGCATTTTTACTGGCTTATAATGCAATAACTTTGAGCCCAACCTATTTTTTTCCTCTGGCTTCTGAGCACATGTTAATATGTAAGGAAGATGAAACATATATGTAAACAACTTATATTTTAGTAATGATACAAAATACTTTCACAAATTTTGTGATGTGGGAATTTTTTAAAATTCCATTTTCACAGATGAGACCCCTAAAGCTCAGAGTATATGCACTTTGCCCAAGGTCAGAGTTAGTATGTGAGGCAGGAATAGACCCTAGATCTTCTGGAGCTAAATGTACTACTCATTTCTCTGTACTACCCTTATCATTTAGCTATGGTGAACAGAAGATGAACCACTGGATTCTAGAAAGCAGGGAGTTCAGGAACAACGTTGTCCAACCAATGATTCATTCATCTAGTAAATACTTAGGAGCCTACTTTGTGCCAAGCACTCAGCTAGCCTGGGGGTATAAGGATGGTTAAGACTAGAGTCCTGCCTTTAAGGAACTCACCAGTGCCATAGGAGACTGGTGGAAAGAGGATTATAACTCAGTTATAAATCAGTAGCTAGAGTAAAATACACCTAAAGTAGTTCACTAATACATTAATTGGACAAAACTAGTGCAGAACCTGATATATACTAGGTACTGAGATGTTTGTTATCTTACCTGTTTTTCTTTAACATTGGTAAGTACTGGGGGCTTTCTTTGAAACTTTCCTGCTTAAAATCAGTCAGTGATTGACAGGCTCCTTTGCACAGTGTGAATGGCAGGGGCTGTGAAAAAGAAGAGAAAACAGTTTCTCAGTGCCTGTCATTTCTAAATGCCATCAGTATCCACCTAATTTTCTAAGCTAGAATCTTATAATCACCTCCTATTCCTTCTTCTCCTTCACTTGTTACCCGCCCCACATCTAATCAGTCACTAAATTCTGTCAGTTCTACCTTTTAATGACCCTGGAGCCTGCTGGCATCTTGCCATTGTCATTTCCAGTACTACATTTCAGGCCCTCATTATCTCCCATCTGGAATCGATAGCTCCTGACTGGTCTTGTTGCTTTTCATCTCTCTCGCCCTTCATTCCACCTCTCATTTATCCTCCCCAGTGCTGCGAGAGTGTGCTTTCCAAAGCAGATCTGATCCTGCCACCATTCTGAAAAAAAGCATCCTGGGGGACTATGTGACCTGCAGAAAGACGTCCAAATTCCTTAGCATCCTCCATCTTGCACCAATTTCCCCTACTCAGCCTCACTCTAGCCTACTGGATAATGCAGTTTCCTGAAGTTACCACACTATTAAGCCTTTGCCCATGCTGGGTTTGTGTGTGTGTGTGTGTGTGTGTGTGTTTTGAGACAGAGTCTCACTCTGTCGCCCAGGATGGAGTGCAGTGGCATACACTCGGCTCACTACAACCTCTGCCTCCCAGGCTCAAGTTGATTCTCATGCCTCAGCCTCCTAAGTAGCTGAGATTACAGGCACGCGGCACCATGCCCAGCTAATTTTTTTGTATTTTTAGTAGAGATGGGGGTTTCGCGATGTTGGCCAGGCTGGTCTTGAACTCCTGACCTCAAGTGATCTGCCTGCCTTGGCATCCCAAAATGCTGGGATTACAGGCATGAGCCACTGCGCCCAGCCTGCCTATGCTGTTTTTTCTGCCTAGTGTGCATATTTCTCTCCTGGCCTTCAGATGACCTGTCACTCGTTTTTCAGGACCCAACTCATAGGACACTTCCTCTTTCAAGAGGAATGCCAGATGAGCTTTTGGAGAGAGAAGGTTAGCCATTAAGGGGGAAAAAAAGAAAGATAGGGCCAGAGTTGTAACATTTGGTAAACTCTGTTAATGGACTTGATATGTTATGGTTATTTGTGCATTTGTCTCTTTCTCTCAGATTTACTGTTTTGTGTTTATATCCTTAGTATACAGCATAAGTGCTCAATAAATGTTTGTTAAATAAGTGAAGTAGGTATGGGGAGGGAACAACTGTTTATTGAGCACCTATTGTAAGCCTATATGCTTTTCACACATCATCTCATTTAAACCTCAAAACAATTTTTTTGATTTAAGTATTATTTGCTAATAAGAAACAGTCGCAGAGGACATAAATACTTACCTCTCTCCCCACCCACAAAGGTTATGGGTTTGTGAGGAATGGAACTAAAGTTGGAACCTAGGTCTGTCTGACTCCAAAACTTTCCTCTCTTGTGTGATTCTCAGACAGGGACAATTTTGTCCCCCCTTTCTGGGGACATTTGGCAATGTCTGGAGATATTCTTGGTTATTATAATGGGGATGTTACTGGCGTCTAGTGGGTACAGGTCAGGTGTGCTGCTAGGCATCTTCCAATGCACAGAAAAGCCCCACAACAAAGAATTATCTGGCCCTGAATGCCAGTAGTGCCAAGGTTCAGTGTCTTCATCTGTTTGAGCTGCTGTAATAAAATAGCATAGACTGGATAGTTTATAAATAACAGAAATTCATTTCTCACAGTTCTGGAGGCCAGGAAGTCCGAGATCAAGGTGCCAGCAGATTTGATGTCTGGTGAGGGATACTTCCTGGTTCATAGATAGCCATCTTCTGTTTTTGTCTTCACATGATGGAACGGGTAAGAAAACTCACCAGTCTCTTTTGTAAGGGCGCTAATCCCCTTCAGGAAGACTCTACCCTCATGACCTAGTCACTTCCCAAAGTCTCCACCTTCTAATACCACTACCTTGGGGGTTAGTTTTATTTCCTTTCCTTCCCTTTCCCTTTCCTTTTCTCTTTAAAGCAGTTGTTAACATTTAATGAACCTCCTGTTATGTGACTTCAAGCCACCAGGAGAAAGCTCCCCCCACTGAATCTTCTCCTGAGCTCTTCTGCTGAAGAATTTGGCCTTCACGATGACAGGCTGGTTTGGGAACTTTTCCCTTCCCAGAACTCTATAGTAGCCCGATGGCACCACATCAGTGATGGGAGCTGTTCCAGGCTTGTTTTTAGCAGCATTCACCTGTGTCTGCTTCCTGACCAAAGCCCACAATTTGTCAAGGTTGACAGCTGGGTAGAAGCTCAGGTTCCTCTTTAGGTGGTAATGCCTCATACCAACTTTCCTAAAGTAACCTGGGTGACATTTGCTGAAGTCGATCCTGTGGTGATGCATGCCGCCAGCATTGCCACGGCCACCTGGGTGCTTTCAGTGCTTGCTGATGCGGCAGAGGCTGTGGCTCACCTGGCTCCAAAATTTCTGGGTCCTGTGGTGACTACATTTCCTCAGTCTGGATGGCTGTGTGGAAAAAGAAGCTTAGTGGTAAGGCCTAAGGAAGAAGGAGCAGGGGCGATGCTTGCCAGCCTGAGATGGGCCTGTAGGCCTGTGGGCCAAGGACCTGCCATCTGGAGCATTTGGCAAAGTTGAGGGGCCCATGTGTCTTCGAGACCCGAATCTCAGGCTGAACAGGGCTCCGCCCTGGACCCACCTGAGCTGCACTGCCCTGCTGACGGTCAGGTGCGGCCTGGAGGTCCCGATCAAGGTTGAGGGTGGGTGGCTGAGGGCAATGGGAGTAGAGCTTAGGGTCCCTGCTAACAAGGAAGTGGAGGCAAGAAAGGGATCCTAGTTTTCAACATTTGAAATTTTGGAGGACACAGACTTTCATTCTATTACATTGAGAAATCCTGCTCTATTCCATGTTGACTCTAATGAAAAGCAATTCATCAGACAAAATAAATGCATCCATGACCCCATGGGGAGTCAGATTGGGCTTAAGAGAAGTCCTAGGGGCTTGGGGCCATTCATGAGCCACTGGCATTGGTAGGATAGAAAGACTATTCTGTCTAGTCCCTGACCTGCCTTTGATCGTATGGTTCTTACTCTACTGCATCCACCCGGTCCTTCTGTCTCTTCTCCACCTTTCCTTTTCTTCAGTAGACTCTAATTTAGCTTGGGGAAGGCAACCCAGAAAGCTCCAGCATTTTCTAACCTCTTTTCTAATTAGAAGATAGAGTTAGCATATAAGAAGCTGCAAGTTTCAACTTGACAATATCTCTAGAACTGAGAACAGGGCCAAAAATGTCACCCTCTGAAATTGACAGTAAAATAGATGAGATTATTCACTGTGATAATCTTCCCAGAAAATAACCCACCTAAGAAATTCTTGGTAAGTGTGCTGCTAAGCCTTGGCTGTTTCCTAATCTCAGCCAGGGTCCAAGAATGCCTCCCTGTAAAGAAAAGCATTTAAAACGTAACTTGTGCATTAAACTAGTAATCTAGGAAATTATAAAGTGTTTGCCTTGGGGAAGTGTTCTAATGGGGGACACTTTTAATGGGTCTTAAGTGTAACTGCCTATAATTGTTGGGGATGCTTTGTGTTTTTGTTTTTCTATCTCTCAACATAACAAATATTAGGAGAGAGGAACCAGGTTTATTTTACTGGTGTCTGGCAGCAAAGGCATGGATGAGTCACTGCTAGTGAAGGGTAGGAATTAGTGGTGTGTGTGTATGGGGGTGGCGGATGGTCACAGAAGTCTTTTCCTTGGTAAAGTGGTTTTAATCAGAAGCCCATAAACCTTGGTTGTGTGCAAAATGTGTGTGTATTTGTGTGCATTTTTTCTGTAAAATGTGTCTGTAGCATTCAAAGGGTTCTCTGACCTCCAAAAAGTAAAACCCCTGCCTTGGTGATTAGAACATAGCTACCAGGGACAATGAAATAGAAGATAACCCAGGAAAGGCAAGGGAAGTGAGTGCCTCGTAGGAGAGAAAGGGTTCATTTTGAGCTCACATTTATTGATTGTGCATGCAGAAGGCCTCTTTACATACATAAATAAGGTTCCTAATTTTATAACAAATATTGGGAGCCCAGCATGCAGTGGAAGGATGAACTGTGAGAAAACATCAAGGCAGAACAAATCCAGCCTGGTGGATGCTGGAGAAAAGTACAAAGGGTGATGAGAGGACTTGGAAAGAATGCAGTGTGGGGAGAGAAAGGGGGAGAGAGAGAGAGAGAGAATATGTGTGTGTGCACACGCATGCATGTGCACGCATGAATATGAGGTGGGGAAGATGAATATTAAGTTGTTCTACATATGTCAATATCCATGCTGAGTTTAGATTCCACAGATGCCCTGGGGTAGCCAATACTAAGAGAATGGTTCTGTAAAGCTGAGTTCTAGGAAGCTAACCAGACAATTAAGAAGGGATTCTTCTAACGTTCTTTTCAATTTTAAGTTACAGAAACCAACTTTAGCTAAAGGACTTAAAGGATACTGGACAATCCATAAATCCCTAGGAAAGAACTGAACAAGGAAGTCTGGGGAGGCAAGAAATTGGACAGTTTGGGGACTTCCACAGCAGGTGACCAACTCCAGTGACCTCGTTTCCAGATCTCTATATTTGGGTTTTAAATTAACAAGAGAGGAGTTAGCTGTTGGGACTTGTACCAGAGAAGGGGAAATCATGAGCCAAGGAATCACCTTGGTTGTTGACCAAAGTCATTATCATATTGGTTTAGAGCAGGTGTCCTATCTTGAAAAGTGTGCGAGACTAATACCCAAGTCTTCTGATTGCCACTTACACGCAGCATGCTCTCAAGGCACATTCACAATTTCTTAATATTTTAAAAACTAATTAATAGGGTTTGGGTAGGAATAGAGTGGGGGACTTTCAGGCAAAGGGAACAAAAAGTGCAGTGGCCTTCAGGTAGGATGAACTTGGCATCCCAGAAATAGAAAAGGCTCTTGTGGCTAGAGAATTATCTGCAAGGAGTAAAGAGTAGAAGAAGGGCATTCAGAGGCTTGATTGCATCATGGTGAGAAGTTCAGAGGTTTTTTTTTTTGTTTGCTTGTTTATTTTCCTATGTGCAGCCGAAAGCCACTGAAGAGATTTAAGCAGATATGAATTACATTTTTTGAAAAACACTCCAGCTGCTCAATGGAGAATGGATTCTGTGAAGGCTTGAATAAGAGTGACAGTACTAGAGATGGTAAGAAGTGGGTTGATTCAGCATGCATTTTTGTATCTTGGGGAGAGAACTGGCAGAACTTGTTGACGGATTTGGTGTCAGGGAAAAGAAAAGGGAAATCCAAAGTGGGTGCTAGGCTTTTGGCTTGGGCAACTAGATGGATGGTAATGTTCTTCACTGAATTATGAAGACTGATGGAAGGAGTAGTTTTAGGGAGGAAGACGGTTTGGAATCGATCGTGTCAAGTGTGAGATGTCAGCAGTCTTAGTGAGGAAGTCAGAGGGACAGTCAGATATATATTTGGGAATCACCAGATTATAAATGTTGCTTAAAGACAAGGGCCTGGGTGGGATTGCTTGGGGGGCCTAAGACCGAGCTCTGGGCACTGTAATATTAGATAATCTAGCTGGGCAGCAATGGGCAAAGGAAACTGGGGAGAAGTCAGTTAAGTCAGAGAAATGCTGTATTATTTTTAAAGTGTGGGATTTTTTTTTTTATTTTTTTTGAGACAGAGTCTCACTCTGTTGCCCAGGCTGGAGTGGAGTGCAGTGATACCATTATGGCTAACTTCAGCCTTGACCTCCTGGGCTCAAGCGATCCTCCTGCCTCAGCCTCCCAAGTGGTTAAGACCACAGGTGCATGCTGCCATGCCTGTCTAATTTTTGTTTTTTGATTTTTTGTAGAGATGAGGTCTCACTTTGTTGCCCAGGCTGGTTTCAAACTCCTAGGCTCAAGCTATCCTCCTGCTTCAGCCTCCCAGAGTGTTAGGATTACAGGTGTAAGCCACTGCACCCGGCCAAAGTTTGGGCTCTTAATTTATAGTTCTTTATAGATGTTTGTAATTTCTCTATATGATAGTTTATTTTGGACACTTGTGTTGTTTATGAATCTATTCTCATAGTAGTCTAGTAAATGTTACACACTTTGCAGCTCTAGATTTTTCCTTGCTTAAATTGTTGGCAAAATCTCTCTAGTTTTATCTTTCTGTGTGTTTGAGGGGCTGGGAGCCATCCCCTGTTAACTGGGCATGGAAGGAAGGCCAAGTCTGCCATTAAGTCTCTTTTTGAGCCTGTATATATTTGCATAAGGTCCATTAACTATATTAAGTGGTCATAGATAAACCAGATACTTATAGGCAACTCTAATAAACTACATGCAGCTTTGTAGATTATTTGCAATAAAATTTTAATTTTAACAATCCTTTAATTGTTAAATTAAAGCCTGCCTAAGCTCTCTTGTAGTATTTTGCATATGTCTGGGGTGGATCTCTTTATTGGCTTTTGGCATATGCGTTTGGTTTAAAGCAGTCCAAGCAAAACATAAGTAGAAAGGTAGGCTTACTGATTATATATGGTATATATATTTACACACACACACACACAGAGTAAACAGCCATAAGAACTATGTCCAGCTCTTTCTAATATAGCTAAGTAACTGTAACAGTCAGTTAGTCCACCTGAGGACCCCAGCTTTATTTTTTAAGTAAAAATAAAAATCTTACTTGTTATCAAAACAATATGTTCCTTATAGTAAAACAGAAGCAAAATTTTTAAATAGGAAATTTGGAACACAATAATCATAACTCCACCATCCAGGGATAACCACTGTTAATATCTAAGGTTGTATTCTTCCAGATCATTGTATATATACTGTAGAGTTTGGAGTCATACTATTCATTTTAATTTAAAATAAACTTAAAAAAAACTTAGCAATGTATTGTGACTATCTTTCTTTCTTTCTTTTCTTTTTCTTTTTTTCTTTTTTTTTTTTTTGGAGACAGGATCTTATTCTGTCACCCAGGCTGGAGTGTAGTGGCACAATCATAGCTCACTGCAGCCTCAACCTCCTGGGCTCAGGTGTTCCTCCCACCTCAGCGTGTCAGGCAGCTGGGATTACAGGTGTGCGCCACCATACCCAGCTAAGTTTTGTTTTTGTTTTTGTTTTTTTGTTTTTTGTTTTTTTTGAGAGATGGCATTTCACCATGTTGCCAAGGGGGGTCTCACACTCCTGGGCTCAAGTAATCTGCCTGTCTCAGCCTCCCAAAGTGCTGGGATTACATGAGTGAGCCACTGCACCCAGTCCCTATCTTTCCTTCCTTCCTCCCTCCCTCTCTCCCTCCCTCTCTCTCTCTCTCTTTCTTTCTTTCGACAGAGTCTCACTCTGTCACTTAGGCTGGAGTGCAGTGGCCCGATTTCTGCTCACTGGAACCTCCACCTCCCGGGTTCAAGTGATTCTCCTGCCTCAGCCCCCTGAGTAGCTGAGATCACAGGCATACACCACCATGCCCAGCTAATTTTTGTATTTTTAGTGGAGATGGGGTTTCACCATGTTGGCCAGGCTGGTCTCAAACTCCTGGCCTCAAGTGATCCACCTGCCTTGGCATCCCAAAGTGCTGGGATTATAGGCGTGAGCCAACGTGCCCAGCTGGGCCCCTATCTTTTAATAATAATAAATATTCTTCAAGACTTTCTACAGACTTTAAATGACCGCCAAGAATTTCACAGTATGAATGTACGAATTTAGCTATTTATCAGTGTTCGCATTGTTTCTGGTTTTTGTTTTTGTTTTTGTGTTCTGCTAGTGTGTCAATAATGCCATCCTGGCTGGCTGTGGTGGCTCACGCTTGTAATCCCAGCGCTTTGGGAGGCTGAGACAAGAGGATTGCTTGAGGTCAGAAGTTTGAGACCAGCCTGGGAAACATACGGATACCTTGTCTCTATTAAAAAACAAAAATTAGCCAGGCATGCTGGTGTGTACCTGTAGTCGCAGCTACTTGGGAGACTGAGCCTGGGAGATAAGGCTGCAGTGAGCTATGATTGTACCACTGCACTCCAGCCTGGGTGACAGAGTGAGACAATGCTTCAAAAAAATAATGATATCCTTGCAATTAAATCCTTGTATACAGTATATTCCTATTTCCTTAGTCTAAACTTTGAGAAGTAGACTTGCTGAGTCAAAGAGTTCTGACGCATATTGCCAAATTTTTCTACAGGCTGAATTAATGTCCACTTCTACCAAAAATAAATGCCTTTGTTAACACTGGGTCTCAAAAACAATTTCAAAAATGTTTGTCAAATCAATAGGGAAAATGGTATCTCATCAGTGGTTTAATTTGTATTTATTTGATTACTTGTGAGGTTGAATGTTTTTGTCTTACACTTGTTAGCTATTGGCATTTCTAATTTAATGACTTGCTTTTCTATATCCTGTACTCAATATTCTCTGAAGATGCTTGTTATTGATTTGTAGGACCAGTATCTCTATAAATGGATATTGAGTCTATGTGTTTTAAATATTTTTTCTAGTCTGCCATTGGCCTTTTATTTTTTGATCTGAAATGGTTAAAAAATATATGTAATTTAGGCCAGTTTTTCTTTTTGTGATTTCTCTGTTGCTATTTTTAAAATGTTGTTATTGTAGACATTATTTTTTGATACATATTTGTATGTATTTATAGGGTACAAGTGCTATTTTGATACATGCATGGAATGTGTAGTGATCAAGTCAGGGCATTTAGGATATTCACCACCTCAAACATTTATCATTTCTTTGTATTGGGAACATTTCAAGTCTTCTCTCCCAGCTATTTTGAAATATACAAGGTATTGTTGTTAACTATAGTCACCTCACTCTGCTATCAAACTTTACAGCTTTTTCCTTTCGTCTAAGTGTTTGTTTTTACTCATTAATCAACCTCTTTTCATCCCCCCCATCCACATACACACCCTTCCCGCCCTCTGGTATCTATCATTCTACTCTCTAACTCCCTGCGATCAAATTTTTTAGCTCTCACATATGAGTGATTTGTCTTTCTGTGCTTGGTTTATTTCACTCGACATAATGACCTCTAGTTCCATCCATGTTGCTGCAAATAATAGGATTTCATCCCGTTTTTTATGGCCAAATAGTATTCCATTGTGTATATATACATTTTCTTTATCCATTTTCCCCTTGATGGACACAGTTTGCTTCCATATCTATGCTATTGTGAATAGTCCTACATTAAATATAGGAGTGCAGATACCCCTTTGATACACTGATTTCCTTTCCTTTGGATAAATACCCAGTAGTGGAATTGCTGGATTGCATGGTAGGTCTACTTTAAGTTTTTCGAGAAATCTTCATACTCTTATCGTAGTAACTATGCTAACTTACATTCCCGCCAACAGTGTATAACAGTTCCCCTTCTCCACATCCTTGTCAGCATTTGTTTTTTTCCCTGATAATAGCTATTCTAACTGGGATAAGGTGATATCTCATTGTGATTTTGACTTGCATTTCCCTAATTAGTGGTGTTAAGCATTTAAAAAATATACTTATTGTGTATTTGTATGTCTCCTTTTGAGAAATGTCTATTCCGATTCTTTGCCCACTTTTAATATAATTATTTGTTTTTTTTTGGTATTGAGTTGAGTTTCTTGTATATTTTAGATATTAGTCCCTTGTCAAATGAATAGTTTGCAAATATTTTCTTTTGTTATTTTTGAGAAAGCATTTCCCAACTTGAAATTATATAAATACTTTCCTATATATATATTTTCTACTGCTTGTTTAGTTCCATTTTTTGCTTTAAATCATTACCCTGTAGACTTTATTTGGTATAATACAAGAAGTAGAAATTTAATTTAATTTATTTCAAATGATTCACTATTCAAAGATTAATCAATTTTTTATACCATTTCACATTACTTCTGCTATATTTGCAGATTAATTATAAAGGGAAGCACTGATCAAAAGTTGCACACTGGAGGCCCATGGCCATATCTAGCCTATGAATATATTTAGTTCAGAATATTTTTGAATTAGTTATCTGCATCTAAAAATCAGAAAGTTTTATACAAGAATCTGTTTTTACAAATTCTCCTTAAAAATCAGAATATCTGGCAACTCTAGACTCACAGTCTCCCTTGACAAAAATGTGCAGGAGCTGGGAGGCAATTGCTTCCCATCATCAGGAAAGGTCCCCACCAGTGTACTTTATTCATTTTTGTTGTCTGCCTAATCCCTGAAGGCATTTCAGGATGCTATTAAGTTTTGTATATTTATTTTGCAATTGGACACATTACACGAATTCTCTAATTAGTACTAACTGTTTTGTGGCTAATTTTCTTGGGGTTTCAAGTAATTATATCATCATGCAAAAAATTATAATTTTATCTTCTCTTTCCAAAATATATACTTTCTAATTCTTTCTTCTCGCCTTATTACAGTTGCCTAAAAATTTCTCACATTTTGAATAATCGTTATGACTGTTAATTTTAACTTTAATTTTTAACATGAGGAGATTGAGAGATGCCTAAATGGCTGGTTTGTTTCTGGGTGTGTCTGTTTCCAGGAGAGATTGGTGGGTGAGTCAGTGGACTGAGAGAAGAAGACTTGCCCTCGATGGGGGCAGGCATTGTCCAACTGGTTGGGGGCCTGGTTGGAACAAACAGGAGAAAGACAGCAGATTCTCTGTCTCTGCTGTCTTTCCTCTGGAGTGGGAGGCTTTTCCTCCTCTTGCCCTTGGACATCAGGCTCCAGGTTCTTTGGCTTTTGGACTCTGGGACTTGCACCAGTGACCTCCCAGGGCTCTCAGGCCTTTGGCCCCAGACTGGAGGCTGCACGGTCAGCTTCCCTGGTTCTGAGTTCCCTGGTTCTCTTTAGCTTACAGGTGGCTGGTCGTGGGACTTTGCCTCTGTGGTCATGTGAGCAGCCAATTCCCTCATAAATCCCCTCTCATATCCTACTGGCTCTGTTTCTCTGAAGAACCTTGACTAACACAAGGCTCATAATAGCAGGCATCTTTATACGGTACCTAATTTTAATGGGAATGCCCCTTGTGCTTGACTTTTAGGTATGAAGTAAGCATTTTTTTATTGTGTCAAGGAAGTATACTTTTTATAGTTCTCTGATGTTTTGATTTTGTATTAATATCAGTAATATATGTGGAATTTCATCAGACCAAATGACTCTTCAATATCTATTGATATTATCCTGTGACTTCTCTAAATTTAATACATTATAATAAGAGATTTTTCTAAGGGTTTATATGCTTCACATAGTTTAAGCCATGTATGTATTTTTATTATGAATCCTACCAATGTCTAACACTACTTAATAAACCCTAATAATATCCTTCTTAATCTAATTTGCTAGAATAAATCCAGATAAATATTATTTTATTAAGTTTGTCTGGCACTCCTCATATTGGCCCCATTATTTCTATATGTGGTCATTTTCCTCCATTTTCTCATCCTTACAATGGGAGGCTTATGCCTGTCCAGCATGGGAATGGGTAAGTGTTCTCTCAGAGATTATGCATCCCTGTGAAAGCCTTTCAGTCTTGGCACAGGAAATAAGTTTATATTTTGTTGACCTTAACCACCTTAGAAGTGTCTTGGTGTATGAGAAGTAAGAAGAGAGGTGGCCATAGGTAGGCAGCCTCATCTCTGGCTGAAGGGCTCCTCCTGGGATTGTCACAGCAGCTGAAGCCCACCGGGGCAGGCAGCAGTACCCCTCCAGCCAGCATGGCGGCCCTCCCCAAGAGCAAACCTCATCAGAACCTCTGCTCCATTCTCCATGCCTTCTGTGCTGTGAACAAGTCTTGAGCATCCCTGGGACCACCCGGCCCTCCTTGAGAGCTCCAGCACCTGTTTCCTTCTCAAGGTGGTGGTGGAGTTTGAATTTGACACTGCCCTCAACAAAATGACAGTCTTATGATCGTCACTCATCTCTGGTCCCGTCACACCAAGGAGTGGAGTGTTTGTCCTCTTCTTTTGCATAGGTCATTTCAGCTGCAAGTTACGAAGGGAGAGTGTTAAATGCATTGACTCAGATTGTCATGCTGAATTGGAAACACTGGCTATTCCACTTGTATTGACTCTCAAGTTGAAAAGTGGGCCTTTTGTGCATTCAGCATGCCTCCCAGAGCCTAGCAAGGAGGGTAGAGATGGATAGGCAGCTTCTTTTTTCCAATCCATACTTGAGAAAATTTCAGCTGCATCAGCAGGTTACAAGGGAAACTACCTGAATGCCACCTGGGATTTATAGCCACCTGGGGGATAAGCATTTGTTTCTAATGTGGAATAAGATAATCTTTTCCTCCTAGCCTCTGGACAATAGAAAGGGAGTCTGACCATTTGCCAAACACATTGTGGAAGGGGAAAGTACGTAGAACTGGAGATTGGACAATGTCCTTAATACTCTTCCTTTACAGAAATTCTGTGACTAGTGTTTTATTTGACTAGAGATGGAGGGCTCCATCTCTCTAATCTTGAAGTCCTGAGATATGTGCCTGCTTGTTCAATGTCACCTAAGGCTTTTTAGTCAGTGTTGAAGGATGGGGCTGTCTTATGATCACACAGATATGTTTTATTGTCTTAAGGGCCTGACAAATCAGGGATACCTTCTAGTTAAATTCCTCTTTAAGGGCCTGAAGTCTCCTTAGTACTCAGCATGCAGTTCAGATGTTTCCCTTTCTCCTGGGAAACAAATAGGATTCTCAAATTGTGACTTTGTTAATTGTTCTTAAGCAAATTGCATTAAAATTTATATGCACCTTTCCAAGAGAAGATAAATTACACATGTTAAAGGAAGGAGAAGAAAAGACACAGTGATTATGAAATTCCTCAGAGAAAGGTTCTTTGTTCTTTGCGTGCCTCATAATCTATCTGTCAGAGCAGACCTGTCCATTCAGCAGGTCTAAGATGGCAGTGAGTTATGATTGGGGGACTCAAGCTTATCATCCTCATTCTCGGGAATATAATTGAAAGGTCAGAATACTTCCCCTTTGAGAGTTATCCAGCTTTGCCCAGGGGCTTGGCTGTGGTCCATGGGTCTTTAACTTGAGGACAGGGGGAAGGTAGGGTAGGGAACGTGGTCTTAGATTTCTCAGATATTTGAAAATAACTTTATCTTCGGTCAAAATCTGGAAACTGTACACATTACAATCAAGTGTTTCTTGGACTTTCTAGGGTAGAGGAAAAATGGGACAATGAAATAACTCTTTTATTCTTTTATGTCTGTTGGAGTCTTGAAACTCTCATCACTTTGCCCCGATATCATTCAGTCGGGCCCAACCTGAGCAAGAGAACATCTCTGATTTGATAAGCTTCTAAAGTAGTGTACATATTGCATTTTGACCACAATAAGACAGATTATGCAGAGTGCTATGAGACAGAGACAGGCCTAAAGAACTTCACTTTCTTTTTCTTTTCTTTTTTTTCTAACATAAAAGGCTGGGCAATTATTCAGGCATTGCCCATGCCACTCCTGACCTTGTGCAATTGTCCAGAAAGTCCCTGAGCCCAGAGCTGGGTGCAGGCTGTGCCTACAGCAAAGTCCTTGGGGGTAACCGGTAGCCTGTGGGGGAGGGGTACTGTTATGACCTCCTTTTACAACTTTCGCAAGGGCAGGCAATCTGGATCAGTGGAGTTAGCTAATCATAACTTCCTCAGTTATTTTATAACTCTGTGCCTCAGTTTCCTCTTCTCTAAAATGATGATAAAAATAGAATGTACTTTTTAGAGATGTGAAAATTAAATGAGGTAAAACTGTTAGGAGAGTTTCAGGGCTAGAGTAAGTGCTTAATCAATCATTATTTATGACATTATTACCTTATTTGGATCATTGAGGAGTAAATTTCTCTCTATTCTTGAATAGAAATGCTTAATAATCAAACAATTTGGTTTCTAAGTGAAGATGAGCTTTTAGTGGGAAATTTACAGATATCTTATGCCTCCCCTTCTTGCCTATACAAAGCCTGTATTCTTGGTTGGGACACCAAGAGCCTTATAAACTTTGCTTAAGCACAACAGAGAATATTCACAAAGTCTCTTAATCTCATCCAATTCCCATGAGAAGGAACACTGTTACATAGTGATGACAGTGGATCTCAACTGCATCATGAATTCTTCCCAAGAGACTCCTGAAACATTTATTTTATGGTAAAGATGCCTTCCAGCAAGATTGACTATAAAAAGAATTTTCTCTCTCTCATTGACTTGTTTTATAAAATCAGAGATATGATCTCATGGAAGAAAATCTTCCAATTGATTTGACAAAAATGCTTAGTTAAAGAATGAGTAGATGATGTGTTTGTTTTATTCCACAACTAAATTGTAAGTTCTTAAAGGGAAGGGAGCTAGATTCCTATTTTTGTAGATTACAAAGATTCAGTACATCGGACTGACCTGGTGGCTCATGCCTGTAATCCTAGCTACTTGGGAGGTCAAAGTGGGAAGATTGCTTGAGCCCAGGAGTTTGAGGCTGCAATGAGCTGTGATCGTGCCATTGCACTCCAGCCTGGGCGACAGAGTGAGACCCTGTCTGTAAAACAAAACAAAACTAAACAAGAATAGATTTAGTACAGGACCCTAAAATGTGCGGGGTACAGTAAATGTTGACATGGGCTGACCAGGTCCGAATAGTAGAAACAGAATATTTTTGAAACTTTTAAGAAGAAAATTCGCTTATGAAAAGATAATAATAGATGTGCCTAGATGTGGGAGTGAAGACAGTAGCCACACTCACTTGACTCTGCCTTTCCTAGAGGGCCCTGAGGGTGTCCTTTAGTGTTTTGAGGGCCTCTGAGAGGGCGTGACCCTGTTTGATTGAAGATGAGGCTCCTGAGACCAAGTGACTTAACCAAGTCTATACCAAGTTATTTATGGTAAAATCAGGACTAGGACTCAGACCTTTAACTGAACATGGAGATTCCAAGATCTCCCTTCTGCTTTCTCTGTATGAAAGGAATTTTTCTTATTTTGATTTATACCTGAGACTAGTATAATTCCACATCAACCAGCTCCTGTTAAATTTCCTGTGAAAGGAAGTTGGATGCAATATCACAATTGACCAATAGATGTCACTATATGCCATATTATTGTGCATGTGGCCACCTGTCTGAAATTTGCTTGAATTTCTTAATTGGGGTGGGGTCTGCAGACTTCTGGGAATCACTGGATCTGTTTGGGAGACACAAAAGAACTATGAGAATTTTAAAAATTGTATCTTAAGCTTGATAAAAGTTTTATCAAATCAAGAGTTATTCGACCTGC
The DNA here is from genome assembly GCF_000001405.40 of Homo sapiens. Lineage (NCBI taxonomy): Eukaryota > Metazoa > Chordata > Mammalia > Primates > Hominidae > Homo > Homo sapiens. Next base: position 160,007,591 of record NC_000001.11, on the reverse strand, counting down.
TATAAAGGCAAAACTCTTACTTGAAATCTTTTTTGATAGGAAAAAAGGGATGTTTTTCAAGTTGAGTTCCCTGGATGAGAAGTGGAGTTAGTGGGGCTGTGAGGAGCCCCTAACTTCTATTCAATTGGCAAAACCTCCCCTTCCACTTCATAGAGAGGAGTCTGAGGGATTGAAGGGCATGAGATTTGAAGTTCAACACAACTGGGTCTGAGTTCTGGTTCATTCATTAGCTGTCTGATCTTGAGTATGTTATTTAACCTCGTCTAGCCCCACTTCCCTCAGCTGTAACATAATGACACTGATCATATGGTGTTGTAAGGATGAAATGAGACGATATGTGAAAACACAAAGATTAACTGTCATTATTAACTATGACCATTTCACTTTACGAAGGCATTTTTATAACTAAAAATGCTTGGAAAGTACTAACTAGTCCAAGTTTCCATTTTAAAAATGGGACTTAAGAGGCCAAGTTATTTGGTTCTCTGATTATGTTTTACAATTTCATAATACAAGTATTTATGTAAAACAAGACATGCCTGTTCTAAATCTTTTACAGGTGTGTCCCTCCCCACTTGGGGAAATGTGATATGTCCCTATTCAAATTTATCAAACTGATGAAATACAAAATAACCCTTCACTTTGTAATTTAGCAGGCTAAATAATCCAGTTTATTTGAAACTTTTATCTTTATTTTTTTCTGTTTATAAAAGTATTCTAGAATAAGTGTGCAAAATTTCAGCAAATGATGTGTTTAAGTAATGATTTGATTGATGTAGTTAAAATATAATTTAATAATTAAATATGGATGTTTTCATAACTTTTCAACCACACAGTTTTAATGTTTTGATTTAGTCGATTCATTTATTAGGCAAATATTTTCATTGGGAACATTCATATTCACCGAATACATGTATAGGCTGCTAAGTGAAGGCTTTAATGGAGTGGGAATTCATGAATACTTGACCTTATGATGTCGGTTGCTCTGATAAATTGTTAGCTGAAAGAATAATTCAAAGTGTTGTGGGTCTACACTTTGAAGTAGAGGTTGAAGGCCTCTACTGCTGCTGCCGACAGAGGGCGCAGGCAGGTTTGTGCATCTTCTGAGCAGGTGGGGTGCTGTGAGTTACATCTGGGCCAACTACCCATTCAGGAGGCACACCATCTGGGGCCATGATACTTACTGGTACCCATGAAAATGTTTTAATTTTAAGTTCTTTTGAAATACAAAGAAAAAATAAATATAAGAATAATGAATATAATAAGGAATCCAGCTTACATTACATTTTGCCTGGGAAACAGCCAGACTCCATCTCTACAAAAATAAAAATTAAAAATTAAAAAAAAAAATTAGCCAGGTGTGATGGCAGGCACCTGTAATCCCAGATACATGGGAGGCTGAGGCAGGAGAATTGCTTGAGCACAGGAGTTCAAGGCTGCAGTGAGCTATGATGGCACCAATGCACTCCAGCCTGGGTGACAGAGCGAGATCCTGTCACAAAAAAAAAAAAAAAAAAAAAAAAAAATTATGGAGGTGAGGCTCTCTAAGGCCAGAGTAGCTAAGGCCCATGAAAATTATAATGTGACCTGAGCTACACTTCCAAAAAATGTGGAGTCCTAAGTTTACTGTAAGGGGAGAGGGGGATGAGGGAGAAAGTTGGAGGAAGAGGGAGTTGCTGAAGGCAAACTCGGCCTCGGGCCTGGGACACACGATAACCCAGAGAGTAGGGTGAAGGTTTAGCTCACCTGGGCTCTGACTGACTATATGGGAGGTGACCTGGGAGTGTAGGAATTATTTTAAGTTACAAAACTGTTTGTACAAAGACCTTTCTGACCTCATAGCTGCCAAGCTCCTAGACTTTTACCTGCTTCCCAAATCTTCAAAAACAGGCCGTTTTATTCGCCTCGCTTGCAGTCTGTAAAATGTCTTGCTGCCTATAAAATGTCATAGGTCTGGATTGGAAAACACAGGGTGGGCAGGCTGCATGATTCCTCCCCATCTAGGCCTAGGGAGAGCTATGTTTCAGGCTAAGTAGTAGTGCGGGTCGACTTTTCCCTCCTTGGAAAGTTACCATTGGAGGAACTCTGAGACTTCCAAGCAGGTATCTCTGCCTGAACATGAGGGGAGAAAAGAGATCACCCTCTGGGAAAAGAGCAGGCTTGCTGGTAACTCAGAGGACACTTTCTGACAGGCAAGAGAAGAAAGCTAGGTTTCCAGTCTGTGGCTTTTCTCTCTCCAGTGACAGTGTGTTCTGGCACTCCCAGATATGATTGCCTGGTTGCTTAGGGATGGCGCCTGGACCCTTGGCCTGGCGTCTTTGAGGGCTTCCTTCTGGGAAGAGAGAGGGCAAGTGAAGCAGGCTAGAACACGGCCATCTGGTGGCACTGGGCAGTCGACCAGCATCCCCTGCCATCCAGTGAAACACCTGTGAGACTCATGGGGTGGGATGGGAAGATGGGGTTGGGGAGGCTCTGCCCTCAAGAGCTTTGGTGCCATGCACCCATCCAGCCCCAGAGAGAGGGGCAGCAGTGGAGCAGGGGCAGAAGTCTAACAGTCACTCCTGACAGCTGGGGCCAACAGTGAGCCTGGAGAGACCTTGGCTGTGGAGGGGGGATGGAGGTGGCAGGTGTGCCTCTCAACGGAGGGAATAATGGGGATGCATGTGTACAGATACGGTCTGGCTTTTCTGGGGCCAACACCACTCCTACCTGCCTCTTGGCGAACAGGCTGCATCCATCATGTTAGTCTCTTAGGATTAGGTGATGGCTTTGGTTATTTAACTCCTGGGGTGCCTTGTGCCCTGAGGACACCATGCTGATCTTGCTCTCTGGCTGGTGGGTGGGTCCCTTTACTGGCTGACTCTGGGGGGGCAGCAGGGGAGATGTTACTCTATCATTCCTATGCTGATTTATGGCTTCATCTTTTAGTCCTTATGGAGTCAGGTCAGGGGACACAAAGATGAGTAATATATGGTCTCTGCCTTCAAGGAGCTCAAAGTCTGTTGGGAGAGAAAAAAAAAAAGAAAAAAGACTACTGGCACGCAGTGACAAATGCTGGGCTAAGGCCTGCCCAGGAAGGGGACAGCTGCTGGGAGAGGTGTGTGCAGGGGCAGGGTGGGCCTCAAGACAGGGAAGGTGGGATTCCAAGGGAACACAGGAATCGGCCAAGTGGGAAGTCAGGGAGGAACATGTAAAGCTCTGGTGCCATCAAAACCCAGAGGCACTCAGGACTGCCGGCCCTTGAAAAGGCAAGAGCTTAGGGGACAGGATGGGGAATGGAAAGAAAGAAGAATGGAGAGAGGCAGGGCTTCTGGTTATGACCAAGAGCCAGGCATCCCCCTACTAAAGGAAGGATTGGAGAGGAACTGCAAGATTTCCTCAGGGGAGAGACAAGACCAGACTTGAATTATACAAAGATTGAGTCTGGGAGAGGTGGGGAGATGAGAGCTGGAAGCAAGGAGGCCTGTTAGAAGGCAATTATGAGTAGGAAATGATAAGAACCTAAGATCACTGGCAGTCAGTGCAGATTACAGGCTTGTGGCTCCCAGGTGCATGGTGGTGAGTGGGTGGTGGGGTGCAAGGATGGGAGGAGCTTCCCAACTCCTCCTGCTCTTGCGCCTCCAGCCCCAAGGAGATGAGAGAGCTGGTCCAGGTCTTGTTCTAGGAAGGTGCCCCTGCTGGGTTCTGGTTGAGGCGATTTGCCCAGGGTGGAGCCTTTCGCCTCTGCACAGGCTGCTCCTCCTTCCCTTCCCAGCACACTTCCCTTCCCTATGCCTTGTGGTCAACTCCTGCTTGTTCTTTAAGGTACAGGTCAGGTGTTACCTCCTTCAGAGAGACTTTTGTGGCCTATTCCTGCCCCATACCTTGGGTCAGGAGCCTCATTGTTGTGGCATGTGGTTACTGTGCTTGCAGTAAAGGCCTCTGTCATCGTGCACTAAAAGGGCCCAATAACTTGCCGTCTTTTCCCACTACACTGAGCTCCATGAGTGCAAGGTTTATCCTGATGTATTATGTATTAAATGCATATTTACCAACAGCCTGCTTGGTAAGCCAGGAACAGAGCTAGGCATTTGGGATATAAGAGTGAGGGGAAAAACAGGCACTAATCATGCAACCATGAAATTTAGAGCCTATAAGCAAAGACTCATGCTATGATGAGGACAAACACAATGTTATAAGAGCTCCTAGTAGGTACCCATTAGGCAGGGTTCTCCAGAGAAACAGAACAAAGAGGATGTGTGAGTGTGTGTGTGTGTGTGTGTGTATACACATATGTAGATATAGGGAGAGAAATTTATGATAAGGAAATGGCTCTCATGACTATGGAGACTGGCAAGTCCAAATCTACAATATAGTTCTATTCTGAAGGCCAGCACCTGGAGACCCAGGAAAGCCAAGGTTCCAGCTCCAGTATGAAGGCTGTCTTTTGGAGAATTCCCTCTCGCTCAGGATAGCCAGTCTTTTTATTCGATTGAGGCCTTCAACTGATTGGATGAGATGCACCCACATTATGGAGGTCACCCTGCCTTACCCAAAGTGTATTGATTTAAATGCTAATCTCATCCAAAAACACCCTTCAAGCCTGGGTGCAGTGGCGCATGCCTGTAATCCCAGCATTTTGGGAGGCTGAGGTGGGCAGATTGCTTGAGCTCAGAAGTTCAAGACCAGTCTGACCAACATGGCAAAACCCCATCCTACAAAAAATAGAAAAAAAAGCCAAGAGTAGTGGTATATGCCTGTAGTCCAAGCTACTTGGGAGGCTAAGGTGGGAGGATCATTTGAGCCCAGAGGTCAAGGCTGCGGTCAGTCAAGATTATACCACTGCACACAAGCCAGGAAAGGGTGAGACCCTCTCTTAAAAAAAAAATTAAAAAAATAAATACATGAAAACCAAAAACACCCTTCAAGTTGACACAAAAAATTAGCAATTGCAGTACTCGGGCCTAATCTAGGCAGTCAGGAAACCCTCCTTTGAGAGAGGAGCAATAATGCTGAGATCTGAAGAAGAGCCAAGGGCACATGGAAGATGTGAGGGTGAGGGGGAAGAAGGGAGGCCATGTCAGGTGGAGAAAACAGCCTGTGCAAAGGTCCTGTGTCAGGAGGGAACACTGCATTCTGGGGGATCTGAAAGAAGGCCAATATAGCCAGAAGGGAAAGAATAAGGGAGCTTGGTATGAGATGATTCTGGATAGATGGGAAGATGGCAGATCCTGCAGGGTCTTGTAGGCCACAGTAAGAGGTGTGGTCCATATCGCAAGAGCATTGGGAAGCTATGAAAATTTTGTTAATGAATAACGTGATCAAATTTGCATGATTGCATGTTGAAGTTCCCTCTGGTGGCAATGAGAATCGGGTGTATATAGGCAAGAGTTGCCATGGGGTGGCTGGTTGTATTATTCAGGATTCTCCAGAGAAACAGAGCCAATAGGACACATATAGATGCATGAGAGGAGATTTATTATGAGAATTAGCTCGTGTGACTATAGAGGCCAAAAAATTCCATGATATGCTGTTTGCAAGCTGGAGAACCAGGTAAGCCAGTGGTGTAATTCAGTTCAAGTCCAGAGGCCTGAGAACCAGGAGAGCCGATGGTGTAACGGTCCAAGACCAAAAGTCTGAGAACTGGAGCTTGGGGTTGGGGATGGGGTGGGGAACTGCTGGTGTCAAGTCCTAGAGTCTAAAGGCCTGAGGACCAGGAGCTCCAATTTCCAAAGGCAGCAGCAGATAGATGTCCCAGCCCAAGAAGAGAGAGTAAACTGTAGCACTCCCTTAAATTTTGAAAAGTGATGCCTCCTTCACCTTATCCTCATTCAGACCTTGGCCCAGAGAGTCCCAGAGCCAGGAAAATCTATGTCCAGTGTCCCAGATAGGAAGGCATGCAGCTCTCCCTAGCAAATGGAAGTTCCCCAGAAAGATTGGGGGAACACTGGGAAGATGGGGCTGTCTGCAACGTCAGCATTTCTTCACATAAATGAAATGACTCCACATTCAAGGCCAGGAAAGAAGGAATATAGTGTATGCCCCACCTCATCTCTGTCACAGAGACCTGATGAACAGAAAAACCATGATATGAGCGTGCTTAGAAACCACAGTTATGCTACCAATATCTTTTAATAATGTTTGTTTAATAAAAACAAAATGTTATTGTTATCATTATTAACTATTACACTCTATTTTCATATTTTTCTGTTTAGTAGGTAGATTTTTTTCTAACAGGCTTTGTAATCTCTTGGATTATGTTTTTCTTTAGCTATTAATGAAATTAATTTGGGTTCCTTGAACACAGCCATCATTTCACAAATGTTCTGCCTAGATGACAGAGAAAAGTCTGCCTAGAATGGAAAAAAAGTATTAATAATCCACAAAAGGAATAATCCGCATTATCATTTGGATTAATTGAGAATTGATTGGAATCATCTTGAGTCAGGTAACTTCACTGAATTAGTAAAACTGGCATAAAACTCTTCCAGGGCGAAGAGCTTTATCAACAAAGTTAGGTGCTGTATCTGCCTATTCCTCTGGCCACTAGTTTCTGCCTCCTTTGAAGGTAGGAAGGTTTCACATGATCATCATTTATGAATTGAATACTTTCCATGCAGAAGGTATTGCATATAAAATCAGCTTCTGGCTCTGAGTTATTTGCACTTTTTCTTCAGAGACAGGCACGGTTGGTGGTGAGCTAGATTCATGAGCCCTTGGATTAGTATCCAGGTTGGCACACACTGTGCTGATGCTCTAGCTGGACCCTAACATTGATGAGGTCAGTGCTTAGACCATTCAAAAGTCTGCACACTTCTCCTATCACTGACATGTCCTCCACATTATTTTCTGTTCTTGGACTTTCTTCTTCTCAGTCACCCATCAATCCTGATTCCTCAGGCTTCAGCCTTTTTCATCCAGTTGGGCAGAGCTGCCAAGGATGTGCAGTTATATTCTATGGCTCTCCTCCTTAAGGGAATATTATGCTAAATGTTCCCTCCCCCACCGCCCTGTTCAAAGAGGAGGAGCACCCCAATGAGAACTTCATGGCATCTGTGAATTCTTTGTGCAGTATCTTCCATTGATTAATCAGACTTCCTAGTGTATTTCAGACTGATTCTCTTCTAAATTCACAATAAATTGATGACTTAACTAATTATATTTGCAAAGACTCTATTTCCAAAGAAAGACACATTCTGAGGTTCCATGCTGACATGAATTTTGGGGGTGATGCTATTCAACTTACTACACTCTGTAACCAGTGATGTACATCACTTACATATTTGATCTCAACCTAGGAGTCTATTGTCCCTTACATATTTTATGTAGACGAATGACTGACATAAATATTTTTGGAAAACTAAACATCAAGGTTGATAGATTTTATCAGATTTTATCTGTGGTTAAAATTCATGAGCCATGAATCTGGTCAAATGTCTATGAGTTTGATTGAATACTCCTGAAAGGCAAACCACGGTATAAATCCAGGAAATACATAGTATAAATCCAGGATAGGCTTCATCCGTGTTTTGAACCTAAGTGTTAGTGTTGTGAATTATTTAATAGTTGCTTTTTATTTTCTCTTTGCCTGTTGACATCTTTAAAATATACATTTTAGGCTTTAATTATACCTATTTATAAATTTGCCTTTTCTTCTAAGTTGATTGGTGAGAACTGAGGGCAAAGGAAGCTAAGATTAAGTGAATAGTATTTACATTTGAAAAATACAAAACGAAAGAATGATTTTTTATTATATCTGATTACTTAAAAACATAATTTTTATAATATAAAATTGATGTGTACTCATTGTGGATGCTTTGAAAAAAAATAGCCCAAAGAGAAAATAAAATGCTCTTGTAGTCCCAGTCATCAGAATGAAGTGTTGTTAATATTTTCAAAGTATGCTTTTTCAGTCCTTTTTCTAATTGTATGCACATGTAAACATGAAGTGTGAAGAAAATGAGACCTATATTTATACACATGTACTCACAGGATTGTAGCTGCTCCTGCCTTTAAGAGGATGGTAGAATTCATCTCAAGAAAGATTTTTAAAAATTATAAACATTCTTAATGGTCTTGATAAAGCATGAATGGTGAACACCTCTCCCTCTTTTTCAGGGCATGGAAAGAGGAGGTGGGACTAACAGAGCAGTGAATCACTCCACACAAAACAGCAAAACAGGAGGGAACTGAGTTATTTGTTGGCAGCTCAAGATACTGGAGAAGATGACGGGCCAGGAAGTTGAAAGAAGGTGAGAGGTTGAGGAGAGAAGAGGGGAGCTGGGGAGAAGCTCTGGCCACGTGAAAACCGGTAGAGCCTCCAGAAGACTGCAGCCAAGGAGGAATTCCTTGTGGCAAGGAATGTCTGATGTTGAATGTTAGATGGTTTTCTGCGCTGTGCTGGGATGATACAACTTGACTCAACTCTTCAGTTGATTGTTCCCTACTAACAGCACCCTGGGGTTAGTGTTGCTTTGGTTGAAAGGAAGCATGAAAAAGTTCTTCTATGATTTCATTTTTTTTAATCCAACTCTTTAATCCATTTAGAATTTATTTTGATATAAAGAATGAGGTGGAACATTAGCTTAATTTTTCTCCTGAAGTTTAGCCAATGATCTGACCATCTTTTAAATGATTTTAAATGCCACCTTGATATTATGTTAAATTATACTAAATGCTCAAGTATACTTTGGTCTATGCTTGTCTGGAAGAGACATTCCAATGTTCCCTCTCTCTTTTAGCTTTAGTAATAAACTTTCAAATTCATCTGGACTCATGGGTCTTCTAAATCATTACTATGTCTCCCAACTTCTTTTGCTGCTAGCTATGGCTGTTGATATAGAAGCAGGAATATTGTATGTAACTTTCAGGATGGTCCTGAATAAGAGGGGCCATGCTCCTTTTCACCCCTTTTCCTCCTTTCTGACAACTGTGATGTAAATAAAAAGAACTCTGGCAGCCATCTTGGACCATGACGTAGAAGTTGCTTGTTGAATGTTATTGCAAAATAGAAGTAGTCTTGGTCTCCCAAGAGCCCTTGATGACTTTCTGTCACCTGTAGATTGCTTATCTTTAGACTTATAATGAGAGAAAAATAAACTTTGATGGGGCTCAGGACACACCACCCCAAAATATCACTGTAGGAGACCACAATATGCCATCCCAAAATATGCCTCTTTGCTGTATTGGTCATTTTAAGTTGGTTATTTTTGAGAAACTGCAGACATAGGAGTAGCTCTGAAAAGTTGCCCTTTTGCAGGAGAAATTTACATCAATGAAGGAAACCTCAATTTTTAAGGGTGTTTTCCTCTCTGCACCAAGAAGAGAAGGAGGACTAAATCACTAGAGACTCTTATCAATGGAAAAGACATAGACTTAAATCCACATAACAAACCTCGTCCTCGTTTTGTGGCGCTTTTCCTGGCCATCTGCTCTTAACCTGGCTTTTACCCACACTCTTCTTTCTTTGTTTCAGAGAAAAATGACATTTACGCCTGAAGTTTACATGCTTTTTTTTTTTTTTTTTTGAGATCTACTCTAGAGATTTATTCATTTCTCTGGGTTTTCTTTTATGTATATATGAGGCATACATGTTAAGAAACTTCTATTTTTCTCTTGTTAATCTGTCTTTTGTTACAGGGGGGTCCCAGTTAAGAACTGTGAAGTGTAGAGAGAAAATTATTTTTTCTTCCCCTACAACTTCTATCTGATTTGAGTCCTTTTTATATAGATTTTTTTTAGTGATCATTGCAGGTGAACCTAATCCTAAATGATGGACTTTGTGTTAGGTTTCACTGCTCTATCTGCATATTCATCTAACAAGGTTATGCAATTTGACTTTAACATTGTAACACATCTTAATATGATACAATACAGGTACTTCTCTTTCTTCTTTTTCAATATTTTCTTGGCTATTCTCATCTGTCATTTTTCTTGTAGACCTTATTATAATTATGTTAATTTGTAAACAAAAAAAATCCCTTTTGGATTTTGATTGAAATTGCATTACACTTACAAATTAATATAAAAGCACTGGGCCGGGCGCAGTGGCTCATGCCTATAATCCCAGCACTTTGGGAGGCCAAGGTGGGCGGATCACGAGGTCAGGAGATCGAGACCATCCTGGCTAACACGGTGAAACCCCGTCTCTACTAAAAATACAAAAAATTAGCCTGGCGTGGTGGCGGCCGCCTGTAGTCCCAGCTACGCGGGAGGCTGAGGCAGGAGAATGGCGTGAACCCCGGGGGGCGGAGCCTGCAGTGAGCCGAGATCACGCCACTGCACTCCAGCCTGGGTGAAAGAGCAAGACTCCGTCTCAAAAAAAAAAAAAAAGCGCTGAAATCTTTATAGTATTGAGTCTTTAGTATCCAGAAATAGGATATGTCTCTCTCAAACCTTTTTTATATTCCTCAAATAGGTTTATATTTTCTTTTATATGAGTTTTATATGATTTTTATACTTAATATTGGATATCTTTTTTATTGTTTATGTTGCAAATTGAATTTATTCACATAAATTATTACTCTAAGATATAGTTGATTTTTGCAAATTCATATTGTTAAGAGGGCAGAAAAAAATAGATTAAGAAAAATTCAGCTACTTCTACCTCCTAGGGCAATGTCATAACTTATTTCTGGAGTCCATAGTCCTCCTATGTCTTAAGCAAATGCTTTAGTGGGCCTTTTTGGTTGAGAAAGTCACAGCCTGGTATTTGGTCTGGCAAGAGCAAAGAGACCCAGATGACTGTATCATAAAGTATTTTAAGTGGTTGCAGGAGGCTGGGAGAGTGGGTGAGGGACCAAGAACAGGAAGGTGAGAAGAGTGTGAGGAATGTGTAGAGAGGGAGTAGAAGAAGAACTAGAAAGAAGGTGGTGGAGATGCTAGTGTAGACTGGCACCTAAGGAGGGACACAGCTAATGAAAAAGAACCTGTATTGAGCAATGGAAAATGCATTTCTTGACAGGGATGTCTTATATTCAGTGTTGTTGCCTCTGCTACTCTGCAATAAATATACTCTTTATTTTCCCAGTTGCTTTGGGGAAAAGCCTACTGTCTGTAAAAGGAGTGGGGCAGTGTTCAGCATGGGGCTAAGAGATGCAGGAAGAATAAAACTGTAATGAGAGGCAAGTGAAGAGCAAAGACCAAGAATCCATTGAAATTTAGAAGTTACAGCAAGAGGTAACCAGGAGAAGTATAAAATCCCCTGATAATCCTGCTCAATTGGAAAAATGCCAGGTTTTCTACATGGGATGGAGGATCAAGCTATTCTGTTTGAATTAAAGAGAAAGGCAATTCAAGAAGGCTGAATGACTTGAAGATACTCTGGAGGCAGAAATCTAAGTTACAACTATACTTCATTACATTATGTTGTTAATAGTTTTATTTTTTGATTGCTATTGAGAATGAATATACAAATAGACCATGTTCAGACCACATATGACAGCAGAAATCTGACCCACAACTTTTGCAGCAACCAGCCCAGGAAGTCAGAGCAGGACCTCTGCAGCGGTCAGCCCAGATATCAGTACTTAGTCAATGATGGCCCGCTCCCTCAATTTTTGCCCCGGCTTCCAATTCAAGACCAACAAAAGAAAGCCAAATATGCTCTCCAATTGATCACACGGGATGCTTCTAGTTAGCCTACCTCCTGCTTTCTCACGCCAAAAATCTATCAGAGTGTCTTAGTTCTGGCTGCTTTATCAAAGTACCATACTGCATGGGTTATAAACAACAGAAATTTATTTCTCACAGTTTTGGAGGCAGGAAGTCTGAGATTAGGGTGCCAGCATGATTGAGTTCTGGTGAGGACCCTCTTTTGGGTTGCGGACTGCTGATATCTTGTTGTATCCTCACTTGGCAGAAAGAGGGTGAGAGAGGTCTCTGGCCTCTTATAAGGGAACCAATCCTGTTCATGAGGGCTCCATCATCATGACCTGATTACTTCTTGATATGGTTTGGCTGGGTCACCACCCAAATCTCATCTGGAATTCCCACATGTTGTGGGAGGGACCAGGTAGGAGGTTATTGAATCATAGGGGCAGGTCCTTCCCGTGCTATTCTCGTGATAGTGAATAAGTCTTACAAGATCTGATGGTTTTTAAAAAGGGAATTTTCTCTGCACAAGCTCTCTTCTCTTGTCTGCCACCATGTGAGATGTGCCTTTCACCTTCTGCCATGATTCTGAGGCCTCCCCAGCCATGTGGAATTGTAAGGCCAATAAGCCTCTTTTTTTTTTTTTTTTAAATTGTCCAGTCTCGGGTATGTCTTTTTCAGCAGCATGAAAATGGACTAATATAGTAAATTGGTACCTGTAGAGTGGAGCACTGCTGAAAAGATACCCGAAAATGTGGATGCAACTTTGGAACTGGGTAACAGGCAGAGGTTGGAACAGTTTGGAGGCTCAGAAGACAGGAAAATGTGGGAAAGTTTGGAATTCCGTGGAGACTTGCTGAATGGCTTTGGCCAAAATGCTAATAATGATACAGACAATGAAATCTAGGCTGAGGTGGTTTTACATGGAGATAAGGAACTTGCTGGGAACTGGAGCCAAGGTGACTCTTGTTATGCTTTAGCAAAGAGACTGGCTTAGCCTCCAAGCCTACATCTTTCTCCTGTGCTGGATGCTTCTTGCCTTGAACATTGGACTCCAAGTTCTTCAGCTTTGGGACTGGCTTTCTTGCTCCTCAGCTTGCAGACAGCCTATTGTGGGACCTTGTGATCGTGTGAGTTAATACTACTTAATAAACTCCATATATATATATATATATATATATATATATATATATATATATATGAGTATAAAGGGATATATGTCCTATTAGTTCTGTCCCTCTAGAGAACCCTGACTAATACACTTCTCAAAGTTTCCACCTCCAGATGCCATCACATTAGGATTAGGGGTGGGTTTCAATATATGATTTTGTGTGTGTGTGTGTGTGTGTGTGTGTGTATGTGGCAGGGGGCCAAACATTCAGTACATTGCACAGAGCATATCTGAAATCTTCCCTTCCTTTTTCCTCTGCTCTAATGCTTTCCTACTCCCTGCCTGCCTGTGACTCTGCTCAATGCAAGTGATGGTGGCTGACCACCCACTAAAAATAGCAAGCTCAGAATAAATAGCCTCTGCTTGTTTTCTTTGAGTGGCATTTGTTTATTTCTACAATATTCTTGGGTTTTAAAGATAGGCAATTATGTCAACTGCAACTAAGACTTTCCTCCTTTCTTTCTTTTATTTGAAATGGGGGTCTCACTTTGTCACCCAGGCTGAAGTGCAGTGGCACAATTATGGCTCACTGCAGCCTCAGTCTCTGGGGCTCAAGTGATCCTCCTGCCTCAGCCTTCTAAGTAACTGGGACTACAGGCATGCACCACCATGCCCAGCTAATTTAAAAATTTTTTTTTTTTTTTTGTAGAGACAAGGTCTCACTTCATTGCCCAGGCTGGTATCAAACTCCAGGGCTCAAGCAGTTCTCCCGTCTTAGCCTCTCAAAGTGCTGGGATTACAGGCATGAGCCACTGGCACCTGGCCAAGACCTTCCTCTTTTCTGATAGCTGTACACTTATTACATTTCTGATTCTGATAGCTGTACATTTATATTTCTATTATATTATGATAGCTGCATATTTGTATTTCTATTATATTATGATAGCTGTAAATTTCTCTGCAATGAAACAGAAATGTACGTCTATCAAAAATAGAAATTTACAGCTATCATAACATTATATAATAGTGACAATGGCAACCATCTTTACTGTACGTTTTATTGATAGTGTCTCTACAGTTTTTCTTTTAAATATAATATTGCCTATTGATTTGAGATGAATATTTCTTCTCCCATTAAATAAGTATATTTTCATTCTAGTTTATTTAGTTTTCTTTTTTAATATCAAAAAAAGTATGTTTTTAGTGTCTATTGAGTTAATCTTTTTCTTCTTATGGGTAATATTATATTAATAGTTATTCTAATTTTGGTACTTGCATTCTTATAAAAATAAACCTACTTGATCACAGTGCATTATTCTTTTATCACACTGGTGCATTTAATTGGATAATATTTTATTCAGGATTTTTGCATCTATATTCATAAGTCAGGTTGGCCTGTAATTTTCTCTTTTTGGTGCTATTTTAGTCATATTTCTGACTTGAAATCTATTTCATCTACTATTAATATTGTAGAGTCTACTTTTTTTTTGGATAGCATTAACAACTGGCTGTTGGTTTGAAATATATATTTTTTGTCATATTAAGGAGCTATCTACCTAGACCTATTTACCTAGATCTATCTTTGGAGGATGCAATTATTTGCCAATGTTTTCCAATATATTCCATGTTTGTTAGTCTTTTCAGACCTACATTCTCTCGAGTTAGTTTTGATTACTTATATATTTTCCATAAATTTACCATTTTATTAAGATTTTCAAACAAGTTAGTATAGAGTTTTATGTAGAAATATTTTAAAATTTTAATCTATAGGCATGATTATAATCTTTAGTTTTAATCTGAGGCTATAATGTGTCATTCCTAATATGGCCCATTTTTGTTTTCTTTCTTCCCCCTCCATAGGTGTAGGATATTTTCTTTCTTTCTTTCTTTTCTTTCTTTTTTTTCTTTTGAGACGGAGTTTCACTCTTGTTGCCCAGGCTGGAGTGCAGTGGTGTGATCTCCGCTCACTGCAACCTCTGCCTCCCGGGTTCAAGTGATTCTCCTGCTTCAGCCTCCTGAGTAGCTGGGATTACAGGCATGCGCTACCATGCCCAGCTAATTTTGTATTTTTACTAGAGATGGGGTTTTTTCATGTTGGTCAGGCTGGTCTCAAACTCCTGACCTCAGGTGATCCACCCGCCTCTGCCTCCCAAAGTGCTGGAATTACAGGCATGAGCCACCGCGTCCGGCTGATTTTTTTTTTTAATGTTTATTCAGTATATGGCTTGGGTTTCCCTCTGAGAAAAGGATTTGAGTTCAAGTTGTTTTTTGGTTGGTGCAGGAAAATCCTGGTGGGGAGCAGGGAGGAGACACAGGGGTAGAAATGTGGCCCATAGAGGAGGAATTATCCAGCCATCTGCCTCTGTAGGCACTGGGATGTGGTGGGAATATCTGGGGAGTAAAAGCATGCCTCAGAGGGGTTCCACTCCTGAGGTGGCAGAGGGGAGTTATTTATATACAACTCCTGACAGTCACCAGTTGAAGGTTACTGTGTGTGGCGGTGGGTGGTGTCAGGGTGTTAATTCCCTGGCACTTATAGCCTGTCTCAGGCACAGGCAGAAAGGCTGCTTACAGTCTCAGAAAAGGCTGGTAGGCAAAGGAATGCAGACACTGGCATTGGAATTCTTTTGGAAGACACTGAAGTGATGTGGCTCTGAGCATATGGGAGAAGCATGACAGCTTCTGCTATGTACACCTGCTGGGGCTGATTGATCAATTCTGTTCCTTCACAGGTTTCTCATGAGTTTCATCTCTTAACTTTATTACTTTATTCTGTTTCTAAAGCTTAATTTAACATCCCTCTTTTTGACATCTTGAGTTATATGCTTACTTCATATATTCTCATTCTTTCTTATTTGATAATTAAAGCAATTCAGGTTAGTTATGGGGAATCATTGAGAAACCACTTGTAAAAGTGCTTAGCACAGTGTCTGGCAGACAGTAATTGCTCAACAAATGTTCATTACCATTTTCCTCAAACCCTTTGAAGTCACTTCTGTTAAAAGATAAACTTTAGAGAAATTAACATTAGCAGAGCTTAACTGGGCAAATAATGACTTGTGAATCAGGCAGCTTCCCAAACTAGAATAGGATCAGAGTGACTATGGCGCTGCTGTGTGGTGGAGCAATATTTACGAACAGGAAAAGAAAAGTGACTTACAGGAAACAGAAGTGAGGCACAGAAACAGCTGGATTGGTTACAGCTCAGGCATTTAGCTTATTTGAACACAGTTTGAATGGTTGGCAGCCTGTGATTGGCCCAAACTTGATTGGCACAAAAGTAGGCTACAGTCTGTTTATACATCCAGGTAGGTTACAGTTCACGATGTACTGAGAAGCCTTTAGACCGAACTTAAAATAAGTAAGTCTGCAGCTTTAGGCTAAAGTTGATTTTACACTTCTGATTACAGATGTGGATGTCTTCTCTTGATGTTGATATGTGGTATTTTCATTATCATTATTGCCCAAGAGTTCTGTAAATTGCAGTTTTCGTTTCCTGTTTGATCCGTGGATTATTTTGAAGAGTGTTTTCAAACCAAGTAGTTGGACGATTTTTGTTTACACATTTTTTCAATTTCTGGTTTTACTGTATTGTGGTATGCAATGTAGTCATGAAATTTCTGGGCTTGAAATTTATTTAAGGTTTTTAGTGGTTTAATATGTAATCAATTTTAAAAAATTGTTCCATAGACCCTGAAAAAGATTTTTTTTGTTTTTTTTTTCAATATTTACAAAGTGGATCCCAGCAATGACTTTTTTCTGACATTCTACATCTTTTGTTTGTTTACTTGATCTGTTAAGAACTGATGAAATCTCCACAGCAATTGTGTTTTGGTCATTTTCCTCTTATTCAGAAACTAAAGATTTATGACAAACACATCTTCATTGCAGATCTTGATTTTTACTACTTATCCTTTATTTTAATAGTTTAGGACTTTAATTCTTTTTGTATACTATATCTTTTTCTATCTTTTTATTTTTTATTTTTATTTATTTATTTTTGTTTTAGATGTGCCTCTTGTGGACAGTATATGGTTAGATCAAATATGATGATCTTTGTCATTTCATAGAAAAATATAACTTATTTAGATATACTGTGACAACCAATATGTTTGACTTTCTGATGAACTTGTCTGGATTCATTGGAATATATAATAGGAAAAAAAATTTGTTCTTTGTCCTTGGCGCAAAGCTCCTGAAACCTTTGAAATTTCCTGAGCAATAGGAGCATCTTTTGTTATTCATTATGCACCCCTTTCAGCAATCTGTGTTTGTGCTAATGAGGTGACTCTTGGCAGGGTCCCCTAGATCACTTTAAGATGGGAGCTAGTTCTGATCAAGTTCTGATAAAGCTCAGAAGTTTCAGCTCCACCCCCTCCTCATATGGGGAAGGGAGAGGGGCTGGAGATTGAATTTAGTCACCAATGACCAATGATTCCATCAATCATCCCTATGTAATAAAAGCTCCATAAAAACCTTTAAACAATGAGGTTCTGAGTTGGTGAACACGTTCACATACTGGGAGGATGGTGTATCCCAACTCCATGGGGACAGAAGCCCTGTGCTCCGGACCCTCCCGGACCTCATCTTCTGGGCCTGTTCCTTTGGCTCTTCATTTGTATCCTTTATAATAAATCGGTAAATGTAAGTAAAGTGGCCCCTGAGTTCTATGAGTCATTCTAGCAAATTATTGAACCCTGGCAAGGGGTGGGGTGTGGGAAGCCTGACTTTGTAGCCAAGTCAGATGCAAATGTGGGTAGCCTGGAGATCTGATGCTTGTGACTGGCATCAGAAGTGAGGGCAATCCTATGGGACTGTGCCCTTAAGCCTGTGGAGTCTGCCCGCCACTGAGTCTCAGAGTTGAACTGAATTATAGGATACTCAGTTGTTGTAGGAGAATTGGATAATAGGTTGGTGTAGGAAAAAAACACACACTTGGCAAAGATGAAAATCTGTTTTTAGTGTGTGTGTTTGCTAATATTTTAAAAAATATATTTGCTAGTTAGACTATAGGGATTGGACCAGACCAGTTCAGAGATGATTCATGTTGCTTGGGAACAAGCCCTTTATAGCTGCTGCTGCTTTTTGTTTGCAGTAGCTTCTCATGCCCGGGCCCTTCTGCCTGTTTCTCATGAAGGCTGCTGTGCTGCAGAGCCTGTCCAGACCATCCCATGTGGCCTGCTCCTGTGTCCAGCGCTTGTCTCTCAGAGTCTCACTGTGTTGCCCAGGTTGGTCCTTCCTGGGATCAAGGGATCCTCCTGCCTCAGGCTCCCAAATTTCTGGGATTACAGGCACGAACCACTGTGCCTGGTGTATTCCTACAGTATTGTAAAATAACATAGTCCATAGAAATCATGCCCTGTACTGCACTGAAAGAACACTTAGAATTTTCTTTTGCCTAATTCCAAGTCTCAGGTCATTTTAGTGACACAATTTTGCTGTTTTTCGCTCATTATGAATTATTCTTTCTGAGATGGATGGAGATAGAAGATCTGGCTTGAGTCCTTTTGTTGCCATGTTTTACATAGAGGGCCCAAAGAAGCATTCATATTCTTTTGCAGCTACCTCCTGAAAGAGGATTTTCATTTCTCTTGTCAATGGACTATGGGCAGGTTCAATATGGTCTTGGCTAAACTAGATGTCTTAAAGTGTAAAAGAAGCTTCTCCAAAATTTATCACAAATGTCTTATTAATTTAAAAATGCAAACACAAAATCTCAAATAAGGAATTACATTATATGCTTGTTTAACTTAAGCAAACCCAACTATGTATTGAGCAAGGGAACACTGTACTATTATTATTATTATTATTATTATTTTTTGAGATGGAGTCTCTATTGCCCAGGCTGGAGTGCAGTGGCACAATGTTGGCTCACTGCAACCTCTGCCTCCCAGGTTCAAGTGACTTTCCTGCCTCAGCCTCCCAAGTAGCTGGGATTACAGGCATGCACCACCACATCTGGCTAATTTTTGTATTTTTAGTAGAGATGGGGTTTCACCACGTTGGCCAGGCTGGTCTCAAACTCCTGACCTCAAGTGGGAGGTCCACCTTGGCCTCCCAAAGTGCTGGGATTACAGGCATGTGCCAGTGTGCCCGGTGAGCAAGAGAACACTTTAAATAGTAAGAGAATCTCCACCTGCTATTCCATTCAATGAATATACACCACAGAATGAGAGTGAGAAGGAGAGGCAAATCGGCTTTGCCTAAATCTCAGTTATCTTGTGTGATATCTTAGTATGCTGAGTGTGATTCTAATGTTTAAAAACACTTGTAGTTTTGAACCACATGGTTCCTAAATGAAAGCCACCTTCTTTGATTGGTACTGTAAGTCCCAATCTGGAAGAAAAAACCTGGCTGTGTTGGGCTGTTGGTGTCAGCTCTTCTGGGATTTTCATGGGTACTTGGAACAGTGTTTAGTTTGCCTCATATGAAGTCTTTAGATGTTGTATTAGTTTCTATTGCTGCATAGCAGATCACCAACACATCAAGCAGCTCCCAACAATGCACACATTTATCAACTTGGCTTCTGTGGGTCAGGAGTCTAGGTGTGGTCTACCTGAGTCCTCTGCTCAGAGTCTCATGAGACTGCAGTTGAGGCTTCAGCTGGACTGAAACTTCAGCCAAAGTTTTCATCTGGAGGCTCTGCTGGGGGAAAATCTGCTTCCTACCTCACTCAAGTTGTTGGCCAAATTTATTTTATTGTGGTGGTATGGCTGAGAGCCTGGGGTTTTGCTTGCTGTCAGCTGGAGGCTTCCTCTGGTCTTGGGGGCCATTCTCAGTTCTTTTCCATGGAGGCTTCCTCAGAATGGCTGCTACTTCAGCAAGGAGAATCTCTTCAATCTCAGGGAGGGCCAGGGTTCCTCTTTCAAGGTCTTTCACCTGATTAAGTCAGGCTCGTTCCAGATCACCTCCCTTTTTGTTAACTCAAAGTCAACTGCTTTGGGACCTTAACTCCATCTGCAAAGTCCTTTCACCTTTGCCACATTCTATGGGTAGACCCACGTCAACACGTCTCACCTCCACTCAAAAGGAAGAGATTATACAGGCCATGGACACCAGAGACAGGAGTCATGAGAGTCACCCTAAGGGCTATCTGCCATGGACCTCAACCCCAGAAAGTACTCAGGGCCCAGTCAGAAAAACAGCAACCACACTAGGTATTTAACAGGAAATGTTTAATATAGGAAATTAAATAGTTATTGGTGGACTAAAAAAAAGCAAAACAAGACAATAGTGATATAACAACGAAAAAAGGGCAGGAAACAATCTCTCCCTCCCACCCCACTGGCTAGGGCAATAAAGGGTTAATGAAGTCAGGGTTATCAGGACCTCCATACTTGGAGAAAAGTCCTTAGCCACTGAGTTAAGTCCCCCTCTGACTGATTCTGTTTATCACGGAGGGGCCCTGCAGAGCTCAGATCTCTGTAGAGTGGGTGCTGCCTCACTCACACGGTCCTTCTGAGGAGGTGTCATGAGGCTTGTTTTGAGGGCGCTAAAAGAAGCTGGTGACTGGGACAACCTGCTGCTAGGATGAAGGACCATTCCTGGGCCTATTGCCAGGAGTAGCCAGCTGATAGGAAGGACAGTTCTTCCTTCTCTTGCCTTCCAGTCTCTCTCCAACATCCCTGTCAGCAGAACCTGACAGCGAGCAAGCTGGCAATGGAGAAATATGCTTACCAGAGTCCTGGATCCAGCATCACAAAACAAGTGCAAAAGGGTAGATTTAGATCCTAGAGACAATAGCTTAATAACCAGCATTTAGTAACCACCTTCCTTAGACAAGGCTGCTGAAACTTAGGTCCAGCGGAAAACCCTGGACTTCACTTTCTGGTCTAACACTGGTCATGCTTGGATTTTAGGGAATCAATGAATAAGACCTTTTTTCTTTCTGGCCTGGTTCTGAATCAAAGTTCTTGATAAAGAGAATTAGAGGGAACTTAACTCGGTGGTTAAAGACTTTTCTCCAAGTTCATAGGTCCTGATAACCGTGATCTCATCTCCTTATTATCAGTAGTCAAGAAGATGGTAATAAAACTATCAGCTTTATTACTAACAGAATCTGATGTCAGGCATGCACCCACATGTGCTTGCCTTGCTAACAGCCCCTGATGTAAACTTATTGCCAAAGTGCAGGCCTCCCCTGTGGGTTCTGGGTGGAAGCATCCAGGCCCCTGAGATCAGATAAGTATGCACCTCCCAGGTGGCCAGCAGATTCTAAGGAGAGACAAAGGCACATCTGAATGAAGCCCACCCTTGGGGAGGAGTGCCTAGAACTGAGAGAGTTTGGTGGGGGTAGGGGGTTTCCCTGGTGGAGGTTCTTCCATTAGGGAGTGTGAGGAGTGGGGAATGAGTTTTCTCAAATTGGTATACTTGAAAACATATTTGATTGCAACCTGGCTCTGGTTAGAAATGTTATAAGAACAGATTTTTAAAAAATTAGAGGTACTTTTAAAAAAGTGATAAAATACACATAACAGAATTTACCATTTACAATGTACATTTTTAAGTGTACATTTCAGTGGCATTGAGTACATTCACATAGTTGTGCAACCATCACCACTGTCCATCTCCAGAACTCTTTTTATCTTGCCCTTTAAACTCTGTACCCATCAAAAAATTGGTCCCCAGTGACCCCTTGCCCAGCTCCTGGCAACCTTAACCTACTTTCTGTCTTTGTGAAATTGACTAGTCAAGGTACGTCATATAAATGGAGTGATACAATATTTATCCTTTTGTGTCTGGCTTTTTTGCTTAGCATTAGGTCCTCAAGGTCCATCCGTGTTGAAGCATTTATCAGAATTTCCTTCCCTTTTAAGGCTGAATAATATTCAATTGTATGTATATACCACATCCTGTTTATCCATCTGTCGAAGGACACTGGGTTGTGTCTACCTTTTGGCTATTTTGAATAATGCTGCTATGAACATGGGTGTACAAATATCTGTCTGTGTCCCTGATTTCAATTCTCTCGGGTATATACTCAATAATGAAATTGCTGGATCTTATGGTAATTCTATTTTTAATTAGAAACACAGTTTTTAGTGGACATTGTGAGGAACATCAAGAGGTAGAGGCCGAGAACCTGTGAAATGCACATCACGCAGCCTAGAGGCCTCTTAGGTAGAAATTGCACACTTGTCCCTGAGGGCAGCAGCTGTTCTTCTGCCTCTGCTGCATCTTCACGCCTACAAAGTGGAGAATGGGCTGAACCCGCATCTCCTTTACTTTCAGGCACTGGGTGGAGAGCTCCACTCTCAAGAATAATGGCAGTGGCCAAAGTCCCTTTCAGTCCCCCTAGACCCGGGCTCGTGGCTGAGATACCTGAGTAAGATTCTGGAGCCCTTGAAGCTTGCCTAGCTTTGTTATTGTTGCCATCCTTTGTCATCAGTATCACTGCAGTGATTGGCAGTGGAGCCTTTCATAAGGAAGCAGACCATGTGTGTGGTCTTTAGGGACTATCAGGAGAAGGGAGTTGGGAGGTTTCTTCTGGTTTAGGGCCACTCTTGGACAGAAAGTGAATGGGCAGGGCCAGAGAAGGAAAGAAAGCAAGCTCAGTTCCTGATGGCTCCTGAGGCTCAACAGCTATAAATCCTGTGCACGGTCACCAGACAGAGTTAAATTTCCTGTTCCAAAGAGGCACCCAAATGATAGAAGTTCAAGCACCATGGCAAACTGTTGGATAAACATTTTGGAGCAGATGGTAGGGATTAAAGGAATAGCCACCTCATGGAGTGTACGTACAGGTGCCCACTGAGGCACTGTGTGGGGGTGTGGTGCTCTGAACTTATTGGACATTTAAAAGAGAAAGGAGCGATTACTTCCTTCTGTCCTGGTGCAGGGGCCTGTGTTGTCTCTGAGGCCAACTGAATTCCCTCTCTTGGTTTAGTTGTACCTGTCAGTCCAGAATTAACGGTGTGCTCGGGGATGTTCCTCAGTCAGCATTGTAGAAATTCAGAGCCCAAGGAGCAGATGAGTACCGGGGTGACTGTAAAGAAGTCAGTGTATGACATCACTTTCCCTAAATGTGTAGGGCTTGCTTCTAGACTGTTCTATTCAGTAACGGGTCAGAGACTCAAAAGAGCACTGTCTGAAAGAAATATAATGTGAGCAACATATAGAATTTTAAAGTTTCTAGTAGCTACACTAAAAAAAGGTGAAATTTAATTTTAATATATTTTATTTAATTGGATGTGTTAAAAATGTTATTTCAACAAATAATTAATATTAAGATTACTGAGCTATTTTACATTCTTTGTTTTGTACTCAGTATCTGAATTTTGGTGTGTTATTTTACACATACAGCATACCTCAATTCGGAAAATCCACACCTGTGTCGAATGGTCACATGTGGCTTGTGGCTACCATATTGGACAGTGCAGCTCTAAGACATCCAAGGGTATAATAGCAAGCATTTATTGAACGATTACTATTACATGTATTGAATCAAGCAACACTCCAAGGCAGCTGCTATTTACTGAAGAATACAAGTGTATTCTTTGGTTTGTGGCCCTTTCCTCTGTCTTTAGGAAGCCAATAGCATAGCGTCTTCTGTCTCCAACTCTGCTTTCCTCTCTGCTTCTGTCATCAGGGGGCTGCATCCTGCTTTTCTCTTAGAAGGACTCTTGTGATTACATCAAGCCTACTCTGATAATCCAGGATAATCTCCCAATCTCAAGAGCCTTAATTTAATCACATCTACAAAGTCTCTTTTGCCATATAATAAAACATGGACAGGTTCCAGGGATTAGAATGTGGACATCCTGGGGGGCCATTATTCAGCCTGCAACAGAGGGTGACTTTATTTTCACAAGCATGTAAGGAAAACTCTGAGCTGAGACTGCAGTTTCTCTACTTCTTCCTTACATCATCTGTGTAACTCGGCTCATGCTGCTCTAGAAGAGACCATCTCCCCTGCTCCATCATATCTGCAGCCCTGGCTGCTGCAGGGAAAGGCACTGCCTTTCTTCTCCAGGTGTCTTTTGTTCTTCTTCCGCCCTGGCCCCTTGCTGCCATGCAGGACTCTGCTGGGAGTGACGTGGGTCTCTTTCCCTGAGAGAGCTGAAGATCTGCAAGGAGACCTTCTCCCTGCCTTTTGCTTCGCATTTTGAAGGGAGGGAGGAGACTAGCCAGAACCACTGACCAGGGGAAGCACTCTTATCCTCTTAGAAAGGACCTTAGGAATCATCTATCCCCTCCACCCCATCCCTGCCTTGCCACGAGGATTAATTGCTCTCTAAGTGCCTTGGCCAATGTTGACTTTCAGCCTAAGCTTGACCTCTCAAGCAAGTTGTTTCCTTCCTAACAATAGTATTTCAAGTGAATTCATTAAAACTTCTTAGTTGCAAGTAATAGAAACTAACTTAAATTAACTCAAGCAAAAAACAAACAAAACAAAACAAAAACAAAAAACAAACCAAGGAGTGGTCAGAAATCCACTCCTCGGGGGAATTTGATCTCTTGCTTTTCTTGGCAACTTGAGGACCCTTTTCCTAGGAAAGGGGGACTTTCCCTGTCCCCCTCTGACTTCCAGCACATAATCAGTGATTGTGACTCCAGTCCAGGTCCACTCAATACCCACTTATCATATGTGCTGCATTACAACCAACAGATGAAGAGGCACAGATGGATGCCTCTTTCATCTGGTGAACTGATAGAAGTGCTGTGATGAACCTCCACAGTAGAAGAAAAGAAAAGGATGAAAGACACATGTTGCTAATTGGCCTTAAACCTCCTCTGATGGGAACAGGAGGCAGAAGCTGGTCATGAGGGTAAGTTGATAAGAGAGGAGCCTAACCAGGGTTCTAATGAATGGCCAAGATATTGGGATATAAGCTAGAAACTCTAATGTTGATATGTTTCTTTTTTTCTTTTTTTATTTTTTTGAGACGGAGTCTCACTCTGTCACCAGGCTGGAGTACAGTGGTGCAATCTCAGCTCACTGCAACCTCTGCCTCCCGGGTTCAAGCGATTCTCCTGCCTCAGCCTCCCAAGTAGTTGGGACTACAGGCACGTGCCACCACACCCAGCTAAGTTTTGTATTTTTAGTAGAAACGGGGTTTCACCATGTTGTCCAGGATGGTCTCCATCTCTTGACCTCGTGATCCTCCCACCTCAGCCTCCCAGAGTGCTGGGATTACAGGCGTGAGCCACCGCGCCCAGCCATGTCGTTATGTTTCCTACACACATGTGTGTGTATGCATATGTACCCATATAGACATACTTAACATTACACGATGTACTATGCTAGTGTTGGAGATACAGAAATGACTTTATGCCTACCCTAAAGGCTTCCCTAAAAGACAAAGAATTGTGGGACAGTTTGATAAATGTCATAAGAGATATTAGTAAGTGCTAAAAATAGCACAAAGAGAGGCATGATTTCCTCTGCTTGGGTGTGTCCAGGAAACCTCTATCGAGAAGGGAACATTTGCATGGATCTTAATAGGAATTTAAAGATCACTGGGAGAAGTGTGTGTGTATGAGTGAGTGAGTGTGCGGCAGGAAGGGGTGATGAGAATGGAGAAAGATGTTCCAAAAAGGAGGCGTTATATGTCCACAGGCCTTGATGTGAAGCGGCATTGACGTTTAGACTAGAGTGTAGATAGTTCCATGTGGCTGTCAAGATGGGGCCTTGGGTAGGGAATAAGAGAGTGGACAGTTGAGCACAGGCTGAGTCTCAAGAGACATAAGCTTCTAATTTATCTTGTAAGTAAACAGACATCTTGGAAAGAATGGAAGCAGAGCGTGACAAGATCAGATCTGGACTTTAGAAAGGAGGAGGACTCTAACAGTGTGGAGGATGAATTGAAGGAAGGACAACTAGGGGCAGCCAGATTTGTTGAGAAGCAGAGGCCAAGACAAGATTAGACCTGCAGAGGCATTGTGGGAAACACCACACCTGTGAAGGATGAAGAGCGGGCAGAAGGAGTGGTCAGGAGAGACTTCAGACTGCAGTGCAGGTCAGACACCTGGGAAAGGAGAGCAGGCTGGGAAGAGGATCAGGTAGGATGATCCTCAAACTGTGGTGCAGCTCCAGGATGTCCCCGCCAGGCTTAGTGTCCCAGAACAGAGCTCGCCTCTTAGCGAGGCCTCACATCAGGCACAGTGGCCTGTTTCTAGCCCTGTTTCTGGCACCCTCTGTGCTCAGTCATTGGCTGGGAGCAGCATGGGGCAGTGTGAACACCCAACACAACCAAAATATAGCAGCAGGAGGCTGGAGGCTTCTTGCACCAGGTTCTCTTGAAGGGAGACCTGAGCACACTCCCTGACAGCACAGAGATGCCTGCAGCAGCACAGTCTGCTCTAAGGCCAGTCACGGGAGAATGGAAAGCAGATGGAAAAGAGGAGCTTGCCTTGTTTGCCAGCACCCCCTGGTCTGGGAAGGCTGTTTCCCCTCTGGCTTGTGAGGTTGCTGCCCTTGCTCCTTTCTTGGTTGGGGCCAGAAGTTGTCCTCCGCTTTTCTTGAGGACATCACAGGCTTGGCAGATGCAGGAGTCAGCTCAGGCTGCTGTAACACATGGCACAGACCAGGTGGCTTAAACAACAGAAGTTAATTTCCTCATATATCTGGAGGCTGGAAGTCTAAAGTCAAAGGTCAGCAGGGTTGGTTTCTTCTGAGGCCTCCCTCCTTGGCTTGTAGATGGCTGTCTTCTCCTTGTGTCTCCGCACAGTCTTCCCTCTATGTGCATCTGTGTCCTGGTTTCCTTTTCTTATAAGGACACCAATCAGAATGGATTAGGGCCCACCCTAATGGCCTTATTTTAAATTGATTACTCTTTAAAATACCCTGTCTCCAAATACAATCACATTCCGAGATACGGGGGTCAGGGCTGCAGCATAGGAGTTTTGGGGGCCACAATTCAGCCCATCACAGAAGGTAAGAGATATGCTGCCTCCACTGCCCTCTCACACATCAAGAGCCCTGGTCCCTTAGTGTATGCAGGCTTCTCCTTCCTGTGAGTTCTGCTTCTGCGTGTGACGCAAAGAAAGTCAGGTGGGTCCAAGAGATGCCAACATGCAGAGAGTGATGGAAGAGAGCAGGGAAAGCATTAGAGAGTGAACAGTAGTAAGGCTGGGCACGGTGGCTTACGCCTGTAATCCCAGCACTTTGGAAGGCTGAGGCGGGTGGATCATCTGAGATCGGGAGTTCGAGACCAACCTGACCAACATGGAGAAACCCCATCTCTACTAACAATATAAAATTAGCCGGGCATGGTGGCGCATGCCTGTAATCCCAGCTACTCAGGAGGCTGAGGCAGGAGAATCACTTGAACCTGGGAGGCGGAGGTTGCGGTGAACTGAGATCGCACCATTGCACTCCAGCCTGGGCAACAAGATTGAAACTCCATCTGAAAAAAAAAAATAGAGTGAACAGTAAGCATTAAATAGGGCTGAGCTCTGACATGAGGTGAAATTAAACCCACTTTAGCCCTTGCTCCTCAGGGATCTCTGTTGCCCATCAGTGAAGGAAGTGGGTGGGCACTTGGGCAGTGAGGTTGGGTGTCTTTCTACCACCAGTCACTTTCAGCCATGAGGTAAAGGAACGAAAGGTACAAGGCTGGTGGAGGGCGTCGGGGGATGTGGCAGAGGGGAAGAGGCTGGGAAGAGGGGTCTCAGGAGGATGGGCACCAAGCCAGATGAGAAGGCGAGTCCCCCTGACAGGAGCAGGTCCAAGTGCACAGCCCACCGTGGGGAGGTGCCTGCAGCCCAGAAGTCCCTCTTGGGAGTGTGTTCAGAATCATTGTTCTGTTGGCTGGAGAGGGATGAACCCTCCACAGCAGAAGAAAAGGAAAAGGATGGAAGACACACGTTGCTGATTGGCCTTAAACTTCCTTTGCCTTGGTTTTGCTCAGAGCATCCCAATCTTCTCCCCGACCCTAATTTTCCTCTAACTCCCCACGCCGATTCTGTGCTCCATCCAGACCTCACCACCCAAAGTTTCCTAAAACGTCCTGTGATTTTCAATCTCTGAGCCAGTTCCTTCATGTACAGTTTATTAATTTATGGCTGCCTCCAAATCCCTTCTCAATGCTATTGGTGAGACCTCCAACAGGATGGGCTATCTCCCTTCTTTAAACTCTCACAGCAACCTGACACTTCGCTTTGTGTCTCCATACGTGTTTTGTCCTGCATGGCTAGACTGTCTGGGGACAGAACTGTTTTATGCAACTCTATGTCTTCAGTTTTACTTACATATAGTAGAATTAAATACATCTTTGTTGAGTTGAATTAAAGTGAAAAAAAAAAAAAAGATTGCCTTACGTTATTTTCTCTAGGTAATTCATGGTAAAGAGTCTCATGAAGATCTCTTCCAGTCAAGAAAATATTTTTTTTGTCTACCGTACCTTGACTTTTAACTATTGCCTTTTGAAGCTCAGATTGATTTAAAGCACTTGGCTTAAATGCTAAAGCTTGCACATTTGCCAACATGAGCTCATAGTTTCATCTAAGCCTGCTTACCCAAGGAGATTTACATTTTTTCTGAACATTTATAAACATCTTAG
This sequence comes from Homo sapiens, assembly GCF_000001405.40. Lineage (NCBI taxonomy): Eukaryota > Metazoa > Chordata > Mammalia > Primates > Hominidae > Homo > Homo sapiens. The sequence continues at coordinate 159,979,406 of NC_000001.11, read as the reverse complement.
ACCAGTTTCTAAACAGAGATATGATGTGATTTCTTCTTATTTTCCTACCAGTGTTTGCATATTAAAAGAACTTGGGGAACATAGTGGCAACCAAAAAGACATCAGCGGAATTTCATGTGTGTTGGGGTGGTGTCCTAGAGAGAGGTGATTAAGAAGGGCTTTCCCAAAACAACTCAAACCGTACCACCTAGGTAGCCTTATGCTGCTCCTGCTTTGTAACCATTATTACAACCTTTCCTTACCTCCACCACTTTTGCAGGGTTTTCTGCTCATGCTAAGTGATCCACACATTCAGAAAATTGAACATTACCAAATAGAAGTTAAAATGAAACAATGCCAACAGCATTGACGAGACACATTTAATAACATACAAAGCTAATTTAGTGCCTCATAAAGAATAAGGATAAATGGATCCCTATGCCCTCAAACCAAAAACAATCTTTATTTTCACATAGTTGAATTAAGTATTTCTGGGGCCAGTGTGGGGGAAAGATGGTATGGAATGGGAGAATCCATCCTTCCTGCAAGAGGAGAAAGCCAGGGACTACTCTGTCTATATTTTTACAAGGAAATTCTTCCTTTGTTTCTAGTAAACAAACTCAGAGGCACTGATGTTGGGCTGGAACAAGGACTTTCTGGTGGGGAGGGCAGCTGGACTGCATAGACTTGAGGTTCCATTTTTGAGGTTCACCTTGCCTTGGGGTCTGTCCTTGGTTACCACCACTGATGTCTACCATGCTGGACTTTGGAGAACTTTGCTTCCACTTCAGCACACCTTGGTACCTTCAGTCAAGCTTTTATTAAAGACTAGGGAAAACAAAAGGGCAATTTAAATAAGAAAAGAGTGCCAGGAATCTGTCTTATAAGATACAGTTTATGCATGCTCATCTGTCTCCCTTCTTAGCTGCTGGCCTGTCTGGATGCCCTCTTAGCATCTGTGACCCAGGTGTCTACATTTGTCCATCTACCTACCTTAAGGTAGAGCCAGGTTCTGGAGATATTAGGAAATCTTCCTATGTGCCTGAGACCCACCTCGTCAGATCTGGAGTCCTGTCTAAAGCCACCTTTTTCCTAACAACCCCAAAGTCAAGGTCTCCTTTATGAAGTTCCCCTCGCCTGCCCCCATCTCCCACCCCTAAGTCTTGTCCTGCTTGCTTCTTCTTGGAGGACAAGGTGGTTGTCACTGAGGTCTCACCTGGCCCTTTTGTCTTGTTCCTCCTGAAGTGGGGAGGGGTATGACATGGGCTCACTCTGTGGAGACCCTGAAGCCAGGATGGCCAGGATGCAGTGCAGAAATGTTCCTATGGAACTTAATAGGAACTATGACCTGGTGGGGTGGGGCAGTGGTGGGGGCTGGCAGTTTTCAAATCTGTGTAGGAAGAGGGAGGAAGAAAGGCCACAGATCCTCCTGTATGCACCAGTCCCACTTCTAACCACTCTTTCTGTCAGGAGGTCCTTATTATCTAATCTCACCCCCTCCCTTTTCCCCATGGCAGGTCCCTGTGATGGAAAGTTTGGCGAGCCTTTGATCTCATGTTCCTGCATGTCTCCATGAGTACGCCTATGTTCATGTCCCATTCTGACCACCTGGGCTGTTTGGAAATGTCTGTCTGAGGGGACAGCTGTCTGGCTGAGGTGTAGATGGCTGGCTCCATCTTACTGAGCTCAGGCTTCTGTGCCTGTCTGCACAGGGCTGTGGTCTGGGTCTAGGCGAGAAAGCCTCAGGGTCCTTTCCCTCCCCAGTTCCTGGTGGCAAACATCTATGCCTGGTCACGTTCCGCTTTTCTTTGGTCATTTTCTTCCATTTACACCAGGCTTCTCTACTGAGTGAAGTCCTAGCCCTACCAGCAGTAGCTGAAGGATGCTGTCACTGGCCCTATAGGGAGCTAACCCTGCAGGGACATGACTAATCTTTTCTATAACTGGGGAGATGGCATGGGAGGAGGGTAGAAAAGAGACTAGAACCAATTTCTAGCAGAAAACTCTTCTTTTTCTCCTGAAGTAAAGACTACATCTGCTAACCTCACGTCTTCCAGTACTACCTGGGAACTCAGACTGTAACTACAAGGATATCAACTCAGCCATTCTTTGTCTCTCTCTAATCTTCTGCCTTCAACAAAAATGCAGGACTAGGGAAAGCAAAAAGGAAACTTAAAAAAGAAATGAGTGCCAGGAATTTGTCTTATAAGATAGGGTTTATCCTTCCTCATCTGCCTTTCTTCTTAATTTCTGACCTGTCTGGATGTCATCTTAGCATCTGTGACCCAGGTAGCTATACTTGTCCATCTACCTACCTTAAGGTAGAGCCAGGCTGTGGTGAGATTAGGAAATCTTCCCGGTCATGTTGTTCATCTTTTCACCTACTCTCCCCCTAGCTACAATCTTCTTTTCTTTCTTTCTCTTTCTTTCTTTCTTTCCTTCTTTCCTTCTTTCCTTCTTTCTTTCTCTTTCTTTCTTTCTTTCTTTCTTTCTTTCTTTCTTTCTTTCTTTCTTTTTTTCTTTCCTTCTTTCTTTCTCTTTTTTTTTAGAGAGATGGGGGTCTCAATATGTTGTCCAGGCTGGACTCAAACTCCTGGGCTCAAGGAATCTGAATAGTTAGGACTACAGGTGCTGGGCTCTGGATTCTTGATACTGTCTTCTACTCTTTACCTCCTCCCAACCATTCCCATTGTATACTGAGAAACCCAGTTCCTTAGAATCTTCAGTTGCAGGGAATGGATCCATTCTCAGGTAACTTCAAGAAAGAGAGGTTTATTGAAAGCTCTATGGGGAAATAAAGAAGATTGGAATATTTTATTTTATTTAGCTTTTTAATTGAAACATATATGTGAATATAGTAAATGCATTAAATTTTTTAAAAAAGAACAAAGAAGCACATTGTGAAAATTGTTTCTCCCTCACCCTAGCCCATGAGTTGGTTACCCAGTCTTCCCTTACATTCTAAACATTTTATATGCATATGCAAGCATACATATGTGTGTGAATATGTATGCATGTTTCTTTTTATATACAAATGGAGGTGCACTGTACACATGGCTTCACATGTTGCTTTTAGTGTTTTTCACTAACACTTTATCTTGGGCTCATTCCATACAGGTATTTATGGATCTACCTTGTTCTTTCTCATGGCTACATTATATTTCATTATATGGCTGGACCATAATTTATTTAACAAATTCCTTATTAATAACCATCTTAGTTGTTTTTGCCCTTGTGCTATTTTAAGCCATATATATTATATAGATATTCTTTATATATAAAAAGCAACAGGTTAAAAACAACTTACACACACACACACACACACACACACACACACACACTACAACCTATACTCCTTCCTTGAGTTCTGGAGTGCTCCATCCACACAGCTGGCTTCAAGCACCACCAAATGTAAATGACTCCCAAGTCTCTATCTCCAGCCCAGAACAGATCCTGAAGTTACATATAGACTTTAACTGAGGGATATCTCCACCTGGCCATGCCAAGAACATCTCATCTGAAGATGGACACATTTTAACTTACATTTTCCTACAGATCAGCGTCTTGCCCTCAATTTCCTATTATCCTGAATTCCTCCCTCTCTTTTGCCCCTCACCCTCATCAAATCTTCAAGTCTGTATCATCAAGTCTTATAGATTCTGCCTCCTTAGTGTCACTCTGATCTACGCCCTCCTTTTCACCTCACTGCCATTGTTTCAGCTGACACCTCTCTCTCTTGCCCAGGCAATTGCAATAGGCTCAGTCTTTTTCTCACCCTGTTCTGATCATTCTTTACTTGGCAGCCATCAGATCTCGAATGCAAGTTTGATTCAATTACTCCCAATTTCAAATCCCTCCTTTCCTTTCCCACTGCTCTGGTGTAGTTTGAGTTTGTCTGATTACTGCCTCCCCAGGCTTACTTCTTAGCACATCCTCTTCACAGCCTGCCTCTCCAGCCATGCCACACTCCACCAGTTCCCAGACTACTCCTGGCTGTGTCCTTGCTCATGTGGCTACATCTTGAAACAGCCTCTCCCTACATCTCCCTTATACTGAATACTTATCTTGCAAGATGAGGTCAAAGCAATCTCACCTCTTTGGGTCTCCTCCCCAGGTAGAACTAAGCAGTTCCTCTCTGTGCCCCCTCTGTCACACTTTATCTCTTTTTTCGCTTTCTACACTATAAACTAGCATATATCCGAGGGCCTGGCATGTAGAGGTACTCAATAAATGATTGATGAATGAATAAGTCAATGAATGAATAATGAATAAATCCTGCTTCTCTGCCTTCCATTGAATCAGTACCTTTGTTAAAGAGATGAGATCTCTGACGTACATATGAGTACTGAGACTCCCAGGGAGTTATCTATGTTACTGCTTGGGGAAGGAGTTCAGACCACACTTGGAAACCCAAGTGCTCTGTGGTTGGTGGCAATAGAGAAACCAGGTTTGAACACCCGGGCCTATGCTCAGGGACCTTGTGATCCTCATAAGTTCCAGGAGTGATGGAAGGTGCCTATGGTCCAGGAAGAGGCTGATTACACCTGTGTTCTTCTTGCTCATAATGGGAATGAGAAGGGAACTCTTCCATGAGCCCCATTTCTGCCATCCTTCATCATGATCCTCAGGCTTGACTCCCAGCCATGGCTGTTGGCTCTTGAGGCTACCTGACCTATGGGAGATTCCATACCTGGGGAGAGACCCTTGTCCTGCCCAATCAGGACAGAGAACGTAAGTTTAGGATGAGAACAGACAGGACGGGGCCTTTGCATGGCTGGGGTGGAAACTGAAGCCCCTGCTGGGGATCGGTATTGGTGTGGGGCATCGATGGAGTCTGGACCTCTGGGAGCCTTTAAGGAAGAAGGTAGGAGCGAGCCAGATCAGGCTCCTTCAATCCCTGGATTCTCACACGTCCGGACCTGGAGCTGTCACTGGAGGTGGGGACTATTGGGTCAGCCTGGACTGGGGCAGCATGTGAAGTGTGAAGAAATTGGAATCTGTTCAGGAGGAATAAGATAGCTACATAATTGGGATGATTCTAGCTGGAACCAAATATGTCAATGGGGAAGAAAACCCAATATATGGTAGGATCAGGGAGAGAGAAAAAGGGAGAAGAAAAGGGAAAGGATAGAGGCAGATGGGAAGAGAAGAGGAAGGAGAGAAGGAAAGGGAGGAGAGGGAGTAAAAGGAAGTCCAGGTCCTGCCCTTCTCTGGTCAGCATGAAGGACTGGAGACAGTGACACTGCACCGGTACCATCCAAGGGCCTCCATCCCCAGCAGAGGCCTTAGGCTGGAGGACAGAGGGAGAGAAGTGACTGATGGGACCTGCAGCTCCAGGGCTGCCCTGTTCCTCTGCCTTGCAGCCTGGCTGTACCTCCAAGCCTGGCCAAACCCTGTGTTTGAAGGAGATGCCCTGACTCTGTGATGTCAGGGATGGAAGAATACACCACTGTCTCAGGTGAAGTTCTACAGAGATGGAAAATTCCTTCATTTCTCTAAGGAAAACCAGACTCTGTCCATGAGAGGAGCAACAATGCAGAGCCGTGGCCAGTACAGCTGCACTGGGCAGGTGATGTATATTCCACAGACATTCACACAAACTTCAGAGACTGCCATGGTTCAAGTCCAAGGTAAGTCACCAGCTTGGGAGTTTGTGGGGCAGGAGGTGCCTCTCAGGGGTCCCGTCTCTAGAGATCAGTAGCTCTCTGGACAGGACCCCTGTCTCTGGCTGCCCCTCATGCTGGGCCAATGTGTGGGGACCCGAGGTTTCCCAAGATGTTGTCTCAATACCCCCATCTCCCCACCATGGGGGACACATGTAGCCAGGGGAAGGAGGGGGGAGATTCCTGGGAGTGGGGCACTGGGAAAAGCCTGGACCAGTCCAGGCTCACCCTTCCCCTCTGTGGACTAGAGGACCTCGAAGGCCCCCTCTGCCTCTGACTTCCAAGATTCCAGAAGGGTCTGGCTGTGTGGGAGTCATTTCAGAGCTTGTGGGTGAGGACAAGAGGACAGGTCTTGGTGATGAAACTGCCTCCCGTTGGGGTTCCCGGGCTGCAGCCTGGACTGAGTAGAAGCTCAGGCCTCAGCCTCCTGGGGCTTTATCATCCAGGACTCCCCTCCTGAGCCCTGGGCCTGCATCTCCCCAGAGCAGTTCCCACCTCCTGTACTGAGTGTCGCCCCCACTCCTGAGCCCTAAGAGGGAAGCCTGGTTACCCTGAGATGTCAAACAAAGCTGCACCCCCTGAGGTCAGCCTGGAGGCTCCTTTTCTCCTTCCACAAGGATGGCCACACCTTGCAGGACAGGGGCCCCCACCCAGAACTCTGCATCCCAGGAGTCAAGGAGGGAGACTCTGGGCTTTACTGGTGTGAGGCGGCCCCCGAGGGTGGCCAGGTCCAGAAGCAGAGCCCCCAGCTGGAGGTCAGAGTGCAGGGTAAATGAGCGAGGGAGTGGCGACGCCCCCAGGGGTCTGGGCATCATGCAGTGGGACCCCCTGGGAGGAGAGGAGTTGTGGGAAGTGTCCCCAGGAGAGGAGGGAGCCAGGGTCTTGGGTGGTCAGGCTGAGCCTCCCATCCCATGTGTGTCCCAGCTCCTGTGTCCCATCCTGTGCTCACTCTGCACCACGGTCCCGCTGACCCTGCTGTGGAAGATGTGGTACAGCTCCTCTGTGAGGCCCAGAGGGGCTCCCCTCCAATCCTGTACTTGTTCTACCTCAATGGAGAGATCTTGGGTATCTGTCCTGGGGATCACTCGGCTCCCCATGGTGGAGCTGTTTCCCTCTTGTTCCCAGTGAAGTCAGAGCAGGATGCTGGGATCTCATCCTGCAAGGCTGAGAACAGCATCTCCAGAGAGAGGAGTGAGCCCAAAAGCTCTCCCTTGTTGGTGCATCTTGTCCTTTAACTGGGTTCTGAGCCCTGGGGGCTAGGATAATGGTTCAGTCATCACTGCAACCTCAGCAGCCTGGCATGGAGTGAGGGGAGCTTGGAGGAGGCAGATGTGTGGAGGCAGAGGAATCTCAAGCGTTAGGAAAACAAGGGCAACAGGGCCCAAGCAGTGAGATGTGTGTCCTTTTCACAACCACAGAAGTTGTGGATCCTTCCAGAGAACTGGTTTCCTGTGGTCTCACCAACACTGAGCTGCCTTCTGGCTCTTGGCCTAAGACATAGGCAACTTCTCTCCAGCAGTGAGGCTGTAGGGTGTGGGTGAGGGGCGAGGCGGGGGCCAGAGCTAGAGGCACACACAGGGCACGAACAGAGAGGTGGAAGGAGCTGGAGTCTCGTGTGCATGTGGGCTTGGGAGACCTACAGGAGCCCAGAATCCTCAGCTTGGCCCTCATGACTCTCCAAGCTCTCTAGGCACCCTCCCCCCAGGGTTGTCTACGTCTCCTGCTTCCCGTTTGCTGCTGGGGTGAGCCATTGACATGGGTCTGTATGCTGTTCTGCAGAGGGAGCTCTGTGGCCTTACAGACAAGTTTTTTTGTTTTGTTTTGTGTTTTGGTGGCGGGGGTAAGGGGACAATCACAGGCCTCTGAGTTCCCCAGGACTCCTCAGAGTGCCAGGGGAGAAACAATAGCTGTTTGTCCAGGTGCGGCCTGAAGATTCACGAAAGTAGCTCTAAGGGCCTGGGTGTCAACTGTGACCCTGACCCTGCGTCCTTCCCAAATGGTCCTGCAAAGCTGCCAGGACGCCCACTTTCTACTGCACGTCCTAACCTTCTGCCTGGGAATCTTACCCAATAAAATGAGGTGATAGAACGAGTCCAAGTCAGCCTTGATGTGCTTGAGCATCTCTGCACCTTCCTTGGTCTCAGAGGACACTATGTGATATCTCTCTTCACCTCACTAAGAGCTGGGTGGCACCCTTAACCCCCCTTCTCCAACCCAGGGTACCAGCTCATAAAGGGGCTCAACGGCTATGAGCACAGAGGGTCCCTGCTAGAATCCTTCACCCTGGACTTCTCCCTGAGGGACCTTGTTCTCCAGCAGTGTCATTGTCAGTGCAGGGCAGGATTGAGGAGTCCAGTTTGATTGGTTGGTTTGTTCCTTCCTTCCTTCCTTCTTGTTGGCTTGTTCTAAAGATGAATTTTTGTTGCCTAGCGAAGAATCAGCCTTTCCCAAAGAGAGGTCTGGCCTTTGCCCTCCGCTGTGGGCTGCCGATCTCTAGGCCCTGGAATGCCATGCCTGATAAGAGTGTCTTTGTTTGTCTAAGGGCCTTGGCCATCAGACAGTTCAACAGTGTGATTTATGATGAGGGATTTATGCCAAGCACTATCATTTCTACCTCCAGAGGGACTGGAGAACAAAGGTGTCAGCCTGACCTTTGGAAGGGCCGGTGACTGACAGTCAGCCACGTGGGCAGCGTGTGATTTAGTCCTAGTAAAAACTCCGAGGCTTGGGCGAGTTTTCCTGGTTGGAAATATTGTGTGTGTATTGTTACACACTGATGCCAGAAGAGTACCTTGTCCTAACCCCATGGGAAAGGACGTACTTAGTACTTCCCTGGACTCTGTGCGCTTCTTTCCTAGGCTGATTTTAATATGTGTCCTTCCTCTGCAATAAGACATAACCATGAATATAACAGCTTTCATTGTATTCTGTGAATCCTTCTAGCAAATTATTAAAACTGAGGGTAGTTTTTGGAACTCCTTGAACTTGCAGTTGGTATCAGAAGTGAGGGCTGTCCTGTGTAGACTGTATTCTTTCTGACTGTACACTTGGCTAAACTCTCACACACGTCTTAGAAAATGTACACACTGTCGCAAGATAAAATACTAGTTAGGAAGATGAGGTTAGAAGAAAGTAGGGTAGGAAAATAAGTTGCAGCAAGGAACAAGCTCAGTATCCAAACTATGCTTTAGTGTTCTATCCATGGCTATGGGAGGGCTACAAATGTAGCTTTCTGCTTTCCAGCAGCAACTCCAAGAGGACAATAAAGTCTACTGTAAAATCACAGGGCTGCTCAGAGAAATGGCCCTGCTGTTCCTACCACTGGGAGGCATTTTTTCTCAAGAAAACACTGTGCGATGATAATGAACAGCATCTTTAGCCTTATCTTTTCCATAGCCCCTCTGAATATTCCTGCTTTATAACACTCTTTGACACAGGCCACGGTCATTGATTGCAACAAAGCATTTCAGGGGAGCAAGTCTGCACTATCCTCATATGAGGTGGCTTGGGTTTTATCTTTCTAATCATTCAGCTAAACCCAGGTTAGTGATTCTCAATGGAGGCAGAAAGCCCAACTTTGAGGACCTCTGCCAGAGTGAGCCATGATTACATATAGGAGCATATGGCATGCTTTTGTGGTTTTAAGGCTATACCAAAGGTGATAAATACTATTTTATTTATTTATTTATCTATTTATTTATTTATTGAGAAGTGTCTTGCTCTGTCACCCACACTGGAGTGCAGAGGTGCGATCACGGCTCACTGCAGTCTCCACTCCCCCTTCACCCCCGGGCTCAAGCGATCCTCCCATCTCAGCCTCCTGAGTAGCTGGGACTACAGAAGTGCACCAGTGCACCACCATGCCTAGCTAATTTTGTATTTTGGGTAGAGACAGTGTTTTGCCATGTTACCCAGGTGACTCTTGAACTCCTGGGCTCAAATGATCTGCCTGCCTCGGGCTCCCAAAGTGCTGGGATTACAGGCATGAGCCACTGCACCCAGCTAATAAACACTATTTTAAAGGATTTTAAGTGGGGTGTAGGAACATGTTTTTAAGGAAAATATTCCTCTCCCCTGTCCAGGAAATATTTTCATAAGCCTAATATGTAACTAGGTGAAAATCCAGCTATTCTAGTTGAAATGGAGATGAAAGTCCAGGAATTACACCTGCCAATGCTGCCCCATTGTTTTGCCCATCTGCAATCCCCGAGCAGAGGGGCTCCCTAGAACCCTTAAGGCTCCAAGGCATTGCCTTGGGGTTTAAGCAAAGTGCTGAGATGGGATACTCCCTCCAGCTTCTACAAGAATAGTTTATTTTTTATCATATTGAGTTTCTTGTAATATTTCCATTGAGGAAAGGTTGCATGGATTTTTTTTTAAGTTCAGCAGCCACTGTTCTAGAGGAAGGACTTAGCTGCATAGCCTTTGGGTAATACCTCATCACGTGAGCTTGGGAAAGCAAAGAGTTAGGGACTATACCCCTTCCCCCCTTATCCATCCCCCCCAGGCAGCTATCCACAGTCAGCAAAATTGGCTATCCCTAGTGCTAGAAATTGTCCATCATAGAAAACTTCTCTCCACCTCTTCTTCCTCCATCCAGAGAGTTGTTGGAGTGGTTGCTCCTTGACCCTCCACTTCTCCTTCTGTTTCCCATTTCCTCTTCTAGTAGTTTGAGGGGGAATCCCCAAGCTCTTCCCTACCTCTTCTTCTTCTTCTTTTTTTTGAGATGGAGTCTCGCTTTGTCACTCAGGCTGGAGTCCAGTGGCACAATCTCAGCTCACTGCAACCTCTACAACCTGGGTTCAAGTGGTTCTCCTGCCTCAGCCTCCCGAGTACAGGCGCCTGCCACTACACCTGGCTGATTTTTGTTTTTTTTAGTAGAAATGAGGTTTCACCATGTTGGCCAGGCTGGTTTCGAACTCCTGACCTCAGGTGATCCACCTGCCTTGGCCTCCCAAAGTATTGAGATTACAGGCGTGAGCCACCGTGCCTGGGCCTTCCCTACTTCTTAACCATTTCCATAGACTAGAAGAAAATGTCTCCATTGTTGGTGTGCTGCTACCAGGCTTCTTTCCTCTCAGAGAAGAAACCTCTCAGACATAGGAAATCCTGCCTCACAATCCAATGACTCAAACTCCGAGCCACCTTCAATGTTCAAGGTCAGAATCCCAGACAGTCCCTCTCTCCCCTACAAAGAAGGATTTGACCAAGAGAGAAGAGTACCATGGGTGCCACAAAACCATTGTAACTGGCAGGGTATTTGGGGAACTTGATAGGGAAGAGAGACGATTTTGCATGTGATAATGGAAAATATTTAATGGGAAGGAGAGGAGTGAGTAGCCCTGAGAAAAGAGAAAATGAGATTGCCTTCTGAGTCTCAAGGTGCTAAGTAAATACTTGGTACATCAGAGATGAGGCATGCACGCTATCCCTAAAGAATTACAAAAATGAGATGGGGTGGTGTGAACAGTTCTCAAAAGAGTAAGTATGAGAGAATGTACCTCAACACAGTAAAATCCATATACAACAAGCCCACAGCTGATATTATACTCAATGGAGAAAAGTTGAAAGCTTTTCTTCAAATATCAGAAACACAACAAGGATGCCCACTTCCACTACTCGTTTTCAACGTAGTTCTTGAAGTCCTAGCCAGAGCAATTATTCAAGAGAAAGAAATAAAAGCCATCTTAATAGTAAAGGAAGAAGTGAAATTGTCTTCATTTGCTGATGAAATGATCTTATATATATAAAAAACTCTAAAAATCAAAAACCCTTAGAACTGATAAACAAATTCCATAAAGTTGCAGGATACAAAATCAACATATAAAAATTAGTGGCATTTCTGTATGTTAATAACAAGCTATCCAAAAAGAAAATTAAGAACGATCCCATTTACAATAGCAACAAAAGATAAAATAAAATAGTTAGATGTAAATTTAACTAAGGAGGTGAAAGACTTATATACTGAAAACTATAAAATACTAATGAAAGAAATGAATGAAAACACACATAAACGGCAAGATATTCCATGTTCATGGATTGGAAAAGTTAATACTGTTATAATGTCCATATTAACCCAAAACAATCTACAGATTCAAGGCAATCTCTATTAAAATTCCAATGCCACTCTTCGCGAAATAGAAAAACAATCCTTAAGTTCGTAGGGAACAACAAAAGACCACAAATGGCCAAAACAATTTTGAGCAAAAATAACAAAGCTGGAGGCATCACACGACCTGACTTTAAAGTATATTATAAGGAAATTGTAATCAAATACTGGCATAAAAACAGATCCATCAACCAATGGAACAGAAATAAACCAATGCATTTATAGTTGATTGATTTTTGACAAAGGTTCCAAAAGCCTACAATGAGGAAAGGACAATCTATTCAATAAATGGTGTGGGAAAACTGGTTATCCACATTCAGAAGAATGAAATTAGATCTTTATCTTACACCATGCATAAAAATCAACTCAAGGGAGGGATAGCATTAGGAGAAATAACAAATGTAAGACAAGTTGATGGGTGCAGCAAACCAACATGGCACATGTATACCTGTGTAACAAACCTGCACATTGTACACATGTACCCTAGAAGTTAAAGTATAATAAAAAAAACTCAAAACGGGAAAGACTTTAATGTAAGACTTGACACTATAAAACTACTAGAAGAAAGCATAAGGGGAAACCCTCATTACATTGGTTTGGACAAGAATTTTTTGGATTTGACTCTGACACCTCAGGTAACAAAAGCAAAAATAAACAAATGGGATTGCATAAAACTAAAAAGTTTATGCATAGCAAAACAAAAACAAAAACAAACAAAAAAACAAAAACAACAAAGTGAACAGACCCACAGAATGGGAAAAAATATTTTCAAACTATACATCTGATAAGGAGTTAAAATCCAAAATATATGAGGAATCCAAACAACTCATTAGCAAGAAAACAAGTAATGATTAAAAAATGGGCAAATGACTAGAACAGACACTTCTCAAAAGAAGGCATACAAATGGCTAACAGGTTCATTAAAAAATGCTCAGGATCAGTAATCACTAAGTAAATGCAAATTAAAACCACAATGAGGTATCACCTCACACCTGTTAGAATGGCTTTTATCAAAATGATAAAAGATAACATGTGTTGATGAAGACACAGAAAAAAGGGAACACTTGTACACTGTTAGTAGGAGTGTAAATTAGTACAGCTATTATGGAAAACAGTATGGAGGTTCCTCAAAAAACTAAAAATGTAACTTCCATATGATCCAACTATCCCACTTCTGAGAATATATCCAAAGGAATTAAAATGGCTGTGTTGAAAGGATATCCCTTTAACATGAACTCCCATGTTTATTATAGCATTATGTACAATAGCTAAGATGTGGACTCAATCTAAATGTTCATCAGTGGATAAATAGATAAAGAAAATGAGGTGTATACACACAATGGAATACTAATCAGCCTTTAGAAAGAATGAAATTCTGTCATTTTGGACAACACAAATGAATCTAGAGGATACTATGCTAAGTGAAATAAGCCAGGCACAGAAAGGTAAATACTGCATGATCTTATTTAGATGTGGAATATAAAAAAAGTTGAATTTGTAGAAGAATAATGGATCCCAGAGGCAGTGGGCAGAGGAGGAGTGAAGGAATGGGGAATTACTGGTCTGAGGGTACAAAGTTTCAGCTAAACAAGAGGAATAAGTTTTGAGATCTACTGCACAGCAGGATGACTGTAATCAATAATAATATGTTGTATATTTCAAAATAACTAAAAGTGTAATTTCAAATATATCACCACAAAAATATCAAGGAAGTGAAGTGATAGATATGTTAATTAGCTTGATTTAATCACTTGGAATTGTAGACATATATCAAAACATCACATTGTACTATATAAATGTAATATAATTATGATTTGTTAATTAAGCATAATTTATATCTTTTTAAAAAGAAACATTTTAATATGGGACTAAGGAAGGTGAATAGCCCTGGAAAAGGAGAAAATGAGATTGCCTTCTGAGTTCCAAAGTATTAAGACAATACATAGTGGATCAAAGATGAGGTATGCAAATTATCCCTAATGACACAAATAATCAAATGAAGGTACATACCTTATTAGAAAAATGAGGTGGGTGGTGTGGGCCCATTGCAAAAGGAGAGTCATAGAAGTACACACCCTGGCAGTGCCTATTCAAGTTCTGTCTGGGGACTCTGTCAGCCAGATGCAGTATCCAGGCAACCTTACAGAAGGAGCCTCGCTGGAGATGGATACCATAGATTGTCATCAGAGTGTTGAATCTTAGCTCATCTCTTTTCCTCTAGCACCATGTTCCCTAGGCAGCCTTCTGTTGACAACTCCCCAAACTGACTGTGTACAGGGAGGGAATGTCAGGGCGATGGAGCTGCAACTGGCCTATTTGATCAGAACACTCTAACCAAAGGCTTCTTGCCCCCATCCCTTGGTGTTCCTTTATCCTGCCTTGTTTTTCCTCACGGTACTTTATAAAGTGTTCTGATCAGACGGTACAGATCTGTTTGTTGTGTATTGCTTTCCCCCAACCTTGACTCTGACAATAATGTAAGCTTCGCGTTTTCCTGTTCACTGCTGTGTCCCACACCTAGAACAGTGCCTGGCATTTAATTGAAGCTTGATAAATAATTGTAGGATGAATGGCTAATTTTATATGTCAGTTTGATGACATCTCTGATAAAATGAGGCAGCATTCCAGATTCTGATCAACTCTGGGACATTGATGAGTTAGAGTTTGAGCCTGTATTGTGAAAAGTGCTGAATTAACTAAGAAAAATGGCATCGTGTGCAGACCCGTCTGGGTGGCCCAGGGCTTCCCTCAAGCCACTCCCCTCTGTTTCCTTTGTGCTTTCTTTGTGTGCCTCCAGTCTCAAATACAAATTAATAACAGCAAAGGAATACAAATACACATTATTGATGATGACAATAATAATAACACTGAGGGCTTTCTATATGCCAGGTATAGTTTTGTTACTTCTCAAATTTGTTTAATCAAGTAAAATCCTGCCAACAAGACACCGGGAGACCCGAGTTTTGGCCCCAGGTTTGCCGTTAAACTGTGACCTTGAGGGAGTCTCTCCACCACTCCGAACCTCTGGTTTTTGTTTGCTGTTTGTTTGCTTTTTAGTTTTTAATTTGTGAAATAAAGGGTTGGACAAGATCCGTAGATTCTAAACTTTTTTCTTTTAGCGAGAGCACACCATTTTCAAACAAGTTCTGCATCAGAACTCCCTGTGTGAAAAGATAAAAGCAGGCTCTCTGTGGTTGAAGCTCCCTGGCTTTGCACCTGCTTCCCTGCGGCAGTCCTTGAGACAGCTCCTCAGAAAGCCCAGGAGAACAGATTAAAAGCTCCCGGAGCCCCTCTCATATTCTCCAAAGGCCAGACCAAGAATGAAGCAGAGTGTTGTTTCATGGCTTTACTTAGGGGGAAAGAAACCCTTTGTGATTGGAAACAAAAGATATCACTGGCTGGGGAACTTCCTCTCTGCTCCAACAGAACAGAAGAGCAGGTGAAGTGTAGTGATTCCCAAACTTTAGCTTAGAGTAGAATCACTGGGGGACCTTGATAAGTAGGTGGATTCACAAGCCACACTCTGCTTTCTCCCATCATGACTCAGTGGGTCCAAATCAGTGTTTCTGTCTTTTTTGTTTGTTTGTTTGTTTTTTGAGACAGAATCTTGCATTGTCACCTAGGCTGGAGTGTAGTGGCGTGATCTCTGCTCACTGCAACCTCTGCCTCCCAGGTTCAAGCGATTCTTCTGCCTCAGCCTCATGAGTAGCTGGGATTACAGGCACTCGCCACCTTGCCCAGCTAATTTTTTGTATATTTAGTAGAGATGGGATTTGACTATGTTGGCCAGGCTGGTTTTGAACTCCTGACCTCGTGATCTGCCCGCCTCGGCCTCCCAAAGTGCTGGGATTACAGGTGTGAGCCACTGCGCCTGGCCCAAATAAGCATTTTAACTAGCTCTCAGCTTGATTATGATGCAGGTGGTATGAAACCTACATTTTGAGATCAATAAGCATCAGGGAGTCACAGGACATGCAATCAAGAAGAACATGAGCCGAGTCCATTTTAGGAAAGAAGGGCAGACACATTGTACTTAAGAGGTAAGTTGAGGAAAGGGTATGTATGTGCATGAACCAATCTGAGATGTGTGAAGCCTGAGAGACAAGGAATGGGTTGCCCTTACAGTGTGGTTAAGGGGATCAGCCCAGCATGTTCCATCTCTTCATATGTAACAGGCTGATCTGGTGAACAGGTGACTGGCATGGAAAACACCGAGCTGGGTTGTACCTCCCAACAGCAATGCTTGCTGTCTCTTTAGACTGTGGGCTGATTGGTGCTGCCAGCTAACGTTCTTGAATAAACCTATTCTCGTGTCTTATGTTAGAGACTTCCTGTGTATTCTCTTCAATAATTACAGACCCTGGCCAATTACCAAGGGGCCCCAGGTCTTTCTAATGCCAAAGCCCACTGTCTTTATGCTTAACCAACCTTCAGTAATAACCATGACTCACATTCATTGAGCCCTCACCATGTGCCAACTCCATGCCGAATGCTTTCTGCCATTAGTTCATCTGATTTTCCCAACCACCCTATAAAGCGGGTATTGTGAGTATTCCATTCTGCAGACGAAGGAACCCAAGTAGTTTGGTTCCAGAGGCATGCTCTTCGACACTGCCCACCCACCATCTCCTTCTAAATCTTTAGGGCAATTTGTTGACTCAAAAAGGTAAGGGCAGCCTTGAACTCTTAAAGTTTAGCTGTTTCACTATGATTCCTTTAGTAAGATTTTGCTTCTGCTCTAGGGTAACCATAACTTATCCTCCAAACTAGAGCACTTTCTGAGAGTGAAAGGGGGCACTCTTAATAATTAGGGCAGGATAACAGGCTTACATGAGGACCTTCCTAAGAAACCTTAACACACAGTTACCTCACCTGCTCCATTCTCTTGAAATGCCTGCCTTTCACGTAAACCTTCAGTTTTAGCAGATAACTTTGACTCCACTTCAGAGAAAATCGAAGCCACTGTGCAGGCCTTCCCTTAACTGCTTGTCTCATACAAACCTATCTGCATCTCTGCCCATTTTCTTCTCATTATAGCCGAGGCCCATCTTGTAATCCAAGGTCAGTTCCTTTCCCTTGGTTCTGAATCTCAGTTCCCTCCTGTCTTCTGGGTGTGTGTGGGGTGGGGTGGGGTCAGGGAGAGGCCTTGTTCCATTATCATCACCTTTTCCCCAAATCTTCAACCCCTATTCCTACTGGATCTGCTCGTCAGCATTTAAATATGTTCAAATCTCCGCCGCCCACCTCGGCCTCCCAAAGTGCTGGGACTATAGGCGTGAACCGCCGCCCCGGGCCAAAGGTAAACTTCTTGAGTGCATAACTTATAAACTCAGTAGGTCTATATACCCCCAGTGAGCCGCCTGCAGTCCATCTTTGTAGCCTCATCTCCACTCTTAAAACGAAATCATTGGCAATAAAATTATCCCTCTACCCCATGTTTTCCCTTTGCCTCCCATCCTCTGTTCCCCTTGCCGTCAAAGGTAAACCTTTTTTTTTTTTGAGATGGAGTCTTGCTCTGTCCCCAGGCTGGAGTACAGTGGCGCTATCTTGGCTGACTGAAACCTCTAGCTCCTGGGTTCAAGCAATTCTCCTGCCTCAGCCTCCCAGGTACCTGGCATTATAGGCATGTGCCACCACGCTGGGCTAATTTTTGTATTCTTAGTAGAGACGGGGGTTTCACCATGTTGGCCGGGCTGGTCTCGAACTCTTGACCTTGTGATCCGCCCGCCTCCGCCTCCCAAAGTGCTGGGATTATAGGCATGAGCCGCCACGCCCGGCCAAAGGTAAACTTCTTGAGTGCATAACTTATAAACTCAGCAGGTCTATACGCCCCCAGTGAGCGGCCTGCAGTCCGTCTTTGTAGCCTCATCTCCACTCTTCTCTGCCTCCATCTCTCGGCCCTGCCTGTGTGGGCTTCTTCTGTACTTCAGTGTGCCCAGCTCTCTCCCCCACCCCAAGGATCCTGCACAGGCTGCTCCCTCTGCGAGGAACACTCTTTTCTCCTTTGTTTCACAATGACTCCTTTGGGTGCACTTCAACAATTTGCAGACGCTTACAGTTCTCTCCATCCACCTTCATGGTTCAATTGAATAATCACCTTTTTAACACTGACACTTAAAAAAGAAAAAGAAAAGAAAGGAAAAAGAAACCATATATCAAGTGCACAGGCTGGCCTCAGAATAGGATAGAAGACACATGCAGATCTCAACACACATTGCCTCGGGAGGGAGGTGATTTATTTGGAACTTACTTGTTAATGGCTCCTCCAGTACCATGGCTCTGCCGTGTGGGTCCCCAGCTTTCCAGATCCAAAGGGAAGCTAAGGAGAAAGTTGGAGCAAAGGTTTGGCCTTTTATTATCTTTCCTCCATTCTCTCCACCACAGCAGGACCAGCTTTTCACTGCAACCTCTTTCCCAAGGCTGTTACATCAGAATTGGGGTGTGGGTCTGATTTCTCATTGGCTTAATTGCTCCTAAAGATCCAGGAAGAAGAGAGAGAAAGTCTAAACATTACTGGTGCAACTACTTTATTATATATAATAATGTCATAGTTTGGTCTCTCTCCAAAGCACACCCTTAGATAAAAACTTGGGTGGAGGACGTCTTTCTGGGAGATAATCCAAGAAGAAAGAATGAGGAAAATGAGACAAGGAAGGGAGGAAAGCCAAAGAAAAGGGTGTGTTAATAGTTGATTACCGTTGTGGACAACTGGGGCCCAATCCCTCTGAGGAACCAGGGAGAACATGCCTCAGAATTGCTCATGGAATAGGGCAGGGAGGCTGGAACATTTATCCACGTTTACTCACCAACATGGCACTCCCTCAGCTGCACCCCCCCAACCTGCATACTTCCCAGTTGCTTGGCTGAGTGGCCTTCCACTGTCATAGGGAAAGCCTGGAAGTGGCCGGGGGCAGTGACTCATGCCTGTAATCCCAGCACTTTGGGAGGCCAAGGCGGGTGGATCACGAGGTCGGGAGTTCAAGACTAGCCTGGCCAACATGGTGAAACCCGTCTCTACAAAAATTAGCCAGGCGTAGTAGCATGCGCCTGTAATCCCAGCTACTTGGGAGGCTGAGGTGGAAGAATTGCTTGAACCTGGGAGGTGGAGGTTGCAGTTAGCCGAGATGGTACCACTGCACTGAAGCCTTGGCAACAGATCGAAACTCCGTCTCAAAGGAAAAAAAAAAAAAAAAAGATCATCAGAGAAAGCCTGGAAGCAGAAAAACAGACTGCCCAGGTGCAAACTTCATGGGGCACTCCATCATGAAACTGCCCACACAGCAGTGTAGATGCAGCCATAAAAAATGATGAGTTTATGTCCTTTGTAGGGACATGGATGAAGCTGGAAACCATCATTCTCAGCAAACTATCGCAAGGACAAAAAACCAAACACCGCCTGTTCTCACTCATAGGTGGGAATTGAACAATGAGAACACTTGGACACAGGATGGGGAACATCACACACCGGGGACTGTTGTGGGGTGGGGGGAGGGGGGAGGGATAGCATTAGGAGATATACCTAATGCTAAATGACGAGTTAATGGGTGCAGCACACCAACATGGCACATGTATACATATGTAACAAACCTGCACGTTGTGCACATGTACTCTAGAACTTAAAGTATAATATATATATATATATATAAAGAAGTCAGGTGGATAAACAGGCTGTGCTACAGGGAACCCTAAGTGTCTGCTACAAGCAAGATGTTAGAATGGGTCTCTTCCTGCCTTAGTTACGCTACGCTAAGCTGACAGTGTGATGGGTATCAGGAGATCAAAGGCAATGTGAGGGAGATCTGCCCTTGAGGAACGTACAATGGGAGTCAAGGAGAACTGGTGTCACTGCCTTTGGAACCCCCTCATCTATGGATGGAGGGCTGAGAAAGGGAGATCAAGAAAGAGACTTCTTTGGAAAGAACTTTACTGTGAGTCCACACCTCTTCCCCAGGGTATAGTGATGTCACCTCTGACCACAAGCCAAGTAAAGAAGACTTCAAGGGGAGGGCTTAGGGAGCTTTGGAATGTGGCCCCGCAAGTGAGAGTCAGAGGCGACAGGCACCTATGACAGGTCTGGGAGAGTTAAAACCGGTAATGGGCTCCCATGAGGGAGCCAGGAGTATGGTGCCATGTTGTAGATCCTAGGATCTGCCAGGGCAAGGAATGTTTGTCATGGGTAGCTAAGGGCCACCCATGAGACACAGCCTGCTTGGTTGTCCTGGGTGCTGTACGATAGGGGCATTTGGACAGGCCTCTGGGGAGGAGGAGATGAGATGTGTGGCCAGATGTCCAGGGGCTGATGAAGGAGTTGCAAAGGACCACCCAGAATAGAGATGCATCCACCTCCTGGTCAGGGGTAAGAGAGAGGGAACCAGTGGTAAGAGAGAAACTTAACCAGCAAAACTTCCCTTAACAAAAAATAGTTCATCTTAGCCATCTGTGAGGCCCACAGAGTGCAAAGCCACTCAGCTAGGTAAGAAGAGTTTTAACACCTCCCCAACCTCTCCATCCTCCTGGAGTGAGGAAACCTGAGTTGGGGGAGGAGAGTTGAGGGGAAGGAGGAGAACAGATTCAGAGAGGCAAGCTGAGCATAGTAGAGAGCAGAGACTGCTCCCTCCCCGACTACCAGCCTCTAGCCTGGAAGACCTAAGCCAGGGTAAGGGAGATTATTTGATAATAAGGTAAGTTTGGAATTTTGAATATTACATGGCACAGGAAGTACTCATTTCTAAACCGAGACCAGTACTCATTTCTGGACTGAGACCGAGGCCAGAGTTCACATCTGAGGCAGAGAAGACTACCCCACTGAATAAGATTAAAAGGGCAGTGAGAGAAAAAAATTGAAGTTCTATTTGAATCACAATCCATTAGCAAGAATGAAAATTACACTTGGCTAGGCACTGTGGCTCACACTTGTAATCCCAGCACTTTGGGTAGCTGAGGCAGGAGGATCCCCTGAGTCCAGGAGTTTAAGACCAGCTTGGGCAACATAGCCACATCCCATCTCTATAAAAAAAAATTAAAAAACTTAGCTGGGCATGGTGGTGCTCACCTGTAGTCCCAGCTAGTTGGGAGGCTGAGATGGGAAGATCACTTGAGCCCAGGAGGTTGAGGCTGCAGTGAGCCATGATTGCACCACTGCACTCCAGCCTGGGTGATAGAGCAAGACCCTGTCTCTTAATAAAAAAAAAAAAAAGTGAAGAAACGAAAATTAGACTTGACAATCATGCTCTCAGAAGTGACTTTCTCCACACTGGACTCGGAGAGCTCAGTGGGGTGGAAATTATTTTCCTCTCCTCAATAGGCATCATGGACTGTTTATGCCTACTTATGGAGACAGGTTTAATAAATCTGAACAGTTACCTTCTGGCTATCAGCATACTCACTGTAGCAGCCTCGGCTCCCCCTTCAAGAGTAAACACATTTTTGGCTGCAAGAAGTGCAGTTAACCGACAGGCTCTAGCTGCAGCACCTTCGGGATCTACGCTGTTCCCGGCAGCCCCAGCCCATGGCTGTGCACAGCAAGAGTCCTGGCACCAGGACAGTCTTGCACAGCTAGAGTCCCAGTGCCTGGACATGCCTGCCCACCACAGGCCTTCTCTAACGGGCAGTCGGTGCCAGAGCTCCCTGCTAAGTCAGCTGAGACTGTGAGACGCATCAAGGTCTGAGGCCCTTCTGGCTCCACCTGCTTCCTTCTCCATTTATCTTTTCCAGGCCTTTCCCCACATTAAAACTCTTTATCTCTGAACTCCAGCTTCTGCTTCTCAGATAATCTAACGGTATTCTCACCCTTTAAGCTCTGAGCATTATACTCATGACCCTGTTTTCTTTTCTTTCCTTGCTTTTATTTTTTATTTCTATTTTTTAATTCACAAAAATTTATACCTATTTATGGTGTACAACATGTTGTTTTAAAATATGAATATGTTGTGAAATGGCTAAATCGAGCTAATTAACGTAAGTGTTGTCTTATACAACTATCTTTTTTTGTGGTAAGAACACTGAAAATCTACTGTCTTAGCAATTTTTTTTTTAGATGGAGTCTCGCTCTGTCGCCAGGCTGGGGTGCAGTGGCACGATCTCGGCTGACTGCAACCTCCGCCTCCCAGGTTCAAGCAATTCTCCTGCCTCAGCCTCCTGAGTAGCTGGGACTACAGGCGCCCGCCACCACACCTGGCTAATTTTTGTATTTTTAGTAGAAGCAGGATTTCACCATGTTGGCCAGGATTGTCTTGATCTCTTGACCTCGTGATCCACCCGCTTCGGCCTCCCAAAGTGCTGGGATTATAGGTGTGAGCCACTGTGCCTGGCCTGTTTTAGCAATTTTTGAGAATACAATACATTGCTATTAACTGTAGTCACCATATGGTATGATAGATCTCTTGAACTTATTCCTCCTATCTGACTGACTTTTGAAATCTTTCCACCAATATTTCTCCAATCCCCACCCCTCCCACAGCTTCTGGTAACCACCACTCTACTCTCTACTTGTAGTTCAATCTTTTTTTTTTTTTTGTCTTTTTTTTTTTTTTTTGAGACAGAGTCTCGCTCTGTCTCCCAGGCTGGAGTGCAGTGGCACGATCTCGGCTCACTGCAACCTCCGCCTCCCGGATTCACGCCATTCTCCTGCCTCAGCCTCCCGAGTAGCTGAGACTACAGGCACCCGCCACCACGCCCGGCTAAGCTTTTTTGTGTTTTTTAGTAGAGATGGGGTTTCACCCTGTCAGCCAGGATGGTCTTGATCTCCTGACCTTGTGATCCCCCCGCCTCGGCCTCCCAAAGTGCTGGGATTACAGGTGTGAGCCACCGTGCCTGGCCTAGTTTAACCTTTTTATACATTCCACATTAAGTGAACTTATGTGGTATTTGTCTTTCTGTGTCTGGCTTATTTCACTAAACATAATGTCCTCCAGGTTCATCCATGTTGTTGTAAATGGTAGCATTTCCTTCTTTTTGTTGTTGTTGTTGTTTTGTTTTGTTTTGCTTTGCTCCCTCTCAACTTACCACCCGCTACTCAGCTTTCCTCACTCCAGGAGGATGGGGAGGTGTCAAAACTCTTCTTACCTAGCTGAGTGGCTTTGCACTCAGTGGGCCTGGAGGATGGCTAGGATGCACTATTTTCTGTTAAGGGCAGTTTTGCTGGTTAAGTTTTGCTGGTTCCCTCTCTCTTACCCCTGGCTGGGAGTAGATGCATCTCTATTCTGGGTGGTCTCTGCTGGAGTGCAGTGGCATGATCATAGCTCACTGCACCCTCAAACTCCCGGGCTCAACAATCCTCCCACCTCAGCCTCACATATAGCAAGGATTACAGGCATGCATCACCATGCCCTGATCATGTTTAAAAATTTTTTTTGTAGACATGGGGTCTTTCTATGTTGCTTAGGCTGGTCTAAAATTCCTGGCCTCAAGGGATCTTCCTGCCTTGGCCTCCCAAAGCGCTAGGATCATAGGCATGAGCTCCCTTGCCCAGCCTCCTTCTTTGTTTAAGGATGGATAGTATTCCATTGTGTATATATCTACAATTTCTTTACACATTCATCCATTGATAGACACTTAGGTTGATTCCATATGTTGGCTCTAGTGAATAGTGCTGCAATAAGCGTGGAGTGCAGATACCTCATTAACATACTGATTTCATTTCCTTTGGATGTATACCCAACAGTGGGATTGCTGGATCTAATTTTATTTGTTAAACAGATTTATTACATAAAAACGTTTTATACTCAGACTGAAATCTGGTTCACCTTTAAGAAAAAATTCTAATCCCTCAGGTTTTATACTCATAAATTGAAATTTAAGAACTACTCACTTCATTATCTTCTTCACTAAGCAGATTCTACCAATCTTTGAAGAACTAAGGTCTCATCTTAAATATCTCTCCTTGATAGCTTTTCCCCAACCCTCCTGACTCCAACTTTGCCAAATCGCCTTATTATAGGCTCCTTCAATTATTCCTTTGGTAAGATTCATCAAACTTGTAGTTACTTGTCCAATGTCAATTGTTAGCATTATGAGCTCCATGAAGTCACGATCTAAAATTCTTGGTCACTGTTAATTCCCCAGCACTTAAGACAGTGTATGGACCATAGAAGCTACTCAATAAACATTTAACAGATTTCTGAATTTGCTAACCTAAAACTAGGAAATGTTGGCACAAGACCAAAGCTGAATACGTCTTCCTCTATTGTTCCCTTGGTCTTGAGACACCACTCTTCACAGCACAGACTCATAAAATTGATTATTAGAAGAAACTTAAAGATTATCCAGTCTGAGAATCCATCTGATGGCAGAGATGTTGCAGATAATCCAAGCAAGTGATTGTCCTCTTAGCTTGAATACTAGGGACAGAAGCTACTTTCTAAGGCAGCCCATTGCATCCAGAACAGCTTTGACTGCCAGGAAGCTATTTAATAACCCTGATCCTCTGCAGTCTCTTCTTGAATCTGAATTCATATAAGTTGATCAACATTGTATTCTCACAAAACGATTTAAAGTCTTTTCATAATATGAACAACATAGATCAACTCTCTGATCAAACTACTTTTTTTTTTCTTCTCTCTTTTTTTTTTTTTTGCTTTGAGACAGAGTCTTGCTCTGTCACCCAGGCTGGAGTGCAGTGGCACAATCTTGGCTCTCTGCAACCTCCACCTCCTGGGTTCAAGTGATTCTCTTGCCTCAGCCTCCTGAGTAGCTGGCATACAGGGGCACGCCACCATGCCCAGCTAATTTTTGTATTTTTAGTAGAGACGGGGTTTCACCATGTTGGCCAGGCTGGTCTCAAACTCCTGACCTCAGGTGATCTGCCTGCCTCGGCCTCCCAAAGTGCTGGGATTCCAGATGTGAGCCATTGCACCCGGCCAAACTGCTTTCTTAAAGAGGATTGAATCAAATGTTTTTCCCCTGCGAATAGCCTCTCAGGTGGGAACATAACTAGCTTTAAATAAAAAGGCTTAATCATTCATCCATTATAAAGCTATCAATTGAGTGCAGACACATGTCTAGTATGGGGCCAGCAATAATGGGACATACACAGGAAATGAAAGATGAAGTCTGTCTGGGGAGATATAGATGTTTATAAGATCAAATGATCACAGCAACATAGGAATTACCCAGAGAGAGCTAGGGAAGAATATCCTGGGAGCCAAATAACAGGATAGGGAATGTTCTACGAGTTCGGGGCATGCAGTACGTGCGGGGACCTGGGGCGGGTAGGAAGTCTTGAAAGACTTCATTTAGGAAGTGGGATTTGGGCTGAGTTTGGTGGATGGCATCATGAGTCAGTGAGTAAACTGTCATGACAATCAGGATCTGAAAGAGAACTAAGAGAGCCATGATACATAGGGAGGGGCTTAGTGAGGACAGAGGACGTCAGAGGGCTGTAGTCAGGGGAAAATTATTTCCCTTTTCTCAGGACCATCAGTCAGGCTCTTTGTGTCTAGGAGCCTCCTAATGCAGTCTTCTGCACAGTCCTGGGGACTGACTGACTGAATCACACCTCTGGGGCTGGGGGCTGCTGACATGTGTGCCTTTCCTTGGCTGCTTCTTCTCCTGCTGCTCCAGGAGGGTGAGTGAAGCTGCCAGCTCGTGCACAGGAATGTCCCCTACACCTCTGTTCCCCTGCCCCACTGGGTCTGGGCCAGTAAGACCCTTTCTTAGGGGTTGAATGTGTCAGCTCTTCTGGAGTTACAAGGAGTAGGGTGTGTGGCTTCAGGGCAGGACCGAGAGACACCTGGGGATATGGAAGAAAGAGCAATCCCAAGATGGCAAAGGAGAAGGTAAAACTTGGAGGGTGAAGGGACAGATGGAAGCAAACTCCTTTTAGGTGCTTAACTCAGGGAAAGGGGAAATCTAGAGTCAGAAGCAGCAGCTGGAGAACAGGATTTAGTGTGAGAGTCATAGAAGCTGCCCAGCTGAGATTACGCTACTCTGGCAGCTCCACTGCCAGGTTCAGCAGCCCAGAGACAGCAGCTGGGTTGTTTGCTTCTCTTTTCTTCCTGCATAGGCAGCCAAAGGAGACTCTGGAGATGGTGTGGATCCGAGGAAGTGGTTGCGGTCCTTCAGGAGTCCATCAGCCTCCCCCTGGAAATACCACCAGATGAAGAGGTTGAGAACATCATCTGGTCCTCTCACAAAAGTCTTGCCACTGTGGTGCCAGGGAAAGAGGGACATCCAGCTACCATCATGGTGACCAATCCACACTACCAGGGCCAAGTGAGCTTCCTGGACCCCAGCTATTCCCTGCATATCAGCAATCTGAGCTGGGAGGATTCAGGGCTTTACCAAGCTCAAGTCAACCTGAGAACATCCCAGATCTCTACCATGCAGCAGTACAATATATGTGTCTACCGTGAGTTTAGGCTGGGAACCATAAAGCTGGTTTTGGGGGCTCTTCTGAGCTTCTCACACCATGGAGTGGGCGTCTCAGGACTTGGGGTTATGGTTTGAGGGGCTAGAACTGGAGGCAGACTGTCTCCAATCTAGATACTGTGATTGAGTGTGCCCAATCCACCTGTTGTATCTGAACCGCAGCAACAGGCGGAGTGACCTGGAGCAAGGAGGCTGTCCGATGCAGTGGCAGGGATCAGGGGCTTCATGTACAGATCCTGTAGGGGGCTTTTCTCTTCCAGTGAAATTGTGTTCTGGGGATGAACACCACCTACATTCTTGAGCCTTTTATTTCCCTGTGTGATGAGGGCTACTAATGAGTATCTTCTCTTTACTTGAACCCAAATTTCTTCTTAGTGTCTGTCACACTGCATCTACCTTGAAGCTTGAAGGGACACTGATTAAAATGTAAATGCCCCTGAGAGGGGCGATAATATTTCATGGGATCAAGGAGACAGAATGGGGTTTGGAGGAAGGTAGAGTACAAAAGTAAGAGAGAGAATACGTAAAGGGGAGGTGGAAGATGCCAAAGGCAGCTCTGTCTTCCTTGACAGTTGCCTTGGGGACCTTGAAACCACAGGTTTTATGGTGGTTGGGTTTGTTTGCTTTTGCCTATTTGTTGTTTAGGTGCAGGGGCTGTCAAGGGGTAGCATTAGTACCCCAGGTTTGAGGAGCTTAGGAAAACAGACCCGATCCCTGATTGTTTAGAGGGTCTTTGTGTTTCCCCTTCATCCAGGATGGCTGTCAGAGCCCCAGATCACTGTGAACTTTGAGAGTTCTGGGGAAGGTGCCTGCAGTATGTCCCTGGTGTGCTCTGTGGAGAAGGCAGGCATGGATATGACCTACAGCTGGCTCTCCCGGGGGGATAGCACTTATACATTCCATGAAGGCCCTGTCCTCAGCACATCCTGGAGGCCGGGGGACAGTGCCCTCTCCTACACCTGCAGAGCCAACAACCCCATCAGCAACGTCAGTTCTTGCCCCATCCCTGATGGGCCCTTCTATGCAGGTACCAGAACCCCTGAGACACCCCCTGAGCTCATGAAAGATAGTGCCTAGAGGCACCATCTCCCTCCCCCAGCTCTTCCCAAGAGAGCCCAGGGAATTCAGAAGCTAACCCCCTCCCATGGAGGCTTGACACCTGGATTGGAGAGGAGACCCTCCGTTTTTCTAGTGCCCCCAACTTCCAAAGGTCTTTTCTTTTCTCTTGCTTGGCTTCAGAATGATTCCTAGATCTCAGTTCCTGAGCTTCTGTGCATAGAATATATTTCCAGAGACACTTGCAAGGGGACTTCAACTGATTGTGAACTTGAGACCCCTTCATGAAATTTGGGTAGGAGTCTGCCCAAATCTTAACCCCAACCCTACCACTGATGGGCCCTTTCCTCCTTTCTTCCACCCCAGATCCTAACTATGCTTCTGAGAAGCCTTCAACAGCCTTCTGCCTCCTGGCCAAGGGATTGCTCATCTTCTTGCTCTTGGTAATTCTGGCCATGGGACTCTGGGTCATCCGAGTCCAGAAAAGACACAAAATGCCAAGGATGAAGAAACTCATGAGAAACAGAATGAAATTGAGGAAGGAGGCAAAGCCTGGCTCCAGCCCTGCCTGACTGCTCCTTGGGAACCCCAGTCCTGAGCTTGGTTTCTTCCCAGCACCCAGAGAATCCTTCCTCAGCTCTCTTCTTTCCAGGGGAAGGAGGTGCTCAGGGGTGGGTATCCAGAGAGCCATACTTCTGAGGGAAGACTGGCTGGCAATAAAGTCAAATTAAGTGACCACAACTCTGCAGGAGCTGTGTTGGGTCCTTCCGTCCTCACTGGGTGGCTCTGGCAAAACCCACTCTGCTGTCTTTGCCCCAACTCCCAGTGCCTTCCCCCAAGTCCACGTGCTTTTTCAGGCCCTCCTTTGGGGAGAAGAGTGGGTCTAAAGGGCCCCCTCACAGGGAAGTTTTGGTATGCTGTCACTCACCACCTATCCCGTTTTCCACCAACATGCTTGCTATTTGTTCATCAGATAAGAAATGTGAGAGATTTCTTTGAACCTAACTGAACCTGTGACTTGAGAATTTCAGGCATTTTGAATCCTGCATAAAAGTGGCCTTATTCCTGTTAAGATTCTTCTGCTCCCTTACCCCACTCTCATCCTGGCAGATACATTTGCTTAACAACTCCATCCATCCCAGACTAGTCTAGAAGCTCTCCTAAATAGGGAGGTAGGAAGGACCTCATTCAGACCTACCCTGGGTCTGAGTTGAGCTCGCAACCTCTCCGTCATCTCCCTGATGCCAGTTGCTCTGGGCCTCTGGCGTCTACCCCATAGGGATGCTGGATTATTAGCCGAGATCGTGGAGCCTTGACTTCTGCTTGTGATTAGTATTACTGTCCTGCCTGTGTCCCTGCCTATAGATTTCCATGTCTTAGGCCTTCTCTTTGGAGTCTTGTCCTGGGTTAATGCCCACCCCCAACTCCCTGGCAAAGGCCCTTAAGTTTATGTTCTTGCTCTTTCCCTAGACCAATGATCAGCCTCCCAGGCCTAATGTGTCCCTGCCCAAGTCTCTAGTATTCCCTCCAAATCAGATCTTGTGGATGTTACTTATGCAGTTGCCATGGGGCAGGGGGTTAGGGGGAAGCGAGGACTGGGGAGAGAATTAGAAAACACCCAATTGACAGGACAGGTGTACGCAGTGGGTGAATTGCAGGAAGTGGTGAAGGCTGTGATGTATGGCTGGGAGCCTAGGTGACATTTTGGAGCTCTGGGCTTTGATCTGCTACTCGCCTCTGGCCTGTGACCCTGTGTTCAGCAAACTTCCATTGAGCCACAGCCTCTTTCTCCAAGAAGTGCACACTGGAAGAGAGAAGCAGGCAGAGAGGCAGCTTGGAGCTCCTACAGAGACACAGTTAGGCAAGCGACTTGGTGCCACAGAGACAGGGTGGGTTGGGGGCCCTGGGGAGTTTCAGAAGAGGTGTCTGAAGGGTGGGGAGAGGGCCGCATGGCAGGAGGCATGCCTAACATTGCTGTGGGTCTCTTCTTCCTCTTTGTTTTTGAGGGGGAGGATGCTGATCTCCAAAGTATCTTCTAAAAAAGGAACAAGAAGTATGTGCAGGGGTCAGTGGAATGCATTCAACTGGGCAACCAATGAGACCAAGGATACCTTCCTTTTAGGAAAGTAGAACACATGGGCTGGCACAGGACCACCCAGGAGGAGAGTCTTGAGAGCGGCGTGGGGCAGGGCTGGAAGCCAAGAGTAGGGGTCTCCCTAGGTATTTGTGCAGGAGATGGAGCCCCTTGGGGCTTGGGAAGGAGGTAGTAAGGTTGGGAAACCAGCCCCAAGAGCTCCTAGTGCTGGTAAACTGGTCCCCTCTACTTTCTGAGGGCCTGAACCCTTGTCCCTCTGGAAGGCAGTCCCTTCTTGAGGCTGGTTCTCTGGGCTTCCCTTAGGCCCTGAGCAGTCTTGCTTCCAAAAAAGGCCAGCAGCCCCCAATCCCTTTGATTCCTTTTATATCTTTCCTAGGAGGCACCACTGCAGGGATGGGGACTGACTGGAAAGGCCACCTTGAGTCCATCTTGCACATAAAGAGGCAGCTCATTTCTCATGTTATTGCAGGATTGAATTCATAGAAAGTAAACAAAAGGATGAATAAATAAAGGAATGAATGTATGATAGGCCCAGGGATTTCCCTGGAAGTTGGCAAAGTTCCTTCTTCTTACAGCCGATCTCTGAGCAGAGAAGGGTTGAGGCCTCAAAAGAGGCCGAGCTTCTGGAAGAGGAAGGATGAGATCTTAAAGAAAGTTGAATATAAACTCAGAGAGGCACAAGCCGCTACCTCTGCAATATGCCAGGAACTTGGCAAGCACTGGGGAGGCAGAAGAGACACCTCTGCCTTCAAGGAATGTTTTGTGGAGTGTGTAAAGATACAATAACAAGGTAGGAAAAGGGCTGGGGTGAAGGTGAGGGCGTGGTGGGAAAAGTCACGGAATGTGTCCTGAAGGGAACAGATCAACAGAAATTTGACCTGTGGCCAGCAGTGAGTCTGGAAAGGAGAAAAGGGCATTCTATCGAGACAGAAGCTAAGTGCTAAGACACTGGTATGTGAAAGAGCACAGTAGTTCTAAGGCCTGCAAAGTCATGCACACTGCGATAAAGGGATAAGTGAGAAACCAGGCTGGAAAAGTAAGCAGGGCCTTTCTGAAGCAGGAATTCAAAGACAAACAGGACAATATCCACACCCTTGTGGGGCTAAGTGTTTCATTGGGATAGAAGATAGGCACACAAAAAGTTAAATGACAATATATGAGAAACCGCACTTCTTTACGGATCTGGTAATAAGACTGCTGCTTACAGGCATGTGGTCAACAGAGTCCCTGGATGACAATCTTTTCTTTTCTTTTTTAACTCAGATATAACTTAATATATGCCTGATTAACAACATCCCTATTATCGATTATTAAAGCCACCCTTTCTATTCTAGAATATGGGATAGTTATGTGGTGCTTAATTGGTACAAGCAATGTTAACACATCAAATGTGGTCACTACTAAAAGCCCATGTGTTCCACCTTTCAGGGTTCATTTGATATCAAGTAATTCTCTGCTTATCTATAGACAATGAGAAACTTTGCTGATTAGGAACACCTGTGCTTAACGATGCCAAGCAGACATCTCTGAGGTCACACCATCTTCTTTGTGCAGGGCTATGGAGCAGCTCAGGTCCTTTCTTCCCAAGGCCTGCTGAAATATTAGGTATACACCAGGAAGACAGAACCAATAAGATAGATAGATACAGATATAGAAATATGAGATGGGATTTATTAGGGGAATTGGCTTACATGATGGTGGAGGCCAAGTCCTACAACATGCACAAAGAAGGCCCTGGGATGGCAAAAGTGTGGCTCAGTCCAACTCCAAAAGCCTCACAACCAGGGAGGCCAATGGTATAACTCACAGTCCCAAGTCTGGAGAGCCTGGAGTTTTGATGTTCAAAGGCAAGAGGAGGAGAATACCCCAGCTCTGAGAGACAGAGAGAGAGACAGAGAGAGAAAAGAAGAAGAAGGAGAAGGAGGAGGAGGAGGAGGAGGAGGAGGAGGAAAAGCAGCAGCAGAGGAGGAGGAGGAGAAGGAGGAGGAGGAGGAAAGAGGAAAGAAGAAAGCAGGAGAAGGAGAAGAAGGAGGAAGAAGAGGAGGAGGAGGAGGAGGGGGAGAGAGAGAATATTTTCTGATATCCTTGTCAGCAATTTGAAAATATGGGGGCTGCCTGATACTTAGGTTAGGTGGAATCCTCGTTGGTTGAATAAGCTTTCCCAGAGAGTAATGACTATGAATCAAGGACAACCTAGAGGAAAGTCTTTTGTTTTGAACCTCAGGGACTATTTTTTAAATCAGCTTTCACTCCTGGCACAGTGAGGGAACAAGTTATAGGGCTAGGTTCCTTTTCTTAACAAAAAATCTCCAATATACATATAAATCAGACAAAAAATGGCAATAACAATAAAAGTCACAAAATAAGTTTCCAGAAAAAAAAGGCCATATCATAAACTTTTAAAAATTGAAAACCATTTTAAATGTCATTTAACAGAAAGTTATTTTAATGTCTAAATGAGATTAGTTTATCCTCAAGAAACCACTGGAGACAGCAGTTTAGATCAAAGGTGTGGCCAATTCTAACAGCGGGGAGGGAGATCCTTCCCAATGATTGGTAAAGATCCAAAGACTAAAAAACACTTGGCTCGGCCGGGGGCAGTGGCTCACACCTGTAATCCCAGCATTTTGGGAGGCCGAGGTGGGTGGATCATGAGGTCAGGAGTTCAAGACCAGCCTGGTCAAGATGGTGAAACCCCATCTCTACTAAAAATACAAAAATTAGCCAGGCATGGTGGTGGCCGCCTGTAATCACAGCTGCTTGGGAGGCTGAAGCAGGAGAATCGCTTGAACCCGGGAGGTGGAGGTTGCAGTGAGCCGAGATTGCACCACTGCACTCCAGCCTGGGCGATAGAGTGAGACTCTGTCAAAACAAAAAAACAAACAAACAAAAAACCCGCTTCACTCTTTTACCATTTCTTCTAGCCTTGCTTCCATGCTGCATTCATTAACATGTTTCCATTATAGTCTTATCAATAGATCAGGGTATTATGTTGAAATGCATTGTTGAAAAGCTGCTACTTTGGGACTATTTGCAGGAGGGATGGTGGGAGAGACTGGCCCACTGCTCCTGCCTCTTCCCTTCCATCTCAGTCACCCAAAAGCACTAAAACCTTTACACCTGGAAGAACTGTCCAGCAGGCAGAGCTTACTAAGGATGGAATGGGTACAACAGTAGTGCTGAGCTTCCTGGCCCAGGATGTAATGAGATAGGGGCTTGGATGACTACATGGAGAAATGATGTGCCAGGGATTCTGGGGCCAAGTAGTGCTTAGGCCCATCCTGGAGGTTCTCTCATGATGCTGCAGCAGTGATTCTGTGAGTCTGATGCCTGGTGCACTCAGTTTGAGTCTTAGTACTTCGGATTGGGATGAGATCAGCACGTTGCTTTCATGGAAGGCTTCCAAGGGAGCCAACTGAATGGGAAGGACCTGGACAGGCAATGTTGCTTAAGCCGACCCAGCATCCCTACAGCATCACCAGGCTGAGGAGGTGGAATCTCTGAGGGGCAAGATATGCAAGATATCTTTGTGTCTGAGGGCGAAGCCTCCAAGGGAGTAGGTTTGATGAAGTTTGGGTTGGGTCTCAATCCAGCTCTGCCATAACCTAGTTGGGAAAGCTTGGGCCAAGTTACTTCATCTCCCTGAGCCTCAGTTTTCTCATTAGTCAAAGGGAGCTCTACTTACTTCGCAGGGTTTCTGTGAAGGTTACACAAGAGTTATAAAGCATCTAGTCCAGGGTCTGGCACCCTGCATGGGTCCAGTAAGTGATCTTGTATTTCATTCCTCCCTTTCAATCTCCCGTGTCAGGATATCTGTCGTTTCTCCCCTCTGGGCCTGTTTCTCTGGGTCGTTGGTGCCAGAGCTGCCTTGGGAGCTGACTTGGCAACCCCACGCTCAGAGCACAGCCTTCCTCAGCTGCACACGGTGGGAGGCGCCTGGGCAAGATTTGGGAGCTCGCCAATGCAGACAGGTATTTCCAGTCCTGCTAGAGAAGCAATGGGTGGAGGTAGAAATGGGGATGGGGGAGGAGATCGGATGAGCCCGGGACCTGGGTGGATCCCCTGGGAGGAGGGCGGGGAGTCATGCTCCCCGCCTGGTTCTCCTACCCCCAGGCTCAGATTTCAACCCTCGCTGCCGCCTCTGTGGCGCGCCCGTTCGGGGAGCGGAGAGGGTCGCCCGTAGGTTCCGAAAGAAGGACGGCGTACCAGTAGCCTGGCAAGGGGCCAGCTCCCGCAGCCCTGGAGCGCGAGCCGGACCCTGCTGCCCCTCTTGCTGGCGGCGGGAAGCGGCCCACCGGCCTTTCCACGCTTGGCTGTGCAGAGGTCCACGAGGGGGCGACCTGAGCCCACGTGCAGCCGAGCTCTTCCCTCCTGAAACTACAACTCCCAGGCCGCTCAGGGGTCCCGCCCGCCTCGCCGTGCCTCTGGCGGCTCCAATTGGCCGCCGCGGGAGGGGGATTGGCGGTCTCCAGGGCGACGGGAGGCGCTCGGGGCATCCGAGGCGGGGAGGCGGGTCCGCCCCCTATTGTGTAGCGGCGAGAGTGGAGCCGAGCGGTGCGGAGCAGGTGAGGGAGGGGGCGTACTGGAGGTATAGAAGTGGTGGTGCTGGTAGTGCGGAGTTATGGGGGACAGGAGAAAGCGGGGAGTTCTAGAGAGAAGTGGAATTCGTTGCAGGAGTAGAACTAGGGGAGTTCTGGGGAGTGAAGTGGAATTCTTGGCGGGTGGGTGGGAGTTCCCGGAGAACTGCAGGAGTTCTGGAGGCAATGTGGGGGAGTTCTTGGTGGGTTCTAAGAGAAAGGAGGAGTTCCAGGGGACCAGAGAATGCGAGGGAGAAAGGAATTGTTGGGGGTGGGGTATCAGAATTGTATTGTGGGCTGATGCAGGAGAATCCCAGGGAGGGGAATTATCGGGAGGAGAGGATGGGGAGAAGTGGCTGGGGGGTGGGGAGACCAGAAGGGAGTTCTTTATAGTGCAGGAGACCTGCTGCAATTGGAGATCAGGTGCGAGAAGCTGGAATTGTGGGGGGATTGTGCGTAGTAGCGATAACTGGGAAGGGAGTAATGGGAGGACGAGGGAGTGGTGTGTGGGGAGACTAGAAGGGTGAGGAAATAGTGGAGGCCGGGGGAGTTGGAAAGATATTAAGAGACTGGGAGGAATTCTAGGGATGCCTAGTTACTCAGAGTCTCGGAAAACAACCAGGAGAGAACTAGGGGGTTCCTATATACTTGGAAAAAGGTTTTTCAGGGAAGTGTGGGAGAGCTGCCTGGAGGCAGTGGGAAACAGGGGGCTTGGTTGCTAGTGAATTGCCAGAAGTTAGACATACAGGATCATTAAGTAGAGGCAAGGATCAGACTCTGTGGAGGATGTTTTATAGTCTGTCCTGAACTTTGCGGCCAAGAGTGGGTTGGAGGACTCAGAGCAGAGTCCACTTGGCAGTGCCAGGCCCTGGCATGGACCCTCTGGCTCTCTGAGACTGCCCTAGGATCTGTGGGGCTGTCAGAAGCTCCTACCCTCCATGCCCCAGGGTTAATTTTGTACACTTCAGGGACTCACAGGCTTTTTTTTGGACCATGCCTCTGGGGTTGGGGAAGAAAGAGCTTGACAAACCCTGGCACCCCGAAGATATTGGAGGGGAGTGAGTGGGAGGGATTTGGGTGAGGTCCTTGGGTGGTGGTGCCTGGCAGGGGGAGGGCTGCTTGGCAGTATCGTGAGGAAGTGGCGCCAGCTGCCAGCCCCGGGACCTGTCCAGACCTGGAGGATGCTGCCTGGATCCCCCATACTGGCAGGTGGGGGAGGCAGCTCCTCCTCTCCCAAGTGCCTGACTCACTCACTGCCAAAGCAGTGTAGGGAGACTGAATGGAGAAAGGCCTCGGGTCCTCAGCTTCCAGAGTTTTTCATAGAGGCTGGGGAAATGGGACAAGGGATTGTATCGGGGTGTCCTGGGGACCACTTTCTGAGGCTTAAGCGCCCTGGATTTGCCCTTGACTGGCTCTCTGCCCCTGAGCAGATATCCTCAGGGCCCTTATTTGTCACAGAGGGGTGAAGGCGACAGCACTGGTTCCATCTTGCTGCTATACCTTGTGAGCATCAAGAGTAAGGAAAGAAGCGAGAGCAGCCTAGGCCATGAGAGTCTTGATCTACCATACTTCCTTCAAAAATATTTTTCCAAGCATATGAGGAACCCCAGTTCTCTTCTGGCTTAGTTTTTCAAGACCCTCAGAATGCAGGCATCCCCAGAATCCTTCCACATTTCCTAAGACCTTCCCAACTCTCCCAGCCTCCCCCATTTCCTCACCTTTCTAGTATCTGCATTCAGCACTCACCATTCTCCCAGTACTCCTACCCCTGCTCTTACTCCCCAGGGCTTCAAGATCCCCCCCTTCCCCCTACCCCTCACTTAACTACACTCCTCCCTCCTTTCTCTTCCCAGTGCCTTTCTCTAATGGTGGGGTTTCTTCTGGGCTCCAGTATTGGCCAACTCTGCATGTTGCCTTGTACTTTTCATTTAGATCTGGTGGTTCTCCGGAGAGCAGCTTCCTCGGGTGTTACATGAGCCAAGCCCTCACTGTACAGAAGAGTGAGAGCTGAAACCTGTTCCCTGAGCTGATCAGAAGGACATCCCTTGGCCCCTCCATCTGGGCTCCTGTGGATAGGAGGGGCTGGGTGAGCAGGCCAGCTGGGCTATGGTGTGGTGCCTCGGCCTGGCCGTCCTCAGCCTGGTCATCAGCCAGGGGGCTGACGGTAAGCTGAGCTCTTGGGCTCAAGAATGCCCTGTTAGCCTTGGGGTGGGTATGGGGGTGTTCCTCAAGGGTTCCTCTTTGAGCATGTGAGGGCAGGGGAGGAATAGGGCTGGTTCTGGAGAAGCTGAACTGGGGGTTTCTCCAGTCACCCAAAGTCCTAAGGTGCCTACAGAGATACTGATGGCACTCCCCCTCCCAGCACTGACCCTAGCCCCCCGTTGTGCCCTCATGCCACCCATCATGCAGGTCGAGGGAAGCCTGAGGTGGTATCGGTGGTGGGCCGGGCTGGGGAGAGTGTGGTGCTGGGCTGTGACCTGCTGCCCCCGGCCGGCCGGCCCCCCCTGCATGTCATCGAGTGGCTGCGCTTTGGATTCCTGCTTCCCATCTTCATCCAGTTCGGCCTCTACTCTCCCCGAATTGACCCTGATTACGTGGGTAAGAGTTCTCCTCAGGTGGGAGGTAGGGAGGTATCAGCAAGAAAGGTGGGCTGGGTAGAGTCGCACAAGGCCTCCTATGAACGGCTTTGTCCCTGCTCTGATCTCATCTCCAGCTCTGCTGCCTTAACTCTGCTTAATAAGCATGGCTGTGCTCCCAAGCAGTGTTAATTCATTGAAAGATTCATTCATTTACACACACACACACACACACACACACTCACACTCTTATAGCTGTGCTATTTAGGACTCCACGTGGTCTGTTCCAAAGGAGATCCTGCAGCCCTATTCCAAATATCCATTCTAATTCTGTAACTGCTTTTTCTACATCTCATCATGAAACCTCCCAGACTTCATCCTGATCTGTAGTCTCCCCTCTTGGCCCTGCCTTGGTCCTGGCTCTACTATCTGCTCACTCCTCTGCGCTCTCCCCCTTCCTCATCGTCTTAAATGCTAGTTCAGGGGTTCAAGTCTTCTAGGGAGTGGGCTGATGGGGCAGCAGGGTAGGTGCGGCTGTGACCTCTCTGCTTTTCCAGGGACACTCAGTCTGCTTCTGAGTAGAGAAGCACAGGTGTACAGAGAGGGTGGCTGGGGAGGGCCCAGGATCCCCAAAGGTCAGTGACTGGATGGGGCTGGCCTGGGTTGCTGCTTTAGGTGGCACCTGTTGGGACTTAAAATCGTGTGTAGCCTCCCTGGGCGCCTTCTGCTGCACCCCAGCTGGCTCCCTAGAATGGCTACAATGGCTCTGCTTCCTCCTAATCCCGGATGGAGCCTTAATCTAAGCGGTTTAGTGCCAGGTCTCAGAGGGCAGTCTGCAGGAGGCCCTAAGGACAGGTCTGGGCTATGGGGCGAGAGAGAGTCTTGTTGCCTCCTCTTCAGAGGGGAGACCCAGGAAAGGCCACCTGGGAGGATGTTGATGGGGAGACCCCCACCTTTTCCCTCTTTAGTTTGAATCCTGAGGGAAACCCCGGGATTGGCTGAGCCTTGCCACAGGGCGGGCTGAGCAGAGAGGGGAGGAGGTGCAGGCAGGTGATGCAGAAGGGAAGTTTCTTTTCAAACTGGGGGCAGTTATTGGCAAACAGCCTGGTGGGAGTGTATGTGTCTACACAAGCCCTGTGGGAATGGATGAAAGCGGGCCCCAATTAGCACCAGTGGAGAAAAAAACGGCTGTGCCCACCAGCCCTCCCTCCCTGCCTCCGCCTGCCCAGGCCTGGGAGGGGTCTCGGGCTGCCGGGCTGAGGCTGGACAGATTCATAATGTTGCCTGACTGAGGGCAAGGCAAGGGGAGGTGGAAGAGGGAGGGGCTTTTCCTGGGACTCCACCAGGGAGACTTGAAGCTCTTCCTTCTCTCCAGCTTGTGTCCTGCCTTGAGGTCCCTCAGGCCTGAAGCCACTGGATGGTTAGCAACTTTGTCTACCTGTGGGTCTTCTGTCTGTGCTGTTGCTTGAGCTACAGGGGCTGTGAGCAGTAGCCTCTGGGACTTACTGTCTGCTCCTATCCTTTGTTCACACCCCTACCTCCGTCTGGAGCTCTTGGTCAGGCCAGAGCCGGCTGAGGGAGTTGGGACCTGAGGGAGGCCCCTGAGCCCATTAACCCTTTTACTGCCTCACAGTGTGGAAGGGGCCTCTCAGCCTTTGTGTAGGGGACTCGGAACTGCAGTTGCTAAGCAACAGGAGGTAGAGGTTGCTAAGGACAATGCTCTTCTGTCATAAGCCCTCTGGGCAGTGAAGGGGAGATGGGTCGGGGACTGTTGTGGGGCTGGTGGCCTAGAATGTGTGCGGAACCCTGAGAGAGACTGTTGGATTAGGGACCACACAGAAGGGAAGGCTTCCCATCTTTGAGGACTCTAGAAGCATCTAGTAGAGGAGACTGGATTTATCAACGATGCCATGGAGTGAAAGCAATATAAAACAAGCTAGGACTAAAGAGGAGGATTCAGTTAGCTGCTGTGTGTAAAGCGCCCCAGCCTGTGCCTGCACAGTGCCTGTGTGGTGTGAACCCATGACCAGGCCTCTGGAGGGAAGGAAGGTTAGGCTTAGTGGACACCAGCTTTCCTAAGGTGGGTCTTAGACCAACTCATTAAAATGGCAGGATGGGCTTTTGTGCTGTATTTCTTGGGATTTTCAAGATGCCCCACACAGCAGAAGGGATGTGCATTTTTTTCTCTGCCCTGAGTTGTTTGATAAAAATCAGTGACCTCGTTCTCCACTTAGAACTCCCCTGCTTGCTCTAGTCACCTCCCCTCACCACCTTTTATTCTTAATCCTCTGCCCAGTCACAGCTTCCCAGAAGCCTTCCTTACTCCTCTTGCTTCATAGTGCAATGTCTGGGCGCAGTTAGCACCATTTTTTGAACTTCTTTGTGGATGTGTGGACGTGAACTTGCCCATTTAGGTGACTGTGGGTTCCCTGCCTTCCGAGAGCTTAAGAGAGCAGAGACTGTGTCTCCTGTTTTCTTCACACGCCGCTGCATATGGGAAGATCTGAAGTCAACAGGCTTTAGCCCTGCAGGTGGAGGGAGGCCTCCAGGAGGTGGGCCCAGGACTCAGGAGGACTCAGGGCTGCCCTGCTGGCGATCTTCCTGTTCTGTAACACTACAGGTCTAGCAGTCCAGCTGTCACAGAAAAGCTAGGACATGCAGTATGCTTCTTTGGATATTCTGAGTAACATTTGGACTGTTACCCATTGGCTACCAGCATCTCCCAAGTGAGAATACATAGATTACCCCCAGTGCCCTGAACAGCACTCGGTCCTAACACCCGTGTCCATGGAAAGCACGCCGCGTCTGGAGAAAGAAGCCTGGCTTTGTCACTTACTAGCCATGTGATTTTGGAAAGAAACTTAACATTAATTCCTTCAGCTACAATGGAATTCTTGGGAGGATTAAATATGGTGACAACGCCTAATATTAGATGGCCTGTATTCCACACTCAATCTTCCTTCCCTCTTCTTCCTTCTTTGTAGAGCTATAATGAAAAGTATCATGTGGGACACAGAAGAGGTTGCAGTCTGGGGTCTGCAGGGCTTAGCGGCCAGGCAGATTAGCTTTCTTGAGGAATCCTGACAGTGGGTGGAAGGGTATGATGATGTTAAATATTTACCCGCTGGGCCTAGTCTTATCTCCGGGGTGGGGATTTCAACACCTAGCCCTTTAAGCAGGTCCACCCATCCTAGAGAATCCACACCCTGGAACTCATTCTAAGTAGAAAAAGACTCTTGGCTAAGATCACAAAGCCTGCCTCAACTTGATCCTTCTCTTCTTTCTGAAATAGATTTTCTTATTTCTGAAACAGATCACTCTAGAGGTAGAATGGAAGCAAACTGGAGGGGCTGAGCACTTTCACAGCTTCAGAATTTCTAGCATTAGGAAGAGCTGGAGTGGACACTATGCAAAGGGACTTGGAGCTGCATTTGCAAACAACATAAGATTAAGAAAATGCAGCCAGGCACAGTGACTCACAGCTTAATCCCAGCGCTTTGGGAGGCTGAGGCAGGAGGATCCCTTGAGGCCATGAGTTTGAAACCAGCCTGGGCAACATAGCAAGACCCCTCTCTTCAAAAATTAAACAATTAGCCAGGCATGGTGACACGTGCTTGTACTACTAGCTACTTGAGAGGCTGAGGCAAGAGGATCGATTGAGGCCAGGAGTTCGAGGCTGCAGTGAGCTACAATCAAACCACTGTACTCCACCTGGGCAACAGAGTGAGACCCTGTCTCTAAAAAAAAAGAAAGCTCCATTTGTTCATAGCAGAGGTCAAGGTGGGGATGAGCAATGTGATGTAGAGGGGAGGAGGCTGGAGGCAGGGAGACTGGCAAGTAGGCTGTTGGAGAAACCCAGGTGAGACATGCCACAGGTGTAAAGGTGAGGACAGCAGAGAAGGGGAAATGTTTAGGAGGTAGGATTTGAAAAACCTAATGAGCAAGTAGATATGGGAGGTAATCGAGGAATCTAGGAGATGCCAGGTTCCTGATAAGGTGACTTGGTGTGTGGTGGTGCAGGAAGAGAAAAGGAAGGTGACGTGTGATCAGTTTAGGGACAGGGTCAGGACTTGAGTGCAGCTTTCTGATTTCAAATCTAGAGCTCATTTATTTGTTCAACAACTTTTATTTGAGCATCCACTGATGCCAGGCACCATGCTACATGCCTTCCCTACATTATTTCTCTCCTCCACCCCACCCCAATTTTGTTTCTTTCTCTTCTTTTTACAGATGAGGAAACTGAAATTGAGAGAGGTTAAGTAACTTGCCCAAAAGAGTACACAGTCGAGCTGGACTCATGCCTAGGTCTATCTGGCTCCCAAGTGTGTGCTTGTATCACGAGGCTACACTGCCAGGGACCCATGAAGCTGTCTGGGGTGCATAGTTGCATCCAGGGAGGGTGCTGAGGGCTTGGGTAGGCACCCTCGGTCTGAGCCTGGCAGTGTGGTGTGGATGCTGACTAAGAGTGGGATTGAGGTGTCTGGTTGTGCTGTGGTTGTGTGGCTTTGTGGAAGTGTATGTGATCAGCCAGCTGGGACTGGAGTGCCCCGGGGCATGGAGAGGATAGGGCGAGGAGGCTGCTGACTTTGCTGCTTGCTGGGCTGGACTCTGGCCACCCTAAGGCGCTTAGGCTGCTGATAATAGCCCTGAGGGATTAGGGGCTTTGGCAGGCGGGGTCTGGGTTCCCCCTGCTAGGGCCTCAAACACTGCTGAGGTTTTCAGGGAAACAGTCCTCTATCAGGAGTACTCCCAGGAGCTCACACCTTCCCCTACATAAAGAGCCCAGAGGTGGACAGATCCTGTAAGAGTCCAGAGGAGACTACATGCTGGCTCTTCACTTCCTTCCCCAACAGTCCTAGACACCGAGTGCAGTTCAGGGGAAGGTTTTGTCCACCTGCTGTCCCCCTAGGTTTCTCTTTGTCTAGACAGGGTCCCAGCTGTCGAATGGCAAGAGTGGTCAGAGGGGCCGAATGGAGGGACCTGTCCTGAATGACCCCAACCTCATCTGCGTCTCTCTGGACCCCACACTCAGAGTAACTGGGAGAGACTGAGCCTGTTCTTACCTCTAAGAATTACCAGTGTGACCAGGGGACTGGGGCTTCCATGGGGTTCCTTCAGCACCCTTGATTCAGGGCTCCTCCCCCAGGACGAGTCCGGCTGCAGAAGGGGGCCTCTCTCCAGATTGAGGGTCTCCGGGTGGAAGACCAGGGCTGGTACGAGTGCCGCGTGTTCTTCCTGGACCAGCACATCCCTGAAGACGATTTTGCTAACGGCTCCTGGGTGCATCTGACAGTCAATTGTATGAAGCTGGGGGGCAGGTGGTGGAGAAGGACGGGGAGGAGGAGGATGGGGATCTCTGGCTGGTGGGAGAAAGGGGAAGAGGGAGTTCTATTTCCATCCCACAAACAGCTCTGATGCCCCACCCTTCCTGAGAGCCCTTGTTTGCTCACTTAGTAGTTGCATCTCACCCCTCCCCCACACTCCTGCCCTTTTCAGTTCTTCAAATATAAATTCAATCAGCCTTCTAGGCTCGGTGTCAGGAACTCCCTCTTTCTCTTCCCTCCTGCTTCCCTGGCCAGGGAAGTGGGTGGGAGAGAGGGGCTCTTGGGCCCTGAGTGAAACACAGCTCACATATATATAGCACCTTGTGTTTTCAAAATACCTTTTCACCCAAGCCCTTATTATTTATCTCTCACTCCTAAGTAGGAAGGAGGTCATAATCATTCCCATTGCATAGGTGAGGCTGAGTCATGCCACTGATTAGTGGCAGAGCAGAGTCTAGGACCCAGGCCTCCTCACTCCCAGAACAGTGCTCCTCCTGAGGGGGCTTGGCTCTCCCCCAGGCTCTGGACATCCAACCTGGGTTCAGCCCCAGGCCAGTGTGTGGGGGTGGGTTGACAGAATCC
This sequence comes from Homo sapiens, assembly GCF_000001405.40. Taxonomy (NCBI): domain Eukaryota; kingdom Metazoa; phylum Chordata; class Mammalia; order Primates; family Hominidae; genus Homo; species Homo sapiens. The sequence continues at coordinate 159,937,078 of NC_000001.11, read as the reverse complement.
TCATTTGGCCTGGGTGCAGTAGACAGGGTGGCCCTGGGCTGAGGACTCCTATGAGGCAGGGCTGGTGGGTGGGCAGCAGGCTGGAGCCCTGAGTGGTCTCCCTGGCCCTTGGACACTGCTTTTTGGGCTGACAGCCCCACTGGGGCCCCTGATGCCTGTCTCCCTTGCAGCACCCCCTCAATTCCAGGAGACACCTCCTGCTGTGTTGGAAGTGCAGGAACTGGAGCCTGTGACCCTGCGTTGTGTGGCCCGTGGCAGCCCCCTGCCTCATGTGACGTGGAAGCTCCGAGGAAAGGACCTTGGCCAGGGCCAGGGCCAGGTGCAAGTGAGTCCTGGGGGTGGACAGAGTGAGCCATATAGAGTGTGAAGGGAAGGTGGGGGCCTGGCAGTGGGGCCAGAGGACAGAGGAGGCAAAGGCCAGGCTGGAGGATGGGCCAGAAGAAGGGCTTGGCATTGTTTGCCCCGAGCCTGGGGTGCTGCCTCCCTCTGCTGGCCAAACTCGGAAGTGCAGGATCTGAGGCTGGCAGGGGAAAGGACTCTTCCTCACCCACTCCTTCCCTAGGTGCAGAACGGGACGCTGCGGATCCGCCGGGTAGAGCGAGGCAGCTCTGGGGTCTACACCTGCCAAGCCTCCAGCACTGAGGGCAGCGCCACCCACGCCACCCAGCTGCTAGTGCTAGGTGCTCTCTGGCGGGAGGGCTGGGGTCCAGGGTTACCTATGCAAGGGGGCTGTGACCTGTGGCTGAATTGGTTCACAGCAAGATAGGAGGGAGATTTGTGCCTGAGGGCAGGGCCCGTGGAAGCTAAGGGGGTTCCCAATGCAGGCTGTTGCTCTGAAACCAGCACCTTAATTTTAAAAGGCTCAGTAAGCAGACAAAGCGATCTTAGTGCCCAGTAGTGTGTTATAGTGGAAAGGACATGGGTGCTTGTGTTAGGCTGTGAGCCAGTTAACTCCTTGAGTCCCAGTTTCTTCATCTTTATAAAGAGACTCATCTCTACCTCTCAGGTGTGTTACAAGAATTTACTTAGGTGCAGCTGAGCCCAGTCACTGGCACATGGTAATTCCTGGCCAAGATCCTTCCTTTAGAAGGGAAACTGAGAAGCAGAAGGCCTGGACTGTGCCTTCATAGAGCCTATTATCTTTGTGGGGAAGTGAGACTAATTGGGGAAACAGGGAAGTGTTGCTGTCCGTGGTACTGTAAGAAAGGCAGTGCCGGGTAATGGTTAAAGGTGTCGTCTGTGGCATCAGGAAGCCTAATATGAATGTTGCCTCTCCTGCTGTCCTTGGGCAATCACCTCACAATCTCTCTGCCTCTGAGCCTTCACTTCTTCATCTAGAAAATGGAGACAATTCCCACCACAAAGCTTTTGGTGAGGATTAAACGAGGTCGTGCAGGTAAAGTGCTTAGCACTCAGTGTCCCGCATGCAGTCAGTGCTCTGTTGTGTCAGCTCGCATCATGACCTCTTCTTACTGACTGCTCATGCGGTACCGGCCCAGAGAGGGGAAGGAGTAGTGGAACTGTAGTAGCCAGAGGTGCTTTTGCAGGAGGTATGTGGCGCGGCCAGGCCCTTGGGAGGGGCATTCCAGACCGGGGGTGCAGGGAGCAAAGGCATGGAGATGGGGGACAGCCAGCTGCCCATACTGACCTGAAAGAGTTCATGAGGGCTGACATATGGAAAGATGGCTGGCCACGTAGGGAGGGTTTGGATCGCAGGGGTCCACAGGGCTGGGTTTGAGCTTAGTGTAGTAGGAGCCAGGTGCTGTTGCAGGTTCCTGAGCAGAAGTGTTCTGTGGCTCAAGGGGCTGTTTCTGTATGAATGGCCATTAGAGTGGCAGCTGCAGGGGAGCCTGGAGTCAGGGGCTGCTGCAGCATCTTGAGGTGAGGTATTGGGCACCTGGGTTAGGGCCAGAGACAGAGAAGTAATTCAAGAGGTGACAAGCAGGGATACAAATGGTAAATGAGCAGAGTTAAACTGACTCCCCCAAACACACACACCATTCCTAGGCAGTGGAACTGCATGAATGGAGTTGCTCTTGATGGAACAGAGAGAATTTGGAAAGAAGAATGGGTCTCAGGGAGAGGATGAATTCTTGTTACATACAGGGGGAAGCTTCTGCTTCCACTCCCCAAAGCCCTGTAACAACGAGCCCTAAGATTCCAGAGAGCAGAGCTGGGAAGAGTTGTAGAGGTGACCTCAGGGTTCTGGGAAGACTGTGGGCTGAGGCCACCTTCCTCCCCTTGTGCATCCCACAGGACCCCCAGTCATCGTGGTGCCCCCCAAGAACAGCACAGTCAATGCCTCCCAGGATGTTTCATTGGCCTGCCATGCTGAGGCATACCCTGCTAACCTCACCTACAGCTGGTTCCAGGACAACATCAATGTCTTCCACATTAGGTGGGGTCACCCTCATTAGGAAGGTGGAGGTGGGGAATTCACAAACAGTCTCTGAAGAGCCGCTTGGCTGGGCAAGGCCTGGACCCCTCCTCACACATGCCACATTGCAGCCGCCTGCAGCCCCGGGTGCGGATCCTGGTGGACGGGAGCCTGCGGCTGCTGGCCACCCAGCCTGATGATGCCGGCTGCTACACCTGTGTGCCCAGCAATGGCCTCCTGCATCCACCCTCAGCCTCTGCCTACCTCACTGTGCTCTGTAAGCCTGACCCCAGCTTCTCCCTCAGCCTGCTCCCTTCCCCTGGGCCAGGCCAAGCCCCTCTCCCCCAACTTGCCACTACTTTCCCCCAGACCCAGCCCAGGTGACAGCTATGCCTCCTGAGACACCCCTGCCCATAGGCATGCCGGGGGTGATCCGCTGCCCGGTTCGTGCCAACCCCCCACTGCTCTTTGTCAGCTGGACCAAGGATGGAAAGGCCCTGCAGCTGGACAAGGTACAGGCTTGGGGCAGGGGAAGGAGGGTCTTAGCTTGGCGTTATTCTGCTCAGGACAGCAGGGTGGAGTTAGCTCGGTTTAATTCAGTTCAGTGACTGGGGACACACATCTTTTGTGAATTTAATTTGTGTTATAAGACATGTTGCATAGGAAACTACTTAAAACCCCTGAGGAAAAATTTCCATGGTTTAAAGTGGTGGTTTTGTGTCTTCTTTGGGGAAAGAAGAGAGATGATCTCTGGGGAAAATGATGGCAAAGAGTCAAGAAGGAGAACTGAAGTTTCTTTCGTGTGATGACTGGGAAATTGTGTGTCCCGGGGGAACACACACTTCTTACCAGGTGCTGTGTGGGGTAGTGGGTTGAGGGCAGGGGCAAGGAGGCATCCATCCTTAAAGTGGGCACCATCTGGGCAGAGGACAGCAACACTGTCTGGAAGGCCAGGGATGGAGCTCGTGCCTTCCTCTTAGGGTGGTTGAGGATAGACCAGCAACAGATTCTGGGACTTTGGTGATGGGCCTCAAAGAGGACACAGTCATTCCCTTGCAGAAACCAGGGTCAAGAGGCAGGAAGTAGTATAGTACGTTTATGGAATCATGGATCGTCCAATTGGGTGGGAGCCGGAGTGCCTGCAGGGACATGAATGGTGCAGAGAAAGCTGGAAAGACAGGTTAGCATCAAAAGGAAGAACTGGATGCCAAGTTACTATTGCCTCATTCCAAGGCAATTGGGATCTTTTGTCTGCAGAGACTATAAATTTTTGAGGCCTAGTATTGCATCTTTTCATCATAGTGTACCTGGGGCTTCTACAACAATAGTACTCAGTATATCTTTGTTGAATATTTAAGAAAAAAGTCTACAGGCAGTTGGAGCCACTGGAATTTGTTGAGCATTGGTGTGATAGGATCAGAGCTGTGATCAGGGGTTGAGCTTGCCCAGTGGAATGTAGCGGGAGATACTGGACATAGGAAGAGGGGTTCTGAAGCTGCTGAAATGGCCCAGGTGAGAGTTATGGAGTCTGATTTACAGAGGACATGAAGATGAATGGGCTCATGCTCTGACAAAAGGGACTTCCCAGGATGACTGGCTTAGTGAGTATTTCACCAGGGGGAGTGAGGGAACGTGAGGAGGCAGACTTCAGCAAGAAGGATGGCGGGCCCTTTAATAGAGAAATAGGAGCTGGTTTTGGGTGGAAGACTCTGAACTTAGTTGTGGAGTGCTGGGAAGAGAGCCAGGTGAAGTCCCAGCAGGCAGGAAGCCCCACGCGGCCCAACTACAGGGGTGGCCATTCACAGTGTATTTTCTGTGAGTGGCACCCCCTGGAGTTGTGCAGTCACAGCCTCACACTATTGGGAGGGGTCCCTCTGCAGGAAGGAAAGGAAGCACTGGAAATCAGAGAGGGGTCAGGCCTAGACATGGAGCTGCTGGAGTCTTCTGCACAGCTGTGGGTTTCTCATCCTGCCCCCTCTCTTGTACTGCCATCCCGGGCTTGTCTCTGCTGAGCTCCTCTCTCTAGCTGTCATCTTCTCTTCCTTCCAGTTCCCTGGCTGGTCCCAGGGCACAGAAGGCTCACTGATCATCGCCCTGGGGAACGAGGATGCCCTGGGAGAATACTCCTGCACCCCCTACAACAGTCTTGGTACCGCCGGGCCCTCTCCTGTGACCCGCGTGCTGCTCAAGGTTAGGCCGGGGGTGGGCGGGGGCCTGTGGTGACAGTGGGTCAGATGGCTGGAGATGGTGCTAAGGCCAGGCTGATGGGGGTGGGGTGGGGCAGACACATGGGGAGGGGTTTCCAAGTTTGTTTCCCATGGTGGCCACGGCAGCAGCTGCCTGATGCCATCCCAGAGGTTTCTGCAGAGGTGGTGCTCGGGAGGTGGGACATCAGTCACACACATCCAGAAGTAAGATATCCTGTTTGCCCCAACTCTCACTAACCTTGACCGTGCTGCCTCCCTCTCTGGGGCTCTGGGAGGAAGAATGTTCTGCAGAGGTTTGTACATCTCTGAGAGTCCTGCCTAAGCCTGCCAGCCCTTACTACACCACCATTTTCCTCCAGCCCCTACCCACTGGGGAACAGAAACAGAGCCAGAGAGGAATTGAGAGATGGAGAGAGAATGAGGTAGAGACAGGCTTGGTGAGTGTTTAGCTAGGGGGAGTGAGGGAGAGTGAGGTGAGACATGGCATGACAGGGAGCACAGAGAGAGGGAGTAGCCAGCCTTAGATGTAAGAGAGGGCCCCTCCCAATGCCAGATCTGGCTTGCAGGCTCCCCCAGCTTTTATAGAGCGGCCCAAGGAAGAATATTTCCAAGAAGTAGGGCGGGAGCTGCTCATCCCCTGCTCCGCCCAAGGGGACCCTCCTCCTGTTGTCTCTTGGACCAAGGTAAGGCTCCTGAGCCCGCTCTGCCTGTACCCACGCCCACTACACCCCTGCCTCTCGTGCCCCAGCCATTTTGTGGGAGGGAGGGTGTGGGAAGGAGAAGGCTGTCAGAGGCAGGGTGGGGAGGAACTGGAGCTGCCTGGAGAGATGAGGGGCGCCTTTGGTGAGGGGTGGCTGCGTGTGTCCTCAGGGCTCACCAGTGGTTCTGTAGGTGGGCCGGGGGCTGCAAGGCCAGGCCCAGGTGGACAGCAACAGCAGCCTCATCCTGCGACCATTGACCAAGGAGGCCCACGGGCACTGGGAATGCAGTGCCAGCAATGCTGTGGCCCGAGTGGCCACCTCCACGAACGTCTACGTGCTGGGTTAGTGGCTGGAGAGAGGGCCAGGGGCTGGGAGAAACTACTTGGGAATCGTTTTTGGAGGCCCAGAAAGAGGATCATGGGTGTGGGACCCCTGGGATGATGATGGGTGAAGGTCAGTGGCCCTGGGGCCCCTGCTACTCTGTACACTCCCTCAGGCCCTGACCACCATCCCTCCATTCCCCCCTGCCTAGGCACTAGCCCTCATGTTGTCACCAATGTGTCCGTGGTGGCTTTGCCCAAGGGTGCCAATGTCTCCTGGGAGCCTGGCTTTGATGGTGGTTATCTGCAGAGATTCAGTGTCTGGTACACCCCACTGTGAGTGACCTGCTCCTGCCATTTCTCTGTGCCAATCTTGCCTCCTTTCCTCTCCTCCTTGAACCTATCTGGCCTTCTGCCCTTTCTTCTGTCCCTCTATCCCTCACCAGTCCTGGCTCTGCTTCCCTGTTTCCAGATTCTGAGGCATTCAGGGCCAAGGTCCTGAGACCTTGGATGGTTGAGCAGAGGGGAGGTGGTTAGATCTCTGGACCCCAGATCTTCTGGTCTTCCTAGCTCACGAGGTGCCCCCCATGTCCTCATGTCTCCCAGGGCCAAGCGTCCTGACCGAATGCACCATGACTGGGTGTCCTTGGCAGTGCCTGTGGGGGCTGCTCACCTCCTAGTGCCAGGGCTGCAGCCCCACACCCAGTACCAGTTCAGCGTGCTAGCTCAGAACAAGCTGGGGAGTGGTCCCTTCAGCGAAATCGTCTTGTCTGCTCCGGAAGGTGAGAAGCTTCTCGTCCCAGAACAGCAGAGACAAGGATGGGGAAGGGCTGCTGGGAGAGCTGGGATATGGGAGGCCCTGGGTGGGAAGGGGCAGAGGTGCTGGCCAGCTTGGGGTCCAGAGGGGTGTGTGGAAGATGATTTGAGCTTGTCTTCAGGGGTTCTGGGAGAAGAGTTGGGCACTGGGAGTTGTGGAAGGCCAGGGGAGGGGCGCTGGGAATCCTTGCTCTGACCTGCCTTTCTGTCCCACGCAGGGCTTCCTACCACGCCAGCTGCACCCGGGCTTCCCCCAACAGAGATACCGCCTCCCCTGTCCCCTCCGCGGGGTCTGGTGGCAGTGAGGACACCCCGGGGGGTACTCCTGCATTGGGATCCCCCAGAGCTGGTCCCTAAGAGACTGGATGGCTACGTCTTGGAAGGCCGGCAAGGCTCCCAGGGCTGGGAGGTGCTGGACCCGGCTGTGGCAGGCACAGAAACAGAGCTGCTGGTGCCAGGCCTCATCAAGGTATGTGCGAAAGGCGATACAGAGAGAGGCCTCCTAGGGGCTCTCCTGCGTCCTTCTCCATTCCCCAAACTCTATCTTCTCATCTTGATTTGAGCTCTTCACCTCTGCGTCCTACCTCACCCTTCCGTCCCACGTGCACGGTCTTTCCGCGCCCCGCTGGGTTGGGCGGTGCTGGGCCCTGACCTCCCTCCTGGTACCCCATCCCCATCGCAGGATGTTCTCTACGAGTTCCGCCTCGTGGCCTTCGCGGGCAGCTTCGTCAGCGACCCCAGCAACACGGCCAACGTCTCCACTTCCGGTGAGCACCTGGCGTGAGGGAGGAGCCCCAGGGCTGCTCCGAGTCCACTGACCCTCCCTCGTGGACCCCTGCCTAGGTCTGGAGGTCTACCCTTCGCGCACGCAGCTGCCGGGCCTCCTGCCTCAGCCCGTGCTGGCCGGCGTGGTGGGCGGAGTCTGCTTTCTGGGAGTGGCCGTCCTTGTGAGCATCCTGGCCGGCTGCCTCCTGAACCGGCGCAGGGCTGCCCGCCGCCGCCGCAAGCGCCTCCGCCAAGGTAAGTCCCTCCACCCTCAGCCCTGCTACTGCGCACTTGGGCCTAGCCTCCTTAAGCCCCTCCTACCTGGGGGAAAAGCCCTCGCTCCTGTGTGATCCAGGTGCATTCTCTTAGTCCTGCATCTGGTCCTGCCTACGCTTTTCCCAGCCGGATGGGGTTGGGCGCCTGGTGTTGGGTGAGAGAGTCTCCGCCTAGAGGGCCTTGATTTTTGCCTGTGTCACCTACTATTCTCATGCCCTTCCAGATCCACCTCTTATCTTCTCTCCGACCGGGAAGTCAGCTGCACCGTAAGTGCCTCCACCTCCTTGGCTTTCTTCTGCCTTTCCATTGTACGTGCCAGTATCTTCTGCTTCCTTTTTTGCATCTTTACCAGGGGGATGTTGGGTGTTGGGGAGGAACAAAAGTGGGAGAGGGTAAGAAGGGGTGTGCAGTGGCCCCAGCCTGAGGCCGTTCCAGTATGGCCTGTGCCTTCCCTCCACCCCTCCACCTTGTTGGTCCTTTCCTCGCTTGTTCTTCCTAGCTCTGCTCTGTTGTTCACCAAACCTCTCAAGGCCTGACGCTGGCTCCTGGGAGGGGGACCTGCCCCTACCACAGACCCTGATCTCCTGTCCTTCCCCAGCTCTGCTCTGGGCTCAGGCAGTCCTGACAGCGTGGCGAAGCTGAAGCTCCAGGGATCCCCAGTCCCCAGCCTGCGCCAGAGTCTGCTCTGGGGGGATCCTGCCGGAACTCCCAGCCCCCACCCGGATCCTCCATCTAGCCGGGGACCCTTACCTCTGGAGCCCATTTGCCGGGGCCCAGACGGGCGCTTTGTGATGGGGCCCACTGTGGCGGCCCCCCAGGAAAGGTCAGGCCGGGAGCAGGCAGAACCTCGGACTCCAGCCCAGCGTCTGGCCCGGTCCTTTGACTGTAGCAGCAGCAGCCCCAGTGGGGCACCCCAGCCCCTCTGCATTGAAGACATCAGCCCTGTGGCACCCCCTCCAGCAGCCCCACCCAGTCCCTTGCCAGGTCCTGGACCCCTGCTCCAGTACCTGAGCCTGCCCTTCTTCCGAGAGATGAATGTGGATGGGGACTGGCCCCCGCTTGAGGAGCCCAGCCCTGCTGCACCCCCAGATTACATGGATACCCGGCGCTGTCCCACCTCATCTTTCCTTCGTTCTCCAGAAACCCCTCCTGTATCCCCCAGGGAATCACTTCCTGGGGCTGTGGTAGGGGCTGGGGCCACTGCAGAGCCCCCTTACACAGCCCTGGCTGACTGGACACTGAGGGAGCGGCTGCTGCCAGGCCTTCTCCCTGCTGCCCCTCGAGGCAGCCTCACCAGCCAGAGCAGTGGGCGAGGCAGCGCTTCGTTCCTGCGGCCCCCCTCCACAGCCCCCTCTGCAGGAGGCAGCTACCTCAGCCCTGCTCCAGGAGACACCAGCAGCTGGGCCAGTGGCCCTGAGAGATGGCCCCGAAGGGAGCATGTGGTGACAGTCAGCAAGAGGTGAGAGCAGTCCCTGCCCATCCCTGCCTCCGCCTCAGTCCCACCCCAGACCTCTCACCCCTCTCCCAATACCCTGCACCTTCTCTGCTCCACTCCCACCCTGGGAACGGGAAAACTTGTCCCTTTTAGAAGCTTTTGCTGAGGTCCAGGGATTTTTCAGGGGAAACCCATGACCTAACGTGAGTTTGCGGTCGCTGAATTCAGACTTTTCTGAACAGCCTCTATTCCTCCACCCACACCATATGTTTGTCTTTTTTTTTTTTTTTACAGGAGGAACACATCTGTGGACGAGAACTATGAGTGGGACTCAGAATTCCCTGGGGACATGGAATTGCTGGAGACTTTGCACCTGGGCTTGGCCAGCTCCCGGCTCAGACCTGAAGCTGAGCCAGAGCTAGGTGTGTGAGCCCCCCGGAAAGGCAGGCATCTCGGCCATACTGTCCCACATCCCCCCGCCACCTTAGGACCCATCTATTCCCAGTCAGGCCCTGCCTCCCAGGCTCCTCTGCTCTAGACTGTGCCTTGCCCCCTTGGGCCATCTGTACTGGAAGGGCCTAGCGAGCTTCACATCTGAGCTCTTCACTCAGTGAACCTCAGGGCTTCTTCTCATTGTCCTGCCCGCCTCTTGCAGGTGTGAAGACTCCAGAGGAGGGCTGCCTCCTGAACACTGCCCATGTTACTGGCCCTGAGGCCCGCTGTGCTGCCCTTCGGGAGGAATTCCTGGCCTTCCGCCGCCGCCGAGATGCTACTAGGGCTCGGCTACCAGCCTATCGACAGCCAGTCCCCCACCCCGAACAGGCCACTCTGCTGTGAACATCCCTGATGTGAGGCTGTGAAAAGGCATATGGACCTGCAAAGGAGGCCCCCAACCAGACAGACCTAGTTTCAAACGAGGGCACTGCCCCTGCCTGCCCCTTTGGTGCCCAGGCACAGACCCTGATAGTGGGTTTGGGTCACCTTGGTATGGAATGTATGTGCTGACCCCCTAGGTGAGTCTGGGGATTGGAACAGGGATCTTAGGTCTGCCTCTCTCTCTCTCTCTCTCTCTCTCTCTCTCTCTGTGTGTGTGTGTGTGTGTGTGAAGTTTTTTACAGGTGAATAAACAAAGTTTGAAAGATGTTTCTGTGTGTTATCTGTCTTTGAGAGAGTGCCAGGAAAATCCCTGGACCCTTAAAGAAGAGGAGAATCTTCTTGAATAAATGGAGGTGCATTCAGCATTCATTCAAGAACATTTATTGAGTGCTTACGGAGGCCAGCTACTAAAGGCCAGCCACTGAAGTAGATACTGAGAAAATACAAAGCTCTGGAAGCACGCCTTTGCCCTTGAGGAGTTCTTTCTAGTCAGTGAGGCGGACAAAGAAATAGTTACCGTATGATAAGTTCCGTGATAAAGCTATGTGTTGGTTATTGTAGCACAAAGGAAGATGTTGCATTCAAGGCCACCTTTAGTGAACGCTAATATCGTGTGCTGGGACAAATGCCACATATTGGGGGGGAGTCCTCAGGACCCTCACAGATAGATGGTGGTAATAATAGTATTCACTATGTGCCAGGCACTGCTCTAAGCCCTATAGGTGGACTGTTTAGTTCTCTACAATTCTATGAATTAGGTAGTACTATTAGCTCTGTTCTATAGACCAGGGAACTCAAGCATAGAATGCACAACAGTCACACAGCAGGTAAAGGGTAGAGCAGGTGGGGAGCCAGTCAAGGAAGGGAAACTGTCCTAGGCAGAGGAATAGCCTTTGTAAAGGCACAGAAGAGTGAGAATGCTTGACAATCAGTGGGACTGGAATATAGGGCTGTGTAGGACTCGGGGAGGGAACAGAGAATAATAGAAAGGTTGGACAGGACTGGATATTGACATCCTGGAATCTCAGGTTCAAGGGAGGACTCTATCATGTGTGCAGAACTCCACCCCGGGGGACTCTATTCAACTGAAGCCTGAAAGGATGGGGGGCTCTTTCTCCACCCCTGAACTGTGCTGTCCTCCACCCTCAGAGACAAAAGAACCCCAGCCAGCCTCCTCGCGCTGAGGTCTCCCCCTCTGATCCCTCCAGGATTTAGGAAGAGATACCAGGTCATAGAAAAGGAGATGAAAGGCAGGGAGAAGACAGGTCTGAGCCCTGGGTCCCAACACCGAAAACACCCCTAGGGCCCTGGGCAGAGTGACCTCACTGTTAGTCCCTGCCCAGGCTTGAAGTAAGAGGTGAGCAAGATCACGTGGGGGTGCTGTCCCGGCCTGCAAGTCCCAGTCCTGTCACACACTAGTCAGTTGGGGTCGGGGGAAGGCCTTCCTGTGCCTCCTTTTACCTTGCCAGCCTCTAAACTAGGAGGCTTCTTCCTACATAAACACGCCCACAGTGTTTAGCTAACTTTCTAGGCAGAAAGTTTCCTACTGGGGCACAAGTCTACGGGCTCTCGGTGGAGGCTGAGGTACTCACGGGTGGAGACCACTGCAGCCGCCTTTGTAGATTCAGACTCCCCGAACCTTTAACCCTTGCTCTGGTCTACTGTCCCTCTGTCTCAAGCAGTCCTCCCTCCTTCTGCGCTGCGGCGCCTTTAAACCTTCTTGGCCCTTGCCCCGCCCCGGGTCCGCCCCGTCTGAGGCGGGACCCTCCTGAAAATCCCCGGCTGGGCAGGGCGCACCACTTGCAGCTGCAGCCCTTGCCTTGAGTCAGTGCGCCGCTCTCCAGCCCGCTTGAACGGTGAGCAGGTCGGGGGTACGGGGGTCGGGGACATGTGCGTGCTGTGTAGAAAGCAAGAAGCCAGCGCTTTGAACTTGCTCCAGCGAGCTCGGGGATCAAGGGCTGGTACCAGGCAAGGGTCCGGTGACTACTTTACCCCGCCCCGTGCTGTCAGGTCCTGTCCCCAAGCCCTGACCCGACATTGTTGGACGATGAGGTCAGGCGAGGTTAGCCCATGCATAGACAGGGCGTCCGTCTGGAGCAGGGACTCAGGGACTGAGCCCCACCCGCGGGCTCCATCGCTGAGTCCTCACTGGGGCGAGGGGAAAAAAGGGCGTCGGACTTTAGCTGGCTGGCCCCGAGTGACCCCGGGTCGTGGCGCCGGCCCTGGGCCAGCTCGTGCTCCTGGGCTTTCCCGCGCGACCCTTCACTTCCTGGTTCCAGGAGCACGTGTGAGCACTGCGTGCCCTCTGAGTCCCCGAGGCCGCCCTTTTCATTCCTGTTCCTGCTAGCTTGCTATTCTGGGGACTTGAGGTCACGGGCTGGGGCTAGGGGGCTCTGCATGGGTCGCACGGTGACCTTCTGTGAAGCTCCAGTCATCTCTATGACGGTCCCCTGACCTCGGGGGTCTGGGTGCTGCAGCCCTGACTGCGCCCCGGGGTGCCCTGTGTGAGGTTGTGGGGGTGGTGGTGGCTGCTTTTACCCTGCCCGAGCGCCGCTGCCCCCACCGGGTGCCCCCTGCTGCTGGGAAAGCCGGTGGTGGCCGCGGGCGGACGGGCGGGCTGCCCAGACCACTGCGTCACCCCAGCGGCGGGAGGGCGGTGGGTGACTCATCTGTTGTAACGGCCCAGGGTGTGGTCGTGGGGGTGGGGGGCGGCGGCTGGGAGGCCGGACCTGCAGGACCGGAGGTGGACTGCCGCCTCCCCCCGCGCCCTGTGCCTCCTGGGGCTACCTGAAGCCGGTGTCCTGGGAGATCTGTGAGCAGTTGGTATCTGTGGGGCAGAGAGAAACGGGGTGAGAGTGGGGATGGAGTGTGGGATTCGATGTAGAAGACCTGCGGCTGGGACGGGGCTCCCCCAGTGTTCTCATTGACTTCAAAGCACCAGACAGCAATGGCTCTCTATCTCTAGCCCCCTCCCAGTTTCTCCTCCCCACTACAAGGGGCAGACCTACAACTGCAGAGGAGGCCAAGGCAGGGCGGGCCCAGTAGGGCCCTACCATTCCAGAACCAACAAATAGGTTTTGTCCAACCGCAACTCCCTCCCTCACCCCAAGGCCTCTGCCCCTGTCCCCCACCCCGGGATTGGCCCCTAATCCTTTCTTCATTCCATCCCTTCTCCCTCCAGAATTTTCAGCTGTGGGTTCTCTAGCTCAGAACACTTTCCCTTCCCAGGGGATTTCTTCTCCTGAACAACTACTTCCTGAGTCCTCTTCTTCACCCCAACACGGGTCATTTCCTATCTTCCCCCACACGCTGTCCATCCCCACTATAGCTGTCTCCTGGAATAATCTCTTGCACCTGGCTACACCCGAGCACTGCTGAGACGATCCCACTTCTGCTCCCGTGCTCACAGCCTGCTCACCACAACGTCTGTGTTGACAGGGTGTTTCTGCCCGGAGCCCCCACCCAGCCTCCAACACTGTTTGGTACACAGAAGCCATGGCAACGGCCCCCACCTCATCCCCTCCTCCCACGCAAGCTTTGGAGCTTCCTGTTTGTGTAGCCTCAGCTTTCTCTTCTGCTCCTGACTCTCGGTGGTGAGGGGCTGCCCTACGGTGGTTCCCTTAATTGTGGGCCGCCCCCCATCCTTGCTGCTGGCTGTGGCACCTCGCTCTGTGGGCTGGTGCCCTCACTGTGCTGCTCTTTGAGAACACTCCCTGTCCCAAATCTGAGTTGGGAAGTTCTCCTGTGTTCCATCTGCACGGTGGATGGAGAGTCCCTTTGTCTTCCCAATTAAACACCCTAGCCAAGAACCCTGAAGTCCTCCCTGCCCCCACCCATGTCCGCCTTTTCTTTGGCTTTGGCTTTGGTGAGGTAAGCTTCCAGCCCAGGGTCTGGGTGGGGCCGAGTGCCTTGCGTGGCCCCTCCCCGTTTCCCGCCTATTGTAACTCCAGGGTGAGGGTGAGGGTTGTTCTCACAGCTGCAGTAGCGCTAGGGTTTAGGTTGCTCCCTGCCAGTCCATCCCCCAGGTTGTTCAGCTGTCACCTTCCTTTGGGGTCCCCAGCTCTGGGGGTCCCCCACACCTGTCTTCCAGCTGGGCATATCTCTTCTCACCCTGGTAGGCAACTTGCTTACTGTTTTCTTTATGTTTGAGGGAAGGCAGGGGCAGGTCCCCTGGGTGTCCCTAGGGTGGGCCTTCCCAGCTCCAGCAGCCGCAGCCCATCAGCTTCTGCCTGCCCGTGGGGGTGGGGAAGAGAAACAGCTGCTGACCAGGCCTGGCCTGGTTGGAACTGCCCCTTCTCAGGACCCCGCCCTATGGCTCTGGCACCTCAGAGCTTGAGGGCAATGGCCCCAGAGTGGAGCAGATACACTGCAGCTGGAGGCCGTGACCCTGCCAGCTGTGTCCAGGCCCCAGCGTTGGGCGGTGGAGGGGGTTCCTCAGCATCCACTTTCCACCCAGTGGTGGGTCTGGGAGGCCAAGTTTGTCCTGCCTTGGGGGGTTGGGGGGCACTGGAAGTGTCTGGCTTCAGGCCTTTCTCTCTGCTCTTAACCCCAGTGTCTAGGTTAATCATTCTCCTGCCCTTTCTTTACCTGTGCCATGGTGATCCCCGAGCCTCAGGCCACTTGGTCCCTGGAAACAGCCCTGAGCACAGCCACTCCCAGGAGAGAGGTCTGGAACTGGGCTGCGGAAAGGGGGCTTACTGGTGGTAGTAGCTCTTAGCCCCTTCCTCTTCCTACCTGTCTTCCAGCCATTCCCCTGTGCATCAGAGGTTAGAGGTTTCTATGGTGGAGTGGCCTCTGGGAAGGGCAGGGATGCTTCTCTTGGTTTCTCCTCAGAACTCAGCCACCCCACCCCGCCTGCCTTCCCCAAGCTGATGGTGTGTGTGCCTGGCGCTGTGGGTCGGGGCCCAGACTGACATTTATCTGGCCCAGCTTTCGGGCTGGGGGAAGTGGAGGGGGCGGGTTGCTCTTAATGAGGTTTAAAAATAACTGATTTAGGGGAGGATCTGCCGGAAATGTGCAGCTTGATAAGCTGGGGTAAAAAGGAGCAGCCATGTTGGAGTCGGGACGGGAGGGACTGGCCCAAGACACAGCCTCTGCGGCCGAGAGGTGTTGAGGGTTTGAGGCAGGCTGGTCCCCTTGTATTTCGCAGAGCCCCAAGGTCCATTGAGAGGGGGTGACGGGATTGTTTAACCTGGGTGTGTGGGAGAGGGGGAGCTGGAGTGACTTCATCCCTGAAGGCCAACCTGGCCTGGAGCCAGATGTGGTTAGAAGGGGTGGCTCTCTTTCTTCCCCTTGAACGCAGATGCCTGTCCTGGGGGTCCCCTTTCGTGAGCAGCCTGACAGCTAGCTCTGTTTTGGAGAAGAGAGAAAAGCCAAACCAGGGTGGGGATGGGACAGAAAATGGGGACTGTGGCCCATTCTTGGTTCTTGGCTCCCCTTGGCATCCATACCATGCCCGGGTCTTGCTCAGCCCCTGAGTGTCAGACCCAGGTGGTGAGTGTGGTGGGAACACACTGCCACAGTGAGGTCCGCCAACTCAGGCCATTGGTCGGGAAACCACCCAGTTCTTGCTAATCAAGCTCCTCCAACGAAGTTAAAGAAACCCTCCTGTGTATTTCCCCGTCTTGCCTTCTCTTCTCCAGGTTTCCCCAAAAATATCACCCAGGGCTCCTGTATTAGTTTCCTATTTCTGCTGTAACAAATTGCTACAAGCTTAGTGATTTAAAGCAACACAAATACAGCATCTTACAGTTCTACAGACTCAACAGGGGTCTCACTGGCTAAAATACAGGTGTTGGCAGAGCTGTGTTCCTTCTGGGGTTTTTGGGTGAATCTATTTCCTTCCCTTTTCTGGCTTCTGGAGGCCACCTGCATTGCTTGGTTCATGGCCCTGTGTGACTCTGACTTCTACTTCCATTTTGTTGTTGTTGTTGTTACTTCTCCCACTCTGACTCACCTATCTCCCACTTTCAGTTAGTAAGGCCCTTGTGATTACACTGGGCTCATTTAGATGATGCAGGATAATCTCCCCATTTCGAGATCTTAATCACATCTACGAAGTCCCTTTTTGTCATATAAGATAACAATATCCACAGGTTCTGGGAATTAGGACATGGACACCTTTTGCGGGGGCATGATTCTGCCTGTCATAGCTCCTAGAGGGGAAAGTAGAATTTGTTTTTATTGCCTGGTTTTTCATAGGAAATTCGATTTGTTTGCTGAAATCCCTCAAGGACCTATTCAAGCCTACCTCTTCCAGAAAGCCTTCCCAGGCTGCTTCTGCCCGTCTGCTTCTTTTAACTCCTACAACATGTGATCTGAACTGTGCACTTTAGTATTCTTTGTGTGCAATCCTTACCTGTTCATATGTACTCACTTTGTCTCCCTGATGGCACTGTGGGCACTTGAGGACCAAGGACTTCTACTATCTCTTTCACAATCCCTAGCACAGATAGTAGGTGCTCAATTAAAATCCAGTGGTTTGCACCAACCTAGATGGTTAAAAAAAAAGCAAAGAAAACCCAGAGGTTGAGGGAGGGTAGATCCAACCAGTTTCCTAAGCTGTTCCACATTCCTCCTCCTCTCCCCAAATCATTCTCTTTCCCAGGGCTATAAAGAGCAGGGTTGCATTTGGTAACAGTTCTGGTCCTCATCCTTGGGGCTCACCGTGGGGGAAATGGTGTATATCCCTGCAGGCAGAATTCCTGAATTCCCCACTCCCCAGGCTGCAAGGTGTTGACCAAAAGCCCGGGTGTGTCCTCTCCCTAGCTCCCCGCAGCCACCGCCACCCATTGGAATGGCCAACAGGGGACCTGCATATGGCCTGAGCCGGGAGGTGCAGCAGAAGATTGAGAAACAATATGATGCAGATCTGGAGCAGATCCTGATCCAGTGGATCACCACCCAGTGCCGAAAGGATGTGGGCCGGCCCCAGCCTGGACGCGAGAACTTCCAGAACTGGCTCAAGGATGGCACGGTGAGAGCCGGGCCCCACTGGCTTGGAAGTGCAGGGAGAGCAGGACTGGGTCCAGTGGACTGGGGATTGTTTAACCTGAAGAGGAGAAGACTGAAGGCACACATGTCCCAGCCTCTTCCTCAGCTTGAAGGCCTTTGTCAAGGATGTGAGAGGGCCCATGCTTTCCTCCCTTCCCGTGGAGTGGAGGGTAAGGGTGAATGTGCCTCCCAGGCAGTGGAAGACTGAGGTGACACTGAGGAAGAATGTCTCTAAGGAAAGAACTGTGGGAGGGTATATTAGCAAGGAAAGACTAAACACTGGCTTTTCACTCTGGGCTCGGAGGAAGGAGGCTGGCAAGAAGGACTGTGAGGCTTACTCTAGTGAAAGAGTCCAAGCTGTCTTCAGGCAAGACAGGAGCCTCTCTGGTTCATTGTCTCTGGTTCTGAGGGTGGTGCACGCTGAGCTGCGATAGGTAGGCATATTCTCACCTTTCCACCCCTGCTGTCCTCATCCAGGTGCTATGTGAGCTCATTAATGCACTGTACCCCGAGGGGCAGGCCCCAGTAAAGAAGATCCAGGCCTCCACCATGGCCTTCAAGCAGATGGAGCAGATCTCTCAGTTCCTGCAAGCAGCTGAGCGCTATGGCATTAACACCACTGACATCTTCCAAACTGTGGACCTCTGGGAAGGTGGGACAGGGCGAGGGGCTGGGTCCTGTCATCCAGGAGGCCAGAGATTGGGCTGGGCCCTCTTGACCAGGCAGAAGGGGCTGTTTTCTGGCTCCCTGCAGAGAAAGAGGGGTGTGTTTGTGTTCCATGGAGCACTTGGTCATATTGGAGGCTGGAATGGAGAAGGGTATGGAAATGAACAGTAGAAATAATTAGGAAGCCAGGCCTGCTGACTTAGCGATAGAGGCGGAACCCTGGTATCTAGGACACTGCGGAGGCTGACACATTCCCATTCTCCTTCCCAGGAAAGAACATGGCCTGTGTGCAGCGGACGCTGATGAATCTGGGTGGGCTGGCAGTAGCCCGAGATGATGGGCTCTTCTCTGGGGATCCCAACTGGTTCCCTAAGTAAGTATTGCTGGGACAGCCGCAGGGTCCAGCAGGTGCATTGTTTCTGCCCAATCCTGTCCCTAGGAAATAACTTATCTCAGTAGCAGCTGGCCCTTTACAAAGCA
The DNA here is from genome assembly GCF_000001405.40 of Homo sapiens. Classification (NCBI taxonomy): domain Eukaryota; kingdom Metazoa; phylum Chordata; class Mammalia; order Primates; family Hominidae; genus Homo; species Homo sapiens. The sequence continues at coordinate 159,919,166 of NC_000001.11, read as the reverse complement.
CTTTCAGAAAATTCCTCATCTCACTTAATCCTCACAACACCCTCTGGGATGGCAAATGACTGTCCCTTTGGACAGATGAGGAGGTGGCTTCAGAGAGCTTATGGCTCTCGAGGGCAGAGCTGGCACCAGCCCTTGAGCCAACAGCAAAGCCTGTGCTCTGTCCAAGGAAGGGATTTACTAGGGCAGCCTGTGATCTCCTCTAACCACCACTCCCTTGTCACCCAGGAAATCCAAGGAGAATCCTCGGAACTTCTCGGATAACCAGCTGCAAGAGGGCAAGAACGTGATCGGGTTACAGATGGGCACCAACCGCGGGGCGTCTCAGGCAGGCATGACTGGCTACGGGATGCCACGCCAGATCCTCTGATCCCACCCCAGGCCTTGCCCCTGCCCTCCCACGAATGGTTAATATATATGTAGATATATATTTTAGCAGTGACATTCCCAGAGAGCCCCAGAGCTCTCAAGCTCCTTTCTGTCAGGGTGGGGGGTTCAGCCTGTCCTGTCACCTCTGAGGTGCCTGCTGGCATCCTCTCCCCCATGCTTACTAATACATTCCCTTCCCCATAGCCATCAAAACTGGACCAACTGGCCTCTTCCTTTCCCCTGGGACCAAAATTTAGGGGCCTCAGTCCCTCACCGCCATGCCCTGGCCTATTCTGTCTCTCCTTCTTCCCCCTGGCCTGTTCTGTCTCTGAGCTCTGTGTCCTCCGTTCATTCCATGGCTGGGAGTCACTGATGCTGCCTCTGCCTTCTGATGCTGGACTGGCCTTGCTTCTACAAGTATGCTTCTCCCACAGCTGTGGCTGCAGGAACTTAATTTATAGGGAGGAGCCTGTGGCAGCTGCTGCCCCAGCCACAGCTGCACTGACTGTGCTCACCACACATCTGGGGCAGCCTTCCCTGGCAGGGGCCCTCGTGGCTTCTCATTTTCCATTCCCTTCACTGTGGCTAAGGGGTGGGGTGAGGGGATGGAGAGGGAGGGCTGCCTACCATGGTCTGGGGCTTGAGGAAGATGAGTTTGTTGATTTAAATAAAGAATTTGTCATTTTTGAATGGACTCTGGCTGTGTCTGGGGCCACTGTGCCACTGTGGGGAAGGGAGGAATACTGGGCAAAGTGCAGTGAGTGATACAGGAAGGAGGGCAGAGATGAGAGGTTGCAGTGCTAACCCCTGTCTTGAGTTTCCTCCCCATCCTCATTCTCACTTGCTTTGGGGGGTGGTGTAGGTTGGAATTGAGAGGGGACAGGACCTCACAGCTGAATGCAGACTATGTAGGCAGTGTCCACAGGGAAGTAAGGCCCTTTCTAGTCAATGGAATTGGCTAATCCTGCCTGCTGCCTTTGGCTGGGTCTGCCTCTACAGTTGGAACAGCTTCTCAGTCACTGAGAGGGTGGGGCTGGCTGCTGGCACAGCCATCAGTCCTGGCAAGTGAAGCTGTCTCCAGGTGAGAGGTCCCTCAGGCGGGCTTGGGGTGAGGTGGTCTGTGTTGGAGTGGTGAGGGTGGGGGTTGCAGTGGTGAGGAAACGTGGAGAGCTGGGGAATGAGCAGGAGTGAGTTGGTGGTGGTCGCTGGAGGGAAGAAGCCGTGTTGATTGATCCTAAGCACCTGTGAACTAAGTGCCTGGGAGAGACTAAAACTTCCTTTCTAGGGTGTGGCCTTGGGCCATGATCATCAATTTTGGGTCAGGTTGTCTCTAGCACCTATCCTTGACCGAGGCATGAGTGTTCCACCCACAGTTTCTTTTTTTTTCTTTTCTTTTTTTTTTTGAGACAGAGTCTTGCTTTGTCACCCAGGCTGTAGTGCAGTAGCATGATCGCTCTTGTTCTCCAGGCTGGAGTGCAGTGGCATGATCTCGGCTCACTGCGACCTCCGCCTCCCAGGTTCAAGCGATTCTCCTGCCTCAGCCTCCTGAGTAGCTGGGATTACAGGCATGTGCCACCACGCCTGGCTAATTTTTTTGTATTTTTAGTAGAGACGGGGTTTTTCCACGTTGGTCAGGCTGGTCTTGAACTCCCGACCTCAGGTGATCTGCCAGCCTCGGCCTCCCAAAGTGCTGGGATTACAGATGTGAGCCACCGTGCCTGGCTATTTTTTGTATTTTTTATAGAGATGGGGTTTCACCATGTTGGCCAGCCTGGTCTCGAACCCCTGAGCTCAAGCGATCTGCCTGACCTCATGGCTCTGCCTTTTCTTGCCATCTCCCAACTCCCCAGCCTCAGCCTCCCAAAGTGCTGGGAGCCCCACCCATAGTTTCTAACCACTAGGTGTTACCTTTACCCCAAGGCTTCCCAGTCAGACTCTGTGTCTCCCCAGGGGGAATTTGAGGGACGCTGGGCCAGTCTGACATTAAGTTCCAGCCCCATCAGCCTCACCCAGAGGCCTGGCCTTCCTTGCCCCTTTCCCCTTTTCTACCTGAGGGTATCTCTGTCTCCTAGGAGGAGAAAGCCACAACACTGTGCCTGAGGGAAACAGGTTTGTATCCAGAGCTTTTGTTCTCTCCCCTTTTGTTCCCCTGCTTCTCTGAGGCTCCCTCTTCCAAAAAGCACCCACTAGGGGCGAGGCCCAATGCCAATTCTTCATAGCCATGGCTGTCAGCCTCATCCCCACACCACGCTTAGCCTTGCCACACCACACCTCGGGAGAGACTGTATTTGCTTGCTTGCTGCACTCCCACAGGCTGTGGCACAGATAAGATAGGCTGCAGCCTATGGGCAAATTCCCAGGGGATTAGATCCTTTATCTCTCATTCAGGAAGGCTTTGTGGAATGCTAGTCAGGGAGAGTGATGTCATTGCAGAGAAAACATTGAATTCGCTATGTATACTAAAACAACAAGCCGTTTGCCACCTTCCCTGGTTTAACTATTTATAGCTATAAATTATTGGCCACACGCCTCACAACTCTGAGAAATGCCATTTGTTACAGTGCCAGCGCTGAGAACCACTGCCTTCTCCCAGAAGATTCTCACAAACGCCCAGGAGGTGGATATTACTGTAATGTGTTCCCCATTTTGTCTTTAGATGAGGATACTGGTCTCAGAAGGGCCAAGGAATGTGCCCAGGGCCACAAAGCAATTAAGGGAGAAGCAGGGATTTGCATCCAATCAAGCTGGCTCTGAACCTGGCTGAGCCTGTGCAGCTCTAGGCTCAGCAAGAAGTGAAGCTGTCAAGGGACTAGGGGACAGAGGTGGTGGTGGGTGGCAGGGCAATGCTCCTCATCTGTAAGCTGAAGATGATAATTCCTTCCTCGTGAAGTTGCCGTGAGGATTAGATGAACCCTGGAAAGCACTTTGCATGGGGAATGCTAGCACATAGTGCTCAGGAAATGGAAGTGTGGGGAATAAAAGGTGGAACATTTGTGTATGGACCCTGGGCTGAGAGGGAGCTGATGCCCAGCAGTTTCATGCCCTTCACCACTGTCCTGTTGAACACGGGCCAAGATGCTTTCAGTGGCCCTATCCCCTTTACCTGGAACAGCTTATTTTCAAGGGAGACACCAGCTGTATTTGAGAGGGGCTCAGCCATTGGGCTCACCTTCTTCTGGCTGCACCCACCACCACCCAAGCCTTGTGAGGAATCTCAATGTTCCCTTAATTCATCTAACTGCAGACTCAGCTGCTTCCTTCTGGAGCCGGCCTCCAGTGGCATCTCAACATTTTCCAGCTTTCTGTTTGTCTGCTTTCTAGCATTTTGTCTCACCTGAGGTTACAATTTCATCCTTAACTTGGCTTCTCTCATCTCTGACCCCACTTCAGGCCCTGGGGCCCAGACTAGGCACCAGCCTGTGTATGGTTCTGCCTTTTCTTGCCATCTCCCAACACCTTATTCTGTGTGGCTGTCTACAGTGGTGTCTCTCTCTCTTTCTTACATTTTTCTTTATTATTATTATTATTAATTATTATACTTTAAGTTCTAGGGTACATGTGCATAACGTGCAGGTTTGTTACATAGGTATACATGGGCCATGTTAGTTTGCTGCACCTATCAGCTCGTCATTTACATTAGGCATTTCTCCTAACGCTATCTCTCCCCCAGCCTCCCACCTCCACAACAGGCCCCGGTATGTGATGTTTCCCTCCCTGTGTCCATGTGTTCTCATTGTTCAACTCTTTCTTTCTTTCTTTCTTTTTTTTTTTTTTTAACTTTAAGCTCTGGGATACAGGTGCTGGACATGCAGGTTTGTTGCATAGGTATACGTGTGCCCTGGTGGTTTGCTCCACCTATCAACCCATCACCTAGGTTTTAAGCCCCGCATACATTAACTGTTTGTCCTGATGCTCACCCTCCCCTCGCCACACCCCTTCCCCGACCACAGACCCTGGTATGTCTTGTTCCCCTCTCTGTCTACGTGTTCTCATTGTTCAACGCGCTACAGAGGTGTCTCCTAACACTCTGCACTTGCAGGGCTTCTCCTGCCGCCTGGAACAATCTCCTTCCAGGTGCTGCCCTCACTTGCTCCTTTATCTCCTTCAGGTTTTTGTTTAGACGTCATCTTCCCTGATCACCTCATTTAAAACTGCACACTTCACCCTCAGCCTGGACCCCGTGCTCCATTCCTGCTTTCTTTTATCACCACCTGACACCCAATATATTTTACTTATTTATTTTCTGTCCCCACCCATAGAATGTAAACTACACAAAGGCAGGCTTTTGTTGGTTTTGCTCATGTAGAGTAGTGGTTGGCATGTTGTAGGTGCTGGATAAATATTTGTTGAATGAATGAGTGAGCATGACACCACCCTCATGCTCCTCAGCCCCCTGGCTTGGCAACACAGTGCCCAGCCAGCCCAAGGGCCTAGCAACCCAGCCTTTCATCATATCTGAGATACAGCCCAGCTCATGTCTCTGCTTCCAATGCTTCCAGATTATTCATTTCCAAAAAATAAAAACCCAAGAAGCTGCATTTCCTACAGATAGAGGAGAGGAGGTTGGAGGGTGGATTGCATGCTCTGGACACATGGAAGGTGATTTGAGGATTTGGGGGAAAAAAATGGGAGGAGGGCAGGAGGAAGAGGTAGGAGCCAGCTTGGGTTCATTTGCTCCTTGCCTTCAGCCTGGAAGTGGAAAATCACTGTGGAGGTGGAGGGAAAGTAGGCTTGGCCCATGATGGCCAATGGAAAGGAGAGTTGGGGAAGGGAGGCAGAGAGGAGGAGGAAGAGGGGGAGAAGGAAGAAGGTTTCAGATGCTCCACCCAGTTTGGCTCACCTGTGGGTAACAAGCGTAGCTCTCTGCAGCCTATTCATATGCGTGTGAGTGTGCATCCAGGTGTGTGAGAATTCTCAGGGCTAGGGCTGGGGGCCAGGGGGTGGGGTGCGGTGCAGGTGGGAGGAGATAATCTGTGACTGTGTGTGGAGGCTGCCTATGAGTATGTGTTTACCAAGGATTGGGGATAATGGGTGCAGAGAGGTGTTTGTCCTGCGTGTGTAGGCATCTGTGTGTTTGTACATGGTTCCGTGGAGAATAATATGTCCCATTCCTGCCTCCACAGCTGAAGGAGGCCTTTGAGAGCTTGGCAGAAGGCCCAAGGAGCAGTGGAATGGGGAAAGTGCTGGATGATAGGACCCCAGGGAGGGAACAATAAAGGGCCTGGGATTAAATTTGTTGAAGAAAAGGCTAAAAGGGTGAATTAATAACTGTCTTCTTGCAAAGAAATGGATTTTAGTCCCTGTGGCCAGGGAGGTAGATTAGAAGAAAATGCACCAAAGTTGCATCTAGAGAAATTTAGATTAGACAAGGAAAAATGATCCTCTTGACTCTGAAGGTTATTAGCCTTTGGAATCTCTTAAGGGTCAGGAGGAATGTCTTCAATAATAGGACAAAATGCATCTTCTTGCAGAGGAAAATGGGCAGTTCTGCCTGGGAATCGTCATATACACACTCATTTTTTTCATTCATATATTCATTCATTTAACAATTATTGAGATCCTACTTTATGTCAGGGTTTATGGAGGATGTGGATTATTAATACATGATCTCTTTGCTCAAAGAGTGCATAGTTCTGTAGGGGAGATACAACACAGATAGAAGCCATACTATTTATTTATTTTTTGAGACAGAGTCTCTCTCTGTTGGCCAGGCTGGAGTACAGTGGTGCGATCTCGGCTCACTGCAACCTTTGTCTCCCGGGCTCTAGCAATTCTTCTGCTTCAGCCTCCCCAGTGGCTGGGATTACAGGCGTGTGCCACCACGCCCGGCTAATTTTTGTATTTTTAGTAGAGACGGGATTTCACTGTGTTGGCCAGGCTGGTCTCAAACTCCTGACCTCAGGTGATCCACCCAACTCGGCCTCTCAAAGTGCTGGGATTACAGGTGTGAGCCACCACGCAGGCCAGAAGCCACAATAATTTAGGAAACCTGTGACATTTGCCTTTGGAGAAATGCAAATAGGGCTTTTTGGGAAGACTACTGCCTCCCTCTCAATGCTCTGGATGAATTCCTGGATGGTGACTGGTGGTGATGTCATGGGGAGCTGAGGCCGCGTACCTCAGGGATCATCTCCCCTGATCAGCCCAGGGGAGTAGGAGAGCCAGCTGGGGGGACTGCTCTGGAAAAAGGAGCAGTCCCTGGCTTTGTGTGGTCAGAAGTCAAGTTTCAGTGTGGAGCGAGGGGCTATTTCTTTCCTGCCTGGGGTGGGGAAGGGCAAAAAGGCCTGAGTCAGGGTGAGAACCAGGGATCAGGTAAGGACAGATCAACATCAATGGAGCTGGGGGTAGGTCTGAAGGGGTTATATAAACACTTCCTCAGACACTGGGACTGTCAGCTGTTTCACATCATTGCTGGCAGGACCTGAATTTTTTTTTTTCTTTTTCTTGAGATGGAGTCTTGCTCTGTTGCCCAGGCTGGAGTTCAGTGGTATGATCTCGGCTCACTGCAACCTCCGCCTCCCAGGTTCAAGCAATTCTCCCTGCCTCAGCCTCTTGAGTAGCTGGGAGTACAGATGCCTGCCACCACACCTGGCTAATTTTTGTATTTTTAGCAGAGATGGGGTTTCACCATGTTGGCCAGGCTGGTCTCGAACTCCTGACCTCAGGTGATCCACCCACCTCAGCCTCCCAAAGTGCTGGGATTACAGGCATGAGCCACCGCCCATGGCCTCTCTCCCATTTTATAGATGAGGAAACTGAAGCTAAGAGAATAAAAGTAACTTGCTGAACCCAGCTAGTGGAAAAACAGATTTAAACTTCTTACCACTGAAGCCCAAGCTATTGCTCACCCTGTCATGGGGCTCCCCTGTGAGGTGGCTGACCCTGGGGAAGGGTTCAGCCTGCAACGGACTTGAGCTACGGTTTCTCTGTGAGTGGAGGCCCAGGGCCACAGTGGAGGAAGGAAGAGGTCAGGTTTGGGAAGAGGTGCAGGAAGTTCAGTTCTGCAGGTGCCACTCCTCTGAGGCAAGCGAGGATCTGGCAGCTTTAGATGGGAACTAATGGAGAGTACCTGAGATCCAGCCCCTGGATCCTACAACTTGAGGTTTCCATCCCCAAGTCTCCCTGATCTCTCTGGACCCTCCTCAGACAGCCAACATTTATCTCCAGCAATAAAAGCTATCACAACTCTCAGGACGATACCCGAGAGTTGCATTTTCAAGGCATTAGCATATCTGTTAATTCCAGAGAGGCTTGTCGCCTCTTGGTAGGGCTTTAGTAGTTTTATACCCTTTAGAGAGAAGAGAAGAGCTAAGCCTAGAGACTGTAAGTGATTTGCCCAGGGTCCCAGTGTTCTTGGGAGTAGAAAGCATGCCTTATGTATCTTTGTGTGGCTCACAAGTCTCAGAACAGACAGTGTCAGGCCCAGAAGGAGCTCAGTCCAAGTTCATTGTATTGAATTGGTTCTGTATGCACTAGATTCTGGGTCTCTGGACTCCTGGTCACTCACTTGATGTTGAAAATACCCAAAGTCAAGTGTACCCCTAGAGATGAGTTTGGCTGTAGACTACAGTGGACACAGGGTGGTGGGATACCCCAGCTCCTATCGTATGTTTTCTCCTAACCCTGCTACAAGGAATCTCAACTTCTTAAAACTTGTTCTGTTCTCTGAGTGACGTCCTCAGACTGACAGCATTGGACTCTCCTGGCTTGCTGGTTAGAAATGCAGATTCCATGATGTGGTCTTGTCATAGAGACACAAGGCCCAGTGGTCACTGAGGGATGTGCTCTCTGCATGGGCAAGACTGTGACTATCTTAATACCCTGCTGGGCCTCCCCATGCTGCCTGGTAGAGTAGGCTTTCCACAAATAAATGTGTTAAATGAATGGAAAAAGAAAAAAAAAAAAAGAAATGCAGATTCCAGTTAGACCTATGAGACCTATGGACTGAGAATCTGTGGCAGAGGTAGTGGAGGTGGTATCTTGAATTTGCATTTAAACAGACTTCCCCCATAATCCTTAGGCAGCAGTGACCTAGGATATTCGGGGGAGAAGTCTCTCCAGCCAGCAAGAAAATTGAGGTCTGAGAGGCCCTGGCCTTGAGGCCTTGAACAAGAGTTGGCCCTACCCCCTACCCTGCACTGTTTGGTGACTGTGGCTAGGTTGCCAGGGGAACCAGGCTGTGTAACTTCCTGGCTTTGGTGGTTTCCCCCTCCTTGGCCTTATCTCAGCATCCGCCACCCAGTCCAGGGCCTGTGCTGGTCACGTAGGAGGGGAAGCTGGTGCCAGGCGTGCAGAGGCGTGTCTAGGATACCAGGGCAAGGCTGGCCCAAGGACCTGGGGCGGGCAAGATGGTGGAGATGTGGTTTTCAAGAAGGCAGGGAGGCTGCAGATTTGTTAATGTCTTTCTCTTTGGTCTAGGAGATATCGCACTATGGGAATGTGGGGAAGGGGGTTGGTCAGAGCCTGGGGCTCTGTCTGTCATTACTCTGGCATTTCAACTCCTCATTCATGGCCTAATTCCCCCTCCCTGGGAGTAGGGGCACCAATAATACTGTGGCCTGGCCTGTGTCCCCTTTTCTCCTCCTTCCTCCCTCTGCTCTCTAGACTTAGGGCCTCTAGCCGCAAGCACCCCTCAGTACTCCTCACTACCACCCTCACCCTAACATCTCTGCCCCAGCTTTATTCACCCCTACTCATTCTCCTTGGTTCCAAATTTTTTCCTGTTCTTCAGACTCTCTCCCCTCTCTGTGCCGCATGCACGGGTCTCTCAGAAGGTAGCAGGAAGCCCTGACAGTCTTCAAGAATGGAAAACAGAAAAAGTTTTGAAGAAAGAGGGAAGGCAGGAAATAGTTGAATAAAATAATTAATGCATTTAAGTATTTGTTTATGTTCTAAGCCATACTTTGAAGCAGTTTTGAGAATTCAAGTGTTCCAGGAAGGAGAATAATGAAAATAGTGAAATAGCCTCTCAGGCCTCTATGCAACTTGGAGGATTTATGTTCTGATTCCTGATGGTGTTTATATTACATTAAGAACAAATACCCCCCACCCCCCCTGCCCCACCATATTCCCATGCTCTGGGGGAAAGAAGTGCAAAGAAAATAGCCAGACACTGTGCAAATTGATTTTTCCAGCCTGGTCTTATCTTCATGGTATCTCTCTTTGGGGCTATTACCCTATCTCACAGATTAAGAAACAAGGCCCAGGTGGTTCAGCAAGTTACCCAAGGCCTCTCAGCTCTAAGTGGCTGAGCCAGGGTTCAAAACCTGCTAATCTGTCTCCACAATTAGTCACCACTTCTCTTCTTCACTTTGCTCCCCCAGGGAACACAAATCAGGGAGACTTCTTCTAGGATATCCTAGATGGAATTATTGACTAGGAACCAGGCCTAGAAGAAATGATGCTGTACTGAGGACTGAATGGGCATTGCAGAATTCCTTTATTGGGGGGGTGGGCACCCCTAATATGGGAGCAGAGGCTATATAGGGCAATGCGGACAGTTCCAAAGGAAGGGGGGACCCCTATCCTGGAGAATTCCCAGTAGTTAGCAAAGGAGTTCAGAGGAAACATGAGAGAAATAGACCAACATTAACACAAGTTATATGCACTTGCAAAGACTCTTCCACAGGAATGTGGAAACCCCATATCTCATTCCAACTCTATGGTCCTGCTATCCCCATCCCAGTTTCTTTGCCTTCTTCTTTCACATCCAGCCTCAGCATCTCTGATCCCTGCACTGGGAGGTGCAGTTTCCTAAATGCGGTTCAGAGAAAGGGGACAGGGAAGAGAGGAGGGGAAGGCAGGGGACGGGAGGGAGGGAAGGGGACGGGAAGGACAGAGCAAGAATCAGGGAACCAGTCTCCTTTCTCGTTGTTCTTAGACAGGAGACATGCTCAAGTAACAGGCTAGACTTTTCATTGTAACCATACGGCTGTGCTGGACCTTGTCTCCCAGACTCCTCTCATTTAAATATGCTTATTCATCAGAGGGTCAAAATTCCTATCCCTCCCACCTCCGCCGTGCAGGGAGAACCTGGGGGCCAGCGGGGTGACCAGCACCCAGGTCCAGTGGCTGTGAGGTAGAGGTGCCAGGACCAAGTCCAGCCCAAGATTGCTGGGCTCTGCTCCTGCCTCCTCCGCACCCAGCTACTGTCTTGGATCTGAGCTCCTGGCCCCTGGCTGACAATCAGGCTTTATTCTGAGACTTCTCTGGGAGTAGGAAGGGTCAGGGAGCCCGAGGTGGGGTTAGGGTTGGGCAGAGAATCTGGACCTACTCTCTTTCTCAGGCATCTTTAGTCTCTAAACTTTTCCCCTTGTTCTCAGTCCTTGGCTTGCTGGGCAGTGAGAATGGGTTGAAAATGGGATCAAGAACTAGGAGGAGAGTGAAATGAGAGCTTGGGGGAAGGAAAGGGACTCTAAAGATGCACAAATAGAAAAGGGGGAAAGAAAAGCTGGAAAACAACAGGGAGGAGAAGAGTGAGTGGAGCTTGGCCTAGGTTGGGAGGTGAGAGTGAGGACACCCCCGCTCCTCACCCCCAGCAGCACCAGATATGGCTGCAGTTTTGAGCCAAGTTTTGCTGAGAAGGGGAAGGTTGCCTCCCTACTTATCAGGGTGGACCTTGGTTTTGTGAGGTATGAAGCTTATACAATTTCGAAAGCTCCATTTGTGAAAAACAACAAAAAATTATTAAGATTAATTACAGAAGTAAACATTTGTTTTGAATAATAAATTCACAACAAATTACAAATTTAAAAAAACCTGGCAAATACTATAAACATCATAAGATTTAGAAAAGTAACACAGGATTTGTGTGAATTAATTGCTTGAAGCAACTCTAAAATACAATAGTTTTATCTTTACATTGTTGCCTGCATACACTTTGTCTCTTCATATGACAACAATGTTATCATATTATTTGCTACAGAGAGCATAGAAAGACAATTCAGTCTTTTCTCTGGCATTGTAAGTGTGGGAAAAACACTCAAAGTTCTTTTCCTTATTTTCTCACTCAACAACAATCAAGGCAGACAGAAGGCTTCTGTGATCAAATGTGGGGGTCTTCTCCCCACCAACAAACAAGCAGTTGATTCTGCAGCAGATACCAGCTCGAATGCAATTCATGCTACCTACCTGGAGATAGTGTCAGATCCCAAAGGTTGGGTACTCAGCCTCCAAAACTGCTCCTTGCTTCAGACAGCAGTCACAAGTCTGGGTATCCGGAACTTCTGACTGACCGGCTTAAGTTGGGGTTCCCACAACCCCCCTTTGGGTTCGATTCATTTGCTGGAGCAGCTTAGAGAACTCAGGGTGACATTTACGTTCACTGGTTTATTATAAACTATATTGTGAAGGATACAGATAAAGAGATGTGTAGGGTGAGATATGGAGGAAGGAGTGTGGAGTTTCCATGCCCTCTCCACCCCTCTCCAACCAGGTGTTCAGGTTCAGCTGAACACCTGAACCTCCAGGTCTTCAGCTATCTGGAAGCTCCTGAACCCTGTTCTCTTGGGCCTTTTATGGAGACTTCGTTGGATAGGCATGATTGAAGCATGGACATTGTGTAGAAATATGATTGGAACAAAAGGGAATAACAGACTGACTGGGGAAAACCTGGCAGGACCTGTCTGTTCAGATTTTTCTTGGCCTCTCTGTGCAGCATTCCTTCATTTAGGTATGGGGCAGGACTCTCTGGAATGAGGGTCTTGTGGCCCACAACCAGATTAGAGTCTTACCTTGGGCAGATGAAAGGAGAGCAGAAGAAGATCAAAGAGAGAGAGATTCTGTTTCCTGAGGCCTGCTTCTGAGGCCTAGAGCACCCCAACATTATAACAAAAGACTATCTATGGGAGTTATGAGCCAGGAATGGTGGATAAAAAAATTATATATATAGATGATTGATAGATAAATGATAGATAAATATCACAGGCATGGATTGATCAACAGTTCTATTACAGATTAGAATGTTTCACTTCACAGTTCTTTGTAAATCATGTCAATTTTTATGATAGCTGTCAATTTGGGAAAATCTGTATTAAAATTTTTAAATGAGTTGTATGATTTCAGACCATTGTTCAGTAATTAATCCTAAATGTTCTCTTTTTTTTGAAATATGGTCACACTTGGTCACCCAGGCTCGAGTGCAGTGGCATGATCTCGGCTCACTGCAGCCCCGACCTCATGGGTTCAAGGGTTCCTCCTGCCTCAGCCCCCAAGTAGCTGGGACTATAGCCATGCGCCACCATGCCCGGCTCCTAAATGTTCTTTGAATTGATGGCACTCATTAACCAGTTCATCATAGGCCCTCACTTTAGTGTGCTAATGTGAATTTTACACAATCTCCACCAATGTCAATGTTTATGTCAAATCAACAAGACATTTAGTATTTTCCCAACATATTCATGGAATTTCCTTCTTCTTATTAGATTACAAACAATCCAAATGCCTATGTATTCTATTAAAAATTTGTCTATTCCTTTTTTTTTTTTTTTTTTTTTTGAGATGGAGTCTTGCTCTGTCGCCTAGGCTGGAGTGCATTGGCACCATCTTGGCTCACTGCAAGCTCTGCCTCCTGGGTTCACGCCATTCTCCTGCCTCAGCTTCCCATCCTCTATTTTTTTTTTTAATGGGGGTGGATAGGCTTCAATTTCATCTAATAATATAAGAAAAAAAAAGTAAAAGAAAAAATAGAGATGGAGTCTCGCTATATTGCCCAGGCTGTTCTTGAGCTTCTGTGCTCAAGCCATCCCCCCACCTCAGCTTCCCAAAGTGCTGGGATTACAGGTGTGAGCCACTGTGCCTGGCCTACCTATTCCTGTTATTGAATGATAGGCACATCTCATTTTATTGCACTGTGCTTTATTGCGCTTTACAGATATTGTGGTTTTTACAAAATAAAAGTTTGTGACAACACTGAGCAAGTCTATCGGCACCATTTTTCCAACACCATGTGCTCACTTCATGTCTCTGTGTCACATTTTGGTAATTCTTGCAATATTCCAAACTTTTTCATTATTATTATATCTGTTACGGTGATCTGTGATCAGTGATTTTTGATACTACTATTGTAATTGTCCTGGGGCACCACAAACAGCACCTGTATAAACGCCAAACTGAATCAATAAATGTTGTGTGTATTCGACCCAACAATATTGAAATTAGGCTAGTTAATAACCCTACAATGTCTTCTAAGCATTTAAATGAAAGGAAGAGTTGCTGTCTCTCACTTTAAATCCAAGGCTGATCCAGGTGAGAAGGCATGCCTATAGTACCAGCTCCTCAAGAGCTGAGGCAGGAGGATAGCTTGAGCCAAGGAGCTGGAGTCCAGCCTGGGCTATGCAGCAAGACCCTGTCTCTCTTTGAAAAAAAAATATCAAAAGCTGGAAATGATTAAGCTCAGCAAGGAAGGCACATCAAAAGCTAAGATAATCTGAAAGCTAGGCCTCTCATGCCAGTTAGCCAAGTCGCAAATACAAAAGAAATGTTCTTGAAGGACATTAAAAGTGCTATTACAGTGAACACATGAATGATAAGCAAAAAAAACCAGCCTTATTTCTGATATGGAGAAAGTTTTAGTGCTCTGGATAGAAGACCACACCAGCCACAACATTCCCTTAAGTCCACCTAGTTGGGCCGGGCGCTGTGGCTCATGCCTGTAATCCTAGCACTTTGGGAGGCTGAGGCGGGCAGATCACAAGGTCAGGAGATTGAGACCATCCTGGCTAACACGGTGAAACCCCGTCTCCACTAAAAATACAAAAAAATTAGCCAGACGTGGTGGCGGATGCCTGTAGTCCCAGGTACTCGAGAGGCTGAGGCAGGAGAATGTCATGAACCCAGGAGGCGGAGCTTGTAGTGAGCTGAGATTGCGCCACTGCACTCCAGCCTGGGCGACAGATGAGACTCCAACTCAAAAAAAAAAAAAAAAAAAGTCCACCTGGTCAAGAGCAAGGCCCTAACTCTCTTCAATTCTATGAAGGGTGAGAGAAGTGAGGAAGAAAAAAGTTTGAAGCGAGCCGAGGTTGGTTCAGGAAAGAGGTTATCTCCATAACATAAAAGTGCAAGGTGAAGCAGCAAGTGTTGATGCAGAACCTGAAGCAAGTTGTCCAGAAGATCTAGCTAAGACAATTGATGAAGATGGCTACACTAACAGATTTTGAATGTAGATGAAACAGCCTTCTACAGAAGAATATGCCATCTAGGACTTTCATGGCTAGAGAGAAGTCAATGCTTCAAAACTTCAAAGGGATGGCTGACTTTCTTGTTAGGGGTTAACACAGCCGGTTCCTTTATTTTTTTATTTTTTATTTTTCTGAGATAGGGTCTCACTCTGTCACACAGGCTGGAGTGCAGCGGCACAATCTCAGCTCACTGCAACTTCTGCCTCATGGGTTCAAGTGATTCTCATGCCTCAAGTAGCTGGGATTACAGGCACATGTCACCATGCCCAGCTGATTTTTTTTTTTTTTGTATTTTTAGCAGAGATAGGGTTTCACCATGCTGGCCAGGCTGGTCTCAAGCTCCTGACTTCAAATGATCTGCCCGCCTAGGCCTCCCAAAGTGCTGGGATTACAGGCGTGAGTCACCGCACCCAGCCAGCTGGTTCCTTTAAGTTGAAAGCAATGCTTACTTATCATTCCAAAAATCCTAAGGCCCTTCAGAATTATACTAAATTGGTTCTGCCTGTGCTCCATCAATGGCCCAACAAAGCAGGGATGACAGCACATTTGTTTACAGCA
This sequence comes from Homo sapiens, assembly GCF_000001405.40. Lineage (NCBI taxonomy): Eukaryota > Metazoa > Chordata > Mammalia > Primates > Hominidae > Homo > Homo sapiens. Next base: position 159,904,065 of record NC_000001.11, on the reverse strand, counting down.
TGGTTTACTGAATATTTTAAGCCCACTGTTGAGACCTACTGCCCAGAAAAAATGATTCCTTTCAGAATATTACTGCTCATTGACAATGCATCTAGTCACCCAAAGACTCTGATGGAGATGTAGTAGAAGAGCAATATTGTTTTCATTTCTGCTAACACAATATCCATTTTGTAGCCCATGGATCAAGAAGTAATTTCCAATCTCAAGTCTTATTATTTAAGAAATACATTTTGTAAGGCTATAACTACCATAGATAATGATTTTTCTGATGAATCTGGTCAAAGTAAATTGAAAACCTTCTGAAAAAGATTTGCTATTCCAGGTGCCATTAAGAACATTCATGATTCATGAGAAAAGATCAAAACATTGAGATTAACAGGAGTCTGGAGGAAGGTGATTCCAACTCTCATGGATGACTTTGAGGGGTTCAGGACTTCAGTGTAGGAAGTAATTGCAGACATAGTGGAAATAGCAAGAGAGCTAGAATCAGAAATGGAACCTGAAGTTGTGATCAAATTGCTGCAATCTCATGATAAAACTGGAATGGTGAGGAGTTGTTTCTTAGGGGGTAGAATCTACTCCTATTCCATTGACGATGGAGCTTTAAAACAACAAACAAACAAACAGAAAAGAGTTTACTCATGGTGAAGACACTGTAATCATTATTGAAATGACAAAAAAGAATTTAGAATATTCCATAAACTTAGAGGATACAGCAGCGGCGGGGCTTGAGAGGACTGATGCCAAGTTTGAAAGAAGTTCTATTGTGGGTAAAATGCTATGAAACAGCATTACATCCTACAGAGAAATCTTTCATGAAAGAAAGAGTCGGCTGGGCGCCGTGGCTCACGCTTGTAATCCCAGAACTTTGGGAGGCGGAGGCGGGCGGATCACCTGAGGTTGGGAGTTTGAGACCAGCCTGACCAACATGGAGAAACCCGGTCTCTACTAAAAACACAAAATTAGCTGGGCGTGGTGCTGCATGCCTGTAATCCCAGCTACTTGGGAGGCTGAGGCAGGAGAATCTCTTGAACCCGGGAGGCAGAGGTTGTAGTGAGCGGAGATTGTGCCATTGCACTCCAGCCTGGGCAACAAGAGCAAAACTCCGTCTCAAAAACAAACAAACAAATACAAAACTAACTTGGTGTGGTGGTGCACCTAATCCCAGCTACTCTGGAGGCTGAGGCAGAAGAATATCTTGAACCCGAGAGGCAGAGGTTGCAGTAAGCCGAGATCGCATCATTGCACTTCAGCTTGGGCAACAAGAGTGAAACTCCATCTGAAAAAAAAATAAAAAAGAAAGGAAGAGTCAACTGATGTGGCAACCTTCACTGTTGTCATATTGTAAGAAACTGCTGCAGCCACCTCTGCTTTCAGCAAGTGCTACCCTCATCAGTTAGCAGCCATTAACACTGAGGCAAGACCCTCCACCAGCAGAAAGATGATGACTCTCTCTGAAGACTCAGATGATTGTTAGCACTTTTTAGCAACAAAGTATATTTAAATTAAGGTATGCACATTTTTTTAGACATAATGCCATTGCACACCTGATAGACTACAGTATAGTGCAAATGTAACTTTCCTATGCACTGGGAAACCAAATAATTTGTGTTGCTCACATTGTATTGTGATATTAGTTTTATTGCAGTGCTCTGAAGCCTAATCTGCAGTATCTCCAAGGTATGCCTGTAGACACATGGCCAAGGGTTCTTCTCTGAGCCTTGACATGTGCTTACGTAAATGAGAGGCCTGAAGCTTAAGCATTGTTAGCTTTGAGATAAATTTTTATTGTATTTTATTTATTTTATTTTTCAAGACAGGGTCTCACTCTTGTCACCCAGGCTGGGTGCATTGGCACGATCATGGCTCAGAGCAGCCTCAACCTCCGAGGCTCAAGTGACCCTCCTAGTGCAGCCTCCCAAGTAGCTGGGACCACTGGCATGTACCACTATGCCTGGCTAATTTTTGATTTTTTGTAGAGATGGGATCTCCCTATGTTGCCCAGGCTGGTCTCAAACTCCTGGATGTAAGCAATCCTCCTGCCTTGGGCTCCCAAAGTACTGGGATTACAGGCATGTAATTGCCTGCTGGGAGGCAAGTCCCTTACACTGCACTCTGTCATTCCCTCCTTCCTGCCATAACTTTTTTAATTTTTCTTTGAGACAGAGTCTTGCATTGTTGCCTGGGCTGGAGTGATCTTGGCTCACTGCAATCTCCCCCTCCTGGCTTCAAGTGATTCTCCTGCCTGAGCCTCCTGAGTAGCTGGGATTACAGGTGCCTGCCACCACCCCCGGCTAATTTTTTGTATTTTTAGTAGAGACGGGGTTTCACTATGTCGGCCAGGCTGGTCTCGAACTCCTGACCTCGTGATCTGCCCACCTTGGCCTCCCAAAGTGCTGGGATTACAGGCATGAGCCACCGCGCCCAGCCCTTTCTGCCTCAACTTTGCACCTTTTCTTCAGAGAGTTACCCTGGGCTGAGAAAAGAATAGATTTTCAATTTGGACAGTTTTTTCTTGGCTTGTTTCCTCTTTGGTTACACGGATAGTAACTATGTCATGCAGATGTGCCTGGGAGAATGGGGTGAATACAGGAAGCACCTTATTCACAGTGGGCCGGTTACTTGTCTTCCCTTCTTTCTGAGCTGCAGGGAACGGGGTTCTAATGCCAAGGCTTAGTAAGGAAGGTTCCCACGAACAAAACAGCCCCTTCTCTCAGTCCCAAGCCTCCCAGGGACTGTGCTCCTCCTCTTCAGGCCTTCCCTTCTCCCTCTGATTAAGCCTTCAACACTTGGTGGGACTGGGCAGGGGACACAATTTTGTACTCTTGATCCCAAAGGAGATAAAGGCTGGGAAATCTAGGGAAGGAATGTGAAGCCTGTTGGAGTAAGTCCTTTTAAAAGCAGCAAGAAGTGACCTTGTCTCCCTCTTTCCATTCCCCCGGGGCTTGTGAATAGCCTTCAGTGCCCAAGTTGGAGTAAGAGCTTCAGAAAGACTGGCTGTGAGGGTTTGGAGAGAGGTTTGAGAAAGCAGCTCAGAGACTCACAGAGTCACACCAAGAGCTTAGCTAATCAGCTAATCAGCACTGGAGGAAGACAAATGTCCTTGGTCTGGTGGGACAGCTTCGTGAGGCTTGGAGCATGCAGCCTACCAAAGTGAGCTCAGTGCCAGCCCTGCAAGTTGGGAGGTAGAGAGGCCAAACCAAATTGGAAAAAATGACAAAACCCCTATGTACTTTCTAGAACAATACATACCAGCTAGGAAGTGTTAAAAGACAAGCTCCCCAAAGTCAGTTCCTTAGCTTTTGACTTATTCTAATGTAGGGCCTCCATTTTTAATAAACTCTCCCAGGTGATTCTTAGCTGCAGATTTGAGGCCCGCAATTTAAGAAACTGCTCTTGAGACTGCATAGACATCCTCAGGGCTGGAAGTTCTTTGTTGACCCGACCAGATTCTCTCCTGCTGTGGAACTGGTTTGTCCTGATCCTGCTGGCTTCTCTGCAGACTACACTCATCAGGGGTTGGCTTGGCGCCTCCTGGGCAATGGGGCAAGAGTAATCATAGCAACCTAGGTGAAGTCCCAGGGGAAAACTGTGACCCTGGGCCAGGCTCCTGGGGCCGCTGACAGTTAGAACCCCCTCGGCCCATAGTAAGTTCTTTAGGTTCGGGTTCTGACCGAAAAGTTTGGCCAAAGCCAAAGTGGAGAGCAGGGCACGCCAGGGCGGGTCAATCCTTCAGAGCCGCGGTTGGGCTGGAGCGTGGAGCTGCAACGGTTGGAGCGACGGGCTCCGGTTCCTAAGCCACCAGCACAAGGCAACTGCCCGCTGGAGGTGGGAGGGGCGGGGCCGGGGGCGGGGCCTGAGCCGAAGAACGCGGGCTAGTGGTTGCCAAGGTAACGCGTCAACACTAGGGCCTTGGCGGCGCCGAGGCGGCAGCAGAAGTCCGGAGTCAGGGCGTGTGGCTGAGGAGATGGTGAGGGAGAACCTCAGATGGGCCCCTTGTGTCCTGAATTGGGTGGGGGCTCTGAGTGGGGAAAGTGGGGGCCTAGGGGAGGTCACAGTTGGGTCTAGGGGTCAGGAGGGCCCAGGAGTAAGGAGAACACCTCTAGAAGAAGCAAGGGAGATCCTGAGGTGGGTTCAAAAGAGGAATTAGGGATAGCATCGATAACGATTGGAAATGTGGAGCGCGCTGAGCGGAGGAGTTGGGGAGAAAGGGATGCCCCAACCCTCTCCCCGTTGCCATTACAGCGGGGCCTCTGTGGACCAAAGATTGTGGATGTGGTGTGGGAAAAAGCACTGGTGGGCCGGGCGCGGTGGCTTACGCCTGTAATCCCAGCACTTTGGGAGGCAGAGGCGGGCGGATCATGAGGTCAGGAGATCGAGACCATCCTGGCTAACACAGTGAAACCCCGCCTCTACTAAAAATACAAAAAATTAGCCGGGCGTGGTGGCGGGCGCCTGTAGTCCCAGCTACTCGGGAGGCTGAGGCAGGAGAATGGCGTGAACCCGGGAGGCGGAGCTTGCAGTGAGCCGAGATCGCGCCACTGCACTCCAGCCTGGGCGACACAGCGAGACTCCGTCTCAAAAAAAAAAAAAAAAAAAAAAAGCACTGGTGAGGAGGCCAGATAATGGGTCGTGGTACCTGTTTTGCCACTAACTAGCAAGGTGACTGTGGGTAAGTCATCTAATGTGCCCGAGCCTCAGGTTTTTCTTCTGTTAGCAGGGCTTTGTATCCCTCAGTAGTTAGTCAATAAATATTTGGCAGTGAATGAATGAATGAATAAATGAGTGAGTGAGTGAGGAGGGTCTCAGGTTTGCAAGGCCCGGGAGAGAGATTGGGACAGGACTGGCAGCCTGGGGTTTGCTGGGATGGGGAGGGCTGTCAGGGTACTGAGGGCTGAGAAGGCCAGCAAAGCCTGGGAGGAACCATGAAGGGGATGCCTGGGCTTGAGTGTGTTGGTCCCAGAGGGGAGGGGAAGGGCAGATGATAAGTGTTGGAGTCTTGGGTTATTGGAACTGACCTAGAATGTCTGGGGCACAACAGGTGGCAAAGGTTGCTACTTGGATGTACTTGTGGACAGACTTCAGGCCCAGGGGCTGCATTGCTTTTCTGGGGCTCAGTGGACCTCAGAAGAATTTTGTTAATTATTAAATAAGTCTCCAACAAAGAGCAGTTCCTGACTTTCGAGGACTCCCTGCAGTGTTGTAATTGGGGTGGGGGAGCGTCCCCTTTCACTTATGTATTCTATTTGATTCAGTGTCCCATCTTCTCTCAGCACCTTACAAACACAGTGGCGTATGTATGTATGTGAACACCTACTGTCATGCCTGGTGTCTAAGGGCATATGGTAAATGTTAGTTCCCCTTTTGTCCTCTTTTAAAAATTTCCTATTTCCAAGCTCTCATAGGGCATAAGTTGCACCTGGGCAAGACCTGTGGGCTTCAGAGCACCCAGATCAGGGATTCCCCATCCAGGAGCCACTCAGGGCAGGGGTTTGACTCACTCACTGAGCCCCTCTGTAATTCCTGGGACAGGACTGGGCATATAGACACCTTTGAGAAGCAGTGGGTCTAAGTTAGTGATCTCTGGCAGGCCAGCTGTGTGTGTTCGTGTACGTATAGTGCTACTCACTAGGTTTGGAGAATATTTAAAGGCATGAGAAGAGATAGTAGTGGTGGTGAGGGTCACAATTAGGCAGACTTCCAGAACTCTTACAAAAATAATGATTAAAATCCTGCAGAAGGAGAGATGGGGACCTCAGTACTGACTAGGATGTTATCTTCTGGTGGCATCCTACAGATGGCCAACTTGGTCCCAATTGAAGAAAGAGGATAATTGCGTGGATCACTCAGAGTAAAAGGCAAGGGGTCTCGTGCATGGGAATCTCCCTTTCTTGGTAACCAAAGTCTACAGAAAGGGAAGTAGAACCAGGCCAAGAGTTTGAAGCCTGAATTTGCCAGCCTGCGGAGACTGTGCAAAAGAAGAACTAGATCTCAGAATGGGTAAGACATCTAGGAAAAGACATATCTTTCCTGAACATGTCAACCTGTTTAGTTGACAGGTGTTGAAGTTACATCAGGGAAACTTCACACTGACCTATTCTAGCCCCATTCCAGCTTTGTCTTGCTGAATTTGAGTGAAACATTCTGGATCCCAGAATATATAATGCTATGGTTTTTTTGTTTGTTTGTTTGTTTGTTTTCTTTTTTAGGTCTGTACTCTCTTGCTTTCAGAGTTCGGGCACCAGGCCCATTGCTATGCTTTGTTTTCAAATAAAAATTGTTTTATTGTTTTTTTTTTCTGGTCATAAAATTGGTATCTACTCATTGCAGGAAATTATTCAATAAAGAAACATCTTAAGATGGTAAAGGTTCCTGACATACTGTTAAACATTTTTTTGAACATGCTTTCAGTAATACATTCTGGGCACATACCTGCCATACAAACATCTTTACAAGAGTACTTCTACATTTCTTTTTCTTTTTGAGATGGAGTCTTGCTCTGTCGCCTAGGCTGGAGTGCAGTGGCGTGATCTCAGCTCACTGCAACCTCCACCTCCCAGGTTCAAGCGATTCTCCTGCCTCAGCCTCCTGAGTAGCTGGGACTACAGGCGTGTGCCACCATGCCCAGCTAATTTTTGTATTTTTTGTAGAGACGAGTTTCACCATGTTGGACAGGCTGGTCTCAAATTCCTGACCTCAGGTGATCCACCCACTTTGGCCTCCCAAAGTGCTGGGATTACAGGCGTGAGCCACCATGCCTGGCCAAGAATACTTATGTATTTCTTTATTATTATTATTTTTTGAGACAGTGTCTTGCTCTGTCACCCAGGCTGGAGTGCAGTGGCTCAACCTTGGCTCACTGCAACCTCTGCCTCCCGGGATCAAGCAATCCTTCCGCCTCAGCCTCCCAAGTAGCTGGGACTATAGGTGTACGCCACCGTGCCTGGCTAATTTTCATATTTTTTGTAGAGATGGGGTTTTGCCATGTTGCCCAGGCTGGTCTTGAACTCCTGAGTTCGATGGATCCACCCACCTTGGCCTCCCAAAGTGCTGAGATTACAGGCATGAGCTACTGCACCCAGCCTTATGCGTTTCTTACAGTCTGTTTTCTTTACAACTTAACAAGTTATGGAGATCATCCTATATCAATGACTGTAAGTCAAAATTATCATTTGTTTGATCAGCAAATCTTTCTGCATCAGAGTCTCTCATAGAGCTCCTAGCTGTGGCTGAATTCTTGTGCTCCAGGAGTTGGATGGCTTATGAAGAGAGGGGGAGTCAGCTGAGTCACCAAGACGAAAATATCAAAGCAGGGCTGGCATCTTTATCTGTCCCCAGTCCTCATCTTCCCCAGACCCCCTGCCTTCTCAGCTGCCTTCCCTTCAAGAGTTATCTTCCTGCAAGCAGGACTGGATGTGCTTCTCCTTAGGCACTGTTCAGCTTCTTGGCAATATTTATTTGGTCATGCAAAGAAGAAAACCAGCCCGTCACCTCCTTAAAGAACTTCTTCGCTATTGCCTCTGGCCCAGAGGGATCCAGCTTTACATTTGTGCTTGATTCTTCATTTTTTTCTAGTATGTTTACACAGTGACCTCTCTAATCCTTGTTACTCTTGGCAAAACTGTTTATTCTAACCCTGGTGTAAGGCTGCGGCTTCAAAGTCAGCATTTCCCCAATGAGGTTTTCTCAACCACCCAACCCTAGAGTTCAGAGCTTCCCTCTGTCCTGCTCAGTGGCCACTTTTCTGTGGTCATCTGTTTTTCTTCCTCTGTTCTGGCTCAGGCAGTCCTTGCTGTGACTTCCTCTTGACCTGGGTACCAAGGGCATAGGAAACAGGAGATGCAGGCTCAGCCCTGGAGGAACCTGCAGTCTGGCGGACACTTCAGCACAAGGGAAAACCTGTTGGAGTCCTTGAAAACAGACAGGAAAACAAATGGAAAACAATAATACTTTCCATCTGTATTCCAAAGCCCTTTCACATACGTTATTATCCACAGTGGAGACCACATACGTGATCTGGAAAACATGGAATGGTGGAGTGACTTGGAGTCAGGCAGTTGTATTCCGGAAAAGTATCCATCTCAATCTGGTCTGCAGTCCTGTCCTTGAGAGGTCACCTTGTTCGGTTTTATTCATTCTTCATCAAATGCACATTGCTATATTGTTCCTACTACATGTGCCAGGCACTGCACCTTTTCCCTTAATTACATACAAAACTCATGATCCAAAGCCATCCACCTTTTCCAGTTATTCCCAATGCTTAGCCTCAATCCCACCTACTGAAGTTTCTATTCATTTCCTCTTATTCTATTTTTGGTGGAAAGGGGAGCCGTAGCTCACCACCTACCATATAATAACCCTTCAGAGGCTGTTATTAGGCATCCTTGGGGCTGCTATATTTACCTTTTAATAAATCCAAGCTTTTCTGCTCTACAGTATTGGGGCTGGCTGACGCTGTAGAGGGAGACTCCCTGTGTAAGCCTTTTGCTGGCTGTGCCGGGCAGTGAGGGAAATGCACATATAGCATTGTTCAATGTACAGCACAGAGACAGCTGGAAAATAATTGTCCAATCGAGTGTGAAAACCTGATACAGGAGTAACAGGTGCTGGGGTGTCTGGTTGGTAATGGCAGATCAGAGAGAGCTTTCAGAACACTGTCCAGGGCTTAGGGACCTGGAAAGCATGGTATATTTCCCTGTCTACCCTGTTCCTTTATCAGCTGCTGATTCCCAGGCTTGGGGAGACCCAATGTGCCTGGCCTATTCCTTCAAGGTAGCCCAGTTTAGAGAGGTGTGGGGCATGTGGGCTCCTCCAAAGTGAGGTTTGAATCAGCTTTATCATAAGCCTGGAGTCATCCAGTAGTCCTTGTAGACACTACCTTTTAGAGATAGACGTCTACTCTTGGGACTGAGATGAAGCTGCCTGTCCTTTGGGAATGGAGGTTGTGTTCGTCAGATTCTTAGTTACAAGCAACAGAGCCAGAATTCCAATTTAAGTAAAAGAGAATGTGTTAAGAGGGTTTTGGAGAGCTCACAAATAGGAACAAAAGAAGTTTCTGCAGCTGGAACCAAGACCAAAATCAAAACCTAGAACTGGTCTGGCAAGGACCCTGATGCACTGTTGCACCCCCAAAACTGCCAATTCCTTACATAGGGTGCCGCTGCTGGTATCGTTATCAGTGTTGCCCAGACGCTGGGTCTGGCTGCCAGTTCTGTTTGGGTCAGAAAGGTTTTCCTTGTTCTGCCTTTTGGTCCACTAGTTCCCTAGTCATTGTCAGTCCAGGGCCATCTCATTGGCTAAGCCTAGGTCCCTTGGCCAGGCTGAGGTGAATATTTGATGTTTTCAGCTTCTGTAGTTGGAGAAGAGCACTATCTCCCACAACTCATTAGATGGGGAATTTGCCAAAATAGGAAGTTAGTAGGGGGTTAAAAAATGACTAAGGCACACTAAAAGGGTCTTGGGAGAGAAACAGCCAAATAGTGGGTATTATGAACTGGTTTGCTTGATTATAGCTAGTAATCATTTATCATTCACCCACTGCCTCAAGTTTATTGGGCATCAACCACATGCCAAGCAGTGGGTGAGGCACTTTTCCATCCTTTATATCCTGTGGTCCCACCATAACCTTGTAAGATTGTGGAGACACGAAGGAGGTCAAACAGTAGCGTCATTTGTGAGAAAGACTTGAAGCACAAGCTGAAAAGATTGGAGGCAAAGGGGACACTGTGCGTGTCTCAGGGGGCAAGCCCAAGTTGCCCCACAAGAGATTGTCCTCTTGGGAAACTGGTACTAGGCAGATAATGAGAAACTGTTGCTTCTCTCCTCCTGCCATTCCTGCTTCCTTTATCCTTACTTCCATACTATGTGGCCGACTTGGCCTTCAGCTTCAGGGACTACAGAAATGCTCTTAAAAAAACCCCACAAAAAACAAAACAGTTTTGTTTTTAATTGACACATAATGATTGTACACATTTATGGGGTATAGTGTGATGTTTTGATACATGTATATACATTGTGTAATGATTGAATCAGGGTAGTTAGCATATCCATTACCTCAAACACTTGTCATTTCTTTGCAGTGAGATCACTCAAAATTCTCTCTTCTAGCTAGTTTGAAATATACAATGTAAATTAATATACATTGTATACATGTATATTTATATATATTATTGTATACATGTATATTAATATACATTTATATATAGTAATATACATTATTGTTAACTCTAGTCATTCTATTGCGCTATCAAATACTAGACCTTGCCATCTCATTTAATCTTATAACATTTATATTTCTCAAAATCCTCTCCTAGATATTGTGTATCTCTTTTGAGATATACAGTACATTATTATTAACTATAGTGGCCTTTCTGTGCAATAGAGCACCAGAACTTATTCCTCCTATCTAACTGTAACTGCGCACTCACTGACCAACCTCTCCCCATGCCCCTCCCCTTCCTCTCTTCAGCCTCTGGTAACCACCATTCTACTCTGTACTTCTATGAGATCAACTGTTTTACACAAATGCTGCTTTATGCAGAGCTCTTTTTTTTGCAGAGACCCTTCCCTGCTCTGTGGGGATGCCCTCCATCTGTTGCTCCTTGTCCCCTATGGTTCAGAGTTTACACAGCCGCTTTCCCTAACTGTTTCTTTTTCACATGCCCACCCACTCCCCCAGCATGGGCTGGTGAATTGTTGACTTCCCAGGGTCTGGATGCCACTCAGTACTGATGACCCAAACTTTCTGCCTCTTCCTGCAGCCACTAAGCACAGCTGGCATCCTGAGCTCCTCTTCTGCCGCTTCCAACAGGTCAAGGAATAAGGCTCGCTATCGGACCAAAGCCGTGAGCTCTGAGGTGGATGAGAGCCTCTTTGGAGATATCAAGGTAATCCTCAACAAGTCCTTTCAAGTTGATGCCACCTGCAGGCAGAGGCCCAAAAATGTAGCTCAGGGCAAAGCTTCTGCTGAGTAACCTTGCTCTCGTAGGTAACTCTCAGACTGAAGACAAAGGGGAATTCTGAGACCTGAGCTGCAGAGCTTTGGGATCTAGTGGGGCCTATGTAAACAGGGACACCTAGCTTCTTCCACCCTAGAATCTCTCATGTCTTCACAGTGTTTAAAATCTGTTATAATGTCAAAAGGGAGGCTCAGCTGCAGAGAGTGCAATAGTTGCTCAGTTGAGCTCCATGATGGAAACATTGCAGGGCTGATGGGCTAAGCTTGCAGACAATAGCAACATCTTCCCCGCTCCATCCAAGGATAATAGCATCAGAGTACAACACAAAACCATCCTCCTTTCCCAGTTGCTCAACTAAAACAATTACTTAGCTTTGGGAAACGAGCAGGTCTTTATTTGCAAGTGTTATCTAGACCAAGAGGTGGACAACTCCTTTAGTCTAGATAAAGAGAGCTAGATAGTAGAGCTTTGACTGATTTTGGTACATATGGAGTTTAGTAGGTAAGAAGGAAGAGAGGGAAGGAGAAAAAGAGAATATGACATGGAGAGAAGGGCAGTGAGAGATTAAGAGAAGGGGAAAAGAGAAAGAGAGACACTAGTAGTGACCTGAATGCCTCTGCCAGTGGGGAAGGTGGGGAGAGGAGTGTTGATGTCTGTCCCTGCTCTTCAACATCTTCATTGTGAATTGAAGAGGACTCTCCAGAGGGATTGAGATAGGCTTCTTAATCCATTTAGAAGACTCTCACTCTGCAGCAGTTTTCCTGTTGGTAAGGGAAAGGATCAACAGATGCATTTATTTTTTATTATTTTTTTAAAGATAGGGTTTCACTCCTGTCACCCAGGCTGGAGCTGGAGTGCAATGGTACAGTCTCGGCTCACTGCCACCTCCACTTCCCAGGCTCAAGTGATTCTCCTGCCTCAGCCTCCCAAGTAGCTGGGACTACAGGTGCACACCACTGCACCTGGCTAATTTTTGTATTTTTTGTAAAGACAGGGTTTCATCATGTTCCCCATGCTGGTCTTGAACTCCTAAGCTCAAGCAATCTGCCCACCTCGACCTCCCAAAGTGCTGGGATTACAGGCGTAAGTCTCCCCACCTGGCCAAAATGCAATTTCACTTACAGACATTTGTATTGTTGTTGTTGTTTTGGGTACATGTGGAGTTTTCTAGTCAAAGCAAAGAGAGATTTGGAATTGGCTGAGTTCTCCAGGAGTAGTCATGCTGGCTGGCAAAAGGGGGCTATCAGAAAAATGCTTGTCTCTTGTCCAGTTTCTTTGGCCTCATTGATGGGTAAGAGTTCAGGAAGTCTCTCAATGGGCAGTAGAGGGCAGAAGTGGCCTGTGGCACGACTGAGTTGTGCCCACGTGAAAGCAGAGATGGGCACCAGGTGGCAGCAGCACACAGGGGACTGTGGGTGCAAAGTGAGGTAGGACAAGTGGGGCCATCCCCCTGCCTCTGGTCAGGAGCACAGTGGCTGCATTAATGACACATCCTTTCCTGTGTTTAGACATTTTCTGAAACAGGTGATTTCATTTAATTGTTATCTAACTCCTTCAGGGTCGGAGAATTTTGAAAAAAAGAAAAAATCACACAGTTAGTCTGTGTTCTTGCTGAATTCTAACTCACTGACCTCCTCACCACCAACTCAATGAGCTGGCAGAGAGCTACCCTTAGATCTTAAGGGTAGGCCTCTGCAGGTCATTTAGCGATTTCTAACTCCCTGAATATGGCTTTTTGTGGGGGTTAAAGTAATTTAATCGTAAGAAAGAATTTAAAATTACCAATATCAAAGATTGTAAGAGTCTGTAACAAATTATATTGCTTCAAACCCACTGTGTGGTCCTAGAGAGATAATTATTTCTTCTTTCATAAAGGAAAATCTTTCATGGAGAGAGGAAAACCTAGAGAACAGAAATTTACTTTAATTCCTGATGATTTTAGACTAAGTATAGACACACACTAGTGACCCCCACTCCTTGTTATCCCTACCATTCTGCGAGGAATATCTGTATAAGAACAAGAGACTTGTTTTCAGAAAAGCTGGTCAGGGCTGGGCATGGTGGCTCACGCCTGTAATCCCAGCACTTTGGGAGGCCCAGGCGGGCGGATCATCTGAGGTCAGGAGATTGAGACCAGCCTGGCCAACATGGAGAAACCCCGACTCTACTAAAAATACAAAAATTAGCCAGGCATGGTGGTGGTCGCCTGTAATCCCAGCTACTCAGGAGGCTGAGGGAGGAGAATTGCTTGAACCCGGGAGGTGGCGGTTGTAGTGAGCCAAGATCGTGCCACTGCACTCCAGCCTGGGTGACAGAGCAAGACTCTGTCTCAAAAAAAAAAAAAAAAAAAGAAAAGAAAAGCTGGTCGGTACACATCCAGCCATGCTCAGATACAGGGCATCACGCTGCTCTATCCTTGAAGTTAGGACTGACCAGCAGGAAGTGGGGGTGACAAGCTTCTAAGCTATTCTTTCTGAACTCATAGTCCCCAGCCCAGGGCCAGAGCGACAGCCCCATTGTGCTGCTCCGAGATAAGCATACCCTTCAAAAAACTCTCACTGCTTTGGGCTTGGATCGCAAGCCAGAGACCATCCAGCTCATCACCCGGGACATGGTCCGAGAACTCATGTGAGTACACCGTCCCCTGCCCTTCTATGTCCAGTCCTCATCCTTTTGCTAAGGATCTTTGTAGGGAGATGGGTAAACCCACCTGGTTTCATTCTGTCAGTCCAATCCCCACTTCTTTCCTATTCGTTTTCCCCTTTTTGTTTGATAGTTCTTTCTTTCTTCTCCATCCTGGCCTCTCTTGTTTCTCCCATTGTTGTATCTATTATTGCCACTGTCCTTTATTCTCAGCTTCATTGTCCTTCCTTACTTCTAGCTGGCTGTGTGAGCTAAGGGACTGGTAGAGAGGAGGTGCTTAGTGAGTCCTCTCTAAGTCCCCATTAGTACCCTCCCTAAAGGGAAGTGATCCAGATGAGTCACTTCCTTTCGGCTGCATTAAGAATCTGAAGCAAAGGGAAACTGACCAGATGCCTAATTAGCCCCCTGGCTTCCTCCCAGACTCTAAGGCCATAGGAAGAAATTCACAGGGGCTCCCTGGGTTCCTTTGGGATTAGCTCAACCCCACTTCCTGACTAGAGCTGCCCCCAGGCTTGAGCCCATCCTGTGGGACTTAGGCCTAGCTCAACCATGTGCCATGAGCCAACACTGTGCTCAGTGGTTTAACTCTTGTGTTAGTGCTTCACCCTCTACAACCGTTCTCCCTGCCCTGGCTCCACCCACTAAAAGCCCTAATTCCCAGAAAATCCTACCTGTGTCACAAGCTGGAGAGGCACATCTAGCACACACCCCGGGAGCTGTGTCGGACTGCGGCCCCTTACTGAGCATGTCTGGTCAGCCGTGGCATCAAGTGGCCAGATGTGGCTAGAGCCCTGCAGCCACTCCTGGAGCCAGAGGAAGGGAGGAAGGGTTCCTTCTTGGAGCCATCTAGTCCTGAAAACACGTTGGAGGACAAGTGGCTGGTTATTTTTCAGGGATGCTGAAAGCAGTATAAACTGCTGTCTTAGATTCGGATCACTGCTGGTCACTCCAGATCCTAGGCTGTTTAGGGCCACGTTGCTTTGTGAAACACAAGATCTTGGCTAAGCTGCAAATCTACTCACTCATTCTGTCCATCTCCTGGACCACCCTCCCCCAACACACACACATTAGTTTTATTAGATGAGGTTTCACTTCCTGTCTCAGATGTCTGTGTCTTATTGGCATGTACCTGTCAAATTGGCATGTACCTGCCTCACCCAGAAGCAGCTTTCTTCCCACCCCCCTAACTACTCCCTCCCCCATCTTTAATATATGTCATTTGCTTGTAATCATTATAATTAGCGATTGGTTTGTTGAATGCGTTGGATAGCTAGAAAGGAGAGGTCTATAGACATGTCTCTGGCTATTGTTGATCACAGATTTTAATTAATATTTACAGTTCAAAGCTTCTCTCTAGGCTGGATGGGCAGGGAAGCTTAGGTTTCTAACTAGCATCTATATCAACCTTGTCTGGCGTCCCCTTGCCGTTTTTATGTCATCCTTGAGGAATAATCTGTTTTTAAAATTTAATTCAACAGCTTTGTTTTGAATTCTCACTCTGTACCAAGCGCTATGCCAGAGACTAGGCTACCAGTGTGGTTAAGACAGAGTTTGTGTCCTGAAGGAGCTCATAAAGGAAACAGAGCTGCCCAATTGGCTGTGATACAGGCAGTAAGAACAGAGTGCAGTGTGGGCTCAGAGGAGGAGGTGATCTATTGGTCCTTGGTGGGGGGGCAGAGTGGGCACATGTGGACATGATGGGGGGTCTCAGCTGCACAGAGAAGGTAACATATGAGCAGGACCTAATAGAAAAAGGACTTAAAATGTCTCTTTTTAGCCTTCAATGCTACCTGACCCCCCACTTGGAACATCTACTCCCCAGTGGACCCATGGCACACTTGCCGTCTCTTCTGCCATTGGGGGAGTCCACTGGCATGATGGGAAGAGGGGAAGAGAGCAGAGAAGCCTGAAGTGTGGTGCTGAGAGCTTTCCCTCTCCCCTCCCTAACTCTGTTTATTCTTGTGACAGTGTTCCCACAGAGGATCCCTCCGGGGAGTCCCTAATCATCAGCCCTGAGGAGTTTGAGCGAATCAAATGGGCATCCCATGTCCTGACCAGAGAAGAACTTGAGGCCAGGGACCAGGCCTTCAAGAAGGAGAAGGAAGCCACCATGGTAGTTAACCTCCCTAAGCCTTCACCTCTGCAGATGGGTGGCAGAATCAAAATGCACTGGGGAACTCTCATCAGGGGACCCTGAAATGAGGCACAAATTATGTACTTAATGAAGAAATATTACAGAAAGGAGACCAAAGAGCAATACCTGAGATGAGAGGTGGGAGCAGCCGGGGCCAAGGGGAGGGCTGAGAATGAAGCCAGGCTGTGGAACTTCTTGGCTCTGACATCATCACTGGCCAAGGCAAAATTGTACTGGGTCACCTGTGGTAGCCAGGCTAGCGCCCAGGGCACAGAGCGCATGAAATAATCTCCCACTGAGCCAGACTGGTCTCCCTTAGGATGCAGTGATGACACGAAAGAAGATCATGAAACAGAAGGAGATGGTGTGGAACAACAACAAGAAGCTCAGTGACCTGGAGGAGGTGGCCAAGGAACGGGCCCAGAACCTCCTGCAGAGAGCCAACAAGCTGCGGATGGAGCAGGAGGAGGAGCTCAAGGACATGAGCAAGGTGGGCTCTTCGTCTCTCCCTTCCCTCTGAGCATTCACTGCCATCCCTCCGCCCTCCCCTTATTCCCGCACTGGACAAGGCCAGGGACTGGTGGGGGTGTGGGCAGGGGTGGGGCGGGGGAGAGCTGCACCTGCTGTGGTAGTTGCAGTGATCACAGTGAGGACTGGCTCTGCCACCTGTTCGCTGTGTGACCATGGGCAAGTCACTTGCCCTCCCTGAGCCTCACTTTCTTCATTTGTAACTTGAGGGTGGTAAAACTACTTTGTGGAATCATTGGCAGGATGAAATAAGGTAGTAGATGGGAGAGGCTTTGTGGGCTGAGGATTGGTAAATTAAATGTGCAGTGTTACTTTTATTTTCATCCTGTTAGTTCAGTTCTGGCCACGTATGGTGGTCGAGGCAATTGGATGCTTTTGGAGTACCCAAAGCTTTTCCTTTGGCTGAGAGCCTAAAGACCAGAGGCTCATTTGAATTCTGTTGTAACTCATTTGCATGTGGTTCACTTCCTTACCAAATGAAAAGTGCTGATTCCCCAATCCCTGCACCTCTGATTTCTGTCTCTCAGGTAAATCTTCTCTATGTATGCCTCCTTTAATTTTCTAAAGGTTTTACTTTTGGGTTCTTATTCATGGGCCCGTGGTTTTTCATCCCTTTTGTGTCATGTTGGGCTCTTCCAGCTTAAAAATCTTGTGGCCTGGCCTCTGCAAGAGTGTCTTAGCTCCCCTGAGGAGAACAAGGGGTCCAACCTGGAGTTCATGGGTCTCTAAGTGGAACAATGGACCTCTGAAGTTTTATAGAAATTTTGTGTGTACATGTATAAGTGAGTTTTATGGAGGAGAGGGCCGTTGCTTTCATCATATTTCCAAAGGGTGACCCATTACCACCAAAACCCTAAGATGTAGCTCCCTGAAAGATGCTATTCCAGGCCCCTCCTTGCACAGACCCTGGCACCTAGCAGGAGGCCAGTAAATCTTTGAGCTAAACTATATTAAGGGGAAAGGTAAATATAAGAACATTCTTATTTCCCCGGACTTGTGAGCAGTCATGCACACCTCCAGCATGCTCAGCAGTATAGCATTCTGTTTCCATTTCTTCCCCTTAAACTTACACATCCCTAGGCCTAGTGCTACAGTTTAATCTCCACTCTCCAGATTATCCTCAATGCTAAGTGCCATGCCATCCGGGATGCCCAAATCCTGGAGAAGCAGCAGATCCAAAAAGAACTGGACACAGAAGAGAAGCGGTTGGATCAGATGATGGAAGTGGAGCGGCAGAAATCCATTCAAAGGCAGGAGGAACTGGAGAGGAAGAGGAGGGAGGAAAGAATTAGGTAAAGATGTGGTTTTGGCATCTCCCTCTCTAAGCTATTTCCATGTATCTTTAGGTCCATGTAGCCTAGCAAAGAGGGAAGAGATGAGAAATGGTCATTATTGTCATCTACTTATTATCTCAAAACTTTACGAAGTGATACATAGAATCACAGAACTTTTTTTTTTTTTTAGAGGGAGTCTCACTCTGTCGCCCAGGCTCTGGAGTGCAGTGGCATAATCTCGGCTCACTGTAACCTCCACCTCCCGGGTTCAAGCGATTCTCCTGCTTCAGCTTCCCAAGTAGCTGGGATTACAGGCATGCACATCCACACCCGGCTAATTTTTGTATTTAGAAGAGATGGGGTTTCACCATGTTGGCCAGGCTGGTCTCAAACTCCTGACCTCAAGTGATCCCCCGGCCTCAGCCTCCCAAAGTGCTGGGATTACAGGCGTGAGCCCGGCCAGAATCACAGAATTTTTAGAAGCTTATTTCCCAAATCCTAGGAGGCACTTCACAGTCTGGCTGCAATCAATCTCGTTTCTCACCCCTACCTGCCATCTACTCTGTGCTTTTTCCCAGGCCCCCAACATGCCAGGCCTTGTGACAAGTTCTTAATTTTTTTTTGTTTTCTCTTTTTTGAATACCCTTTTCTTTCCTTTTCCTCCTGGAAAATGCTGTCTCCTTCCCTTTATATATAGCTTTGCTGTCACCTCCCTCATGTCACTAGGCAGGCTTAGTGGCTCCCTTCTCTGTGCCCATCACTCTGTGTTTATGCTCCAGCATCCCACTCTTGTGCTGTGGCTTTCTGACCCTCCTAGATGCTACGCTCATTGCGGACAGGTCCTTTCGTATCCAGTTCTGTAGCTTCTGAGCCTAGCAGAGTGTTTGGCCTGTAATAGGTGCTTAATTCATGTTGGGATGAATAAATTCAGTCTCCC
The DNA here is from genome assembly GCF_000001405.40 of Homo sapiens. Lineage (NCBI taxonomy): Eukaryota > Metazoa > Chordata > Mammalia > Primates > Hominidae > Homo > Homo sapiens. Next base: position 159,885,591 of record NC_000001.11, on the reverse strand, counting down.
CTTCATTTTGTGCAGAAAAGGACAAGTCCCAGAGCAAGTAAATTATAGAATAATAGTGTCCTAGATTTAGAACGCCAACCATACAATACATGAATTACCTTTATAAATAATCTTTGTACCACACTGAATGGCAGTTTTATCTCCCCAACTGTATCCTGTTCTCTGGAACCATTCATCTCTGTGTCTTGTGTACTATACCTGGTACATTCACCTCTGTACTTCTGGTAGGTACCTGGTATACTATAGTAGGTTCCCAGTGAAAGGTTACTGAGTGGCTAAGTGGCTGTCCATCTTCTGCATAAACAGCTCCAGCAAAGGAAAACTCTGTCTTGTTAGGCAACTGTAATGATTTGAGCTGGTCCTTGTATTGAGCCCAAACTTGTTTTCATGTAACCCTTTTACTCTTTACTCCTGTTTACTTCATCTGGAGTCATGAAGCCATTCGAGCACTCCATCTGAATGTGGCTCTCATACTCTTTCCCCTCAATTCTGATCCTAATATGTGTCTTCTCCCGTTCTTCCAGCCTTTACTCATATGTCATGGGGTCTATGCTTCCAAGTTTATTGACATCCCACTAACACATAGGGAATCACTGACAACATTGCTTGTACACCCTGGGTTTGTTTGTTTGTTTGTTTGTTTGGCTTTTTACTATTCAGCTAGCTTCCTATGATTACTCTGGGAAGAATTGGGAGGTGGTAGGATTTCAGAAACTCTTTATATACTGGAAGGTAGAAGGTGTTTTATCAAGTGGGGTACCCCTCTTGGACAAACAAATAAAGAAGGAGAATCTCAGGAAGAGTGAGCCCTGGAACCAGGAGCTCAGGAGAAAGGAGGCCAACCCTTGAGGTCCTTCCTGGGGGAGGGACTTTGGTCTGGGCTCATGAAGCATATTCATGTTTAGGGGGCACTTGTCAAATTGTTTCGGTGACACCACCCATCTTGGGGGTTGTTTAGGTGGAGGTTGGACTCTGGGAGATGTGGACCCGGGGTTTCTAAGACACTGTGGCACTGTTCTCTCCAAGAGGAAGGCGGCAAATTGTGGAACAGATGGAAAAGAACCAGGAGGAGCGATCGCTGCTTGCTGAGCAGCGGGAGCAGGAGAAGGAGCAGATGCTGGAATATATGGAACAGCTCCAAGAGGAAGATCTAAAGGTAACAGGCCAGACAGACAATGCCACGTTTCACCAGCTGCAGCATCAAAACCCTTCAAGACTCTGGGGTTTCAGGGTGTTGACTGATTTTCTGCCAGGCACATGCTCATTTCACAACATCATCACCGTCAACTTTTTATTGCCATGTTAAATATTTATTTCACCATGGTGTCACGCTGCGGGATGAGCAGTGATTTGGATAGATATTGTCCCTTCCTTCCAAGGACTTGAGGTCCAAGACTGACATATCACTGTGAATAGACACATAAAGGAAATATATGGCTGCATGCTTTGCACAAGTAAACATAGGGATGTTTTATAGTCTTCCTTCAATCACCTAGGGATATTATATACTTTGTAGATGAACAGTAGCAATATCTTAGTTCCAGACTCCCTGCTGTTACTTCACTCAAAGTACATAGCATCCCATTGCCATTAACTGTGTTGTGAAGCCAAACCTTTTCTTCCTGTTAGTCCAAATAAAATTAGTAAGCATATTTATTGCAAAAGAAATGACAACATACCTGCCCAAACTAAGAAGACTTAAAAAGTCATCTTCTGTATGCCTTCTCTGGGCTGTAACAATGTATAAAACCCTTTAGCACAGTGAGGGACATGGCAGGCACTTGGATAATTTATTTTTTTCCTCAATTTTTTATTTTGAAAAATTTTGCACACACAGAAAAGTTGAAAAAATTGTATCACACCCATCAACTCTTCACCTAGATTTAATGATTGTTAATCATTTACCTTAGTTGCTTGTTTCTTTCTAGGTGTGTGTGTATATATATATATATATATATATATATATATTTTATTGTTAAACTATTTGAAAGTAAGTTGCAGATATCTTGACACTCTGCCACTAAATGCTTCAGCCTGCAGCTCTGAAGAACATGGACACTCTCTTACATGTCAACAATACCATTATCACCTCCTCCATCAAAAACTTGAATTCAGTGATTCCATAATATCATCTAATAGTTAATCCACATTCACATTCCCCAATTGTTCCAAATATGTATTTCTGGCTCTCTTGTTTCCAAACTAGACGTTAATCAAGGTTTGCACATTGCATTCCGTTGAGTCTCTTTAGTTTGTTTTGATCTAGAAGAGTTCCCCCATTCATTCATTCATTCATTCATTCAGTTCTTCATTCATTTTTATAACACTGATATTTTGAAGCATCTAGGCCAGTTGCCTTTAAGAATATCTCACATTCTGAATTTGTATGATTGCCTCCTCATGGTGCCATTTAACTTGTGGAACACGTATTCTTTTACGATTCTCTCCCTCCCCTGTGTTTATGAATTGTCAAGTTGTCATCAGCTAGTGCATTTGATGGTGGTGAGTGACAGGGGGACGTGAAGAGTGCTGCAGGTGGGCAGACTTGTAATTATGAAGCCTTCTCATCACATCTGCAGTGTGAGGAGCTGCTAGAGAAGTGCAATGAAGATCACCTGGGTAGTTGGGAAACTGAAGGGGCACACAGCTCTGTGAACTGCATGAGAAGGAGAATAGCAGGGTGAAGGCAATGAGAGACCTGGCCAAGTTACTCCATTTCCTGGCTCAGGGGAGAGAGAGTGGGAAAGGGCCAAGAAGGAAAGTTATGGGGCAAATATGCAAGGTAGTGGGTGAGAAGTGAGGGCAGGAAAATCCAACTAGATGTGGGGAGTGGGAATTAGTGGGCTCACTGAGGAAGTTCTAGGAGTCCATGAGTCAGCACCATTATGTTGATGTTGTGTCATTATCCTTTTAATGTCCTTCTAACAGGCACTCCCTGAGTCTCCAGGAAGTATTATTGGGCAACTTTAGCAAGGAAACCTGTGCCTTCCCAGCTTTAGACCTACTGTATCATCTCATGGTGGTACGAAGGGCAGCGTTTCCCACCTTGCTAACAAAGGGGGAAAGAGTGAAGGGAATTTATCTGGGGTTGCTTTGGAAGGGCTTCAAAAGAAACAGGGAAAGTCCTTTGGTGTCTTGGAATTGAAATGAGCCAACAAAAACAACAATCCAAAAAGTAAATAAATAGGGAAAGAAGTAAATAAATACATGATTGTATGTATGTCATACATCAGAAATCAACAGCATCTTTAGCTTTGAGGGCCAGTGAGATTAAATGATGTCTGGGATACAAATAGCAGGCCTAAAATCAGTGAGAAGCAGTTAGGAAGGAAAGGAAGAAAGGGAGAAGGGGGAAAAGGAGCGAGAGAGTTGGAGGGGCAGAAAGGGAAAAGTGGAGTGAGCAAAGAAATGAGTATGGTGAGAGAGAGAGGGAATGTCTGTGACTCACGCACCACATGGACCTCAGAGGCAGAGAGTTGCCATACCGCTCTGGTTCAGAAGCCTTCCTGAAGGAAGAAGCCTTGAACTGGGCAGTGAGCCAAGCTGGCAGAGAGCCAGCACTACAGGAAGACACACAGGGAGAGTTACCTTGGTTAGATGAATCAGGGCAGCAGCTGGGCTGAGGAAGACCTGGAAGGCCAGGGAGGGATTTAGTCTTTGGAGAAATGGAGGGAGCTGGAAACAGTGTGGGAGGTGGGGTGAGTTAATCAATAGAAGAACTTAAGGAGTCTGAGATTGATTGGAGGTGATTGGGGGGCCAGCTGTTCCCCTAATTCCGATGCCCCTCTGCACCTGAGAATGTGCTTGGCTCAGAAGTGGTCTGATCATTGAGAGCTGTTGAAGGCTCAGGTCTGGGAAAGGCAGGGGGATCCTTCCTTAAAAACGACCTTGTTCACATTGGTACTCTGATCTCCGTCAAATGTTTCCCTGTGTCTAAGAACTTTTTTTCTTTCCTTTCTCACATGCCTCTCACTTTGGTCCTACCTTTCCTGCCTCATTTATCAATGGTTTATCGAATATTTGCTATTTTCCTTGCATTGGGCTACATGTTGTTGGGGAAGAGAGGATGTGTGACACAAGGTCCCTTGTCCTGTAACTGGGGCAGAGCGAACACATATGAAATGAGTGGGGACCTGCAAGGCAGTGTATGATCACCTTGCAAGAGGTGTGTCGCCACCTTAAGTGCAGAGAGAATTTAGAAATGGAGAGAGAATTGAAAGTTGAGGCAATCAAGCAAGATTTCCAGAGAAGGTTGATACTTTAATTTAGACAGAACAGGTTTCAAAATTTTAGCTCTGGAGATTATAAGCTGTGTGGCCGGTGGGGAAGTCACTTCAATGCTGGGCCTCAGTTTCTTTATTGGAGCAAGAGAGATAACAAGGCCTACCTACCTTTTAGGATTTTTGGACATATTTAGGTATTAGAGATAGTCTGTGTACAGTGCTCAAGAAATAGAAAGCACTCAATTAAGGCAATATGTATTATTTCAGTCGTCACTATTGACTGGAGAGTGAAAGTTAGGTTTAAATGGGAGAGGAACATTGAAGGCAGGAGAAGCACCATGAGCAAAGCCACAGGGGTAGGATTTAGCAAAACATGTGAGAGGCAATTGTATGGAACTTTAAGAGCTTCTGCTTCCTGAAAATATAGAGATCAATAGCATCAGGGGCTGCCACAAAGTCAAGTTGGATGAAGACTGTAAATAGGCCATTTGGTTGAAGAGGGTATTTATGACCCTTGAAAAAACAGCTTTAACAAAGGATAGTTGTGGACACTAGACTGCAGGCAATGCATTTGCCCCCTCCTCTGTCTGCATCTCTCTATCCCTGGATGCCAGTGGCTTCTTGTCTTACCTCTTTGTACTCTGAGGCTCTCTTTCTTTTGCTGGCAGGACATGGAACGAAGGCAGCAACAAAAACTGAAGATGCAAGCTGAGATTAAGCGCATCAATGATGAAAACCAGAAACAGAAAGCAGAACTGCTGGCTCAGGAGAAGCTGGCAGACCAGATGGTGATGGAGTTTACCAAGAAGAAGATGGTAGGGACTTGGTTTCTGGGACCTTTGGTTAGGAATGGAATGTCTGTCACAGGGAGAGGAGGGCCTGAGAACTAAGGGAACTCCAGTGGAAGGCAGCCGCACCTTCATTCTAAGATGCACATCCTTAGTTCAAGGGCCTGGCTTCTTTGTCTCTTCATCTTAGCCAGTCCACTTGTTCGTTAACAGAGACAGCCTAGAAAGGACAACCAAATTAGCTTTAACCTCATTAACACCTTTGATTAGAAGTTGGGATGAGGGCCATATGCAGGCAGAAAAGAAAACTGAAACTATTGGTGAAAGTGAGTTTTTTTGTGGATTTGTCATGACTTGCGTAATTATACCCCCGGTAATCATGAGTCAGCGGTTACATAAATTTCTTGTGCAAATGCCTATATTGGACATCCTGTATTGGGTGCTAGACTCAGAAAATAGTCTTCCCCCATCTCCCACCAAAGAACCTATATGACAGAGCAAATGCACAGTGGAGGAGAGAGCCATACCTGCAGACAGTTGCAGATGGATGTAGCTCATGAATGTGTCAGCTCATTCTGGGGCAAAATTGAGTAATAAAATGATTGGGATCTACGGGGATTGGAGAGTAGAAGAAGGCTTTTAAGAGTGGTATAGATAAAGTGAACATGGATTTATGTAAAAAGAGGAGGAAGTACTCAAGGTGGCAGGAAAGTTATTAAATTCTTCATGTGTTGATCTTGTCTGCCCTGCTAGTTTTGAAATTCCATGATGACAGAAACACATTGTACTTCTCTATGCTCCTCTATAGTAGTGATTTTTAAAGAAGGCCAGGGGGAGGGTGTGAGTATAATTTGAATGGCATATTTGGTACACCTATATGTTCTGAATACAAACCACAGAAAATGAAGCTCAGCGAAGCTCACTTATTGGCTTTAGTATTCTTATTGGATGCTGGGGACACTCTATGCAAGCAATAGAGTGAGAATGCAGGTTTGGGGACATAGATGATTCCTACATAATAACAATCACATAACTATCATTTAGTGAGCACCTAGTCTGTGCATAGGCTCCGTGCTAAGTGTTTTACACGTGTTATCTCTTTTAATCTTTACAATAATCCTGTGAAATGGTCACTGATGATTCAAAATATACTGGATGCTTCAATATGTGTCCAGTCAGACTAGGCTGAAAATACCTAGGATAATGCTGTACCATTGGAACTCAACCACTATTTTCCCAAGTGAATGAAGGTGGGGATGATGAGCTAATTCTGTGTAGGAGTTAGTGCACATATTTTCTGGCTGCAGCAGAGGGTTGGTAGTGGATATAATAAGAAATGAGGGTGGTGAGATGACAGAGAGCTAAGAGCAGTTGTTGGGGTGTCTTGGACATTGAGTGGAGCTGGAAGAGTGGAATGATAAGGAGTCGCCATGAATTTCTAAGCAAGAGAGGAGTATATCTTGTCTTTATCATGGAAAGGACATTGTCAAGGTGTAGCTGGGAGAGGCTGGAGACTGGCCACGGAATCAGGCACTTGGGCATGTCCACAGTCCACCGTAAGTATCTACGTATATCACAAGCCCTTACCGACCTCACGGTGGTATCTATTCTTGCAGCCAGGGCTGCCCCTGCAGAGCTAAAAGCAGAAATTGGTTGTAGAAACACCCAGAGTTCCCTGTCCTGTTATCTAGGGCAGGGTGGACAAAGGAAGCAGCTTGACAACAGCCCCGTACAACTTACAGGGACAACTCACTGGGCTTCACAGAAGTCTGGGCAGGTAGAATGAGGGCAAGGAAGGTTTTTTTTTTTTTTTTTTTTTTTTTTTTTAGATGTAGTCTTGCTCTGTCACTAGGCTGGAGTGCAGTGGTGCGATCTCAGCTCACTGCAGCAACCTCTGCCTTCCGGGTTCAAGAGATTCTCCTGCCTCAGCCTCCCGAGTAGCTGGGACTACAGGCATGCGCCACCATGCTCAGCTAATTTTTGTATTTTTAGTATAGACACTGTTTCACCATGTTGGCCTGGATTGGTTTGATCTCTTTACGTCATGATCTGCCTGCCTCAGCCTCCCAAAGTGCTGGGATTACAGGCATGAGCCACCATGCCTGGCCGGGAAGATTCTTTATAAATGTCACATTTGCCTCCAACCTGCACCATTCATCTTACGATTGCTCAAGAATGGCGTTGGGAAGCGGGCTTGGGAAGCTTTTAAGGATATACCTGTTTTTTCAGAGAGGTGGAAAGGGAGCTAATTTTGGTGGTTCATTCTTTAAGTATCTGGTAACCACTGTGGGACTGCCCAAAGCATGGTTGGCTCTTTGCCCAGGGACTAATGAGATAACCTCCACCTGCTGTACTTTACAAGACAGGCACAGGACCAGTTGTTTCTTGGCCCAGTAGCCTTGCAACTTGAAAATTGTCTATGACATAGTGGAAGGAGTGTGAAAGCCAGGGTCAGGGTACCTGTGTTCAAATCCTGTTAGGTAGTTTACTTCCTGTGCAATCTTGGGCAAGACCCTTGATCTTTCTGACCATCCGTTTCCTCATCTATAATATCTGTCTCAGGAAATGTTGTGAGGGCTCTCCAGGATAACACATAGGAAAGTGTTTTGTAAACAATAAAGCATTTTATAAATGCTAATTGTTTTATATTCATGCATTGCTAAATTCATTTTACCTTATTTATTTATTTATTTATTTATTTATTTTGAGACAAGGTCTTACTCTGTTGCCCAGGGGAATGCAGTAATGCAATCATGATTCACTGCATCCTCGACTTCCCAGGTTCAAGCAGTCCTCCTATCTCAGCTTCCCGAGTAGCTGGGACTATAGGCACATGCCACCATGCCTGGCTAATTTTTAGATTTCTAGTAGAGACAGAGTCTTTCTCTGTGGCCTAGGCTGGTCATGAACTCCTGGGCTCAAGTGGTCCTCCTGCCTCAACCTCCCAAAGTGCTAGGATTATAGGCATGAGCCACGGCACCTGGCCTTATTTTGTCCTATTTTAAAAGGAGTCAGGAAGTGGTAGGGGAGATATTGGAAAGTCTGTTGTAGGGGTTTTGTTTCTCTCTGCAAGGCTGGGGCAATGGCAACTATTCTACAAGGCCTTTCCTTCCGGCAGGCTCGAGAAGCAGAGTTTGAGGCTGAGCAGGAGAGAATCCGGAGGGAGAAAGAGAAGGAGATCGCACGCTTGAGGGCCATGCAGGAGAAGGCCCAGGATTACCAGGCAGAACAGGTACCTGCTTAGTCTCGACTTCCCTCTACTTTTCCCACTCCCTTGCCTATCCATCCCTTTGACAGCCTGTAGAATGGCCTTGAGGGTGGAGATGCGGAGGAAAGGATGCAAGTTACCTAGACTTCAGTAGTCTGAGAAGGAAGGGGTGGCCTGCTCCCAGGGCCTGTGTCAGCAGGGATTGGGCAGTGCAGCCTGTGCTTAAGGTTCAAGAGAAAGTTTTTCGCTGCTCCATAAAGAAGAACTTTCAACCTTAACCAACCAATGAAATGTGTCACCAGGGGAACCTGTGGTATCTCCATCATTAGCAGTTTTTAAAATTAGAAGCAATTTCAAGACTGCCTGGAGATGTCTGAGGTACAGGGAAAGAACTGGGATGAGTGGGTTGGAAGGACAAGATGACCCCTCAGGTTATCTTCTAACCCAAAGGTTTGATGACAGGATTCCATTTATCTTTTCCTAGAATAACTAGCTGCCAGAGAAATTCATGATGCTTTTCAAAGCAGACTGTCAGAGTCTGTAAGTAGGTATCTTCTTAAAGCCACTTGGTCTGTACTTCCAGCTATTTTGTGCCCTCACTGGTCCCCTGCCAACATTCCCAGGATGCCTTGCGGGCCAAGCGCAACCAGGAGGTTGCAGACAGAGAGTGGCGCAGAAAGGAAAAGGAAAATGCGCGGAAGAAGATGGAAACAGAGGCTGAGCTGCGAAAAAGTCGGCTCGAACAGGTGGCTTTCAAGGAGCACGCTCTGGCTGTTCAGGTGCAACGGGACCGGGATGAGTTCGAGAGGATTCTTCGGTAGGAGGGGCCTGGGAACCTTGGATTCCTTTCCTTGTACTGTAGCAGGGATGGTCCATATTGGATAGAGAGAAGCTTTCTGGCATGTTAACAGATGCTCGTCGATCTTGTCTGGGTTGGTGGGATCATTATAACTAGATGGATGATTGAAACTTTTAAAAATCACTTGAGCCAAGAATTATGTGATTAGAGAATTGGGAGATAGCACCTGGAATTGCTTAAGGAATTGGTGATGACTGGGATTATTTACCCTGGAACAGTAAAAGTATAAATAAAGGTAAAATTCTGGTCCATTCTGCTGCCCTCTGACCCATGTGCCCCTGCAAATTGGGGATGAAACTGCAAGAGGAGTGGTTTAGGAAAGATAGAGAAAAGAACTTCAGACACTAAGGGTTGTGAGTCACTGGAGCAGGACTTTAAGGGAGCTGTTTGCCGTTCATTTGACAAATATATATTAAGCACAGAAATGCAGGGCTCTGTGCTGGATGCCATGGAGGACATTAGCAATTAACAAAACACTGCTCTTGCCCATTCCACAGGAAAGGTATTAGAGATTTGTGTTTGGATGGACTGCACCTACATCAATCCATCTTTCTTCCTTGGTAGCTATTTATCCTTTTACTTTTGTTTTCCCTTTTGGCTCAATGATAATTTCAACACATAAGTGGAAGCTAAATGTTCACATCTCTCACTGTTCTGCTCCCTCCCCAAAAGCAGTCAACAGTCACAGCTCCCATTGGTTTCCCTCTCTGCTCTGTTTTCCACCAGTCAGACCTGGTCCCTGGGGCTGTTCTCCTGGTCTAACTGGGAATGACTCTCTTTTTGCTCTGGTTCAGACTCTACAACATTAGAATTTTTCAAAAGGAAACAAGCCAAGCAAAATTCGAATTGAAGGGATACAAAATTATAGACATTATGCTCAGATAAGTAGAGATTAAACAGTATAGCATCACTTTCTTGGTTCATATGCTCTAAGTCCTTCCTCTTGGCAATGGGTAGTTAGTGGCATGCCAGACCAGGCTACCCAGACCCCTAGTTAGAGGCAGAGCAGGTCTTCGGGAGCCTCTATCCTTACGAGAGCCAGATTTTTGGCCTTTTATTGGACTGCAGGCCCCAGCATGTCCCCCCTGCCATGATACCCTTTGGCTCTGTAATTTTCTCTGCCCCCAGGGTTGTGCCATGGTCACTGGACACCTAGTGAAGAAAGTAGCTTCCTAAATGCCCCCCAAGATTCTGCCCTTGGGCTACAGACTGCCTTCCAGATGTCTCCTCTCTCCTCCCTGGCCTCTATGCCCTTGGACATCTGTGTTGCTGTTAACAGGCACTAATAAATATTAATGAAATGAAATTTAAGTCCTACTTTTGCTGCCGACCCATTTATCTTTCCTTTGCATCATTTGCCTGAAGCATATGCACTAGCCAGTTATTAAAGCTAGACCAGCCTTTTTGGAGAAGTTCAACTTCACCTATTGTTGTAGGTTAGTATCTAGGCCTAGTGTCTCCAGGGCCATGTGACCACCATGTTTGGTGTCTTTACTCAGAAGCATCTCTGCCACAGCCCAAATCCAACTTTCTCTGCCTCAAAAGCACAGCCTCCTCTATGGCCTATATGTGGACTTTTGTTTCTGGACAGAGGGATGTCCATACTTCTCAGCCTGTTGACTAAGCAGAGATAGCTGTCTTCCTCTACCAAGTGGTTTTTAGAAATGTCTTGGAGCTTTTGAAAAATACGATGACCAGGCTTCACTTCCTAGATTGTGATTTAAATGGTCTGGGATTAGGCCCATGCATGAGTCTGTTTCAAAAGCTCCCAGGTGATTCTAAAATGTAGCTAGGCTCTGTGATCACTGCCCTAACCCGATGGAACGACCAGGTTCATCCTCATTTGGATTTTCAACTGCCTGGCACCACCGGGGCTCTCTAGTGACACATACAAGTCCCCCTTTTCCACACTTACCCCTTCACTCAGAAGAGGGTGAAACAATAGAAAACTGTTCTAAATATAGGAAAACAATGGCAAGGCAAAGAGGAGAGTCCCCCTGCTATCAGAGATGTGTCTGGGAAGTCAGGATTTGGTGTCTAAATACAGAGGGCTGAGGAAGCCAACAGTATTCTTCGGGTAAACTGGGAAGTCTCTGTAGAAGGCACAGAATTTTAGGAGATGTTTGCATGATGGAAAGAGTTTCTGGGAGTGGGGAGGATGCCGCATGTATGGTGGATCTTGGAAGAAAGCTAGAGGGAAATGAGGAAATGAAGCAGTGTTGTAGGTACCTTTTGTTGGGGTATCGGTGACTCTAGGGGAGGAGAGCAGGTGAGAAATTCCTGCCTAAGATGATTTTACATTTCATTTTTTAAATTATGTTGAGAACAAAATTAGATGTTAGCTTAAGAAGGCCTATAAATGCATTTTTTTCTGAGATGCGAATGCATTTCATTTGAGTGTTTTCTGAGCCTTTCCTGTTGCCATTAGTGATTTTCTCCCTGATGTCAGGGTCCATCAGGTATTTTTGTGGAAGAGGTTTCTAAGGGAAATTTGGAGAGGTGGATCAGGAAGAGAACTGAGCGATATCAGGCTGAGCTCCTTCCTTCCAGTAACCAGGGTGGAGCTAGCATGACACTTTATGCATCTTTTACATTTCCAAGCATAGAGGGAGGGAGGGAGGGAGGCAGGAAAGGAAGGAAGGAAGCAAGGAAGAAGGAAGGAAGGAAGGAAGGAAGGAAGGAAGGAGAAGAAATCTCAGGATAAGCTGGAGAGGAGTTATACATTGTTATCAGGGAGAAGTAGGAACAATAGTTCCCAGTGGGTGAAACCCTGGGTGTAAGACTGGTTGCATAATTTTCAGGGCCCAGTGAATATTGAGAATGTGTAGCTTGGGCAATGTAATGAGACTTCATCTCTACAAATAATAAACAAAAAATTAGCTGGGTGTGGTGGCACTCTCTTGTGGTCCCAGCTACTCGGGAGGCTGAGGTGGGAGAATCACTTGAGCCCAGGTGGTTGAGGCTGCGGTGAGCTATGATAGCACCACTGCATTCCAGCCTGGGTGACAGAGCAAGAGAGTGTGGACTCCCTTGTTCAAAAATTATTAAGAATTTCAAAACAGTGAAAGCAGAGCATCAAACCAAGCTGGGGGCCCTTCTAAGCATGCCCATGACATACAGTCATGCGACCCTGGAGCTAGTCCTGGCTGGGTAGGAGAAGGGGGCATGCATGTGCAGCAGCTTTTGGGGGCTGATCCTTGAGTTACAAAATGGGGCTGGAGCCCAGAGGGCTGTGGTCTCTGAGGCATGTCTACTGAAGGAGCCCACCCAGGAGGCTCCCCCACCACCTTTCCTGGCCTGGGCCAGCTCAGCTGAGTTCATTCCATTCCTGTTTCCCTCCCCCAGGGCTCAGAGAGAACAGATTGAGAAGGAGCGGCTGGAGGAGGAGAAAAAGGCCACAGGGCGCTTACAGCATGCCAATGAGCTCCGGCGCCAGGTGCGCGAGAACCAGCAGAAGGAAGTGCAGAACCGGATTGCCACCTTTGAGGAGGGCCGGCGCCTCAAAGAGGAGGCCCAGAAACGCCGTGAGCGCATCGATGAGATCAAGAGGAAAAAGCTTGAAGAGCTGAGGTGCGCTGGAATCTCCTCCTTTCCCAAATCCTCTTCCCTCCCGCAAAGAGATGGCACCACAGGCTGGAAAGCATGGGGATTTGGGGGTGAAGGGCCATGGCAGAGATGCTCAGGGAGAGGCTCTTCTCCCCACCCAGGGCTCATCCCTCTGAAGGGGGCTCCAGCAGAAAGTCCTGGGATGGGGTCTTGCTGGCTCTCTGGGAGCTCCTTGGCAGGATGCTGGAGCCTTGGCATGAATGTGTGTTTCGGGGGTGGATTGTGAGAGCAGGGTTGGGGGGTGCAGGCCCCCAGGTTCTGTAAACCCCACCCAGAGCCTGCTTCCTCCCACCTCCTGTCTGGTCCAATACCTTTCCTTATACCTGCCTGCGTTTCCCCGGCAGAGCCACTGGCCTTCCCGAGAAGTACTGCATTGAAGCTGAGCGCAAAGCTAACATCCTGCCAGCTACCTCTGTGAACTGAGGGGAGCCTTCGTGGCCCTCAGGATGCCTTCGGGGGACAGATTCTGCCCAGTCTCTGGGCATCCATAATTGCTGCTAACCTAGACATTTCATAGTTACAGATTAAATCTACTTGACTTTAAGGAACAGCTTGGCTTTCTTGTGGGAATGTGGCTGCTACAGGGTACTGAAGGTGGAGTAAAATAGGATGGGGGGAACCCGAGTGTGGGTGGTGTGGGGCTGAGGGTAAGGGAATGGGAAGATGCTCTTTTATGATGGTTTCTCCTAAGCCAGGAGGTCCCTTTGTCCTGGTGTCTCCTGGCCTTTTTGTGATTCCCTGGGATCACAATCTTGTCTCAGCTCCACCCTGACGCCCAGTTCAGAAGCATTTCAGGGCATTGAGGCAGAGCTACAGTTGCCTCTCAGTGGGGGCTGGGGCAAGGCTTGGCCAGGCGGAGCTGGTGAAGGAGGCACCAGGGCCAGGTGAGGCAAGGCTCTTACTGGGATCACACCCATGACTCAGATCACATCTGTGGAGGGAGTGAAGTTTGAACCTGGGGCTCACTCTGCCTGTCTCAGCTCTCTCCCACCAGAACCCTTTCAATTCCAGGCAATGCTGCAACACAGACACAGGCCCATGCCCCACTAGGGCACACCAAGAGCCCTGCACTCCCCACCCTGCCAGTCCAGTCCCCTCACCCGAACTCAGCCCCTCCTGTGGCTGGGCTCTCCTCAGTCCACCTCACTCCCATAGGTGGGGCTCCCAAACCATTTTCGTCTGTTTTTAACTTGTCTCACTTTGCCCCAAACTATACTTTAATCATTCATTCACTTATTCAGATACTGACTGAGTGCCTACCACATGCCAGGTACATTTCAGGCACTCACTGAGCACAACAGACCTTGCTGCCCACTCAGAAGCTGCTCATTTATGCCGGTCTGCTCCTGTTTTCTCCCCTGAGCTGCTCCCACCAAATTTCTTGTACCTTTGGAATCATCTCTGCCTTTTTGGCCTCTCACCTGGTTGTCAGGTGCCCCTTTGGGGCTGGACTGCTAGCTTCTAGGGATGGAGCCATGTACCCTGTTTTTGTATGCCTAGGGGAAAGGGCTTTCCTCCAGCTGCTGTGACATTGAGGTCCCTCTCTACCCCTGGGGATGGATTCATCTCTCAAATCCAGAGCCCAGTCTTGCCTTCCCTGATGGGCCCTGCACTAGAGGAGGTGAGGAATCTGTTGGGTGCATCCTGGATGTTTACAACTCCAGGTTACAAGGGCCTCAGGCAAGAGTCCTCTTTTCATAGGGCCCAGGGAGAGTCAGTAAGCTGTTTCCTGTGCTTCCTTTTCCTCAGGACAGCCACAGCTTCCCCAGGTGCCTTCTCCACCTTTTCCACCAGGAAAGATTGTTGCCCCGCCCGACCAACTGTTTGGGAAAGAGGCTTTCTCACCGTCCCTGCTCAGCACCTTTAACTGCAACCCTCCTTCCTAGGGAAGCTGATGCCTTCCTCCCTAGGGGTCTTGGGAAGATGTGGTACCCAGCCTCGGATGGGAGAGAAGACATGGCAATGCCGCTGAGGATTCTGGGACTCATCTGCAGTTGGGGCACTGGCAAAGGTTCTCTCTGAGCATCACCTGTTGCTTAGCTGATGCCTGCAGGGACCAGGGAACAAGGCTTTGCCTAGTTCAGGAGACACTCTTTCCCAGGAAAGCTAGAAAGAGCCTGGGTGCTTAAGAGTTTGCCTAGGCTCACACCTAAGTCTTCCATCTCAGGGCTGGAAAAAATGGGCCACTATGGAGAAAGGATTGAGGAGAAAGGGGGTTCCACACCCACTGCTAACTTCTGAGCCCACTTAGACAAAAATGGGCCAACATCACAGGTTGACAGTAAGGCCAGCATTTGACCAGAGCTGCTGCTGGTGAAAATGTAGGTCTTTGGGTCCGGGAAGATCCCAAAGCCTTACTAAAAGTGAGTGAGACTGTCGACTGGGCCTGGACACAGGGGCAGTTATAGGTTACGTGAATAAAGGTCTGGCTTTGGAGAAGAGAGAATATAGCCACTTCTGAGCAAGTGAAGATGGTTTGGGAGAGAATCTCAGGGCTCTGCCTCAGGGTTGACCCTTTTACTCTCATCAGGAGTTCTCCATCTTGGAATTGGCCCATGAAGTAGAACAGAGTTTCAATTTCTTCTCTTGGGATTCCTAAGAAGTCACACCCAGGCTTTCATGGGCTCCAGAACTAGTCTGAACCAGTAAGAATCTAGTTCTAAGATGCCTGACACTCTTGAGAGCCAGGCAGGTAGTTGGGATCTGAGGCCAGTCAACTACATCTCAGCAATCTTTTATAAACCCTCTACCAATCTCACTCAGAAATGGCAGTGGGGATAATTACAGAGAAATCTCCCAGTGTTAAGTGGGGACTGGTGGGGTTAGGCTGCATGATAGTAGTGGCAGACTCAGCAGGACACTGTGTGAGCTGAGCCTGCAGAGTAAGGCTAGGGCCTGGAGACAAAGAGAAAATGGGCATTCTTCTGAGGACTCCAGTGGGTTCCTAGGCTCAGTCTTGCTGCTAGAGGTTGGACCTTTAGTGGAGGTGCTTTCTGCTGAGGAGGTTTAAGCTTTCCCCTTCTCATGCTCAAAGGTGGAGATGGTGAGCTCTGTGTACTCCTCTAAGCCACTGAATCAACACAGGGCTGTGTGAGAGGCTGTAAGAGATAAGTAGGAAGTGCAGTTTGCTGCATCATCTTTGTTAATATAAAGCCTTTTTTCTTAATTGCCAACACTATTATTGACATTGTTATATGGGTATCTGATCTTTTCATATCTACTTTTTACATTATTTTATGTATAAAGGTACATATTAGCTTCCCGTGGACTTCCCAGCCCCCTGTCTTCTGCCTTGGGGGTCTTCCAGCCCTTATAATGTCAGACTGAACTAGTCCACTCTAGGGAATCCAGGGGTTGGGCTCCCTGCCGGGGCACTGAGTCAGATCAGCAGGCAGTTGCCTCCCAGGCATGTGCCTCCTGGCTCCTGGCTGGGCCCTATGTCCTACCTGCCCACATGTGCCTGTTGTGGGTTGGAGGCGGTCTCAGTACTTTTGCATCTGCGGCAGAAGCAGCTCCAGCTGGATGTGACTCAGCAGCTGCCCTGGTAGCTAAGCCATGCTGTCCCTGACTCAGTGGGGTGCTGGGATGTCCTTTACTACCCCTGAAAGCCTCAGCACCCCCACCTGTGACTCGAGTCACAGCTGGACATTACTTGGTCTCAGTAAAAGCATTTGGATTAGGCTCAGATGAAAGGGGCTGAGAGAGTTCAAAGACAGACAGGGCTTTCAGGGTGAGGACAAGTGGCCGTGGTTTCGGTGATGGTGGAAGGAGACGCTGGAACCTCAGACAAGAAGTCTGGATTTGTGGGCTGTGGAGACTCAGGGACAGTGAGCTCCTCACTCTATCTCTCACTCTCTCTCCTCCTAACTGCTGCTTCTGCAAAGAGTGGTAGCCTGGCAGAGAACTGTGAAAGAAGCAGATGGCTCACTGCAGACCATAGGTCTCTTCCCCTCCTGGGCTGCTGCCTATGGCAACCTGCCTCCCCTACCAGACTCTGAGATATGTCAGGGGAAATCATGCCCAGGTTACCTGGAAGGTCCTCATTTCTGACACTGCTGAGTTATTCCTGAGTTATTCTTGATTTGTCTGGCTTTAAATAGCTCAGACCTTCCCTCTGTCCTGGCCCCAAACCTCACATCCCTCCCAGTTGGGACATTCTCCTTGAGGCGCAAGCTCTGTGTTTCTTTTTGCATTCTCACCCATGTCCTCTTAAGAAAGGGCTAGTCATCATCTCAATACCTTTTGACAACTTTGAGGCTGGACAGGAGTAGGGTTGAGATTTTAGAGGGCTTTCTCAGAAGACTCCCAGAAAGAAGAGTCAGAAGTGGGTGAATGGAAGTGAGGAGCAGAAGGGCTGGGCCTGGAAGAACCTGTCCAGAGCCAATGAATTTTCTGCATGGTCCCTGGGAAAGACTTCCCTGGGTAGTGGGGATGGACACCAAATCTTAGAATCTCAAAGCAGAAAGGGACCCCAAAGACCCTCTGATGCTTGAATATCCTTTGTAAACTCTAGTCAAATGGTTGGACAATCTGAGCTTGTACATCCTGAGAGACAGGGCGCTCACTACCTCAAAAGGCAACCCAAACCATCTCAGATTCGCCCTGATGCCCAGAAGTTTCTTAATATTGAGTCAATATGTCTTCCTGTGTATCCAATGTGTGGACCGAGTTCTGCTCTTTGTGACCACACAAGGCAGGGCCAGGCTCCTTTTACATGATATTTCTTCAGATATCTCCTACCCTGGCTGCTGTGCAGCCTGACTCTGAGGGGAAGTGCCTGTCATTATAGAAACACAGGGCTCTCCTGAGCATTTCAGGGAGGGGAGGAAACTGGGAGAAGTGGGGAATCTTCAACTTTATCCCTTGGGCTGGGCCTGCTGTTCTCCTGCCAGGTAATACTTCTGCTGTCGCTGCAGCCCTAGCAGCGCTCTGTTGCCTCTGAGCCCCGCCCCTGTGGCACCACCTTCCCCTTGACTCCTTCTATCCCAGTGTGCAGGCAACAGGAAACAAATACAGAGGGCAGAGCAAGGATTGGTCAGGACGGGCTTAGTGAGAAAGGCTCTGAACGAGACACACACCAGCTGCAGCTTCGTACTGACGCCTGCCAGCTCCTACACACCTTCCTGGGCAACTGCCAGCGGGGCAAGGCAGGCCTGGGGCCACCCTGCAGGTCAAGGGGCACCACAGTTCCACTCTGTAGATACGTGTTTGGGGAATCCAGATGGCAAAATCAAAGGCAAGTTTTATTTCTACAAATTAAAATGTCAAAGTCCCATTGGACCTGTGGATTAATTCATCTCAAAGTTTCTCTCCCCATAAACAGACAGACTCATGGTTCAGGACAATCAATTTTAGTTGCTTAATCCACCCGATGGCCTGGCTCTGATCCCAGTGAGGTGCTCTGGTGTTCTGGGTAGAAGGTCCCAAGAGGTTCCGTTCTCAAGGATCTTCCTTCCTCAGTTAAAAAATAATCGTCAGCTGTCACTCCTGGCTTTGCTCTTCTCAGTCCATGTCTGGCAGGGACCTGGCTTACTTACCAAGCCCAGAAATATTCCCCTGGCCTCCTCTCTCCACCCGCTACTCTTTTCTCTGGCACGCCGTTGTTAGTTATCCTTCAGATCTCGGCTTAAACATCATTGCCACTAAGTCAGGGGCCTTGCACGTATTACTGCATCTTACCACATTGCGGGCCAGGAGCTATTTCCGTGTCAGATGGGGTGTTCTGTGAGGATAGGGACTGAGTCTCCTTAATTGCCATTTCCCCAGGGCCTAGCACAAAGCCTGGCTGTTTGCTGAATGAATGAAGGTTCTGCAGGATGTGGTTGATCTTGGCGAGGTGAAGATACCTTTATCTTCAAAGCCTCTTCATTCTTCCTCAGATCTGTCATCAGGGAATCACATAGCCTTTACAAGCGATTTCTTCTCGCCTCCACTCATTCTCTTGCTAACAATTCAGTTGGTGGCATTCAATCGCCTCCCTTTGCTCTTGTGCTTTGTTGATGTAGTGACAACTCCAGCCACTCCTTTAATTGATGGGGACTATGTGTGTGCTGCTTGCTCTTCTGAGTCTGTCAGCTTCAGGACATTGCTTGATGGGAGAGATGTGGGCATATCCAGGCTCCTCCTAGAATCCCACTTCTTCTGAAGTGTACCAGTCAGAACCACTGAGGTTTGGGAAACCTAAGCAGGAGCTTGGGGAGTCCCTGTGTCACCTGTGTTCACGGCTCTTCCCTGCCAGCTTTGATTTGAGCCTTAGTTTCGAACCCAACCCACACCCTCAAACTTAGCCCCACATGTCGATCTCATCCCTCTCTGTAACCAGAATCCGACGTTGTCCCATCACCACCCATGCAACCTCTGAGCCCCCTGCCCTTCTCATGCAACCATGGCCTCACCTGGCAGACCTCCACCTCCAAATCATCACTGAAAGCTGGGTGGACAGACAGCAGCTGCAAGGCTCCTTGGCTTCTCTGTGACTCTTTGCCTATCCATTGTCACTCACAGCTTCTGCTCCCAGAGTCTTACCTCAGAGGTTTCCTCTGCAGGACAGCTCCTCCCTGGGTGCTGCAGGGTGAGCCCTGGGCTACATGGGGACTTGGGAGAGGGGGCTGAGGAGCTTGCTGACTGTGTGGGGAGGAGTTTAGAATGAGTCAAATTGCAGTGCCAGCCAAGGCAGGGGTTGTGGGGAGCTTGATTGAGCCTGAGCCCAGGGAGTCTGGCGGCCACTGAGAGGGGTTGGGGTGGGCAAGTACAGGCAGGGGAGGGCAGGGCTTAGAGGAGTGGGGTGGAGTTGCCATGAAAGGGACTTTGGAGGAAGAATAGGCTTTGGAGGAAGAGTAGGCAGCCCAAGCCCTCTGTCCGTCCTTCCCAGAAAGGTTCTGGGGCTGGGCTGCACTTCATCTGGTAAGCAATCTGTGGCCTTCTCTGAGTTTTTGTCCAGCCTCTTCCTACCTCCTGTATCTCCCTGTTTACTCCTTTCTAAGCCAGTCTTTGATTTTCTGTTACTGTCTTAGAATAGAAGCAAATACCAGTCAAAGCAGGGCCATTCTTCCCTGGAGAGTCATGGATTTCTTAGGAAAAAGCAAGGGGCCCTTTTGGAAATTTGTATTGGTTCCCAGCTCGTGGCCTGGGCCCTCTGCCTCCTCTGTATCCCTCTGAGTCTCTGGAGGGGCCATTTAGACCATGTGTCTTTCTGTCTGCCTCTGTCCCTGTCTCTGTCTTTGCCCCTTAACTCATCACTATCTCTCCCAATCTCTTTCTTCTCTCTCTCTGGGGTCACAGGGGGAACCCCAGTAGTCTCCTGGACCAGACCTTTATAAAACCTGAAAAGGAAGTGGGTGGGGAAATGAGATGTTTGGGCTGGAGACTGGTTGGGGAAAAATGAGAGGGAGGAATTGGGACGGGGTCTTCCTAGGAGTGGGGCCCTCTTCCACTGCTGAGGATAAGGCCCAGAGACTTACACGGACTGTGAGCTGGGCCCAGAGGGAGGGGACTGTAGGACTGTGACATATGCTTTGGAAACTATGCTGACACCCCAGTGCCTTCACCCCATCCACAGCCTCCCCACTGCTGCCCTCCCTGAAAACCCTGCAGGGCTCAGGGTTTAGGGCTGGAAGGCTGACAGCTTCTTTTATAGGACTCAAATTGCAAGAAGGTAGCAATTAAGCCTCAGAGGGTCAAGGGGAAACAACAATGGCACTCTGCCCTTTCAGGCTTTGAAAGACCCCCATGTGGTGCCCCATAAAGTGGCTGTTCTAGGAGCATGTAGGCCCTCAGTTTCTCCCAACTCCCATCTCCTAAGGACTCCAAATCCAGACCACCCCTCCTCCCCACTCAGTAAGACTCCCTCTGATGGACCCCATCTTCTAGTTCGGTTTGGTGTCAGAGCCCAACTCATTGTCAGTAGCTTCCTGCGTCTCCTCCCCAGATGTTTTTCTGGAGCTTGGCCAGGTGGTGAGCTTTAGTAGTGGAGCAGGACTTCAGAGGGTCCATTCTCTATGGGATTTAGTTGCCTCATACCCCTTAGATGGGCTCGTGTACATTTGGCTTCCTCCTCCAAGTCTTGGGACCCCAATCAACATGTGCCATTAGTAGTCTCCCCGCACTAAGGATTGAAAATTCTAGCCAAACCTGGATTTAGCAGATGGAGGCTGAAGTCTTTCTATATTAGAAATAAAACCTCATCTTTGATCCCCATCAACTCCCGCTGCTTACGTGTCTTTAAACCATGTTCCAACCCTAACCACAGCCTATTTCAATGTGAATCTCAAACTTAGTTCTAACCCAATGCTAAATCAATCTAAACCCAGCCTTTGATTTAGCCCTAACTGTATTCCCAGGCAGAGCTGTAAATGAAACTAAAACTCTATTCCTTATCGTAACACAAATCCCAGCCATAAACCTGAGCCTCAATTCTAGCTGTATTTCTAACCCTAATCCCAACCTTAACTCTAATCCCAACCTCAAATCTGACCTCAACCTCATTCATAATTCAACTAACCCCAAACTTAACCCCAGCTCTAACATTAGCCCACATCCAGAACCCAATTAAATCTGAAGCCTGCACTGTAGTTTAGTGGAACCACAATGTTACTGCTTTCTCCTCAATCTCTCTGTTCGTGGTCTGACCTGTTTTCCCTCCCACTCACCCTGACCTTCCATGGTTCTTGTTCGTGAGTGGGTCTAGTAATCCACAGGATCACCAAGACCATTTTTTGGACCTCTCTGGACTGACACCCTGGGTACCTGGGTATCCCAGCTTAGGCACCAGCCGCATTGGCTGAATCCCCATGTTTCTCCAGGTCTCTGTTTCCCCATCTGTAAAATGGGGATAATGATCCCTGCTCTTCAAAGGGAGCAGGACAATCCCATAAACCTAAAAATAAATAAGGAAATAAAGATATTCATTGTGTACATCTGGTAGGTCTCAGAGCGCCCTGTTATTGTTGGGAGTTCAGGTGCAACGGCTTGGAATGCAGAGACGCGTGGACTCCTTGTGTTTCCTTAATGTTCTGACTTATTTTTCCCCAGAGGGGTGGGCCCTGGCAGCATCCCTGAGCCCCATAACTCTCCCTAACACTCTTCCTCCTCTGCCCTTTCTGTGCCCCATGGTAGGGATGGGGGCAGTCCCTGACTCCTTTGAGGGAGTTGAGCTATTGAATGGGGTCACTCATGTCCTGACTCCCACCATGGAGTCCAACAAGGCACATGCCCATTCTGTCCCCCTTAGACAAGCCAACAAGGGGTGGCCCTTCACTTGCTCCCCATGCCTACCAGGACCCTCCCCACCCCAGCACGAACTTACCCAGAACTGTGCTGGTTTAGTCAGCCCGATGACCAGTCCAGGTTATGAGGGTCCTTGGTCTCAAGGACCCAGTTAATACTGGGACTGCATTAACCCTCAAGACCTGGCTACTCTTTCTGGGCAGAGAAGCCAGGACACCAAGCGATCCCTCAAGAAGTTCACTCAGAGGGGCTTAGCCATCCTCACAGAGACACCCTGACACAGACATCCTGCCTCCCTCCCACAGACATTGCTGAGGGGTGCACACGCTTACACAGGCACCCCCTTCCCTGGTCCTCTTGGCGCTGTTCTCTCCAACACTCCCTCACTAGCCCATCAGTCACCTTACTCCTAGCACACACCCTGGACCCCCCATAGCACCCCTGCTCCCAGGGGTCCCCTACACTTGGGGATGGCCTTGAGTCGAGTATGGGTGTGGAGGACAGTTCCAGAGGGGACAGCCAGGAGGAGACTCTGTTCCTGCACACACCCCTTCTCTCCTCTTTCAGCTCAGGAGGCCTGAGTCCCTTTGAAAGGCCTGAAGCCTGGGGGAAGGTGGGCTGGACACTCCTGGGGAACCCTATGCCCTGGGATCAGGATTAACTCTTCAGGTCCTGGCCACTCTTTCTCCCAAGCCTGGCTTCTCCTTCCTCTTCCCCACTTCCCCCAGGGAAGGAGGCAGCAAATGAGTGGTGAGGGGAGCCCTTGGAAGCTGTAAATGAGGTGACTGTTGTCACCCTGAGGATGTGGCCAGGAGGAAGTGAAGTTTAACAGGTGCCTAATTACAAGTCCCGCTGGCTGTCCTGTGCCACTCTTAGGACAGGGAAGAGCTTGGGTGAGGGCTGGGTAATGCCCAGGTAGGCCACCCTGTCACCCTGCTAATTAGGGTTCCTGGGACTCCTCCCCAAGGCGGGGACCAGGCCCCCTCCCTCCCATAGAAATAACTCCAGCTGCTCCCCAGCTGGGCACTCATTGCACCTTCCTGCCACCCCAGGCAGTGTCTGGGCCCTCAGCTCCCCCTCCCTCCACCTACCCCCTCACACCCACCACTACGACCCCACGGGATACCCAGCCCAGACGGAGGAAACACCGAGCCTAGAGACATGAGAGTTGGAGGAGCATTCCACCTTCTACTCGTGTGCCTGAGCCCAGGTACGGGGCTGGGCAGGGGGCAGGGTAGCCAGCATGAGGCTAGGTGGGAAGGAAAGGGGCAGCAAGGGCTCACAGTGGAGCCTGGGGCTGCCTGAGTTGCCTGGCAGGGTGCTGCCCACCCTTGCCCTGCTGCAGCCGGGTGTGGGTATTACCAGGGGACCTTTCCCCAGGAGACCCTGTGCCTGATGTTCAGGGTGTGTGTCTGTAGTGCAGAGGTCTTTGAGTGGATCTTTATATGTCCCCTGTCGGGCTCACACATGTGTGCAGGTGCCCTGCAAGCTCATGCCGTGACTAGGAGGAGAGGGATTGATTGCTCTGCAGGAGCTGGAGGTGGGGTAGGAGAGGGGTAAGCACGGGCATTGGGTGAGGGCTCAGGAGGAGCTTGGGAAGGATCAATTTTCATCAGACTGTGTGCTATTCCCAACGCTACTCCTTCTCTCCCAAGGCCAGGGCCAAGGGGCAGGGAAGTCACTTGCCTTGAAAGGGCAAGAGACTAAGTCTGGTGTAAGTCTGAGTGGTTTCTTCCATCATGGCCAGTGACAGCTCAGGCCTGAGACCTCAGCCTTGGGCCCCCTGTGCTATGACAGGGCAGTGCCCCACTCTAGGATGAGGCCTGAGGGTGGTGGGGATGGCAACTCCAGAGACTTCTCACCCCACCAGGACAGGTCCACAGGGCAGGGCTCAAGTTTGGACATTGTGGCTTCCTGCCCAGGTTGGGGCAAGTTCCACCAAGGGGCATTCTATGCCAACATCACTGGAAAGGGCTCCGAGTCCCTCTTGCAGTCTGGATTTGGGATGAAGGGGCATGAAGGAGGAATTTGGGAAGGCGGGGTGACATTTTCAGCCTTTGTGTGAGCGTGAATGTGTATGTGAGTGTGTGGGTGCGTGCACCTGCATGGGAATGATGACATTTCCGGCAGGATAGCTGCAGCCCTTCTCTGTCTGATGAGAGCAGGGCTGGCAGAGTCCACTCGGGAGGCTCCAGCTGTGCTGTGGGGACCCGGACTTCCCCCTGTGTGGTGTGTCAATGGGTGTGTGAGGACAACTCAGCACTGGCTGCATTAACGCATCAATACCCTCAGCTGGAGCCGCCTTTTCTCCCCTCCCTTACCTCCAGAGGGAAGATCAGGAGTTCTGGAAGCACCTTGAAGATTCAGAAAGAATTTGCAAGCAGAGAGTAGGCACCACTATTGAGATGACACCCCGTAAAGCATGGCCAGTTTCTGGTGCTTTTGGGGGGCAAAGAATCACCACTGTCCTCTTCCTTGGAGAGCCCATGTGATTCCTCCATTCCTGTCTCTCCTCAAGTCTCCCATCCAGCTCTCTCTTCCACTTTGCCTTTCTTCCCTCTCTCCAGCCTCTCCTCTCACATTCCCTGTAGTACTTCCTTAGTGCTACAGCAAGAGGAATCAAGGTGAGACATTAGGAGCAACTTCCCAAGGAGAGGGAGGGGTGCGGAAAGGCTGGAACCCTTGGGAGGAGGTTGAGAAGACTTCTAAGGAGATAGAAAAGCTGGGTGAGGCTCCCTGGTCTGGGACAATTGAAGAATCTCTCAGCCTGGTGCAGGGTGGAGGTGCTTTTCTTGCAGCCTGTCGCTCCTTCCCAAGCCCCTCTCCCTGAATGCTTACCATCCTGCCTGGCAGGCTCCTATGGCATGGAGAGAGTCCTTCCTGTGTGGGTGCTTCCAGCGGTGCTTCTCCAGGGTGGAGCCTCTGCTCTCAGCCGAGTTCTGGCTCATCCCTGGCTTGCCTTGAGCAGCCTCAGGATCTGGCAGATGGCAGCAGGATCCTTATCTCAGGAATGAGCTGTTGTTCTCTTGGCCTGGAGCTGGAAGAGGCATCACTAGGTCCCGTTAGAGCCCCAGCAGTCAGCCTGCCTGCTCTGGGTCACCTTGGAGTCTAGCTGGGTTATGACAGAGCTGATGGCCCAGCCAGTGTTCCTAGGGGGGATGTTCAGGGATCCCTGAGCTGTTGAGGGTGTTGAAAGGGCCCTTGCTGGCCTCTCTGGAGCCAGGCTAAGCCTTCCTGGCAGGGCTTCCATAGATATGTCTGGTCTTGAATGAACACATACAGGGACTATATGAACACACGGTGGGTGTGTCTTTTGAATTAATATGTTCTGTGTTTGTGTGCAGATTGTGTCTGTGTCTGAATGAATCTATATAGTGTCTGTGTTTGTAGGAAGGTGGGGCCATATAGGTATGTATCTGCATTTTGAAGCCTTGTAAGAGTGGGCCACGTGCCGATTTGTTTGCCTGTGATGGTGTAATTGTGTGTGTGCATGTGTGAGATCTCTATGTGTAAACATGGTCCTGAGCCACATGATAGAACAGAATGATTGCTGAGACCTGGGGCTGTGACTCCAGAAGACATGTTGACTCAAAAAAGAACGCAGACGGAGAGTGTGTGAGGCCTGGTGAGGGGCCTGCAGAGGCAGGGTTGCTGGAGACTGGGAGGTGGAGGGCAGAGTGTCCAGGGTGGGGCCCTGGCTACACCCCCCGGTCTTATCCCTCTCTAGGTCCAACCGGTTGGGGATAGGCCTGCCTGGGGCTTCAGGGTAGGGAGGGACAAGAGCTCAGTCCTGAGCTCCTGGGTCCTGGGATCCTGGCTCCTCACCCAGGATTGCCTGCCACTGACTCAGTGGCAGGAGGGGCCTCACTGGAAGCCAGCTTGTGGGGGCAGCTGCATGCGAGCCACACAATCACATAAGAGGAAGCACACACAGTACGCAATGCTGTGTAGTCAAGAAAGACTCACAATGTCCTACAGATACCTGTGGCCATAGTCCCAGGCACACACCATCACTCACTATCACACACGAACACAGCCAGGCTCCTGGTCACAGCTGTCCACTGTCATGCACAAGCACACACTGTCACTTTTAAGCACTTACATAGCTCACATGGTCACACATCACTATACAAAACCACACAGAGGCATACAGCCACAGACTCACACTGTCATACACAGACACACATAGACACACTTAGTCTTTGGCTTCTCAGGCTGGAGAGGAGTCCCAGAAGCCATTGTAACCACCCCGCTGCCTCTGGACAGGAGGACTTCACTCAGCCCAGACAGAGCCCACATAGGTGACATTTAATCAGCCAGGCTCTTCTATCAGAGCATTTAACAACTCTGTGTGTACCACATGCCTTCACACACACAAACACATCCACACTATCATATAAATATATAAGCAGACACGCTACGTGGTCATGTACATGAATATCCTCACAGTACACATAAGCAGCCACAAATACTCATAAGCATACAATGTACATACGTGTACATATTCATACATGCATACACATAATCATATATACATACAAGCATACATAACAGCTACATATATAACAGCTATATGTATAGCTGTTATATGCCTGTGACAATTCATGCACACACACATACACACCCACTACGAGCAGCCCTCCTTTTTATGAAAGCACTGCTGACCTCTGGGTGCCGTGGACAGAGAATATGAAGGGAAGGGCTGACACTGACTCCTCCTGAAGCCCTGCTTCTGCTCCTACCACCCCATCTTCTCTGCCCTCCCCCTAGCACTGCTGTCTGCTGTGCGGATCAACGGGGATGGACAGGAGGTCCTGTACCTGGCAGAAGGTGATAATGTGAGGCTGGGCTGCCCCTACGTCCTGGACCCTGAGGACTATGGTCCCAATGGGCTGGACATCGAGTGGATGCAGGTCAACTCAGACCCCGCCCACCACCGAGAGAACGTGGTGAGTGCTGGGCACAGGGGTCTCCTTCCTCTAGGCTTCATGATGTCTACCTGTTGGACAGCCAACATCCCAAAGGGAGAAGACTGACCTTGAACCTCCCCCAAGGCCTTTCAGGGAATGAGGCAATGGGGATGAGAGCTCTGCAATTGTGAATTAAGCTAGCCAGTCAGTCTACCTCCTCCCATCCCATTCTAAAAGGAAGATAAGTTGTAGTCTTTGCCTTCAAAAAGTTCCCAGTCTGACCATATATCTTTCCAAGTGCTTGATCTCACCTGATCTCACCAGTTCTGTAAGAGGTCAGTGGCTCAGGCATCATTATTCTCATTTTTTCAGCTGAGAAAAGAGTCTCAGAGAAGTTCAGTGAATTGCCCAAAGCAGCCAATCCACATGGCCCTTCTTGGCTCTGCCTGTTTCACCACCTGTTTTCCTCTCCTCTTCACAGTTCCTTAGTTACCAGGACAAGAGGATCAACCATGGCAGCCTTCCCCATCTGCAGCAGAGGGTCCGCTTTGCAGCCTCAGACCCAAGCCAGTACGATGCCTCCATCAACCTCATGAACCTGCAGGTATCTGATACAGCCACTTATGAGTGCCGGGTGAAGAAGACCACCATGGCCACCCGGAAGGTCATTGTCACTGTCCAAGGTATGGCCAGACTCCTCTAAGCTCCTCTCCCCCTGGCTTAAGAGCCAAGGGCAGCTTGGCCACTTTGAGCCTGGCTCTGTCTCTTGGCTGGGCCCTGGCTTACAATTGTCTGCCTCCTTGCAGCACGACCTGCAGTGCCCATGTGCTGGACAGAGGGCCACATGACATATGGCAACGATGTGGTGCTGAAGTGCTATGCCAGTGGGGGCTCCCAGCCCCTCTCCTACAAGTGGGCCAAGATCAGTGGGCACCATTACCCCTATCGAGCTGGGTCTTACACCTCCCAGCACAGCTACCACTCAGAGCTGTCCTACCAGGAGTCCTTCCACAGCTCCATAAACCAAGGTGAGAGGGCCCTGGATGAGGGCAGTCGGGGGTGAGTGGAAGATCAGGGACTCTGGGACCTGTTGGGGTTTCCTTGGGTTATCAGTGCCATCAAATCAAACCTGGAATCCCTGTGGGAGACCCTCCCTCTGGGCCTGCCCCAGCAGCTGCTATTTTTTTTTTTTTTTTTGAGACAGAGTTTCGCTCTTGTTGCCCAAGCTGGAGGGCAATGGCATGATCTCGGCTCACTGCAACCTCTGCCTCCCGGGTTCAAGCGATTCTCCTGCCTCTGCCTCCCGAGTAGCTGGGATTACAGGCATGCACCACCGCACCTGGCTAATTTTTTGTATTTTTAGTAGAAACGGGGTTTTACCATGTTAGCCAGGCTGGTCTCAAACTCCTGACCTCAGGCGATCCGCCCGCCTTGGCCTCCCAAAGCGCTAGGATTACAGGCGTGAGCCACCGTGCCTGGCCCAGCAGCTGCTATTGAGAGCAGATGATAAGGCAAATGTGGAGAGTCAGTCAAAAGTACTATGGCGAATTTGGAGGGAGCCTGGTCTCAGACAGAGCTGGGCTTGAATCCTGGCTGGGACACTGACTGGCTCCAAGTTTAAGGCAAGTGGCTTACCCTCCCTGTGCCTTAATTTCTTCATATATGGAAAGGGAATACTAACATATACCTTTCATGGGCATGCAAGGATTAAATGGGGGAGGTGTGTAAAGCTCCTAGTACATAGAGAAGCTGAAAATATTCAGTCAAACAAAGAATAATAGAGCTAGGAGGGACCTTAGAGTTCCTCTTCCCCTGGCTTCTCCTGTCCTCACTGTACAAAGGAGGAGACCAAGGCTCAGAGAGCGTACATATTTCCCTAAGGTCAGAGTGAATTAATGGTGTCCCTGTCTTGCTGCTGGGAGAGAGGTCCTTTCTTGCATCTCTTTCACAGCAGGGGGAAGGTGACTCACCTGGAGAGTGGAGTGTGTGTGTGTGTGTGTGGGTGTGGGTGTACACACATGCATAAGCCTTCCCTTCTTCTAGAGTGGGTGTCCCATCCCCCACCCCACAGGGACTGAGGTTGGGGTGGGAGCTCTCAGAGACCAGGCCTCTCTCCACTTCACTTTCAGGCCTGAACAATGGGGACCTGGTGTTGAAGGATATCTCCAGAGCAGATGATGGGCTGTATCAGTGCACAGTGGCCAACAACGTGGGCTACAGTGTTTGTGTGGTGGAGGTGAAGGTCTCAGGTAGGTGCAGCAGTCTTGAGGGCTGGGTGGTTGGGAGGGTTGAACTGGAGGAGGCTGGGCTCTGGTTTGGAGCCTCAGCTGCTTCTGCCTTTCCACTGCCATCCATTTGCCAGTGGGGGCTCCCAGCCCCTTTCCTACAAGTGGGCCAAGATCAGTGGGTACGATCTTGACCCTATTGAGCTGGGTCAAGCTCGCCCAGCACAGCTTCCACTCTGAGCTCTAGAGCCCAGAGCAGCTGGAAGCCCTGGGAGAAGCATGCTGACACGAGGGGTTAACTTGCATCTCCCCATATCTTCCCCACTGGGTGTTCCAGGGCTAAGAGACCCCCTGGGTCCCTCTCCCTCTTTCCCATTAACCCCTGACCTGGCACCTCCTGGTGCTGTTCCCTCAGGCACCTGCCAGGCTGTGAGAAAGCCTGACCTGCCTCCACTTCTCTCCACAGACTCCCGGCGTATAGGCGTGATCATCGGCATCGTCCTGGGCTCTCTGCTCGCGCTGGGCTGCCTGGCCGTAGGCATCTGGGGGCTCGTCTGCTGCTGCTGCGGGGGCTCCGGGGCTGGCGGCGCCCGCGGTGCCTTCGGCTACGGCAACGGCGGCGGGGTCGGCGGAGGGGCCTGCGGCGACTTGGCTAGTGAGATCAGGTAAAACCTGATGCATGCTGCATGCTGCTGTGCGGCAGGGAACCGGCGCCCTGCCCACCTCACTCCTGCCTGCCACCGGCCGGCTGGGCCCCCCACCCCAACCCTGCCCGCCATCGCCACGGAGTGCTGGGACTGCGGCATGTCGACCTGCCACCCAACTCATGGCTTTCCCCTCCCCCTGCCACCCCAGTCTTCACCTCTGCTCCCTGCCTTCCATTTCCCTCCTGCCTACGCACCTGTCTGTCTTGTCTAGACTGTAAGCTCCTGGAGGGCAGGGCCTATGTTTTTTCACGTTTCCCCTGTACTGCGCCGGTAAGAACTCTGACATTATTATTTAAGAAGAGCTAATAATAAGAATAGTGCTAATAACTTATATTAGAAGCAAACTAGAAATAAAAATAGAACAAGTCTAGTAGTGCTAATGATTGCAATGCCTCGGGGATGGAGGGAAAGATGGAGAAGACTGAGGGGCAGGAGGTGAGAAAGAGAGAGATTGCTCGAGCAAGGTCAGGATTAGCTAAGGAAAGAAGAAGAGGAAAAGCACCTTCTTCTGGGCCTGCGAAACATCAGAAAGGGATTGCAGGGGCCTGGAGGGGGCTGCCTGCAGGGCTCTCCAGATACGCGTGGACAAGCCCTGTCTGGAGGATGGGGATGCTGGCTCCGGGACCGCTGCAGGGTCGCCGACCCAGGAAGGGTCACAAAGGACAGTAGGTCGAGGCCGAGGGAGAGAGACGAGGGCAGGTGGAGGGAGGCGCGGGAGACAAGAGGTTGCCAAGAGCCCCCGGCTCTGCCCAGGCCGTGCCCACGCCCCGCTGCGGAGCAGCCCGCTCACCCGCCCGCCTGTTGTTTTCCACAGAGAGGACGCCGTGGCGCCCGGGTGCAAGGCCAGCGGGCGCGGCAGCCGCGTCACCCACCTCCTGGGGTACCCGACGCAGAACGTCAGCCGCTCCCTGCGCCGCAAGTACGCGCCTCCCCCCTGCGGCGGCCCCGAGGACGTGGCCCTGGCGCCCTGCACCGCCGCCGCCGCCTGCGAAGCGGGCCCCTCCCCGGTCTACGTCAAGGTCAAGAGCGCGGAGCCGGCTGACTGCGCCGAGGGGCCGGTGCAGTGCAAGAACGGCCTCTTGGTGTGAGCGCGCGCGCCGGGCCGGGCTGCGCCCCAGCCAGGAGGAGGGCGCGGGGCTCTCTGTCTGCAGCTGGGGACACGTCGGGGCTGGGGACGACCTCGCTCGCCCCAGGCTGCCAGGCGGCTGGGGGTGAAGGCATTTCCCTAAGGAAATGCGTAGGGAGGCAGAGCCTCCTCCCCAAAAGTGGGAAGGGGCGGGCGAGGGCGGAGGAAGGCGATCCTGAGCCTTCTCCGCACCCCCGGGACCGAAGGCTTGGGGGAGAGGGAGGGAGGAGGAGGCTGAGTGTCCTAGAGCGGCTGAGGCCGGAGGCCTGGTGTCCCCAGCCTAAGCAGAGGGCCCCGGGGGCCGGGTGGGTGGGGGTCTGTCTGGACGAATTGTTCTGTGTGTGAGGTCTGAGCTCTGAGGCAGCAGTGTTAGCACAATAAAGAAACATTGAGACGTGAGTCCGAAGTGGCTGTCCGCGTTCCACGGAGGTTGGGCACGGGGTGGCGAACCCTGCCCAGGGCCGGGGAGGGTTGCTTCTGTCGCTCGCCTCGACCACGCCCCCTCTCCTCCCTCCTGCTTAGATCCCTGGCAGTCAGAGCTGGAAGGGGCCATCCAGGGCAACTCCTCTGAACAACATACAAAGTGCAGATAAAAGGAAAACAAAGACAAAAAGAATTAGCTCAGAATATCTACGACCGTAAAATAAACTGAGGAACCGACAAAGTGCAATACACTTGCCATTTCTAAATATTCAAAGTTTTCACATGTCAAGATTTTCTATTGAGAATAATGTGCTCTGAAGGTCTAGGGAGTCTTTGTATGTTGCTGAAAGCTAAAAGGAAACCAGTCCTTGGAGCACAGAAGGCACAGGCATCCGGTGAGACAGAAACAAGGACATGTGAAAATAAGACTACAACCTCTTATATTAAAAAACTAAGTGCCACAGTTCTAGGGTGCTGGGTGAAGTGCAGGAAGGAGGGGGAATAATATTTATATAGCATATATTATGGAACTCGGAGAGTATGGTAAATCCCTTCACCTAGATGCTGCTGGTGTTTTAGAACAATTATTTTTGTGGTTCTTTTTTTTTTTTCATTTGTCTGCAGTTGGTCAACTTGTGCAGAGCCCATTCTGCAGGAGATGTTTGAGAAATACCAAGTGAATGAGTGTGGCAGCATTACTTTATGCTAGAAAAAAAAAGTTTTTAGATATTTTACAGTTACTGCCTTATGATGGAATATTCTGTGGTGAGAATCTAGGCCTTTCTGAGATCCAGCTCCACGTTCTTACACCCTGAAGTAGTCAGCCACTCCTAGATAGGGATTAATTGAGCTATTTAGTATTTACCAGCACTTGTTTTGTTAAACACCTTGTCATGATATTTACAATGTATTTTGGGGGATGTTTTAGTCATTTTTGGTTCAAAAGTGGAAATCAATAAGCACTGTTTTTGTTAATAGGCGCAAGACGTCCTCTCTTGTTTAGTGAGATGGGGAGTGCTTAATTGAAGAGTAATGTTTGAGATAAAGTTCCAAGGATATATTTGCTAAGCAAACAGTAAGTAAAGTGGGCAGTGTTATAGATGTTCCTTTGTTGATAAAGGGACCAGGTGGTCACACAGCAAGGAGGGGGATGCAGACAAGTAGACAAGCTCTACTAATCCTTCTTTGTTCAACATCATCTCTGTTGGGCATTGGAATCTACTTTGCTAATGCAATGCCCACTTGCCTATAATTTAAGAATTTCTAATATGGAATAGAAATGATTAATAGGAGAAGCTTGGCTGGATTAATTTCCTGTGCTGAGAAAGATTAAACTTAAAAAAAAACAGTTAGGTCCATCCTAAATGCCCAAGATTTAAGAAGGAACCTCATAGTTCAACTGGGTATTTGATGAATGTGAATGATTTTGTATTTGATGAGCTGATGAGGACAGTATAGTGATGCAGAGGGTAGGTGCTTGTACATCTGAATTGTCTGGGCTGTTTCTTATTTTATATGTAATTTATTTGTATTTAAAGAGTTCATTTTATGTTAGATTATTTGTGCTTTGGTAGCAAAAATATATTTGAAAGGGTAAGTTCCTGAAATCAGCAGTTTCATGTCTGCTAGGAGACAAGTATCAGGAAAAGTAGTGTGGGTTCTATCATTTCCATGCTACAACTTGGATGGTGTTACCTTACCACTTTGGTCCCTTGTTTCAGGGATGTTAGAACTTAGCTTAGACCTTCCTCAGAATCCTTTTGGACTTTGTGTTTCATTTGTTTGGCCTGCCTTGATTTTATTTGGTCATCCTTCTTGATTCTTTCATATTATTTGTTTACACTTAACTCTGGAATATTTTGGTGGTTGTTTTCAATGTACTGTAGGTCTTTAAATTGGTTTATAATGAATTATTGAGGAGAATAGCAAGTTGTTGACATTATATCTGTCTGTAGTAACATTAGAATATTTCCATTTCAATTTGTTGGGCAATTTGCTTGTGGAAATATAAGATGTTATATTTAGTTCTATCAAAACCAGGATCTCAATATTATTCTTTTGGCAGGTTGCTGCGTGTGTGTGTGTGTGTGTGTGTGTGTGTATGTGTGTCTGTCTGTCTGTCTGTCTGTCTTTGATTTTTTTCCTTCATATTTTCCCCTTAATTCGGTGTCGGTCAATACTGTTGCTGTTTCACATCCATTGTCACATAAAACTAGTCATCTCATTCTCCCAGGCCCCCTGTCCTTGGGAAGGGATGTGCACTCTGCAGGTATTAGTGATTTTATATAGCTGCATGAGTTGCTGGGAAAGGCCTTGGCTGGATTTATAATGAGCTGTGTTTACTGAGCATTATGAAGTAAAGTTCAATATGATTACTCTGAAGTCTGACCTAAAAAAAATCCTACTCCTTCACTATACAGATAGGGAAACTGAGGCCCCTCAGGCTGGACTTTAAATCCCCAATCTTACTTTTCCATTTTATTCTAGAAGGTCAGTTGAGAGGAAACACGGCTCTGTCATGGATGACCTCTAAATGATCCCTGACCATTCTTAGCATCCTTCTTTCTCTTCCCCTCATTGACCTAATCTTGACTTCTTTTATCTCTTTCAGATGTATGCCTTCTTTCTTAATAGCCAGGAAGTGTTTTAGAGTCATACTCTCTGGTGTAGAAAGACCTTCAAGGCCAACTAACCCAGCTCCCCCTTTTGGTGGGAAGGGGATTGGCATTTATTGAGCACCTATTAAGTGTTAGGTGCTTTTTGATTTTTTGTCTTATTTATTCCTTACTTTAGTCCTATGAGGTTGTGTATTATCCCCATTATACAGATGAATAAACTGAGGCTCAGAGGGATTAGGTATCTTGACCAAGGCAACAAAGATAATAAAGATAATTCAGGATTTGATCTAGGCATGTTTGATTCCAGGACAGCAGGCTGTTTCTCTGGCATTTGAATTCCTTCTATAGCATTCCTGACAAAGGGTATGTAACGTCTTCTTGACAACCTCCAATGGCAGCTCACTACCTTCCGAGGCAGGCCACTTGGCCTCTGACTGTCAATATTCAACAGAACATTTCTCTGAACCCGGTTTTTGTCCCCATATAGCTTTTATCCCTTGATCCAAGTTCTACTCTTAGGGACCCCAGAGCATTGTATTTCTAATTCAGCTGCCTCTAGTGGACAAAGTGGTTGCACTCCATACAGGATGGCTGCAACAGGGACACAACTGGACACTTGTCTGGTCTAGTTGGTAGGAGGTGTTCAGAAGAGCACAGTACTTCAAGGTCACTTCGTTCTACTTTCCTTTCCCCAGCTGCTTGCTTGTTGAGAGCCCAGCCTCTTTCTTCTCTCTTTGTCTCTTTTCTCTTGAGGAGAAGCTAGTCTTCCTCATTTTTCCTGCTCCTATTCTAGGGCCACAGGAGGTGTGGGGTGTGCATGGGCCTCAAAGTGTCTTTAGGAAGCCCCTAAACACTTCTTAGTAACACATAACTAGGAAACCCTCAAGATGACTTGGGTATTTGCAAAGGGGTGATGGCATTGCCAGCTCTGCTTTTATAGAGCGTGCTGAGAGACATGAGAGATAGTAATGAGGCAAAAGGAACCAGAGACCACTGTCTTGGGGGTGGGAAGGTGGGGAGTTCTTGGGAATGGGAAGAGGTATAGGGAAAGGACGTTAAATAAGGAGAAGAGCAGAGAACTCCAGGAACCATCCATCCCTTCATTTATTTGGTCATATTTATGAGCACCTATAAGACGACTTGTCATAGATGAAGAGATCTTCAGCAGGGCACTGTGCCTGGCATATTTTTGCCCTAAGGCAAAATATCCCCTAAGGCAGGGGATGGTATAGGATGACTTGGGGAGGGTGCTCCCTGTCTGAGGAGCCTCCAGCTTAGCTTCCTGAAAGGTGCTGAGGGACAGAGGCAGCCAGTTGGCTGTGCAGGTTGTTGAATGATATAATCTTCCCTATTCCAGGAACAAGGGAGCCATGATCAGACTTGGCCTCTATTTGGGGGGTGGGACCAGTGAGGCTCTGGCAAGAAAGGCTCACTAAAGAGCAGCAAGAGAGATTTTATAGAGACTCTGAGAACAGCTTCCTGTTAGGGTGAGTCAACAGGGAAGGTAGAGATTTCCTAAATCCAATGCTGAGATCACAGTCGTCACTGTACTTACCACCCCAGGAGAACGAGGGAAGGAAGTTTCTGTTTGAACAATTTTGCTTCAGGGATGCCTTGGTGTTTTTTGTTCATTTCTCCTGCATGAAACCTTGTTCAGTGCTGGAGGAGAGCACTTGTGGTGACATATGTTCAACAGTGGCTTTGGGAGTAGGGTGTAGGGTGGGGTAGGGACTGGGAAGCCCTGATTTGTAGCCTTTGCTGATTTCCATGATGTCAATGCTTCCACTATGGCTGAATTCAAGCTACCAACATG
Source organism: Homo sapiens (assembly GCF_000001405.40). NCBI lineage: Eukaryota > Metazoa > Chordata > Mammalia > Primates > Hominidae > Homo > Homo sapiens. The sequence goes on along the minus strand of NC_000001.11, from coordinate 159,849,860 downwards.
ATGTGACTGGCATGGAATTGGGAGAAATGTTTAGTAGCACATGATTGTATAGTATTTCCATGATACAGATACAATGGAGGAAGTAAATAACTTTAAGAGCTTAGGTAATAGTGAACTGTAGTAAAGTCATCAGGAAGTGGTGAGTTTTGAGTACTTATCACCTTTGTTTTAATATCATTTAATTATAAATGTATGTAATTTACTTTTTAATAATGGCTGCATTTAACAACTGGCTTGGGAAAGTTAGGTGGACCATGTCACCCCAGGCAAGCAGAACGCTGGGCACACAAGTGTTGCCTCAAGAATGGAAATCTCAAGTACATCTTGATTTTTCTCTATTTTTCTAGAGAGATGCAAACAGCACAAAGTTATGCTACTTCTATTAAATACTACATAAATTGTCTTCATCCTACTTCCTAGTTCCGCCTTTTCCATCTCTCCCCCGCCTTGCTGGAGCTGAATTCTGGTTCCTCAGGTCACTGAAGAATTATTGAGAGAATTTGTATCCCCTTGGTTCCAGGTTACTCTTTTGATAGCCGTCAGAAACCTGCGTTGGCATCCACAGAATTTGCCTACATTTGTCTCCCAGGGCATCTAGCCATGGGAAATCTATTCAAGAGATGCCTGTGAGTCCTCATTGTTTCAGTTCCTTCTCTGACTCTCTCCCCAGGCTCTAGGAAGTCATCCTCTAGTCATCTTCTCTTAAGCCCCTAATTCCCAAGACCATGAGTCATATGGAGTCCCACGGAATTTTCTTCTGTGTGCTCCTCTTTTGTTTTCTTTTTTTTGAGACGGAGTCTCGCTCTGTCGCCCAGGCTGGAGTGCAGTGGCGCAATCTCGGCTCACTGCAAGCTCCGCCTTCTGGGTTCACGCCATTCTCCTGCCTCAGCCTTCCGAGTAGCTGGGACTACAGGCGCCCGCCACCACGCCCAGCTAATTTTTAGTATTTTTAGTAGAGACAGGGTTTCACCATGTTAGCAGGGTGGTCTCGATCTCCTGACCTTGTGATCTGCCCGCCAAAGTGCTGGGATTACAGGTGTGAGGCACCGCACCCGGCCTGTGTGCTCCTCTTTGAGTAACTATTACCATGTATGCTGCTCAATTACATTTCAGCTACTCAAGGCCCAGTCAGACTGCGGTGACTCTGGGGAGGGGTTAATAATAATAATTATTATTATTTTGCCTCTCTGGGAACAAGGAAGTTTTGGGAATTACCCAATCATGATCCTTCCAGAGTTACAAAAACTACTTCACTCCTATGGGTTTAGGTTGGGGCCTGCCTGGAGGCAGGGGACTGAATCTGTAGCCCTGTCCACTAAGCTGCCCAGGGAGTCTCCTCATGGCTCGTTTCCCTGATTTGGTGGGAACCTGGGAAACCCCTGCTCTGGAGTTAACAGTTAACATTCTGGAGTTAACTCAACGTTCATTCAGCCCATCTGGAGTAACCATTTTATTTATTCCTGGTGTATGGAAACAAAACTGATTCCATTCAGTTCTTTGCAGTTAGGTTGGGAAGAATGTGCAGTAGAGGGGTGTGTGGAGGACATGGGAACTTGCAGACAAGGTGGGGATAGTGGCTACTTTGGGGAATCTGGAGGAGCTGGGCGTGGTCATTGTGCCTGCCGGTGGGGAGTGGACAGGATGGCCTTCTGCCACCCCTCTGTGGCCATTGCCCTCCCCAGTCTTCTTAGATGCATTTCAGCAGGATGGGCAGGATGGGACACTGAGCACCAAGGAGGAGACTGAAGCCTTGACAAAGGCAGGAAATTGAGCAGAGGAGGATGGGGTGAAACTGCTGATCACATTGTCGCAGAGGCTGAGTTTGAGGTGATAGTGGACTCCTGTGTAGGTTTCTTGAGGAATTAAAGAAGGGAGGAGGAAGAAAACTTGTAATACATGTTTGTGAGTTAACCATGTTCCCATCTGCAAAGAAAAAAAGCTTCAGTTTTGGAGCCAGACAGATGTGGGTTTATAGTTATTTAATAAGCTTCCAAAGCCTCAATTTCTTTGTCTGTAAAATGGAATAGTAATAGGGCTGTTTTGTGTGACAGGTATATTACAGAGCCTGGAACATACGGCTCAGCAAATGGTTGATCCTCAACCCTCCACACCCCTAGAAAGTAATTGCATCTCTCACAAGAGGACAGGCCTGGAGGCACGGATCTAACCACACAGAGGTCAACGGCAGAGGCTGGGGGAGTGGGAGGTCCACAGGGAGGGGGACGGAGTACAAAGAATGAAGCCTTGGGATTGAATTTGGAGATGGCTCACCATCTGGGGGAAGAGGCAAGGAGTCCAGAAAGCCACCAGTAGAGAAGGAGGAGAACCAGGACTTGCCTCTGAGTCCTGGAATCCACATGCAGGTGTGAATATTGACAAGAATCCTCACTAGTAATAATAATCCTAATGATAACAGGAAGCACCTGAAACACAAGCTCGACAGGGTCCCAGAGTCAGTCTGGGGATAAGCTGCCAGAATCCTCAGGGTGGCCCACCTGGGCCAGGGTGCGTTCTCCCGTGCCGTTTCCCATCTGCCTGACCTCAGTTCCTGGCACTCAGGCCCCTGATGGTCTCCCTCTGAGCCCAGGGCTCACTGTGGTGCCCTCTGTAGCCCTGACTTTGACAACCCCTCCCAGGTGGAGGGTCCCTCCTGAAGGGTTGCCACACAGCTTTCCCAGAGCTGAGGAGGGACCTTCCTGGCAGGTGTGTGGGTGGGAGGGCACATAGATTTTCTTCACCGTTTTTGGGAGAATTCATTCAGCCTTGGAAGTGAACTCCTTTAGCCCAATCCAGGCCCCACTTCTGGCTTGCCTCTGGCCTGGGAAGCGTCCTCCTGTCAGTCCCTTCAGATGCCCCCTGGTCTGCCCCCTTCTTCTGCCCAGATGCCATCTGCAGCCTTGTGGCTCTTCCCTGCAGTCACTCACCTGAACTGGCTCCTGTGCCTCCCCAAACACTGGGGTTGTGGCTCCAAGTCCCTGTCCCAGCACCGTCCCCACCTCACCTCAGCCCTTTGCCAAGGCTGGTCCGTGAAACTCCCCTACCTCTCTCTCCTTGTCCTCTTTCTTCAGAAAGGCAGACTGACCTTACCCTGTCCTCTTATCCCAGTCTCTTGCCTGCTCCCAGACAGTGTTTGTTATCCTCACCCTGTCTTGGGAGTATCCTGTTATCCTCCCATTTCCATCAGACTAGGTTTACCCCTGAGGGCCGGGGCTGTGTCTCTTCCCTTCTCAACATCTACTTTCTTGAGAACTCAGAATGCCTCTCTGCGCTGACCTGTCTTAAAATTAATGTGGCGGACAAAGTTTGTATTAGAGACTGCTCCCTCAGCTTAGGGAGGAGTCTAATGACAACAGCTAATGCCTGTGGTTACCTCCAGGACATGAGGTGGAAAATGCCACGTGTGTTCTCCCAGATCCTTCTCAGAGGTGCATGTGAACATTGCCCTCCCCAAGCGCGCTCATCACCTGGTGAGCAGAGTCAGCCAGGGCCTGGGGAACAGCCTCACAGGAGCTCTGGGCCTCCCAGGCATAGGGCGTGGGCCATGTCAGGCTCAGCTCTGCAGGATAGGTCACAGTTTAACAGACTCTGTTGAAAGCTCTTTCCTGTCCCGCATGCAGGCTTCTCACTCACAGTTTACTAAGGACTTAAAGGTAGGCCATGTTTGTGATCACTGCCATGAAAACATTGAGCAACAGATCCTCGGTCAGGAGCCTAACCTGCTATTACAACGTTGTTCCTGTGGGGAAATCTGCTTCTGTCTTTTCAATAAACATTAGCCGTCCCGAGACTGTAGCACACAGTCTGAGAAAGTGAGGAATGAGGATGGGAATAATCTCCTCCCCAGTCCCCCACCACCTCTCTACCTATTCACCTAAGACCTGCATGCCAATAATACCCAAAATTTATACAGCCAGGCCAGCCCTTTCTCCTGCATTCCACACTCACATACCTGCTTAGATGTTTAACAGATGTCTCAAATGTAGCATGTCCCACATACTGCCTCTACCCCACCTATTGTCTTCCCTGTCTCAGCTGATGGGGACTCCGTCCTTGTTTAACTCCTTTTTCTCTCTCACCACTCTCCCACCACATCCACTGGGTCACGAGGCTGAGCAATATATTGGGTTGAATCATATGAAAATTTCATTTTTTAAGTGTAAAAATAGTCAAACACAGGTAATTTCATATGATTCAATCTAACAATTTAAATGTAAGATGACTTGAGGAAGAAAAGTCATCTCTTCAGCTGCCCTGACTCCACCTCCTATAAGGACAACTGGGACATGCCTGTAACCTAGTAGATGTTGGCAGAGCTCCTTCAACATGAACTTGGGCATGGAGGGACTGCAAGACAAGAGGGCCTCCCACAGCACTCTCAGCCCACACTGGTCGGGGGCCATGGTGTCCTGGTCAGCTTCTCTACCACCTGGACTGAATCCTGCCTGCCCAGCTCCAGAAAGTCCTGAAACATTCAGGAGCCAAGGTTCAGAATGGCAGGGAGTGATGGAACTGCCTCAGCAACCATGGAGAACTGTCCTTGACCCCAACCCCTCTGAATCCAACCCACCTCATGCCTAGTCCTGCAGCATTCAGAGCCCCATATAGATTGTGGAGGTGAGGCCCCTGATGCTGTCTGAGGAGCCTTTCCAAGCAACAGGGGCAATGACTTGGCCAGGCAGGCAGGGTCAGACACAGAAGGGCAGTGCATCAGTCATTCCAAAGTTGCTGGCTTCATAGATACGGTGATTGTATCTATTGGCTTTGTCTTCAGTGCAAATCCAGAAGCAAACCCTTCTTTCCTGTTACCTCCCAGCTCACAGCCACCCTCATCTCTTGCCTGGATTACGGCAGCAGTGTCCTGACTGATTTCCCTGCTTCCTCTCTCTCACCTTCAGTTCATTCTCAGCAGAGAAGCCAGAGGAATAGTTAAATCATTCTTCTGCTCAAACCCCTGAAATGGCTTCCCAAGATCAAGTTCCTTACACTAGTGCCCCAGGCCATCCATGTCACCTCTCTGACCTAATTGATCACTCTTCTTCCTGGCTCTCTCCCCTGAGCATCACTGGCTCTTCATTGTTTCTTGAACACCTTAGGGTCCTTGTTCTGGCTGTTCTCTTTGCCCAGAATGGCTCTCCTCTGGATTTCCCAATGGCTTAATTCTCACGTCCTTCAAATCTTTGCTCAGTTTTCTCCCTCTTAGTGATGTCTACCACGGCCACCTCGTTTAAGATTGCAGCACCCACCTGCCTGCGCTCCTCATCGCCCTTATCCCCCCCTCCTACACTGCTTTTTTCCCTTTAATCTGTAGCACTTATCCTCTTCCAACATGCTGTAACATTTATTTGTTACGATGTTTGCTAATTGACTTGTCCTCGCCTTTCCCCACACTGCAAGCTCCACAAGGAGGGGCACAAGGCAAGGGTCTTTGTCTGCTTTATTCACTAATGTACTTAAGCTCCTAAAAAGTGCCAGGCATATGGCACACACTCAATAAATATTGTTTCCAAGAAAGAAAGGGGATGGAGGAGACAGGCAAACTGCAGCAGGAAGAGCTAACCCCCATCTCCAGGAGGTGAGACTTTAGTAAGGAGCTGCCTATCTCCTCCTGGGTGGCTAAGAGGTCCCTAAGAGGTGCAGAAGTTTGTCTGAACCCAGCCGACTGATTATACTGCCTGGAAGAGGAGGTGCAGATGTGGAATCTCTTGGCCTGAGAGTTTTGCCTTCCTCAGTGGAGGAGATATCTGGAGAATGCCCATTTTGTCTAGCTGCATGTTCCCCACCCTCTGAGTTAACCACTTCGTTAAAAAGTGTGTTTTGGCGATGTGCTTACTGAGTGTCACCAGTAGGACTGTGTGTTAAACCTGATCCTTCTAGGAACATGGAGCCTTCCAAGTGAGATGATTAATCTCATTTAGAAAAATTAAAGAACAATGCACACAACTGTTGATTCAGGCTCATGCAAAGCTGGGAGAGTTGATGCTATGAGACCACTTGAGGAAAAGGCTTCTGAGAGGAGGAGTGCCTGGGGCTGAGCCTGGAAGTGATGGCTGGAGACCAAGATGGATAAAGAAGGATATTCTCAGCTGGGAGGCAGAGGGGGAAGCCTGGTTAAAGGGGCAGAGTACATGAGTATGTCAGGTGCAAGGGACAGAGAAGAGCCGAGTCTGTCTGGAATCGAGGGTGCTGAGCTGGCGCTGCCAATAGCTGAGTCATCTCCATCTTAAGGCCTCTGAGGGCCCAGGTTGGCTGAGAGGGAAAGAAGTCTTCCAGCTGCTATGCTCCCCAGCAGGGGTGGGCATAGGGACAATCACGGTATCTATGAAGCCAGCAACTTTGGAATGACTGATGCACTGCCCTTCTGTGTCTGACCATGCCTGCCTGGCCAAGTCACTGCCCCTGTTGCTTGGAAAGGCTCCTCAGACAGCATCAGGGGCCTCACTTCCACAATCTATATGGGGCTCTGAATGCTGCAGGACTAGGCATGAGGTGGGTTGGATTCAGAGGGGTTGGGGTCAAGGACAGTTCTCCATGGTTGCTGAGGCAGTTCCATCACTCCCTGCCATTCTGAACCTTGGCTCCTGAATGTTTCAGGACTTTCTGGAGCTGGGCAGGCAGGATTCAGTCCAGGTGGTAGAGAAGCTGACCAGGACACCATGGCCCCCGACCAGTGTGGGCTGAGAGTGCTGTGGGAGGCCCTCTTGTCTTGCAGTCCCTCCATGCCCAGGTTCATGTTGAAGGAGCTCTGCCAACATCTACTAGGTTACAGGCATGTCCCAGTTGTCCTTATAGGAGGTGGAGTCAGGGCAGCTGAAGAGATGACTTTTCTTCCTCAAGTCATCTTACATTTAAATTGTTAGATTGAATCATATGAAATTACCTGTGTTTGACTATTTTTACACTTAAAAAATGAAATTTTCATATGATTCAACCCAATATATTGCTCAGCCTCCAAGAATTTGTTCCTTTTAAAGCCCCTCTTCCCTGATAATTAAGGATCAATTAACTTCTGACTTCACCCTAAAACTAACTCTTTCTTTTTTTTTTTTGAGATGGAGTTTCACTCTTGTTGCCCAGGCTGGAGTGCAATGGCGTGATCTTGGCTCAACACAACCTCCGCCTCCTGGTTTCAAGTGATTCTCCTGCCTCAACCTCCCAAGTAGCTGGGATTACAGGCATGTGCCACCATGCCTGGCTAATTTTGTATTTTTAGTAGAGATGGGGTTTCTCCAGGTTGGTCAGGCTGGTCTTGAACTCCTGACCTCAGGTAATCCACCTGCCTCGGCCTCCCAAAGTGCTGGGGTTACAGGCGTGAGCCACCACGCCCAGCCAAAACTAACTCTTTCTGTATTTCCAGGTTTGGTAAATGGTACCTCCATCTGCCTGGTTACTCATGTCAGAGACCTCAGTGTCATCCTTGACCCCTCCCTCAACCAAGGATACTAAGTCTTGTCTATTCTCTTCTAGCTCCTAAATATGCACTGAAGCCATCCACTTGTCTCCCTCTCTCTCCCCACCTTCATTCCAAGCTATGATGGTTTTTTCCTAGGATTCCTGCAATAACTTCATTTTCCTGCCTTCACTCTCGGCACCTTCAATCCATTCTCCATGCAGCTGCCAGCGTGATCTTTTAAAACGTGAGTCTGATCATGTCATTTCCTGTCTTAAAGCTCTTCAGTGGTCTGCTTTTACATTTATAATTAACTTTTAAATTCTCCATGTCCTATCAGACCCTGCATGATCTGACCTCTGCCGTCCTCTCCTCCCAGAGTCCCTCCTGCTCATTGCCCTCTGGCCCTGGGGACCTTCCCCCAGATGCTTACACAGGCAGAGATCTTTCTGGAAGGGCTTTCATGGATGCTCATTCCCAGCATGGCAGCTCCTCCACTCTGCTTTGCTGACTCCTCCTCTCCCCACTGGCCTCAGCTTGACTCTCCTTCCTCAGGGAGGCCCTTCCCTCTGTACTCCCGCCAGCTATATTTTGATCCCTTGTTATTCTGGCTCTTGGTTTTCAGCTATTTTCTTCTATAGAGATTAGCACAGTTTTAATTAAACATTTGTGTACACTTGTACAGTGTCTGTTTCTGCCTGACAAGTCTGCAAGATTCATGAATGCAGAGACTCGCCTGTCATGCCCACAGCTCTATTCCTAGTGTGTCTGGCATGGAGTGGGTACTCACTAAAGACGTGCTGAGAGAATGAGTGCTGTGGACCCGCGAATCAGTTCTCCAGGAAATCAGAGCCCGCTGTCCTGAGTGTGACTCCAGACCCACACTGCTGTGCTCCTTCTGAGCTGCAGCGAGAGCTGGGGGTTTGCTCTTAGTCATGGGGGAGGTGTCAGTTTCAGGGGGTGGGAGGGAATTATGATGGAAAAAGTCCAGGGGGAGGGGTCCGCATATTGAGGCCCACCCATAACATTTGTAATTGTAAGTTGAGCTAACACATTATTACGTAAAATATGTTCTATTCTCCTAGCTTGACAAATATACCTTCACAATGACCTGGAAGGCCAGGTTTGGATTCAGAAATCTTGGACTCTTTGGGGTTTCATACCAGAACTCCCAGCATAGGAAGAACTGGCTCCCTTGCCCAGGCCTTAAATCAGATCCTTTCTCTTCTCACCTGCAGCTCCAGCCCACACTGTGAAGAGCCTTGTGCCCACAGCTGTGCACATCCTGGGCTTCCTCCACACCTTGTCCATAAACTGCCCCTCAGCTACCTTCAGACCCAGGATACAGGTAGGCATTTTAGTCCATCTTCAGAATTCCCATCTGTATTTCTGAAGTGTGATCTAAAAGGGGGAGAGGCAGCTACGGGTGAATGCACCGTTGTCTCCTTGCCTATGGAGGAGAGCCAGAGCTGCCTTTCTGTAGTACAGGCCAGGGCAGCAGCCTTCTTGCCTTGGTGTAGGGGTGATATTGTCTGTGCTTGTGGCTTCCTGGGGTAATCAGGTAGGGAATAGACCGACAGGCATCCTGTTAGGCTTGTCCTTTCTAGACGCAGCCTCCAGAAGAATAAATGCTCCATTAGCAGCTGGCTGGAGCTGGCTGAGGCTCTGGCTGGTGACTCTGGCCTCTGGTGTAGACTTCCCTCAGGTGAGTGCATGGATGAGAGCTCTACCTTCTCCTGACTGCCCAGGCCTCAGGACAACAGGTAAGCCAAGAGGCTCAGGCCTTCCCCTGCACTTCTTGTCCTTCTGCTGGGAGTGGCCAGGCCTGTGGTCAGTCCTTCCACCATCTGCCTCTCTCATGTCCTCATGCGGAGGCATCCCTACGTGTGGGGATCTGTGCTCAGTGCTCAGGAGGCATCCAGCACCCTGGGTGTCTGTGGATTGTTAGGGATTTTCTGGGACTGTTAGGCTGTCAGGTTGTTATCAATGAGGGGCAGGAGGGATCCCAGGGTATTTCTGAGCATCGAAGAGAGAGGTCCAGGCTACCAACTGGTTGTGTCTTCTTTGCTGGGGGGTGGGAGCGGGGGTAGTGGCTCCCTGGTCTGGGAGCAGGACTGCAGTGAGTATGCTGGAGCTCTGAGCTCCTGCAGTTAAGCCAACTGAAGGTGGGCGTATGGTTGAGTGGTTAACTGCAGGTGGGCATATGGTTGAGTGGGTCAGCCAGCAGACAGAGCTCCGACCTCTTCATTTTCTCTCTGGTTAGACAGAGTTTAAATGGCTTTACCTGACTTTGGAAGACTCCTGAGGAGTCTAAGCAGGTCCAGCCAGTGGGTACAGGCTTGAAGACCAACAGGGTGGGCTGGCAGATGAGACAGTATCAGCATCTCAGTCCAGGCGTCCCAGCCAGGACCACCCTAACCACCACCAGGAGGATGGAACCAGCCCCTAGCCCTTGTGAGTGGCTCTCCCTTTTCTGTACCATCTCAAGGGAAACCTGAAGACAAGCTACCAGCATGAGATGTCCTGGTGTTCAGGGAACACAGTTAAACAAAAGTGTGATGCTGCTGTGGGAAAGCCTGCCCCAGGACACCACCATACCATGCTGTCTTCAGTTCCTGCCAGCTGAAGTTTTATTCCCAGGCAATGCTTTCTCCTTTTACCGTTTCCCGTGGGGACCTGACTGGCTGTCTTTGGGGACTGAGGTCTTACAGGCCAGGAGGTGCCTTTGAGCTCATGCTAGGGGCTGTGTGCCTGTGAACTCACTGGAATCCTTTGTTGACACATTGCTTTCTTACCAGTCTGTGAGCTCTTTGAGGGCAGGGCTTGTGATGCTACTATTTAGTAATTCCTGTATCCCAGTTGGTGCTGACACATAGTAGGTGCATAGTAAGTGCTTACTGAATGAATGGATGGGTGCATTTCCTGTTCTACAGATACCTGTTCAAACTTTGTTTTGTACTTTATTTTGTTAACCCAGTTAATGCTTCTGACAAGAAGTTCTACAGCTCCTCCCCACCCCATCAAAGAGGAGGGCCCTTGGCCTCAAATAGGCCAATCAGGCTCTGTTGGTGGGGAGTTGAATCTTCAGTGAGCAACTGGGGAAGAGAAAACAGAACAGAACTATTTTCGGAGGCCCCGAGGCCTGCATCCTCAAGGCTACCTGGCTTTGTCTTTTCTGAGGCTCGGTCAACATTTTCCTTGGTTCTCTGAGTTACTCACATCTTTCTAATACATTTCCTCTTTTACTTTAGTTAAAACCAGAGTTGGTTTCTGTTGCTTGCCTCCAAAGAACCCTGACTGATATAAGTGTTTTCCTGTTATTTTTAAATCTTCTAAAGTATTGCTCTGAGATGGTTTCTGCTTAAGCAGATTCATTGAAACAGTTTACTTCATATTTGGATTTTTCCATTTGTCAGAACATTCTTCCTTGGTAGTGTGGTGCAGTAGAAGGGACTGGACTGATTTAGATAATCTAAAGGTAATTCTGACTGTGCCACTAATTATGTAATTTCAGAGGAGTAACATTCTCTTTGGATTTCAGTTTCCACATGAGAAATAAAAAAACTTGAACTGAGTAACCACAGATTTCCTTCCAGCTTTAAGATCCTATTATTCATATGAGTCAATATCTGCCTTTTAGTGATATGCTCCATTGGCCCCAGTTACATGGTCTGGGCTTATGTGATAACCCTTCAAATATTTGAGAACCTATGCTCCTGCGAGTGTTTTGTTCTAGGCCCAACATAACCAGTTTCTGTAATCATTTCTCATATGGTAAGGTTTTTAGACTTTTCACCATTCTGGTCATTCTCTTCCAGACACTCCAGTTTTTCAGTGTCTTCCTGAAAGTGTGGCTTCGAGACCTGGACCTGGACTAGTCATGCTGTGGGAGTCTCCCCACTACTTACCCGTGTGCTCAGCCTGCCCCTCCTGGCACATAATGTTGACTAAGGCACAGCCCAAGGGGAGGCAGCCACCATAACTTTCCTAGATCTAGGGATAGTTATTTTTTGTCATTTTAGAGGCCCTTCCTTCAGGCTGCATGCAGAACAGATGCAGGTAGCCATGAAGCCAAATCTGGAAGGAGATGATGCTTCCTCTGAAGATCAGTAAGTAACCAAGAGTGATTAACTGAACAGGTGCTAGTTCTTAATACACATGGAAGAAAGATTTGCTACAGGTGTCATTAATGTTTGCAGCAGTTTTTTTTTTTTTTTTTAATTGAGACGGAGTCTCACTCTGTTGCCCGGGCTGAAGTGCAGTGGCACAATCTCAGCTCATGCAGCAGTTTTTTTAAAAATGAGGCACTGAATGTTCATGTCTCCATTGATGAGAAAAATGTCCTCTCTAACCCTTTTCTTATGCTATTCCCCTTTCCTATTCTCTCTGATATCATGTTTCATGAGCCCTTTGCCCTAGCAGCTCTTGTATTTGTCTTTTGTACAGGAGAACAGATGCAAAAACTATTGCTCAAGGAAAATAAAGTGAAAACGAGGAAAAGCAAAAGAAGATCTGGAGAGGGCTCTCACCTGACCACAAGCATCCTGGAGCAATGAGGTAGAGGGTGTTCTGGGAGGAGTCTGATATCTGGACTCTCGAGGGGTTCTTTCTGTCATTGTAACTCCAACAAAGGGGCATTCCGACGAAGTCCCATATGATGTGGCCCCAGGCCATCTCTCTGTACTCTTGTCCTTCCCCTCTCTCTCCCTTGTTTGGATCCAGCCCCTCTGGCCTCCACTCTCTTCTTTGCAAACACCAACCATGCTGCCATTTTAGGGCCGTTGCATTTTCTGGTCTCTTTGTCTGGAACACTCTGTCACTGCATGCTCACTCCTCCACTTCACTGGGCCTCTGTTCAAATGTCACCCCATTGAGGGTGTCATCTGATTGCTTTATCTAAGACAGACCCTGTCTCCCCAACAGATTGTTCTCTAGCCCTTTACTCTGCCTTGTCTTTAACAGAAACTAACAACATCTGACATATGCTTACTTGTTTATTTATATTATCCAGACCATAAACTCTCAAAGGCAAGGGTTTCGCTTGACTACTGATTCCCAAGTGCCAAGAAATGTACCCAGCACATGCAGCGCCCTCAATCAATATTTGTTGTGGTGTGACTTACAAAGCATCAGTCTCAATGCTCATTAGCACAAAATTGGTCTCACAGAAGCACTTTGTGTTTTTTTGGTGGAGGGTTAATTAGTCCACTAGTTGACAAGTGAGTCATTAAGGATGGGAACTTTATTAGAGCAGTGTGGATCTGTTCAACAAGGCCCTGGTGCACCACGCTACAAACCACTGTCGAAATGAGGTTGCTAAGAGTCACCTTGTGGAGGGAGAGCTGCAGGTCCCATCTCATCCAGAGCTGCTTTGATCTGAGGTGGGGCCCTGGAGATGAACGAAAGAAAGGTGGGGAGTGCTGTGTATTTTTTCCCCACAAATCCACCAGGGCTCATTGTCAGATCCTGGGCTTTCCTTTCCACATCATTTTTAGGGACTGAGGCCAGTTTTGCATGATTCAGTGACCAGGCATGTGGCCTGACTGTAGGTGGCAGGTGGGGATGGTGCAAGCTGACAGGTTGAGTGGCCATGGACCCTGTTCAGGTAATCTTGGGGGAAGGTGATAGGAGAGAAGTGGGTGTGGGAAAGGGATGAGAATTTGATAAAGCCAGGTTACCAACAGGGAACCTCTGAGCAGGCCAGGCAGGGAGGATCTGGGAACAATCGAGTGGAAGAGTGGTGATGTGGATCTGGAGGCCAGCTGTGCTGATCCTTTGTCCAAGGTGAAGTGATTGCCCAGGAACTGGGGAGAAGAGGGAAGGTCCTTGGACAGGGCTGACATCCTAGGTGGGGAGATTGAAGCCACCCTGGGAAAATAGTACTTCAAACCCACCCCTGTTTCTTCAATACCTCTTTCCTCGCTGTTATCAAGACTGGATTGAGGCCCCAGAAAAAATCCAGTTACACCTGGGTGAGAGAAACTGTGAACCTTATCAGCTAATAATCCCCGAAGGTAAGTTTAGCTCCTTAAGTGTTTTTCCAGTAGTGATCAATACTCCAGAGCTTTTCTAGACAGAATCATTCAGGGGCAGAATGTATTTTCCTAAGATGGCCACAATAAAAAGTTTGATGGAGTCAGAGTGACCTCTACAGTCCTGCTGTTGGGCTGTGGGGTCTTTGTCCCCTCCCCTTGAACTAAGGTAAGTCTTCTGCATTTGCATTTGAAAATGAATGTGGCAGATTCTAGAGTGCCTCAGTACCCTTTCTCTCCATAATGTTCCTTCTGCATAGCGTTTTATGGTTCTTCACTCTCTCAGTTTCAGGCAGGAAGACTCATCCTGAGCTGAGCTGCTTTTCTTGAAGTTGTGCAAGAACGTCCTGTTGGCTGGGGCAAATTCAGTATTTCTTTTCCTGGCCACTGTGCTGGAGCGTGAGGAAAGACTCTCCACCCTCACTCCCAGATCCTGCAGGAGGCGTGAGAGCGGATGGAGATGGTGAGGATGTCTATTAATATGGTGTTTCCTGCAAAACGGTGCCCATCTCAACCATGGGTTGTCAACCATCCTCGGTGTCTACAACTGCAATTTACCTTTGAGGGCCCATGAACTCTGATTACCTGAAAGTCCTTAGGCCAGAAAGAGAAACCCCTGTCCCCCACCTCTCACTTTCACCTATTTCTAGACCTTTTCTTACAGCAATGCCTTGGCCCTCAGGAAGCATCAGATCTCAAACTGCAGGGTCTGGGGCTGAAGCTGATGCTGGCATGGGTGACTCAGAGTTCCTCTATTAGTTCAAATATGTAATATCTTTTAGAGCCTAGGACTCAGGCTGGAGGCAATTCCTTGGTGCCAGTTGGTTAATACTTTATGAATAGTGGTGGGGGAGGGAATGCCTTGGACTATTAATGTCCCCATGGATCTGGATCCTGGAGAACTTCCAGTGTCCTGGATGGAATGTTCTGCTTGGCTCATCTTGCCCAGAGAAGAGCCAGGATATGAGAAGATGGGAGAGGGAAGGGGGAGGTGTGAAACGTGCTGGTGCTTCCTGTCCTCGTGGTGTGATGGCTGCCCAGGCTGCTCCTTCGAGGCAGGACAGGATTCCCATGGGAGATATGAGGACCATGGTGATTTCCAGGCACCAGTTATGTCCCAGAGCATCGTGTGCCTGTGCAGTGGGGTTACTGATAGTCCAGGCATCAGTTCATATTGTCCTTTATGGCAGATCCTGCACAAGGGGGTTCTCTGTCTCTGGACCCACTCTGTCAGCATGGACATCCTTTTTCTTTTTCCCTGGTAAGGACATCAGAAAGAAAGTTACCCCTCCAGTGTTTGGAGTCTTGGAATCCTTGGCCTGCCTGCAGGCCTCTGAATCCTCAGTGTGTTAGCCCAAGGTCACCTTAGGTAAAGGAACATTTCTCCTGGTCTTCCAACACCCTGGAAAGGGAGGCTCTTCAAGAATAGGAAATTCTTCCTAGTATCTAACCTTGGCCTGCAACTATGCCATACATTTAATTGTAGAAGGTATGGAAAGTTAGGACTGTGGTGGACCCAGTTAAATCACTGGACAGAAGCCATGAGGCAGAGCCAGAACCAGCTTCTGGACTCCCTGCATGGAGCTTTCTACTATCCCAGGTTGTTGGGTCCCTTCTCAGTGGCCAAAGATGCTATTTTATGAGCCTTGAGGACATGACACTAAGTGAAAAAAGCCTGGCCAAAGGGCCACATAGTGTATAGTTCTATTTATATGAAATGTCCAGGAAAGACAAAAGCATAGAGGCAGAAAGCAGACTAGTGCTGTGGGAGGAATGGGGGATTTGGGAGGTGATGGCTAAGGGGTTATGGGGTTTTGGGGGAGGTAATAGAAATGTTTTAAAATTGGTTGTGAAGGTGGATGCCCAACTCTGCGAATACACTAAAAGGCATCGAATTGTATACTTTAAATAGGTGAATTGTATGCTATGTGAATTATATCTCAATAAAGGTATTTTTTCCCTGCTGTTTTCCTGGCTTCCACTTTCTTATCACAAATCCTGGGGACTCTTGGGGCAGGGGCCAGGGGCCAGGGGCCAGGGCAATACCCTCCCACAGCAGATGGGGCCTTCAGGTGGAGTGCAGGCTCAGCTGTTCCCTCTTGCCCTTCTCTCTGCTGGAGAGAATGAACAGGAATCAGCATTGCCTGTCCCCATGCTTAGAGGCTGGACCCAGACCCTGCCTTCTGGGACACACCCACCATAGTGAGGGCTCAGTGACTCCTCCTTGCTGACTCCCTTTCTCCACCTTGGGACAAGCCAGCTCCGACAGCCTGGCATGGAAATGACCACGGAGCCCTGGTCAGTCGGGTAGTTCTTTCAGGGGCAGGGCATCCTGCGGCAGAGGAAGGGACTGAGCTGTATGTAGAGCTTAGAACCAGGTCTGATCTTGGAGTTTCCCCTTCCTTCCTCTTCTCAAGAAGGCAACCCTATCAGCCACTGGCCAGGGAGTAGCTTATCTTAGGGAGCCATTTTGTAGAAATCTCAGGCAAGAAGGGGTTCGGAGTCATTTAGACTCCCACTCAACAATGTTTGTCGATACCAGCTATGTTTCAGGAAGAGTTGTGTTCTGGGAACCACTGACATGCCCAGTGTTGACCCAGCATCCTCCTTTTAAGGGCTCAGAATTCAGTGGGGAAGTAAATGTAAGTAGTTCTCTGATTGGGGTAAGCAATGGAGATTGAAGAAAGGATGTTAATCAGCCTGAGTATTGGGGCAATCAGGGAAGGCTTTCTGGAGCAAGCACACCTTGAAGACTGAGTATGAGATAGCCACATGAAGGGGGGAGGCTGGGTGGGAAATCATGGAAAGTGTGTTCCAGGCAGAGGGAATACAATGTACAAAGGTCTGCAGATGGATGTGAGAGAACAGTTCATTTGGAGAACCACATAAGAGACTTCAAGTAGTTGAGTCTGGTTGTAAACCAAGATATGAGCTAGAGAAGGCCAAGAGATGAGGTGGGAGAGGTAGGAAGGGGCAGACCATCTGAAGCCTAAATAGGAGGAGGTCCAAGACCCCCTCCTCCCCAGGAACTCCACTTCCTCCACCTACCTCCTGCACCTGCAGGACTCCTACCTGAGCAGGGGCACCAGTGCCAGGCAGAGAAGAGAGTAACCAGCATCAGGAGCAGCGAGACAGGCACCACCACCAGCAGCACATCTTTGTAGGAGGCCTTCCCTGGTGCTGAACATGGAGGGGTGGGGTTAGAGGTGGACTTGATGCTTCATAAGCCCTCAACCACTGACTGCTGGCCCTTAGCATACCTGCCTCATGATGACAGCTATCCCAGGGCGTGACTGTGGCCAAGTCCCAGCTGACAGGGTTGGAGACAATGCAGGAATAGGCCACATCTCTGTCTCCTGGTCCCAGGGAAATGCTCAGCACCTGTCCGTCTGTGAAGAGGCTGTGTGGTTCCATACCAAAGTCCATGGTTGTCTCCCGTCGCCAGCTATAGGTTATTTCGCTGATGTTGGGGGCCCAACAGGACAAGAAAACCTGGCAGGTCTTGGAGGGCTGAGCATCCCTTTCTACAGCAATGAACACTTGTACCACGGGCCTGGGCACTGCATCTGGGAAAGAAAAGTACAGCTGGTATGGGTCTCAGGGATGCTGGGCAGGGCCCACATCTCTGGCTCTGGGATCTACCCAGGGTTAGATGCCACCTCTGGCTAGGCCTCTCTTGTTCCAAAATCTTGTCTGGCTTTCCACTGCCCACAGGACAGAAGCTGAATTCCTTAGCTTGATATTCAAAACCTTTCAGGAAACGATTCATGCCCATCTCTCCAGCTGTACCTCCTGCTGCTTCTCCCTGCTCATCCTAATTAATTTGCAGTTTTCCCAAACATGTCATGCTCTTGAATATCTTTCATGCTTTCACATAATTCATCTGCGCACACAGATGCCTTTCCCTTCTTGTCCTCCTAGAAAACTTCTACCCATCCTTCAAGGCCCAGCTTGAACACATTGCTTAATGCCTTGACTGTGAAGCCTTCCCAGGCATGGCTCTGAGCTCTCCAAGCACTCTATCTCTTTTTGTAGTATTTCTCTCACAATATGTCAGTCAGTCAACAAGAGATGACAAGCATTTATTAAGTCAGGCAAGAAAACAAACACATTCCTAGCCTTCTGGAGCTTACAGTTTGGTGAGAAAGACAAATACAAAATGATTATGAATAATTAATTAAATAATTATGAGGGTGCAAAATGCTGTGAAGGAGGGGCCCAGAGGTGGGGGCTCTGTCTTGTTAGCTTAGTAAACTTAGCTCTGTAGTGCTGGCAAATAGTGGGTGCTCGATATCTGGTCACTGAACAAACTGATATCCTGGTGTCCTAGCCATGGATTCCCCTTTCTATACAGGTTGATGAGTAAATCCTGAGTCTCAGTGGAAATGAGGCCAGTGGGAGAGCATTCTGGTGACAACAGGAGGGCTCAGTCTCTGACAGCATTCCAAAGTCAAGCAGAGAAAAACCTCGTTAATGCCAGTTCAGTCTGGTGGGATTTGTGATATGAAAGAGAAATGATTTGCTGGGCACACTAATAGTATAAACAAAGATTACAGGGGGGATATTTACATCACTTAAGAGGACAAGCTGCTTCCAAACACGATCAAGCACAGTAGAAACACCCATTGACATTTCTAGTAACTGATCTGCTAATTCAAATCGTTCTTATCTATTGTCAAAGCAGAACTCCTAAGGACGGCTGCTTGGCAGCTTCGTGCAATTAGTTCTAATCACGCTATGTATTTGGAAGCAATAAAACAGCAATTTCCTTAAAATCTGTAATTCAGCTGCTGAGAACAAGGCATTTTAGAGCTTAGTGGTGTGGGTGCTGCATGTATTATCACATTCAATGTCCTCATTTCACATGTGCGGCAGCTGAGACTCAGATCAGAGGAGGGGCTCCAGGGCTGCCTGTATGGTGGGGTAGGTTATTCACTACACAAGGACATTGGGCTAAGGGGGGTCACAGGGTAACAGGTGGCAGGGGGTGGGGGGTGCTGAAATCCAGCCAGCACTCTGCTTGCCAAGATGAGGCTCAGGGCTGCGTGCATCCAGAAAGGCACCTTGCAATTGCATCGGCACCCTGAGTGGCTCGCCCAAGGACAGCCAGTTAGCTGTCTCGGGGGGATTCAAGACATCTCCCCAATTTGCTTACAATCTTTATCTCCCTCATGGCTACCCTCTTCCCAGCTGCTACCTCTGCTTTCCATTCTTAAATCTGGACTCCCCTCTCTTCCACTCTATCTAAATTTCTAAGGTTTTACTGAAACAGTGATTTAGGGTCACCCATGCCTCTTTTCTAGCCCATTAGGTAGATAAATGAGAGCTGAAAGCCACTCTTTCTTGACCAGAAGACAAATGATGAAGGTGGTGGAGGTGGCTGTGGTGGAGGTGGAGGTGGAGTTGTTGGGAAACAAGGCCCACGCAGCCCCCAGTCCATGCAGCCAACCGAGGTGCTGAATGTAGCTGCGCGAATGGCTCTGCAGACCCATGCGAAGCAGAAGTCGCACCCAGCTGGGCCTGCCAACCCACGGAATTATGAGAAGTAAACATCGTTGTTGTTTTCAGTCAGTAAGTTTTGGGATGGTTTGTTTTGCAATGATGAATGACTGAGAGAACCCATGAATCATATATAGTTAAGATCTCTCTAAGAAGCCCTTTTAAGAAATGTGTAAATTCTATACTTTTAATTACAGTTTCATTATAATTTGATTTTTAAATAAACCCATTATGTCATAGTTTAGTATGGTACATCATTTTTTTTCCTTTAGACTAATGACACATAGTCTACACAGACTACATAGACTACATAGACTAGTGGCACATCTTATAGTCTATGATGATCCTTTAGAACTGAGGAAGCACAGGCCAGGCTCTGTCCTGGATGCCACTGCAAATGCCACTGCATTTCATCCTGTGGGTACTCTACATGGTAATATTACAATGCCCATTTACAAAGGAGAAAGGTGAAGGCCAGGGAGGCTAAGCATTGTGTCCAAGGCCACTGAGCCAAGAAAAGACTGAGCTAGAGTTCAGGCAAGCACTGTGAAATGGCAAAGCCTGGCTGCTGCAGCCAGGAGGAATTTTCTTAGACGTGACTGCCAGGGAGCAGCTGTTCCCTGAGTCGGCAACATGGTCAGAGACCAGAGCTTTCTGGAACCCAGCTCTCCCTGGCTGCTATGACTCAGGATGCTCGTCTGGTGCTTTGTGGGGGAAGAGGGCCAGGCAGCCAGTGTCAGACACACTCACCGTACACCTTGAGCTGGAGGGTCTGGGTCCAGGGCTGGCCCCTTGTGTCCACCATCAACACGGAGAAGTTGCCGCTGTCTCCAGACTCCAGCGGCCCGAGCTCCAGGCTGAGGTTGCTGTGTAGCTGGGCTCGGCCCAGGAAGCGGGAATGGTACAGAGTCTCCAGGGAGCCTCGGAAAAACGTGGCCAGGAGCTCTTCTGAAGGCCAGAGAGATCGCCAGATAGCCTCACGGACTTGGAAGCCAGGGGGACGCGCTGCCACCAGCAGCACCGAGCCCCCGACTTTGCTCAGCACTTGGGCACCAGTAACTGTAATGGGAAGTAGGGCTGAAAGAACAGAGCCCCTGGTCACTCTGCCTGCCCCACACTCCTCATCCTTCTTTGCATGCATCTGAGCTGCTATAGGGTGAATTGGGGCCCCTCCACTGACATTCCCTCCACTCAAGTTGAGGTTGCACTGTGCTAGGTACCAGGGATAAAACATATGGAAGATAACCCCAGTCTCTGCATTCATGGAACTTACAGAGGAAGCCAGACATTCAAGAAATCAATAAAAATGAATTCTGTTAAATACCATGAAGGGAAAAATGAGATGCCCTGGGAGAACACAGGTAGGGTGACAGGGGATCTCACCCAGCCTTGATGGGCTCAGAAAACAAATTGTTAAGCTGAGCCTTGAAGAGGAATGGGAATCAGCCAGGCCAAGCCGAGGGCGGCCTGGAGCAGGATAGGGAAGTGTCACCGGCAGAGGGCACAGTACTGACAAAGGCCTGGAGGGGGAGAGTTGGTGCCCAGGGGAACTGAGAGTAGTTCTCTGTGTGAGGAGTAGGAAATTACACTGCAGAGTTGGTAGGAGTCAGATCATGCAGAGACCTGAAAGCAATACTGGAGTTTGGGCTTTATCTGTAGAGCAATGGGGCGTCTCAGGTAGGTTTTAAGCAGGAGCGTAACAGGATTAGATGCATGGTTAGAAAGATCACTCCAGCAGGGATGTGGAGAATGCACTGGAGGTGGGCAGGACTTAGGCTGTTCATGTTAGTCCAGTGGAGAAGTGACGGCAACTTGAATTGAGGAAGGGAGCAACCGGGATGGGAAGAAGTGGGAGGAATTGAGAAACACGAAGATGGTGTGTAATCAGTAGGATTTGGTAATAGATTAGCTCTGGGGAGTGAAGGAGAAAAAGGAGTCGAGGACGGCTCCCAGGTCCTTGGGATCCACTGGATGTTATTCTCTGTGATCCAGAACAGGAGGAGAAACAGACAGGGGGTGAGAAAGCAAGATGCTGTTTTGGGGGACTATATTTGAGTCAGACGTGTATGGGAGACGCTTCTCCTTGAAGTGCCCCCCTGACTCCTTTGCTGACTAATTTCTGCCCACTCTTGTAGCATCACTGCCTCCTCCGACCTCCCCTATCCCTCATAGGTAATGTAACCAAGAGAGGTTACATATTCTCTCTTGTGTTCTCACAGTGGCCTGGGGCCACCATGCTGACTACCCTTATCCCTCTATTCTTATTGCCTGTTTATGAGTCAGCATCTCCCACTAGACCGTGAGCTCTTTCTCCCCATCGTTTGCTTCCAGTGCCCACCACTGTTTAAGAACAGACTGTGGGAGAAGCCTAGTAAATGGTATTGAATAAATGACCTACCCTGCTGAGGACTGACCCTATGCCTGTCGCTGGCACAGGGTGTAGGGAAGAATAAGAGGTGATGAAGTTTTGGTCAATGAGACATGATCTGGATGGTTGCTCAGTCGGCCATGATAATTCCGGTCCCCCTCTGCCTCACTGTCCTCCAGGCCCAACAACCTCCTCTCACACTGGAGATGACTTCAGTGTTAATGCAGAGCAGGAATGTAACACACAAAGAGAATTGCACTGGATGTCAGCCAAGACCTAGCTGCTCCTACCTGCTCCTCCTGGTGCTGCCACAGATCAGCTGTGTGCCCTTCCACACATCACCCTGCCCCAGGCTTCAGTACCACTGAAAAATAAGGGGTCTGTACCAGGTCAGTCACACAGATCTTTGATCATTAAGGGCCATTTGAAAAATTATTTTTGGGCTGGGTGTGGTGGCTCATGCCTGTAATTCCAGCACTTTGGGAGGCTGAGGAGGGCGGATCACTTGAGGTCAGGAGTTTGAGACCAGCCTGGTCAACATGATGAAACCCTGTCTCTACTAAAAATACAAACATTAGCCGGGTTTAGTGGCAGTGACCTGTAATCCCAGCTACTCAGGAGGCTGAGACAGGAGAATCGCTTGAACCCAGGAGGCAGAGGTTACAGTGAGCTGAGATGCACCATTGCATTCCAGCCTGGGTGACAGAGCAAGACTCCGTCTCAAAGAAAAAAAAAAAAGGCAAATTATTTTTGTCTCACCAAACAGACCAAGGCCTTTTTTGAGGTTAAGGTGTGATTTCCTGCACATGTTTAGAAATATTGAAGAAATCTGCAGGCTTTGGAGCTCTCAGGGCCAGGAACTCAGGCAAGGAGATGAAACAAAGCAACCCAAAGTCCCTATGAGCCTCTGATGTAAACAATATCATCTTAATCTTTGCTGCACCCCATAAACCCTCATCCATGGCCCGGCAGTGTTGACCCATGTCATGTTGGCTGCTTGTTGACCAAGGAAGGGAACTCAGGCATCAGATGGATAGAGGGATCGCCCGGTGTGGAGGAGACCCCGTGTATCAGCCATCCCAACATCACACCACCGTCGGCCACCCCTAAGTCCACGTGGGCCACATTTAGCCTCTCTCATCCCTACTTAGTACTTGCCTCCCCTTATAAAGGCCTGTAGGGAGGGACCTCAGCTCCCCCACAGGCTGTTGAAAACACACTCTGCTGATTGTGGGGAACCCTGCTCTGCCCTGCCCTCTGCTACTCTCCTCAAACTCTGCAGAGTTTCTGCATGCTAACACTGCCGGGTCCTCACCATTCTCACAGCCGACTTTCTCTCCAAACCAGCAGTATCACCCACTGGCTCCGTTTTTACTGCTCTGGGCCACAAAACAGCTCATGTCTCACAGATAAGAATACCCCTCAAGCTGCCACCTCCTCCCTCCCAGGACCCTGCATCTCTTTGTATCTGCCTAGCTTAAAATGTTGCCCAAGAGCTTGTTCTAGTCTTTCCTACCCACCCTCAGCTTCTGGGTTCTCACCCAGGTCGAGGGATCCCTGCCCAGACGTCTGGCATAGGCAGCTGGGGAGGGGCCTTCAGCTCTCCGAGGACAGGCTATCTGCCTGCCCCACTTACCTTCCCAGAGAAGCAGACTCCACAGGGGCCTCATGACCATCTTTCTCTGGAGAGGCAGGCAAACTCCCTCGACAGCCAAAATCCAGAACCTCCCAGGCCGAGTGGATGCACGGGAGGAGCTGTGGTCCTTCTGGAAAGTCCCATGTTCAGAAGGAGGAATCTTGACTCAGAACAGGATGTCCCAAAAGTGAAAACATCCAGAATAAAGTGGAAGTTGTCCCTGGGCCTCTCTGGGCTTACAGGAGCAGATTCTTGTAAGTCAGCCTCTTTCACATGCACATGGTTGGCTAACACGTGGCGACAACAGCCCCCACACAAGCCACATCCTCCTTGCTGGATCTCGCTGGCCTTCCTGCATCTCAGCCTGCCTCACTACTATCTGTCATCCTCATTCTAGCTTAAAATGCTTCTGTGGCCTCCCGTGGACCTGAGGATGAGGACTAACTCTGCTCTGCATGCAGGCCCTCCTGAGTCAGGCCTTCTTCTCCAGGCTGGTCGCCCACAGTCATTCTGCCCTCCAGCCATCCCAAGCCAGAAGGCCTCCTTCTCAGAACTACTGATTTCACACTTCCCTGTGTTGTACTTTCCCCACCACCCCGACTAGGCATGCTGCTCCCTCTATCCTTGCAAACAGAACATGGCTGTGCAGTCGGCGAGGACATCCTTCCAGGCTTCCTGACCACAGGCAGGTGAGAGGCCCTCTCCTTGTGTCCTGTGCATGCCCACACCTCCCTCTTTACTCTTGCTGTGTTGTTGATGACAGTTTTCTGGTTTTCACAGACTGTTTAGCCAGTCTTTTGTTCCCTTCTGTGTTGCCCTCAGTGCTTGGCACATTACAGATGTTTCATGAGTATTTGTTAAGTGAGTGAGTACATTCTAGACATGGCTACACATCTGGCTTTATGTAAGCCTTGCAACTCTCCTCTGAGAGGATCATCTTGTTACCTGGTTAGAAATGGGAAAATGTGAAAACCAGAGTGAGGTTAGGCCCCTTGCAGAGCTCACAGAGAGGCAGAGCTGGAACTTGAACCTCAGCCTTTGAAGTGTGGTCTATTTTGCCACAGTTATCCCCTCCTCATCCTGTTTCTCTTCTCACTTCAAGTTTCTTGGTTTCTTGCCAGTGAAGGTTTTTAGAGGACGTGTTGCCCCTGAGGAAAATTCCTGCTAGTCTGGAGTGTGGCTCATCGTATCTGGTCCTGCACAGCCTCTCGCCTGTCAATCAAACTGGACACTGAGCTTTGGACTCAGCCAGGAACTAGGCATATAGGATGGGGTGGGGGTGGGTGGTGAGCAGGAGGATTTTGGGATAAGGTTTTTGCCCTCCAGGTACTCACAACCAAAATGTAGAGATAGGTACACCAAGGAAAGTGAAGGGTTATCTGCAGACAGACACCACTTTGTGCAAACAGGTAGTCAGTCCTCAGAAGTGGGTGGGAAAGAGGGCTTCGCGGATCTGGGCAGGGGACGCTTCTTGAGAAGGTGGAATTTGAGCTGTGCCTTGAAGATGGGCATGGTTTAGATAATATGAGGAAAGGAGAGAGCCAGAGGTTGGGGGTGGGCTCTGGGCAGGAGGGGAGAGCAGAGCGTGCAGGGATGTGGCTGTGGGAAAATACCAAGTAGGCTCCACAGAGGACAAGGGACAGCAGACAGGAATCCTTTAGGGCTGGGTGGGAAGAATGGAAAAGGAGGTTGGGGGCAGATTGTGGAGGCCTTGAAAACTGGGTTAAGTTCTTCTGGAGACTAGTGGCTCTCAACTGTGTTCAGCACTTGGATTCTCAGAGATGCCATCAGGGTGAGCTAGGGCCCAGGAATCTGTGGTTGTAACAAGCACCCCACTCAGCGTGAGTCTGTGGCTGGTGGACTGGGGGACCGCTCCGGAAGCACTGCTTGAAGAGAGGGGCTGTTGCATGTTTTAAGTAGGAGTGGGAGGACAGCAGGCAGGGCAGGTTGGAGAGAACAAAGGGGCCAGGGAACCTGAACAACAGCTGTTGTCTGTTGTGATGGTCCTGTGAGAAGGAGAAGGGACTGCATATGAAGGAAATGTCTAGAGTACTGAGGAAAGGGCAGAACTGGGAAGCTGCCTGTCATGGGGGTGGAGAGGGCAAGGGAGGGAACTCATTTACGACTCCATTGCCAATTCCGTCATTCATTCCTCAGGCATTTATTGAGCATCTACTTAGGTGCCAGGACCTAGGGACACAGAGATGAAAGGCTCAGCCCCTGACCTTAAGGAGTTCACAGAAGATGGTATATATAAACCAATAATTATAACCAGTGTAGCAAGAACAATGTCAGATGTGTGCCCTGGAGGCTGTGAGAGCCGGAGGACACCTTTGACCCTGCCAGGGCAGGTGGGGGTCTGGGGAGGGCTCTGTGGAGGGGGTGGTGTTTGAGGTGAGACTTAAGAATACAATCAGATGAGGGTAGGAGTTCAGAACTCAAGCATGATTCAGACTTCTTGAGTTCAAATCTTGGCTGTGAAACCTTGAGCCAAGTAACTTCCCTGTGCTTCAGTATCCTCATCTGTGAAATGGGGAGCAATAACAATACCTACCTCTTAGTACTGCCAATGAACACATGTGAAGGTTTAACTTGGGGTCGGGTGCAGTTAGCACTCAAATACTAACTATTGCTACTAAATGGCCAGGGAGAGGGAAGTGGGGAAACCTGGGTAAATCAGATAAAGGCATGTTTCAGGCTGGGCAGTCCCCTGTTCTGACTCTCTGCTCCCAGACTGGGAGCTCCATGAGGGGAGGGATCTCCTTCATTTCTGCACCCTGTATATTGCCAAGGACAGGCTTTCGATGAGGCAAAGCCCTCCATGCATCTGTTGGATTGAATTGAATGATTCTAAAATGTCAAAGCCTAGGACTGGGAGGGCTGTGGGATGCAGGTATGGGGCCAATGTGGAGCCAGGTCCCGAATTCCTCTGGAGAAGACAGTGGGCAGTTACGTTCCCACTCCGCAGAGTTGGTCACCCATAGTGGTCCATCCAAGCAAAGGAATGAATTGCAGCCCTTCCCCCACCCGAAGCCCTTTTCCTTGAGGGGAGTTTTGGGGAAGCTGAGAAAGGGGGTAGGAGGAGGTTGAGTGGAGACTGAAAAATATCCCACCTCCCCAAAGGGAAAAACTCTCTGCCCATGTGACCACTGGAGAAAGACGAACTAAGAAGGCAGCAATTCTTCCCAGATGCAGGGAAGGGTTAAGTCTGTGGCAGGCAGGTTCTCTCTACTTGCTAATCACTGGTTCACACCATATTAATTACCCAGCCACAGAGGGGAGTGCACAGGAGTAAATTAGCTGGTGAGTTCAAAGGGGCCACTCCCCACATTCCTTAATTAAGAGAGCAGCTGGCAGCCGGTGCTGCGACTCCACTCCCTGGGGCCCTTCTCGGCTGCATCTGCTGCGTTGGTCGCCGAGGCAGGCATAGTAGCTCCATCTGCCAGGTGGAACAGCCTGCACCCACCATTAGCCCACCTTCACTTCAGGCTGGGGGTGAGGGAGCAGGTGTTGACCAAGGCCACATAAGCTTCCTGAACTCGACCATTAACCCTGAGCCGCTTGGTGTGGAGATCCAGGGTGGGGTGGAATTTGGGTGAAGCTTTGTGCTGGGGGCAGAATGGGGCCACACTTCTCCCAGGAGGAGAGATGGAGAAGGGAAAGAAAGGTGGGGTGCCTGAGGAGCTGGGAGAGAAGGGGAGCCAGGCAGGAAAGGAGGCAGAGGCAAAGCAGCCGGCAGAAGGAGCGGGCATTCAGCAGGCTTTTCGGGAGCCAAAGGTGGGAGCCAAAGAGGAAGGTGTTACTAGGGAGTGGGGAGGCCTCTGGGCACTGCTTTGAGGGCGTGGTGTGGGATGGGGACTGAAAGGGGAAGGTAGGACCCCACCTAAGCCCTGTCTTTGTGTCTGCTTTCATTTAATCTGTCAGCAGGCACCATGCCACGAGGAGCCACAGACCAAGAGGCTGCCTGGGGCAGGGAAGCCGGTGTGCACCCCTCCCTGGCTAGTCAGCTTAGGCAGCAGTGCCATGACATGGCAGGAAGACTGGCCTAGAGGGAGAAGACCCTGGAAGAAGCCTGTCTCTGTCACTTCTTAGAAACGCCCACTGTTGCTTAGCCTCTGCAGATGGGAAATGGATGCGAAATGGCCTTACTTCTCATGAGATGACACTGGCACCACTGTGAGCCTGAGTGCCTCCTTAACTTTTGTGCCTGAGGTGCCTCTCTAGTCTCACCCTGGTCCTGGCGCTGCTGGGGATAAGTAGAGGGAGTGGAGTCTTGGATGAACTAGAGGCATGTTGCACACAGCCGGAGAGGGAGAAACCGAGGAGAGAAAAGAGAAGAGAAAGTGAGTGGGATGGAACAGCCTGCAGGAGTCTGGATGGAAGGGGTCTTTGGTTTAGGTTGGTCTGCTTTTGAGGCAAAGACACACATTCCCAGAGATTTGAAGGAAGCCTGCATAAAACAGAGACAAAACCACACTGCGCTCTCCTGAGGTAGAGAGGGGGAAACTGGAAGCTCATGCAGGCATTCACTCACTCATCGAACACCTGGTTCCCATCTTGTGCGCACTAATGCATCCAACAAACACTAAAGAGCATCGAGCATGTGTAAGCCTCATGGGGTTAAGAACTCAAGCTGATGGTCCCAGTAATCATGATACTCCTGAGAGGTTCAGTCACAATATGAATCTGTGCCCCATATGGGAAAGAATTCCAGAATAAGTACAACCTGGGTTATTCTTCCAAAGAACCTGAGAGAAGGGCCCCTCTGAGCAAAGGCACAGCAAGTGATGAATGCTGAAGGAGCAGACGTGCTGTCGGCTGCAGGTCCTGCCAACTGTAGCCTGTTCAGCAGTGCAGAGGGAGATGTGAACAGGTGGCCGGACGCAAAAGATCCCAGTACTGGAGGGAAAAGCCTGGGTCCTTCTCATCTTGTACACTCTGTCAGTAGTCACTGTTATCACGGTCGATATGAAGTTGACGGACACAGAGCTATTTGGTGGATGGATGCTTATTTAAATAAAGCCTTACTTCTTAGCCAAATCTAAAAGAACAAACCTGGAATTGAAAGAAATCCCAATGTGTTCAACCTTCCAGGTTTAGAGAAGGGCCACGTTTCAATGTTATTGCTTGTATCTAGATTGTGTATTCACATACAAAACAAGGACAGGTGTCTAATCATATCTTACACTGAAGTTGTCCAGTGAATGGGTCAGATCACTGTCTAAGCAAGCGCAAGACCTCAAATACCTGAGAGCGCCACCAGACGGCAGCCACAAGGCTCCCTCCCAGATGGAGGCTTCTTTCCTGCTCTCTCCCTTAAGGAGCAGCTCCAGGTTGCCTCTCCACTCTCCCCAGCTAGAGTTCTTTTCTCTCTCTTTACCCTGTAGGTAATGTGACCCCATAGAACCCAGGTCCTTAAGAGGAGGCACAGACAAGTCACTGTGGCTGAATAAGTGTTTGCATTTAGCTTTGACTTGAAGCGAGAAGCAATGTTTCACAGGGCAGAGCCTTGAGACTGAGGAGGCTACTGGCGGGGAGTCCCGTGGCTAGTGTGGCCAGTGCCTGTGGCAGGCCAAGAGGGCCATGGAAAAGGGGAAGTAGGGAAGCAGCTCTCTGGTCTCCCCAGGAACCTCTCCTCAGTGTCTGCAGGGTCTGTCTCTGGAGAACGGTGGAAGTCCCCATTCTTTCTTGGAGATGGCCGCAGCCCACCAGTGTCCTGCAGAGCAGAAGCAGGTTCCTGCTGTGACAACTGAGGACTGGAAATGGGGCTTTGGGACTCCATGGGCTGACATCAGGGAAACCAGTGAATCTGGGCTAAAGGGCAGGGCCTCCTTTGAAATCTCTACTTTATGTTATTTTTTGAGATTTTATTTTTCTTCAATTTTCTTAGTAATTGGTCATTTGGAAAAATCCCGGCTCATTCTTTTCTAAACAAAGGGAAAAGGATGTTTTCAGCCGTGCAAATAGAGCTGGGTGGAGAGAAGAGGTGTTCTAGGCAGAGAGAAAAGTGCCTGAGAGGCCAGGCCAATAGTGTGTGTGTGTGTGTGTGTGTGTGTGTGTGTGTGTGTGCGTGTCTGTGTGTAGGATACGACTTCTCACCTATCTGTCTTGAAGGACCTGTTTTTCTTTTTAATTTCCAATTCATTGCAGGCCTATACTTTTGTAGAGACAATAGAATAAAACTACTAGAAAAATGAAATTAAGAAGACATATAAAATACAAGCCTTGATTTTTATGATTGTATTAAACAAACATAAAATTACTTTGTCAGATTGCTCTAAAAGTTTCTAAATTCTTGCTTCAATTTTTCTACTTAACTTGTCACGGACTAGTAAAAATCAATTCACAGGCTGGCACGAAGCTGTGGACCACGCATTGAATATCACTGGTGTGGGACAGGGAGGGGGAAAGATAGGAAAACTCATGAAGGAGGTGGACTATGGGGACATCTGGAAGGGCTGGTTCCTCCCAAGTCTCCATCATCAGTTTTCCTTCATGAGCTGTCTTGTCTATGTTTTCACTTTTTACAAGGGGGCATTATTTTATAGAGGGAGTGGCAAGGCCTTGGGTTCTGCTGGTACACCCTGAGTGACCAGTGAGAACGTTGAGCTTCCAGATTACCTGGCTTGTGCTTCTCAGTCCTCCCAGGGGGGTCTCTGATTATTGACAAATGGGAGGGGCCCTGGGGTATTCTGGACATGGACTGGACATCTATGAGAGAGATGAAGAGGAGGATGAGGAAGAGAAAGATGAGGATGGGGAGGGGTTGGATGTACTCCGATGAAGTTTGTATCTTGTAGGTAGACCAGTGCTTTTTAAACTTTAAACTTTAATGGGTATACACATTGCCTGCAGATGTTATTGAGATGCAGGTTCTGATTCAGCAGGTCTGGAGTTGAGTTTGAGCATCTGTGTTTCTAACAAGCTCCAAGGGGATGTCAACACAGCTGGTCCAGGGGAGATGCTAGATGCCTTCAGCTCCATGGTGCCAGGAGATCCCTGGTAACACTAATGTCTCCTTCGTCAGCCAGGTGGGTGGGGTCTGATGCACTCCAGCATCTGTAAGCTGAACCTTACGTTCTCCGCTTCCAGAGCAGGGACCTATGAAGCTGGAGCCAGGGCCTCATAGGAACAAGTATAACCAATCCTTTATTGACCACCCTTAGTCATCAAGGAGTATGGACTCTTTGAACAAACCAAATCAAACTATCAGGTACTGCAAATCGTTGATATTGATGAACAATATGAAACCAATTGATAGACCTCTATTAACAAAAAACTAGATGCTACAATCATATATCTGTTTAAACAAGTAAGAGGTAACCGAGTTTTCTGATGTACTCCACAAACAAGGGCTTTGGGCAAGCCTCAGTTCTGTCTTTGGTAAACTGGAAGAAATTTGAACAGGAATGGGGCTGTGTGGAAAGGCAGAGCTCTCAGTGCCTGTGGGGCTCTGGCTCTGGTGTCAAGGATTCTATGACATTGTCTGGGCCAGGCGCTTTTCTGGCTGACCTTGGTCTTGCTGAACCTCTGAGAGGCTCCTCAGCCCTGTGGTCACTCATGGGCTCACCAGAAGCTTGGAAGCTGGAAATGCATTCAGAGCTGCCCTGGGCTTAGCCCTCTGGGGTGTGGAGTGATGCTCTTTCTTTTCTTTTTTTAGTTTGAGAGGTGGGGCATATCCATTATATAAAACCCTTAATTAAAAAAAATTTTTACTATCGTATCATTTTTTCCTAAGAAGAACAAATTATTCATTTAGTATTTCAAACACATGTAAGAAGGAAATGACAGGTTTCTTCCACCCACATGGGGGCTTTCACTGATAAGCTCACGGACAGTCCTGGCAGTACCATGGGCTGTTATTGTCATTGGACCATACTGTATTTAGCACTCACTAGAAATAGCATGCAGGTGATAGTATCAACAGCTATAGCACTACAGGTAAATGTTAAAAAAAATATATATATATATATATATATATATATATATATATATAACAGAAACAAAACCAACCTATAAACTCCAGGTTCACCTGGACTGTAACTTCTCTTGTGACTTTCACAGGAAAGGACAACAGCAACAACAACCAGACCTCTAGGGTGTTTAAAAAACTCAAATGATGCTGCATAGCCAGGCTCTGCTCAAAGATGCCAGTGCCATCTTGAACACACCACCATACAGTGTAACCACCTTCAATCACTGGAATTATGTCTTATGTAACCAACTAGCATGCGGCATTGCAATTTTACAATGATCATGTGGACAGTGGACAGTGGTCAATGTTGTCTTAAAAAAACACCCCCCTCAAAGACCACACAATCCTGAAAATCTCCCCACAGCACCTCTCAGACAGTAGTCATCAATATCCCAAGAACCAACCTTTAAGAACAAAATAGAAAGAGATTCAAAATGTTTTCCTATTCCTCTGAGAGAACAATGTTTCGGGGTAAACCTGGTTCCTGCTGGCATAACCACTTGACAACAGTGATGCTTTCATTCATTTCTTTTCCCTCTCCACCAACTGGCATTTGGACTGAGAAAGGGGCCAGCAATGAGAAATAACAGACAGTAAGGCAAAATTACAATGTGAGAAAATATACTTGGCTTTCTTTTTTTCTTTCTTTCTCTTTTTATTTTTTTTTTTTTTGAGACGGAGTCTCCCTCTGTCGCCCAGGCTGGAGTGCAGTGGTGTGATCTCGGCTCACTGAAAGCTCCGCCTCCCGGGTTCACGCCATTCTCCTGCCTCAGCCTCTGAGTAGCTGGGACTACAGGTGCCCGTCACCAAGCCCGGCTAATTTTTGTATTTTTAGTAGAGACAGGGTTTCACAGTGTTAGCCAGGATGGTCTCGATCTCCTGACCTTGTGATCCGCCCTCCTAGGCCTCCCAAAGTGCTGGGATTACAGGGCGTGAGCCACCGCACCCAGCCTTTTTTTTTTTTTTTCTTTTTAAAATAAGTGCATGCAAATACATCTGGAAGCATTTCTGACTTGCCAAGTGCTCTGAAAGGGCAGCAGATGCTCTTTCTTTTCAGGGTCAAGGTAAGCATATTCAAAGGGACTGAGGACCATAATAGAAGCGCACGGGCACATACACACATACAAAGTCACGCATGAGTCACTTAATGACAGGGACGCATTCTGAGAAATGCGTTGTCAGGAAATTTCATCACTGTACAAACATCATAGTGTGTACTTACACGAAGCCAGATGGTATAGCCTATTACACACCTAGGTTACATGGTACAGCCTATTCTTTTCATTTCTTTTCTTTTTTTTTCATTTTCTTTTTTTGGTATAGCCTATCGCTCCTAGGCTACAAACCTTAATATAGTAGGCAGCTATGACACAATGGTATTTTTGTAGTTAACATATCTAAACGCAGAAAAGGTAAAATGCAGTAAAAAACAATATAAAGATGAAAAAAATATACCTGTATAGGACATTTACTATGAATGGAGCTTGCAGGGCTGGGGTTGCTCTGGGTGAGTCAGTGAGTGAGTGGTGAGTGAATGTGAAGGCCTAGGACATTATTGTACACTACTGCAGGCTTTATCAACACTGCTTAGACTACACTAAATTCATGAAAGTATTTTCTTCAGGTCAGGCACAGTGGCTCATGGCTGTAATCCTAGTACTTTTGGGAGGCTGAGGAGGGCGGATCAGTTGAGGTCTGGGGTTCGAGACCAGCCTGGCCAACATGGCGAAACCCCATCTCTACTAAATATACAAAAATTAGTCAGGTGTGGTGGTGCATGCCTGTAATCCCAGCTACTCGGGAGGCTGAGGCAGGAGAATCGCTTGAACCCAGGAGGCAAAGATTGCAGTGACCTGAGATTGTACCATTGCACTCCAGCCTGGATGACAGAGTGAGACTCTGTCTCAAAAAAAAAAAAAAAAAAAAAAAAATTCTTCAGTGATAAATGAAACTTAGCTCAGTGTAACATTTTTACTTTATAAACTTTTTAGGTTTTTAAAACTTTTTGACTTCTGTAATAAACCTTAGCTTGAAACAAACACATTGTATAACTATACAAAATATTTTTATATAAGCTTTTTTCTATTTTTAAAATTATTATTTTTTTTTTACTTTTTAAACTTTTTTGTTAAAAACTAAGACATAAATAAACACACACATTAGCCTAGGTCTACACAGGGTCAGGATCATCAATATCACTGTCTTCCACCACCTCATCTTGTCCCGCTGGAAAGTCTTCAGAGGCAATAACACACATGGAGCTGTCATCTCCTATCATAACAAGGGCTCCTTCTGGATACTTCCTGAAGGACCTGCTTGAGGCTGTTTTATAGTTAACTTAAAAAAAATAAGTAGAAGGAATATATTCCAAAATAACAATAAAAAGTTACAGTAAATACAGGGCTGGGTGCGGTGGCTCACACCTGTAATCCCAGCACTTTGGGAGACCGAGGCGGGTGGATCACTTGAGGTCAGGAGTTCGAGACCAGTCTGGCCAACATGGTGAAACCCCATCTCTACTAACAAATACAAAAATTAGCCGGGCGTGGTGGTGCATGCCTGTAGTCCCAGCTACTCAGGACACTGAAGCAAGAGAATCGCTTGAACTCGGGAGGCAGAGGTTACAGTGAGCCGAGATTGTGCCATTGCACTCCAGACTGGGCGACAGAGCAAAACTCCGTCTCAAAAAGAAAAAGTTATAGTAAATACATAAACCAGTAACATAGTTGTTTATTATCATTATCAAGTATAGTGTACTGTACATAATTGTATGTGCTATATTTGTATATGACTAGCGGCGCTGTAGCTTGTTTGTACCAGCATCACCACAAACGCGTGAGAAATGTGTTGTGTTATGATGTTAAGGCAACTATGATATCACTAGGCAGTAGGAATTTTTAAACTCCATTACAGTCTTATGGGACCACTGTTGTGTATGCAGTCTATCACTGACTGAAATGTTGTTATGCGGCACATGACTATTTCATATATATATGTATATTGGGGCGAACTAACATGCTTGTATGGAAAGAAGACATCTGTGGCTTATGTGTCCAGTGTCACTGATTGAACCTAAGTGTGTGTGTTGGTGGGAGCATCTCCCTTCCCATTCCATTGGTTGGTCTTCTGCTAAGAAAAGAACCCAGGGTTCAGGTGCTCCTGACCAGGACAAGGGCTCAGGGGGCTCTGTGATGCTGGGCTTGGGAACTGAAGGACCCACAGAAAGAGTTGAGGACCCCACTGTCTTCCTGAGGAGCACTGGAGACTGGGGGTGGGCGTGTGTTGATAGGAGAACACCATCACTAGCAGAGAACCTCCTCACAGTCGCTAAGGGGTTCTTGGAGAGTCCTGCTTCTCATATTCACCTCCGTGGATGAAACCTCACTGGGCTGCAGGCATCTCACCTCCGCACAGATGATAGAACTGTCCTGTGGAAGAGTTGGCTCAGGATGAGGAAGCAAATGTAAGAGAGAGGGTGAGAAAGGAGCAGGGATCCCAGCTCACCTTTCTCCCCACGGTGAACTCAGCAGACCTGGCTGTGGGGAAAGAATGAGCTCAGGTCAGGTCTCTGTGCTCCACAGCAAGTACATCTCCTTCCCACCCCTCCTGGCTGGCTATCTTCCTCTAGAAAGCCAGGGAAGCCAGCCAGGGGAGATTCCTTTCACTCCTCCTCAACCTGGAATTGGGAGACCTGGGTTCTAGTTCCAGCTGGACTACACACCAGCTGTGTGACCTCAGGTCCTGGGGGAACTGCCCTTCAATTAAGAGACTCCTTGACTGTTCATTTCCCCTACTGCCATTTATGGGAAGGAGCAGAAACCCTACGCCAATTCAAACCCATTTTTGCAGATTAGGAACTGAATTAGCAGGGCAGATAAGACATTAAAACGACAGCAACAACAAAACTCCCTGTTTTGAACATCTATTACATGTAGACAATTTTTAAGGTTTGTTTCTAGAACCTAGGTTCTATTCCTAACAACTTACAGTAGTCCTGCAAAGCAGGCATTGTCTCCCCTTTGCAGATTAGGCCCAGAGAGGACACTTGACTTGCCAAGTCAACAGTGAATAAGTACATAGAGTCAGGTTTCAAACTCAGTTCTGAGACTCAGAAACCCACATTCTTCTCATGATGCCACATGGCCTATTTCTCTGTTAAAGGACCAGCCTTTCCCCCATCTCTGCCAACTGACTCTGATAGCTGTGGCTGGAGCCCATGGTCTTCTTGACTCCATCTTATAGTGGAGACTGTCCTGTTTAGACTTAGACTCTGGAGCAAAGGAAGACTACATCATTTTTTCTCTCTTTTCTTTGTCCTTCACATTGTTCAGGAAAGGGCAAAAAACTCCCTGCACTTATCATGGTAACAGTGTGGAGGAGATGATGTTGAGAATGGTGAATATAGTGGTCATAGTGGTGTTTGTGGTGAGCGTGGTAGTGGAGGAGATAGGTGGTGGTGGTCATGGTAGCATTGATGATGGTGTGAAGGTGAAGGTGGTAGTGAAGGAGGAGATGGTGGTGACAATAATGGAGATAAATATGATGGTCTTGGTGATAGTGATGGTGGTCACAGTAATGATAAAAGTGGTAATGACAGTGGTAGTGATACTCTCATTGTAGGTCCAAAACTTCTGTTTGCAAAGGTACCAAGTTTGGCCTGAGATCACTCACCTTCACTCCTCTTTGAGGTTCTATGCACCACAGAGTAGACAACACCTTCATCTTTCCCTTTCTGGTGATGCACTGGAAGAAGGAATGAGGCTTAAATAGGATCCTCCTGACTCTCCCACCTCATGTCATAAGTGTCCTGAAGACATGGAGAGAAGCCCATCAGGGGCTCTGTTATGGTGATAAGTGGCAATGAGGGTTGGTCACTAATGTGGGGATAGCCATCATGGCAAGGGGAGTCAGGCCCCCTTAACATTTTTTTTTTGCAGCTTCCCTAGCCCTGACACTGTTTAAACCAGAGGTTGACAAAATTTTTCTGTAAAAAAGGTGTACATATTTTTGGCTTTGTGAGCTGTATAATCTCTGTCACAAATGTTAACTCTGTAATATGAAAGCTCTCAAACAAAATAAACCAATGAGCATGTGTGTGTTACAGTAAAACTTTATCTACAAAAACAGGCAGTGTGCTGGGTTTGGCCCATGGGCCACAAGTTTGCCAACCCTTGGTCCAAACCTTCCCTGCCCCGTCTCCTGCAGCCCTGGCTCCCTTCCCACCCCCTTCTCCCACCACCAGCTCCACAGCACTCCCTCTTCATGCCCTTTCTAGAAGCTGTTTGTTTTCCTTCCCCAGATCACTCCAATTCCTGAGATACAGGGCTCTGGAGAGCTCCCTTCTTACTTCCCTTAAGAAGCTCTTTTTGGCCCACATGGGCACACCACCATCCTGCTGGAAGTCCTTACCGTTGGCATATAGTGGGCACTGCTCTCCACCTGGAGCTGTGGGTGGTATCTGGGATGGAAGGGGCCCTAGGAGATACAAGGGCATGATTCACTGGGTGTCCCTTAGAGGGCAGGTGGGACAGGGGACAGGAAAGCTGTGAGCAAGAATGACAAGGAGGCCGCTGGAGGTTTGAGGCTGGTTTGGTTAGGAGGGCTAGTTCACAGGTCTGGACATGGTTGATTTTTATGGGATGTTTCCTTTGAAAAATACCCTAGATGGCTCCATGGGAATCACAAACTAGGAGGAAGTAAGGTCAGCAAGAATGGATCACATTTTTGCATGAAGAGGGCCTAGGCTTACCAGTCAAGCTGCTTTTCAGAAGGAAAAAAGCTAATAACTTTGACCATACACTATATGCCAGACACTGGGCCAGGCAATCCAAATAAAATATAATCTTCCTAGTAAAGCACCTAACCAGTGACCAGCACATAGTTGGATTTCAAAAACACCTCTCTTCCTAATTCTTTGGCGTCTAATGGTTTTCACAACCATCTTGCAAAGGTTGATACTTTTATCTCCATTTCATAGATGAGGTGACTGGAGCTGGGAGAGGCGACTTCTATAAGGTCACAGTAAGTAGTGGAGACAGAATCTTAATCCAGGTTTGCATGCCTTTTCTCTACTAGCATGCTGCCTCTGGAACAGCAGGTGCTTCCAGAACTTTAAAGGTAACTCTTGGGATAGGAATTGAGTCACATGTAGATTTTAGAACACTTGGTTCATGCCTGGTGCCCAAGAAATACTCATTACTCTAAGAGCTAGAAAGCATCAGAATCACTGGGTAGGATATGTGGAAATGGCTCCTTCTGTAAAATCAAGAGGGGATTTATGGAGACTTAGACAGATCCCCAGTGATTAAGCATTCTCCAACGCTCATTCGTCAGGGCTGAGAAATGAGCCTCAGTTTCTAAGTCTCCATTCAATGAAGAGTTCCATGAGTTTGACAGAACTTTGTTTTACGGGATGTGTGACAACTGGTAGTAAAAGGAACACTTTTAAACAAGCACAGCAGAACCTGTACATGCAGGTGAGTGCTACTTTGAAGTGGACCCCTTGCATGACCATATCCTTGTTCCAGTAACACCATCATTGGTCAAATGTTCTAAAAATTGACTTTGGACATGACATCTGTAGACTGTCTTTGGCGGTGGCATATTTCTGTTTGCTGAAGAACAGCTATGCTATTTGGAAATGGTTGTGAGTCTCCCAGAGCTGGGTGTGGAGAACAAGGCTATTGATCTGGCTGTTTTTCCTGCGTAGCTAAGGAATTGGTCCTGAAAGTGACTTTCTGAGCAATATTCTAAAGAATATTTTGTGCGCCTGAGATTCTGAGATATTAAGATCACCACCAGCAGTCCTGTTTGCATGAGAGACAGGTTCCTTAGTAAAATGAAGCCCACCTGCTCCAAGGTTGGCAGTGGGTGTGGTGGTGATGGTTTATAATCTCTACATCAAGAGGATGCTCTTTTGTTCCCTGTGAAAGGTATCTTGTTCTTGAGGATCTTTCACTAGTGACCACTCTTTCACCATCTCGTCTGGGGCTGGGGAGGGAGGCAGTTGTGCTACATTACTCTGCCATTGCTCTGCATTTAATGCTTTGACTCAGAGGTGAGTGGACAGAAACAGAAACACCTGTATTACCGAGGCCAGGCTGGGCCCTTTGGAGGAGGATTTATTAGACACAATGACAGCATAACTCACAGATCTTTGGTTTGTGGTTCCCTACTCCGGCTGCCTCCCCAATAGCTCTGGGCATCCTCTCCTTTTCCCCCACTATGAAAGAATACCTTAAAGCAAGTCTAGCCTGTATTGAATCCAGACTCAAGACTAGTGAGAAGGGTGGGGATGGGAAGTTGTATGGACAAAGACTACATATTCAAAAGGGGAGAGGAAGTTGAAGTCTGGTCCAAGCCTTAACTAGGCACCTGGTGAGGCAGAGTGTTGGGACTAGGGGTGGGAAGAGACCTTTTCAGGTACCCTGGTGGATGCAGGAAGGAATGCTTTGAACATATGACTGGGTGGTCTTCCTTAATTATCAGGCTGGTCCAGCTCCTAGAAAACTCATCCCAAATTTCTCAACAGAGGGAGCTGCAAACTTAAATAAGTACATCTAGCTTTGGAGGTCTATGAGAACAATCACTTTTGTCCTAGACAAGCAGAAAATAACATTGCCCCTGCAGAGGAGGAAGTGGGGTTGATTTGAACCTCTGTAGGTGGATTTGAAGCACTAGGAATCATAGCTTTGGCACTGGTAGCCATTCCTTATATGTGTGTGGCCTGAGGCGAGCAAAGGTTAGAGTTGGAATAAATGCGTGGCCCCCCAAACTAATTGCTTTGAGAGCCAACATTCATTCTTAATTATCACGACTGTGACAGGAAGAAGAAAGTCTGGAATATCAAAATAAATAGATAACTTGAAATGTCGTTTATCTGATTGTTTTCCTCTACATCAGAATTTTAACCAACCTTTTTATTTTCAGTGATTTTGATTAGAAGCATTAGAGAATGCACAGAGGAGAAAGGGCAGCCTGGGAACCTGCTGGGGTGATCTTCTCAGATTAGAATGAGAATTTACTGAGCACCCACTATGTGCCAGTCTAATACATGAGGTATTAGATAAATGTTATCTCATTAACTTAAACCCTTACAGCATCCCTGGAAAGGAAGCTGATTTAGTGAGTCTTACAGTGAACTGGCTCAAGGCTATGGAACTAATGGTAGTGTTGGGAACAGGCCATTGCTCAGTCTTGTCTATCATATTTCCTTTCTGATAGTTAATATCCTTTGCACACTCTGCTACAGTAAAGTACTGTACAAGATGAGTGTGTGTGAGTGAGCCTATGCATACACACTGTAGTTCTGTCTTCTTTCTCCTCTGCTAAGCAGATCAGAGCTCTGCTGAGCTCAATGAGAGAGAGAGGTGGAGGCCTTTTTTTTTTTGCTCATATTCCTAGCCACAGATTGTCTTCCAAATGTAAAGGATACTGACATACCTCACGTTTGGCTTGTAATAATTCCTTGGTTTATGTTCTAATCATGCCTGAGTGTGCGGTTGTGTGTTTGTGTGCATCTCTGGATGACTGTGAGCATGTGAGCAAGTGCATGTGTGTATATGTTTTGGAAGCATTAACTGTCCTTCCATGTGCCCCTTTGTGTGACACAGGAAGAGAAGTCCCCCCTGCCACTCCACACCCAGGAGAAGAGAGTGGCTGGTCCTGTCAGACTCTGGCTTTCCAAAGTCTGGGCAGGGCCTGGCACAGGGATTCAGCAGCTAAGAAAGCCAAGAGGAGTTACTGACCAGCTTTTCTCCAGGATCTCACATAAACCAGAAGTGCAGCAGCAATAACCATCAGGCCAAGCAGGCTCGCAGGAAGCCAAGGAACCAGCCAGTTGCTGGCGGGAGTGAACAAGACTTGAGAACCTGGGAGCAGGGAGAAGAAGGTGGCCATGAGCACTGAAGATAAAATTCGGAAATGCATTCTAGCCTGGCACAGAACAGGCAGAATGACTGATATTAGGGGAACCGTCTGGCCTGGGGGAGCCTCATAGATGGGCATGAAGGATGGCTCAGGGGATGGCAGCAAGGATGATGGTGACACCACGAGTGACCACGTGACTGCTCCCCCCGTGAGGCTCCCCACTCTCCATGGACTTCAATATTTCTCTGCCAGGCTCAGTGGACAGATGGACTAATTAGGGTCCATGCTCAGTCATGCAGTGGCTGCCATGAGTCCAGCACTGTGCCAGTCGTGATGGGAGGTACACAGAGGGTGAGATCTGACCCCTGCCAGCTTGCTGGGGCTCAAAGCTCTGTTGGAGAACAAAACACACCCTTCAGAGACAGCTTCTTGGGCTCACTCCTCTCTCTGGAGACACTGTTCTCAGCCTCGCAGGAGTAGTTCCCAGCATCCTGTTCTGACTTCACTGGGAAGAGGAGGGAGGTGGTTCCACCACAGGGAGCTGAGTGGTTCCCCACAATCTTCTCATCAAGGTAGAAGGAATACAGGATCGGAGGGGAGCCCCTCTGTGCCTCACAGAGGAGCTGCACCATGTCCCCCACAGCAGGGTCAGCAGGCCCGTGGTGCAGAGTGAGCACAGGACGGGATACAGGAGCTGGGACACACATGGGGTGGGAGGCTCAGCCTGACCACCCAGGACCCTGGCTCCCTCCTCTCCTGGGGACCCTTCCCCCAACTCCTTTAGTCCCAGGGGATCCCACTGCCTGACGCCCAGGGCCCTGGGGGCATCTCCACTCTCTCGCGCACTTACCCTGCACTCTGACCTCCAGCTGGGGGCTCTGCTTCTGGACCTGGCCACCCTCAGGGGCCACCTCACACCAGTAAAGCCCAGAGTCTCCCTCCTTGGCTCCCGGGATGCAGAGTTCTGGGTGAGGGCCCCTGTCCTGCAAGGTGTGGCCGTCCTTGTGGAAGGAGAAAAGGAGCCTCAAGGCTGACCTCAGGGGGTGCAGCTTTGTCTGACATCTCAGGGTCACCAGGCTACCCTCTCGGGGCTCAGGAGAGGGGATGGCACTCAGCACAGGAGGTGGAAACAGCTCTGGGGAGATGCAGGCCCAGGACTCAGGAGGGGAGTCCTGGATGATGAAGCCCCAGGAGGCTGAGGCCTGAGCTTCTACTCATCTCAGGCTGCAGCCCGGGGACCCCGATGGGAGGCAGTTTCATCCCTAGGACCCGTCCTCTTACCCTCACCCACAAACTCTGAAATGACTCCCACATAGCCAGGCCCTTCTGGAATCTTGGAAGTCAGAGGCAGAGGGGGCCTTCGAAGTCCTCTAGTCCATAGAGGGGAAGGGTGAGCCTGGACTGGTCCAGGGTCTTCCCAGTGCCCCCTTCCCAAGAATCTCCCCCCTCCTTCCCCTGGCTACATGTGTCCCCCATGGTGGGGAGAGGGGGGTATTGAGACAACATCTTGGGAAACCTCGGGGCCCCACACATTGGCCCAGCATGAGGGGCAGCCAGAGACAGGGGTCCAGCCCAGAGAGCTACTGACCTCTAGAAACGGGACCCTTGAGCAGCACCTCCTGCCCCACAAACTCCCAAGCTGGTGACTCACCTTGGACTTGAACCATGGCAGTCTCTGAAGTTTGTGTGAATGTCTGTGGAATATACATCACCTGCCCAGAGCAGCTGTACTGGCCACGGCTCTGCACTGTTGCTGCTCCCATGGACAGAGTCTGGTTTTCCTTAGAGAAATGAAGGAATTTTCCATCTCTGTAGAACTTCACCTGAGACAGTGGTGTATTCTTCCATCCCTGACATCGCAGAGTCAGGGCATCTCCTTCAAACACAGGGTTTGGCCAGGCTTGGAGGTACAGCCAGACTGCGAGACAGAGGAACAGGGCAGCCCTGGAGCTACAGGTCCCATCAGTCACTTCTCTCCCTCTGTCCCCCAGCCTAAGGCCTCCTGCTGGGGATGGAGGCCCTTGGATGGCACTGGTATGGTGTCACTGTCTCCAGTCCTTCATGCCGACCAGAGAAGGGCAGGACCTGGACTTCCTTTACTCCTCCTTCCTTTCCTTCTTCTCTCCTTCCTCTTCCCTCTTTCTCTTTATTCCTTTCCCTTCCCCTCCCCTTCTTTCCTCTCCCTGTGTCTTCTCTCTGGCTTTCCTCCCACCCACCCTCCTTGTCTTCTTTTATATTGCACTTTCCTGTCTGCCTTGCCAAGCTTGGCTTAATTGCATTCATTCTGTTCATTGTCTTGCCTCATTCCTCCTGACTCAATTCCCTCCAGCCTAGATTGGCTTCTCCTCCTGTGGCTACCTAATGTGACACTTTCTGCAGCCTTCACTTCTGATAATAGCAGCATCTGTGTCCACCAGAAAGCAGCTGGTGGGGCATGTTGGAGGTGCCACAGCCTGAGTTCTCTCCCTCCTGTCTTCCTCATTGGGCTTCCTTAGGCCCAGCCTCCATCTCTACCCTCAGCAGGGCGTTTCATCTTCCACCACTCTTATGGAAGGGATCTGTTCTCTCTGTCTCTATTCCTAAAATGTATTCTGTGCACTGATGTGAGCAGGAGAAGAGCTCCCAGGGATCCACCATCACCTGCAGGGCAGGCTGAGCCTGTCCCCAGTCTGTATCTGTCCCCAGCCTGTATCTGTCCCCAGCCTGTATCATCTCTTTGATAAGCCAGACACCCCCATTCCCAGACAGCCTTCTGAGCAGGCCTGATGGCCTGAGACTAATGAGGAGTAACAGTTAGGGAGCCCCAGCACATCCTGCTCTTGCCTGGATCTTCTGGATCCTTAGGACCCACTCTCCTCACCCTGGAAGTAACGATGCTCACCGCATTACCGAACAGCAGGTCTTGCTTCCACTACTGCTTTTTCTAACAGCACTAAGTATTGGTTTGAATTATCTCCCCCTGGAATCACAGAATATGTCCTTGGAGGTCAAGATTTCATAGATCAGAATTTTTTCCTGTTTGACAGAAAGCTCCATGGAGGTCAGTGTCACAGAATGGGCTGGAGGGAAGGGGATCTGAGGAAGGAAGGAAGACTGATCAGCAGAAAAAGGTGCCTGCTGCTTCTCTGAACATAAAAGGAAGGAAGGGAGTCCCAGTCTTGTTGAGTTGAGAATATAAGAGCTCCAGAACCACTTGAAGAGAAGACAGAGGCCACAGACACTTTTAAGGGTATAAGATAGAGGCCTAGAGTCCCACTGCTGAGGCTTGTGTCACCCTAGGACTACCCTTGGCCTTAGACTAGTGGAGTTCCAAGTTCCTCCTTTTCCTAGGAACTGGCCAAGACTCCTGAGGAAGGGGCCTAGTCTGGTGCTGCTCTGCAGATGTTTCTGGGGGACCCCATGGCACTGTCCTGTTCCCATCCAGTAAGTTTTGGCCCATAGACATACTTTGAATTAGAAGAGACATGGACACAACTTACCAGTTTTCCCAACACAGGGAACTGCAAGAGAACAAAGTAACACAATTAGGTTAAGTAGCAAAAAGAGCTTTCTGACAAGGAGGCCTGTCACTTCAGCAATGGGGACTTACACCCATTCAACCAACCACCCGGCCACCAAACCTCCTAGCCACCCATCCACACAGCCATCCAACCATCCAACCACATAACCACTCAACCACCAAACAACCCAGCCATCAGCCATCCAACCACCCAACCATCCAACCATCCAACCACCCAACCACCCAACCACCCGGCCACTTGACTACTCAACGTTTGTGCTGGACGTACTCCCTAGAACTCTTTGCCCTATCACAGTTCAAATGTTGCCTTCTCAAACAGGTCTTCCCTGGGACTCCAATCAAAAGAATTTTCCCCAATCACTAAAACAATGCCCCATTGTATTATCTTCAAAACACTTATCACTATTTGAATTTATCTTATTCATTAAATTGCCTACATGTTATCACCTCTCTCTCTGGCTAGAATATAAGCTCCATAGTAGCAGGGACTCTGCTTATTTTACTCATTGCTATATTTTCTATGCCCAAGACCTGTGCCTGGAACATAGTCTGTGTTCAGTAAGCATCTGCTGAATAAATGCATGAATGTTTTCCTTTGCATCCCATTGTACGAGGTGGGAAGCAAAAAGTAGAAAACATAGGACTAGACTCTTGTACGAATGTGCCTGAGGGTCCTACCTCCAACATCTACAGGAGAACCCATATAGCAAGGGCAGGACCTGATTCTTGTGGTCCCATCTCTCCACAGAGCTCTGGCAAAAAGGGTATGGAAGTGACCAGACTGAGGAGGATAAGTCCCCTGAAAGAGTAATCATTAAAGGATGTGAGACATTATCAGGCAGCATGGATGAATGAGAGAACTACAAACAAACTGGATGCATCCCACATCATGCTTGCATCTTGGATGTGCTACATTCATGTTTTTAAATGAGTGAATGTGTGAGAACAGGTGACCTGGGAAGAGGGGCCAACTCACAAAATGATGACAGATATGGTTAGATAGGTTTGAATAGCCCAAACAATGGAAGACCTGAAATTGAAGGTCATAGCTGGATATGAAGCAGTGAAGAATCTTCTGGACTTTGGGGCAAGGTGTGAAAC
The DNA here is from genome assembly GCF_000001405.40 of Homo sapiens. Classification (NCBI taxonomy): domain Eukaryota; kingdom Metazoa; phylum Chordata; class Mammalia; order Primates; family Hominidae; genus Homo; species Homo sapiens. The sequence goes on along the minus strand of NC_000001.11, from coordinate 159,805,474 downwards.
AATGAATGAATGTAGGGCTGAGTGCAGTCAGTCCAGCCAATCCTCATACATTTACTTGTGTCCTGCATTGCTGGCATGTCCTAGGTATTTTACATAACACCAAAAAAAAAATGCAAGAATGGCCTTGGGAAGGGTGGGTGAAAACCCTCTAAGAGCAGATGTTTGGCTCTGTCACATGGTATCATCTTTGCTTTCTACACTACTTTGGACACAGGTGGAATCTTTCAGCTCAATTCTCTATTCAGCTCAGGGTCAGCTCAGTCATATGCTCTCAAGAGTGTGCAGAACAATGAGTCTCTTCTTTATCATCCCTCCATCTCCACCCCTAACCCCCATCTATGAGCTCGGTGTAGTGGAAAGCATGCAGGATTTGGAATCAGATGACCTGGACTTGAGTCATGAATTTGCCTCTTTCTGTACGACCTTGAACAAGTTGTCTAAGTTCCAAGAGCCTTCAATATCTCATTCTGTCATATCACATAATAGAAATGATAATAGTCATTTTTTTCTTACAGTGTAGTTGTGAAGGTTATGTTGACCCACTGCCTGGGAAAGTGGTTACTACATTAACTGAAAGCAGAAAGAAGGCCTGACCTCAGAGTGACAGAGACCTTACTCTGTAGTTATGTCTTCCTTCCCTTCCCCACCTCACTGGAAAACAATTGTGCAGCTACAAAGTGCTAAACAAACAGGGTTGAGACTACTGAAGCCAAAAACAAGACAGAAGGCACTCAGGAAGCATAGATGCACTTAAAATGAGCTCCTGTCCCCAAATCTCAATGACTTGCTCCCCATGGTACTGCAAGATCTTGGAGGTGGGATTACAAAATTGGTTTCTGCAATCAAAACAGCAGCCAACTGGGAACATACACAGGGGGTGACACCTGCTTACAGCAGTTCCTGCAATGAGGGCCCAGGGACCTCCATTAGCTATAGGCTGAAGATGAGGTGACAGTATCATGAAGTGGCCAAGAGCTATGGTCAAACCAAGTTGCGTAATAGAATTCCGAAAAATGAAGGCAGGAGCCCCTGCCAACTCTAGGAGCAGGATAATTTCCTCTTAAAGTTTCTGAGGGATCGGGAGATATTTATCTGGGAAAGATGCAACAGAGGAAAGACACAAAATACTTGGTGGGCTAAGCTTAAAAGAAGGGGGAGACTTATTCTGAGTTACTTTATAGGACAGAAATGGAAACTAGAGGGATCATGGAGGCAGATTTCGGCTCAACATGAAGAACTCTCTCACCACTGAGCTCTAGCACTGTGGAACAGGCTGCAGTGCCAAGCTGCAGCAGTCACATTGCTGGGAGGGCTGTATGGGACCCCATGACACCTCCTATGGACGCTGTGTGAGAATGCGGGGAGCAGCCTCCAGTGGTAGGAGGGAAGTTGGCTAATGTTCAGCTCAGAAGAAAATTAAGCCTAATTTCCCAAACTTTAAATACATATTTCACATTCAGCCAGGTCCCCACATGCTCAATGTCAGGATTCCTTTCCTCCCGGAGCCCTGACAGCCAATAATAGTAATAGCCACCAATTTATTATGACCACACCCTGCTCTTGAGAGAGGAAATAGCAGCTCTACACTTATGGTAAGATAAATGTTGCTACACACCCAGCCCCAGTGTCTGTGTTTTAGGCTGTTTTTCCAGGGTCCCTGAGCATCAAGTGGGACCAAATTTGCTGGTGCTGGATTCTCCATTACACTGTGCACCAGTCAGCCGGTCACTGATTCCCTTCCTCTCCTCATTTGCTGTCTGTCATCCTCGTCCTGGGTTCCAAGCTGGAACACTCTCAGACTGTATCTAGACAAGTCCAAGGGCTGTTCCTTTTACAAGGTAGTGCCGGTAGTGCCATTTGCCCCTGGGAGTCTTCTGCCTGGAGTATATCCAGGCATTAGGCTATCCTGTCCCCGCCTCAGTGTGAGCATTAGACCTTTTCATTTGTCCAAATGGCCATTCATAGAACACACGAGTAGCATGCTATGCTGGAGAAGGAACATTGAGTGGAAGGGGCATTTTCCTCACAGGGTCAAATTCTCACAAACTCTGTCCAGGAAGAGGTTATATTTAGGAACAGTTTTGCTTTTCTAGTTCAAGGAATACAAATAGCAAGCAAGCTATTGGGACCAAGAATTAAACAAAAAGTAGGTCCACTTGGAAACTGTAAAGTGAAACAAAATATATGCCAAATTATTTCTTTTAGGTATAAGGGGGGTGACACTGGCTGAGACTGAGCTGGGTCTGGGGGAGCCCAGTGACCCTCTGCGTGCAATCCTCTACCCTTAGACCAGCTCTCTTAGTTACAAGTAGCCTGCATGAGAAGAAATGGAGAGAAGAGAGAGAGAGACATGGATCAGACAATGGAGTTGATTCTTCAAACCAGCCCCATGGATCTGAAACAGCTCCCAACAGAGAGAAGATGTAGGCGGAAGAGAGACAGTCAATTTGAAAAGGGCTTTGGTTACTCAGAGCACAGGCCTTTCAACCAGGTGAGAGGTCTGGCCATTGTTACCTGGTTCTAAGAAAATGCTGAGGCTCCATAAAAATATGTCACCCTGTAAAATTCCACCTCCCATTGCTGAGCAAAATGCCTGGGACTGTTTCCCCTCATTTCCCTGACTCCTTCCCTGTTGCCCCCAGCAGCCTCCTTCCCTCCTGCAACCTCCATTTCCTTTTGAGACAGCTCTGATTAGTATTTTAACCTGATGTCACAAGGTAGAAATGTCATTGGGAAGTTAGGGGACTTTGTAATGTGATTTTCTGCCTCCCTAATTTATCTCTGACATATCAAAGGGCTGCGCTGCCAAGGACCCAGGACTACGGGGTAGGAAACACTGAGGAGTTTCTCCTACCCCAGTGCCCATCTCTCCCAAGCATGCCCAGGTGCACACACCTGTCTTGAGCTCCAGCCACAAACCCACTGGAATTGGGAAAGGTAAGATGAGGAACTTGGTGTCTCAGGGATGACTTACGGTCCTTAGTGCTCCAAGAGGGGATGCCCATGCTCGTTGACTTACCAAAGAGCAGCACAGCCGTCCAGAGCAGCATGGGGCCTGTTCTGGCACAGCGGAGGGAACACAGGTCAGAAACAGGTCAGGGCGAAGCCGGCAGAGAGCAACCAGGCCTCAGGACCGAAGGTGGGTGGGTGGCCTGAGCTGGGTGGTGCTATAGCTTGATAGCCAAAATAGGAAGTGGAAAAGAAACTTACAAAGCTCTAATTGATATTTCCTCTTTGGTTGAAGAAGTATTACATGAATAAATTTTCCTGAACACTAAGTATGAAGGAGTCGGTAAATCACTAATAAATCCCTGACATTTTCTGCAGCTTCAACAAGCCTATGCCAGGGAACTAGGATGGAACATGGTTATGGGACACCTCCATTAGAAAGGTCCAGAGACTGCCCGAATTTGCTTGGCTTCAGCGTCATTCAGCCTGGGAGACAGCGCAGCACTGTAAAACTAAGATCATCTACCCCTTGACCACCGAGTGACCTCCCAGCTTCCAAGGAGCTCCTGTCTCCAGAGGTAAATGTGTGTGGATGCTGCAATGCGATGGAGAAGTGGAGCCCTGAGGATGCTTCACAGGATCCTCAGTTCAGGAGGGAATCAGACATCGATGAGTCTGGAGTAGAACACAGATGGAGCTTCGGCATCTGAGGCTTTTAAGACTGTCAGTATGATTTTGAGAACTATTCCTTAAAAGACACCATTAAGAGAAGGAACAGGCAAGCTGTGGTGTGATGAGATAGTTTAAATACATGTAGCTGACAAAGGGCCCACAGAAGAAATATAAGAATTTCTGCAAGTCAGTAAGAAAAGGACAGACAACATACTAGAAAAATGGGCAAAAATAATTGGATAGGTACTTCACAGAAGCAGATATCCACGTGTCAAATCAACATAGCAAAAGGAGCTAGACATCATAAATCACCGTGGAAATGCAAATTTAAACCATAATAAGATACCACTACACCTTCCATAAGAATAAGGGAGTGATACCAGCTGAGACTGAGCTGGGTCTGGGGGAGCCCGTGACCCTCCCCATGCAATCCTCTACTGAGTATTGGTGAGGATGTGAAGAAACTAGAACTCTTGTACACCACTAGTGGGAATATAAATTGGTACAGTCACTAGAAAATGGCTTGGCAGAATCTACCAAAACTAAACACAGGGATCCCTGATGGCTCAGCATTTTCACTCCTGGGTAAATGTCAAACAGAAATGTATACATATAAGCCTGAAAAAACATATACAAGAGTGCTCATAGCAGCATCATTTGTAATAGATAAAAACTGGAAATTATTCAATGTTCCCTCAACAGAAAAAGAGGTCACACATTCTCATCTCCTCTGTGGACAGAACATGGGAGTTCACGGTGAAACACAGAGTCAGGCAAAATACTAGGAAGCATTTTCATTTTCTTGTTTCTTTTCTTTCTTTTTTCTTTTTTTTATTGAGAAGGAGTCTTGCTCTGTTGCCCAGGCTGGAGTGTAATCTTGGCTCACTGCAACCTCCGCCTCCCAGGTTCAAGTGATTTTCCTGCCTCAGCCTCCCATGTAGCTGGGATTACAGGCATGCACCACCATGCCTGGCTAAGCATTTTCTGACAGTAAAGTTCTTCCTGGAAATCTTTAAGTGAGAAGTTCTACATAGTCTGATGGAATTTGATGTGCCTATTGCTGAGGCCAGGAATGGACAGAGAGAATTTTCTAAGTTTTCTTGCCCTAGATTGTCTGACTCAGTGGAAGTGGGAAACTAATTTGACACTGCCAGGCATTTTTTTCGGTGACTCAGTTGTTTAGGAAAGAGGGAAAAGTAGTGAGGAAGTAAAGTAGGAAGTAGAAATCTTGTCCACTCACCTAAAGATGGCAACATTCATATATTTTCCTCTATCGTTCTCTTTCCAACAGATCTCCTGAGTTGTCTTCAACTTCGTTCAGCTGCAGGTCCTGTGGGTGTGTGGAGTCCCTGCAGGGCAGCAGCTGGGGCAGGAGACAGAGGGGATAACCGCAAGTGGTCTAGCTTGCAAACATTTGTGGTTTGCACACAGAACGGATGAAGCCTCTGCCCTGGCAACTTCTACCGGGTTCTAGCGGCATGAGAGTGTGAACTGCATCTGACTTTTCGCACTTCCCCTGCAGAGTGAGATGCTGTTGCACCTTCAAAGGTGTTGGTGAGCTGAGCCTGAGCTGAGCTGGCTGCATGTTGTTCCCTTGGGGATGAAGGTGACCCTCAGGGAACAGCAACAGGGCTGCTGCCCAGGTTTGGAATCTTCCAGGACTCAGGCTGACCTTGAACTGAGAATGGGATGGGTTAGTGGAGATATTAAAACCCATGATACTAACACTAATACTCTAAGGGAATTCAGGGGCTAAAAGGAGGTGGGATGAAAATAGAGTGTGGATCCTCATCCAGAAGAGGCTCCAGGCCCAGGTGCTCTCATCACTCAAAGAGTCAGTTGTCAGGGCGGCAGTAGTCAGGGACAATGGCCTTTGGGGAACAGGATAAGTCATTCCAGTTCCGGAGGCGAGACGGGAGAGCAAGAGAGCTTGGGGTAGGGGACAGCTCTGCATGGTAGGCCCTAGAGCCAAATATCTGAGCTTGAATCCTCACTCTGGATATGAATCTGGTGAGAGACCTTGGGTAAGTTTTTTAACCAGTCTGTGTCTCAGGGTCCTTATCTCTAAAGTGGATACATAATTACACCTGCATCATAGGGTTGCTATGAAGGTTAAACAAGATTAAAAACATAAGATGCTCTCAGACAGCAAGATCTAATAGAACTTTCAGTGATGATGAAATGTTTTCTGGGCTATCCAGTTCAGTGGCCACAGAGAGCTATTAAGCACTTGAAATTGACTCATGACACAGAGAAACTGAAGTTTTAATTGTTTTTACTTTAGTTGAAATTTAAAAAATTTAAGCAGCTACATGTGACAAGTGTCTGCCTTCTTGGATATTGCAGGCTTAGACCAATGCCTAGCAAGTAGGAAGTGTTCGGTGAAGGTGAGCTATTGTAAGCAGTGTGGGTCAGGAAGACTTAAAGACCAGACCCTTCCTCCCAACCTTAGTGTTTTTGGTGAGTCCCAGAAAGATGAAGTAATTTGTACAAAGGCACTCAGCCAGAAAGCCTGTTGGGGTTGGAGTCTCATCCACAGCTGGAACTACAGGCCTAACGAGAAACCTAAGACCATTTCTGAGTTACATCTGAAAGACAGAACACATTGGAGAAACATATCAAAAGCCTAGAACTTAGGACAGGAGTGGAAATGACCAGGAGTAGGGTGAAAATGGAGCCAGCCTGGGCATGAAGCTCTGGGTCTGGCCTACAGAGGGCAGAAAACGCTATGGAGCATCTGGTCACCACCCTCATTCCCTCTCTCCATTCTAACCCCTTCCTTCCAGAAAGCTTCTGGAGAGAGCATGGCAGCACCAATGGAAAAAAGCTTCATTTGTGTCAGATCTGAGCGACCTCTTGTGGCCACATGAACCACACTTGCCCTAAGGAGGGAATCTTTATTCATACTGAACTCTTATTCTCTGTGTACCCACCCATCCATCCATCCAGGTATTTGTATTTCTTTTTAGCCCTTGCTGTATGTCCAGTCCACCCCTGCCTCCATGAGTTCAGGAATTGACGGGCCTATACTGGGGTATAGTCTTCGTGGTTCCTAAAGCATTTTCCCCCGTGTCTCCATTATTCTATTTATCACACTGTGTTATGTTTATTTTAGTGTCTCTCTACACTTTTAGCATATGACCTCTTCAAAGGCATCATCTTTGCGTCTCCAGGCCTAGCACCTAAGTATAATTGTTAGGCGTTTTGGAGTCAGAAAAATATAGGTTATAGTCCTGGCTATGCAGCTTACTAGGCAAGGAACCTGGGGCAGTGACTTAATCTCACTAAGCTTCAGGTTTTAAATTTGTAACACAGTAATAATGACATCCAATTTCTAGTATTGTGGAGAGAATTACACTTTTGCACACATGGTATCTTGTACATTTGACCCTCCACCTGAAATTGGATTCTTTTCTGACTTCTGAGGAGCCTTATACCACCAATGCTATACTACCCTTTTCTCTCTCATGAATTCAGTCCTCCCAGCTCAACCGAATTTTTTCCATAGATGCTTCTGAAAGATGCTAAGATCTTAAAAACTCTTCTAACCAAACCAAACCAAGCCAGCAAGCTCACCTTGATTCCACACCCCCTGGGAGCCCCAATTCACAGCCACTCTAGTTGAGAAAGTGGTCTATGGTAGACCTTACAAGTTGGTATTCCGAGACACATTGGTGTATCTCAAATGGCTATAGGTGTTATAAAATATTGATTTCCTTGGCCCTCAGATCATCTGTGTGGGGCCACACTTCCAGCTGGGGGCAGCCTTGTGCAGCTGGCCAATGTCCACTGAGCTATAATTTTCTATATGTTCCACAAAGCAAAAGGGTTTGGCAAGCACTGGTGTGTGTTAGCTTACTCCTCACTCGTCTTCAACCTATTCCAATTTGGCTTCACATGTGATTCCTTCACATCTCTGGTCTATCCAATGGACAGGTTTTGTCCTCATTTTTTTTGGGTGCATGCTAATGTCATTACTGTGGGTTACTCCCTCCATTTTAAACCACTGTGAAGCAGCTCTCTCCTGGTTTTCCTACTATCTCTCCCAGTAACACCTTCCCGGGTTCCTCTACAGGCTCAGCCTCCCTCCTCTAGTGGCTATGAAGAAGTTCTTCATCCCCTGGCCCCATGCTCTTTTCTCTTTTCACTTTCCCTTTTAGTGAGAGTGTTTCTCTCCCTGGGAGGGTGCTCATCTGTGCCATGGTTTAAATTGCTACCTCTAATCCAATGACTCCCAAATGTATCTTTCTAGTCCAAGCCATAAGCCTGAGTTTCAGATCTAAGTATCCGACTGCTTACCTGAGAGCTCCATGTGGAGGTCTCAGAAGCTCCTTTTACTCAACCTGTCAAGGCTGAACCCAGCCTCTACCTCCCAACTTGGTCCTTTTCTGTTTCCTACATTATCCAACAGCACCACTAACCCTGATTGCGAGTCAGAAACGGCTTGTCATGACTCTGATTTTCCCCAAAGTGCAATATAAAGCAGCAACAATGTTGCCATTCACATGACCCTTTAAGATAATCGAAATTGTGTATTTGTGGGCACACATATGTGCTTTATGTTTTTCTTGTTTATTATCTCCCGACTGCCTGCCCTCACTGCCAGTCTGGCTAAATCTTGGTCATGTCTTAGATTTAAAAGTTTATATAACCCTTCCTGCAGAAACATTTTCCTGACCACTGTCCCCCACCCAGGCTGAGTTAGGTGCACATACCTCCCCTGTCTGAGGATTTAGCACTTACCCCTGGCACTGTAATTGCCTCTTGTGTGCATTTCACCAAGAGACTGCAAGCTTTCTGAACGCAAGGGCCTTTTCTGTCTTGCTCTTTGCTGTACCCTCAGTGCCTGGAAGCAGATGTTCGACACATATGTGTGGGATGGAGACTGCAATAAGGCAGAAGCCCCCTTCTCCCTGATCCTGCTCATGTACAGCAACAGTCAGTGTGTTGGCTGCTAACTGCCTTCTCACCTGCCCTCCTTCAGGTCCTCTTACCCTCTCTTATTCATGAATAAGTAGATTTTAGGGTAAGGTTACTTTACTAAAGGTGGTTGGTTGACTCTGAATTAGCTCAGTATCCAAATAACTCAGCACCTATTACTTTCCTTTGTGGCAATAGGAGAATGTCAATTTCTTTACAGGGACATCAATTTAATCCACGCTATTCCTTTGAATCAGAACTCCACACTCCCCTCTATTTCCTTACTTTTAATTTCATACATACCCACTGCATTCCTCCTCCTCGTATGTGCCATCATAGGCAGCATGTTAAGTTTTCAGTGTGCTTCAGATAAAACATCCTTGAGTGGAAATCTGTGGTTACCAAAAACAGCTTTAGAAATTAGGGAATGGCTCCACAGAAAGAACTGAAAATGGCTGGAGGCTCATTCTTGGCTGGAGATTGAGGAAGAAATGCATATATAATTAAAGTGATAAATTGGATTTTTTTTTGGTTCTCTGTTTACCACTGTCAAACATAATCTATTTCATGCATTTATATAGAATGCATAAAATAGGTCAGATTTAATTTTCTTCAGTTTGCTTGTTTTCTCCTCCAGTTCCTTGGGTAGATGCGGAACCCAGATGGAAATGGGAAGACTATAAAACTTGTGTCTTTAGAGGAGATAGTGGTAAAGGATTTATTGCACTGGACCCTGGGAGTTGGACACTCATGGGTGAGTGAAAGAGGCACCTAGGAATGAGCATGGTGTGTGAATCAGACAGGCTTGAGTTAGAATCCTGACTTTGCTGAATGAGGCTGCATGGCTTGGATTCCCTACTCATTCCTCTTCTCAAAGTATTCCTTCCTGCACTCATTCCCTCCATTCTTTCCCACCATCAATTTCTCTCTCCACTGGATTTTTTCATCTGTATACGGACATGCACAATAACATCCAAAGCAAACCAAACCTCTCCTTTGCCTCACTCATCTTTTTCAGCTTCCTCCCCATCTTTCTCCTCCCTTCCGTTTGGGCCGGAAGACTCACCCATACTCACTCTTTCCTCTTCTGCAATCCCTACTCACTCCCTAATAGTGGGTGATCTGGCCTTAGCTCCCACCACTTCACTGAACTGCTTTTGCTAACGACACAAAGGCTCCTGTGTTGCTGGCTCCAACAGGGGATTCTCTGCCCTCTGCTGACTTGGCCACTCTGCATTTGAACTGTTGACATTTCACGTTCCACTCTGAAATGCTTTTCTGTCTTGGCATGCATCACGTCCCCCTCTCCTGATTCTCCTGCCTCACTGGCCACTCCTTAGTCTGTTTGCTGGATCATCCTCTTTCTCCTGACACTAAATGCAGGGATGCTCAGAGTTTGCTATTTACACTGTCTCCCTATTCTCATGGCTTGAAATCATATGCTGGCGACACCCAAATTTATATCTCCTGATCTGGCTCAACCTCTCCCGAGGATCTTGGACCTGAATATGCAATTGCCCAGCTCTACTCCTCCACTTGGGTGGGTCACAATCATCTCGAACTTGACATGTCCAAAATAAAACTCTGTCCCTCTCCTCCTTGCTGGGAACGAATGAACAGATGCACAGACAATTCTGGCCATGGTTCCTGCTCTCATCCCCACCAGTCTTCTCAGCCAGTAAACAGCACCACCAGTTACTGAAATCCAAACCTCAGAGTCATACTTCACACCTAACCGATTCCCAAGTTCTATTGATTCCTCTTCAAAATATATCTCAAATTCACCTTACTCTCTCCATCTTTTCTGCCTCCATTACAATGGAGTTCCCCAATGTCCTTTGCCTACATTACTGTAAAGGCTTGTTAATTCTTTTCCTGGCCTCTGTTCCTACCCTCCTTTTTTCCATCTTGCACAGAGCAGACACAAGTAACCCAATCAGTGTAAACAGATCAGTGTAAATACTCCTCTGGCTAAAGCCACCCCCACCTCCATGTCTCTCCATTCCACTAAGAATAAACCATCCCCTCTTTTATAGCGCCCTGCATGCCCAGCCCTGTCTCTCTGGCCTGCCCTGAGGCTATGCCCCCTCTTACTATGTTCTGGCTGATGTTTCAGCTCTGTCAACACAGGGAGCACCTTTCTCTCTTAGGTGCTCTTCTCTCATTCTCTCTCTCTCTCCCTTTTTTTTTTTAAGACGGAGTCTCACTATGTTGCCCAGGCTGGAGTGCAGTGGCGCGATCTGGGCTCACTGCAGCTTCCTCTTCCCGGGTTCAAGCTCCTTCCTCAGCCTCCCGAGTAGTTGCAGTTACAGGCGCCTGCCACCATGCCCAGCTAATTTTTGTATTTTTTGTAGAGACAGGGTTTCACCATGTTGGCCAAGTTGGTCTTGAACTCCTGACCTCAAGTGATCCACCCTCCTTGGCCCCCCAAAGCGCTGGGATTACAGGCGTGACCCACTGCACCTGGCCCACTCTTCCCTTTGTCTCAGAGGCTCTTCCCCTACCCACTACCTCTCTTCCTGCCCTTTCTAAATAAATCAACAAATAAGATAATAAATAAATAAATGAATATTATTAAATATTCAAAAGCAAAAGGCATATGAAAGAACATATGAAACATTCGGGTACTCATCACCCAGCAGTTTTTAATTTGAAAATGTTGCCATATTTGCTTCAAGTTTTTGTTTTTCTTAAAGAAATAAAATAGCGCAGTATCAGCTGAAGTCCCATATATAATCCTCCCCAATTCTATTCTTTCTCCCTTCACATAAGTAACCCCTGAACCTGGTATTCATCCCTCCCAAGTGTGTTTCCATACTTTCACGACATACACCTGCACTGATCAACAATATATGGTACTGTTTGGAATAGTCACAATTTTATGTAAATGGTATTTCACTGTGGAGGACTCTGCAACTCACCCTTTTCCTCAGCCTTGTTTGTGAGATGGATTCACACTGACATGTGTGGCTCTCATCATCTCCACGGTGGAATAGTATTTCATTGAATATACAAGTCTGATTTTATCTACTCTTCTAATGATGGATAATGGTGCCATTTTCGATTTTTGGCCATTATAAACAACGCTGCAAAGAATATTTGCACACGTCTCCTTGGGCACATGTTTGAGAGTTTTTCTAGGGTAAAATGTTAAAAACAGAATTTCTGAATAATAGAGTATGTGTCTCTTCAGCTTTACTAGATAGTGCCAGATTGCTCTTCAAAGTGGTTGAGCAAATTTCCACTCCCACGGCAGTGTGGGTAAATTTACGGAGCTCCACACTCTCACTGACTTAGCTGGTGGTGGGGAGGGGGACAGAGCAGGCACCCAGCAGTTTGCTGAGATCTAGGGCAGCAGCGGCAGGAGGGGGACTCTGCTCTTCTCTCTCCCAGTTGTCCTGTCCAATGGTCAAGTGGCTGGTGGTCAGGATCCCAGAGGCACATTTAGAGCAGTGTCTGGCACCTGAGTCACTGGGAGATGGGGTCTTAATCCTCCTCTCCCCTAATTCTTTTCTAAAATTTTAAAGCAATACAAAACAAAAGCTTCCCTATCTTGAACTAAAATGAAAAAGGACCCAATGTGCTGCAACAAACATCTATATGCTTAACATCCTAAATATACATGGCTAACATTTTCACATATGCATTTGCTTCAGATGTTTTCTTTTTAGGAAATAAAGCACATTTCAGTTAAACTTGAAGTTCTCCTTCCTGGTCTTTTCTCTCCTTTCTTGGAGGCAGCTAAGATTCTGAGTTTGGTAGGTGTCCAGACCATTTATTTGTGTAACATATGTATGTATCAACACACAATTTATAGTATTGTTTGTTTTTATTCATATAAATAGTATTTTGTACCTGCAAGTTTCTTTCCTACCCACCCAACACTGTTTCCAAAATACATCTGTCTTGATACTGGTATCTCTAGTTGAGTGTTTGTCCATTCTCCTAGCAATATATTTTCAGGTTGTTTTCAGTTTTTGGCTATTTCAACAAAGCTGTATATACACTCCATGGAGGCAGACATTTTGCTTTTTGTTAACACTCAATTTTTAGACCCTAGAATTGTGGCTGGCATATAGTAGGTGCTCAATACAACACACGTTGCGTTAGTGAATAAGTGAGGAGCCTCATACATGTCGCTAACTTACTCAAATGTAGAATTTGTCTGCAAATATATATATATATGTGTATAGTGAAGTGGCTGGATTTTGGGGTGAACTAATCAACGCATCACTCTCCAAGGTTACTATACTGATTTACATATCCTCAGCAGTTTAGGAGTTCCTGTTTCCCCTTAGCCTTGCTAACTTTAGTATTTTTTGATTTGGTGTGTGTGAATGTGTCCGTGTGTGTGGATGTGTGTGTGTGTGTGGGAGGAGGGTGGTGTATGTGTGTCCAATCCTGCTGTATATAAAATCATATCTTATAGTTGTCATTCTTATTATTTGTAGTGTCCTGGTTTCTTTCTGATTTGCCTCACCTGGGGATCCCATTGACTTCCCTTGTGGCCTCCAGGTTATTAAAGGAGCAGAGGTGGGTTGGGGTGGGTTGAGGGTCCTCTCAGGAGTGTGGCCTGACCCCTGCATGGGCCTGGAACCCTCCATGTCTTCCCAGCCTTCCTTTGTCCCTGGAGGAATTTGAGCACGGTGCCAGGGCAGATCTGGGACCACAGGATTGCAGAACAGAATGTGGAGACCCAGGCTTGTCCCCTCTTCCCAGTCCCATCTTGGGCTCTGCAGTCCCCTGTGAGGGACAGGAGAGGACTCCCTGGTGCCCGTGCTGGTCTGTGATTTTCTACGTCTTCAGGTGAACAGTGCTGACCAGGAGATGCCTGAGTTGCCAGACTCAGCTGCCTTGACTTTTCCAGGACCTGGGGTGTTCCTCTGTGGGGAGCTGTCTTTGCAGTCCCCAGGCCTCCCCTCCTCAGCACACATCATGCCCTCTGTTTACAGAAAAAACATACCACCTGATCTGTGTGGCTTTTTAGTACCTGACAAATTGATCACTATTTGGAGAAGAGAAGACAGGTTTGAGGGTAAGTGGACAGACGTAGTGACAGAGAAGGGGAGGGAGTAGGGATGTAACTGAGGCAAAAATTTTGAAGGCTCAGGACACCCCCTGACCTGGGACAATAGGGAGAAATGCTGGACTGAGTTGCAGCACCTGGGGTCGCTGCCTCTGTGGACCTGTGAATTGGGTCGACTGAGATATGGCAACATTCCAAGATTTAAAATGTGAATGCAGTGAATCAGGCAGAGCAGTGGGTGTGCAGGAGGCTGTGCCAGCTGCCGTCTGAAAGACATATATTTCTAGCAGGCAGGGATGACACTCACTTGAGATCCTTTCCCATTTGAAAAGCATTAAAAAATCATAACCTGCAGGTCCAGAGGGTGAGCACTCTGACTTAACAACCCTTTTACTTTCTTTTGCAAAGCATTGAAGTCATTAACTTCCAGCAAGCAGGAAAAGCAGGTTCTTACTTAACTCTTATCTTCTGAAAAGCCTTAAAAATCAGCAGCCGTGAGACCCTGTCTCTCTTTGGCAGTGTTAAATCATAATGCGCCATATTGTGGCTAAGTAACGGAGCCATTCTGTCAGAGTGTAATTTAAGGAAAATTGGACCTAGTGACATGTCCTCCACTCAGAAAACTGTGGTGACTCCACACTGTTTATCAGATATGATCCAAACCTTTTTGGCATGAGTTTTTGCTGCCCTTTCACTATCTTCACCTAACCATGCATTTCCTGCTACCCACTGGATGAGGTTTGTACTTCATCTATGCCAGTTGACTCCCCATATTATTTCCTCCCCTCACTGATACTTATTTGTCCTATTCTTCCCTCTGTCTAAGGCTCCCCATATGGACTCTGCACCCAACACATAACATTGGTATTTTTAATAACATCCAGCATTTGTGTATCCCTTAGGCTATCCAACCTCACTCTCCACATCTCTTTGAAGGTTCAACTTTTTGAATTTCACTCCTCTTATCTCTTTAATCACTATCCCATTGCTTAAGTATTTATGCATTGCATATTGGCTAATTGTATCCAACTTTGCATTTACACTTAGGAGGGTACATATGTCATGTATTCCTCCACTAGATTATCCATTCCCTAGATTTATTATTTTCTTCCCATTTATTCACCTATGTGCAGATACCCAGGTAAGTGACAGCACATCAGTTAGTCAGTCATCATCTGTTTATTGAGTATTGAATATTGATGTGCCAGGCATTGTACTGTGCTAGAGGTATGCACATGGTCCTTAGACTGTAGCAGCATACAGAGTAACATCAAATGACTAAATGAATTATTATTGGTGAGCAAAGGGCCTCAAGGTAGGACAGATACTTTGGGAATACATGGGGGCCTGTTGGAAACCTTTTCCTGAAAAAGTGATGTTTAAACTATGACCAGTAGGGGTCAGTAGGAGTTAGGAGCTAGGCAAAGAGCTGGTGAGCAAAGCATCCCACCTGCCCAGGCTGTCACGTGGAGAGGGCACAAAAAGTGTGCAGGAAAAGTAGTGTGGAGTAGTGTGCAGTAAAAGATCAACTCAGCAGGCCTGGATTGCCCAAACCCTGCACATTCCAAGGGTCGTTGAGACTGCCCTTGATTAGCTTCTGAGACCTCTGAATTCTTGAAATATCCTGCATGGTAAGAGTGTCTTTGTATACCTGAGACCATGAGCCAGGCCAGATGATTTCTGCTAACAATGTGACTTATGGTGAGCACCTGTTTGTATATGCCTAGGCTGCTTCGGGCCATATTGTTTCAGTCTGACCTGTGTTGGGGCTGGAGACTGAGTTATGTGAATGCTGCATGTCTACGTGACTGACCCCCTGCTACCTCAACAAAACAAAACTAAACTAAACTAAACTAAATAAACTAAACTAAACTAAACTAAAAACAAATGCTGGACATCAAGGCTCAGGTGAACATCCTTGGTTGGCCATATTTTGTATGTGCTGTCATACATTGTTGCTGGAAGAATTAAGCACTGTCCATGTGACTTTACTGGGAAAGGACAACTGGAGGCTTGTGCCTAGTTTCCTCTGAACTCTGCTGTATGTACCTTTCTTTCTTTCTTTTTTTGAGACGGAGTCTCGCTCTGTCGCCCAGGCAGGAGGGCAGTAGTGCAGTGGTGTGATCTTGGCTCACTGCAACCTCCACCTCAGGGGTTCAAGAGATTCTCCTGCCTCAGCCTCCCGAGTAGCTGGGACTATAGGCATGTGCCACCACCCTGGCTAATGTTTTTATATTTTTAGTAGAGATGGGGTTTCACCGTGTTAGCCAGGATGGTCTCGATCTCCTGACCTCGTGATCCACCTGCCTCAGCCTCCCAAAGTGCTGGGATTACAGGTGTGAGCCACTGTACCCAGCCCGTACGTTTCTTTTTTGTTGATTTTAACCCACTTCCTTTCATTGTAATATACTATAATCGAGAGTATATCAAGACAGGGTAATATTTTGAGAGGAAAGAAAAGAGTATAATAGCTTTTTTGAGTTCTGTGAGTCCTTCTAGCAAAACATCCAACCTGAGAGTGGTTCTGCAGACCACCAACACAGGCAGAGAGAAGAGAACAAAGCCTGTGGGAGAGAGGAGTATATAAGGTGAGGAAGGAGATGAAGAAAATGATTGGATTCCTTAGGTCCTTACAGGTCGTGGTCAAGAACGGCATGGTTCTGCCTGTAGGCTTGATACCAGTGTGGCTACTTTAATTCTATTCCATGGCTCTAGGCTGCACCCAGCCCCAGCTAGATCTCAGGAAGTGTACCTATGGAAAACATGCAAATCAGTGAATTTCACTGGGGTGGGGGAGCCCAAGGGCACACAAAATCTAGTGAAGAAGATAAGTGGTGTCACCTGTGGGATGGTGCATGGATTAATGTTTCCCATGGGGTCCCTTTGAGTTTGGAGTAGAGTCGCTAACGCTCAATGTATATTATTAAAGAAGATTCATTGGTGTGTTTACTGTAAAAGTGAGGACTGGCCAGGTGCGGTGGTTCACGCCTGTAATCCCAGCACTTTGGGAGGCTGAGGCAGGCGGATCATGAGGTCAGGAGATCAAGATCATCCTGGCTAACACGGTGAAACCCCATCTCTACTAAAAATACAAAAAATTAGCTGGGCGTGGTGGTGGGTGCCTGTAGTCCCAGCTACTCGGGAGGCTGAGCCAGGAGAATCACTTGAACCCAGGAGGCGGATGTTGCAGTGAGCCAAGATTGTGCCACTGCACTCCGGCCTGGGCGACAGGGTGAGACTTCATCTCAAAAAAGAAAAATAAAAACAATAATAATTTAAAAAGTGAGGACTGAGCTCTGATTTTTTTTTATCTTGCCCAAATTCCTATCTAAGGGGCCTGGGGACTCATGACCTTCAAACCACAAATTCTCATCAGATGGGTTATATTTAACCCTATATATTGTGACTTACTTTCCAATGTGACTCTGGCATAACATGATGTGACAAAGAAGAAGGTCAAACTATTTTACCCCAAAAGCATGTTTCTTTGCCATATTTTGAAATGGTCTTGCAAAGCTGTCCTTTGTGGGGGGACGTGTGCATCTGTAAAGAATCTCTATTAACACAGCTAGATCTTTTTCTTCCAGGCCCCCCAATCCTGAAGAGATTAAGTAAGAATCTAGTACGTTTTAAAGGCCTGAATAGGAACCATTTGTCATCTATTATCTCTAAGAGCAGCCACTATAAGATTTCAAAAGAACCTTAGTATCCACAATCTTTTATCTTTTTTTTTTTTTTTCTGAGACGGAGTCTCACCCTGTTGCCCAGGCTGCAGTGCAATGGTGCCATCTCTGTTCACTGCAACCTCCACCTCCCATGTTCAAACAATTCTCCTGCCTCAGCCTCCCGAGTAGTTGGGATAACAGGCACATGCCACCACGCCCAGCTAATTTTTGTATTTTTAGTAGAGACGGGGTTTCGCCATGTTGGCCAGGCTGGTCTTCAACTCCTGACCTCGTGATCCGCCCACCTTGGTCTCCCAAAGTGCTGGATTACAGGCGTGAGCCACTGTGCCCGGTCCACAATCTTTTATCTTAACCTGAACATTTCCTTTCCATTGATCCCAGGTCTTTAGACAAACTCAACCAATTGTCAATCAGAAAATGTTTAAATTTACCTGTAGCCTGGAAGCCTCCTCCCCACCTGCTTTGAGTTGTCCCACCTTTCTGAACCAAATCAATGTATTTCTTAAATGCATTTGATGATTGATGTCTTGTGCCTCCCTAAAATGTATAAAACCAAGCTGTACCCTGACCGCCTTGGGCACATGTTCTCAGGATCTCCTGAGGGCTGTGTCACGGGCCATGGTCACTCATATTTGACTCAGAGTAAATCTCTTAAAATATTTTAGAGTTTGACTCTTTTTGTTGACAAAAGCTAGCAGGGAAATAATCCCAGAACTGTTTGCCATACTGAATGCCACACATTGAAAACATCACTAATTTATTTCATGATTATATATCTGTGGTGACAGAGTAAGTCAGTGGAAAAATAGGGTGAAAGAGTTGTCAAAGCAATTTAAGCAATTTATTGGCACAAGAAACTCTGTTATCAAGGTTGCAAATAAGTCATCAATTTCAGGCATGGACATGCACCAAAGTGTTTCTTAAATTTCTGCTTGCTTGGACAAGCTGACTTCTCAAGAGCATGCCTCGAATCCATAATAGCCAGAGAAAAATTTTAAAGTAATGGAAGAAGTGCTTATGTAATTTATTTCTAAGTCAACAGGGGATTATATTTTTGATGGTGTTGGAGGCTTGAGGCAGAAGCCTGTTAGAGATGATGACTGTGCTGGCAGCCTGCACGCTCCCAAGTCAGAGTTATGCCACTGAACATTGAGCAGCAGTGCTGGGGAAGCTGTGTGATTGGAGAGCTCCACTGATGGCCCTGTGAGTCCAGATGACTCCATTCTGGGGAATACGAGATGCTGTTATATATTTTCTAATTACAACAAAGTCTATTCTCTCTCCTCCCAAGAGTGAAGGCAACCGGCGGTTTACAGCTAGACAGCCCAAAGTTTGAATCCTGCTCAACTCGGTGACTGTGGGCAGATCACCTAAACTCTCTGGGTCAGTTTATCCATCTGTGCACTGGTTATTGTAATGCTTTGTTCACAGGGTATTTTCTGTTTTGTTCTGTTTTTTCTTTTCTTTTCTTTTTTGAGGATGGAATGAGATAACGTCTGTAAAGCATTTGGCACAGTGCCTGGCACGCATTAAGGGCTCAAGCAACAAGAAAACAGAAAGGGTATTAGGGTTTTCAGTAAATCATCAGACATAAAAAGACATTTTTGAGGGCTTGATACCAGACACACAGGCCTTAAGACTGTCATGCCAGATAAGGATATCTGTTTGCTTTGAATTAGATAATAGTGGATGTGAGAGAACCACCCTGATAAATCAGTGTCAATATTTTGCTCTTAAATACTCGGGCCACATTTTTAATTTATTTTTATTTTTTATCATCCAGCCCAAAATGTCACTGGGCCACATTTTAAGGAGAAGCACATAATTCAGGTGCTATTGAAGTGAGTGTCAGATGCAGCGTTGTTCTTTGGCTTCCTAAGAGAATAAAAAGGGTGGTCACTGGAAGCCATGTTGATGAGACGGCCCATGAGGCCAAGCTCTAATCATGAAGGTAGATGCCTTTATGGGCTGAAGCCAGGAAAAGTCTTGGCAAGTGGGATGCCTGGCCAAAGAAACATGAGCTCTGAAGTTACAACTTGAGTTTGAATCTCAGCTCCATCAACAGTGAGTGGCTTAGGGCATGTTATTTATCTCTCTAAATCTCAGTCCCTTCATCTATAAAAAGGGGGAAATACATGACTTGCAGAGTTGTAAGGATAAAATAATATAACACAATGTATGTAAAACACCTGCTACATGGTAAGCACTTTGTAAATGATGGCAATTATGATCCTATAAGTAAGAAAAGTACGGTCATGACAAAATGCAAAATGCATTTGTGGTAATTGACATTGTTTTGTGACAAAGCAATCCTGTGACACCAAATTCTCAGAAAGAATGGCAGGATACAGACAGCAGAACATTTGATTTGAAGCTTGGCACACGGGTGCAGTTCATTCTGGGAAATGGTTTATGGTTTAGATCAAATCTCTGCCCCAGGTAATGTGCTCACCATTGCCCCGGGAAGACTAGGTCTTGGGGATAATGCGGGGCAGGTGGGACCTCCTCAGCCAGAGGAAGAGCAGTGATGAGCCTCCTGTGGACAGGAGCCCCAGGTGTTATGAATGGGTCAGGATGTAAGGGTGATGACCAAGTATGGCTCCAAGGGAGGTGTGTGCCAGCCTCAGTGTATGCAGTGTATGCAGGAAATAGGCCTCAGTGGCCTATTTCCCCACTCCAGTCCTCTCTAGAGCAGGACACCTATGTTGGGATACATGGCTTATGAAGCAGTCATGGAATCCAGAACCCAGAGAGCAAAAGGGCCCCAGTCAGGGAAGGATGAGGAGGAATCTTCTCAGAGAAGGTGCTTGTTAAGGTTAAGGTTTAAGGCTGGTGCTCCTTCTGACTTGCTTCCAGTTGTTTCTGCAACTGGATAATTTTCTGAAAGGGGAACCCAAGAGGTGACTACTGCAGAGCCCCAATGATATGAAGGAATGTTTTCCAGATAGAGAAGCCTCCGTTCACCAGAGAACTCTGATCACGTACCAGAGAATAAACATGAATTAAACGTAAAAAAAAATGGGGGTGGGAGTAGATGTTACTGCAGCTGTGCCCATCAGCAGCTCATTGAGAATCAAAGTCTCCTGAATATGGAAAGTTAGCGGTGTCTATCACTGTCTTGGGAAACCAGCCAGGAAAAAGGCTGACGGACCAGGGATGGCTACCAGACATTGCTTGAAAAGGTAGGAGGTTTGAGTTGGTCCTTTCTGTCCCATTAAGATGTGTGCATCCACAGGAGACATTACCAAGTATGTTCCCACCTCCACTCCCAGAGGAAATGAAAGCCAATGACTGCATCCAGTGCTTGTTGGTCTCATGCAGTTCTCAGCTGAGGCTGATTTTGCTCCCCCAGGGAACATTTGGCAATGTCTAGAGACATTTTTGTTGTCACAACTGGGGGGAGGAGGGGTATCCTACTGGCATCTAGTGAATAGAGGCCGGGCAAACTGCTAAAGATCCAACAATGCACAGACAGCCCCAACAACAAAGAATCACCCACTTTCAAACGCCAATCGTTGAGATATCCTGGTTTGAGGCGAATGTTCTTTTTAGATGGTGGCACAGATCATCTATCTCAGCGTAGAAAGGGAAGGGACATGGCTCGTCTGTTACCCCTTATTGGTAGCCATAGACATAAGAGGGCTTGGTGAGAAGACAAAAACAACTGGGAGTGGAAACGAGCCCAAAGGAAGCCACAGGCTAACCCACCAGGTAGATGGAAGGATAAGGGCAGAGTTTTTCATTTCAAGCCAACTCTTATTATTTAAAAAGCAGTTTCCTTAAGCACTTAATTATACGTGTATTTCCCTAAGGAACTCTTGAGGCAGAGGAGACTTGCTTAAATTATGGGGATGGAGGCAGTACACAGGGCTTTAATGGGGTTAGCAAAATTTTGTTTCCCTTGCAGGAGCCTTGGGAGGAAGGGAAGGGCATATTCCTCTTCCACAGTGCAGAGATGTGGGGAGGATGGAGTGACACAGGAACAGAGGCAGAAAGGGCAAGGATTGGTTGTATGGCCTAGCAGGTGAGGATCAGAGTGGAGACACGAACTTGGGGAAGCTTCATGCCTCACACCTCTCTCTCTCTCTCTCCATCCTGGTAAGCCCTCCGACTGGAGGGGAGAGGTTCAGGAAGTGGCCCATTCACACCCTTCATGCCCTACTCCCTTCACATGAAAATACACACACACCCCTTTGGAAGATGTTCTGGTTTGCATCAGAAACAGAATGGGGCCATACTATTGGGGGAGGGGTGGATGGGGGAGAGCAGGGTAGACAGAACTTTTGGTGACAGGAGGGTAAGGGTTTCAGTGCATCCTCTATTTGCATTCTCATTCCTCTGTTGCAGCTGGAATGCCTGGAATGTGTGGGTTTCTTCTCTTTGGGAGACATCCTCACTTGAGTAGGCTAGGTGGAGACTAAGCTTGAAGGAACTGATCACTCAGATTTGACAAATAAAGTTAAACTGGGGAGAGGGCATCTTATGGCCTTAGATTGGCAAGACTTCAGCTGATATCTCTTGTTTAAGGTTGAGTTGGACAGGGATGAACTGGGTGGTTAGTGGTGGAAGGGGGAAAGCAGCAGAAAGGAGGACCAGTTGGCTAGGCCTGTCTCTGGTCTATGATACAAAAGATGAGATCTACAGGGGAACCCTTGACTCCCCACTCTTCTATGTCTCCACTGGAACTGGAATGCATGTCTACAATAGCATCCATTGTCTGTGGTGGACTCTATCTGTGCCCATCTTCTCCAGCAGGCTGAGCTCCTGAGAGCAGGAATTATGTCTCATTCCACTGTGCGGCCTCCAGATCTAACAGAACTCATACAGGTACGTACAGGAACTCACATATTTTATGGTGAATTTCTATCTTATTCAGCCTGCTATTGCAGAAAAGACCACAGGCAGACCTACAGTAAAGAGTCCATTGGGCGGATATATGCCATTCTTCCCATTTCTCATAAGTCAAAAGTGTAGTGGTGCTGGCAAAACAGGGCCCAACAAGGGGGCAGAATGGGGTCCAATAGGGGATAACTGGAGATAACATCTGAGAAACATGGCCAAGATTTAGAGCCCTGGAACTCTTCATTTAATTGTTAAATATCTGCTCTGCATAACTGCCTAGATTGGCTCTGTTCTCAGGTCCTTTGGCCTGAGGTTGTGGGGCAGCAGAATGAGCCAGAGAGCCCAGATGAGCTGAGCAGCACCTGAGGTTGGTAAGAGGTGACCAGCCCTGTGGAGGTGGAGATGGTGGTTATCTGTGAGTGTGACATCCAGGCTGTCTCTACCCCCAGATAAACAAGGGTGACACGTGTGCAGCAGGTGGGCCTACACGGAGGGGCCTCCTGGCCTGTGAGCATCAGAGACCTGGGAATGCCAGGAGGCCAGGCTATTCTGGACCTGAATCCTTTTCATTGACTAGCTCCCCCAGAAAACACATCAAATATTGTCAGGGAACAGATACATAGCATTTCAGCATCTTCAAGGGATTGAAGACGTGTGTTGCTGTTCTGGCCCATCCTTCCACTTTCTAGAAGTGTTGAAGATGGGCCTCTCTGAGCTTTGCCCACCTCATCCAAAGAACAGAGATGGCCCATCTGTCTTTCCTGTATCACAGGGCTACAGTGAGGCTGAAGTAAGTTAATGTGTGGGAATGCTTTATAAAGTACCATGCAACGTGCCCTGGTTCGTAAAACTCATTTATTCAACAAAGCAGTACAAGCCTCCCCTTCAATCAGGACCTGCCTGCAGGGGTGGGCTACTTCAGTGTCTTCAGCCAATGGGAGCTAGAGGGTTTAATACTTTAGTCCACTTCCCTTCATCTCTGGCCCCATCGACAACATGGGGAAGGGGAGTGAGGGCCTGGTAGAAGGGTACTAAGGCCCCTTATTTCGTTCGCTGGTAGAACTGGAAGACTGCTTTCTCCTGCTCATAGGTCTCGATGGAGCCGGGTCGTAGTCGTCGGATTTCAGCAATGGCATCTCCTGCAGCCAAGCCCCGCTCCTTCACCAGGTAACAGGCCAGCATGGTGCCAGTGCGGCCAAAGCCCAGAGCACAGTGCACTCCCACAGCCTACGAAGAGGGGGCTCGATGGGTGCCACTCAACTCCCCCACCCACAACTGTTTCCTGCCCCTCACTTGGTTCTCCCCACAGCTCCTTCTTCTGTGCCAGGTCCAGGGCTCTGCAGCAAAGTCAGGGAGGGCTGTCCCTGCACTAGGTGGCTAGGAGGCCTCTGCACTGGCTGGTTCAAGAGCTGTCCACCTCTACACAGCCCTCCACCTGTGGTGTTCAATACAGAAGACAGTAGCCACGGCTACTGTGGCTACTGTACTCGAAATGTGGCTAGTCCAAACTGAGATGTAGTGTGAAAAACGCAACAGGGTATGAAGAGGTAGTAGAAAAAAGAATGAAAATATCTCATTAAGATCACCAAAGTTAATTTTATCTGCTTCCCTGCTTTTTAAGAATGCCGTTGCTAGAAAAATTAACATTACATGGAGCCACTTAGGTTCCATTATATTTGGACAGCTTTACTCTAGAAAATGGTAAACAGCCTCCACCTGACTTCAACCCCCACCTCTCCCAGGTGTCTGTCCACACCCTTCTCCTTCACAACTCACAGTATTAGCTGGTTTTCACTGCCTCTCCTCAAGCCCAGTTCGCACTGCTTCGCCCTCTCTTTAGTTCCTTCCGTTTAGCGCTTCCCTCCCCCGCACTGGCTTCCCAGTCTCCCGGCCCTACTGTCTGCCTCCCCGAGCCCAGTTAAGTTATCCCAGGCCCGGTCTCCCCAGCTCCGCCCGTGTCCCCCGCTGACCTTCCAGGCCCCTCCCTCCCTGCGCTGACCCCGCCCGCTGACCTCTCCCCGTGCGTTGGCCTCGTCCACGATCTGCACGAAGCGGTCGATCTGGTCGGGGGCCGGCGGGCAGAAGTCGGGGATGCGCAGGCGGTGCAGGGTGAGGCCGGGGCAGCTGTCGCTGTGAGGGGGCCCGCGCTCCGTCAGGGACACCAGGTGCCGCACGCCCAGGTCCAACAGGAACTGGTAGTGGGCGGGGAGCCGCGGCAGCGCCAGTCCCGCCAGCCGGCCCGGAAGCACCCAGGAGAAGTTGGGGGGCTGCACGCCCATCGCTGGGAAAGGGCACAGGACAGCGGGTCATGGGGGCCGAGGCTGGCCAGCCCCGCTCCGCCCACGCGTCCCCTCGCCCGCTCCGAGCCAAGTAACTCACCACCTACCTGGCCTCGGCGCCTCCCGGGCCACGTGGTCTGCAGGGCGCCGCCCTCGGGTCGCTCTGCCCAGCCGCGGGGATTGGCCCAGAACCTGGGGCGGGGCTGGAACGCGGAACCCAGTCTCTGAGCGACCGAGGGAAGCGCCGCGATCCCGCCCCGTCCGAGCAGATCACGCGGTGATTGGCTGGATCATCATAATGGGCGGGGGGTTACTTCCACGGGGTTCAACCCACTCAGCTAAGAAGGAAGACCTGGAGCGAGTTAGGAATTGTTTGCTGCGGATGGAACAACCCGGGGTCGGGCTCTGCTGCACCCTGGCGGCATGTTGCAGTCATTGCGTCACTGGCGCCTGCCCCTGCCTCCTCGCGGGCCGGCCTAGTTCTACCTCCTTCACGCTGGATGCCCTGGGGTTTAAGAGATGACAAATCGGCTTTCTCCCAGGACGAGGAGTCTCCTCTCTAATGATTGACTGGTCGTTATCAGCGACTTTTTGAACTGTTCCAGTAAGAGGGAATTACTGCTGCAAGGAGGCTATTCTCATTTTTTCATTGCTGGAACTATTAAAAACTTACCCAGGGTAATAATTATAGTAATAATAATAACCAGCACCAACTTCTCCTGTCAATCCAGTTGCTCCTCAGGACTTATTGAGCATTTATTATGTGCTAGATAGTCTTCTAAGCACTTAGCACATACTGACTCATTTAATTGCCACAGTAATCTTATAAGATAGGTGATCTAGTGAATCCCATTTTATGGATGAAAAAACAGAGGCACTGGAGAGGTTAATAAACTTGACCAAAGGATGATGACTAATGCCTCCAAAATCTTTAATAATATCGCCATTTCCTAAAGTTAAATGGAACATTGTTTTCTCTTCACATAACCCCCTCATGTCCCCAAATATTATCTGGGTTAAACGCTTGTGGGTTTTCTTAATTTTTATTAGTATTTCATATTTCTTCATTTTTCAAGGTTTCCTAGTTCTCTGGGTCACTGTCCCCTGGGCAGGCTAGAGTTGATTAGTGTTGTTCTTACTAGGTGGGGGCCCCTAGATCTGAACACCGTTTCCACTGTCATCTGACCAGTCCATATCCTCATTTGAATAATGTGCTTCTAGCGATGCAGACTAACTGTAATTATGAAAATAGTTAACCCTTATTGAATTTGTTTATGTACCAGGCCCTGTGCCAAGCGCTTTCTGGAAGAACCACATGTGAAAGGTATTTTTGTATCTTTTTTTGTACATGAATCATTGGAAGCTTAAAGAAGTTGGTTAACTTGGCCAAGGACACAGTGATCCAAGCCCAGGGCACTTGGCCATGAGGATGTATTATATTTCCTTCCCTTTGCACCCACCTATGACACACGTCTGACCATTTAAGCCTTTGGCTTCAGCAAGATGGAAAGCAATTTGTCTTCTCCTAAAGATCAAAGCCTGCTCTGACCCTGTGGGAAATACACTTACCATTTACCCAGACAATTACTTTCCCCAGGTTCCAGGAGGTGCCAAATCTCCCCTTTTTCTCCTTCCAGACAATCACAGCCCTCATTAAGCCCTTCCTGTTTGCACTCTCATTTCCTACATAAATTCCTATCAAGGTTACCAGCCCTCCCCAGTTTATTCCTTTCTCTCTTTCCCAGCCATGGCCTCTCAGCCACCAGTCACCTCTTCCCCCAACCCCCTGACCTCCCACTTCTCTTCTCAATTCAACTGCTCTTCAGGATTTCTGGTTGCACTACCTCTGGAGACAAGACTCTAGCATTTGTTCTTGTAAGTTAATCTTTTCTTAGTCCCTTTGCCTTGTTCTCCTTTCTTTGCTTCCCCTACTCACCAGGGAAGTTTCCACTTCACTCCCTACCCTCCTATGTGCTCCTTCTTTGCCTCCTTGATATCCAGCTCGAAGCCCATATTCTCCAGAAAGAGAAAATTTTTTTGGGAGACCGAGATCTTCCTCTTCCCTGAGTCCCCTACCAATGATTCTCTCCCTCTTGTGGGTTTCTGCAGGGCTAGCAGTGCATCCATCAAACCATTAGGGCCTCCATGTGGAGAGGCCAGTTGGCTCCCTTTTTAGGAAGCTCTGCCCTTCCCTTCCAGCAGACCCAGAGTGGAAAGGGCCCAGGGTCCCTGCCTTAAGCTTTGTCAAGGGTGCCATATGTCAAGGGTGCCATATGATGTTTTGTCTTGGGCCCAAGGGGCCTCAAACTGTAAGGAAAAACCCTCTCTGATGGTTTCCTGGCTCAGACTTCTGCAATTAACAGGACTTCTGCAACTAACCACCTTCTTGTCTGCCCACATACATGATACTGACCTTCTTTTATTCTCTCCTCTGTACAGAGTTACCTGACCCTCAGGAAGATTTAGGCTTTTTTTTTTTCTCCCATCTCACCTTGTATAAATATGTCTTCTCAGTATAGTAATGTCATTGGATTGAGGATACTTGTTTGCAGAGGAGGCAAGAATGCGTTGTTCCGTTTTTGAATTCCACACATCTAATATGGAGCCTGAGCCACAGGGCTCAAAATGTTAAGTAAACAAATGAATGGGAAATTAATAAGAAGAATGCATTGGCAAGACCGTGAAGGTACATTTCTAGGAGTGAATGTGAGTCTGTCGGACCATGTGGCAATGTGTATTTGTAATTCTTTTTAAATGCACAAGTTTGAGGACTGTGTTGAGTATTGGGTAGTATCTCTTTGAAGTGTATTTTTTACTTGACTGTGCTTTTAAATAAAGAATGGCTGTGTCAGTATGATCTTGGCTATGTCTAATTACTATTTTTGTGAAATGGGACAAATAAAGCTTGTTCTTTATAGAGCACTGCTCTTGTAGTGTGCATGTGTGTGATGGCTTGTGTATTTGAGTGCTTTGGAGGGGCCGTGTTCCTGGAGAACAATCTATTGACACTGATGGTGGGCTGAGTAGTAAGCTTAAGAAATTTCCCTGACTTCAAGGAATTTACAACATCCTTGCGGGGGATTTAGACTCTGATGTAATTATTCTCAGGACATATAATAAAGTACTAAATTGCTCATCAAAGACAATCAGATAATACATATTAAAAAGCTAATTGTGCAGTAAAAACAAGTGCAAAAGAAGTCAGTGGGGGAAAGATAAGCTTGAATTGGAACTACCAGAAATGTCTTATGAAGAGAGGGATTTTTCTTTCCATTTTGTCTACTGTCCAATGAAAAGCTCAGCAGACCCAGCAATCCCATTACTGGGTATATACCCAAAGGAATACAAGTCATTCTTTTATAAAGATACATGCACCATATGCTTATTGCAGCACATTCGCAATAGCAAAGACATGGAATCAACCTAAATGTCCATCAGTGATAAAGAAAATGTGGTACATATACACCATGGAATATGATACAGCCATAAAAAGCAATGAGATCATTCCCTTGCAGGGACATGGATGGAACTGGAAGCCATTATTCTCAGCAAACTAACACAGGAACAGAAAACCAAACACTGCATATTCTTACTTACAAGTGGGAGCTGAATGATGAGAACACATGGACACATGGGGATGGGGAACAACAAATGCTGGGGCCTGTCTGGGGTGGGGACTTGGGGAGGGAGAACATCAGGAAGAATAGCTAATGGATGCTGGGCTTAAAACCTAGGTGATGGGATGATCTGTGCAGCAAACCACCATGGCACACTTTTACGTATGTAACAAACCTGCACATTCTTCACATGTACCCCTGAACTTAAAAGTAAAAAATAAGGCTTAACAGAACATTTTTTAGGGCATCTCAGCTTCCCTTTTTCCAGCTGATAAGAATGTTTTGACTTAGTTCTTGTTCATATTGAGGCCCCAGTCCCCTGTTTGGCTTGATGCTAGTGGCAATTAGGGGTGCAATTGGAGTCAGAGAATTTCTTCCTCCAGGTAGGTCCCTGTGTTCCACCAATGCAAAGGATTGCTTGGGTTCAGGTTCCTGTGGCCCTTGGACTACAGTCAGAATTCTCAGTGTCCTCAGTGTTCTGATTTTTTAATGTCTAAACACACTTCACACCTAAGATCTGATAATCTGGAAACTGAACCTAAGAAGAAATGGTATGGCAGCTAGCTTCCAAGATGGTACCCAATGAGCCATTTCATGCCTGTGTAGTGCTTTTCCACATTGATAGGGCTGATTTTTGCAACCAGTAAGATATTGTGTAACTGGTGGTGTGTGACTTCCTAGGCTGCATCATGAAATACTTAATTTTTGCCTTGTTCTGTCTTGGAAAGAAGGCCTGCCATGGGAAGCTTTGGGAAGAAGCCAGCTGCCATGTTGTGAGAACTCTCAAGCAGCTGTGTGGAGAGATCCATGTGGTGAGGAACTGAAGCCTCCTACCCACCATCAAGTCAGTGGCTCACTACTGTTGCAGTGAATTCTCCAGCCCATGAAGACTTTAGATGATTTACCCAACATCTTGATTATAGCCTCATGGATTCCCTGAGCCAGAACAACCCAGCTAAGCCTCTCCTGAATTCCTTACCTACAGAAACTGTGAGATAATAAATATTTATTCTTTTAAGCCATCAAATTTTGGGTAATTTATTATGCAGTAATATGTAACTAATATAGATAAAAATATTCAGTTTGAAGGAAAGAAGAAAAATAACTTACAATAAACTCAAGAAATAAAATAAAATTAAAACAAAGGTTAATTCAAAAAGAAAGAATTATACTGTAAGCAGTTGTGGTCTAAGTGTGTGTATGCAGGAATGTTGTGATAGATCAATGCAAATTTTCCATATTTGGAGAACCATGCTGTCTGTGGGGGAACCAACCAGAGTAGTCTGGGCATGAGTTTTGTGTGTGTGTGGTGTTGGAGGTATAGGTTGCTGTGGTATTTGTATGGTTAGAGATGATATACAAATTATTTAATGATTGGTCATGGCACAAGAAACAAGCAATTAAAATGGAACCTCTACCAGAACCATTACCTGCAAACAAACAGTGAAGCTACCCTGGTGTCAGTTGGATGTGTGTCAGCTTTGGGTGTAGAGGCGCTGAAATGGTCTGGGGTGTGGTCAGATTACCTTGGACATTTTAATATAGGTCTTTCCACAAGATGGCACTGATAGCTTTTCCTTGTTTCTCTTTTTTTTGTCTTGTTGAAAAATTTGTGATTCGTATACTGTTGCAGAACATACCATAACTGAAATCTCCCAATTTACTAGTTGATTTCTTGTACTTTTGACAAGTCAATTGCCTTTATGGCATTTAAAATTATGGTGTTTTTTTCTTTTTTTTTAGATCATCCCAGGAGCACATTAAAAGTTTAAGTTGGGGTGTTGGGAATGCTGCCTCACATCAGATGCTATCATCATGGGAGCTGGAGATGGGGAGGGAGGTGGGGACTAGGCTTTGGTTTTTGAAAAGCCATTCAACAAAGGCAGGTGAGAGTGGAATCAAGAGGGAGCATTCAGTTAGGGAAGAGGCACTTCTGTGATCAAAACCATGTTGGTGGACTCTCTCACTTCTTCTGTTTACGCTGCCTCGAGCCTCAGCTGAGCCATAGCCTGGCTGGCACTTTGATATCAGCCTGAGGAGACCCTGAGCTTAGGTTCAGCTAACCTGTGGCCAACTTCTGACCTACAGAACTGACATCATAAATGGTGTTTCTTTAGCCATTATGTTTGTGGCAATTTGTTATGCAGCAATAGAAAACCAATATAGTTGCCTTTATTTACTTTATTTTCTTATCTTTAATATGCTCATCACAGCACTAAACCTTTGGAGTTTCTAAACTGGTGTATTGCTTTTTTTCTTTCCCCTTTGTTTTAAGTTTTTCGGTCTCTAAAACTATAGGCCGCATAGGTTCATTTTCCAGTGTAGATGCAACAAATATGATGAACCAATGGAACTCACAAACTGTCAGCATCTGGTTTCGTTTTGGCACCTTCTAAACTCCTGGCTGCTCCCTCCACCACCTTTAGACCAGTGCTTCTCAAGGTGTGATCCACAGTTGATGTCACATGGGAGCCTGTGATAGATGCGGAATCTCAGGCCCCCCGACCTGTGAGATCCTCAGGTGGCTCATAAGCACACCTATGACTAAGAAGCCCTGGTGTAAGACTTGTTTGTCCTGCAGCTCTGTTTTTCCTTTGGTCATCGGCAGCATCCAGAAAGTGGTCTGGTCACAGAGGTAGTGAGTTGATCTCCAGGTGTCTCTTCTCTGGAGCTGAGAAGTTTTAGCTGAGCAGGGATATGGGTGGAGGAGCTGATCAGCAGAGGGAGAGGCCTCAAAGGGGCCTAACTGGCCTGGGTGAAAACTTGAGGTCAATTAGAACCACCTAAGAATCCTGGATTAGAACAACACATTGGCTTTATCTACGGGTTAGAAAGATGTCCAAGAAAAACAGGCTTAATGTACATGTACCTTTCCTGTTTTTTGTTCCAAGGAAGGGCTTGGTTTCCAGATTTCCTTTCTAGAGGAATGCTTGAAACATTGCTTCCTACTCTACCTACCTTTACGTTAGTTTCCAGGCAAGGCAAAAAGTGCCCCAGTCATTATCCTCCAATTTAAATGTCTCTAGCCTCCCTGTAGCTTAGGGGAAAGAAGGCACCATGGACAACCTTTTTTCACACAAGCCCTCCTTTCCCCTCTGTAGCAGACCTTCTTCCCACCCAAATCCCATCCCCCAAAACCTCCTTAGGACCCATCATCTCTGTGGATCCCTGGACTGGCCTCCTGTATTCCGGCCTCTACACATTTCCCCTCTGTGAACCTGCAGAGACTTTTACAGAGCATGGATGTTACTTTTCCAGTTCTTCAATAACTCCTTATTGTCTTCAAGAACAAACCCCCAAGATTTATAGACTGGTATATCAAGCCCTCCAGGATGAGGCCTCTTGCTTTTTCCTTCAGCCTCACCTTACCTCATTCCTCTGCAGAAGTGTTTGTCTTGTCACAATGAACAATGTGTAGTCAGTCAGAGGAGCAGAGCTCTCCTATGTGCCTGTGCCCATGCTGTGCCTTTTTCCTGCCCTGCTCTTACCTTTGGCCTGCAGCAACATCTCAACTTCCTTAAGTTTCACTTTGGGAAAAGAGACCACTTTCTCTAGGAAGCTTTCCCTGCTCCAATTCATGTTTTGTGTCCCTCTTCTGAGCTTCTGCAGCATGTGTATTAGAATATTTATGACATTATATATTAAACACATATTAAAGCTTTTATTGCTATATTATAATATGTTTATTGTAAAAGCATTAAAACACATACACATGCAAAATGTTAAAAATCATCACCTATTACCTATTTATATTAGTTGGTGTTTGATTAGGAAAGGAGAAGCCATTCTATGCTCTCCTAGTATGAAAGGAAGCAATATGAGAAATTCAAGGTTTACATACCTGGCAGGTGGGCTGAGTAGCAAAGGTACCAGATGATCTGAGCTGGTAACATCTAAATGAGATTCTCTTTAAGATCTTGCCTGGAAGCAATTCCACTGTAAGTCTCAGGAACTTCCGGGAAATTCCCACCAATGATCTCAGACTCCAGCACTCATGTGGGGGGATCCCAAGAAATTCACCTGGACGCTGTTTTCAGCCTCTCATCTGCCTCTGCACTTACCTATCTCTGGCAAACGATGGTCTCTCTTTTCGTTCCAGATCTTACACAGGTGCCTCTCATTGGCACTCAAGATCTATGGGAAGGATTTTGGAAATGTTGCTCCCAGGATCTCCTCTCTGGTGCAGAGAGCTTAGTCATGAATGGCATTCATATTAAGTTTACGAGGAACAAGTCACCTAAAGATAACCACATTTTGGTGTACCACCTTTCACGTGTATTTGTGTGTGTGTATAATGCACATATAAAACTCTCTTTTTAGTGTGCTCTATGTCTATATACATGTCTCCCCTCTGGCTCCTTCGAGGTTTAATGAGCTCTCTTCTCTACTTTGTAGAGTAGGATTCCCAGCACTGGTTTGATGACACCCTGGAGTGTCTTCATTTATCTCAGGGGGTGACTTGAAATTCACAAAACAAGATTAATTTAAATTCATTTTCATTTAAAAAAGTAAACAGACATTATATAGTAATTACAGGTACAAGTGTGTGTGTTGAAATCAAACTAATAAATGCTTGCCTTACAGAGAAATTAAGAGGATGGGGGTGGGGTTGGAAGGGACTACAAAGGTGGTTTAGTCTGAATCTTTCCTAAAACATTTCTCCCCACCAATGACTTCCAGGTTGGTGTTTCCCCAAAGTAATCATGTTTCTCAAATTGGAAGTCTGGGCTGTTGGGAATGAAAGCTCCCAGTATGTGGGTCTATCTTCTGTGTATACTATGAGCCTGACATACAGTACACCCTCAGGAAACACATTTGGATTGACTGTGTGTAAGGGTGGGACATGGTGGTGGTGACTAGGGAGGGCACGTGGCACATGAGAGTTCAAGCTTTGTGGGGTTGGAGGCCATGACATATCAGCACAGATAGTGGCCTGGGTAGAAATCCCATTTGGATTCTAGGATAATATAGTCTCCCCAACAATCAAGGAGACAATCTAGGCTGAGATGTCATTGATAATTGCCTTTCTATTAACAATTTGTGCAAAGCATCAGAAAGTCAGATAGGTCAACTAACATCGAAGCCTGTGAGTATCAGTGACTTCCTACTGAGGATACAGTCCCAAGGACACAGATGTAGGAAAAAATTCTGAATTCTGCTTGAGCCCAGCGTCTTTGAAGCAATAGAGTTGGTGGTGGGTTCAAATCCTGGCTCTGCCATTTGAAACTATTTAACCCCGAATAAATTGCTTTACACCTCAGTGCCCTTCTCTATAAAGTAGAAATAAATCATAATGCCTACCTCAGAGAATTGTGACGATTAAATGAGTTAATACTATAAAGTGCTTTGAACAATGCTTGGCACAGTGAGGGATCAATAAACACTGGCTATTGTTATCATCAGCATCACAATAGGCTGCACATACTTATCAGGACCAATTGGTAGCAGGAGTTTCAAATAGAGAATGCATTACTGGCCCCATCTGGTCCCAAAAAATAGGTTCAGGAACCCCTCCTGTCCCCTACGTTGGGGTAGGAACATCATTTGCTAGAACTGGAAACTTAGGCAGAGGGGTAGTTGTATTACAAGCAAGCAAATAGACAAAACAGAACAGAACAAAATAAAAAAACCACCACATGCAAATTGAGTTCTCAGTGAATCCCCTTGTTACACTTTGATGGGATATTCTGCTTCATGGGAAAAAATAGTGCAAACATACCTGGATTCTTAGACTCAAAATTGGTAGCAAGGGAAGAATGTGTCCTTTAGTGCAGAGTTTTATGGTCTATCAATCCTTGAAAGGAAGATATCATTAATCATTAGTCAGTTTCAAAATGTGCTCATCATTATCCACTACTGTTGATGAAAAACCTCAACCTCTTCTGGAGAAAATGACTGTTAGGAAAAGAACCTTTGAGGCCATTAAAACACAGCCATGATTCTCTTTATTTTAGTGAAAAACTAAATATACCTATATCCTCAGATGGGAAAGACAAATCAAGTCTAGCGTCTAATCTTAGCAAAATTCAAATACTGGGTTTGAAATGCCAGTAATTCTATTTAATTCTTTTTCTCTTGTGCAAATACGGAGGAATCTACATTGTGTGATTATTCAGATGTTCAAACAGTTATTTAGGATGAGAAAATTTGCAAATTCACATGGAATTTATTTCTGGAATAGCTATGACCATAACAGAGACAAGGTTGATGAGTCAGTCATTTATTTGAAAATTATGATACCCTAAATCCCTTTGGTCAGAAAACATATTTGATTCACAAGAATATGGAAAAATGGTGAGAAAATGTTTTTTAATGGTTAGCTTTGCTCTATAGTCTTTTGGCTTTCCAAAACTATAATAGTTTCAGCCTTTCTGGTCCTTGTGTTTCTAAAACTTTCTACCTCTTTAATTCAATTAAACAAACATGCCAATTAAGTCCAAGTGAACAAAATATTGGGCTATATACTTGACTAAAGATGCAGATAAAAGCATGAAACTTACATTTTGGTTTTGGAGCAGATTGTTATAGCAATGACCTGAATGGATTACACCTCCTAGTATCCACACCCTTATACATGCCTCTCCTACATTTGTACTGGACTCAGCCTTGTACTTGCTTTGGCTAACGTGATATAAACAAATGTGGGCCAGACGCGGTGGCTCATGCCTGTAATTTCAGCACTTTGGGAGGCCAAGGCAGGTGGATCACTTGAGATCAGGAGTTTGAGACTAGCCTGACCAACATGGTGAAACCCCATCTCTACTAAAAATACAAAATTAGCCGGGCGTGATGGCACATGCCTGTAATCCCAGCTACTTGGGAGGCTGAGGCAGGAGAATTGCTTGAAACCGGGAGGCAGAGGTTGCAGTGAGCCAAGACTGTACCACTGCTCTCCAGCCTGGGCAACAAGAGTGAAACTCCATCTCAAAAAATAAAATAAAATAAAATAAAATAAAATAAAATAAAATAAAATAAAATAAAATGAAATAAAATAAAACAAATGTGATAGAAGCAGAGGTATGATAAGCACTTGCATGTTGGGTCTTGTCATCTTGGAACCCTAAGACCTTTATGCTATAAAGAAGCCCTGAATTATATACCGTATGGTAGGAGAGGCCAGTTGAGCCCAGTCCCCAAGCTGGATGCAGCTGCATGAATGATCCTAGGTATGACCAGTAGAAGAGTGACCCAGCTAACTCACAGAATCATGAGAAATAGAAATTGCTGTTAAGCCACTAAATTTTGGGGTCATTTACTTCATAGGAATGGAAAACTGATCTATATCTATATCTATATCTATCTCTCTCTATATATGTGTGTGTGTATATATATATATATATATGGTCATTTACTTCATAGGAATGGAAAACTGATTTTATATATATATATATATATATATATATATATATATATATATATATATATATATATATTTTTTTTTTTTTTTTTTTTTTTTGAGATGGAGTCTTGCTGTGGCCCAGGCTGAGATAGTGGCGCGATCCCAGCTCACTGCAACCTCCACTCTCCAGATTCAAGTGATTATCCGATTATCCTGCCTCAGCCTCCTGAGTAGCTGGGATTACAGGCGTCTGCCACCATGACTGGCTAATTTTTGTATTTTTATTAGAGACAGGGTTTTGTCATGTTGGCCAGGCTGGTCTCGAACTCCTGATCTCAGGTGATC
Source organism: Homo sapiens (assembly GCF_000001405.40). Lineage (NCBI taxonomy): Eukaryota > Metazoa > Chordata > Mammalia > Primates > Hominidae > Homo > Homo sapiens. The sequence goes on along the minus strand of NC_000001.11, from coordinate 159,769,799 downwards.
CGCCTGCCTCGGCCTCCCAAAGTTCTGGGATTACAGTCGTGAGCCAACGTGCCCGGCCAGATATAAAAATTTATACCCAGAAATGGTATGTTGCTGTAACAAAAAGCTAAACTATGTGGCATTGGCTTTGGGGTTGAGTGGCTGGAAGAGGCAGTAGGTGCAGCGAGTAGATTATTAGTGGAGCCTGAGGACCTGAGAGGAAACTGCTACTGGAGGCTGATAAAGGGCAAATCACATTATATAGTAGTAGAATAACTGGCAACACTGTCATCTTCAGAAACTTGGAAGATAAAAAATGTACTTAATTAACTTGTAGATTTGGCTTAAGGAAGTTTCCATTTAGAATGCTGAAGGGGCCAATTAGCTTTTTAAAGGTGATAGATAATAGGGTATAGGAAGAGAGAGATGAACCAAAAAAAAAAAAAAATGAATTGCTCCATTTGCAAGCAGAATTTAAAGCAAATATGGAGTGCCCAGGATACGCTAGGTGAGAAATAAAACTGTCTCACATTTCCAGTCTCTCCTACTGCCAAAAGATTCTCAAAGTTAGAAATGTTCTCAGGGTACAAATTAAATCAAGGGTGTGGCTACAAGACTTTCTTAAGACCACAGAATGATTTAAAATAGTGACTATTAGATTCTCTCAGCTAGGCAAAGTGGCTTTTAAGAATTTTAAGGGCATTTTTTCCACGGCACATTGACATACTGAACCAAAGTAGAGGCCTATCTCAAAAATAGTTGTGGGTATAGCTTTTGTCTAGTCAAGTGGACTATCACCTGGCATATAGAAAGCCCACATAGAAAGGTATTGGATTAGTTTAGACTAACTAATGTACAGGAAGTTCAAAATAAATAGAAACAGGAGGTAAGATGAGAAAATCACTCAGCTGCACACACAGGCTATTTTTATTGAAAACATGGGTCATCTTGGAGAAAGCAGAGGCAACCACTTCCAGAGAGTAGAAGTAGGTAAACCAGGCTGTATTCAAGAACCGTTTTCTATACCTAGAGTAGAAGGTCCTGCAATATACTTATGTGAAGGGGTGGGTTGCCCCTCCACACCTGTGGGTGTTTCTCGTAAGGTGGAATGAGAGACTTGGAAAAGAAAAAGACACAGAGACAAAGTATAGAGAAAGAAATAAGGGGACCCGGGGAACCAGCGTTCAGCATATGGAGGATCTCGCCAGCCTCTGAGTTCCCTTAGTATTTATTGATCATTTGTGGGTGTTTCTCCGAGAGGGGGATGTGTCATGGTCACAAGACAATAGTGGGGAGAGGGTCAGCAGACAAACACGTGAACAAAGGTCTTTGTATCATAGACAAGGTAAAGGATTAAGTGCTGTGCTTTTAGATATGCATACACATAAACATCTCAATGCTTTACAAAGCAGTATTGCTGCCTGCATGTCCCACCTCCAGCCCTAAGGTGGTTTTTTCCTATCTCAGTAGATGGAACGTACAATCGGGTTTTATACCGAGACATTCCATTGCCCGGGGACGGGCAGGAGACAGATGCCTTCCTCTTGCCTCAACTGCAAGAGGCATGCCTTCCTCTCATACTAATCCTCCTCAGCACAGACCCTTTACGGGTGTCGGGCTGGGGGATGGTCAGGTCTTTCCCTTCCCATGAGGCCATATTTCAGACTTTCACATGGGGAGAAACCTTGGACAATACCTGGCTTTCCTAGGCAGAGGTCCCTGTGGCCTTCTGCAGTGTTTGTGTCCCTGGGTACTTGAGATTAGGGAGTGGTGATGACTCTTAAGGAGCATGCTGCCTACAAGCATTTGTTTAACAAAGCACATCTTGCACCGCCCTTAATCCATTTAACCCTGAGTTGACACAGCACATGTTTCAGAGAGCAGGGGGTTGGGGGTAAGGTCATAGATTAACAGAATCTCAAGGCAGAAGAATTTTTCTTAGTACAGAACAAAATGGAGTCTCCTATGTCTACTTCTTTCTACACAGACACAGTAACAATCTGATCTCTCCTGCTTTTCCCCACACTTATGACTGGATTTCAGAATTGCTATGGATCAGAAGGCTTTGTGGCTTTCTGTTCCTCCCCCTTTTAAATGGGAGTATCCATTGAGTGTACCATTCTCACAATTGTGTGATGAGTATGCATGGAGACAATAACTTTTTTTTTTTTTTAAATTCATGGGTTCCTGAATGAGGAGAAGCCACACCTGTGGAGCTGCATGAGGAACTGCACCCAAGTAGCCTCAGCCACACCTGGACCTGAGATAGATAAGGAGTCTGGACTTGTAGTTTGATGCCATGATTGGATGAGATCTTTGGTGGTTTTGGGATGAGTGATGCATTTTGCAATGGGAGGGATGTCAGTCATTGGGATCAGAGAGCCAGCTGCGGTACATTGTTACAATAATGATCCTCAGTGAATTTTGCCTCATGGTATTCATGTCCCTAGCCCCCTCCCATAATGATTTGGGGTTTGGCCAAAGGCTTGGGACATAAGCTTGTAAAATGCTAGCACTTTGAGGCTTGTTATCTTGGAAGCTGCCCTGAGATCACCATGTTGTAAAAAAGCTTGTTATGAAAGACCATGTGTAGAGAGAGGCCCTGTGGCCTCAAGCTCTACCTATCCCCAGGTAACCTACCAGCTAAATGCAGCTTTGTGAGTAGGCTCATGTAAGACCAATGGAAGAATGGCCCAAATGACTCACAGAATCATGATATATAATAAATAGTTGTTGTAAGCAGCTAACTTTATATTGGTTTATTATGCAATGGCAGACAACTGATACAGGTGTTCATTGTCAAGCATCCAGTTACATGTAGAAAATAGTAGAATGGAGGATACTATACATTTGGGTTATCTGATTTCTAAAAGTCATTGACACTTTCGGCAACTTGTGTAACAGATGAAGAGCCTATTCCAGAATAAACAGAATGTGTTACAGGGTTTTATAGCTACATGTAAAGATGCCGAGAAATAGATGACGTCCTTGATGAATGTGTGGCAGAATGAAATGTGAATGGGCTACAAAACAGGAAGATCTGGTGCGAATTCTTGTTCTACAATTTAATTTTAAGTAAGTTACCTAACTTCTCAGAGTCTTTTCATTTTTACCTGTGAAATGGGGCTTACACTGTCTATTTGATGGGGTTACTATCAGGATTGACTGAGATAACATGTAAAAAATGCTGTGCAATGCCTGGCACATAGTAGGTGTTTGCTACATGTTGATCCCTTTTACTTGTGTTCTTTCTCTTCACCATGTAATATTTTATTGAGGAGTCTACTAGGAATTTCCTCTTGAGGATCTATGAAACAGCAACTCCAGAATCAGGAAAACTCGGGGAACTGGGACTACGTTTGCATGGTCTGTAAACCAACTCCAAGGAGGGGCTGGAATTTCTGAATTGATTAGTCTTCAAGGTTCTCTCACATGTGCTTTCATGGGACTATCCAACACATTGTGAAGTGTCTTAGTTTTTGGAACACTCTTCCTCTCTCATATGTCCAAACACTTTGTCCTCACTCCCACTTCCTTAAGGTCCTGCTGAAGAATCTTTATATCTTAGAGATTGCTGTTAAAATATGAATTTTAGGGTCAGTCATGTGTCTGTGGCATAACACAAAGAATAGAATGGAAGGAAAAAGCATTCCCTTTTGTGAGGAAATGATGATCTTACTTCCGGGTCCTGGGTGTGGCCCACCCACCCAAAGGCAATGTTTAGTCACTCAGATGGGATGATCTCAAAAGACTGAGCAGAGGACCTGGCTGGGCACTGCACTCAGGACACTCCTGGAACAAAGTGCCAGAAAACTTTCCAGCCAGCTGGAAGGGCACCCACTTGCCAATGGTGTGTCTACTTCAGTCCAGTACCTGTTTGAACTATGCTGGCCTCTAGGATAGTTTGTGATAGCAAGAAATGATCAGTATGTACATTGGGGAAAGCGTTAATTAACCTGAAACATAAAGTGCAAGAAAAAGAAGGAAAGCTGGAGATCTTCCGGGACAGAGAAGGAGAAAATTCTCTTAGGTGATTATTTCTTACAGAAGGGAATTTGAGAAAGGAATTCATCCACTATAGAGGTCCTCGAAATCTACATGACCCACAGAAGCCTGGCTGGGACACTTTGTCAACCTATTCCTTCACATATATTTCTAATCTACTTGCTGATTTTCAGGCTGGTCTTGGAATGTAAGTCTTTGGTTTCCTTCTGTTGGATTTCTTTTTGACTTTCCGTTTCTTAATGACTTGAACAAATCAGGCACTGGGCTAGGTATTTTATATGTATTTTTCTTTCTTTTTTTTTTTGTTTTTTTGAGACAGAGTCTCGCTCTGTCGCCCAGGTTGGAGTGCAGTGGCGCAGTCTTGGCTCATTGCAAGCTCCGCGTCCCTGGTTCACGCCATTCTCCTGCCTCAGCCTCCCGAGTAGCTGGGACTACAGGCGCCCGCCACCACGCCCAGCTAATTTTTTGTATTTTTAGTAGAGACGGGGTTTCACCGTGTTAGCCAGGATGGTCTCGATCTCCTGACCTCGTGATCCACCTGCCTCGGCCTCCCAAAGTGCTGGGATTACAGGCGTGAGCCACCACGCCCAGCCGTATTTTATATGTATTTTTCTATTTAATCCTTATGACTACTCTACATTGGAAATATTATTTCCTTCACTTTGTAAATGGTTTTGACTTGGATATTTAAAAGCAGATTTGCCTGACTTTAAGAATTTTGTTCACTCACTGCACTGCAGTGGTAAGGGCCAGGGTAGCTTCAGAGACTTAACTCCAGAACAACTTCACCTATCTTTGGGATAATAAGTCTATTTGCTGATTGCATCCTGATATTACTTCTCATGTACTGCTGTTGATTACAAAGACTTCTTACCACCCAAACTACTCAAGTTCTGCTCTAATTGAGAGCTAATTTGTTTACTCTTATTAATTTTGTCTGGTTAAACTTTCCTGCCCCTTGTTTCTTTTTAAAAGGACAATATTGCTCTATGAAATCATGGAGTCATTATTTTGGCAGACTTTTCATTTAAACGTTTTTCATAAATTATAGTTCTCATTTTTTTCCTTAATATTTCCTGAGGAACAGGTTGGATTTAGGTATAATATTCCATTATTAATCATGTTATACCCTTTATGATGTGCTGGAAAAATCTTTCAGGAATAACTTTAAGATTGCTTATATATTTAATTGATCTTTCTTTGGTCTCTGGGCATTAAAAACTAGTAATGAATTCGTGTATCATCAGGGCTTATAAAGAAACAGTGCACACGAATCGAGTAACTAAGCAGATTTTAATGAAAGGAACTATATACAGGCCAGGTGCAGTGGCTCACGCTTATAATCCCAGCACTTTGGGAGGCCGAGACGGGCAGATCACTTGAGGTCAGGGGTTCGAGACCAACCTGGCCAACATGTGAAACTCCGTCTCTACTAAAAGTATTAATACAAAAATTAGCCACGTATGGTGGTGTGTGCCTGTAATCCCAGCTCCTCGGGAGGCTGAGGCATGAGAATCAGTTGAATCTGGGAGGCGGGAGGTTGCAGTGAGTCGATATCGCACCACTGCACTCCAGCCTGGGCGACAGAGACAGACTCCTTCTAAAAAGAAAAAAATAAAATAATAAAAAAGGAAAGAAAAAGAAAAAAGGAACTAGATACAAAGGTACAGGCAGAGTTGAAGAAAACCTACGAGAGGTGGGTATAGTTCCTTAGGCTAGCAATAATAGCAGGGAGCCACTGCAATTCATGGGTGAAAAATCAAAGGAAGTGAGGGGTTACTGGGATTTGGAGAGTGGGGCCATATGAAGAGATCTGCTTGACATCAGCATTTGGGTGAGGAATGCAGCCAACCCATGGTGGCCCAGTAGGGAGGAAGCTGGGGGTTAAATTCTCTAACTTCCTATTCTCCCAGTCTCTAATCTCCTGTGGGTGCCTCCCGTTGGCTGAACTCCTTTAGAAGGGCTAAGTAGAGGGAGCCCATTGATGCAGCCCATTCAAGTCAGCCTCCTGAGGCACAGAGCAGGGTAAAAGGTGGAGAGAGGGTGGGGAGGGTGAAGGAGAAGATATGTAATGCAGCTGGGCTGTAAGATCTGGTAACTGATGTAGAGTCTGAACTTTATACCACAAAAAGTGTTCCTGAGAATGGTTTCCTGACAGATCAGATAATTCCAGTCTTTAAAAAATGAAACTGTGTTCTGCCTCTGCTTCCTCCAACTCTTCTTTTTAATTTGTATCTTAATAATTTGAAACAACTTGTGCATGATCTAGCTGCATATACCCTTATTATAAAAAGTACAAAAATAACTACTGTCTATGCTAGTGATGTAATTTTATTGTCACTAACAAGAAATGGCCTCTTTATCTTACTGGAAAATAGAGTGGCTTGAATTCAACTTTTCTATATTCAAAATCATCATTTTTGGCAGATAGTATTTGTAATTTAATTGGCTTATATCTAAAGATTATATATAGCTGGCCGACTCTTTCAGCTACTTAAGGGTACGTTTTGCAACTATTTTTCTCTGGTGGTTTCAGTAGAAAGACGCTACTTAAAAGTAGATATTCCTTGGGCATGTTATTGACATTTGTTTGTTTATTTCTGAGGCTTGGGAGATTAGTAAAATCTATTTCATTTTTTTTTCAGATACAAGTCGTAGCATCCATGCCTACTCAGTAAATGTTGAATTAAAGAGTGAGGGAATGAACTTTGTAGCTTTGATTTTATCTTTCTTTCCCCCAAATGTTTTGAGAAAACAGTGTGTGAAAGACTGGAGGAAAATTTTGCCCTTACTGACAGGTCCTCCACTGAAAACCCCCACATGGAGGCAAGGTGGCCAGCCATTTGGCTCTTGGTTAGGAGCCTTCATTTTTCGACTTCCTTTTTTTATTTTTATTTTTTAAATTTTTTTTTTTTTTTACATATTTCTTTTTTTTTAAATTATACTTTAAGTTTTAGGGTACATGTGCACATTGTGCAGGTTAGTTACATATGTATACATGTGCCATGCTGGTGCACTGCACCCACTAACTCGTCATCTAGCATTAGGTATATCTCCCAATGCTATCCCTCCCCTCTCCCCCCGCCCAACAACAGTCCCCAGAGTGTGATATTCCCCTTCCTGTGTCCTTGTGATCTCATTGTTCAATTCCCACCTATGAGTGAGAATATGCAGTGTTTGGTTTTTTATTCTTGCGATAGTTTACTGAGAATGATGATTTCCAATTTCATCCATGTCCCTACAAAGGACATGAACTCATCATTTTTTATGGCTGCATAGTATTCCATGGTGTATATGTGCCACATTTTCTTAATCCAGTCTATCATTGTTGGACATTTGGGTTGGTTCCAAGTCTTTGCTATTGTGAATAATGTCACAATAAACATACGTGTGCATGTGTCTTTATAGCAGCATGATTTATAGTCCTTTGGGTATATACCCAGTAATGGGATGGCTGGGTCAAATGGTATTTCTAGTTCTAGATCCCTGAGGAATTGCCACACTGACTTCCACAATGGTTGAACTAGTTTACAGTCCCACCAACAGTGTAAAAGTGTTCCTATTTCTCCACATCCTCTCCAGCACCTGTTGTTTCCTGACTTTTTAATGATTGCCATTCTAACAGGTGTGAGATGGTATCTCATTGTGGTTTTGATTTGCATTTCTCTGATGGCCAGTGATGATGAGCATTTTTTCATGTGTTTGTTGGCTGCATAAATGTCTTCTTTTGAGAAGTGTCTGTTCATGTCCTTCGCCCACTTTTTGATGGGGTTGTTTGTTTTTTTCTTGTAAATTTGTTTGAGTTCATTGTAGATTCTGGATATTAGCCCTTTGTCAGATGAGTAGGTTGCGAAAATTTTCTCCCATTTTGTAGGTTGCCTGTTCACTCTGATGGTAGTTTCTTTTGCTGTGCAGAAGCTCTTTAGTTTAATTAGATCCCATTTGTCAATTTTGTCTTTTGTTGCCATTGCTTTTGGTGTTTTAGACATGAAGTCCTTGCCCATGCCTATGTCCTGAATGGTAATGTCTAGGTTTTCTTCTAGGGTTTTTATGGTTTTAGGTCTAATGTTTAAGTCTTTAATCCATCTTGAATTGATTTTTGTATAAGGTGTAAGGAAGGGATCCAGTTTCAGCTTTCTACATATGGCTAGCCAGTTTTCCCAGCACCATTTATTAAATAGGGAATCCTTTCCCCATTGCTTGTTTTTCTCAGGTTTGTCAAAGATCAGATAGTTGTAGATAAGCAGAGTTATTTCTGAGGGCTCTGTTCTGTTTCATTGATCTATATCTCTGTTTTGGTACCAGTACCATGCTGTTTTGGTTACTGTAGCCTTGTAGTAATGACTACTGGGTACATAACGAAATGAAGGCAGAAATAAAGATGTTCTTTGAAACCAACGAGAACAAAGACACAACATACCAGAATCTCTGGGACGCATTCAAAGCAGTGTGTAGAGGGAAATTTATAGCACTAAATGCCCACAAGAGAAAGCAGGAAAGATCCAAAGTTGACACCCTAACATCACAATTAAAAGAACTAGGAAAGGAAGAGCAAACACATTCAAAAGCTGGCAGAAGGCAAGAAATAACTAAGATCAGAGCAGAACTGAAGGAAATAGAGACACAAAAAACCCTTCAAAAAATTAATGAATCCAGGAGCTGGTTTTTTGAAAGGATCAACAAAATTGATAAACTGCTAGCAAGACTAATAAAGAAAAAAAGAGAGAAGAATCAAATAGACGCAATAAAAAATGATAAAGGGCATATCACCACCGATCCCACAGAAATACAAACTACCATCAGAGAATACTACAAACACCTCTATGCAAATAAACTAGAAAATCTAGAAGAAATGGATAAATTCCTCGACACATACACTCTCCCAAGACTAAACCAGGAAGAAGTTGAATCTCTGAATAGACCAATAACAGGATCTGAAATTGTGGCAATAATCAATACCTTACCAACCAAAAAGAGTCCAGGACCAGATGGATTCACAGTCGAATTCTACCAGAGGTACAAGGAGGAACTGGTACCATTCCTTCTGAAACTATTCCAATCAATAGAAAAAGAGGGAATCCTCCCTAACTCATTTTATAAGGCCAGCATCATTGTGATACCAAAGCAGGGCAGAGACACAACCAAAAAAGAGAATTTTAGACCAATATCCTTGATGAACATTGATGCACAAATCCTCAATAAAATACTGGCAAACCGAATCCAGCAGCACATCAAAAAGCTTATCCACCATGATCAAGTGGGCTTCATCCCTGGGATGCAAGGCTGGTTCAATATACACAAATCAATAAATGTAATCCAGCATATAAACAGAACCAAAGACAAAAACCACATGATTATCTCAATAGATGCAGAAAAAGCCTTTGACAAAATTCAACAACCCTTCATGCTAAAAACTCTCAATAAATTAGGTATTGATGGGACGTATTTCAAAATAATAAGAGCTATCTATGACAAACACACAGCCAATATCATACTGAATGGGCAAAAACCGGAAGCATTCCCTTTGAAAACTGGCACAAGACAGGGATGCCCTCTCTCACCACTCCTATTCAACATAGTGTTGGAAGTTCTGGCCAGGGCAATTAGGCAGGAGAAGGAAATAAAGGGTATTCAATTAGGAAAAGAGGAAGTCAAATTGTCCCTGTTTGCAGACGACATGATTGTATATCTAGAAAACCCCATTGTCTCAGCCCAAAATCTCCTTAAGCTGATAAGCAACTTCAGCAAAGTCTCAGGATACAAAATCAATGTACAAAAATCACAAGCATTCTTATACACCAACAACAGACAAACAGAGAGCCAAATCATGAGTGAACTCCCATTCACAATTGCTTCAGAGAGAATAAAATACCTAGGAATCCAACTTACAAGGGATGTGAAGGACCTCTTCAAGGAGAACTACAAACCACTGCTCAAGGAGATAAAAGAGGATACAAACAAATGGAAGAACATTCCATGCTCATGGGTAGGAAGAATCAATATCGTGAAAATGGCCATACTGCCCAAGGTAATTTACAGATTCAATGCCATCCCCATCAAGCTACCAATGCCTTTCTTCACAGAATTGGAAAAAACTACTTTAAAGTTCATATGGAACCAAAAAAGAGCCTGCATTGCCAAGTCAATCCTAAGCCAAAAGAACAAAGCTGGAGGCATCACACTACCTGACTTATTTTTTAAATTTTTAATGACCAAAACAAAACATCTAAAACCACAGCTTTTGGAAGAGCCACTTGTTCTTGCCCAGGTTTTACCTCTCTTTGATTTTGACTTTGGCCTTCCTTTGGGCCTTGTGTTTAAGAGCAGGGTCTCTGAAGACATCCTTGTTGATGACAGTTTTGTCCAAGGGGGTATCCACAGAGTGCCTTGTGGGCATGAGATGATTGTAGTTATAAACTTTCACAAAAGACTTGGTCTTTGACCTCTGGGTGCTCTTCTTGCCCATGGCAGCTGTCACCTTGCAAGGATAACAGTCAATTCCAGCCACCAGAGAACAGCTGACGGGGCATTCTAAGGTGCCATCATCAATGTTCTTCACGATGATGGTTTTGCATCCAGAGTAGCATCCGGTGTAGTGTCTGGCCTGGACCAACACTACTTTCCCAGGTTTTATGAACTTGCCCATTTTGACAGCAACCACCCAGGCCTACCTTCGTCTTATTTAAGGGAAGTGAATCTACCTCCTACTTGGTTGATTTTTAAGGCATATGGACTATCTTTTTTTAGCAACACAGATTTTATGCAGTTCATAGTCTTGTCAAATGTTACAGTTTGGACATCTCTTTTGCCCAATTCCTACCAAAAGCTTAATTAGAAGACTTAGCAGTTCTAATTGACAGCTGAATATATAGTTTTTTTTTCTTTTTAGAGACAAGGTCTTGCTCCGTCACCAGGTTGGAGTGCAGTGACATGATCGTAGCTCACTGTAACCTTGAATTTGTGGGCTCAAGTAATGCTCCCTACACCTCAGCCTCTATTAAGGATATATTGTTCTTTCATTATCCTAGGTAACTGTTGCTCGATAGAACTTTCTGCATTGATGGAAATGTTCTGTAATTGTGTGTCCGTCGTTAATAGTCACTAGCCATGTGTGGCTATTGAGCATTTGAAATGTGGCTGTTAAAACAAAATAATGGTACTGAAAATGTTTTATTTAATTTTAATGAAGTTTAAATAGCCACTCACGCCAGTGGCTTCCATATTGAACAGCACAACTCTGTAATTCTAAATTTTATCCCTGAATCAAGCTGAAGTATTTCTTCTTTGGCTTTCCAAAGAATAGCATTTATTGAATAGCAAATTTCTATTTTTTCCTTAATCATGGTTTTAAAACATATTCTCACTTTCTTGGATCTCACTCCCGCATCAAAAGATGGAGACTAAAATACCCTTCCCTTGGATATAGGTTGGTCTTCGTGGCTTGATTCTAGCAAATAGGATGTGTTAGAAGTGATACTATGTGATTTTTGAGGCTAGCTCATAAAAGGTGCTAAAGTTGGCTTGGTTGTCTCCCTCTCAGCACTTGAGCTTTCATGTAAGAGTTCTAGCTGCTCTAACACTGCCATGCTGGAGTCACATGGAGGGACCTCGAGAGGTATCTGAAGAGGACCAACTGTTCTAGCCTCCAGCTGTTTGAATCTTCCTAACTTAGGCTCCAGGTTACTTCGGACCCAGTCACTTTGTGACTACATTTCTGTAAGAGACTGTAAGTGAGAATTGCTTAGCTTAGCCCCTCTATCCCCAGTAAGATAATAATATACAATGCTGTCACTTTAAGCCACTATTTTGGTGTTGTGCAGCGATAGATAACTGGAACACTCTTGTAAAAGAATACTGCAGGAAATAGTTCTATGAAACTTTCTGGCATATTCATTGTTGGGATTTTTGAGTACAAAGTTTACTACATCAATTTCTTTTGAATTTAGTAACAGGAAAATCTGTATTTTCTTGAGCAATCAATAGACTTTTACTTTAATACATTTTTGCTTTGGTTGCTATGAAGCTCAAAGCTAAATTTATGTCCTACTTCGTAAGTAAATAGGACCATCAATAATTTATTTCTGTGTGTTTGCTTTTTATTTGGCCTTATCTTACTGTTTTTTAAAAATTTACCTTTTTCCTTTTTAAAGACCTTAATACAGTATATATTTTGTCAAGCCATTTCCAAAAGTGAATGCAAATAATATTGGGCTTTTGCTGAACCAGTGTGAGCTGTAAGATCATCCAGTAGATTAGCAATGATGGCTGAGAGAGCTCTGGAATTTTATAACTCTTCAATGACCTTATTTTATAGGAAGACAATAAGGCTCTGAAAACTGAAGTGACTGCTGAAGTATACACAGCTAGTGAGCAGCAAAATCTCAGCCCAGGAGAAGCTGTGTCTTACTCCTCATTCACCCATATAGCACCCATTGGTCAGATACTGATTCTTTATTAACTGTCAGCTCTGGGTCTGGTTACTTGAGGATGGGATGGTGGTACAAAGATAAATAAGAGTCAGCAGAGGAATTGAATCTCCAGATTATGCCTGGTGGGACATAGTACATGTGTTTAAATATAAAGTAATATGTAACATAAAAGCGGCACAAGTGAAGCTTTTTGAATGTTCAGAGGAATGAGAGATCACTTCCAACTGGGCAATCACAAAAGCTTCAGGAAAAAGTGATGTTGAGTTAGGCCCGGAAGGATGGACATGCTTCACACGTGCAGGTATTAGGAGAGATGATGGGGTGAAGCAAGAGAAGATTAGCTGCCGTGAGTTGAATACTGGGAATTTTAGGCCCTGTGGCATTTGGTGGGGATGATATTTTGAGCAGGGGGATTGTGCCACATCTCAAATTACACCAGGCAAGTAGTTGCTTACTATTCTGTTTATGGGATCAACGCTGCCAAGGGCATGCTACCTGCAAATGTGGATGGGAAGGATGAGAGAGAGAGAGAGAGAGAGAGATAGAGAGAGAGAGAGAGAGAAAGAATGCTAACTGAAGCTTCTACATAGCTGACTGCTCAGAAAACCCAACACATGGAGCTATGTTCTGAAGTAATTGCCTAAAACCTTTATCAACAAATAGTTTTTAGACTTTGGTATGGAGGAGAAAATTCTGGAAGAGAATCTACAACATTTCACAACACTGCAAACAGGGGGCATTTCAGGACATCCCTGAGGAACACAGCAGCATGCTCAACTTCCTCTTAGATGGCCTTGCATTTCTTACAGCCTCCTTGTGACCACAGGAGCCTGGTGATCCATGGAGCAGTAAGCCCAGCAAAGCCTAAGAGTGGGGCTCTGGAGGGACAGGTCTGTTGTTCTTTGTAGAGATTGATGGATTTGTTACAATTAGTAATAGGTGGCTTTCCTGAAATTCTGCAATTACCTCTTGAAATAGGGAAACCTCTGATCACATGGGTAGGATATTGCTAAAGAGGTGAAAACTTACTTGGGCCATTTAAACAGGTTCCTGCCAGTTTCCTATAAATGAAAGTTTAAATAATCCTCCTTTCTCAGTTAGGAAGAAAATCAATATCTGATTACAGCAGAATTCAATGCCATTCTGCCTGATTCTTCTATGCTTAGAAAACCCACAGAAGGCAGGAGCTCAGACGGATGAACCATGGTGTCCCGACTCAATGCAACTTCTCTTCTGTTTTCCATAGAGTGTTTCCAACAGTGTAAATCAACAATAATCATAGTTGCTATGTTAGTGTTGTACAATGCTGTACAGGCGATAACTTACTTTCACAAACATGTCTTATCTAATCTTCATAAAAATTCATTGAGGTGAATATTGCTCTCCTACTTTTACGGAGGAGAAAACTGAGGCACAGGTAACTAAAGCAAATTATCCTAGATCTTTGGATGAGCATGTATTAGTGATTAGTGTTTATGTCTGGTCTTAGGAGTAGAAATTCATTTGTGCTCTTGAGCAAGGTCCAAAGATGAGAGGCAGGATTGGGAACTGTAGGTGTAAGGGTGAGTTCAGAGCTGCGTTGGGCAAACATCTGATCATCTAGGGATAGGCTGTCCCCACACAGGGACAATCTTTTACCAGTCTTCTCTCTGCTAGGGAAGGTAATCAGTGGCAGAGACCCTCACATCTGGGAGTGACTAAAGTTATATGTTCAAATCTTTCATTTTTTTTTCAAATGAGGAAGCTGAGGTTGAGTGAAGTTAGGTGACTTGCAAAGACACACAACTAACTGGCGATGAAAATGGGATCATTACCCAGTTTTCTACTCTTACACTGGAATTTCTGCCACTGCACCTAGATGCTCTTCCTGCTTTACTCTCTCTTTTGATTAGATAGAAGTGTGTTTACAACATAAAGTGATTGGGCATTTGTTAGGTAAGTGGAATAAAAGTAACAGTTGCTACTATTCATTGAACACCTATGATGTGCTACAGTGTGCTAGATACTTATCATGCATAATTTTTCATCTTCGCAAGAACTCTGCAAAGTCTCTCTCTCTCAATGTGTATATATATACATTGTATAATATATACATTGTATACATATATACAATATATACAATGTATATATACATATACTGTATACATATATACACATTGTATACATATACACATATATATACATTGTATATATACACAATATATACATACATATACATATATATGTATATATACATATATACATTGTATACATATATACAATATATACAATGTATAATATATATAGTATATGTATATGTACAATGTGTGTATATATATATATAGAGAGAGAGAGAGAGACAGACAGAGTCTCACTGGAGTGCAGTGGCATGATCTTGGCTCACTGTAACCTCCATCTCCTGGGTTCAAGCTATTCTCCTGCCTCAGCCTCCCAAGTAGCTGAGATTACAGGCGCCCCCCACCATGCCCAGCTAATTTTTTTTTTTTGTACTTTTAGTAGAGATGGGGTTTCACCATGTTGGCCAGGCTGGTTTCGAATTCCTGACGTCAAGTGATCTGCCCGCCTTGGCTTCCCAAAGTGCTGGGATTACAGGCATGAGCCACCGCGCCTGGCCCTGCAAAGTCTGTATTTTTATCTCTGTGAGGATACTGGGACCGGTGATGAGGAGGGACTTGCCAAGACAATTTTGAGCCCGTGCTGTTTTTGTTGTGCAGCGTGGCCTCTGCAATAATTTATCTTTTGTCCTAGAAAACAGAAATATTTGAATTTTTTATGTGGTCAAATATCACTTGTTGGAAGTCATTAAAATTCAAATTGTCTGCATTTATTCCTAGAACTACACCTGATTAAAAAGGGAGATAAGGGAGATGAATCAGTTATCACCTTTAAACAGAGTCTTTAGAAGTCTTGATTAATAAGTACGTTTCAACATGAAGGAAAACCAACATTTTTTTTACAACTATAATTCAAGTTGTATGCTTAAGTAATTTTTTTTTTTAAAGAGAGATGTTTTGTTTTTAACCCTTATTCCTCCAACACGCCGGCGCAGAGTTCTAGAGGCACTTTTGTATTAATTAGTTCTTTCCTTCAAATTCAAATACCTTTACAATAGCTAAGGATATTTATCATTTAAATTCAGAGTTTGATACACTTGCTTCCTCTTAGCATCTGTGATATGCTGTCCAAATTGAAAAAAAAAAGCATTATTTTTTTCTTTGTTTCACTTGGAAGGCTTTAGGAAATGGGAAAGTCTGAGCACTGTGCCTCCCAGGAAGGATTTGGATCACCGTTGGGCAGTATGAATTTTTTTGGGTTTGGGAACCAGAAGGGAAAGGGTGCCAGGAGGTGGAAAAATGGTACTGACAGGGATGTGGCTGTTCTTGGCCAGTGAGCCCTGAAATCCTGATGTGACATAGGTGGCTAATTACTGCACTGTGTAGAGGTATCATGATGCGTCTTTCAGCATGATTCCAGACACAGCGCCTCTCTCATTTGACTCCACTCTTTTAACATGGATCCCCGGCTTCTACCTGCACAACCTCGCATGGTCACATCTCCCACAGAAATGAAGGAAGAGCCTTCTTCCCTGAAACAGCAGGGACTTTCGTGAAGTTCATCATGATGGTGCTTTTTAATTGGCTGTCTTGGCCTTTTATTTGTTTTCTGACCCTTGGACTTGCATTGCTCCCTGGTGCCTGTGGGTTTCCTGGTTTCTAACTGCTGGCTTGATTTTTAACCTACACACTTAACCTGGACTCCTGATATGCATGTGATTTCTGACTTCTCATTTGGCTCGGAGCCTTTTTGACTTTTCCCGTTCCCAGTCCTGCCTGTAATTCTTAGACTTGTTGTATTTTTCTACCTGGCTTCCCACCTTGGCTCTGGGACTCTTTGTCAACACCAGTCTTGATCCAATAGAGAGACTCGATCTCATTGGGCAACCAGGTAAACAAGAGGACTGGTGAAGGGGTTGAGAAAGTCACATCTTCATCTAGCATTTGGCACAATTCTCATGGCCTTTCTGATCATGGAGTTGACTTTATGTAATAAGAGTTCGAAGAAGTCTTGAACAGAAAAAAATTTTGTAAACAAGAGGCAGTAATTGTTATTCTTTCCAGTTGTTGAGTTAGCTACACCTCTGTAAATTGTAACATAGAGTTTCAAATTTATATTGAATTCCTGCGGTGTCCTGAAATTGGGGTCGGTCTACCTTTCCGAAGAAGACCAGACACATTTCTGTGACACAGGATCTTTTATATAGGATTCATGGGTAATAATTTCTGCTGCTCCTTCTTTATTCCAAAAGTGAACAAAAGTCAGTTTTTCACACAGGTAAAGTTACTAAAATTGTGGTAGGTAAAGTTACTAAAGCTGTAGTAACTTTACCTGTGTGAAATCCTAACTTACTTCAATAGGATATTATTAAAGGAAGGAGAATTTCCACATTCAAGATAACTAATCCAAATCAAGATCTTCATTTGGGAAAACCAGACTCAATAATATCAGATCCTGGCATAGCTCTGGCATGTTGTCTTGCAGGTATGTTGAGAGTATACAACTATGGGTAACCTCTTGGGCAAAGGAGCTCAAGATTAATTTCTTGTCATTTTCCACAAATGTATCAATGCATCTACAAAGTAAAATGGGATGGATTCTCAAATGTCAGTTCTTTCGAACCATTGATCTTAAGAATTCAGGTTGAGTTTATGTCTAGAATTTTAACTGATCATGACAGATAAATCTATGAGTCATTGTCATCTCTTAGAAGCTCATGATGATTTTAAGGGCGTGTTGTAACCACTTCTTTAACCAAAATCAGGCAATTTCAGGTGTGGCCCATAAGTAGTTAATTCCACAATGTTGCATTTTTTATGCTCCACTTGCAGCTGATTTGTGAGCTGTAGAGTTTGGCGGGGTTGGGAGTGTTGACCTCAGGAAGGATTTGCGACAGTGCTTGGCAATCACGTGACACACCAGCTATTCCTTCCCATCATTAACTTGGCATTGACTGGACAAGCAACAGGGCACCATTCCAGGTGTGTGTTGAAATTCTCTGGTGTCCTTTGAAATCCTAAGCAACAATTTCCTCCCATTGTGCAACTCAAGAACTCTGATAAACAGTATGTTTGGCATTCTGTTCCTGGAAACGTCTCTTACAGAGGCCACCTATGGGTGTTCTAGAGTTGACTGAGGGACATCAGTGTTGGATGATGCCACAGAGGCTACCAGCTAAGTCTGTGTGGCAATAAAACACATCCTGTATAAGCAGAGACAGAGATGAGCAGGGGAAAATCCAAGCAAGATGTAGGAACAAATTAAAGGATGTATCACTCAGGCAACCAAGGTCATGGAGAGCAGAATAGAGCACCAAGAAAAGAGTTCCTGATAAACCAATGCACTAATTGGAAGTGTTTGTGGTGATGTGAAGAAGGCCTCTGGAGGCCTCCAGGGTGAGTTAAGGCAAGCAATCAACATGTCAAGGTAATTTGTTAGCAGTACTGGCTTTGGGTTAAGGTGTATAAACCTGCCTGTTGTGATGTATGAAGCCTGCTAACCGGAGGAAACTTGGCCATAGAAGGACAGCAGCAAAGTGGCGCCTGGTTGGAACTGACAAGAGGAACCACCTATACTTGTATCTGTACCTGTATCATCTGCCCCATGAAGGCAGGCCCTAATTACAAACCACTTATCTAGATGGAGGGGTGGGCATGGCCTCTCTATATGACCACAGGATATTTCCAAGTTTCCCTGATCTTACTGAGTAGTTATTATGAAAGGATGCTCTCAAAGAGCTGCAAGAGAAATAAAGGCTTTAATGAACGTGCATTTCTACAGGCCAAGCAGACCTAATTTGCCCTCTGAATTCACACCAGCTGTGCACACCCCTCACCGACTCATTCAGACCATACTGGTTGTGCACACTTTTCACGATCTCATTGACCCTGCATGACTCTGCTTTACACTTGAATGATCCCAGGAACCCAGACTGACTGTGCACAGCCTCACCTTCCCATTGAGCCCCCATAGGTTATACATCACACACCACATTGTCACTCTCACAGTTGGCTCTGTACATTTCTCTTCTGCTAAGCTCACACCCTTCACCATCTTAGTGATTTCATATCCACTTTGCACTGAGCTCAGCTGAGATCACATGGCCCACTGCATTGACTTCACACAGATTATACAATGCTATGACATCACCCACTCTTTGGCCACTCAATATCTGTTTTTCTATTCTTCCTAGAAATAAACCCTGGTTGTACTTTATGCACAGCTAAGAGACAACATTTCCTAGCCTCCCTTGCATTCTTATAACATTTTGTTATATGATTAAGTTCTAGCTAATGAGATTTAAACAGACGGGTTTGGGTGGGATTTCTGAGGGTGTTCCTTGAAGTGAGACAAAATTCTGGGGTCTAATCTTTTGACCTTAGTCTTTCCATTTTCCCTCCCCTACTGGCCCCTTTAGTTTTGAAAACAGTTAGGTTGGTGAGATTTCATCATTCATCTTGTGACTTTGAGAATGGAAGCCACTTAATAAGAATGGTTGGTCCATAAGTTGGAGGGGATCTGAGATCTTGATAACTTTATGGGGCAACAAAACCACTTCCTGGGCCTTCTATCTTGACTTCTTTTATGGAAGAAGATGAGCCCCCCTAGTTCTGCTTAAGCCACTGTATTTGGATCTCTGACACTACAGGTGAATGCAATTCTGTTTTCTTTTGTTTTTTGTTTTTTTTTTTTTTTTTTTGAGATGGAGTTTCACCCTTGTTGCCCAGGCTGGAGTACAATGGCATGATCTCGGCTCACTGCAACCTCCGCCTCCTGGGTTCAAGCGATTCTCCTGCCTCAGCCTCCTGAGTAGCTGGGATTACAGGCATGCGCCACCACACGCGACTAATTTTGTATTTTTAGTAGAGACAGGCTTTCTCCATGTTGGTCAGGCTGGTCTTGAACTCCTGACCTCAGGTGATCCACCTGCCTTGGCCTCCCAAAGTGCTGGGATTACAGGCGTGAGCCACCGCGCCTGGCCAGGTGAATGCAATTCTTACTGGCGCAACCCCTCACCATTCTACTGAGCTCACCCTGACTATGCGTGTGCTTATCATCCCCTCAGTCTATGTGTACTCTGTATATTGTCATTTGACTGGGATGGTGCATATGTGGAACAGCTGTCTTTTACTTTTTTAAATGCTAAGAATAGCCTCTGAACTTTTCTTTTGACTTAGTCATATAAAGTAAGATGGATCAGACTCTCTGAGGTACATAAATCACATTCTGTAAATGTTAATGGGGAGAGACTAACCCAGTACAATGCAAGTTGTACACAGGAATCAATACTCAGGTGATGCAGAGAGATGTTAGGATCAATGGTTCTTCCTTCCCTGAGTCAGCACCAAATCATGTCATGATGATTACTTGTGCATCATGGAGGCTGGGATAGGGTCTTCAATGGCAAACGTTGCCATTCCTTAGTGTAAATCTGAGTCTCACCCACTACACTTCCCAAAAGACTATATTTGAAAAAAATTTGCACATTAATATATTTTCCTTACCTTGCAATTTTGCCTCTAAAAAATCAAAAGAATAAAACTCAAGGTAGGGAGATAGCAACTGGAAAGCAGGAAGTAGAAAGATGGGCTCACACGAGGGCTGCCCAGTACAGGAATATGGTGTAAATGGTGCCCCCTGAGGGTGCAAAGTAGTGTTCCAGCTTATTCCCACCTCCACCTCATCTTCCATCCCAGCTGCTGTCAGAGTCTTTGGACATGGCCATGGTGACTCTGGGTTCAGCGCCTCCTTATCCTTTTAGCCCATTCCCTGGTGTTAGCATGGTGGAACAGAGGGAAGGGTCCTATCGAAGGACAAGTTTTCAGGTAAATGGTTACCACAGCAAGGACTATTCAGGATGCAAAAAACAAGCTTGAGAAGAGTGTGCTTGAAATCTTTAGATAGGCAGCTGATACCTGGGCATAAAAATCACCTTTTCTTCTTTCATCACAACTAAGAGGCATGACTTAAAACCTTTAAGAGTAGATTTAGTATAAAAATGAAATGATATTATGTGAAACAAGGCATTCTTAGGTTCCTGGACTCTGCACTTCTAGGCCTCTGCCCTTCTTAACTAGTTGAGGTACCAGAGGAACCATAGGATGTAACTCAATGACCCCCTTTATAAGACTCTTGATGACTGGCTGTGACTGGCAGGTGGGGGCCTGTGACTCTTTGGCAGCCTCAAGGCAATTCGTCATACTTGGGGCTCAGAGGAAGTCACATAGGTGAGGCACAGTCACCCCCTATTCTGCTCTTTATGGATTCTGCTTGGATTGGCATTCACACAGCTATCATTTCTCTGATAAATAACCTGTGCTAATTTTTCAGTGATGGACTTCACATCTCCTTAACCTCTGTAGTCCTACTTTCTGCCCACTTTGCCTATTGCAGCCTTTGTGTATTATTTTTATCATTTTTATTTTCATGTCGTACTCTATAATAAAGAAGCTCTTGCTTCAGTCTTCATTCTTTCCAGTCTGTCCCATATTGTCACCTGTGGGTAAGAACAAGTCACTTAGCCCCTTGAGCTTCAGTTTCCTCATCTGTAAAATGAAGGTAAAGCATGGCCTGAGGACAAGTAGCTCAAGTAAGTCACCAGCTGATAAGTGATTAAATCCAGGCCTGCATCCAGGTCTCCTGTTCCCCTCTCCAGTCTTTCCTATGACACCAATAACTCACAGCTTGTTGTGAAATCAGATTAGATAATGTGCTGAAAGACATTTATGCTCTGAAAAGTGACATAAAGATCTTTGCAATTATTGCTAGGGATTTATGCTCCTTAACAATCCTAGTGACAGAGTGAGGCCCCTGCTCTTAGAGAAAATTACTTTCACTGTTCTGTTTCTCCCACAAACCACAGGAGAATGGCTTTCATCTTTGTAAAGAGTAACTAAGACTTAAGAGACTTTAAACTACAATTGAAGAAGCTGCTGTTGGCCTTTCCCAGTGTCGGAATCTTCTCCGATCTCACCGTGAGCTGGAGTTTGTTCTCCTTTGCCACCAGGAACCACAGTAATAATGGCATCCCCTTTAGATATTCTTTCTCTCTCTCTCCCCATGTCAAGAGTCACAAGGCTTCCATATTCCTATTTTATATCTATGCGACTCAGAGCCAAGCTCAGGTATTGTTGATTTCTGATGAATGAAAGCCCCCCAGGGAGGAAGATCCTGAAGAAAGAATAGTTGGGCCAGGCGCAGTGGCTCACGCCTGTAATCCCAGAACTTTGGGAGGCTGAGGCAGGTGGATTGCTTGAGGTCAGGAGTTTAAGACCAGCCTTGCCAACATGGCAAAACCCCGTCTCTACTAAAATACAAAAATTAGCCAAATGTGGTAGCAGGCACCTGTAATCCCAGCTACTCAGGAGGCTGAGGCAGGAGAATGGCTTGAACCCAGGAGGCGAAGGTTGCGGTGAGCTGAGATCACGCCACTGCACCCCAGCCTGGGTGACAGAGCGAGAGTTCGTCTCAAAAAAAAAATAATTTGAAGAGACAGAGGCAAAGATGATCTTAGAAACAGCACTCCTTCAGTGGGGACTTCATGAAGAACTAGTTTATGAAAGGAGATAATGTAGATACTAGCAGGAGAGGCATTGTGTTGTCACAGAAGAATTAACACTATCCATGTGGTGGGGCCTTCAGTCCTAGTGTCCTGGGCTGGTGGGTGCTGATGAAGTATTTCCCAAACCCCAGATGTGGCACTGGGGTCCAGAGCAAGGTCCCCATGTTGCCTCCTGGGGATGCCCCTCCTATTTGTCTCAGGTCCTGGCACTATAGCAGTGCTGTCTACACGGAGGCGCTGGCTCTGTCTGCTCTCTTTCTATCCAGGAACACTTCAGGGGATCTAAGCAAGTTCTTGAGAGGAATGAGCTTCATTAAGAGGGTTTGACCAGTAGAAATAAGAAAATTATAGGATTTTTAAAACCAAAGAAGTCCTCAGAAACCTTATAATTGAAAGCTCTTGTTTTATAGAAGACAACAGAGGCTCAGAGAGGTTAAGTGACTTGCTGAGGCTTTTGCAGCAAAACAGTACCTGTGTGAGGATGATAATGCAGGTTTCTTGATTTCTAATTAAATGCTCTTTCCTACTGAATCTTTTTGTAATCAGGAGGAAGACAGGCTTTTGATGATTATAAGAGGGTTAGGGCAAATTCAAGAATTACCTGATTTATTATCTGGCAGTAGTAGCCATTTTAAAAGAAAATGGCTCTGAGATAGTTTTCAAAAATGATTGGGGTCACAAAAATGCACGTATAAATTGTAATGTCCCTGTCTACCTCTCCCAGTGCTCTTCATTTCTCTTCCTGTTTATGATCTCACCTTCTTAATAAACTGAAGAGCACAAGGAAATACCCATAAGAACCTCCCTTGCATGATGACCTTTCTTCTTCTCCTTTTATTTTGGTTCATAGACATGGGTTCTAACGAAAGCTCAGAAAGGAAGAGAATAGTAAGGCACATTTTCTTTATCTTAATCTCTGCTAACTGATTTCCTTTGTGGCCGGGGAATATGGGCCTGGGCTTATTTCCAAGGCTATGTGTAACCAAGAACTAGAAATGGAAATCTTAGCATGTGTTCAACAGTTTTCTTCTTTTATTTTTAAGTATAATCTATTTAAAAGTATAATTCAAATAAACTCAACTAGCATACGAAATTATAATATTAATGCACATTTTCACCCAGTAGTGTATTGAAGGTGACCCATATGGGCTCACAAGAATGAATTGTTATTCAGTAATTATTAGGAGCCTGTTAAATCATCTGTGGGTTGAAATTAGACATAGTGGTATAGAGCACTTACACCATGGAAATCAGTAAATGCTATAAATCAGGACCTTTTCTTTTTTTTAAATCAGTGAGCCAGCTTGCCAGCACAATACATTTGGTGTAGAGAATTTCCACTGCTCAGAAGTAATCACTGTTAATTTTCGAAGTAAACTTCTAGAAAAATGATTATTTACATACTAGTGCATATGCATGTATTATTTTAATTCATTTATAGAAAAGAATCGTTTTAGAAAGTGTCTTGAGATCTTTCCATGTCAACACATGTAGATCTAATTCACTATTTAAAATTACTGTATAGTAAGTTATTATATGTTATGCCATAATTTATTTAACCAATTTCTTAATGATGAATGTCCTTCTTTGAGTTTCTACAAAAGTAGGCCCTGAGACATGGGCTTGGGTACAGACAGTTTATTTTAATTTATTTTATTATTTATTTATTTATTTATTTTGAGATGGAGTTTCACTCTTGTTGCCCAGGCTGGAGTGCAATGGTGCGATCTTGGCTCACTGCAACCTCTGCCTCCCAGGTTCAAGCAATTCTCCTGTTTCAGCCTCCTGAGTAGCTGGGATTACAGGTGCAAGCCACCACTCCCAGCTAATTTTTGTATTTTTAGTAGAGATGGGGTTTCATCATATTGGTCAGGCTGGTCTCGAACTCCTGACCTCAGGTGATCCGCCCGCCTCCACCTCGGAAAGTGCTGAGATTACAGGCATGAGCCACTGTGCCCCGCCAGACAGTTTATTTGGCCTGAGAACCCAGGAAGCACAAGTGAGACACTGAGTAAAGTGAGACAGGGAATTTTACTTCTCTAAATCAGGGTCCAAAAAAGGTCCTCACATTTCATAGGTTTATATGTCTCCTAAATCACCTTTAATTTACTCCCCATTTGTCACTTATTTTCCTTGAAATTTATGGAGAAAACTGGGTCATTTTACTGATTGGATCTCCATGACATCATTTAACATGCTCCCATAAATTATCGTTGAATCTCAAGGTAAAATTTTTCCCAGTTCAATAAATGTAATAAAATAATGATATTGATTGTTAAGCTCCATTTATTTTTATTCACACTATTTTTATAATAGATTTTATGTTTTAGAACAGTTTTAGATTTACACAAAAATTGAGAACTTAGTACAGAGATTTCCCACATACCCCCTCAGCCCCTCCTTCTGACAATTTCACCTCTCCTGAACATTTTACTTTAGTATGGTACATTTGTTACAGTGAGTGAATCAAAACTGATACAATGTTATGAATTAAAGTCTGTAGTTTATTAAGATTTCCTTAGTTTTTACTTAGTATCCCTTTTCTGTTCCAGAATGACATTCAGCATACCACATTACATGTAGTTGTCAAGTTTCCTTAAGTCTCTCTTGGCTGTGACTGTTTCTCAGGCTTTCCCGAGAAAGCCTGTCACCCAGGCTGGAGTGCAGTGGCACAATCTCAGCTCACTGCAACTTCTGCCTCCCGGATTCAAGCGATTCTTTTGCTTCAGCCTCCCAAAGAGCTGGGACTATAGGCGCACGCCACCATGCCCAGCTAATTTTTAGTAGAGATGGGGTTTCATCATATTGGCCAGGCTGGTCTCAAACTCCTGACCTCGAGATCTGTGCGCCTCGGCCTCCCAAAGTGTTGGGATTACAGGCGTGAGCCACGGCGCCCAACCAACCTTGGTGGTTTTAAAGAATACCGGTCAGGTAGGTTGTAGGACGTCCTCCTATTGGGATTTACCTTATGTTTTTCTTATGATTAGACTTGGGTAAGGGTTTCTAGTAGGAAGATACAGAGGTAAAGTGCCATTTTCATCACATGAAATCAAAAGAACAACCTATCAGCATGGTTTGTGACTGTTGATGTTGACCCTGACCACCTGGTTTGGATGATATTTGTCAGGTCTCTCTACTCTAAAGTTCCTCTTCCCGCCCCTCTTTTCCTTACTTCTGCACTTCTTGGAAGAATGTCCATGTGTGCAGCTCACACCTAAGGAGTGAGAGTTTCCCCTCCTTGCTAACTGACCCTCCTTGGAGATTAAGTGTGTACATAAATTATTTGGAGCTCTGTACTGGATATTTGTCTCTTCTCTCCATTTGTTTATTCAATCATATATTTATATCAATACTGACCATGGATATTTATCTTATATGTTGGATTATAATTAAATAGTACTTTATTTCATCACTTAGTTTTGGACAGTGGGAGATCTTTTTGTTGGCTTATCCCTTTGATAAACCCTATCAATGCAGATTTTTGTTTTGTTTTTTTGAATATTTCCTCTATTTCTGGGCTCCGTTGGTTTTAAGGAATAGAAACTTACTCTATTTATCTCATGTGATTGAGGGGGGAATATTAACTTTTATGGTAGGAAGTACATATTTACTTCACTTTTGTGATGGCTATCATTGCTTGACTTTTTAAAATCACAGAAGTCAACAACATCCCACCCTCCCTTTTAGAAATGTTTCTTCATTAACAATTGTTAATTGAGGCATCTAGTTTTTACTTGGGCTTATTTTTCTAACCAAGGCTAAATTTTAAAAAAAGCATGACTTATACTGTTATGTTTCCATACTATTTCAGTGACGATGTAGCACTCTGATGGTCTTGGCTTTGTGTGTGTGTGTGTGTATGTGTGTCTGTGTATGCAGGCAGTTAGGTCTCAGTTCCCACTCCACGCAAGGTCTTGTCTCTTGCCCCTGAAGCCAAGACCTGGGCAAGTAAGATAACCCCATGCTCTTATTATCTTTCACTGTGGCTTTCCTGCTCATTTTTTATTGTTTCTTGGGGCTTTCCTTTGCCGTTTTGTAGATTAACTATGCGTTTAAAATTATGTTTGTTATTTTTTACCAGTACTTGTAAACCTTCTATAGTTTGAATTTTTCCAGTCTATTATATTGACAGAAATGAAAGTCCTGTTCTTTGCTTCCTTTTTAAAAATCCAATTTTTTATTTTGAGAAATAAAAAAATAAAAACTACAAAATATTATTTCAAATACATTTGATCCTACACCCAGAACTGGAAACTCTTTGATTTATTCCATGAATATTTATGTGCCATATACTGTTCTAGAAACTTGGGAAAAATCAGCGAAGAAAACAAAAAAAACAAAAATCTCTCTTTCCATAAAGCTTATATTCTAGCATAAGAAAAACACAATGAATAATAAACGTAATATAAAATTATATTATGTGGTCTGTAAAAGGGGATAAATGCTCTGGAGAAATAAAAACAAAACAACTAGAGCAGGATTTGGGAATGAAGAGTGTGAAAAGAAGACTGACTTTTTTTTTCCTTTTAAAATAAGGTGATCCCCAACAATAGACAAGCAGAGAGCCAAATCATGAGTGAACTACCATTCACAATTGCTACAAAGAGAATAAAATATCTAGGAATAAAACTTATAACAGATGTGAAGAACCTCTTCAAGGAGAACAACAAACCACTGCTCAAGGAAATAAGAGAGGACACAAACAAATGGAAAAACTTCCCATGCTCATGGATAGGAAGAATCAATATTGTGAAAATGGCCATACTGCCCAACGTAATTTATAGATTCGATGCTATTCCCATCAGGCTACCAGTGACTTTCTTCGCAGAATTAGAAAAAAACTACTTTAAATTTCATATGGAACCAAAAAAGAGCCCATATAGCCAAGACAGTCCTATGCAAAAAGAACAAAGCTGGAGGCATCATGCTACCTGACTTCAAATTATACTACAAGGCTACAGTAACCAAAACAGCATGGTACTGGCACCAAAACAGAGATATAGACCAAGGGAAAGAGAACAGAGACCTCAGAAATAACACCACACATCTACAACTATCTGATCTTTGACAAATCTGACAAAAACAAGCAATGGGTAAAGGATTCCCTATTTAATAAATAGTACTGGGAAAACTGGCTAGCCATATGCAGAAAACTGAAATTGGATCTCTTCCTTATACCTTTTACAAAAAATAATTCAAGATGGATTAAAGACTTAAATGTAAAGCTCAAAACCATAAAAATCCTAGAAGAAAACCTAGGTAATACCATTCAGGACATCGGGATGGGCAAAGACTTCATGACTAAAATACCGAAAGCAATTGCAACAAAAGCCAAAATTGACAAATGGGATCTAATCAAACTAAAGATCTTCTGCACAACAAAATAAACTATCATCAGAGTAAATAGGCAACCTACAGAATGGGAGAAAATTTTTGCAAGCTACCCATCTGACAAAGGTCTAATATCCAGAATCTACAAAGAACTTAAACAAATTTACAAGAAAAAAACAAACAACCCCATCAAAAAGTGGGCGAAGGATATGAACAGACACTTCTCAAAAGAAGTCATTTATGCCACCAACAAACATATGAATAAAAGCTCATCATTGCTGGTCATTAGAGAAATGCACATCAAAACCACAATGAGATACCATCTCATGCCAGTTAGAATGGCGATTATTAAAAAGTCAGGAAACAACAGATGCTGGAGAGGATGTGGAGAAATAGAAACACTTTTACACTATTGGTGGGACTGTAAATTAGTTCAACCATTGTGGAAGACAGTGTGGCGATTCCTCAATGATCTAGAACCAGAAATACCATTTGACCCAGCAACCCCATTACTGGGTATATACCTGAAGGATTATAAATCATTCTACTATAAAGACACATGCACATGTATGTTTACTGTAGCACTATTTACAATAGCAAAGGCTTGGAGCCAACCCAAATGCTCATCAATGATAGACTGGATAAAGAAAATGTAACTGATATACACCATGGAATACTATACAGTCATAAAAAAGAATGAGTTCATGTCCTTTGCAGGGACATGGATGAAGCTGGAAGTCATCATTCTCATCAAACTAACACAGGAACAGAAAACCAAACACTGCATGTTCTCATTCAGAACAATGAGAACACATGGACACAGCAAGGGGAATATCACACACTGGGGCCTGTCGGGGGGTGGGGGGCAAGGGGAGGGAGAGCATTAGGACAAATACCTAATGCGTGTGGGGCTTAAAACCTAGATGATGGGTTGACAGGTGCAGCAAACCACCATGGCACATGTATACCTATGTAACAAACCTGCAGGTTCTGCACAAGTATCCCAGAACTTAAAGTAAAATTAAAAAAAGTAAGGTGGTCCTTGTAGGCCCCACTGAAACAATGACATTTGGGTAAAACTTGATGGAGATGAGGGAGTTGACCAGGTAGATTTCTTGGGGAAGAACATTCCAGGCAGGGGGAATAGCTAGTGCAAAGGCCTTAAGGTGGGAGTGTGCCTGATGGGTTTGAGGAAAAGCAAGAAAATCTGTGTCACTAGAGCAGATTACGGGGAAAATCCAGAGAAATGGGGCACAAGATGACAATAGAGGAAAGTCATGGAGGGAATTGAAGGCCACTGTAGAAGACTTTGGCTGAGTGACATGGAAGTCATTGAAGGTAATTATTTTTTCCCCTAAGAATAATACAAAGAACTTTCTGTTTTATGAAGCATTTAAGGATAAGTTGCCAATGTGATACCCTATTACCTGTGCTAAGGTTTGAATGTATGTGTCCCCCCCAAATTCATATGTTGGCATCTAAGCTGCCATGTGATAGTATTAAGGGGTTGGGCTTTTAGGAGGTGATTAAGTCATAAGGGCTCCATCCTCAGGAATGAGATTACTGACCTTATAAAAGGGGTCAAGAGAATTATCTAGGCCTGTTCCCTCTTCCATTTCTGCTGCCATGTGAGGACACCGTGTTTGGGGCACCATCTTGGAGGTAGAGACTGGGCCCTCACCAGATACTAAACCTTCTGCCACCTTGATCTTGTACTTCCTTCCCAGCCTCTAGAGCTGAGATAAATACATTTCTATTATTTATAAATTACCTAGTTTGTGGTATTTCCATTCCAACAGGAATGGATACCCAGACTGCTCATGGCACTGCGTGTCTAAGACACCGTTAAACACTTTAATGTATAATTTCTACAAGCAAGGATATTTTCCTTTACAAGTACATAACAACAATCAAAATAAAAAAATCAGCACCAATATATTAGTACCATCTTATCCCCAGACCCTCTGCAAATTCACTAATTCTTCCAAATATGTCCTTTTTAAAGCAAAAGTACCCAATATAGATCACACATTGCATTTAGTTATCATGTCTCTTTAGACCCCTTTATTCTGAAAGAGTTCTTCAAATTGTCTTAATGTTCATGACATTGGCACTTCTGCAGATTACAGGCCAATTGCTTTGGAGAATGTTCCTCTTTTGGAGTTTGTTGGGTGCTCCCTTGTGATTAGAATCAGGTCAGTTATTTTTTGGCAGTAATATCACAGAATAGTTGCATTTTTCTCCTCATTACATCTAGTCAGTGGTACACAATTTGAATCTGTCCCATTATTATAAATGAATGCATGTCTGGATGCTTGCTGCTTGCAGAATCCAATTAACAAGAGTGAGGTCTGGAAGAAGGAAAGTGGTTTTATTAACCAAAACTAGTACTGGGGAGGTGGCCAGATTCCCAACCAAAGCAACCACTTTGAACTACTGGGGAGAAGGCAAGGTTTCAAAAAGAAGGGACTTAACAGGGGAGACATGCAGGAGTTGTGCTGAGCTCAGGTCTGTGTGTCTTGTTTCGATGGCTATGTTGGATTTCAGTCCACCTGGAGCGTGAGCTGGCATCATCTCAACAATGGCCATGTTGTTGACTAGTTGCCTTGAGTTAATCGCTGGAATTCTGCAGCTGGATTTCCAGGCTTTGTCTGTCTCAAGATTAGCCCCTGGAACTTCTAAGTAAGCATATAATTAGATACAAGCATACAGTTAGATAAATGTGCATGGTGTAAGAGTGTATGGTGAGAAAGGGAGCAACCTGGTGTTTTAAAGAAAGTACAGTTCAAAGCTGTGTGTTAAGACTAAGGAGAAGAAAAACAAGGTTTCTGCTGAAAGCTTCAAGGTTGCATCTTGCAACCTTGAAAAAAGACTAAGGAGAAGAAAAACAAGGTTTCTGCTGTAAGCTTCAAGGTTGCATCTTGCAACCTTGAAAAAAAAAGTTTTTAAAATGCATTTTGAAGTTAAGCTGCCTGGTTGTGTTATTGACAATACTAAATTTGATCACTTACTTAACTAATGTGGTATCTGCTAGGTTTCACCACTATAAAGTTACACATTTCCGCTTTGTAATTAACAAGGAATTTGTGGGAAGATACCTTAAGACTATGCAAATCTTTTCCTCATCAAACTTTGACTAGTTTTATTCATTTCCAATTACAGGTGACCTTGAACAACGTGGGAGTTAGGTCCCCACCCCATACCCCTACAGTCAAAAATTTGCATGTAACTTTTGACTTCACAGAAACTTAACTATTGACAGCCTACTATTGACCAGAAGGCTTTCAATAATGTAAATAATTGCTTAACATGTATTTTGTATGTTATATTTATTATATACTGTATCCCTACAATAAAGTAAGTTAGAGAAAAGAAAATGTTATTAAGAAATTAATAAAGAGGGCCGGGCACGGTGGCTCATGCCTGTAATCCCAGCACTTTGGGAGGCTGAGGCAGGTGGATCACGAGGTCAAGAGATCGAGACCATCCTGGCTAACACGGTGAAACCCCATCTCTACTAAAAATACAAAAATGAGCCAGGGCGTGGTGGTGGGCACCTGTAGTCCCAGCTACTCCGAAGGCTGAGGCAGGAGAATGGCGTGAACCAGGGAGGTGGAGGTTGCAGTGAGCTGAGATCGTGCCATTGCACTTCAGCCTGGGTGACAGAGCAAGATTCTGTCTCAAAAAAAAAAAAAAAAAAAAAAAAAAAAAAAAAAAGAAAAAAAGAAAAAAAAAGACAATAATAAAGAGAAAATATATTTACTATTTATTAAGAGTAGGTGGATCATTGTAAAGGTCTTCATCCTCACCATCTTCATGTTGAATAGACTGAGGAAGGGGAGGAAGGGGAGGCATTGGTCTTGTCTCAGGGGTGACAGAGGTGGAAGAAAATCTGTTTATAATTGTACCTACACAGTACAACCCCCTGCTGTTCAAGGGTCAACTGTAGTTGATATGTCTGTACATGGATATTACTTATAGCAGTGATGAGTTGCATTCTACATCAGTTTTATTTTCCTCCCCTCTCTAAAAAATGTAATTTCTGAGAAATCTTGTTCATGTGAATAAGTAGATGGGATCAGAACAATTATGCTAGTTCCTTTGCTTAATTCTTTGAAATCCTTCCAAGTTATATGCCCCAAATCACAAATTCTCTACCATAAAAGTTACATATAATGTTCTGTCAGGGACAGATTCTCTACATTTGCTGAAAACAAAGAAATAAAAAGCCACCTGACTTGCAAAAAGATGTTTTCCAAGTTTTGATTTTTTTGGAATTATGTTAATAACAGTTTATCAAGACTTAGCAAATGACCCTTAAACTTATTAAAATTTATTAAATGACCCTTGATTTTTATCTACTGCCTTTTAGAGGTAACTGTTTGAAGGTTTAGCAAAATTTAGATATCAATTTTAATATACCTTTGCTAATATAATATTTTTATAATATACATTTATTATGTACTTTTTTGGGGAGGAGTGAAAAATCTTAGATCTAGGGATTTAACTCAATTTTTGGAAATTATCTACTATTTAACTTAATGATGGTGGGCTACTAATTATGCCAGGACAACAGACAAACCTCGACTGCCTTGGGAAAACTGAGACATATGTTTACCTTATTTAATGAGCAAAGCCACTATTCATTGTCAAACCAGTCAGCCAAATCAACTTCTTTTCTGTCAGAAAAAGTCTGACTCTGACTTCATATTCAATCCAAATAAACATGCTATTATGCATCCCCATGACAACCATCTTATTTCTGAATGCAGCAACTAGCTGGAGATCAGATGATCCCACTTCCTCACATATCAATTTAAAAAGATGCAAGTTTAACTCCCTTGATTTTATAATATTTACAATTTAAATGGCAACATCCAATACTCCCTAAAAGTCAAAACTCTACTTTTTGCAACCAAAGCTTGTTTATCAATAAAATCATGTTCTCAAGCTAAAATAAGTTTTAAAGCCTGGGCAAAAGACATAAAACTTCATTTTTGCACAGTCATTGTAACAATTAGAACCAATTACAGAATTCATGGGGCCTAGTGCGAAATGAAAATGTAAAGTTTTTTGTTAAAAAAATTAAGTATTTCAAGATGGTGACAACTGAGTATTAAAGTCAGCGTGGGATCTTTTAAACACAGGGACCGTCTAAGAGCAGGGCTGGGTGTGTAACTATACTGCTCTCACAGCCACAAAGCTGGCCTGGGCAACTATTTTGTTTATAGAGAACTTTAGTCCCATTTCTAGTGTAAGCCAAATAAATGTGAATAAAAGTTTTCAAAATTTAAAAATAATATCATGAAGTACTTTTTGCATGCAGTTTCTTCTCTATAATATGAACACAATTAACTGGGAATGTTTGGAAACATCTGTGGATTTTCCTATTGGTAAGGCATACCTTGTCTACCACAATCTTTATTATAACCTGGTGAGCAATTTCTCAGTGCCACAGTTTCCTCGTCTGTAAAATGGAGATAATGTTGTTCTTACTCCAAGTTGGAAGGCTTATTTGGGTTAATATGAGAATGCATGTAGAACAATGTCTGGCATGTGGTTAGTGCTATAGAACTGTTTGCTGTTGTCATTATTATCATCATTACAATTATTATTTGGTTATTTCATTCATTATTTAAACTACAATAATGTCAGAAAAGGGAATGTATATAAGGGCAATGTAAAATTGCAATTGGCATGTAAACTCTTTTTCCCTATCAACAGTGTACTAGGTATTATAATAGTTTCCATATTTATGTAAAATTTTGTTTTTCAGTAGGAAAATAGTGAAACTAGTTAGCAATGCTAATCTTTATGAGGCTGTCTAAGCCAACCCCAATAACTGAATTTAATTTTTTCTTTTTTTTTTCTTTTATTATTATATTTTAAGTTTTAGGGTACATATGCACATTGTGCAAGTTAGTTACATATGTATACATGTGTTATGCTGGTGTGCTGCACCCACTAACTCGTCATCTAGCATTAGGTATATCTCCCAATGCTATCCCTCCCCCCTCCCCCTACCCCACAACAGTCCCCAGAGTGTGATGTTCTCCTTCCTGTGTCCATGTGATCTCATTGTTCAATTCCCACCTATGAGTGAGAATATGCGGTGTTTGGTTTTTTATTCTTGCGATAGTTTACTGAGAATGATGATTTCCAGTTTCATCCATGTCCCTGCAAAGGACATGAACTCATCATTTTTTATGGCTGCACAGTGTTCCATGGTGTATATGTGCCACATTTTCTTAATCCAGTCTATCATTGTTGGACATTTGGGTTGGTTCCAAGTCTTTGCTATTGTGAATAATGTCACAATAAACATACGTGTGCATGTGTCTTTATAGCAGCATGATTTATAGTCCTTTGGGTATATACCCAGTAATGGGATGGCTGGGTCAAATGGTATTTCTAGTTCTAGATCCCTGAGGAATTGCCACACTGACTTCCACAATGGTTGAACTAGTTTACAGTCCCACCAACAGTGTAAAAGTGTTCCTATTTCTCCACATCCTCTCCAGCACCTGTTGTTTCCTGACTTTTTAATGATTGCCATTCTAACTGGTGTGAGATGGTATCTCATTGTGGCTTTGATTTGCATTTCTCTGATGGCCAGTGATGATGAGCATTTTTTCATGTGTTTTTTGGCTGCATAAATATCTTCTTTTGAGAAGTGTCTGTTCATGTCCTTTGCCCACTTTTTGATGGGGTTGTTTGTTTTTTTCTTGTAAATTTGTTTGAGTTCATTGTAGATTCTGGATATTAGCCCTTTGTCAGATGAGTAGGTTGCAAAAATTTTCTCCCATTTTATAGGTTGCCTGTTCACTCTGATGGTAGTTTCTTTTGCTGTGCAGAAGCTCGTTAGTTTAATTAGATCCCATTTGTCAATTTTGTCTTTTGTTGCCATTGCTTTTGGTGTTTTAGACATGAAGTCCTTGACCATGCCTATGTCCTGAATGGTAATGCCTAGGTTTTCTTCTAGGGTTTTTATGGTTTTAGGTCTAATGTTTAAGTCTTTAATCCATCTTGAATTGATTTTTGTATAAGGTGTAAGGAAGGGATCCAGTTTCAGCTTTCTACATATGGCTAGCCAGTTTTCCCAGCACCATTTATTAAATAGGGAATTCTTTCCCCATTGCTTGTTTTTCTCAGGTTTGTCAAAGATCAGATAGTTGTAGATACGCAGCATTATTTCTGAGGGCTCTGTTGTGTTCCATTGATCTAGATCTCTGTTTTGGTACCAGTACCATGCTGTTTTGGTTACTGTAGCCTTGTAGTATAGTTTGAAGTCAGGTAGTGTGATGCCTCCAGCTTTGTTCTTTTGGCTTAGGATTGACTTGGTGATGCGGGCTCTTTTTTGATTCCATACGAACTTTAAAGTAGTTTTTTCCAATTCTGTGAAGAAAGGCATTGGTAGCTTGATGGGGATGGCATTGAATCTGTAAATTACCTTGGGCAGTATGGCCATTTTCACGATATTAATTCTTCCTACCCATGAGCATGGAATGTTCTTCCATTTGTTTGTATCCTCTTTTATTTCCTTGAGCAGTGGTTTGTAGTTCTCCTTGAAGAGGTCCTTCACATCCCTTGTAAGTTGGATTCCTAGGTATTTTATTCTCTCTGAAGCAATTGTGAATGGGAGTTCACTCATGATTTGGCTCTCTGTTTGACTGTTGTTGGTGTATAAGAATGCTTGTGATTTTTGTACATTGATTTTGTATCCTGAGACTTTGCTGAAGTTGCTTATCAGCTTAAGGAGATTTTGGGCTGAGACAATGGGGTTTTCTAGATATACAATCATGTCGTCTGCAAACAGGGACAATTTGACTTCCTCTTTTCCTAATTGAATACCCTTTATTTCCTTCTCCTGCCTAATTGCCCTGGCAAGAACTTCCAACACTATTTTTAATAGAAGTGGTGAGAGAGGGCATCCCTGTCTTGTGCCAGTTTTCAAAGGGAATGCTTCCAGTTTTTGCCCATTCAGTATGATATTGGCTGTGTGTTTGTCATAGATAGCTCTTATTATTTTGAAATACATCCCATCAATACCTAATTTATTGAGAGTTTTTAGCACGAAGGGTTGTTGAATTTTGTCAAAGGCTTTTTCTGCATCTATTGAGATAATCATGTGGTTTTTGTCTTTGGCTCTGTTTATATGCTGGATTACATTTATTGATTTGCGTATATTGAACCAGCCTTGCATCCCAGGGATGAAGCCCACTTGATCATGGTGGATAAGCTTTTTGATGTGCTGCTGGATTCAGTTTGCCAGTATTTTATTGAGGATTTTTGCATCAATGTTCATCAAGCATATTGGTCTAAAATTCTCTTTTTTGGTTGTGTCTCTGCCTGGCCTTGGTATCAGAATGATGCCAGCCTCTTTTTCTATTGATTGGAATGGTTTCAGAAGGAATGGTACCAGCTCCTCTTTGTAGCTCTGATAGAATTCGGCTGTGAATCCATCTGGTCCTGGACTTTTTTTGGTTGGTAGGCTTTAATTATTGCCTCAATTTCAGAGCCTGTTATTGGTCTATTCAGAGATTCAACTTCTTCCTGGTTTAGTCTTGGGAGGGTGTATGTGTCCAGGAGTTTATCCATTTCTTCTAGATTTTCTGGTTTATTTACGTAGAGGTGTTCATAGTATTCTCTGATGGTATTTTGTATTTCTGTGGGATCGGTGGTGACATCTCCTTTATCATTTTTTTATTGTGTCTATTTTATTATTCTATCTTTTCTTCTGTGTTAGTCTTGCTAGCGGTCTATCAATTTTGTTGATCTTTTCAAAAAACCAGCTCCTGGATTCATTGATTTTTTGAAGGGTTTTTTGTGTCTCTATCTCCTTCAGTTCTGCTCTGATTTTAGTTATTTCTTGCCTTCTGCTAGCTTTTGAATGTGTTTGCTCTTGCCTCTCTAGTTCTTTTAATTGTGATGTTAGAGTGCCAATTTTAGATCTTTCCTGCTTTCTCTTGTGGGCATTTAGTGCTATAAATTTCCCTCTACACACTGCTTTGAATGTGTCCCAGAGATTCTGGTATGTTGTGTCTCTGTTCTCGTTGATTTCAAAGAACATCTTTATTTCTGCCTTCATTTCATTGTGTACTCACTAGTCGTTCAGGAGCAGGTTGTTCAGTTTCCATGTAGTTGAGCAGTTTTGAGTGAGTTTCTTAATCCTGAATTCTAGTTTGATAGCACTGTGGTCTGAGAGACAGTTTGTTATAATTTCTGTTCTTTTACATTTGCTGAGGAGTGCTTTATTTCCAACTATGTGGTCAATTTTTAGAATAAGTGTGATGTGGTGCTGAGAAGAATGTATATTCTGTTGATTTGGGGTGGAGAGTTCTGTAGATGTCTATTAGGTCAGCTTGGTGTAGAGCTGAGTTCAATTCCTGGATATCCCTGTTAACTTTCTGTCTTGTTGACCTGTCTAATGTTGACAGTAGGGCGTTAAAGTCTTCCATTATTATTGTGTGGGAATCTAAGTCTCTTTGTAGGTCTCTAAGGTCTTGCTTTATGAATCTGGGTGCTCCTGTATTGGGTGCATATATATTTAGATAGTTAGCTCTTCTTGTTGAATTGATCCTTTTACCATTATGTAATGGCCTTCTTTGTCTGTTTTGATCTTTGTTGGTTTAAAGTCTGTTTTATCAGAGACTAGCATTGCAACCCCTGCTTTTTTTGGTTTTCCATTTGCTTGGTAGATCTTCCTCCATCCCTTTATTTTGAGCCTATATGTGTCTCTGCACGCCAGATGGGTCTCCTGAATACAGCACACTCATCAGTCTTGACTGTTTATCCAATTTGCCAGTCTGTGTCTTTTAATTTGATCATTTATCCCATTTACATTTAAGGTTAATATTGTTATGTGTGAATTTGATCCTGTCATTATGATGTTAGCTGGTTATTTTGCTTGTTGGTTGATGCAGTTTCTTCCTAGCATCGATGGTCTTCACAATTTGGCATGTGTTTTGCAGTGGCTGGTACTGGCTGTTCCTTTCCATGTTTAGTGCTTCCTTCAGGAGCTCTTGTAAGGCAGGCCTGGTGGTGACAGAATCTCTCAGTATTTGCTTGGCTTGTAAAGGATTTTATTTCTCCTTCACTTATGAAGCTTAGTTTGGGTGGATATGAAATTCTGGGTTGAAAATTCTTTTCTTTAAGAATGTTGAACTTTGGCACCCACTCTCTTTTGGATTGTAGCGTTTCTGCTGAGAGATCCACTGTTAGTCTGATATGCTTCCCTTTGTGGGTAACCAGACCTTTGTCTCTGGCTGCCCTTAACATTTTTTCCTTCATTTCAACTTTGATGAATCTGACAATTATGTGTCTTAGAGTTTCTCTTCTCGAGGAGTATCTTTGTGGTGTTCTCTGTATTTCCTGAATCTGAATGTTGGCCTGCCTTACTAGGTTGGGGAAATTCTCCTGGATAATATCCTGAAGAGTGTTTTCCAACTTGGTTCCATTCTCCTTTTCACTTTCAGGTACACCAGTCAGACGTAGATTTGGTCTTTTCACATAGTCCCATATTTCTTGGAGGCTTTGCTTGTTTCTTTTTACTCTTTTTTCTCTAAACTTCTCTTCTCACTTCATTTCATTCATTTGATCTTCAATCACTGATACCCTTTCTTCCACTTGATCAAATCGGCTACTGTAGCTTGTGCATGCATCATGTAGTTCTCATACCATGGTTTTCTGCTCCATCAGGTCATTTAAGATCTTCTCTGTGCTGTTTATTCTAGTTAGCCTTTCATCTGATCTTTTTTCAAGGAGTTTAGCCTCTTTGCGATGGGTTCGAACATCCTCCTTTAGCTCGGAGAAGTTTGTTATTACCGATCATCTGAAGCCCTCTTCTCTCAACTCATCAAAGTCATTCTCTATCCAGCTTCGTTCCGTTGCTGTCAAGGAGCTGCATTGTTTTGGAGAAGAGGCGCTCTGACTTTTAGAATTTTCAGCTTTTCTGCTCTGGTTTTTCCCTGTCTTTGTGGTTTTATCTACCTTTGGTCTTTGATGATGGTGTTGTACAGATGGGGTTTTGGTGTCAATGTCATTTCTATTTGTTAGTTTTCCTTCTAACAGTCAGGACCCTCAGCTGCAGGTCTGTTGGAGTTTGCTGGAGGTCCACTCCAGACCCTGTTTGCCTGGGTATCACCAGAAGAGGCTGCAGAACAGCAAATATTGCAGAACGGCAAATGTTGCTGCCTGATCCTTCCTCTGGAAGCTTCATCTCAGAGGGGCACCAAGCTGTATGTGGGATGCCAGTCTGCCCCTACTGGGAGGTGCCTCCCAGTTGGGCAACTTGGGGGTCAGGGACCCACTTGAGGAGGCAGTCTGTCCATTCTCAGATCTCAAACTCCATGCTGGGAGAACCACTACTCTCTTCAAAGCTGTCAGACAGGGACGTTTAAGTCTCAGAAGTTTCTGCTGCCTTTTGTTCAGCTATGCCCTGCCCCCAGAGGTGGAGTCTACAGAGGCAGGCAGGCCTCCTTGAGCTGCGGTGGGCTCCACCCAGTTCAAGCTTCCCAGCTGCTTTGTTTACCTACTCAAACCTTAGCAATGGTGGACGCCCCTCCCCCAGCCTTGCTGCCACCTTGCAGTTTGATCTCAGACTGCTGTGCTGGCAGTGAGCAAGTCTCTGTGGGCGTGGGACCCTCTGAACCATGCATGGGATATAATCTCAATCTCCTGGTGTGCCATTTGCTAAGACCATTGGAAAAGTGCAATATTAGGGTGGGAGTGTCCCGATTTTCCAGGTACCATCTGTCACAGCTTCCCTTGGCTAGGAAAGGGAATTCCCTGACCCCTTCCACTTCCCTGGTGAGGCAATGTCCTGCCCTGCTTTGGCTCATGCTCTGTGAGCTGCACCCACTGTCCAACAAGCCCCAGTGAGATGAATCCAGTACCTCAGTTGGAAATGCAGAAATCACCCATCTTCTGCATCACTCATGCTGGGAGCTGTAGACTGGAGCTGTTCCTATTTGACCATCTTGGAACCTCCCTACCAGAACTTGACTCTTTTATAAAAACCCCAAACTGCTGCTTTTTATTGTGTCTAAGAGAATCATCATGTCTTTTTTCTTCAACACCTTGATTTTTTCTTAGGTACAGATTGGCACATTTTAAAACATTTAAATCTTTTATAATGCCAACTCCTCTGACTAGAAAGTGACAGTGCAATTCAAATTTGAAATCAAATTTGTGTGGAATGTATCTGTATTAGAAAACAAAATACCACAAACAGTGGCTGAAAACAACGGAAATTAATTTTCTCACTGGCTAGAAATCTGAAATCAAGATGTGAGCAGGGCCATGCCTCCTCTGAAGGCTGTAGGGAAATCCTTCCTTGTGTTATCCTAGCTTTTGGTGGCTTGCTGGCAATATTCGGCATTCCAGTGGCCTCACTCCAATTGCTACCTTTGTTGTCACGTGGTGTTCTCTCTGTGTCCCTGTGTCTTCCCATGGCCATCTTCCTATGAGAACACCAGTCATATTGGATTGGGGCCCACTCTACTTCAGTATGACCTCATCTTAACTAATTACATCGGTAACAATTCTATATCCAGATAAGCTCACATTCTGAGGTACTGGAGGTTAGAATTTTAATATCTATTTTTAAAGGACCATAGTTCAATCCATCAAAACTCTTAATTAATTTTTTTTTATGGAGCTCACTCTTGTTGCCCAGGCTGGAATGTGATGGTGCAATCTCAGCTCATGGCAACCTCCTCCTCCCAGGTTCAAACGATTCTCCAGCCTCAGCCTCCTGAGTAGCTGGGATTACAGGGGCCCACCATCATGCCTGGTTAATTTTTAAATTTTTAGTAGAGACAGGGTTTCACCATGTTGGCCTGGCTGGTCTCAAACTCCTGACCTTAGGTGATCCACCTGCCTCAGCTTCCCAAAGTGCTGGGATTACAGGTGTGAGCCACCACATCTGGCTGCAAAAAGTTGTATACCAAAAAATAAATTTTACTACAGAATGTTAGTAACATTAAATTATTCAAATATTGGAAATACATCACAATATTTTTCATTATACTAAATATACAAAAGAATTTTGTTGATGAATACTTAATTTTATATTTTCAAAGAATATATCTTAGTAATTAGATTTGCACTTCCAAAGACTATTATGAAAACTACTAAGTTACAAATTACGGAAAGAATCTTGTGCATAGATTACTAAAATCAAGGCTAAAATTTTAGGAAGCAAGACTTACCATAAAAAGCATGATATTTCTTCAGAAAATGTGGGTGAACACATATATCTAATTCTGGAGTTTGGATTTTGGGTATAAGTAAATCAGAATTATGTATTAATATCAGAAATTGTTCCACTAACTTTATTAGACATTGTGTTTAAGCTTTATCCATTTGAAGAGAAAGGCATATACTCTAAAGTCTAAGTAGTCTGAAAGCTACCGTTGGTTGTGTTTTTTTTTTAGTAGAGTGGGAGAAGGGTCATCAAGAAACAGGAGCAAGAAAAGAACAGCTTCTGAGAAGGCTTAGGAACAGATTTGTGCTCAGATGGCTCAGTTCCAGAAACAAGTTACACGGAATCCAAGGATCTAGAAAATGGATTTCCAAATGGATTTGGAAATTCTTTGTGTATCCAAATATCATGTGAGTGTCTTTGCTTAGCTAAACCTATGTCACATGTGGAGCCTTAGCAGCAAAAGTTCTGGGCAACGTAGTTTTTAACTTTCTAGGTATGACAGATTAGGAAGGTAAGCTAGAAGAGAATGTGAGTCTTGAGTGAAACAAATTAGTTTACAGAATTTGCCACCTTGGACTTCCAGGGGAATTACCAACAGAGTTGCCCTGTGTGTCATGCTGCACAGACTCAACACTAAGTCTGTGGTGTGTATCTGATACTGAACACTGTGCTTTATAAATTTCCTGGAATTGGAGTAGCTTGGCCATGGGTATATAGGCTAAGCCCTCCTTCCTGAGAAGGATGTAAGATGACTCTTGAATTCTATAGCCAGAGGTGATGAAATGACCCTGATATGGTTTGGCTTTGTGTCCCCACCCAAATCTCATCTCGAATTGTAATCTTCACATGTTGGGGGAGTGACCTGGTTGGGGGTGACTGAATCATGGGGGCAGATTTCCCCCTTGTTGTTCTTGTGATAGAACTCTCATGAGATCTTGTTGTTTAATAAGTATGTGACTCTCTCCCTTTGCTCTTTTGCTCTCTCTTGCCACCATGTAAGATGTGCCTTGCTTCCCCTTCACCTTCCACCTTGATTGTGTTTCCTGAGGCCTCCCCAGCCTTGTGGAACTATGAGCCAATTAAACCCCTTTTCTTTATAAATTACCCAGTCTCAGCTAGTTCTTTATAGCAGTGTGAAAATGAACTAATACAGACCTTACTGGTGAGTATAAGACTAAATCATAAAACTAGTAAAGAATGATGCCTGCAAATGACATTTGATTCCAGACAACTCTTTCTATGAGGGCTTTATCAGATTTCATGACACTTCTCAGGTTAGTTATTTTTATTTTCTTATGTCTATTTCATTGGAACTTATTGCAGAAACTAAAACCAAAAACAAAATTTAAAATGAAAAAGTCTATGAATTTACTTGGAGGAGCAACAGTAAATAAGTGGAGTGGAACGAACGAGACACAGTGATTCTGTAGCTAATTGAGTGAGAAGCCCAGGAGACTGAGTAGGTCTTTGAAGAAGAGAGAGAACAGCTCAATCCAGAGTCTGCAAGGGGAATGTCAGGATTGTTGGTGTCTCAGGTAATCAATTATAAAGAAGAGCATTGGGCAGGATGGTTGCAAAGCAGGCTTTCATCTGCTATTTATTAGTGAGCATTCCTGAGCATTCACTCATCATCACTCTTCTGGCAGATCTTCTGATGCCTACTATAATGGATGTATTTCGGGGGTCTTTTTGGACCTTTTCTTCTGATAACAGATCCCCTACTCAACATCCAAGGATGGTTTCTGGCAGCCGTGTTTCTATGATGTACTCTTAAATCCTGACGACAGCTGATTAGATCAATGGAGATCTCCTGACCTAATCTGGACTGGGTGGATTATTCCTCTATTTATAATTTTGAATTAAAACTGAGAGGTTCTCCTTCAGTTTCAGCAGGATTGAAAGATGGAGAGAGAATTTCTTGTATTCCTAGTTCTAGTTCCTCATAAGAAATATCCTTTTAGTAAACCTTTACAGATTTATGTAATCTGCTGCTCAAATTTCTACTGAAGACTCCTATACAATATTTCTACCATGGCATTCTACCACTAAGAGACTTACATTAGCAGGTTTTAGGTGAAACAGCTGTTTGTTGAGGATTTCCAGGAATCCCACCTTTTTTTCTGTAGATAGTTTCAGGTCAGAAGCTGGCATATGTTTTTTCACCGTATCTTAAAGGCAGAAAACCCCTTGTAAATGATCTCATAAGATTTGAAGTCTCTTTGGGAAAATTTCTCAATGCCAGCATTTCTGCTATAACATAGCATGTTATGAAGTAACCTCCTATTCTCCAAAGTTATGTAAAAGATAACAGGTATTATGCGTAAAATATGGTTTGGAACTTATCATTCAAAATTGATGCAATGATGTAACTGAAGCAATTTCAAAAATAGTAATTATCTTAATAAAACTATTATCATGAATAAGTTAAGACATAATACACCAAATATTGAACTTTACCTTAAAAAAAACAGGTAAATCTCACCTGATAGAAAGGCATATAAAGAAAGATTGAGTGACGGAAACACAAGGCCAGATGCATCATGATCAGAGGGTACAGCATGGTACTTAC
This sequence comes from Homo sapiens, assembly GCF_000001405.40. Classification (NCBI taxonomy): domain Eukaryota; kingdom Metazoa; phylum Chordata; class Mammalia; order Primates; family Hominidae; genus Homo; species Homo sapiens. Next base: position 159,726,663 of record NC_000001.11, on the reverse strand, counting down.
TTCTAAGATGGAGCTCATGGCCAGATGGTCAGAGACGAAGAATATTCGGTTCTGCATTTCTCCAGCTGGCTGTGTTCCCCAGTGTTAGTGTATTTTGTGATCATTGCTGGTGCTTGGTTGTGGAAAATAGCAACTTGCTGAGAAAAACAAAGATGCAATGTCTGTGTTACACTGCTGTCATCCCCCCACCTACAAGTCATAACTGACTTGTTTCACGTTACACAGAAACAAGTGCTATGGCTGAATAGAGTATAGTGATGACCAACAGGAGGTAGTAGGGGGTCTTATCTTGAAGCTACATTTGAGTAGTAAGCACATTTTATTTATTTATTTTTTACTTAAATGGAGTCATCCCCTCCAGAACTGACTCTGGCTCTGTTAATTATATAAGAACATGATGTAGAAGAAAGAAATGCTGCTCTAGAGAGTTCCCAGATGCCCTTCACCAAACTTTCCCTAATATTAACATCCGACCTTACCATGGTACATTTGTCAAAACTGAAAAAACAGCATTGGTACATTACTATGAACCAAACTCCAGTCTTTTTCCAGTTTTTACACTCATGTCCTTTTCCTGTTTTAGGATTCAATCCAGGATACCACATTACATTTAGTCATCCTGTGTCTTCTGGTATGTGACAATTTCTCAGTCTTTCCTTGTTTTTTCATAAGCTGATAATTTTGAGGAGTACTAGTCAGATATTTTGTAAAAAGTCAATTTGGGTTTCTCTGATGTTTGTCTTCTTATTAGACTGGAGTTGTGTGTTTTTTTTGGGGATGAATTATCTGTTGTTTTAAATACCCATGAACATAATAAATATATAGATATTTATGTATGCTGTATAATCTTGTTTTGAATTTTAAAAGCCAACTATGAGATACCATCTAAATAACTTTTTATAACTTATCTTTTAAATTTAATATCGTTTTTGAGATATATCCTTTTGGATTTTTTTTGCTATGATGTGATATATGCGTTCCTGAAAATTCTCATCTTCTGCATAATCGTGCACTAAAAATAACAGAGCTTGTGGGATAATTAGACCCATAGATAATTAAGTCTATAGATAACTAGGGACAGACCACTCAAAACCTATTCACTAACACACCAGAGGGCCAACATGAACAGTAACAATCCCACTGAAATTATTAGCATTATGAAGACTTCTCAAATATGTTCACCAACCTCACAACTAGTCACACTTTTGCAGCCTTCAGCCCAGGGCTCCCACAACCTCTTTTGGAGTGTATGTCTTTTGAGGGATATCACTTCTAATAGAGGCTGGCTTCACCAAAATTTAAAATCTGATAATGAGTGTAGCTTTAGTCATCAATAAAACAAAATTTTAACACAGAGAGAAATGTCATGGCAACTCTTTCATCAGCACTTGCAGCATCACAATATAGCTTAATGCTGTGTAATGCATAATAATTTCTGAAGCCACTAAACTATCTACTGTATGCACTAACAGTACTAGGTAGAATTTTCAGCCTTTATATTAAAATATTTACATATTACTAAGGATTTTTCTTTGTGAGAAAGTGTGAACTTTATTTCTTTACTACATTACCTGTTAGGGAATATGGCATATGAATAAATATAACTTATATGTTATACTGGCACTAGTCTTTTATTTATGTAAATTTTTATTTTCATATTTTAATTATGCATGGACTAATTTGCATCCAAACCCTTGTATTTGTTGCAGGGCAGGATATATACATATCTTTTCTATTCTTTTTAACTGTGGTACACTATTCCTTCATATGAATATGCATTTCCTAACTGAACAACATTTGAATTCCTTCTCCAAGTAACAAGCAGTGCTGCAAAGAATTTCCTTGTATATGTCTCTGAGGGAATTTTTATAGGTTATATTCCTGGAAGTTGAATTACTAGATCATAGGGTATGAATATATTTAATGGAACATTTACATTAATTTGGGGAGCATTAACACTATTATGTTGTTGGGTCACTCAATGGATGTGGTCTAAGTCTCCATTTATTCATTTTTATGTCATTTAGTAATATAATACAATATTTTATAAAAGTGTTGCAAATTTCTGTAAGACCTACTTCAAGGTGCTCTATGAGTTTTATTGATAACACGACTGGGATCTCTTATATGTTTTATTTTCTAGTTGGTTTCTGCTATAAGAAATGAGTATCTTAGTGTGTTTTATGATTACCTTATGCCAACACAAATGGTGAATTACTATTGATTCTAATAGTTTACATGTAGCTTTTGTAGGATTTTTAATATAGACTATCATATTTGTAAATTATTGTACACTTATTTTCTGATCATCAGACCACTTTTTTTTCTCATATTGCTGCATTGGATTGGACAATGCAGTTGATTGATAGTAGGCATCTTGCCATACACTTAACTCTAAAGAGAAGTTTCTAAAATTTCATTTTAAGTATGATATTTGCTGTAGGTTTTTAGTAGAAATTCTTTTTACTCTTAATTTAGTAAGAATGGAGAAATGATAAATTTAAAACATTTGGCATCTATTGGAATGGTCTTACGATGCTGCTATTAAGTCTGTCAAAGAAATACAAATTACATTGGTAGCTTTCTCTTATCTGAAACTACCCCTGCATTTCTGAGGAAAACCCTTCAGCTGTAAGTGCTAATTATTTTACCTTTTCCAAGATGACCCTCTGTAGTTGGCCACACAGAAAAGGTGCTGGACTACTGTAAATCACAATGGAAACTGTTGTGGAAAGTCAGGGAACCTGAACAGAGGGACCGGCTGAAGCCATGGCAGAAGAACATAAATTGTGAAGATTTCATGGACATTTATTAGTTCCCCAAATTAATACTTTTATAATTTCTTATGCCTTTCTTTACTGCAATCTCTGAACATAAATTGTGAAGATTTCATGGACACTTATCACTTCCCTAATCAATACTCTTGTGATTTCCTATGCCTGTCTTTACTTTAATTTCTTAATCCCATCATCTTTGTAAGCTGAGGATGAATGTTGCCTCAGGACCCTGTGATGATTGTGTTAACTGCACAAATTGTTTAAACAATATGAAATCTGGGCATCTTGAAAAAAGAACAGGATAACAGTGATTTTCAGGGAACAAGGGAGACAACCATTAGGCCTGGCTGCCTGAGAGCCGGGTGGAACAGAGCCATATTTCTCTTCTTTCAAAAGCAAATAGGAGAAATGTCACTGAATTCTTTTTCTCAGCAAGGAACATTCCTGAGAAAGAGAATGCATTCCCAAGGGGAGGTCCCTAAAATGGCCACTTTGGGAACGCCTCTCTTTTACGGTTGTAGATGAGGGATGAAATAAGGCCCAGTCTCCTGTAGCGCTCCCAGGCTTATTAGGACGAGGAAATTCCCACCTAATAAATTTTGGTCAGACCGGTTGTCTGCTCTCAAACCCTGTCTCCTGATAAGATGTTATCAATGACAATGCATGCCCAAAACTTCATTAGCAATTTTAATTTCACCCCGGTCCTGTGATCTCACCCTGCCTCCATTTGCCTTGTGATATTTTACTACCTTGTGAAGCATGTGATCTCTGTGACCCACACCCTATTCGTACACTCCCTCCCCTTTTGAAAATCGCTAATAAAAACTTGCTGGTTTTGTGGCTTGCGGGGCATCATGGAACCTGCCGACATGTGATGTCTCCCCTGGACACCCAACTTTAAAATTTCTCTCTTTTGTACTCTTTCCCTTTATTTCTCAGACCAGCCGACACTTAGGGAAAATAGAAAAGGATCCATGTTGAATATTGGGGGCTGGTTTCCCCCGATAGGAAATGACTCAGGCAACCAATCTTTATTAATCACAAGGGTTAGACACTTAGCTCTCAGTCATGTCAGGGGATGGCTGTTGACTCTTGCTATGAACATTTTTGCACTTCATCCTTTCTAAGCTTGCTGAGTCATTTAGCTGCAACTGAAAGGTGTGGATCTCAGCCCCCGAGCCACACCAGGGAAGGGCAGATGCCCCCTCAAACTATGAATGCTAGGTTGTCACACCATATTGCTATGGTTTCATGGACTATGGTCACACCAGGGAAGAAGCCAGTACTTCTCTAATCTTGCAGCCTCATAGCTCAAGGATAGGGGTCCCTCTCCTAGAGTCTGATGTTCTGTGCTACCAGATCCCTGAGCATGGCCCTAGAATGTGGTGGTTTATGAGGGCCTCTCACAGCTCTGACTGTGAGTGTCCCCAGTAACTGCTGCTCCAGTCGGCATGTGAGTGTTGCCTAGATATTTTCTCTCATTTGCTTAATAACTCTACTTAGTTATAATGTTTTAAATTTTTTACACATAGATTTGACTTGCTTATACTTTATGTAGGATTTTTGCATCTATGTTTATAAATGAGAATGGCTTCTCATTTTCTTTTTTTTGTACCATTTTTGTTTGGGTTTTGTGGTAACTTGTTACTGGATTCTTAAAATAAGTCAGGTAGCTTTATTTTCTTTGCTCATTTTTAATTCTCTATCTTTTTATTGATACTTTTCTAACACCTGTTGATTCTCCTTCCTTTCTAGGATACATATACATGATATCTGGAGATTTTTCAAATTTTTTGCCTTATCCTAATTATCAAAGTCCTTGCCATTGTTTAGACATGGATCTTTTTAATACACCCTGCTTGGTATGCTGTGGCTCTTTTGATCTGATCACTTACTTTTGTTAACTACTCTAAGATGTTTTTGTATTATTTCTTTGATTATTTTCCTACCTCCAATCTCAATGTTTTCTTTCTCTGAAATCCTTTTTTTTGAGTATCATAGTTTTGATTCCCAAGATTTTTGTCTTATTTATTTTTTGTCTATACTTTGTATACTCTGAATATATTGATTATACTTCTCAACAAAAAACTTCTCTATTGGCTCTTATATTCTGTTTCCTATCAGTATATTTGTTGAGTGAACTGCCCCCTTTTCATGGTATTAATTCTCTCAGCATATCTATGGATGCCATTCCTGTTTTCTGTAGCCCATCTCTAGGGATTATGAGGAATGAGCCAGAAATGCTGGCAGGGTGTACCACTAATTTGTCTTTTGAATGTGGGAGCATAGGGTTCTCTCCTGGATGTCTTCAGACTCCTTGGGCAAGGTCCCACCTGTCAGGCCAAAGGACTCTGATTGCTTCAGACTAAGAGCAAATGCCTCTGCTGCTTAATGCTTGGCCAAGAGGCATGGTAGCAGTGACCCCTTAATCAATCTCTCCAATACTTTGTGCCACTTGTTTCCATTGTCCCTTTCTTTCTAGCATTCCCCAGAAACACTTCAAATTTTTATAGTGGACCTTCCTCTGTATATGTTCTGGGTTATGATTTCTTCTATTAATATAATTCTTCTGCTTTCTGACTTCCAGAGATTCTTCTATTTATTTCTGTTGAATGAAACTTTTTTTTCTGGCACTACATTAATTTATATTAAAAAATGCTTTTTCTCTTATTCATAGGAATTGAAGTGGGAAGATGATATTAGTGTTAGTTCTCAGTCCACCATTAATGGAATTTGTCTTCCATGCTTTTTCTGCCATTCCTTCAGTTATTCCTTCATCTATTCATCCCACAGCACTACTGAGCACCGACACTGTGCCAGGCTTTGCAATAGGCTGGCTTTCAAGAAAGAAATGCTATTATCCATAAATAAAAGGTCTGAATTTCCTCTCATTTTATCTAATAGAGATGATGATGCTGTATTTGCATCAATCTATGTGTACAGTTATTCTCGACCTTAGATTATCTTTCTTAGTTGCCTAGCAAAGGTTAGAGTTGTAATGTTTGACCACCAAATAAGTAAAACCAACTGGTCTATGTACCAATAATCAAACCTTCTTGGCCTCATTCCCATAGTGTTTGACATAGAAGTACTAGCTACATAACTTTGAGCACTGCTCTTTATAGCTCCATATTTTATCAGTTTTTGATTCCTATTATTTTTCTTACTGACATACCTTTTACATCTCTCCTCTGCATTCCTACTGCTTCTGTGCTAGTTTTGAGTCCCATTATCTTTTTTGTTTGTTTGTTTCTTTGAGACAGAGTCTCTATCTGTCACCTAGGCTGGAGTGCATTGGCGTGATCTCGGCTCACTGCAACCTCTGCCTCCCAGGTTCAAGTGTTCAATCACATTATCTTTAACATAATTTGTCTAGTTAACTGGCTTAATGCCTGATCTTTAGAAAATGTTCCTAAGATATGTCTTGGTTTAATTAATGAACTAAGACCCACAGAATGGTCTCCCAATTTATAATCTCTCTCACACCAATATATTATTCATATTGCTGCCAATAAAAATTCTAAGAGACTCTACTCTTTCCTTGTTCAGGAAACCTTCGAAGTCTCTCACTTGCTTAATGTGAAAGACCATAGGCCCAAATTTTCTATAGATTATTTCAGTAATAAGTTTATAGAAATATTGGCAACAGAGACAAACAACAATACTTTACAAGTACAAATGTAACTATTTTGCTGATAAAGCAGAACAGCAGTTCTAATAGTGATTAGGAAGTAGTAAATACCAAGTAGAAGGTACACTAATAAATTAACTAGGATAGAGTGTGAATAAAAGAATGACTTGGTACAATCTGTGGATTAGGGATATCTTAGAATTTTTCTTGCAAATTAATACAATTTTGGACTGGAAAGATACTAATTTACTAACGTGGACAATCATGGTTATAGAGATTCAAATAAGCTTTTCAGAGTTTGTGTACAAAACAATAGAAGATGAAATTTGGTGGTAACCATTGCTCATATTATTCTCTTAGTTTTGAACCTCCCACTTCAATTTTTGTGGCTCAGTTTAAATGCTTCCCCTTGCATAAAACCTGTGCTTCTCTGGAAGGATTCTGGTGGCAAGGACACCAGTGTATGTATTACTTCAGGGCAAGTGATGATTGGTTTGGACACACAATGTCCTGGATTCAGGGTGTTATTAGGAAGGCATTTCTGTTTGTCAAAAGTTAGTCAAATGTAAGTATCATAATACCTGCTGAAATGTGGACAGTGAGTAAAAAGGGAGTTTATTGGTTAATGAACCACAGAAGATGTGAGGTGAAGCTGGCATCAGGTGAGACTGGATTCAGAGACTCAAACAATGTTATTGAGGCATGGTCTATCTCTCAGCTCTACTCGTGAGTCAAGGATGGTGTATTAGTTGGTTTTCACACTGCTGTAAAGAACTACCTGAGTATGGGTAATTTATAAACAAAAGAAATTTTAAATGAACTTACAGTTCCACATGTTTGGGGAGGACTCATGAAACTTACAATCATGGTGGAAGGTGAAGGGGAAGCAGGCATTTTCTTCACAAGGCAGCAGGAGAGAGACAGTGTGAGTGGGGGACTGCCAAGCACTTTTATTTAAATCATCAGACCTAGTGAGAACTCATTATCATGAGCACAGCATGGGCAAAACTACCTCCACGATCCAATCTTCTCCCACCATGTCCCTCCCTCAACTCATGGGGATTACAATTTGAGATGACATTTGGGTGGGAACACAGAACCAAACCATATCATTCCACCTCTGGCTCCTCCAAAATATCATGTTCTTTTCACATTTCAAAACCAATCATACCTTCCCAACAGTCACCCAAACTTAACTCATTTCAGCATTAACTCAAAAGTCCAAGTCTAAAGTTCCATCTGAGAAAAGGCAAGTCACTTCTGCCTATTAGCCTAGTAAAATAAAAAACAAGTTAGTTACTTCCAAGATACAGTGGGGGTATAGGCATTGGGTAAATGGTCCTGTTTGAAATGGGAGAAATTGGCCAAAACAAAGGGGCCACAGGCCCCATGTAAATCCAAAATCTGGCAGGACACTCATGAAATCTTAAAGCTCCAAAATAATCTCCTTTGATTCTTTGTCTCACATCCAGGGCATGCTGATGCAAGCGGTAGGCTTCCATGGCCTTGGGTAGCTCCATACTTGTGGCTCTTCAGGGTACAGCCCCTGTGGCTGCTTTCACAGGCTGGCATTGAACACTTGCAAGCTTTTCTAAGCACAAGGTGCAAACTGTCAGTGGTTCTACCATTCTGGGATCTGGAGGACAGTGGCCCTCTTCTCACAGATCCACTAGGCAGTGCCCCAGTGGGGACTCTGTGTGGAGACTCCAACCCCACATTTCCCTGCTGCATTGCCCTAGTAGAGGTTTTCTGTGAGGGCTCCATGCCTGCAGAAGACTTCTGCCTGAACATCCAGGTGTTTCCATACATCTTCTGAAATCTAGACAGAAACTCCCAAAGCTCAACTCTTGTCTTCTGTGCATCTGCACCCTCAACACTACTTGGAAGCCACCAAGGCTTGGGGCTTGTGCCCTCTGAAGCAATGGCCTGAGCTATATACATTGCCCCCTTTTAGCCATGGCTGGAGCCGCAGCAGCTGGCACACAGGGTGCCATGTTCCTGGGCTGCACAGAGCAGCGGGGCCCTGGGCCTGGCCCATGATACCATTTTTTCCTCCTAGGCTTTTGGACCTCTGATGGGAGGGGCTGCCATGAAGATCTTCTGAAATGACCTGAAGACATTTTCCTCATTGTTTTGGCTATCAACATTCATCTCCTCATTACTTATGCAAATTTCTGCAGCCAGCTTGAATTTTTCCCCAGAAAATGGGTTTTTCTTTTCTACCACATGGTCAGGCTGCACATTTTCCAAACTTTTATGCTCCCTTTCCCTTTTAAACATAAGTTCCAATTTCAGATCATCTCTTTGTGAACACATATGATTGTATGTTTTCAGAAAAAGCCAGGTCACTTCTTGAATGCTTTGGTGCTTAGAAATTTCTTAAGCACCAAAGCATTCAAGAAATCATGTCTCTTAAGTTAAAAGTTCCACAGATCTCTAGGGCATGGGCAAAATGCCACCATTGTCTTTGCTAAAACATAGAAAGAGTGACCTTTACTCCCGTTTCCAATAAGTTCCTCATCTCCATCTAAGGACACCTCTGCATGAACTTCATTTTCCATATCACTATCAGCATTTTGGTCAAAACCATTCAACAAAACTCAGGAAGTTCCAAGCTTTTCCACATCTTCCTGTCTTCTCCTGAGCCCTCCAAACTCTTCCAGCCTCTGCCCCTAGTTGGTTCCAAAGTTGCTTCCACATTTTTAGGAATCTTTATAGCAGTATCCCACTATCCTGGTACCAATTTTCTGTATTAGTTTGTTTTTACACTGCTATAAAGAGCTACCTGAAACCGGGTAATTTATAAACAAAAGAGGTTCAATTGACTCACAGTTCTGCATGGCTCGGGAGGCCTCAGGAAACTTACAATTATGGCAGAAGGCAAAGGGGAAGCAGGTACCTTCTTCACAAGGTGGCAGGAGAGATAGAGGGTGGGGAGGAACTGCCAAACACTTTTAAACCATCAGATCTTGTGAGAACCCACTCACTAAAATGAGAACAGCATGGGGGAAACCGCTCCTATGATCCACCCACCTCCCACCAGGTCCCTCCCTTGACATGTGGGGATTGCAATTCAAGATGAGATTTGGGTGAGGACACAGAGCCAAACCATATCAGATAGAGAGTGGTGGGACAGAGGACCACTTCTTTTAGGCATAAAGCCTTGAAATTATTTCACTTTTAAACTAGGAGCAAGAATTCAGGAGGAAGTTGGCTGGGCATGATGGCTCATGCCTGTAATCCCAGCACTTTGGGAGGCTGAGGTGGGCAGATCATGAGGTCAGGAGATTGAGACCATTCTGGCTAACATGGTGAAACCCCGTCTCTACTAAAAATACAAAAAATTAGCTGGGTGTGGTGGCGTGTGCCTATAATCCCAGCTACTCAGAAGGCTGAGGCAGGAGAATCACTTGAACCCAGGAGGCAGAGGTTGCAGTGAGCTGAGATTATGTCACTGCACTCCAGCCTGGGCGACAGAGCGAGATTCCATCTCACAAAAAAAAAAAAAAAAGAAAAGAAAAGAAAGAATTCAGGAGGAAGTTATAAACTGTGTTGAATATTGCCAAGAAGCTGGGTAAAATAAGAACAGAAAATTCATTATTAGATTTAATGAGAGAGGTGTTTGTTTATGTTGGCTTCACTAGAGTGGTGAAGGCCAATGGCTGATTTCCATGGATTGAGGAGGGAACAGGAGATGGAAAATAGAGGTTGTCAACCCACGTAAACTTTTCCTTCCTTCCTCCCTCTCTCCCTCCCATCCTTCCTTTTTTCTCTTTTCTTTCTTCTTTCTCTAAAAGATTAAATATATTATAGTATGGTTTTGTGGAAATGATCAAGTAAAGATGAATAAATTAATAATACAGAAGATAGAGAGGATACCTATAGGAGCAAAATTCCTTGCATAGTCGACAGGGTCTGGGATCCACTGAAGAATTGCAAGGGTTGGCCTTAGATGTAACACAGGGAGAGCTCATCCCTTTTAATAGAGGAAGACAGAAAGGCTGGTACATTGGGTTGTAGGAGGATATATAAGGATATCAGTTAGGTGTTAAGAACAGAAAGACTGAGTTAACAGTGATTTAACAAAAGAGGAGAGTATTTCTCCTTTAAGTAAATTTTCAGGTAGGCAGCCTAGAGCTGATGCAGTGGCTCCATACCCAATTATCCAGGCTCCATCTATCTTGTTGCCATGCCAACCTCAACATGCAGCTTACACTTGCTGGCCTGAAAGTGAACTATTCCATCTCCTGCTATCATGACTGAATACTAGTCAAAGGGAAAAAGGGGGAAGTGGGAGGGGAAAGCACATACCTTTCTTAAAGAGCACAACCTAGAGATGGTCCCTATTCTGTTCATATCTCGTTGGCCTTAATTTAATCACATCATCACTGCAAGCTACAGTGGGGGCTGGGAAATTTGGTGTTTGAGGGGATGACCAAGCGCCCAACTGAAAATGTTATTCTTCTCTTATGAGAAGTAGAGAATGGATGTTAGGGAATGGCTAGAAGACTCTACTACAAAGGATACGGTGGTTCTTTTCTGATTGCTTCTAACTTCTCAATGAAAGGTGAGTTCATCAGCTGAATGAAAGAATAAATGAGATTTTGGGGACTTGAGGAGCAAGGAGAAGGAGTATAATAGTCATTTTGAAGAGTGAGTTAAGTAGGGAACTGTAGTAAGATTGACAGACAGTGTGGAGGGATTACTTGAATCTTGTGAATAGAGGAAAGAGTAGAATCAGATTATCCTGACTCCTGCCTGAAGCTTTACATATTCAGAGAAAAATGTTGGAAGAAACTTTGATATAATGCTATGTCTGTGATCAGGCACACATTTTACTGGACTTTTACTGTCAGGGCCGTCATTTAGTGCCAAGATGTCTAGAGAGTTCTTAATAAGTGTACTCAATTGGCTGAGAAAATGTGTCCATGCAAAAAACCAAACACCGCGTGTTCTCACTCATAGATGGGAATTGAACAATGAGAATACTTGGACACAGGAAGGGGAACATCACACTCTGGGGACTGTTGTGGGGTGGGGGGAGGGGGGAGGGATAGCATTAGAAGATATACCTAATGCTAAATGATGAGTTAATGGGTGCAGCACACCAGCATGGCACATGTATACATATGTAACTAACCTGCACATTGTGCACATGTACCCTAAAACTTAAAGTATAATAATAATAAAAAAATGTGTCCATGGCTCTGGGAGGAGCATGTTTGTTTTCCTCATTTCCCAGTCTGTAAATAAGCAAATTGAAAGGGGTTAGTGATAATGTCCATCTCCAGAAGCTGTCAGATTTCCTTTGTCAAACTCTATGATTTGGGCTGAAGTAGGTGTTGGAGAGGCAGCTACCACGTGCACCCAGATGGCCACTCGTTTAATATGTTACCATTTCCCATTATTTTCGCAGGATAGATAGCCAAAGTGGAGCCCTGAGAGATTTCTTCATTTTTCCTGTCATAAAGAATTGGTAATTCAGTAGTCATAGGAGTTTGTAATAAATAACTCACATTGATTTCTCTGTTCTGAAATAATTTTGCTTCCCCTCTTCCCGAAGCTCTGACACCTGCCCCAACAAGCAATGTTGGAAAATTATTTACATAGTGGCGCAAACTCCCTTACTGCTTTGGATATAAATCCAGGCAGGAGGAGGTAGCTCTAAGGCAAGAGATCTAGGACTTCTAGCCCCTGAACTTTCAGCCGAATACATCTTTTCCAAAGGAGTGAATTCAGGCCCTTGTATCACTGGCAGCAGGACGTGACCATGGAGAAGCTGTTGTGTTTCTTGGTCTTGACCAGCCTCTCTCATGCTTTTGGCCAGACAGGTAAGGGCCACCCCAGGCTATGGGAGAGATTTGATCTGAGGTATGGGGGTGGGGTCTAAGACTGCATGAACAGTCTCAAAAAAAAAAAAAAAAGACTGTATGAACAGAACAGTGGAGCATCCTTCATGGTGTGTGTGTGTGTGTGTGTGTGTGTGTGTGTGTGTGTGGTGTGTAACTGGAGAAGGGGTCAGTCTGTTTCTCAATCTTAAATTCTATACGTAAGTGAGGGGATAGATCTGTGTGATCTGAGAAACCTCTCACATTTGCTTGTTTTTCTGGCTCACAGACATGTCGAGGAAGGCTTTTGTGTTTCCCAAAGAGTCGGATACTTCCTATGTATCCCTCAAAGCACCGTTAACGAAGCCTCTCAAAGCCTTCACTGTGTGCCTCCACTTCTACACGGAACTGTCCTCGACCCGTGGGTACAGTATTTTCTCGTATGCCACCAAGAGACAAGACAATGAGATTCTCATATTTTGGTCTAAGGATATAGGATACAGTTTTACAGTGGGTGGGTCTGAAATATTATTCGAGGTTCCTGAAGTCACAGTAGCTCCAGTACACATTTGTACAAGCTGGGAGTCCGCCTCAGGGATCGTGGAGTTCTGGGTAGATGGGAAGCCCAGGGTGAGGAAGAGTCTGAAGAAGGGATACACTGTGGGGGCAGAAGCAAGCATCATCTTGGGGCAGGAGCAGGATTCCTTCGGTGGGAACTTTGAAGGAAGCCAGTCCCTGGTGGGAGACATTGGAAATGTGAACATGTGGGACTTTGTGCTGTCACCAGATGAGATTAACACCATCTATCTTGGCGGGCCCTTCAGTCCTAATGTCCTGAACTGGCGGGCACTGAAGTATGAAGTGCAAGGCGAAGTGTTCACCAAACCCCAGCTGTGGCCCTGAGGCCCAGCTGTGGGTCCTGAAGGTACCTCCCGGTTTTTTACACCGCATGGGCCCCACGTCTCTGTCTCTGGTACCTCCCGCTTTTTTACACTGCATGGTTCCCACGTCTCTGTCTCTGGGCCTTTGTTCCCCTATATGCATTGCAGGCCTGCTCCACCCTCCTCAGCGCCTGAGAATGGAGGTAAAGTGTCTGGTCTGGGAGCTCGTTAACTATGCTGGGAAACGGTCCAAAAGAATCAGAATTTGAGGTGTTTTGTTTTCATTTTTATTTCAAGTTGGACAGATCTTGGAGATAATTTCTTACCTCACATAGATGAGAAAACTAACACCCAGAAAGGAGAAATGATGTTATAAAAAACTCATAAGGCAAGAGCTGAGAAGGAAGCGCTGATCTTCTATTTAATTCCCCACCCATGACCCCCAGAAAGCAGGAGGGCATTGCCCACATTCACAGGGCTCTTCAGTCTCAGAATCAGGACACTGGCCAGGTGTCTGGTTTGGGTCCAGAGTGCTCATCATCATGTCATAGAACTGCTGGGCCCAGGTCTCCTGAAATGGGAAGCCCAGCAATACCACGCAGTCCCTCCACTTTCTCAAAGCACACTGGAAAGGCCATTAGAATTGCCCCAGCAGAGCAGATCTGCTTTTTTTCCAGAGCAAAATGAAGCACTAGGTATAAATATGTTGTTACTGCCAAGAACTTAAATGACTGGTTTTTGTTTGCTTGCAGTGCTTTCTTAATTTTATGGCTCTTCTGGGAAACTCCTCCCCTTTTCCACACGAACCTTGTGGGGCTGTGAATTCTTTCTTCATCCCCGCATTCCCAATATACCCAGGCCACAAGAGTGGACGTGAACCACAGGGTGTCCTGTCAGAGGAGCCCATCTCCCATCTCCCCAGCTCCCTATCTGGAGGATAGTTGGATAGTTACGTGTTCCTAGCAGGACCAACTACAGTCTTCCCAAGGATTGAGTTATGGACTTTGGGAGTGAGACATCTTCTTGCTGCTGGATTTCCAAGCTGAGAGGACGTGAACCTGGGACCACCAGTAGCCATCTTGTTTGCCACATGGAGAGAGACTGTGAGGACAGAAGCCAAACTGGAAGTGGAGGAGCCAAGGGATTGACAAACAACAGAGCCTTGACCACGTGGAGTCTCTGAATCAGCCTTGTCTGGAACCAGATCTACACCTGGACTGCCCAGGTCTATAAGCCAATAAAGCCCCTGTTTACTTGAGTGAGTCCAAGCTGTTTTCTGATAGTTGCTTTAGAAGTTGTGACTAACTTCTCTAATGACCTTTGAAATCAAGTCCCTGTAAGTTTACACTTCCCATTACACAACATATCCATGGCACTTTAACCTGTCCAAGAGTCCCCTGAAGGGATTCCCTCTGACAAGCACAGTCCCTCTTTTGAGATAGCTGGCCATTCATGTAGGGCCAGTTGTGGGGGTTTTAGTACTCTCATTCTATCATTATTCCAATTTGAGGAGCAAAAACTAAAGATCATTGAGATCCATGGATCTGCTGCCAGGTTCAGTGACTGGAATGCACTTGCCCCAGCGGGTTCAAGTTCTTTGTAGAAACAGACCCCTCAAAGATGACAGCAGCTGGCTTCCTCCAGAAGTGTCCTTCAACACTGTCTTTCAGTACTAAGTGACCAGTAGAAGTTACTCCATAAAGACCATAGCCAGGAATGAATTATGGGGCTTCCTGCATATCAAATGGTTACCTAGGGAAGGCATATGGTAAACTAGTTAAGCACAGAGGTTCTGGAATCAGACTGCCTAGGTCCAAATCCTGGCTTTACAACTTACTAGCTATGTGACCTTAGGTGATATAACCTCTTTACGCCTCAGTTTTCTTACCTACAAAGCAGGAGAAATAATAGTAATTAGCTCAAAGGGTTGCTATAAGAATCAAAGAAAATCATGCAAGCAAAGCACTTACTACAGTGCCTGGCACATAGTAAGCTCTTATAACAGTTTTCTGGTATTATTCTTATTAAGCCATTTTGTATTATATCCATAAATGTAGATTCATAAAATACATAAAAATACAACTTGGTAGAATTTGTCTTGGTTGGCAGCAGTTGAAGCTTCTCATTTGCTAAGAATTAGGTTTAGAATGTTAGAAGGGTGAACAACAAGTCTTTGAAGCCATTATTTATGAATATTGACTTCTCTAATTGACTTTTGATAACCATTTGTAAGCATAGAAGCTAAGGATACATTCTCAGACAAAAATGAGAGTGCAAATACTCTCTGTTGTCCAATTAGGGCAGATCCATCCATCCTCACATTCAGCTAAGCAGAAGAGAGGATTGACACTCTTTTCTAGTTAAATAATCCAGATACGTCTTAATTATAGAAGGCCATCCCAACTCCCCAGGGATGTAGGTTGAGCTAATATTTTCTTCAGAATTCAGTTGCTTGCATCTTACTATACGTAGTCTGGTAGACAGCCTCTGGCCTTAATAATTTGAGCCAGGAAAATCTTAACAGCTGGTATTTGCATTCAGAGAACATTAAAAAATCTTAACAAAGCATTCGTAGGATGTTTAGATTTAAGCAATTTAGCCTACTGGTGGGTACATCAATGTAAACTTGTTGGAAAATGTATTTCCAGGTAACTGGTGAATTGTCATACCATATAGAGCTATTAGATGTAATCCAATTAAATGTTAGATGACATCTGCCAAAGAAGATGATTCTGATTTGGGCATGTTGGTTCTAAGCAATGCTTTTTTTTTTTTGCAGTAAGTGGAGAGTAAGATCAAACATCCACCGTGGCCACTTCTAGCTGATGCTAATAAAACCATGTTGTCAGGACTGGTTTTCTGTTAGAGTAGGGACCATGGATCCAATTTTTCCAGAAGTAGAATCAGGCCTCAAGGAATGAGTTAAAAAGACATAGGGACAAATGGTCTATAAAACCTATAATAGAAAGGAGGTGAAAGCGGGGTGGTGGCCCAGTGCCTGAAGAGATACTGTAGTGCATTTACAGGCCAAATAAGAGAAAGTAGAACAATAGTATGAATCAGAGATGATGGAGGCTGCTACTTGATAGAACACTTTCTTTTTGGAACTGAAAATAGCCATGTTGGTATAAGGGTTAGGGCCAGGCCTGACCCTAATGTAAGCGCCTTAGCATGGGATGTGATATGGAGATGTGCAGATCAGAAACCTAAAATCTCCCTGTGTCAGAAAAAAATGTTAGCTCACTGGCCAGGCAACAAGACTTGCACACTTTCCAAAAAGAGGTGGTCATGGAGAGAGCATTGTTAAGAATGGGCTGCATGTCAGGCCAGGTGAGTGGATGAGAAGCCACCTCTGTGATGAGACTTGGTCTATCCAGGCCCTGGAGGAGAGAGTACAGGCTGCCTCAAAAGTGAGGCTGGGACCTGATGGAAATGGATTTGGAGTCCCAGCTGACAAAGTAAGTAGAATGTTAAATCTGTGATATTCTCCCCCATGCTTTCACTATCCTCAAGTTTGATGTGCCCCAGGCAAGCAAAGATTGACAAAGGAAGCAAATGACTCTAGATGATTGAGCACCACCACCACGTAGATCAAATTTCCAAAGTATAGATTTCTGATCACTAGAATCCCAGGGAAAAGAGAAGCACTGCTTTGATTTCTAGGTAGCTTATCCTAGGACAACTGCCCACTAGTCTCAGATGGGTTGTCGTACTTGCCTGGATTCCTTCTCTTCAGCTCCCTGTCTCTATTTCAAATATGCATCTTTTCATTTCCTCTGCACTAGAACGTAGGTTAAGCGGGCTTGTTAGCCTTTTCCTTCTGAAAATGCAGACTCCTAGCTCAAATTTCCTGGATCACCTGGCCCAGTGATCACTTATAGTCTGCTGATTACAGGCATCATTTTCCTCTGGGGTGTTTGAGTATAGATTCATTGACCCCAGTCCTCCTAGAGTAGATTCTCTGGGGTTAGTGCTCAGGAATATGCAAGATCACAAGCTCTTTTGTACCATGTGCTTTTAGAGCTATCACTGTAGTGTTTTCCTGACAGCTCAGATTTCTTATCTCAGGGACATGCCTGGCTCCCACTAAGCTTGCAGGCAGGTGGTCACCTTTTTTTTTTTTTTTCCGAGACGGAGTCTCGCTCTTTTGCGCAGGCCAGGCTGCAGTGGCGCTATCTCGGCTCACTGCAAGCTCCGCCTCCCGGGTTCAGGCCATTCTCCTGCCTCAGCCTCCTGCGTAGTTGGGGACTACAGGCGCCCGCCACCGCGCCCGGCTAATTTTTTTTGTATTTATAGTAGAGATAGGATTTCACCGTGTTAGCCAGGATGGTCTCGTTTTCCTGACCTCGTGATCTGCCCGCCTCGGCCTCCCAAAGTGCTGGGATTACAGGCGTGAGCCACCAGGCCCGGCCAGGTGGTCACGTTTAAAGAAGCATCTAGTGCATCTGTATGTACCCAGGTCTTCCCCTTAGCCTACTTCTGGTGCATTCTTTCAGGCCTCATTCAGTGTGGACCCGTCTGTCCTATGCCCTTCATACACACAGATAAGTGATCTCCCAACGTCTCATCACTGCCCCCAGGATGATAATTGCTTAATCACACAGGGAAGATCACACATAGTCTTAAAACAAAACAAAAACAAAAACAAAAACTTCTTACACTTACTGAGCTCTTACCATGTGCCAGGTACTGTTGTGAGTCTTTTACATATATTTACTTGTTTAATGACAATCCTATGATTTATGTAATATTTTATAGTCCTCATTTTACAGATGAGAAAACTGAGGTTTGGAGAGGTTAATTAACTTGCTCAGAGCTAGGATTTGAACCTAGGCAGTCTGGCTACTCAGTTCTATGCTTCTAACCACTGTATTCTACTGCCACATTCAACAGAAGCTTACACCCTACACTTATACCCCTAGTGCAAGACGGAGGGTGTGGGGATGTGTGTGTTTTTTCTTATGGGGAAGCCATTCCAGGATGCCGTATATTCAGTGTTAGCTACCATTGCAGGTCCACTGGCAATCACCCTACTTTTTATTTTGTTCTTATGTGCTTAGCAGAATGGCTTGCACATAGAAATCCTATTCAGCCTTAGCATGAATACAATTGTGCCATATTGTCAAAGTTCTTCTCTGACCTCCATCTCTTCTACAGTCATGCACACCCTTAGATGTAACTTTACATCGTAGTGGCATTCACCAAAGACATAGAATCATACAAGGGACTCTAGGCCAGCAATTCTCAACTTCGATTATGAATATTGGAACCACCTGGAGAGTTTTCAAAAATCCAGTTGCTTAGGCCATAACCAGATAATTATGTTGATTATCTGGCGGTGAGACTCAGGCATCATTATTTTTAAACCTCCTTAGTGATTACAATGTACAGCCATGTCTCCAACAGCCACTCTT
Source organism: Homo sapiens (assembly GCF_000001405.40). Lineage (NCBI taxonomy): Eukaryota > Metazoa > Chordata > Mammalia > Primates > Hominidae > Homo > Homo sapiens. The sequence continues at coordinate 159,708,132 of NC_000001.11, read as the reverse complement.
CTAGGTGCCACTCTTCTAGGGTGAGTGATAGTTTAGAAAAGATTGCAGAGTCACAGCTGTGGTCCCTGACAGTTCATGTGGTTATTTCTGATGGATATGCCCCTGTTTCTTAATTTTCTTATGTTATAGTAGTTTCCGTTTGAGTCAGGGGAGCATATCAAACTCCATTTCAGCACTGGAGTTTTAAGTCATAGCTCTAGGATTAAATAAAGCGACAGCCCTGTATTTAGTGTGTTCTTATTTATTCAGTAAAGCCTCACTGTGATGACAAATATTGTATTTGTTTTAGAGTGTTCTCTTTTTTCCCCAATTAATACTTTGTATCTCTGTAGTGTGGAGAAACCAAAGTGCCAAGATATTTGAAAAGCTGAAATCCTTCAGTATTTTTATCAGAGCATCACAGATATAGGAGGAAGAGAGAAGAGGCTTCCCAAACAAACATATCTGAGGGAAGGGTAAAGGTTGCATTGCAAGCTTATTACACTTCTCTCCTGATAAAGTTCACTGAATGCTCTGTGATATGCTGCAAGCAGTTATAGAGCTGTACTGGCGGGTTGCTGGAGCCAGGGGTGGGTTGTAAAATGGTTTGTGGGAAGGTCTTTCATTCTGTCTCTCGCGCTTTTCTTTCTTTTGCTTTAGCTCTTGCTCTCTCCATCTCTATTTCTCTCTGCCTCTCCCTCTCTTTTTCAATTTTAGGCCTTCTTTACAGCATATCCATTTTGGAGGTAGTTCTATAATGTAGTGGGCTCCATGAAATCAATAAAATTACCAGTGTTCACCTATTGCATTGGTAGCTGCATTCTTTTAACTTACCTAAGGAGCCCAGACAGACACTAACAAGAAGGCAATTTGGCATTGGAAAAACATCTTCTTCCTTCTTTGTACCAATCTTTTCACCTATATGATTTATTTTTGTTTAAATTATACATGTACCTTTTATTGGGCAAATGGTTAGAATGAGAGAACAAAAGCTTTTGGAGCAATTACTTTAAGCCAGTCATATAATTAAAAAAATAGATGCAAAAAGTTTGTAAAAGGATATTAAAAATTTTAAAACTATACATCATTAAAATACAAACCAGTCCAGAAATGTACCACCATTTGTAATAGTCCTTTTTCTCTTGCGCGTTTCGAATATGCTGCCCACATGTTAGCTGGTTCTCCTAGTCAATGGAGAAACAGCCTCTATTATCAATTTCTCATTGGATATCAATGTGAAAACTCATGATAAGATCATGATGAATAAGCTCCAGATTCTTTTTACATGAAATGATGTCTTATATGGGAATTAATATATTGTGAAATACTTTGGTACCTAAATGTATACATAGCTTAGGATGTCCAACTGATATTGTTCTGTTTTAGGCATTCTGGGCATAAAGCCAAATAACCACAGTGAGACTGGGTGTCCTATTCATAAAATGGGATCTTCATTCCCTCTTCCCTTGGTTCTTAATTACACATGCACACACACACACACTCACGTAAACACACACACTTCATTTTAGAAGCAATACAATCCCATTATGAAAAGTTAGTGAGGAAAAAAATCCTCCATAATTCCATTATTATAATAAGAACATATTGTCTGGAAGCATTCCTTACACTTTTTTTCTAAAATAGTCACTTCTTTTAAAAATAGTGTATATACAAGTCTGTTATTTTTTCTTTTATCAAAAGCATTTTTATTTACATGTTATAGTATAAAATTCACCACTAACATTTAAATGGCTATCTATTCTATTTGGTGGATGTAGACATATACAGTTTACTTAAACATGCCCCATTTTTCTCTTTGCTATCCTAAGTAATTTTAAGTGGTTGTCTTTGTGAAAAAGGTTCCCCCTCCCAATATTTTGCATCATTTCCCTAGAACGGATTCTCAAAATGTGACTGTCTTAATTCACCAGGCGATGCCACACAGAGTTGTTGGAGCAGCAGCAGGCATCACACATTCTCTAATAAATAACCCATATTGATCTCTCATTTTGTGATTTATCTTGCTCTCTTTGCTCTTAGAGCTTTGATTCATGGCTCCAAGGGGGCAATTTTGGAAAATCATTTACCAGCTGAGACATCCTGACTGCTGCACATATGAGGTCGAGGTGGGGCAGACTTGAAACAGAGGGATCTCAGATGTGCAAACCCAGAATCTCAGCCACTGATACTTTTTTTCAAGAGAATGATCCAAATTCCAGGCACACCAATAGCAGGGAGGGAACACGGAGTTTCCTGGTCTCTAAACATGGAGTTTTCCATGTTTCCTGGTTTTCATCAGCTTCCCAGTGCTTTCCCTCAGACAGGGAGGCATTGCTTCCGCTGATGGCTGAGATCTTGTCCTGTAAATATGACTGTGCAAAGCCAAGTTAGGGAAAAGGGCCAGCATGGGTGAGAGGTTGTGGCCTGGGGCAGAGTTCAGGCTGTGGTTTCTAAGTCCAATCTCTTGGTACATTGCGAGGAATACATCTTTGTGGCCTGACAAGCTTAACTGATGACCTTTTTTCTCTCTGCTTTCTATCCTACAGATGTGAACAAAAAGGGTTTTGTGTTTTCCCAGAGTCAGACAATTCCTTTGTGATCCTGACTGCAGAGCTAAAGAAGGCACTCAAGGCCTTTATTGTGTGTCTCCATGTCTATATGCACCTGACCTGTGAACATAGCCTTTTTTTCTTATGCCATGAGGACTAGATAATGAATCCTCCTCTCTAAGGAAAAGACCGGAGGCTACAGCACATCCGTGGGTGGAAGTGGGATAGTTTTCAAGTCTCCTAAGAGTTCTCCTGCACTGTGTACCTCCGTGTAAACTGGAGTCCGCCTCAGGGATCATGGCGTTCTGGGTGGATGGGAAGCCCATGATGAGGAGGAGTCTGAAGAAGGGATACACTGTGGGGACAGAGGCAGGCATCATCCTGGGGCAGGAGCAGGATTCCTTCACTGAGAGCTTTGACACAAACCAGTCCTTGGTGGGAGATATTGAAGATGTGAACATGTGGGACTTTGTGAGATTAGATATTAGGTTAGATTAGACAGCCAGATGAGATTAATGCCATCTATGTTGGTGCGGCCTTCAGTCCTAATGTCCCAGACTGGTGGATGCTGACATATGAAGTGCACGGTGAAGAGTTCACCAAGCCCTAGTGGTGGCCCTGAGGCCTGACTGCAGGTCCCAAAGGTTCCTCCTGGGATTACACCTGACATTTCCCTGACTTTGGCTCTGAGGTCTTTTTGTCCTGCATACATGGCTGTCTCACCCCAAGGGTCCTGTATTTATTTCCCTTCTTTCTTCACCCTGCTTTCATCAGCACAAGGGCCAGTGCAGAGCAGAGGGTCCCACTCATGGCTTAGAATCACCAGGCTACATCCCAGGCCAATTAAATCTGATTTCCTGGAGGTGAGACCCAAGCATCCATGTTTTAAAAGCTCTTCAAGTGATTCCAATGTTCTGCCAAAGCTGACAGCTGTTGCCTTTATGTCTAAGAGCAAATGAGCCAGAATTTCTCTCCTAAAAAAGACAGCACGTGTCCAACTATAGTTCTGCCAATATTTTCATTTGCCTTTATCCATATACCTACCATAGTTTATTGTGCTTTATTGTATTAACTAAGGAATACAGGAGTATTTTCCAGCATTCTGCCCTCATCATTAGAATGAGGTCATTATAAATTAGAATTATCTTTAACTTTTTTAATCCTTTCTATTTGAAGATTCAATAAATCTAAGACATGTTTTGTAGTTGTTGTTTAATTTGTTCTATTTTCTTTCTTAAGGCTGGCCAATTTTCATTAGGTGAAATTTCTATTGGTTTTTGTTTTCTTATTTATCATCCCTCAGGTCACTTTTTTCTATGTCCTGCATCCTTATATTTTAAGCTTTTATTTTTTCAAATCTCTCTTCCATATTACTGATTTATTTTCTGCTTTGCATATTGGGATCCTTACTTTTTCTAATGCCATTGAAAATTCTGTGATGCTTTTTGAGTTTCCTTAAATTCTTTCTTAGATTTAGTATGTTTTTTTCCAACTATTTTTCATTAATTCTCTTTTCTTCAATTTACTTAAAAGTTTAATGCAGTTACTGTCTAAAGTTTTCTAAATTTTCCTGTGATTAATCTTTAAAATTTTTTGACATAAATCTTTTGCATGCTTTAGATAATTTTCTTTTATATTTTAGTACTTTTCAGTCTCACTATTTATTCAAATACAGTGTGAGGGGTGCATTCTGTTTGTCTCCTTTCTCCCTACCTGGCCACACTTAGGCTCCCTAGGAATCTTTGCAAGTTGGCTGATGGACTTAGGTAATACTATGAATTTCCAGTCAGGTTCGGCCTCTTTCAACTCCCCTTTGAAATGATTCCCTGAAATGGTTTGGATGTTTGTCACTTCAAAATCTCATGTTGAAATATGGTTCCCAATGTTGGAGGTGGGGCCTGGTGGGAGATGTTTGGATAATGGGGGCAGATCCCCCATGAGTGATTTAGTGCCATCCCCTAAGTGATGAGTGAGTTCGCTCAGTTTGGTCATATAAGATCTGGTTGTTTAAAAGACCCTGTGATCTCTCTCTTCCCTCTCTGGTCCCTGCTCTCGCCATGTGACACACTGACACCCCTTCGCCTTCCACCATGATTGTAAGCTTTCTGAGGCCCTTGTTAGAAGCAGATGCCAGCACTATGCTTCCTGTACAGCCTGAAGACTGAAGCCAATTAAGCCCCTTGTCTTTATAAATTACCCAGCCTCAGGTATTCCTTTATGGCAATGCAAAACAGACTAACACACTCCCCACCTCCACCAATTTCTGATTGTCACAGACTCTCCCAGGTGCACTTTTTCGTATTTGTGTCTTTACGTCTCTCTTAAAAGGATGACTCAGAATGCTGGGGAAGACACAGTTAACAATACCAGCAGCATCAGACAAGATCAGGTCTTGAGTTCTTTTGGAGAGGGCGATAGTCTGGGAAGCTTTCCTTTCCTCTGTCTGGCTTCTCTCCTTGAGACTAGTGGCATGTCCCATGTCTGATATCCATTGGTTTCCACCAAAGAGGTCCAAGGTCACCTACGCATGACATCTATCTCTGGGGCTCTGGGACTTTTCCCTCTTCACTAGGTATGAAGCAAGTGGAGATTCTCATTGCAGTTCTGTCCTGAAGCGTAGATCTTCAGGGGAAAATGTTTTAGGAAGGCCATGTTCACTTGAGATCTGAGCTGGGTCCTTCAAATCAAGCATTGCTAGCCACAAGGCTGATGTGATTTTTATTCAAGTATTTATTTCTCAGTTTATTCTAAACAGGCAAAGAGGTGATATTGTTTCCTCAAAACTCTAAGAGTACCATGAAGAGAGAGGGAAGCTCCTCTATGGAGAGATTCTCACCTGCAAACAGCCAGGGTGGAGCCTGGGCAGGACTTCAGACTTGTAAGAGGAATAACAGTGTAGCGGGCAGTCTCTCACAGATAGCACAAAGAGTCTTTCCTCATCAGGGATGGGTTTACTTTTAGAATCAGGGCAGACTTGTCCTGGAGCTCCAACTCTAAAAGCTGTGAAGTTCTGCAGGAGCTGGGGCAGGCTCATTTCAAAACAAACTGAGTCCTGATACATGGAATCTTTGGCCTTTGTATTGTTGATGCCTGGGTCTGAAAGTCAGAAATAGATCCTGTTCCTCTCTATGCTTTACTCATGTTTGGGGTCAAAGAGGGACTTTGAAGGCATAATCTGTACATTTATATGCCTCATTTACAGTTTCTTAAAGCCTACCTTTCCTCTCCACCCCTGTTACTCAACCGAACTTGGGTCTGCCCATTTGGTGCAGCAAAGCCAAATGCTGACAACAGGATTTGCAGTGAGAGAAAGTGAAGTCTTTATTGCAAGATGCCAAACAAGGAGAATCTGAGACCCAAACATCCTGATGACTTACATGGAAGGGTTTTTAAAGGCAGGGAGGCAGAGATTACAGGCAAAGTCATAAATCAACACATGGAGGCCATACAGTGGTTTGGCCTATAAAGGGGGGCATCTCAAGTTGGGAGGGCCAAAGATCATAGGTGGATTCAAAAATTTTCTGATATGTGATTGGTTAAGATTTGTCTAAAAACTTGGGATCAGCAGAAATATTGAGCTCTGGCCTATGGGCATGACCTTCTTCAGGCCTCTCAGGAAGAAATTTAGAACAAAGAACAGCAGTCAGTGTTCAGTCCTCAGTTCCCCACTATCTGAGGTCATCTGAGGAAGATAGCATTTTCCATCCACTGGCACAGAGATCTCAGATAATGGCATTAGGTCAGGGGTCGGGTTTCTGAAAAACAACTCAGGAACATATATTAGGATGTTATTTTTAGTTTCTGTAGGGGAACCAAACATCCTATGATTCTAATTTCCTTGGCTATTGCTTTAAGCTACTATTACCTTCTTGCTTATCAGGTGGCTTATTTATTCTCCGGGCTAGCTAGGTACCTGGAATTTCCCTTGAAGGAGCTCAAGATTTTCCTTTATTTCCGTGCATGGGTGAGGGATGTGGGCTGGCAGGCTTCTAAGTGGGGTCCCTGCTCCATCTCACCCTCAAGGGTTAAGATAGCCAGACTAACTGAGTTCAGGTCCTGGTTTCATCTTATAATGGCTGGGTGACCTTAGGTAAATGACTTAAATGCTGTATTCTTCAGGTTTCCTCGTCTTTTAAATGGGGGATAGTATAGGGCCCATTTCACTGCACAAGCTAGTGCTTAATGCATGTTATCTATGCTTTATGACTAATATTATTGCTGGTGATCATGATTTCAATTACCCAGGCTCTGGGTCAGAGCCTCAGTATGGTGAAGGGATCCATCAATGGGTAGATAATGAAGAAGGGACACCTGATTGTATGGGGAGAATGCGTCAGCTTGGACTGAAAAAAAATCGTAGAAATTATCACAAAGTTAAAGCATAAGGGGAGAATTTGAAAGGCCTATATCTAGAATGTTGTGGCTACAGGAAATAGGTTGATTCAGACACTGACAGAAGAGTCAGTGAGAGGGTAAAGAAGCTTCAGAATTTGGCATGTACTCAGAAAACTCTCATTCAGATTTTTAGGAGGACATCAGAAACGCATGGAGGATCAAAATCCACTTAAAAGGCCTTATTCTACCTCAAAAGAACAGGAAATGGAAAAGGAAAGGAAGATACTGTGATCTGACCACATCGGCCCTACAGGGGGTAAGAGGAGCAGGATCTGGCCGGGTGTGGTGGCTCATGCCTGTAATCCCAGCACTTTGGGAGGCCAAAGCAGGCAGATCACTTGAGGCCAGGAGTTCGAGACCAGCCTGGGCAACATGGCGAAACCCCATCTCTACCAAAAAAATAAAAAAAAATTAGCCAGGCATGGTGATGCACACCTGTAATCCCAGCTCCTCAGGAGGCTGAGGCATGAGAATCGCTTGAATCTAGGAGGTGGAGTTTGCAGGGAGCCGAGTTTGCGCCACTGCACTGCAGTCTGGGTGACAGAGTGAGACTCGATCTCAAAAAATAAAAAAATAAAAAAATAAATAAAGAGGAACAGGATCTGTAGGGGCAACTGGCTGTAGCTTTCAAAATCCAGCAACAGGGCTCCCTTCAAAAGAACAGAGGAGCCGTGGAGAGAAAGGAAGTGGGGCACTAGAGGGAGCACATCAGATCACGCCTTTGAGGAAAAGAAGAGGAAGGAAAGGTTTCTGTATCATTGAATAACCCAAGTTGCTTTGGGCCTGGAAACTCTCAATCTGAGGAACGGTGGTGGCTGGGGAGGAGCTGAGTCCAGGACACAATCGTTGCTGCTGGACTCCTGAGAGTAAAGGCTGGAAGCACTAACCATGCAGTATTAATTAAGCTGGAGTCTACAGGCCCTTTGCTGGGAAGCTGGGTTCAAAGAAGAAGGGTTTTCATTCAGGCTTCCCCATTTCCATTAAATAAGGAGAATGATCTTTTCAAATGTAAGTAAGATCAAGTTCCTTCCTGATGAAAAACCTGCAAAAGTTTCCCACTGCCTTTTGTATAAATTGCAAACCCTTTACCTGGCCCTCATGGCCCTGTGTTTTCAGACCTCTGCTCCTTCTGTAACATTGTCACGCTTCTTTCTCACTCTCTGAATTCCAGCCCCTCTGCCATTTTGTCTGATCATTTCTTCCACAAATATATGTTGAATGACTATGATGTGACAGGCACTAGCTTTAGATGCTTTGGATAAGCAGTAAAACCAGAAATAGCAACATCCCCACGCCCACATCAGACAAAATCACGGTCACCTGGAACTTGTATAGCAGTGAGTTTCAATATGCTTGCTTTGCTTCCGTCTCAAGTCCTTTGCATATGTTCTCTGTGCCCAAAGCACTCTTTCTTCAGAGCCTCATGTGGCTGGCTGGCTTCACATCATTCTGTTTCAGATCAGAATCCTGTTATTGTTTTCTAACCAAATATTACTACCTAAAAAATGTTGTTTCTTTACAGTTTGGCTTCTCCACTAGACTGTAAATTCCATGAAAGTAGAGACATTGTTCCCTACTGTATTCTTGGTTTCTAGAATGGCATGGTTTCTTAGTATGTTCTCAATAAATATTTGATGAATTAATTAATTCTACAGAAGGTAGTAGCAGCTAAGAAATGCTTTGGATTCTGCTGAGGATGGAAAAATACTTAAAGAGCAAGGAGTTGTTAGACCATAATTCTGCTCACAGAATGGCATGTTATAAATGTGAGGTAGCTTGCTCCTTAGGAGGGAATGTCCAGAGACAGAGTCCACATTTATTTCATCACTATGCTTCTGGGAATAAAGCAGGCAGGAAAATGGAAATTAAAAGATTATTAAGAATACATGGGATAGATAGGGGATCAGGTAGCTTCAGGAGAGGTGTAACAGTTGCAGACCACTACAGATCTCTAAATTTTTCAAAGAGATACAAATAATTCAAATGCTGTCTCCACAGTAGGAAGCAGTATACATGTTGGTGAATTTTCCTCAAAGATGTTGAAAATGTTGCAGCACAATCAGCTTCTTGACAGGGAAATTTCTGCTGTGTGTGTGTGTGTGTGTGTGTGTGTGTGTGTGTGTGTATGTTTAACACATGTGCTGATTTATTGATGTTTAGGAGGCTAGGACCTCTTTTGTTTTTAAATTGAAGTGTAACATACATAAGAAAAATGCAGAAATCACAAGTATGTAGCTTGGTGAATTTTCCCAAGGCAAACATACCTGTGGAGCCATTACCCAGATCTAGTAATTCTAGTAATGAGAAGAATACAGCCCTAATTCTGTGATATTTCTGCCCAAAATTCATAACTTGAATCTAATCATTAGAAGACATCATATAAGCCCCTCCTCCCCTTCCCAGTCACAATTTCTCCAGCCAAAGGTAACCATTATTTTGACTTCTAATTCCATAGATTAGTTGTGGCTGTCTTGGAACTTTATATAAAATATTTTCTATGAATCATTTAAGAGTAAGTTGTTGACATGATGCCCCATCATCCCCAAATACTTTAGTGTGTAATTCAAGCAAACAAAGACCTTCTCCTACATGACCCCAATACAACCATCAAAATCAGGAAATTAACACTGATATATCACTGTTATCTAATTTACATATCCCATTCAACTTTCACCAATTATCCAATCATGTCCTTTATAGCAAAAAGATACAAACCAGGATTATACACTGCATTTAGTTGTCATGTTTCTTCAGTCACCTTTGATTTCTAGAGCATTTCCTCATCCTTTCCAGTCTTTCTTTAATTCTCAAAACTTTAACACCTGAAGGCTGTAGCCAGAATATTCCTTGGTTCAGGTTTGTCTGATGTCTTCTAATGATTAGATTCAGGTTATGAATTTTTGGCAGAAATATCACAGAATTGGGGCTGTTTTCTTCTCATTGCGTTCTATCAAGGGAGACACAAGTTTGACTTTTCTCATTACTTGATCATTAGATTAAAGTGATTTTATGTTTTTCTCCATTGAAACTTACTTCTTGTAATTAATAATTTTGTAGTAAGGTGATATTTTAAGACTAGGTAAATATATCATTTCCCATTATACTTTCACTCACTAGTTATAGCATCCATCTATGTTTTTTGAATAGATTAATTATTACTATGATAGTTTATCAAATGGTCACTTTACATTTCCATCATTCCTTCTACTTTTAAGTGAAAAGTGTTATTTTCTCCTCATTTATTCATTCATTTATTTTTATCGCTATGGATCCTAAATCATTTTTTGTCTCATTCTACTGTCTAGTACCTTCACTTAAAAGAAAATGGTAACTGTAGACATCCATTTCATGTTCCTAATGTGAAGAGGAATGCTTTCAATAAGTTGAGATTAAGTATGATACCTACTCTATGGTTTTTTAATTTTATATTTTATTTTATTTTATTTTTTTAGAGCACCCTTGCATTTTCTTATGGCAAAAGGGAAAGTTTAGGCTTGCAGTAGGCATTTCTAATGGTAGCAGCCTCAGGCCTGCTATGTTAGCTTTTTTCTGTGCAAACACATACTCCTTTAGAATTATCAACTACCTTGAAAGATCATCTGTACCTTGATGGTCATATGTACTTTATTCCAGCTTGTTCTCCTCTAGGCGAGTTTGGGAGTGGGAACGGAGTATATCTCAGTGTGGAAAGCTTCTAGTGTTGTAATAAGTTCTCAATTATTTTGTTTACTTCATTTCTGCCACTAGATAGCCGTGTCCTTTGGGACTCCCTACCCACCTAACACCTCTGTCCCAAGAATTTCAGTTTTCCAGAGAATGTCCTCCTCTGTTGCGACCGATTCTTATATGGGTGAGGCAAGAGAGGAAGGGAGGAGAAGAGGATGCTCAGTAATTGGCCAGACTCTGTGAACTTCTTCTTATAAGCATTTCACCCCAGCTAGAGTCTCCCTGATGTAACTCAGGCTGGTGCTGGTGCTGGGCTGGGATGCAGTTTTTCTCACCAACCCACTTTGATAGAATGAATAATAATCCTCTCAGGGCAATGTGGGAAAGACAATAAAAGACTCAGTTAGAAAGTGGTTTCCCAGTCCCTTCCCCAGTTGTAGGACCTGTTTTCCTTTTGCCCTAACCTTTTTTTCTATCACATTGGTGTTCTGTCACCTCTGTTCTTCCCAAGTATTTCCCCCTACTTTTTTTTGTATTGGGATCCCTTTCACTTTTGTGGTTTCTCTAGAGTTCAGCTCAAGGGAAGGAGACCTGAGCCCAGGCTAGCTTGTCATAGTCTACAGAACTGTCAATCTCTCAAGGAAAAACTTAATAGAAGGGTCACAAGAACCATATGAAGGAAAAGGGAGTGTTATTGAAGGACAAGACATGAATAAATTGGAGGGACATGACATCCTCCTGGATGAGAGACTTCATATTATAAAGTCTCAATCATTCCAAGAATGTCAATCATTCCTAAATTAATGCATACATTTACTATTATTTGAATAAAATTTCCAGCTTATATTAATCAAAGAAAATAAATCTGAAATTGATTTTGAAGAATAAATATGTAATAAATGCCAGGAAATTTTTGAAAAGAAAAATAATAGTAGGGATTTTTTTAATAGATACCAGAACTTAATATCTATAAAGCCACTAGAATCAAATCAATATGGCATTAAAACAGGAATTGACAATAAATCAGTGAAACAAATAAGAATTCAGAGACAGATTCAGGTACGTATGTAGTACAGTAATCCATTTCAATGGAGGAAAGAATGGCTCAGACAATAATTAGGGCTGGAACTATTGTCTATCCACTTGAAATAAAGTTACATCTTAATTTTTAACCATCTACAAAACTAAATATTTGATGGGTTAAATCTTTATATATAAAACAACAAAACACCAAAAGTATTAAAACATTTAGGAAAATATTTGTAAAATCTCAAAGTCATGGAGACTTTTCTAAGCAACACAATTACCCATAGCTACCTAAAAACCTTGCGATGGCAAAGTTAATATAAACAGAAACAAATACCAAATGACAAACTAGAAGAATATTACCTCTGCTCTCTTTCTCTCCGTGCGTGTGTGTGTACATGTGTGTATGTGTGTGTATCAGACAAAGGGCTAATATCTTTAATATACTTAAGGTGCTTACAAATAGATGGAAAAAAAGAAATGGCAAAGTGTAGATGTGAAAGGACAATCATCGCAAATAAAATGCAGATGCCCGGTAAACATTGATTTTACTTGTAATCTAAGAAAAGCAATTTAGAGACAACAATGGTATATTACTTTTTTGTTATTAGATTGGCAAAAAAAGGTTTTACTATCCAGTTATCACTAGTTTAATGGGGAAATAAGCCATTTCATGCATTTGTGCTGAGAGTGTAAATTTGTAGAAGCTTGTTGGAATTTAATTTGACAGTATGTATTAAAATTTTGAAAGGCTCATATTCTTTGGCCCACTAATTCTACTTAAAGAAATTTATCTTACAGCAATAAGATCAGAGTCCTTAAGGTGATACATAAAAAGATATTCATTACAGCATTCTAATAGCAAATATTTGGAAAACACATGTGTTCATCAACAGGGAAATCCTCGAATATGATTGAATAAATTGTGCTATCACTATACTATGGAATATTGTGCAGCTATTTAAAAATAATAGACTAGATCTATATGTACCATTCAAGAAAAATGCTCAGGGAAAAAAGCAAATTGCAGATTAGTATGTGCAGCATAATTCAGTTTTGCAACACAAGAGCATTTTTATTTGTACGGACATACAGTTGATAGATAGACAAGCAGATAGATAGATAAGAGGTAGATCTGTATAGAGACAAAATAAATTGGAAAGGATTGTGTTTGTGTTACAATAAATAGGCAGAGGGGGGAACTCTATTATTACTTTATTATAAACATTTTAAAGTGATTGAATTGTGTCAGTTAGTATTCAATGTAGAAAGGAGAAACTATTTTAAATATTTTAAGTGGGAAATAATTTCATATGGAGAATTAAGTGTTTTCATTTTTCACTTTTTGAGATAGAGTCTCACTCTGTCATCCAGGTTGGAGTGCAGTGTTGTGATCACAACTCATTGCAGCCTTGAACTCCTGGGCTCAAGAGATCCTCCTGCCTTGGCCTCCCAAAGCACTGGGATTACAGGCATGAACCACTGTGTCTAGCCCAAATTAATAGAAGAACTAAATTAAGTAGGCTCTTGGCTGGCCTCTGAAAATAAAATGACTCCTAGAAGAATTGAGAAGTGACACACCAATGTCTCCTTTGAAGCCACCACAGAAATTCCAATTTCATGAACATAATCCCATAGCTACCATCCAAGGCAGAGAGTTTGAATCATGAAACAGTAGCAGCTATTTCTCAAGATCTAGGGTCCTGGAGAATGGTCACTGGTACATGGCAACCAGGAAACCTCATATTCCCATGGCCTTGTTAGCCAGCCAAAACTACCTGATAGAGAGGAGGAAAAGGGCCCCCACCACAATTACATCTTCCACATTTCATGTAAGTTCACTGAATTGACAGACTGTGATTGACATCCAGAATGTGAATTACAAGGTAGCCTGGGGAATGTAGTGTTTAGCTTATCATCATTCCAGCAGCATGGGTGGGATGAGAATGAGTGAGTGGAGCGATCCACAGGACCCATCATGGTGATTACAATAAAGTTCACTTCATTGTGTCTTTGAATATTCTGACATAGACATATACCTATGCTACATTTTCATTAAAAAGAAAGTGTATTAATACTCGTATTTTCCCATTTTATAAGGAAAGCCTACGCACACACACATATACTAAAGACATGACAATACTAAAGAGTGTCAAACTAAAGTGTTAACGTGGTTTTCTTGAAAAGGAAGGGATCACAGGTAGTTTAAAAAATCATAGGCATTTCTCTAAAAATGTATCTTGCTTTAAAAAATAATATCTTGCTTTAATATCTTGCTTTAAAAAAATAATAATTTTTTAAGAGAAGTTGTAGGTTCACAACAAAACTGAGCAGAAAATACAGAGTTCCCATATGCCCTGGTCCCTCCGCGTGTACAGCTTCCCCACTATCGACAACCTGCACCGTGGTGGTACTCTTGAACCTGCATTGACACATCATTATCACCCTAATTTCATAGTTTATGTTAGGGTTTGCTCTTGGTATTGGGCATTCTATGGGTCTGAACAAATATATAATGACATGTATCCACTATTGTAGTATCATATGGAATAGTTTCACTCCTCTAAAAATCTGCTGTACTCTGCCTATTCATCCCTTCCTTCTTGCTAACTTCTGGCAACCATGGATTTTCTCACTGTCTCCATAGTTTTGTCTTTTCCAGATTGTCATAGAGTTGTAATTATCTAGTATGTAGCCTTTTCATATTGGCTTCTTTCTTTCATAATATGCATTTACGTTTTATTTTCCTTTTTAAAAGTGGAGTAAATATTAAACATTTTTTAAAAACATAGAATGAAGATTCAATTCCTGGATCATATGGCCTTTGAGTTACTGCAATATTCTAACCCGCTTCATGAGCTTCTGTGGGAAACACTATGAAGACAGTTCCTGTAACTGAACAGGAGCCTCACTGGTTCCAGACTGACACACTGAAAAGTGGAAATGAGAGAGTGATCAGGACATCCCTGACATAGCTTTGGTTGTCTTACTTGGGGAGAATAGCCTTGGCTCCAATTTACCACGAATCCTACTCAGCCCAGTGGGTCAGCAGAAATAATACAAGAAGGGCAATGCAGAAATATTTAATATTCTTGTTTCTTACTATTCATCCTTTCTAATCCGAGAAGGAGAGATCGTAATTGATGGGTCAGATTTGATGACTCTCATAGTTTTTGGTTTACTGAATTAAAAAGTGCCTTTTTTTGCTTTTAGAAAATGATATTAGAGTGTAAGAAGAGCTAGAATTTCATTCTCTCTCTTTGCTAGAGTTTCTCTCTGCCTTCCTCTGCCACTGTCTCTCTGTCTCTTCTCTCTCTTTTACCTTCTCTTCCTACTCCCCTTTACATTCCAGGCCAGCATAGCTAGACTCTCTCCATTAGGGATTTGGGCCCAGTCTCGGGAAGATAGCAGAGTCCTTAACCTTGACTGATTACATGTACTATCAGTTATAAATTTTAGGCACACTCTACAAATATTTATATATTCATTTATTTGTGAATTACATATATGTACTAAAATATAGTCATTTATTAGTAAATGATAGATATGTGCTAAAACATTCATTTAATTGTGAATTACATATATGTATAAAATATAATTATGTACATTATAAGGCATTGAAAATTAGGAAATAATGTGATAAAAATAAATATAAGGTAGTTCCAGTATTTGCTTCCTAGGATGCAGGCCAACTTTATCAATGTGCAACCTGTGTAGTGTACAGAAAGGCACCATACTTGGTTTAATGCTCTGCTATTGCAATTTTGAAATGATTAAATATTTGGAACAAGAGGCCCTGTATTTTTATTTTACACTGAGACCTATGAATTATGTAGCTGATCTTGCCTGAATGAATTATGTGGGTGGTCCCTTGTCTTTGCCACAACCCAGGCAGGGACAAGGTAGTTCCTTGAGAAAGAGAAAAAGATAAAAACATGGAACCACCTTGTCCCTGCCTGGGTTGTGCAAACTCCTTTTTGGAGATCCTGACCTAGAGGAATAATCAATCCAAATCCCTTAGCAGGTCCTTCAAAGCCTTTTATGAGTTTATGCCTATCTATTTCTCCATTCTTTCCATTTCCTCCATATGTTAAGCCTCAGCAATACAGAGTTATTTGCTGTTCCCAAACGTCATGCAGCCTTGTGCCTCTGCCTTTGTATGATGTGTGTTTCTTAGATTGAATGCATATGCCTGCCTCATACAACTGGAAAATTCCTTACACATCTTGAAAACCAGCTCAAATATGACTGCTGCAGGATTATTTGCTGGATTATAAGTGCTTTGAGAGCAGAGAGCTTTGTGTCTAGTTAGATTAATCTATAAGTGAGGCTACTTCAAAATGCAAACCCTAGAACTTTATAAAGAGTACATGTTCTGTAAATGCTGAATTAAGTAGATACAGAGAGGATAAGGGAGAGATGTTTTTTAATATTATGTTTTGTTTGTTGTGTTTGGAGGGTACCTAACATAAAACACCATAAGACAAATCAGGACTCTATTGATCCAAGGTAGCAATTTGCTAAGAGGAAAAAGGTGTGGCTGGGCCTCAAGGATGCTGCCACGGCTTTCTGTCACCTTTGCTTCTCTCCATTTCTCTTCATCCTTTCATGCCTGTTTTTTTTTATGTAGCTGGAAACTGGTCACTGGCAGCTTCCAGGCTCACACCTCACATCTTTACTCCAGAAAGTTGAACTGATCTGGTCTGGTTTAGGTTGGGTCAGGTGTACATCCCTGGGCGGATCACTGATCCCGGTTTCTCTACTGCCTGGGTTGTGGGGGTGTATGCAAGAACGGAAGGAAGGAGGTGAAATCTCACAGATCCAGGCATATGCAGCTGGATCCGTGGACAATGTTTTTATCTTTTTCACTTTCTCACGGACTAATTCCACAATTTATTTGAAATTTCTCCCATAGTTGAATTGATCAAATATTTATCTAAAGCTCTATTTAATTTGTATACTTTCAAGAACACAAAACTACATTTCCAAATTTTGCTATTTTACTGTCATTATTCATTTCTCTCTTAAAATTATGAACATTTATAAATGGCACTCAAATGACAAGGTGGACTTGTTTGAGTGAAGACAGGTTGCAGTGCAAGCTTGAAATCACCAAAAATGAGTAGGATCATCAGGGAAATTCAGAAAAGCAGTCATCAGAGAAGAGTGTGGCTGACATGGTTAGGTCTCATGGACTAAATAGAGAAGATGACAGAAATAGCATTTGTCGTTGCTAATTGGCAGTAAACAGCAAATTTAAAGTTAAATGGTTTAGGATATTCTTAGATGCCTATCCAAATACAGATTTTATTATGTTTCAATGTGAATGAGTGGAAAACTTTTTTTTTTTTTCAAAATCTGCACACTTAGCTGCACTCTTACTTTTCGAGGCTCCATCCTAAATCTCAGGAAGAATATTCACATTTACCCATCTTTCAAAATATAAGTTTTTTCCTGTAAAAATTTGAAGCAATTTTTATAGTCTTGGTTTTGAAATTATTTAACTAAAAGTAACTTACTTAGTTTAGGTTTGGCTATAATTTTTGCACAAATATTTCTTATACTTGAAAAATTTTTGAAAGGGAGAGTTTTTTCTCAATTTTTTTTGTCTTCACTTATTGTAAGTTATTTTCTAAGGTAAATTAATTATGAATAGGGAACTAGTTTTGAAAACAGCTTTTTGTTTGTTTGTTTCTACTTACCAGCCATATATATTCATACTGAATTAGTTTGAAAAGGTGTTGGTTAGAGTTTACAAATTAAAGATTGATTACTTAAGTTTACAGAAAAAAGTGTCTTAAAAAAGGTTAAACTTCCAGATGGGTTAAATTGATTACATTCTTATCTTAATTGAGAAGACTACAAATTTTACTTATTTAGCAATTTGTAAGAGCTTGAATACTCACAGTAAGCAACTGTAAGGCAACACTACTGAAGTTTTTATGGCATATAACAAACACACCGCAATGAAGATGATGTTTGAGAACTGATGAAAGAAAACTGATTGTGAAGACTATGGGTTGTTTGAAATTCTTTATTCATGTGGATGTGATACAAATTATAACTTTGATAGTAAAATAAAGAACACTACCATCTTTTTTTGCTTAAAATAAATTCGGTATGATTTTTCAAAAATAGTAAAATAAACTGACCAGTGGATCAGAATCACTTTGACAAAAACTATTTGATTTCTCAGTAAGAAAATATGCTGATCAAAATTTTCACCAAGAGGAAGTTGAAAAGGTGGGCACCTCATTAGCATTATTTTGGTTTCTCACCTGGGTGATTACACTGACATAAAAATAAAACATAAAAGCAAACAAACAAATAACTTTTTCTCCATAACACACTAAACCACCACCATCAAAATCTGATTCTATTTATATCTAATGAGGGAGCCTAGACTCTTGAAATATAATACCAGACAGACAACAGCAATTGCCTGCTTGTTGAATCTGATTTGTCAAGTATCAGCTCAGTTCAGTTCAGTCCAGACCTTGAAAGCGACATGCTCTATATATCAGCCTCAGCTCTTACCCAAGAGACATAGGACATGGTTGGGTTACTTAATGCAATTTTGAGTGATTTTAAATCTAAACTGAACATGAAAAAAATCAGTATGTTAGAAATCAGAATGCAACATGTGTACTTATTTTAGGATAAAACACAAAACTAGTAAGACATTTCATGTTTGTGGCAGGTTTGCTTTATGATGTAATAATCCATGGTCTCCTGCAGGATATATTGTTCACTCTTGGCTATTTTCAGGTGGTATATGTGTGTGCATGCACGTGTGTGTGGGTGGACAAGCAAAATGCTCTAGCTTGGATGTTCTGAAGTCAAAGGTGAAAAAAAAAAAAAAACAGGTCCAAAGCAAGTTGAGTGTGATGGGACAAAGTGCCCAATGGAAAGTGAGGTTTATGGCCAAGAGAAGGGAAATAGAGTAATAAAAGAAGCTGATTTGGAGAAGCAGGTCACAGGGGCTGATAGTGTAGGGAGGTATCCACCTATCCCCTCTAATTGTAATTGTGTGCTTATCTGTCACTGTGTGGCTGGGCTATTACCTTCTGAGTTTGGGTTCATGGGTAAGGCTGCACAAAAAGGCAGATCTTGAGTTTCACACAAAGGGTGTAGGCATTCCCAGTGTAGATCATTCTGGGAAGAGGATAATCTTAACTCACAGGAAGATGTGGAGCAGGAAGGAGAGGGAACTCTTTCCCATCTTAGGTACTTGATTTCTCTGGCCTAGGCTTGGAGAGGGAGGATAGAAATGTTTCAGAGTCTTCCTTGGCTCTTGCCTCAGGGCATCCCTTGAGTTGTGAGAGAAGTGGGCTGAGGTGATGTGAGGAGAAGCCAGAACCTGTGGGTTCCAAGAATACTCATATCCAAGAACCAGATCTAAGTTTCTCTTTGCATTGTTTTTTCTCTTAAGATAATTGAGTGATGTTTTATTTACTATAATAGGATGGACTTAGCTGTGTTCCGGAGAATTTAGAAAAGAGTTTATGTCTATTTTCAGAGTTCACTTAAAAGAGGGAGAGAGAACCCCCACTCCAAACCATGAGGCCATGATGACAGGCCACAGACTGATACCAGTCCGCGGCTTGTGGGCTAGAGACCCCTGCTTTAAGGGATTTGGAGAGATGAGAAGCATCATAGACTGGCCGAACAGCTCAATGTATCATGGAAGAAATACTTGGAGGAATCAACTAAAGAGTGAAAGTTTGTTTTTTGAGAGAGGAGCTGGGCAATTCTTTCTGTTTTAGATTTTAAAGGATGGGGTCTCGCTCTGTTGTCTAGGCTGTGACTAGTTACAGGCACCATCTTAGTACACAGCAGTCTCTAACTCCTGGCTTCAAGCAATCCTCCTGCCTCAGCTTCCAGAGTTGCTGAGACTACAGGTGCGTGCTGCATTTTTTAAAAAATTGTTTTTCAGTGAGCAAGTCCTTTATATTTCTTAATTAACTCTTTTCTTCCCTTTTGCTTAGGTAAAAATTAGTCATTTAATGTCTCTTGAGATAGAGGACTGATTAATGAGCCTAGCACAGTGCCTTGCACATAGTGAAAGAAGATATTTATTGAATAAGTGAATTCATGAATCACTGATTCAGTGAAGATGATGCAGTCTCAGTCCTTGTAGCCTACAGGAGGGGAAGATATATGAACAACTATATTCCAATGAGATATATGTTGTAACAGATTAGGGAATACTGAATCACAGGAGTAAAAACTAATAGAGTGATTTATTTTACTTTTGAAATAGAGGAGGGGAAGATTGTGGATGGAACAGGGTCAAGTATTCAGATGTGGTGAGATTTTGAATGGAACTTGGGGACACGTGTATTTTCTCCTGGTGGGGAATATTTGAGAAAAATTACAATGCACAGGACACAGCTTCTTAAAATAAATGAGTCAATAATTTGTGATTAACTTATGATTAAAGTCTCTGGGCTCTGAGATGTAATTTTTAGATCAGTTCATTTTGCTCAATTGTGCATAGAGGACAATACAAGGAAAAGGCTCATATAATCACTTACAGCTTTAGAGTTTTCCATACGATGGGTAGAAAAGAGAAAAACACACATACTTTGCAAATCTTACCTAAAGCTTTATGTAAATCTCAGGGGATCCTGGTTGTCAGAGAAGATATTTTGTTTTTGTGTTTGTGGTTTAGAAGTAGGCAGGGATAGATGGTTGAGACTAGAGAGATAAAAACAAGTAATCTACTATTAAATTCCAGCAAGTTATAGCCTTCCCTCTATAGCAGAGACCATAAAACAGGATTAGAACATGTCTGATAAAATAGAAGCAGGACCAGGAGGACTTCATTTGCCCAAGGACTTTTTGTCCCTGTTTGAGACATTTGGGGAAAAACTTGAGACAGGAGGATAGCTTAGTGTATATCTCAGATGTTTTTCTCCTAGTTGGGCTCCATGGATCTATACATGAGCCATTTGGAGATTCAGGGCTACATAGAAGCCAAATAAACTGTATTTTTGGAGAACTCAGCTATATAGGGAGGACAAGCAATGCAGATTTGCTACTCCATCGAGTGGCAGAGAAAAAAGTTTACTCTGCTTTATGGGGAAGATAGCAAAGCTTCCGTGCCTTGAGAATGGAAGAGAGAACATCAAGCCTTGGCACCTGGTGAGGGCGGCTTTGGAAGCCCTAGAGATGGGATCTCTGGAGTGATCGTTGGCTTCCCACAGTGGGCAGCAGTGACAGCAGTGTGTGGCTGAAGGCACTACCTAAGAGAGGTTTTGTGAGCTTCAGA
Organism: Homo sapiens; assembly: GCF_000001405.40. Lineage (NCBI taxonomy): Eukaryota > Metazoa > Chordata > Mammalia > Primates > Hominidae > Homo > Homo sapiens. The sequence continues at coordinate 159,687,243 of NC_000001.11, read as the reverse complement.
AAAGTGGACAACAGTAAAAGTCCAAGAGAGGGCAGAGCTCATATGAACACACCTAGAGACTCTCAGAAATAACCGAGTATAACTCTGGCCAAGGGGAAGGGCCATGGAGCATTTCAGTCAATGTGATTCAGCTCTCTTTTCCAGGCAGGTAAAGCCTGGGAAAAGCCAGATGTTACAGAAAAATCAATAGAGACTGAGTCCTCCTGAGCTTTACTTTGAGCAAGTGCATGCACACATACTGAGGCTTGATAATCAGGTTGTCAAAGCAAAGAAGTAGATTGAATTGCATGGGATTTTGGAATACTGGGGGACTTAGGAAATAGCATCTAGATGTAGCCAGAACAGACACTAGTTCATTTATCTTACACAGATTAAGGCTTCTCCTTTTCTTCAGTGAGCTGAAACAGAAGGGGCAAATCATTACACATGGTCTAGCCTGAAAGGCCAAGTAATTATGACTGTACAGGTATAATAAACACATTGTTCTCATTATAGATTGTGAGTGCAGTCACCCTCAGTGGATCCATTTGCTATTTTTGTAAGGATTTTTGATAAATATATTTTAGGTATTCTTGTATTGAAAGATCTTGACTGAATGGATCTAAATTTTTAGGTTAAAATAAGGTGTCCAGAGAGAATAAAACCAGGTAATAAGCTCCATTTACAGGACTTTGTCATTGTGAGGTTTATTATTTCTCTCTCAGTAAGTCACTGTTAGTTTGAATGACTGCTTATTATTTCATCCATCACATGTGTGCAGCATAAATCACTAAGCCATCCATTTATGTAGTGAATATAAATCTTATTCAATAAACTCAGGTAAGCAAGAAATGTCACATCTCTATTTGGTTTAAATCAAATTAAATAAGCCTCTGAGCTTCTGTCCTATAGAGTTGCTGAAAAATTTTAACTTTGTCACCATTGGGATTCCCTATTCATTGCCTCAAGGTTGTGTAAGGGTTCTAGGAGTCTCACATTAACACTTAAATTTCAGAGACCCACTGGGTACTGCAGAGATGATCATTGTCCAAGGCCACCTGGATCCTTGATGTCTGTAACTTTGCTGCTTCTGCCAAGTAGGCCACAGATATTTTGGTCCTGGTTGGGAGTCCTAAGGATCTAGAGCAAGCTTGTCCAACCCATGTCCTGTGGGTCACATGCAGCCCAGAACAGCTTTGAATGCAACCCAAAACAAATTCACAAACTTTCTTAGAACGTTATGAATTTTTTTTTGTGATTTTTCTTTTTTTAGCCCATCATCTATCATTAGTGTTAATGTATTTTATGTGTGGCCCAAGACAATTCTTCTTCTTCCAATGCGGCCCAGGGAAGCCAACGGATTGGACACCCCTGATCTAGAGGTACATTTTGTAGCCATCTTCTCAGGGCTTCTGTTCCTTTCCCAGAGGGCTGGCAGAAAGTGAGCCAGGTCCCTGATGCCCACCAGACCTGCCAGCCTGAGGTGTGCTCTTCATTCCCCCAGGAAGCCTCCATGTGTCTGCCTCCCTTAACTCCCAGCATAATCTCTGCAAGAGCTCACGGTTTTGGAGAACAAATATTAAACAGGGGATTATCTCCAACATATTTGGTTGCTTGTGTTACAAACTTCGCCTGAGACAAGGAAGCTCAATGTTACTTGCTTAGAATAAGACATATTCCAATATATTCAGGAATAGCATTAACAAATAACTACTTCAATGAGTATTCTGACTTGTTTATACAATAAACAATGATAACCCCTAACTATGTGACAGAGTCTGAACCAGGCACTGAGAACATAATAGTGAACATGACAGATCCTGGTCACCCTCTTCAAGGATTTTGTCATAGCGGATGATATGCACAAGCCAATAGTCAATGTCAACACAGTTGATAAGTGGGGTAATCACCTAATCTAGAGTTGGGAGGGGCAGAAATCATTCCTAGAGGATGTTTCATGTAAGTTGAGAATGGAAGAAGAGCAGGAGTTAGCTGGCCAAATGAGGATGAATGAGAATGAATAGCATGTGCAAACACATGGGGTAATGAGATCACATGGACACAGGAAGGGGAATATCACACTCTGGGGACTGTGGTGGGGTGAGGGGAGGGGGGAGGGATAGCACTGGGAGATATACCTAATGCTAGATGATGAGTTAGTGGGTGCAGCGCACCAGCATGGCACATGTATACATATGTAACTAACCTGCACAATGTGCACATGTACCCTAAAACTTAAAGTATAATAAAAAAAAAAAGAAAAAAAAAAGAGAGATACTGCCATGTTTTAAGCATTGAAAAATCAAAAAGAATTGAGAAGTCAACACTGGGGTGTTGAGAGAAATGAAGCTAGAGGATCAAACATGGCTCCAGTTGTTAAGGAGCTTATAATGCGTCCTGAGGTTCTTAAGAGTTAAGAGGGTTGGCTCACTTAACACTCATTCCAATCCCATTTTTTCCTTGCCTTGCTTTTCTTTAGTGACTAGAAGGTTAAAATACTCAACTTTCTCTATACTTCCTTGGAGATAGGAGTGGCTGTGTGAACCAGTGTGGCCAATTGATACCGAGTGGAAGTTTGCAGTTTCTGCTGATTTATTTCCTTACTCTTCTTTCTCAAATGGCAGCAATGGCTAGAAGTCATCGCTAGGGAGGGTAGAACAGAGACAGAACAATTTTGCTTCCCGGATGTCACTGCAGAGCTACTGTACCAGTACCGAGCTCCCTCCTTGCAGACTGTTTATGGAGTGAGGTGAAAAAAACCCACATTTGGTTAAGCCCCCTGGAGTGGATTTCATGCAGATGATTGAAAATCCTAATATAGGGATCCACTGAAATATTTCAAGTGTGAGAATTGATAGTTTTATTTTAGAATGATTGCTCTAGCTGCTTTGTGAAAACTAGTTTGGAGAGGGACAGGAGGACTGTGAAGACATAAAGCAGAGGTTTGTTGAGATCCAGGTGGGAGATTACATGGTTCTAATCAGTGATGCTGGAGGGATATAAAGATCTGAAAAGTGCTTATGGGGGAAGAGGTTACTGGAAGTTAGGAAGACAAGGCAGTTGAGGGGTTTCTGGCTTGAATCAGTGGGCAGAATGAGTATTTGGTCTACTTGTTTACCCCTTTAAATAATGCTAGAATGAAAAAAGGGTCTTCATATTTTGAATAGTTTCCTTAAAATGGTGAATGGAATGAATTTTCCCCAAGTTTTTAATTATGACCATAGAAATGTGGTGCTCTGGGAATGCCAGAAACTCTAATAAATGACTTTCTTCAATTTCCCAGCCTGAGAATGATCCTGCACTTTGTCTCCAAATTAATGCCTTCATAGGCAGTTTTGGAAAATGATTCACACATTTGCTAATATTTGGATTCAAGGGTGTCTAAGACATTTATGCCCTGAGAATTCAGATACTGACATTCTCACCATAGAGAATAACAGCAGGAAGACTGAACTGGCAAAACTCTCACTGTTTCCTGGTCCTCATCAGCCTTCCTGTACCTTGGCTCAGAAGTCAGTTTGTAGCCCCAGGCTACGTCTGAGAGCCAGTCCCTGGTCTGAGACTTTGAAGAGCCTTGTGTGGGCTGGAGAGAGGATGCACGGAGTGGAGAACACCCAGAATTGTGAGATTAAGAGAAGGAGTGAATCTCCTGTTTCTTATATTGTCTTTTATAAATATACTAGATAATTCAATTTCTTACGTCCAACCTTTTATTTCTTCCACAGACATGGGCAAAAAGGCTCTCGTGTTTCCCAAAGACAGCAAGAATTTCTTTGTGACCAGATAAGCACAATAGAAATCAAGAGTGGTGTTCACTAGTCAGTTGAAGTCCACCCTGACTCTGCCTGTGGGTGCAACCTCTTTTTGTGATGCCTAGACCCAAGCTAGTAAGACTGCCTTATGAGGAAAGAGACTGCTTTATATTGTACTCATTGAGTGGGATGGGAGGCCTTTTCAAGGTCTTTGGGCCATTCTTACTTTGCTGCACATCTGTGGGTTCCAGGGGGTCCACTTCAGGGATTACTGAGCTCTGGGTCGATGGGAAGCCTGTGGTGAAGAGGTATTTGGAAAAGCAATGCTCTGTGGGAACAGAGATAAGCATTATTCTGGGGGCAGGAGCAGATTCCTTGCAGGTGGTCTTTGATAAGAACCAGTCCTTGTGGGAGACATTGAAGTGAACATGTAGTACTATGTGTTGTGACCAGAAGAGAGAAACACAGTGTATCATGGTCGGGGGGTGGGGGGGTGGCCTTCAGTTTTAGTGTCCTGGACTGGATAGTGCTGGTGTTTGAGGTGCACAGTGGAGTGTTCACCAAGCCCCGGCTGCGGTTCTGGGGCTGCGATCCCGCTAAAAAGCAGAGGTCCTGAAAAGTGTCTCTTGGAGATAACACCTCACACTGGCTCCATGTCTCAGACCCAGAAGATTTTTTTTTTTTTTTGCCTTTGTGGCTGAAATGCTGCACCATGGATTCTGGCTTCCCTTTCCTGCTCTGTCTTCATCAGTGCATTTTTTTTTTTTTTTTTTGAGATGGAGTCTTGCTCTGTCGTCCAGTCTGGAGTGCAGTGGCGTGATCTCGGCTCACTGCAAGCTCTGCCTCCAGGGTTCATGCCATTCTCCTGCCTCAGCCTCCCGAGTAGCTGGGACTACAGGTGCCTGCCACCACGCCCGGCTAATTTTTTGTATTTTTTTTTTTTTGTATTTTTAGTAGAGGCGGGGTTTCACCATGTTGGCCAGGATGGTCTCGATCTCCTGACTTCGTGATGCGCCTGCCTCGGCCTCCCAAAGTACTGGGATTACAGGCGTGAGCCAACGCGCCCAGCCGTGTTTCTTCTTAAGTGAAAAGTAAGCCATATGTTCTACATTTTTTTTTTTTCAGAACGAATCGAAGCTGTGGAATTAGTTTGTTAAGTTGAAAAGGATTTTAGACATAACTCAACATGCCATTGGTTGAGTTTTCTATTTCTGCTGTATCAAGTGACCACAAGTTTAGTGGCTTAAAACAGCACCAACAGACATTATTATCTTACAGTTCTGGACGTTGTAAGTGTAAGATGGATGTATCCTCAGGGTTGTATTCTTTCTGGAGGCTTTAGGGGAGAATCTGTTTTCCTGCCTTTTCCAGCAGTTGGAGGCTGCCTGTATTCCTTGGTTTGTGGCCTCTTCCTCCATCCTCAGAGCTAGTGTTACAGCATTTTCTCTGTCTTTGACTTCCTGCCTTTCTTTCATAAAGACCCTTGTCATTACATCAAGCTCACCTATATAATCCACGATAATCTCTGGATCCCTAATTTAATTACAATTGCAAAGTCCCTTTTGTCATATGAGGAAACATACTCACTGTTTTCAAGAATTAGGATATAGCTATTCAGTCTATTGCATTTATTTTACAGAAGATATAACTGGAATGCTAGAGAAGAAGAATTAAATAAAATCCGCAAGGCTCATTTGGGCTCCTGCTAGCCCACATGGTGCTTTTATATGAATGAATGGGTTAATGTTATGCCATGGTGCATGGCTCAGTGAGTGTAGTGTGGGGAGATAGCAGTCCCCACTCATTCCCTTGGCTAGACACTGTGTGCACATCTGCACACCACACACACAGGCTCTGGAGTGGTGAGTTTCGATACTGGAAATAGAATCCTGATCTTATGATTTCCAGTGCTCATTTCTACAATCTTACCCCTGCTTTCCACCCTTTCATAGCTGAACTGAGGGATGATCTCTGAAAAGCTGGCTAAGGGAATTTAGGACATGTCCTGACTACTCCTAAAGTGATCACGTCATGCCACTTTCAGTGCTGCCTCTGAGTACCTTGCATTCAGCTCACGAGTTATCACTTTTTAAAAATCAATATTTTATTAATCCTCTTCCTGTTCCACCTCATCAGTGTCCATAAACGTCTATGCCCAGGCAGAGCTCCTATCTTTTTATGTGTGAACTGCTTGCACCATACTCTATGGCACTAGGAGTTTTAGTCACATTTAAAAGGGCAAGACATTTTGGCTCTGAGTTTTATAAATCCTCTGTGGCAATATTACCTTTCTGTACTATTATTATAAAGGGACTTTAATCAACCCTAACTGAAATGGGAATTCCTCTAGACCAGTGCTGTCCAGTAGAACTTTCTATGGTGATGGCAACGTTTTCTTTCTTTCTTTTTTTTATTATACTTTAAGTTTTAGGGTACATGTGCACAACGTGCAGGTTAGTTACATATATATACATGTGCCATGTTGGTGTGCTGCACCCATGTGTGGTGGGGGGAGGGGGGAGGGATAGCATTAGGAGATATACCTAATGTTAGGTGGCAACGTTTTCTATCTGCGTTTTCCAAATAGTCACTAGCCAAATGTGGCTATGAGCACTTGAAACATGGCGAGTATGGCTGAAGAATTGCATTTTAAATCTTATTTAATTTTAGTTAAAAATTAAATTGCCACATGTGGCTAGCAGATATTGTATTGAATAGAGCAAAACTAGACTCCTTCCTTGAGATAAAGGAAAATAAGTGTAGTGTGAAAGCGAGAGTAATCTCAATCATAAAACCTTATAATTAGGAGAGCAAGGAAGTAGAGACCTTCACTGGAATAATAAAAAGATAAAATTTGGGTAGGTTTAAAAATTGCCTACTATCACGCTGAGGGCCTACTTTTCTCTTGTTTCTACCAGAGGGCAAGCAAGTTGTTATCAAATTGTTTAAAGTATTCTGGGGAAAATCTTTAGAAGTATGCACTTTATGTATTTATTCCTTGTTTGGGGCAGTATTTTTCTTAGGACCCTACTGTATTTTATTTTTCCCTTTCTTCATTAGAGGTGAGTTTATCTATATTTGCTATTTAGTTTAAAAAAAGTGGGCCGGGCGTGGTGGCTCACGCCTGTAATCCCAGCATTTTGGGAGGCCGAGGAGGGCGGATCACGAGGTCAGGAAATCCAGACCATCGTGGCTAAAACACGTTGAAATCCCGTCTCTACTAAAAATACTAAAAATACAAAAAATTAGCCGGGCGTGGTGGCGGGCGCCTGTAGTCTCAGCTACTCGGGAGGCTGAGGCAGGAGAATGGCGTGAACCCAGGAGGCGGAGCTTGCAGTAAGCCGAGATCGTGCCACTGCACTCCAGCCTGGGTGACAGAGTGAGCCTCTGTCTCAAAAAAAAAAAAAGAAACAAACCAAACCGAAACAAAACAAAACAAAACAAAACTAAAAAAAGAAAAAGAAAAAGTGTACCAGAACATCTTTTGACTCTGTTCCTGTGCATAAGTAGTAAGGCCATTATATTATTCTTTCTCTCGGGACTGTGAGGCCTAGAGTATCAAAGGTACTCCAGGAAACGTTATGTTTGTTGTGACATTTTATGTATTGCTAGTCAAAATTGCACCCTGGATAGGTTTTATTTTAAGGATCTGAGATGATATGAAAACTTCATGCTTCAGGTAGGAGAGAAAATACAGCGTTATGAGAATGTTTGGTATCAGGATGTGGGTCTAAGATATTTCAATAAAAGACATGCAGTCTCTCTGATACAAAGTTAAGTGTGGCTCTCACTGAGAGGCAGGGAGTGTGCGGTGACCAAGACAGATGGCTGTCTTGAGAGGATGGGGAGGCCGATCTCTGAAGCAGGTCCTGGAACTAAGGAAATGGACCCAGGATAAACAGCAATAAAGGGGCTTTGGAGGAGATTAAAAACCCAATGAGCAGCCCCCTTCCTAAGCTTTTGCAATAGGGCGTGGAGGATCATATACACTTGGTGTCAACAGGGCAGGATGACCTTTAGCCAGGAGCACCCAGTAGGAATAGAATTAGGCTCAAGTTGCAGGAAGCAACAGAAGAGTTAGAGAAGAAACAGAGAGTGTCAGTAAGGAACAAGAAAGACAAAATCATGGGGATAAATACTGATGTGGAGGATGCCTATTGCCATTTCTGCTCCATCTACTATAAAAGGCACTGGGGCACTTAAAGCGTTTCTAGAGGTATCAGTACAAGGCGTGAGGGAATATTGACAATGGGAAGTTTTCTCTGACATTTGTAGTACAGAGGAGATAAGCAGCTGCCTACAAAAGATTACAGAGGTGGGAATCCCCATTGTCAATGTGTCCTGAGACACATTTTTGTAGTCCTGCAAACCCAACACAAAAAGACTTTGTAAGTTACAGATAAGTAAAGGGATATGATGCGTCATGAGAAAATATTAAGAATGACAGCAATGAAAACAGAAACACTTCCGTAAAAATTTCAGGAAATCCTTCAGTTTTTTCATCTACTCCCCCACTGATCTAATACGTATTTACTGAGAGCCTCTTATTGAATGAAACCCTATAGCTAAAGACTTGAATGAGACAGTCTTTGCCATTCGATAGCCCTCAGTCTAGCAAGAGAGGACTCATATAAACATATGGCTATGCTTTCATGATATAAATGTTCTGGTACATATATGTATATGTATGACATATAATACACATGTATGTGTGTTACCTATATCAGATGTATATGCAGATATACATGTAGGTGTGTATATATATAGGTTGGGGCGTGTGTGTGTGTAAGTAAAGACTGGTGAGTTTGATCTATTCTTCTTAGACAATAGGGAGGGAGGAGAGCAAGAAAAGAGCAGCCAAGGAAGTCTTCACAGGAGACATTGTATTTTAGTAAAATTTGAAAGTCAAGTCGAATTTTGCTTAGTGCAGAACTTTGAGAAGAAAATTCTAGGTAGAATAAATAGTATGAGTAGGGTATTGAGATCTGATAAGGTATGGATTGGCTGCTTAACAACAGATATTTAGTGACATGTTTGCAATGGGTATAGGAAGGCGGTGGGATATCTATCCCACTTGGTACAACAGATGCTGAAGGAGACCCACCAGGTGCCTGGAACATCCATGCTCATTGCATTTGGCCTCTACACAAGAACGGATAGGAGGAAGAAAGCAACCAATATTCTAGACTATCTGGATACTTCCTAGATGTTTGGGTGACTATAATCTTGCTAGATAGTCATCTGATGCCCAACTGGCCATATAGTTAGGTTGCCCTTTATTTTTTTATCACTAGATAACCATCTAGAGAGCACACTCTGCTCCATATTAGAATGAAAAACATATTGCAAAACAGGGGCTATTAAAAATGAGAACCATATGCTTGGAAAGAGTTGTAACAACTACTTAGACCAATAGTTTTTGGTCCTATTAGAGCCAATATTCTTTTTACATAACAATTATTTATAACATCCCCTTCATTATTTTGAAGTAAAATCCATAGATAATATAACCTACCACATAACTTAAACATGTCAATAGGATGCTTAAATTATAAAAATAAATAAAAGTAAATCAATGTATAATAAAATGTTACGTATTTCAATATGAAAATGCTTGGGCATGCCTTCAGCAGATGATATAATGAAGAAATTGGATGCTTGTGTCTGTAAGTAGATTCATGGTGAATACAACAGCCACAAATGTGGGCTGATACATGGGGGGCAGAGTTACTAAGTCAGAGATCAACAGCCTTGTGATTGGTCATGTAATTTTATGAACTGGTAAACAATTCTTGGTAAAATTTGGAAGTAAAACAAAATAATCCCTCAATTTACATGGTAACTGCATTCCTGGAAAATCCAGCTTAGGTTAAAATTCTATAAAATATATTTGATATTTACATGCAAAACAACTAGAAGAAAGTACTAAGCTTGGGTAATTATATAAATACATTATTTAAAAAATTACATGAAAGTCTGGAAGGACATTTTGAGAATCATGAGGGACAATTTTGTTTTGTGGGACTATCCCCAGGATTAGAGGACTTAGAGCATTCTGGCTCCTGCCCTCTAGTGCCAATACATCCCCTAATCTTTGTGACAATGAAAAATATCCCCCCACCCCAACTACGAAAAATACAAAAATTAGTTGGGTGTGATGCACACCTGTAGTCCCAGCTACTTGGGAGGCTGAGGTGAGGGTATCACCTGAGCCCAGGAAATTGAGGCTGCAGTGAGCTGTGATCATGCCACTACACTCCAGCCTAGGTGATGGGAAGGAGACTCTGTCTCAAAAAAAAAAAAAAAGCTCCCTCCACCAAAAAAAATATCACACTATCACACAGGCTTTTGGGCATGGTATCACCTCCTTTGAGGTCCACTGATCTAGAAGCACTTTGCAGAAGCACTTACCAAATGCCAGCAGAACACTGATTTTCTAAAAATCCAATGGTGAGTCAGATTCAGATGTGGGGCAAAAACCCTCGGTCTTCTCATAGCCTATTCAGTGTTTTGTTTTGTTTTTATTTTTTCCTTATCTTAATTTACTAACACTTTGGGAATTGAAGGAACAGTTTTTTGCGTCGCTAGAAAATTTCATGCACTTTTCAAATTGTTCATTTTATTCTGACTGAAAACCTCAAAGAAAATAGTGGAAAGATTATTAGGCCAGTTTAAATAATCACATAAGATATTTATTGGTCTTGTTTACATTTCCCACATCTATGTGAAATCCCCAATGTCCAAACTCTCACAAATACATGAAGTAGCACTTCCTTTACAATTTTATAGATATATTTACATTTTATCCAACCAATTTATGCCTGTAACGAAAAGGTGAAATAGTGCAGAAGTGTTTTAAAGAAAAACAGCAGTCTCTTGCTTTACCATTCCACTCCCAATCACACTCCATGGAGGTAATCGCTTTGAACTTTGAAAATTATTTATAATTTTACGGAGGTAGCCTCCACTTCTCTAAAAAAGTCTTACGTTGCTATTTCTTATTTTACCAATTTTAAACATTATCTATAGACTTCCTATTATAATAGAAAAGGTTTAGGAGGCCGAGGCAGGTGGAACACATGAGGTCAGGAGTTCCAGACTAGCCTGACCAAAGTGGTGAAACCCTGTCTCTAACTAAAAATACAACATAATCCGGGTGTGGTGGCACATGCCTGTAGTCCCAGCTACTCAGGCAGCTGGGACAGGTGAATTGCTTGAGCCCAGGAGGTAGAGGCTGCAGTAAGCCGAGATCATGCCACTGCACTACAGCTTGGGCAAGACAGAGTGAGACTCCATCTCAAAACAATAATAATAATAATAATAATAATAATAATAATAATAATAATAATAGATAAAGAGTCAGCTTATCTTTCCCTCTCCCCTAAATGAAGGTGTGTCACCATTTTAGTCTGCTAATTACTTTGCAACATTTACTTTAATTCTAGACAGCAGAGAAACTGTATCCAGTATTTCTTTTCACCTCACGTTACATTTTACAGAACAAAACAATCAGTATCCCTATACTTTCTTTTAGTTCTTTCCTTCCCTTTTCATTTCTCTCTTGTTTTATATTTTTAGATCACTAAATGTAATAGTGTTATGATCTATTCTTAACACAATAAAAATTATGAGTTTTGTTTACTGATCAATTTTAAAAGCAGAGGCTCAGTAGTGTTTACATGATTATAATTTTGTGACTATTGTTCACTGCAGAGCGAAATATTATGGTATGACTGTGTTTCCTTTTCAGCTCTTTGTTGTTGTTGTTTGTTTCTTGGAGTTTCTAATTATCTTTTGTTCCCCTATTGTTTTTCTTTGTCTAATTATCTTTTGTTCCCCTATTATCTGTCTTTGTAGCAGCAACGATACTATCAAACCAAAGGCATCCTTTTATTTCCCTCCACACAACCCTGACCTATTGATACCTCTTTTGTGGAACCCTGATCTCTAATCAGGGCTGATTATTATTTAGGTTGGCCTAAAAGGTGTCATTTTGAGTCTTCCTTTCATTACTTTCCTATATTGGAGTTCCAGTCTTTGATCTCATATCTTTGTCTTTTTTGGTTTGCCTCTTATACTCTTTTCTGGAGCATGTCTTGTAGTAATTTCCAAGGAATGGTGTGAAGGAGATGGATACCCTGGGATCTTAAATGTCTAAAAATGTCTTTATTTCTGCTCTCACGACATCTGGATTGATGTCAAAATGACTATTGAGTTCTAAATTGAAAGTATTTTTTGTTTTATTACTTTGGAGGTTTTTCTCTACTAAAATTTGCACTGATTTGCCCAGTCTGATGTCAATCTGTTTCTCATTACTTAGTGAACTGTTCTGTTATTCTCTAGAAATTTTTAGTATTTTCTTCTTATCCCTGCTGTTCTGAAATTCCAAAAATTTGGGACCAGATGTGGGCATTTTTTCCTCCATTCATTGTTTTGGTTACTTAGTAGTCCATCTCAGTCTGGAAAATTGTTTATCTAATTTTGGGAATTTCTTATATTATTTATTTTATTCTTACCCAATCTCTGTTTTCTCTTTCTAGAGTTCATACTGGTTGAATATTGGAACTTCAGGATTGGCCTTCTTATGGTTTTATTTTGTGCTTCTTTGTGTTTGCTTTGAACACGTTAAGTTCTAGTTTCAGAGATATTTTCTCAATTTTATATTAATAATTAATAATTCTTAATTTGGCAATAATATATTTTATTTCGAAGTGCCTTTTTTGGTTCTCTGATTGCTCCTTTTTCATAGTATCCACTTGATTATAATCTCTGAGAATATAAGAGTTCTATTTTAAAATTCTCTTCTGTTTCCTAAATCATCTGTGCCACCTTTAGAGTTACTTTTCTCCTCTTATTTCGGTCTTTTACCTACATGTTGCATTCTTCCCTCGATTATCTAATGGACTTTTATGCATCATATTTAAAAACAGGACTACAGAGAGAGTTCAGTGCGTGCATCCATCGGTGAGATTTCTTTTTCAGATGAGTATGGGGAGCCAGCTTGCAGGCCGGGGATCCTTAAATAACACAATCTGAAGGGCTCCTAGACCTTTGGGACCTCAACTCCATCACTAGCTCCCTTTGTGCTATTTTGGTCAATTTCCTTAGAAAAGCGTCCTTTGTTTATGTATTTATTTTTGGCCTAAAAGCAAAACACTTCGATATCAACCATTCTGGACAAGGGATTAGAGGAAGGATAGCTAGAGTTGATTTTGTTAAGTATTCGGGGCTTAGTTCCTACTGTCTGTGGTTGGAAGCCTCTGAGACAGGCTGTGTTTTTCTAGGTTCCCCGGGGTTGATTTTCTTCCTTCTTGGCTGCAGCTCCCCCAACTCCCTCATATATTCTAGTGTATAATTTTTTGTTGCCCAGTGTCAGAATCTGCCATCTACATTTTCCTTTTCCAGACATGTTTAGAAATATTTCACTTGCTAGTAGTTTCTTCCTTATTATCTTCATTGTTGTGAGTATATATAATTTTTATTCTCTTAACATCTTTTTAATGTGGCCTTGGGAGAGGGAGAAAAGATATATATTTTTACACAGTTTGCAATTGGAACTGAAAAATCCTCTGTACTTCTTCTCCCCCACTAGATATTTTAATTTTATTTGCATTAATTTTTTCTAATAGATAATACATGTATATACTACAAAATTCAGGAAGTCCAAAAGAGTACACAGTAAAATCTAAATCTTTCTCATCATCCCCCTTCTCTAGGCACATAGTTTCTTGTGTATCCTCCCAGAAATATTCTGTGCAAATATATATTTTTAAATTAAAAAATGCAAGGAGAAACATACAGACACATTGTTTCACACCTCCCTCTTTGTATTTACCAATATCTTGGAGATCATCCCTATTGGTGCTGTATAGAGCTTTTTAAAGATTACTTTTGATTTCTACTCAGTGTTTCACTAATTAATAGACTGTAATTTATTTTACATTTCCTGTTGTTGAATTTAAATTTCCTCTCCACTCTTTTGATTTTACAAACAAAGCTACAATTAATTTCTTTTTATACACAGTATTTTCACACATATATATCTATTTGTAAGATAAATCCTAGAAGTAAAATTGCCAGTCAATTGCCAGCCTTCTTGGGGAGAAGAGGGCAAGGGGTGGGGGATGTATCAGTTAATGCTCCCTCCAACAATGTACAAAATTACCAGTGTTTCCACAACTTTGGCTACTTGTACTGTCAAGATCCAATCAGAAGCCGCACCAACTATTTCAACAGGAAGAATTTAATACAAAGAATTGTTGACTACGTGTAAAGTTGTTAAGAAGAAAATTAAGGCAAGAATGGAATACTAAGGTATCAGGGAAGTAGCAATTGCAGAAAACAGCCACCATCTCTAGGGGTAAGGAGAACAAGTGAAGAAGTTGAAATTATTAAAATTGAGAAACTCAGAGGAGGGACCTCCAGTATTGAAACCCAGATCTCTGAGCATGGAGTATGGTTCATCTGATACCGTGAGCTTGGGGGAGGAACCCGCTGGGGCTGTGACCAGACTTCTAGCAGGGAGCACTGGTTGGCTAGTGATGGTTCTCTGAGGGGAGAATAATCAGGCTGAATCTACAGGTGGTGGAAAAACTGTAAACTGGGCTCAGCTGCTGCAGTGGCGAAGAACTGATGCTGCAGGTGAAAGAATGCGCTGAGGTGAAGTTGACAGGAACAGGAAGCGGACCGGGAGGAATAAGTCCCTTTTTCCTCTTTCAGCTTTGCTCTCTACCTCTTGTACCTCTCATTGGCTGAGCCTACCAGGGAGCCAGATGGCAATGATGAATGTGGGGTGCAGAGTGCCAGCACCAGCATCACAGGTTCAGAAGGTGGGATTGGAGCTGAGGGACAATAACCCTAAAACTGGCAGAGCAATCTGGTGAATTCTCAAACTTTTGCTCTTTGATGATGCAATAGATGAAAACTTACAGCTCATTATAGTTTTGATTAACACTTTTAAAAAATAAGGACTGAGATTGAATACCCCTTAATTTTTATAATTGCTTGATTTTCCTTTCTACAAATTGTCTTTTGCTATTTCTTCTTCATGTTTTTCTTTGAATCATTGATTTTGTTTCTTATTCGTTAAAGAAATTAGGCCTTTGAATATGAGTTGCAAATACTTTTTCCCAGTCTGTCATTTATCTTCTGATTTATACTGGATGTTTTTATGTATGCATTTTTATTTCTACAGAGTTGGATTTATCAATATTTTCCTTTGTGACTTCAGTTTTTTCCTTCACGTATAGGAAGACCTTTCCAACTTTGAGATTAAACAAAATTCTTCCATTTTTTTCTTAGTGCTTTTATGGTTTTGGTTTTAGGATTCAGATATTTGATCAACTTGGACTTTTTCTTGATATATAATATAAGGTATTCATCCAAATGTGTTTCTTTTTCCTGCTTTACTAGTCAGATGTTTTAATACCATTTATTGAATAATCCATATTTTCTCCGTTGATTTGAAAATTCATTTTTTATTATAATTCCTGTGTGGTTTTTTTGTGTCCATTCCTGGACTTTCTAATCTGTTTCATTGATATGTCTGTCTATTCATGTGATAGCAGCACAGTGTTTTAATTACATTCTTTCCTTATTATCTTCCCTGTTTAGAATTCTATGTTCATTCTTGAATTTTCTTTTCCCCATAGATATATTATAATCAGCTTGTTAACTTTACTTCCTGTTGGCTGTTTTATCAGGATCACATAAAAATAGTAGATTAACTAAGGGAGAGCTGACATTGTTATACTGAACTTTTCTATTTAAGAACATGATATACATTTCAATATGTTTTTCTTCTTTTACATATTTCTTATTAAGTTTATTACAAGATGTTTATTCTGCCTTTTTAAAAATTCTGATTTGTAACCACATGCATCTTGACTTGGTATCTTCCCCATACCCCAATTAAAAAAAATCTATACGGGCACATGTTCTCAGGACCTCCTTGAGGGCTTTGTCACCGGCCATGGTCACTCATATTTGGCTCAGAATACATCTCTTCAAATACTTTACAGAGTTTGACTCTTTTCATCGACGGTAATCTGGTGCCCAAACACGTGGAGCCTCAGAGAAGACTCAAGACCCTGAAAGAGTTGCCCAAAACTGGAGCTAAGAGATAAGGTACAAGCAGGGCCCATTGAAGCCCCACCGAGTTTGAGCTTCTTCTCTGGTGGAGCTGGCCTTGAATGATGGCTCTCTCCTTCATCTTTTCTTGGCTCCTGTAACTTTTACTAATTATCTAAAGTCTAACAGATGCAACTCCCTGCTGGGAACCCAAAACTTTTTCACCAGAAAAGGTAAAACGGTCTGGGGGGTAAAAAAGGCTTCCTGGGGCCAGAACATAAAAAACATAAAAGATAATAGAACTATAAAATGTAAAATGGTTAAACAAGTTTTATGTAAGGTAGTTGTAACCCTTTTTACCTAAATGCCTTATGAAAATGGGAACTATAACTGGGGGATGTTTTCCCCTTTCTAGTACTATAAAACTGAAGACATGTAAATCTGCTCATGTAAATCCTCCACTGCATAGCCCTTTGTGTGGAGCATTTATGGGGGCTGATTGCAAAAACTGTGAGTACTGGCTGGGCGCGGTGACTCATGCCTGTAATCCCAGCATTTTAGGAGGCCGAGGCGGGCAGATCACCTGAGGTCAGGAGTTCGACAGCAGCCGGCTCAACATGGCAAAACCCTGTCTCTACTAAAAATACAAAAATTAGCCAGACGTGGTGGCATGCACCTGTAATTCCAGCTACTCAGGAGTTGAAGGTAGGAGAATCGCTCGAACCTGAGAGGTGGAGGTTGCAGTGAGCCGAGATCACGTGCTATTGCACACCAGCCTGGCAACAAGAGTGAAACTCTGTCTCAGAAAAACAGCAAGAACAACAACAAAAACAACAACAAAAAAAGCTGTGAGTACTTTTCAATAACAACTGAGCTAGAGAATTTCCACTTGATGGGGCATTTACTGCATTGCTATGGAATATTAACTGAAGCTACCCCTATACTGATGGAAACTATGTTTTTCAAAAAGTTCCATGATGAAATAAAATTGGTTTCCATAAAATATTGGCATCTAATAAGCAGAGAGCTTTTTTCCTAGGACTAATTGTGAAAAGCTGCTACATTCTATAGTGTCTAATAACTCTCATAAACTGTTTGGTTCGTAAATAACATTTCCAAGGTAAACAAACATCTTATCTTAAAAGCTGCTGCTCTGGTTAAAGGAGGATCAGGAAAATCTTTTCCTTTTAAGTCATTTGGGTAAAGTATGTTTTTATAAGCAAATTTACCTTTCTGAATCCTCCAAAATTCAGATTGTAATTTTATGGCAATGTAGTTGTCTGCATAAGTTCAATAGTAGTTTTTTTTTTTAACAATTGGAAACACTGATTATTTTACCAAGACTGAAACTAAAATACTCTATTTTAAGGTAAAGTTTCAGCAAAACCAACTTTAAAAGGAGTCTATATGGCCAGTCAATTTCTTGCTGCATTTTATGCAAATAATCAGGCAAGCATAATAAGCCAAAAACTAACCTTGCACACAAATTGGCCTTGCTGTAATATTCCCTGTAATAAAAAAGCTGGCTAAGAAATTGTTTCAAGGGCAAGCATAACATTTAATAATAGACTTCAGCCCTAAATTTTTAGGTGCAGATTAAATCATTATTTCTTGGCTACAATAATCCTCTAGAAAGTACCAGATTGTAATTTTTCTTCATGTTTTTAGTTGGTGCCCAAATGGAATAGATTCCTTTTTCTGTTCTGACTTACAAGTTACTCTTAAAATTGTCAAATTATGAATATTATTTATCTGTTTTTGTTTTACTTCCAAGGAAACAAAAATCATGGTACTCTGAAGACCAGAGACATGAATCTCCCTCATTTGGCATCCCACTGGGCTCAGACCTGTTTCACTGCTAATCCTCTGTTGCTAAAACTAAACAAGCTACCTCCCTCTAGGCCCAGGCACTATTGCAAAAGAGCTGGGTACATAAGATTGGAAGGGCCGGTTTTGAGGGATAAAATTAGGACAAGATCAAACCCTCCAAATCAAGAAGGGGGTACAAAAGAATGCCCAAACAGCTGGTAAAACAAGTTTAGTTGCCTTCTAAACTATTAATGTGTCAGTTTTGCATTCACCCCAACCATAAAAATTTTCTGCTTACTATAAAATTAAAGGAAAATATTTACTAACAGGATAAAATACCTTGTAAAAAAGCCTCCTGGATATAGTACTCACAATTAAGAGCTGTGAAGATAAATCTATCTATCTATCTATCTATCTATCTATCTATCTATCTGTCTGTCTATCTTTTTAATTTTTCAGAACAATGCTTATGTTTTATATAGCTAATGGCTATAAGTCTGTAACAAAAACCAAGCTCACAGCAGCTGAGCTTGAAATTAAAAATAAGTCAATCTTATAACTTTTCCTTTTGGTTTTTCTGTTGGTTTTTTACTTAAAATAGTAATTTTAAGAGGTAACAAATGCCTGTCCACATCCATTCCTATCTGGCCTAGACCGATTAATTGGCTATAAATCTTTTGACTCTTCAGGCCCTCAGCCATAGGGATCCTGCCGAGGGAAAAATGACACTGAAGAATTATATGACTTATCCTGTGACCAAACCTTTTTTCTTCCAAATACTAGTATATGGTGCAATACAAAAGTGGGGGAAAAATAGATTTGTCTACTGTTAAGAAGTCTATAACAATTTAGACACCGAGGACCAGGCATTTCTTGCATTTAATTTATACCCTCCTCAGGATGCTATGCCAATAGAGATACATTGGCTGGAAAAGAGATTAAATTTATTAAATTCTAATTTAATGTCGGTCCTACAATTCTCAAGTAAGATTTATCACAAGGTTCAAATAACCCTCGATGAGGAGGGTAAATACACTGGGAGTCTGATCAGAGTGTATGATGATGCATGCAGTGATTTTTTGGCTTGTTAGGTTGTTTACAGCCCTTTGACTCTACCTATAACCTCCTTGGATGCCTAATCCTTGCTATCTTTATGGTATTTGTCACTGTATTAGCATTATATATTTCCTGTAAATGTTATGCCAGATACAACAGAAGGAAAGGCACAATTAAAGACCCAGATCATGATAGCTCAGAAAATGGATCTAATCTGGGATGTGTTTTTTTAGACTAAACCCTAGACCTGACTCCATCTCACCCCTTAAACAATTGGCTATTACATCAGATCAAACCATGTCTTCCCCCCATTATCCAAATTGCTAATATTCAAAACTATGACCATCAACCAGACTACTCTAGGAATGAGCCTTCCTAGCATTGTGGGACCTCACTAAATGACCAGATCAGACAACTTTAGGAATAACCCTTCCTAGTGCCATGGGACCCGCTGCTGTGGGCCTGCATGTACATTCTGTGGAATCCTTTTTGGCCAAGAGCAGGGACTGAGGACTAAGCTCTGATTTTTTATCTTGCCCAAATTCCTACCTAAGGGGTCTAGGGAGTCATGCCTTACAAACCATAAATCGTCATCAGATGGGTTTTATTTGACCCTATATGTCGTGACTTACTTTTCAGTCTGACTGTGGCATAACATTACGAGACAAGGAAAAAATATTTAAACCCAAAATATATTTCCTTGCCATACCTTGAAGTTGCCCTGCAAAGTCTCCTGTGGGAAAAATCCACATTCTATAGAGAATCCCCTTCCCCCTTTGTTTTCCTTCCTTTCTTTGCAGATCCAGTAGATAATCAACTAAGAACCAGGCACCCTTTTAGGTCTTATAGGAAACATTTTAAAACCTGCTCTCTCTCTGAAGTCAGCTGAGAGATTCCTCTGCACAATAAAACTTGGTCTCCACAATCCTTTAGCTTAACCTAAACATTCCTTTCCATTGATCCCAGGTCTTCAGATAAACTCAACCAATTGTCAACCAGAAAATATTTAAATTTACCTGAAAGTCCCCACTTTGAGTTGTCCCACCTTTCTGTTTTTTCTTTTCTTTTTTTGAGACAAGAGTCTCACTCTGTTGCCCAGGCTGGAGTGCAGTGGCGTGATCTCAGCTCACTGCAGCCTCCGCCTCCCGGATTCAAGCGATTCTTCTGCCTCAGCCTCCCGAGTAGCTGGGACCACAGGCATGCACCACCATGCCTGGCCAATTTTTGTATTTTTAGTAGAGACGGGTTCCACCATATTGGCCAGGCTGGTCTCGAACTCCTGACCTCACGATCCACCCGCCTTGGCCTCCCAAAGTGCTGGGATTACAGGCTTGAACCATCGTGCCCGGCCCAAGTTGTCCCACCTTTCTGAACCAAACCAATGTATTTCTTAAATGTATTTGATTGATGTCTCATGCCTCTGTAAAATATATAAAACCAAGCTGTACCCCGACCACCTTGTGCACATGTTCTCAGGACCACCTGAGGGCTGTGTTACGGGCCATGGTCACTCATATTTGGGTCAGAATAAATCGCTTCAAATGTTTTTTAAAAAAATCTTCGTTGCATATGGCCACTCCACTTCTCATATGAGGATCAGAGACAGATATTTCATGGTTTTATTGAGGATGATGTTTGTCTTTTTGTTCTTTTCTTGTTGTTTTTGAGTGATTCATGAGAGAATAAAGAAAAACAGCTGTATTTTCTCTGTTAGTTAAAATTAAATGCTACTTTATTTACATGCTCAAAACACCGTGGGATCCCATCACAGTGACTTCAAGAAATTCTTTCTTTATCACCTAATATTTCTGGGAGTCTTCATGGAATGTTAAATAGTTCCACAAATATGCCCTGAATCTCACTGCTACCTCAGCTAGTCATTTGTCCCTCAGGTACTGTCAGCCATTCTGCAAATAGTATTTATCTATCTTGAGACCAATTTCCTCAGGGTGTTACTGCTCTCACCTATCCCAGATGATCTCAAACTAGGGTGTACATTTCCCTGGAGGTACCTGAAGGCATGCTAAGGAGTAACAGGAAAAGCATCTATGGGCCAGCCAAAGGGGTAATTCAAAATACTGGAGCTGGTGTTGAGAAAGGAAACAAGTATGATGATTGGTAACAAATCCTTTTGCAACTCAGGTGGTTCCAATTCTTTGCTTTCATTAAAACTACAGGAAGATTTTATGGAGTTGTCAGTGGATAGAGGATTTAAATTTTTTTTTGTTGATTGATTACTGTTTTTGTTTTGTCTATAACTTGTAAAGAATTAAAAGAAAGTGAAAGACATTACTACAGTAAAGCTTCCTGCATTTGCATTTACTTATATATATAAGCAGTTGTCTCAGGGCTTACATTAAAAAAGGAATAAAATTGATGATAAATCCTATCTCACTCTAGCAATAAAAAATGTTCATCCATGTATATGTTAATTATATATTTTAAAAAACCACATCTATCTCATTTGGAAATATATTTCCTGACAAAATATACTTTTTATCACATACAAATAAAAATTAGAATAATAAGTTAATCCAGAAAAAATGCTTTAGCATTTAGATCCTTATAGCTCCTGGAAATAAAATAAAAATGTATTTTTATTTATTTATTTATTTTGCAGAGAATTAGGATAAGGTGATCAATAAAATACTTTCTTTTTGTTTGTTTTTTTTCGAGACGGAGTCTCACTCTTGTCGCCCAGGCTGGAGTGCAGTGGCGCGGTCTTGGCTCACTGCAACCTCCACCTCCTGGGTTCAAGCAATTCTCCTGCCTCAGTCTCCCAAGTAGCTGGGATTACAGGCGTCCACGACCACGCCCAGCTAATTTTTGTATTTTTAGTAGAGACGGGGCTTCACTATGTTGGCCAGACTGGTCTCCAACTCCTGACCTCAGGTGTTCTGCCTGCCTTGGTCTCCCAAAGTGCTGGGATTAAAGGCATGAGTCACCACGCCCAGCCTAATAAAATACTTTAGGGCATACAATTTACATCATGACAAAATTCTATGGGGGAAGCGGAATGGAAATATGAGTTCAAAGAAGAAAAGAAATGATGTAAAATTTTGACTGTTGAAGAGCTTGTTTATATATTTTCAAATTGATGAAGAATATAAAATTTCAATATTCTATGTAATATATTTAAAAAATAATGTAATATTTTATCTGAAAATGTCAATATTTAAAACGTGTTAGTTATATTCTTTGAAATTATTTTTAAATTTATCATGAAAACTTTTAATTGCCAGATTTGTATGAGAAGTTCCTGTAGATTTCTGGAACCAAAATGTCAGTGTAGAAGCAAGTAGGCTTCACTATACCCCACCCGCAAAGAACACTAAAACACCAAATACGTAGTGCTGAGATTATTACCAACAATATCCGAGAACTCAAAGATGAGAATGAGACAGTTCCCAGGGCCACAGAGAAGAGAAAAAACTTTGAGAAGATGGTAAGAGAATCAGACTTCCATATCTTTGGTGCAAGTTCCCACAATCTGCATGATACCAAGTGTGTAGAAAATTCCTCTGACTCAGTTATTACACTGAAAATAAGTGAGATCAAGGTAGACAATTACCTTCCCCACCTGAGTTCCCTGGCAAAAGACCTGTCCTTGCCTCAGCTCAAAGGAATTATTGGGAGTCCCTGAAGGGAGAAGTAGCTCTGAGGACAGTCAGGGACAAAGGGGTGAGGTAGGATGACCATCCCATGTCCTGGTAACTTTATTCTGTAATTCTACCAAAGGAGACACCAAATCAGAGTGGCTGTTCAGCAGCACCATGCAGTAGGAAGTACATTCCATGGGTCTGCCAGTCATGAGCCCTTAGCCAGCGCTTCTCAAACTGCTGAAATGTCTTCTTTGAGATCTTTCCCATACAGGATGGGTAAAGCTCTGATCAGTTACTAGAACTAAGGCAAAGCTGGGATTAAGGGACCATCTAGTGCTAAATGGAGGCAGTGACCTGACAGGAAAAATAAAAAAGAAATCTAACGAGTAAATTCCAAAAAATCTCTAAGCAAACATATCCAATAAAGACAAAACAAACTAAACAGACTAGAATAATCAACCAATCATTCAATGCAAAGACACAGATGTACATCAATGAGAAACAACAGCAAACAGGGAACCATGACTTCCTCAAATGGATGAGGCAAGGAACCAGTGACTGATCTTAATGAGACAGTGACATGTGAGCTTTCTCAAAAATTCAAAATAGTGATTTTAAGAAAACGCAGTGATCTCTAAGATAACACAGAAAAGGAATTCAGGAATTTATCTAGAAATTTAACAAAGAGGTTAAAATAATTTAAAAACATCAAACTGAAGTCCTAGAAGCGAGAAATACATTTGCTGAACTGAAAAATTTATTAGAGACTCTCAATAGCGAAATGGATCAAGCAGAGGAAATAATCACCAAGATTGAAGACAGGCTATTTGAAAATTCACAGTTAGAGGAGAAAAAAGAAAAAAAAATGAAAAAGAATAAAGATTGACTACAAGATACAGAAAAGACCAAATATAAGAATTATTAGTGTTCAAGAGGGAGTTGAGCAAGAGCAAGGGGTAGAAATCTTGCTCAAAAAATAATAATAGAAAACTTCCCAACACTTGAGAAAGATATAAATATACAGATACAGGAAGATCAGAGAATGCCAAACCGATTTGACTTAAATAAGACTAACACAAGGCATATAGTAATCAAACTCTCAAAGGTCAAGGAGAAAGAGAAGACCCTAAAAGCAGCAAGAAAAAAGAAACAAATAACAACAACAACAAAAAAAGAAGTCCAATTTGTCTAGCAACAGACTTCTCAACAGGAAACAGGCCAGAAGGAAGTGAAACAACATTTTCAAAGTGCTGAAGAAGAAAACCACCATTTAAGAATACTTTATCTAGCAAAATTATCCTTCAAATATAAAGGAGAGATAAAGTCTCCCCCAGACAAAAGCTGAGAGAATTTATCACCACCGGACCTGTCTTCCATGAAATGTTAAAGGGAGTTCATCAATCTGAAACAAAAACAAAAACAAACAAACAAAAACAAAACCCACTAACTTGCAGAAAGAAAACTTTTTAAGGCATAAAACCCAGAATACTTGTGATGGTTAATATTGAGTGTCAGTTTGATTGGATTGAAGAATGCGAAGTATTATTCCTGGGTGTGTCTGTGAGGGTGTTGCCAAAGGAGATTAACATTTGAGTCAGTGGACTGGGAAAGGCAGACCCACCCTCAATCTGGGTGGTCACAATCTAATCAGCTGTCAGCCTGGCCAGAATAAAAAGAAGCAGAAGAATGTGAAAAGACAAGAGTGGCTTATTCTCCCAGGCTACATCTTTCTCCCATGCTGGATGCTTCCTGTCCTCGAACATCGGGCTCCAAGTTCTTCAGCTTTGAGACTCTGGGACCTTCAACTACAGATTGAAGGCTGCACTGTCAGCTTCCCTACTTTTGAGGTTTTGTGACTGGGACTGGCTTCCTTGCTCCTTAGCTTGCAGATGGCCTACTGTGGGACCTCACCTTGTGATTGTGTGAGTCAATACTCCTTAATAAACTCACCCTTTATATATCTCTATCCTATTAGTTTCGTCCCTTTAGAGAAGCCTAACTAATACAATACTCTATTACTGCAATGATAGTGTGCAATCCACTCATAACTCTAGTATGAAGAAAAATTGATCAAAAACAATAATAGCTATAGCAACCTGCTAAATGATAGGTAATATAAAATATGTAAATTGAGGTGACTAAAAGTCAAAATGTAATGGGAGTGGAGTTAAAGTTTAGATGTTTTCTTAGTGTTTCTTTGCCTCTGTTTCTATTCTTGTATTTGTAATCTAAAGTAAGTTGTCATCTCTTTAAAATAACTTATTATATATGTAAGATTTTTTTGTTAAATCTGATAATAACCACAATGCAAAAACATATAATAGATTCACCAAAAATAAAAAGCAATGAATGAAAACATACTACCATAGAAAATCATTTAACCACATAGGAAGACAGTAAGAAAGGAAGAGAGAATTGATCAAACAACCAGAAAACAAGCAACAAAATGGCAGTAGTAAGTCCTTACTTGTCAACAATAACACTGAATGTAAGTAAACTCAATTCTGCAATTAAAAGACAGAGTGGGTGAATGGATACGAAAAGATGATCCAACTATATTCTGCCTACAAAAACCTCACTTTATCTGTAAAGACACACACAGACTGAAAGTGAAGGGATGGACAAAGATATTTCATGCTAATGGAACCAAAAAAGAGCAGGAGTTGCTATCTATCTATACATCACAAAAAATTGATTTTAAGACAAAAACTATAAGAAGAGACAAAGAAGGTCACTATATAATGATAAAGGGGTCAATTCAGCAAGAGGATATAACAATTTTAAGTATATATGTACCCAATGGTGAAGCACCCAGACGTATAGAGCAAACATTAATAGATCTAAAGGGAGAGGCAGACTGCAATACAATATTAGTAGGGGACTTCAACAACCCACTTTCAGCAATGGACAGATATTCCCGACAGAAAATCAATAAAAAAAAATCAGAGTTAAACTACACACTGGACCAAATAGGCCTAACTGACATTTACAGAACATTTCATCCAATAACTGCAGAGTACACTTTTTTTCCCCTCAGCACATGGAACATTTTCCAGAATAAACTATATCTAAGTCCACAAAACAAGACTCAACCAATTCAGAAAGGTAGAAATGACATCAGGTACCTTTCTGACCACAATGGAATAAAACTAGAAATCAATAACAAGAGGAACCTCAGAAAATACACAAACACATGGTAATTAAGCAACATGCTCCTGAACAATGAAGAAAAAGTCAATGAAGAAATTCAGAAAAAATTTAAGACATTTATTAAAACAAATGAGAATGGCAATACAACACACCAAAATCTATGGGACACAGCAAAAGCAGTACTAAGAGTGAAGTTTATAGCAATAAATGTCTACATCAAAAAAGTATAAAGACTTCACATAAACAACCCAATAATGAACCCCAAGGAATTAGAAAAGCAAGAACTAACAGAACCCAAAATTAGTAGAAGCAGAGAAATAATAAACATCCGAGTAGAAGTAAATAAAATTGAGACTAAAAAACAATACAGAAGATCATTAAAACAAAATGTTAGATTTTTGAACAGATAAATGAAATCCACAAATTGTTAGCTAGACCAACCAAGAAAAAAAGATCTATATAAATTAAATCAGAAATGAAAAAGAAAAAAACCACTGAGATTACAGAAATGCAAAGAATCATTAGAGACTATAGTTAACAATTACACACCAACAAATTGGAAAACCTAGAAATGGAGAAATTCTGAGACACATTACAACCTACCAAGATTAATCTATGAAGGAATAGAAAACTTCAAGAAACCAATAACAAGTAATGAGATTGAAGCCATAATAAAAAGTCTCTCATCAAAGAAAAGCCAAAGAGTGGATGGCTTTCCTGCTGAATTCTAACAAACACTTAAAGAACTAATACCAATTATACTCAAACTTTTAAAAAAATTGAAGAAGATGGAATTTTTCTAAGCTCATTTTATGAGGCCAGTATTACCCTGATATCAAAACCAGACAAGGACACACACACACACACACACACAAAGAAAAGAAAACTGCAGGCCAGTATCACTAATGCAAATAAATGCAAAAATTCTCAACAAAATACTAGCAAAACAAATTCGAAAATATTTGAACAACCAGGTGATTTAGCAGTCCTGCTAATGAGTATAGACCCCAAAGAAAGGAAATCAATATATGTATTAATCCGTTTTCACACTGCTATAAAGCTACCACCTGAGATTGGGTAATTTATAAATAAAACAGGTTTAATTAAGTCACAGTTCCACATGGCTGGGAAACTTACAATCATGGTTGAAGATGAAGGCGAAGCAAGGCACATCTTCTCATGGCGGCAAGAGAGAGAGTGAGTGAAGGGGGAACTGTTAGACACTTTTAAAACCATCAGCTCTTGTGAGAACTCACTCACTATTATGAGAACATCATAGGGGAAACCATCCCCATGATCCAATCACCTCCCACCGGTTCCCCTCCTGGCACTCCTCGACATGTGGAGATTACAATTTGAGATGAGATTTGCATGGGAACACAGGACAAAACCATATCAGTATATCAAAGATATATCTGCACTCCCACTTTTATTGCAGAACTATTCACAATGGCCAAATATGGAATCAATCCAAGTGTCAATCAGTGGATGAATGGACAAAGAAGGTGTGGTCTATTTACACAATGGAATATTATTCAGTCACAAAAAAGAAGGAAATCCTGTCATTTGCAGCAGCATGGATGGATGGGAACCAGACGTCATTATGTGAAGTATGCCAAGCACAGAAAGACAAATGTTACATGTTCTCATTTACATGTAGGAGCCAAAAAACTGAATCTCATGAAAATAGAGAGTAGTTTTATAGTTACCAGAGGCCAGGAAGAGTAGGAGGCAGGAGGGGTGAAGAGAAGTTGATTAATGGGTACAAATATAAAGTTAGAAGAAACAAGATAAAAGAAATAAGTTCCATGGGTCAGTAGGGTGACTATAGTTAACAATCTGTTGAGCATAGATGGAACATTTCAAATATTGAGCATTTCAAATTGCTAGTAGAGAATAATAAGAATATTCCTAGCAGAAAGAAAAGATAAATATTTAAGGTGATGGATATACTAGTTAACCTGATTTGATCATTACGCATTATATGAGAATACCAAATTATCACATGTGCTTTGAAAGTATGTACCTATATTGTATGTTAATAAAATAATAAAGACATAAAAATGTTAAAATATATGATAGAGTTCATAGGTTTGTCTAAATTCTTTTAGGGAACTCTCAAGTAACAACAATGACAACAATCCAAAAAAGCAAACTTACAGCCATTGCCCTAAACTTTATTCTAAGTGCCTAGTTTCAACCTCTCAAACTTTGAGAATAAGAAAATTAGGTAAAGAACATACAGGGAAGGTAAATAGACCTCAGATAAATACAAATTTAGAGTTCATGGGCACACACTGTTGGATATGAGCTGGTCTTTGCTTGGATCTGGGTTCCTTTACTATATTGAGGCCCCCGAACTCACACTGAAGGGGGAACTTCCTTTCCCTCCCTGACTCAGTGGGAGACCCTTTGAACCCAATTCTCTTTTTAAATCTAGTGCTTCAGCTTCTAGAAGACAGGGCTATATATGGAACAGTTTTCTACTCTCCTCAGGTGAGGTTCCAAGTTTTACTATTTGTGAAAGCTTGCCTGTTTATGAGGATAACAGTGTGACTGCTTAATTCTCTTGGAAAGCTGAAATTTACTCCTATTTAAGGAGGTGGCGTTTTACCCTTAGACTTCCCAAAGGCAATAAAACATGGTAGACAGTACCTATGACACCATCTGGGTTATTTTTCTTAAATAACATCACATATGGGACAATTACAGTCCAGAACAGGCAACAGTCTGGCCAAGTCTTTTTCCCACTCTTTTCTCCGGTGATGAAATGTTATGTCTGAACATCTTTTCTAGCCATC
This sequence comes from Homo sapiens, assembly GCF_000001405.40. NCBI lineage: Eukaryota > Metazoa > Chordata > Mammalia > Primates > Hominidae > Homo > Homo sapiens. Next base: position 159,659,025 of record NC_000001.11, on the reverse strand, counting down.
CTACCACTCACCTCTTCGGTGAGTAAGGACATGAATAATAACACACAAACCTTCCAAGAATCAGCAAGAAACTTTCACACAGGGAAAATAAATTTGCCTATTAGATACAATCTGCAGAGATAAAGATATGCTAAATGGCACATGCAGTTTATATCACTTAACAGAATATAACCTGCTCAGCTGAAACATTGTACATTTGATTATTTCAATATGTTTTCCAAGTTCAATGGGAGGGCCTAAAATACATCAAAAAACTAAAAGGAACTTCAAATGATTTTTGCCCCAGAGTGAAGGGTGGACTTTCCCACAAGTCAGTGGCTCCCCGAAATTCTTTGAAGAGGCTACATTCTAGACTAGCAAAGATTACCTCATTGCACAGTCTTTAATCTTCAGTCTGTTCCTACTTTCTTCTCCTCCCAACTTATCAAACTTTAGAACATAAGATGTTGCCCATTAGAGTCCTTCTTCAGGGTCACTGCAGATGTTTATTCCACAGTATATTCTTGTAAGAACCCTGAAGAACAAGAACAAGTTCAAGATCAAGAACAAGAGAGCCACTTTTGGTGTCTCTTAGCTATGTTGCTTGCTTGCTTTGGGGGTGGGTCTTGTGAGAATGTGAGGCTAGTTTTAGATCTTCTTTTTAAATATTAAATAGTAAGATTGCACAAAATGATGCATGAATACATTCTCATTGCAAGCAATTCAAACCCTATAGAAGTTAAAAAATCATTAATTACTCCCAGTAATACCATTTACTGCTCTAGAGGCATATTATCTTAGTTTTGTTATATATCCTTTCAGGATCTCTTTTTCTCTTCTCCTCCATCCATCTTAAACACATGCAAGAGTGTAGGTGTTTTTCAGCAACACTTTTTTTTTAACTGAACAATATATCTTGCTGATCTTTCCCTGTGAATGTAAACACGGCTACCTCATTTAAAAAAATTATTGTGTAAGTATTTTGTAATATAAATGATAGTTCATTTAAAAATTCTTCTCCTGGGCCAGGCATGATGGCTCACACCTGTAATCCCAGCACTTTGGGAGGCCGAGGCTGGTGGATCACCTGAGGTCAGGAGTTCGAGGCCAGGGTGGCCAACGTGGTGAAACCCCATCTCTACTAAATACAAAAATTAGCCGGGCATGGTGGCAGGCGCCTGTAGTCCCAGATACTCAGCAGGCTGAGGCAGGAGAATTGCTTGAATCTGGGAGGTGGAGGTTGCAGTGAGCTGAGATTGCGCCACTGCATTCTAGCCTGGGCAACAGAGCAAGACTCCATCTCAAAAAAAAAAAAAAAAAAAAAAAGAAAGAAAAAAAATTCCCTCCTAGTGGACACTTTTGTTGATTCCAATTTCTCACAATTCTGCAACTATCTGTATAAATTACTCTGTACATACATATAAAGGTTTTCTCTATTTTTTTCTTGGCTTGTTTGCCATTTGATTCTTATTTTTTTATCTTTTAGAGTTTAGATACTAATGAATTCATTGTGAGTTGTGAATATTGCAAATACTTTCTCCTCATTTGTACATTATCTTGCAAGGTTTTAATGAAGTCTTTCTTTAGTCTTACAGATGTTAAAAGTTTGGTGTAGCCAAATATATCAATTGTTTACTTTTTTAGTTTTTGCTTTCTGTTATTTCAAGGTCTTTTATACCCAAGTCATAAAATATTCTCACGTATTTCTTATAATTTTAAATTTCTGTTTTTATGCTTATGTAGATTTTTATAACTTATTTTTCAGAATGATGTGAGGTTAGACAATAATTTTGTCTCTAAATTGATAGCTGGTTATGTCAGTACTATTTATTGAACATACGGCTTTTTTTTCCTACAAATTTGAAGGTCACCTTTATCATACATTAAATTATATTGAATTGCTCTTAGATCTCCATTGTGTTTCATTGCTTTACTTGTCTATTGTAGCTCTAGTAATTTGCTAATCTAGATGATATACTTTATAATATTTTTCGATATCTGATGAGTCTCTGCACTTTTGATTTCATAGTATTGAATTATTTTTATTGCTTTTTGCTATTACTAAAGATCTTATTGTTTACTCTAGTATTTTAATGGGTTATTGCCTTTGTAAAGGAATGCTATTACTTTTTGTTTGCTGATCGTGTTTGATTCCTCTCTTATTCTAATTGTCAGTTGATTGTTTTGGATTTTCTAGATAAATAATTCTATTGCTTAGAAACAATTATGGTTTTATATCTTCTTTCCCAATATTTATGCTTTTTAAAAATTGTATTTGTTCCTGTGGCTAAGACCTCTAGGAAATTTGAATAATGGATGTGACAGAAGGCGTCTCTTCTATTTCTGATTTGTAATACTTAAAATATTTCAGCATTAAGTATGATACTTGCAGGTTTACTCTTAAATGTGCTTCTCAAATGAATTTTTTGTCTATTGATAACTTGCAAATCAAAAATAGAATTTAAATTTTATTTATGTATATATTTGATACATATATTTTTTCCTAAGTTAAAGAAACAAAGTAAGTTTTGATAGTTTTTTCCCTCCCATATCATTCTTCCATTCCTGGAATAAATACTGCCTGGTTATAAAAAGTATATGTATTTTCCATTAGATATACTGGTTAATTTGTTAATTTTATGTAATTTTAATTTTAATATTTACATTCTTAAATAAGATTGATATACAGTTTTCTTATACTCTTCTTGTCTGAAATTTGTAACAGTGTTATATTAGCAATGTAAAATAGTTGTTTAGCTTTCTATCTTTTTCTATATTCTGAAACAGTTGGTGTATGTTGGGAATGCTCTATTTCTTAATAATAAGCTAGAATTTAGGCTGGGCACGGTGGCTCACACCTGTAATCCCAGCCCTTTGGGAGGCTGAGGCAGGCAGATTGCCTGAGGTCAGGAGTTTGAGACAAGCCTTGCCAACATGTGAAACTCTGTCTCTACTAAAAATACAAAAATTAGCCGGGCATGGTGGCAGGCACCTGTATTTGCAGCTACTTGGGAGGGTGAGGCAGGAGAATTGCTTGTACTTGGGAGGCAGAGGTTGCAGTGAGCAGATATTGTGCCACTGCACTCCAGCCTGGGTGACAGAGTGAGACTCCATTTCAAAAAAAAAAAAAAAAAGCTAGAATTTATCAATAATCCATCTGGGTCTAGCGCATTTTAAAGAGGAATGAATCTTTGTAAGCATTTCAATATCTTCTATGGTATAGGTCTTTTAAAAATTTATTCCTATTCTTTCTAAAGAAATCACCTTTTTCCTAGAAATTGTCCAATTTATTTAGTTTTCATTTTATTGTACAAACTTAAATGTAGTATTCTCTCTATAGTTCTGTTTCTTTTCTAATCTCTATTATTATTTATTTACACCATTTTACTCTTCCTCTGATCAAACATATGATCTATTTTATTGATCTTTTTCAGTAAATAGTGTTGGCTTTTAATACTTGAGTCTACTGATAGATCTTACAGTCTTAATATTTTAATAATGTTTGAATTTACCTTCATTATTTCTTGTATGCCATTTGCTTTATTTTACATGTCCTTAGTTCTTTGAATTAAAATGCAGATTATTTTTAAAATTATGATAATTTTTAATGAATGTATTTGTAACTATAAATGTTTTTGTGTATACTCTTTGCACATTTCCAAAGTCTTGCTATGTGTTACTCTAACTCATTCTAAGTTTAAATTATTATTCTCATTTTAACATTAAAAATTTGTTTTTTATTGGTAAATATAAATTGCATATATTTATGGTATACAACATGATGTCCTGAAATACATATAGGTTGTGGAATGGCTAAATCAAGATAATTAACATGCATATTAACACATATTTTTGTGGTAAGAACACTTGAAATCTACTCTTTTAGCAATTTTCAATTCAAAGGATACAAATTTTCAGTTATACAAGAGGAATAAGTTTAAGAGATCTATTGTACAACATGGTGATTATAGTTGATAACAATGTACTGTACATTTGAAAATCACTAAAGAGTGTTTTGGGGAGGTAGAGGAAGAATGTCATTTGTTAGTTTTACATTTCCAATTCAATTGTATTATAGTCAGTGAATATGACACATATGATGCCAGTTTTCTGGAATTTGTTAAAATTTACTTTGTGGCTAATAAGTGGTCAGATATACACCTGTTTCCTGTGAACAGCCACCTATTCTTGGTTTACACATAAGCATATGCATGTGTATGTGTCTGTGTGTATATAATTAATACTTTTAAATATTTTTAACTATACCTTTCTCTGTTTTTTTGAAAAGATTATTTGAGCTCTTGTTTTCAGTAAGAGCTGTTTCATAGTACTATAACTGTGCATCTGGTCATTTCTTATTGTGGTTCTTTTTTTACTTCTTTTCAAAGCTGTGTTGCTGCTACATAGAATTTTGTGACTGGTGTTTATGATTTTAAATAAATACTAATATAAAATATTGTTATATAAAATATGTATGTTTCTATATTATTATTTCAGTTATTAATATAAATATACCTTTTCCTCTTTCTTAAATGCATTTGGCCTTGAACTCTATTATGTCTACTCTCAACATAGTTATGCTATTTTTCTTTTGTCTTATTACTTGCCTGGTATTTCCTTTCCTATCTTATGTTTTCCTTACTGTGTCATTCTGTTTTCAACATGTCTCTTGTAAACAGCATGTAGTTTTATTGTATTAACATAGAGAATTTCTGAGTTTTAATAGATTAGATTTACCTAAGCACATGTAATATAATTATTGACATGTTTGGACTTATTTCTGGGTTTTCAATTTACAATTCTAAATGATTTCCTTCTCCCCCCATCTATCTTGTTTGGGTTGACAAAATTTTATTTATTTGGTATTTATCTTCTAATAATTTAGAAGTTAACTATTCTATTCCTCAAGTGATTATCCTCGTATATTAACATACATGATAAACATATTTATTTAATAATGCCTCAAATTAATCAATCAAGCAAATTTGCCAGTTTTTATTCTCTAGGAAATTTATCTACTATCATTATATTAATATTTTGATTCTGAGTGCCAGATTATTGTTTAATAAATGTTTCACAATAATAACATTTAATTTAAAATGAATTTTAGATGGTTCAGTATCCAACATGATGAAGTTAGGAAGGTAAGATTCTCTTCCTAAAAAACAACTATGAAGCTGGACAAAATTGTCAAAAATAACCGTTTCAGTACTCTAGAAATTTACCATAAGCATACCACAAATGTTGAAGCTTTTATTCTTGAAAAGCAGCTGAACTTTGTGTAAAAACAGCGTGAGCCTGTGATAGTCTTTCCTTGGGTTCTCTCACTCCCCACTCCCAGGTCTATTGGCATACCATGGAGCAGGCCATGAAATCAGGAACTTTGCATCCACAGCTAAAAGGACTCATTTGATTGTGCACATGTACCCTAAAACTTAAAGTATAATAATAATAAAATTTTTTTAAAAAAAGAAACACTGTCAAGTGATTTCAGTGGCAAGCAAACAGGGAGGGCTAATGTCTTCACTAGCCTGAAGCTATGCTCCTGTTTGGAGCAACTCACAGACTAGCAGACTAGCCAGAATTTAAACAGGAATACTGGGAAGTGAGACTGCCATAAAGAATTTGATAAAGCCTTCATATTTCTTGGCTTGACTGGAGGCTGTGTGTGTATGCAGCTGAGACTGGAGTGGGCCCAAAGAACTAAAGGAAAACATCTTTAAAGAATTAAAGAAAAGTGTGCTGGGAATGACTCAATGAATAGAGAATCTCAATAATGAGATATAAATTATTTTTTAAAAAACCAAAGCTATATTCTGGAGTTTAAAAGTACAATAATCAAAAGAAAAAATATTACTACAGGGTCTTCACACCAGATTTGTGATGGCAGAAAAATAATTGATATACTCTAAGATAGATAAAAAGAAATTATCTAACTGAGTAAGAGGGAAGAAAGATTTAAAAAGCATGAACAGATTTCAGAGACCTTTGAGACAGATCAAACATACCAACATACATTTGATGGGTGTCTCTGAAGGAGAGGAAAGAGAAAAGAAGATAAAAATAATTTGTAGAAATGGGCAGAATTTATTATTTATTATATTATGTTAAGATATATATAATAAAATATAAGGTATATTATATATAATAAAATACAAGATATACTTCTTAAAAAGGATACTGAAGTATCTCAGAGAATTGAAAGTATTGTTTAAATTGATTAATGTGAAGAAGGATGGTGATATGACTGTTCTTTTATTCCTTAGCAGCTGAATCTGTGAATCTGCTCCCTGGCTCTTTGCTGTTAACATGATGTAGAAATCTCAGCCTCTGTGCTCTCCACTCCACATTCCAGATTCCTAGGAGAGAGAATTTTGTTGTCTCAGCTTGGGTGCTGTGTCTGCCCCTACATCATCAGCTGTGATGAGGCGGCAGAGTTTAATACTATAGGTATCACTGCTGGGCCCACTTGTTGGAAATGACCCAATGTCATATCCTTTTACTGGATTTCAGGATTCTGTCCTCTGCCACTGTTTCCCAGAATCTAGGCTGTTTGGGTTATGCTCATTATTTTTCTAGTTTGTTGTAGGTCGTATGAGTGGATGTTCAACTTCTGCACCTTGTCTCTTATTTCTTATCATTATCTCATACTTTTCAGCTTTGTTTTTTCAGAGTAAAAGTTTAAGGCTTGATGTATAGCTCACTATTTGATTTTGTGTTTGTGTCCAGGTTATTATTCAGCACATATATATATGTGTGTGTGTGTATATATATATATATGTATTCTAAATATGTTATTCAGTCTATATATGTATATTCAGCATGTATATATATGTATTCTATTTCAATTAATAAGGTTTAAATTTCTGTTATCTTGTTTTTTTAAATGGGTAAAATATCTTGTACCTCTCGGGGGTATTATAGTCTTATGTTAAATTTCTGTTATTTTTACTCTTTGCTTTGTTTCATTTGATATAGGTGCTATTGTTTACTGAGTTTTGTGTTTGTCTTTTATGTTCTTGGCTTTTGTGAATATTTGGAGATTTTTGGTTGTTTGTTCGCCTTTGTAATTGAGGTACCCTCTCAGTCTGCCTGCTATACTTATTTTGATATGTCATTCTGCGAAGAGGTAACAATGTTACTCTGTGAAAGAGGGTGAGGGGCAGGCAATATTTGCCATTAAGTGCTGATACTTCTTTAAATATTCTAGGAGTGGCGATTTGCCATCTTTCCAAATTGTTGTCGGACACCTGGGATGTTTGCCTTGTCTCTCAACTTGGAAGCCCACATACTTGCTGCTTCCTGCTATTGCAAGAAGGGACTGGGGATGTCTATCTATTAGCTTCTGTGGGTACTTCAACTAATGACCTCCTGCATGTTCTGGAACACCTCCGGCTCCCTCCAATCATTGCACACATTGGTGCTATCCCCACCCTGTGAAGCAGTATTATTTTGTGTGTATTGTGGCTTCTGGTTTGCTTTTAATATTCAATTTTGTCAACTTTCAACTGCTTAAAAAGAGATTAAAAAATTTATTAGACATCTGAGTAGTCCCTCTCTTTTTGTTTTACTGCAAAGCGATGGTAGGAAAGGAAGACTATACAATCTACCATCTTGAAAACTGTTCTGGGGCTATCTCTAAAAAATTTAACTATAAACTCAGTAAAATAGCTTAATTATTCACTTATTTTTCTTCCTTTTCTGTAGTTTAAAGAATTTAAGTATCAGAGAGTCTTTTTATAAAATATTTAAAAATATGTAAGTAAGGTCAGATGTGGTGACTCACGCCTGTAACCCCAGGATTTTGGGAGGCCGAGGCGGGTGGATCACCTGAGGTTGGGAGTTCAAGACCAGCCTGACCAACATGGAGAAACCTCGTCTCTACTAAAAATACAAAATTAGCCGGGCATAGTGGTGCATGTCTGTAATCCCAGTTACTCGCGAGGCTGAGGCAGGAGAATCACTTGAACCCAGTAGGCAGAGGTTGCGGTGCCTCTGCACCGCAGAGGTGAGATGGTGCCATTGCACTCCAGCCTGGGGAACAAGAGCAAAACTCCATCTAAAAAAATATATGTAAGTAATTTGAGCTTATATATATTTTTTGTCTCCCTTCCCCTAAATTTATTTTACCATTCTCCAATGTAACCTAGGGGTACATCTATTCAGCCTTTCTCTTAGCATTCATAAAGATGTGTATGCACGTGCATGCACACCACACACACACACACACACACACACACACACTTACAAATGGGGAGATATGATTGCTCCTTTAATTTAATAATATATCATTTCTTCCCATGTTACTACATAGAAATCTTTCTCTTTTCTAAAATTATATAATAATTTTCTAAAATTATATTTCTAAAATTTCTAAAATTTTCTAAAATTATATAATATTCCGTAATGTAAGTAAGCCATAATTTATTGTATTTCCCTATATTTATGTGCAATTAGGCTTATTTATTCATGTATTAACAGTTCAATAGATACCTATTGAGCATCCAAAATTCTACTTGCTTGCTGTGTAGTTTTGAGCATATTTATTAACCTACCATTTTTGCATCTATAAGATAAGGATAACGATATTATCTACATCATAGAGATAGAGGAATAAAGAATTAACATAAAGTGCTTAGCAAAGTGACGCACAGTAAAGTCTCGATAATTGCTAACTGTTATTATTATTCATATGTATTAGGGACTTTGTTACTTTTGGGGTGGTAGTGAACTGAAAGTCCACAGAGCTACATTTTGAGATGGTGAGTGATTCAACAACAACAACAACTGACACCCTAGTTGCATGGCTATAGTGTTGTAAACTGTGACAACTAATATAAAGAATAAATAATGGTTTTTGCAGACTGTAAGTGATATGAGAAAGTAAAACAGAGGAGCTCAATTTCGGTTGACGTTATGTGGAATGGGAAAGATATCTCTGAGGAAATCGCATCTAAGTTGAGTCCTGTAGGATTTTGTAGCTTTAGCATGGAAAAGTGTAGTGGGGAAGGAGCATGGGATGCATTCCAGGCAGATGACCTCTAACTATGAGGAGGCTGTTACAGGTTGAATTGTATCCCCAGCAATTTCATATGCTGAAGTTCTAAGTCCCAGTACTTCAGAATGTGACTATTTGGAGATAGAGCCTTTAAAGAGGCAATGGAGGTAAAATGAGGTCATGTGATTGGGCTCTAATCCAATATGACTGGTATTCTCATTAGAAGAGATTAGGACACAGACACATATAGAGAAAAAATTAGGTGAAGACACAGGGAAAAGATGGCCACTGACAAGCCAAGGAGAGAGGCCTTAGAAGAAAATCCTGTCCACACCTTGATCTCAGACATCCAGCCTCCAGAACTGAAAGGAAATACACTTCTGATGTGAAGCCACCCAATCTGTAGTACTGAGTGCATCCCCAGCAAACTAATGCAGAGGTCAAATTCATTATCTAGCTTCCTTTTCATTATTCTAATGGCTTCTTGGCAATTCTTTCAATTTTCTCCTCTCTATTCTTGATCTGCTGCCTGAAGTAACCATTTTGTTTTCATGGTCATAGCAATTTTGCTGGCTAATGGACCTTCCATCTGAACTTTAAGGTTATTTATTTCCTTTTAAGGTTTGTTTTCTCCTACAAACTCTATCATGCCCAGGTTACTGCTCCCATAATTAACATTGTGCTATCAGGCTCCAGCCAGCCTGTGCTCACAAGTGCTCTTTGGGCCTACCATTTTCCTGTATATTTCTTCTACCAGCTTCTCTCACAGGCCTGGATTTTGCTATCAACAGAGACCTTGCAGAGTTCGCTAGCTGGAATGGACACTGTGGGATTCTGAGCAGCCCTTTACAACCCTCACTTTCCATTCCAGCTTTTTTAGCTTGTCATCCTTGGTATTTGAGATGCCTTTAATTTTATCCAACATCTGTGTTATGTCTACCGTTTTTTTTTGCTATTATAGTCAAGAATATTGTTAATCATATCTCTTTGTATATATGTATGCATATTTTTCATAACAAGTACCCAGAAGTGAAATTGCTAGATTAAAGGCTATATGACTTAACATTCTACTAGATGTTGCTTAATTGTTTAATAAAGGCTGTAAAAAATTGACATTCCCACCAAATGGGCATATAAGTGCTTTTTCTCCCATTTCCAGTATTTCCCACCTGATATTTTCGAACTTTAAAGGGTTTGCCAATATGATGCATAAAAAAGTACATCATTTTGCACCTCCCTAATTTCCAAGGCTGAGTATCTTTCCTCGATATGAGTAGTCTTTTCAAATGCTTTGCTCATTTTCCTACCATATTATTAATCTATTTTTCAGTGATTTCTAGGAATTCTATATATATTAAACTAATTAATTTTTGTCTATTTTATTTGATGTGTGCCAGATATTTTTCCAAGTTTGTCAATTAATTTTTAACCCTATGGCATTTTAAAAATTTTATAATTTTTTATTTTTTTGCTGTGTAGAAATTTCAATTTCTTAGAGAGTAGAATTTTTATGTATTTTTTTATGTAAGCAAACCTTACTCACTCAAAGATTATAAATATAGTCTTTAAAATTTTAATATTTTTACCATTTACAAAATCTCTTTTAAAGCTTAAATAATTTTCAACTCAATTTTATGTATATTGTGAAAGATGATCAACTTTTTTTCTCTTATACGGGTAGAAAATTGCATATTGAATTTCTTTTACTTATTTAAAATTTTACCTCTAAAATATTTTAAATTCACATATAAATGAATTTGCTTCTGAAACTGCTCTTCCTTTTGTCTTTGGCGTATTATCATATAAATAGCACATATTTAAATTACTATGGTTTTATAGTACATTTTGATGTTTGGCAAGGCAATTCTCCAATCAGTATTTTCCCTCTTTCATGTTTTGTTGGTTATTCTTGTGAGCTTGGTCTTCCAGGTGAGTTTTGGAATGCACTTTTTATATTTCATAAAAAATTATGTTGAAAATTTGATTAGAATTTTATTACCTTTGTACTGGTTATTATATTTGTATTATAATAAAATCTGTCAGTCTTACTAACTTAAGACCATCTAAAACACAAACGACCTTAACAACAAAGGAATTAAGTGAAAAGATATTGGAGTATTTCAGAGAACTTAAAGAACTGCTGTGAGGAAAGGTGGTGACATGATGATTCTTGCATCCTTAGTAACTGAGTCTGTGGATCTGCTCACTAGGTCTTTGCCATGAATATGACTCAGAGCCTTCAACTGCCAGTCTCTGTGCCAGTCTCTGTGCTCTCCAGTAAAAATTCCAGATTCATAGGAGAGAGAATTTGATTGTTTCATCATGGGTGCTATGTCTGCCCCTATATCATCAGGTGTGATCAGGCAACACAGTTGATAGGAGAGGTGTCACCACTGGGCCCCATTTTTGGCGACAACCCAAAGTTATACATATTTACTGCATCTCAGGGCAACGTCCTCTGCCACTGTTTCCCCGATTCTACCTCTTTGAATGATCATTTCTCTAGTTTTTTGTGATTCATCTAAAATATTCTGCCACCTATGGATAAAGTTATCCCCCCAAAAATCACATTGTATATGCAATGATCAGTGGAAAGAGGAGGAAAAAGAAGAAAAAATATAATCCCTCTTTAGATAGATAAAGAAAAGGGGATGATAATTATATCCAAATAGTAAGCAAGGAAAAATAAAAGGAAACCACAATCTTCATTTATTTTATTGGTCACAAGACTTTCTTGAATTTTGACTTTTTTCTAACTTCGGTAATTCTATGTTCTCTTTGTCTTATGACATCATTGGATTGTGATTTTTCTCTCTTGGTGGGTTGATCCTCAATCCTGAGGGTCTGAGCAACTAGTGTTACTACCTGTTAAGAATTTGGATTGTCTTCTCTTAATATTTAAATTTGTGCATAATAGAACAAAGAATTTTCCTGGCAGCTTGGTGTTGTGGCAGCATTAAGGCATATATGACTTGATCCTAATATGCTCTAATATGTTTTTGGTGGTAGGAGTTTAATATATCCAAGCTTGGCTCACCAATTTAAACAGGAGTGTTTGCAAAAAGAAAGGGGAACATGGTCAGAGCCTCTTCTTTGATCTCCAAGACTCCCTAGATGTTTAGTTCCCTTTTCAGAATAGCAACCCTATTTCCTGTGGAGAGTTAGTCAATCACACAAGCCAAGATTCTGCAACTTCCTTCTAGTGGCCCTGTGGTTGTCTCTGTACCAAATATGGAAAATCTTTGTTGTGTTTTCCAGTGTAAGTTTTCTTCCCTTAGGTGTTACAATTTCTATAACACTTAATTATTTACCCTTATTTTTCCTTTATCCTTATTGCCTTATTTGCTTATTTGTGAACTAATGTTCCCCGAATTTTTTTCAAGCTGCCTCAAACCCTTTTTAGAATTAGTCAAGGTAAGCATAAACAGGTAAAAGTGTCACTCCCACCTCCATGCCTTGGTTGTTGGCTGTGAGACTGGTCAGAGTTTAATGGCATGCTGTAAGGCAGCAGCCTAGCCTGTGTCTCAGAGCTGGCATCATGAGATGCCACTTTTGTGGTAGAGTATACCAGCCTTCCCTATCTGGTGGCTCACAAATTCCCAGGGTTCATAGATGTATTCAAGGAAGTTTGTGTGGATAAAGATAGTAACGAAATTTGGCTAAGTATCTAATAAACTAACATTTTCTAGTTTGCCTTTTGGAAATGGGACAGTTTGTCATTCTTGAGCAGATATAGAATGAACATTATCTGTGGCTGATGGCAATCAGATGAATGTACTCAGAAACTCTTGTTTAATAGTTTTGACCATTAAACAGTTTTAAATTATTTTATTCATAGTTGCATGCTATTTAATTTATACTCATAATGAACTGTTGATAAATACAAGAAACATAATGAAGCTTGATGTTGAAGTATAAGTTAATGACAATAATTCAGCAAATTCATCTCAAGATGATCTTACCAAATCTTTAAGTGGCATTCAGCTAATCAAAACTCTTATGTGGCACATTAAGCGTTCTCTGTATTAAGATAGAAAATTTGTCGTGATTGTATCTAACAATGTGTTACAAAGACCTACATTTGGGTTCTAAATCAAGCATAATATCAATTTTAAGAATTTATTTATAATATAGTCAGATACACACATGTAACTTAAAGCAAATTAAGTAGCATGTCACTTGTTAAATGTAAAAATGTCTTTTTATATTATAAATTATTAAAGATAGTGTGAAAATGAATCTTTGCATATTTAATAATATAGTGATCAAATTTTAAAACTTATTTATCGTATTTTATATACAAATTAAAAAACTTTAAAAATTTCTACAGCAGCCACAAATACACACAGGCACATACACACACACACACACACACACACACACACACACACACATCTCATTGCAAAAGCCTTTTATAAGTCCATAATAATTAGAAAATAATTTGGCCATTTCCCTCCATGGGCATCAGATTATTCCTCTCTTTCATTGTGAAATGTGTTCCTCTGTCAGAGGCACTATTATGTAGGATGCCACAATGATGCATAAGAAATTTAGTATAACCACCAAAGGTGGTGCTGACAGATATTTGATGAGCAGGGAAACAAATCTAAACCCGTAATATGTCTATTCTTGAGGACGAACTGCTACCCTATTCATGATAGAGAATAATGCCATTTTCTCTTTCTCCATGTCAGGAGTTTAGCATTAAGTAACCAAGTCAGATTTGGTGAGTGGAAGTCCATGCTAGTAAGTCCATGTATATCCTCCATCACGGCCTTTAATTTATTAGTTCATTTAGCAGTGAATGTGCTGGCCAGAAAAAGAGTTGGGATCAACAACAAAATAGTTCTCCTGATGCTCTGATTATTAAGCATCTCATCTTCAGTGAGGAATTTGTATGAGATGCTATGTTCAGATATTTTCAGGCTCTAGGCTCTTTATGAATGGGCCACTCTGAAATGACAGGTAAATGGGCTGCATGAATGCTTTTGCTTTATTTATTTTTTTGAGATGGAGTCTCGCTCTGTTACCCAGATTGGACTGCAGTGGCGTCATCTCGGCTCACTGCAACCTCTGCCTCCTGGGTTCAAGTGATTATCCTGCCTCAGCTTCCTGAGTAGCTGGGATTATAGGTGCACATGACCATGCCCGGCTAATTTTTTTGTATTTCTTTAGTAGAGATGGGGTTTCACTACGTTGGCCAGGCTGGTCTCGAACTCCTGACCTTGTGATCCGCCTGCCTTGGCCTCCCAAAGTGGTGATATTACAGGCGTGAGCTATGGTGCCCAGCCCCCTTCTTTGTTTTTGTGCAACTTACTATGTAGGCCTTACTAAAACATGGAAAGTACTTGCTACTTCTTAATGAAACCATTCCTATAAACTTTATAAAATTAATCAGGGAAGAAGGCAAGGGGGCTAGTGAAAATAAACCAAGCTTGCAGCCCATTCATCAATAATCATTATGTGAGCTTGCTCTCTGACATGCTTCCTTATAGCTATTTGGTGCCTATTGTCCTAGAATCATGTAGACCTGTTACAAGATTATAGTTACTCTTAATTGCTCTATAACTAACAACTTGAATATTATGAATTGTTGTTTTTCCTTTGAGGTGTTCTTTCAGGTCCTGCTTATTAATGAAGCTACTGACATCATTTGGTCTGAAGGACCCCCTGGGGAGCTAACTCACCAAAGAATACAATTTCCACATACTGATTATTTCATGCCCCTTACCTCTACCAATCTATGACCCCAATTTTCCAGCCTCTTGCCTTCCATGATCCCCTTAAAAGGCACAGCCAAGAACTCCTCAGGGAGATGAATTTGAAGTCTCATCTCATCTCCTTGCTTGGCCACCCTGAACTTAAACTCTTTCTCTGCTGTAAATCCTGCTGTCTCAGTGTATTGGTATGTTACTGTGAAGCAGGCATATGAACCTATTGGCCCTGTAACATTGTTTCCAGGACCTATCTGCATGACACTGTCAGTGTAGTGGACTGGTGTGAGGTCTTGAGGGATGATTAAATGGTCAAGGCCCCTGTAGATTAAATTGTTGCCAAATGGTGTTACAAAATGTAATATTGGAGAATTGATGTGAGGACATCCTTGTGTACTGGGATATGTATAAGCCTGTGTATAGCAGATCTATTTAGAGCATCCCCCAAGCCAAGAATAACTCAAGTATCAAACAGTATACATGATAAATATATTGTGAAATACATGTATAAATTACAGCTATACACTACCAAAAAATATATGAATTTCAAAGACATAATGTTGAGCCAAATAAGCCAGGCACAGAATAACATATATAATATAATTTCATTCATAAAAGGCTAAACACACGCAAAACTACTAAAGTAGAAGTTTAACGTAAAATACATAATGTAGAACTTAAATTAGTTCCAAAATGAAAGTTGAAAGGGAAAATAAAAATTCAAATTGGCTAGGACTGGCAAATACCCTTAGAGCCAAAGTAACTTCCATATTAATTTATCTCCTTGGGTTTCTAGTTTACCTTCAGTTTTGGCCTTGTATTTGTTTTAGAATCCTCCCCTCCCCTCGCCTCCCCTCCCCCCGCTCCCCTCCCCTCCCCCTCCCTCCCCCCTCCCCTCCCCCTTCCCCTCCCCCTCCCCTCCCCCTCTCTCTTTTCTTTCTCTTTTTTTGTTGTTGTTGTTGAGACGAGTTGTTCTGTCGCCCAGGCTGGAGCACAGTGGCGTGATTTTGGCTTACTGCAAGCTCCGCCTCCTGGGTTCATGCCATTCTCCTGCCTCAGCTCCTGAGTAGCTGGGACTACAGGCATCCACCACCATGCCTGGCTAATTTTTTTGTATTTTTAGTAGAGACAGGGTTTCATCATGCTAGCCAGGATGGTCTCGATCTCCTGACCTTTTGATCTTCCCTGCTTCGGCCTCCCAAAGTTCTGGGATTACAGGCGTGAGCCACTGCGCCCAGCTTGCCTGCCTGCCTGCCTTCCTTCCTTCCTTCCTTCCTTTCTTCCTTCCTTCCTTCCTTCCCTCTCTCCCTCCCTTACTTCTTTCTACTTCCCTTTCCTTTCCTTTCCTTTCTCTCTCTTTCTTTCTCTTTCTTTCTTTCTTTCTTTCAAGATTTAAAAATGTTTTACCTAGCTCTTAAGCTATTTTCCAAATAAATGTGTCTGCCATTACTAGAAACAGGAAGTATATTATAATTTCTTGAATATTTTTTGTTTTGCCAAAAAGCAATCTAGAATAAGTTTTTAATAGAAATAGTACCTGAACAGTAAATGTTCTAAATCTTTGTATGTTCAAAAGTCTTGGTTTCATCTTTACAGCTGATTGATACTTTGGTTGGAGGTAGTCTTCTAGGTTTGAAATTACTTTTCCTCATCACCTAAAGGCCTGGTAGGATTTTCTTGCTTGAATTGCTATTGATGTGCCTTTCCCCAAGTTGCCTTCTCCAAATGGAGGTCTTACTATGGCTGAGGGATAAGATTCATCATGGTGTTATGTAGGCAGGGAGAGGAAGACAGCTGAGGACCCACTACTGACAAAGTAAGCAAATATTTATACTGGTGGTAAAAAACATCAATGTGTTCTACTTCTGGGTCTGGCTGGTTGTTCTGTAAGGAATATCTTGCCTATTGTGGAAATCTGAAGCTATTCCAGGTGTTCTCTGCTTTTCTCTTCACCCAAAGACTTGAAATAAGAGCCTTCTTTATGTAGACTTTTGCTTGTTTGGAGAGCAGATCTGGGGATTTTGTCCTTGTGATTAATGCCAAAGTGCTAAACAGCTGTGCATTATTTGGGGACAAGAGGAATAATTACTGCTGAACTGTTCTATAGGAAGCCTTTTAGTTAATTCATCTGGAGGCTTCTATGTATTTTCATTGCCTGATTACACTATTTAGGGCCAGAGATCCTTTCCTAATTCTTGACCTTAAGATAGTGAAAACTGTAAGAGCCTGGGTTTTAATATCCCTGTAGGTGAAGGAAAAGATGCTTTGGGAAATGAAGAGGTAGGGCTGAGGCTCCTGTGAAAG
This sequence comes from Homo sapiens, assembly GCF_000001405.40. NCBI lineage: Eukaryota > Metazoa > Chordata > Mammalia > Primates > Hominidae > Homo > Homo sapiens. Next base: position 159,642,030 of record NC_000001.11, on the reverse strand, counting down.
CAAGGACCTAGGATCTTCAGGGAAAGGAGAACTAGGAAAAAAATTAATGACCCAAATAAGGAAACTACAAGGACATGGGTATATAATTAAGCTCTAAGTGAAAAAAATGCACCCCTAAAAATGGAAACCCCAGACCTGAACATTATAGTAGTTTGCAGTCTGAATTTATGTCATCCACATGATCTAATAAGTCTCGAGCAAAGACACTAACATAAGCAAAAAATTGCCTTCTTGTGATGCTTTGGCGTTTGAAAATGCTTTAGCTATTTTAATTCTTTTTTGACTGGATGCTGAGCCAGTCCTTCACAATATATTTGGAATCCTTAAAGAGATTCTCAGTTTGAAGATGGTAGCATGATGTTGATATTTTCCTTCTCTTCTTGGAAATAATGTAAAAGCAAGGAGAGGAATAAGAATTAAAATATAAATTCTGCATATGAAAAAATTAGAAAACAGCTGAAATGTTGAACTGCAAAATGGGCGAAATGGCTTCTAAAAGCAGGGAAAGTTGAGCAGGGGTAGTTATGTCCAGAAGGAACCAGGGAGTTTGCCAGGCAAATGTGCTTCTTAAAGTTCAGAGTACACACTGAAGTACAAAGTAAATTATTCATTTTCAATAATGGTAAATATAGAACACAGACTGTCAGAAAGAATTTTCCTGGACTCGGTTTGTTTCCAGAACCAGAGAAAGTGGGACTAAGTGAGAAATCATGTAGCAAGCCATATGTGTCAGTCTTTTAGCATGTGAATCAGGGAAGGGGGATATTTCTCACTGTGAAGTATTCTACAGATGCCTATCTTAATAGGTTGAGAGAAGCAATGGGTAAACAGTATGACATAAAACCAAGAATCATAAAGAAAACTCCAGGTAACCTGGAACACAGTCCAGAAAAAAAGCCTCAGTCAAGCTGAGTAGCCAGAAAAGAAACTATCACAAGGTCTATACTATACAACAGTATTATGAGAAAATGGGAGTAAGAATAGGTAAGACAGTTGGATTCTGAAGAACAGACCCTCAGCAAAACATGTATATTGAGGGTATTTTGAAAGACATGCAAAAAATGTCAATTCATTTATGACAGAAAAAAAGCCAACCTCAGATTTCTCTAGAGCCTTACTATACCATGATGAGAGATGGTAGAGTAGTCCCTACAAAATTCTTAATAAAAAATGTGCTCCAAAGATTACCTTCATTGAATTTTTTTTTTAATTTAAAGGCAAAAGAAAAATATTTTGTCTTTTGCTCTTATATTTTTAACGGGCAAAAATTCAAAAAATATTGTTCCCATGAACCCTTCTTCAAGGTTCTCTTGGTGAATGAACTTTAGCCAACTAAAAATGACAAGAAAATGTACAAGAAAGAAATTGGCAAGAATAATTTACTGAACTGCAGAGTTAGAATTTAACAATTGTGGTAATTGAGGGATGAGAAAAGACCATAAATGTTATGTGCTCTGACAATATAAAAGTGATATGATTATATATACATATACATATTATAATAGGAGAAAAAGCTAGAAAGAAGGCAGGAGGTAGGATGGGTATACTGGTTTCCTCACTTTTTGTAGGTGGAGATCAAAACATGTAATATAAAACAGAAGTATTAAGTATTGCAGCTGTAACTATATTTAAGAATACAAATATCTTGCCTAAGTAAACATAATAAATACATAATGCAATTAAAATCGGATGTTTTTAGGGAGAGGAAAGTAAATAGGATGGAGAAGAAAAACACTGTTTTCATAATTGCTCATGATAGATAACTAGTAGGTGCTCTCTAAGAAAATGGAGTTTTAAGGGTATTATGTAAAGGAGTTATTATACAAAAAACTGTTAGAACAAAAATAACACTTCAAATTATCACAAGAAAGATACACCCAAAACAAAGAAATGGAAACAAAAATTCTATATGGAAGAAAACCCCAGATTTTAATATATAATATAATGTCAGAATCAAAACTCAAATTATTATATTAATAAATGTAAATAGGCCAACCATTCATGTAAAGGAAAAGAGTCAGATTAAATTACTAGGCAACACTCAATTCTAAAGCAAAATGATTCAGAAAGGTTGAAAATGAAAATAAAGGCAGTTATGCTAGGCAAATTCAAGCAAAAAGAATATCAGACATGGTTGAATTTAGGGCTAAAGGTATTTTAAGGATGAAAAAAGTACACTTTGTAATATTTAAGGGTGAAATTCACAATGAAGAAAATGCAAATATATTTTCATTAACTACATAGCATTAATAGTCATAAATAAAAAGTTATAGAACATATGAGAAGAAATAGATATTAATATCTATGGAGCTTTCATTAATACATATTAATATCTATATGAACATTTCTCAGTTCACACTCAAGTGGACAAAAGATAGCTAGCTAAGTATATAGAAGCCCTCAATCTCAAAAATAAGATCAAATTGATATATAACAAACTGTAGCCTGAAAACAGAGTCCATTTTTCATTCAAGTCCTCATGGAATATTCACAAAATTTGACCATACATTTCCCTACACACAAAATAACACATTTCAGAAAAATGGAAATAAAACAAAAAACATTTTCCTATAAAAGAAGATATAAAGTAATAAAAACTGAAGGAAATGAGAATCATAAAATTTTGGGGGAACAACTGAAACAATATTCCCCAAATACTCTATTGAATAACTCAGAGAAAAAATCCATACTAAATTGCAGAATATGTAGAAATTTAATAACAACACTAGAACAGCATTATAACTTACAGAATATTTTGCAGTGTTCAGAGAAATATTTAAAATCTCAAAATATATATTAATAAAAAGTGAGAATAAATGTGTTACTTCTATGTCTCAAGAAGTTATTAAAAATTCAATAAAATAATTTTATGGATAACAATGAAGGAATTAGGAAGGATGAAAGCAAAAATTAATGATTCAGAGAAAAGAGAAATGATAGATACAGCTAATAAATAAATGAAAGATGTCCTTTTGAAAAACCAGTAAAACAGAAAAACTAATAGCAAATTTGTATCAGTCAGGGTTCTACTAGAGAAACATAATGGCTTATGCGATTATAGGGCTGCTTAGGTAATTCTGAAATCCACAGGGCAGGCTATTAGGAAGGGCAGGCTGGAACTCTAGCATTAGTTAAAGCTGCAGTTCATAGAAGAATTTCTTCTTCTGAGAGGTCTCTGTTCTCTTAAGGCCTTTTGGTTGATTGAGTCACACTCACTCTACATTATCTAGGAAAATCTTCTTTACTTAAAGTACACTGATGATAGACTTTATTCACATCCACAAGATATCTTCACGACAATACCTAGATTAGTGTTTGGTTGAACAACTGGGTACTCTAGGTGACCACCACATAATCTAATCAAGAAAACAGAAAGGTGGCACAAATTTCTCAAATAATAAAAAGATTACTGAGGAAGTAACTACAGATGAAAAGAAAACTAAATACAATTAAAAGAAACATAATAGACATTTTTTCAACTCTATTCAAATAAAGGTAAAAACATTAAAGATATGGATAATTTTCTAGGAATATATAAATCTTCAAAACAAATTCCAGAAAAAGTGGAAAAATCAGAACATCAATTTCCATCAAGGACCTAAACATTTTTCTAGACACTATTCTTTCAAAGCATCATATTAAAGAACAGATGATTTATTCCCTTTTAAGTTCTCCTATAGCATTGCTGTAAATTAGAACATTCTGTGATGATAGATATGTTCTTGTTTACTGACCAGCGTGGTAGTCAGGGACGTGGCTATTGAGCATTTGAATGCAGCTAGTTCTATTGAGAAACCGAATGTTTATTTTATTTAACTTTTATTAATTTAAACAGCCGCATGTTGCTGTTTGGTACTATATTGGACAGTGCAGTTCCAGAGCATATAAAAGAAGGAGAGTTTTCAAATTCTTTCATCAAGAATGAATAAAATTGTAAGTCTAATAAAGATTGAACATGAAACAACCACAGACCAATGTCATTTATAAAAATGGATGCAAACACCCTAAATAAAATTAGCCAAAAGAAGCTAGTACCATAATGTATAAAGATATAAAAGCATAATTAAAAGCATAATATATAAAGATCAAGTTGGTTTATTATAGGTATTAAAAAGGCTCAGAAAGGTAAGAATTGTTGATATAATTTATCATATTAAGAGATTGTCTTAGTTAGTTTGAGCTGCTGTCACAGAAAACCATAAATTGGATGACTTAAATAACAAACGTTAATTTCTCCCAGTTCTGGAAACTGGAAGTTCAAGATCAGGGTGCCAGCGTGGCTAGGTTCTAGTGAAGGCTCTATTTGCAGATGGCCATCTTCTCATTGTGTTCTCAGGTGGCAGAAATAGAGAGGGCTAGCTCTCTTTCTTTTCTTATAAGGACAATAATCTCACAGAGGGGACTCCATCCTCATGAACCTCAAAGATGCCACATCCTAATACCATCCTATTGGGGGTTAGGGTTTCAAGATATGAATTTTGGGAGGATACATACATGAAATTATAACAGAGATCAACAACAAAAATATGACTAGAGGATTTCTACCATCATAAAAATGTTTAAACATTGTTGTAGAGATACTAGCCAAAATTAGGAGAGCAAAGAGAGGGGGAGGGAAAGAGAGGGAGAATGAAAGAGAGGAAGAGGAAAAGAGAGGGAGGGAAAGAGAGAAGGAGGGAGAATTGAAACTGCTTTTTGGGAAAACCCAAAGAATCAAGTGAAAGTTTATTCCCATGATAAGAAAATTTGGAAGAGTGACTGTGTGTAAAATTAATGTAAAGAAAGCAATAACCTTCATTTATACAAATAACCATTAGAGGATTTGATGAGAAGGAATCCAATTATTATGGCAACAGCAACAACAGGTAAAATTTCTGAGAAAAGTCTAAAGAAATGTGCAAGATCTAGTTGAAGAAAACTCTATAACCTCCTGGGAAACATAAAGGGAAACTTGAAGGAATTAGGAAGGATGTATTTTTCCTGGACAGGATTATATAAGTCAATCCATAAATTTAGAGTCATCTGATTAAATCACCAACAGGACTTTCTTTTGCAGTAAAGCAAACTGTTTCTAAAATTCGTAGAGAAAAGTTAAAAAGCAAGAATGGCCAAGGAAATTTCTACTATTAAACATAAAGTTATACAAATTCAAATAGTAGTATGATAGCACATAAACAGACCAATGTATCAGAATAGAGTCCAGACATGGACCTAAATGCATATGGGAATTTAGGGTCTGATGAAGGCATCATTTTAAAACAGTAGTGGAAAGGAAGAATAGTCAGACATCTGGGTAGCCATCTGGAATCAAAAAGGTTGCATCATATACACTGAACATTCTAGACCAAAATGGTTTCCAAGTGGATTAAAAATGCAAATGTAAAAATCTATCTTGTTATAGATGATTAGGAAGATTAAGGGAGTGTTTAAGAATAATTCTGGTTAGGAGAATTATTCTTAAACATGCCACAAAATGCAACAGTCATGGTCATGAAAATATTGATAAATTCAACCATATTAAACATTGTTTATTATAAAACCAAAGTCAAAAGACAAATGATGTAAGAAAAAGTATTTACAGGTCATGTTAAAAAAGACTGAGTTTTGTACAATATGAGTGATTTTTACAGATTGCTTGGAAAGAGACCAACAGCCCACTAGAAATATAGGCAAAAGGCATAAATAAGTAGTTCAGAGGAAAAGACATATCAGCAGCTCATTAAACTCATTAAAAGATGGGCAACTTTCTTTATAATTAGGAAAATGCAAATAAAAACTTCACTGCAATGCTAATTTTCATCAATCAGACTGAGAAACATCAAAAAGTTTGAAAACACAGTGGGTTGGCAAGCATGGGGGAAAGAGACACTCATTTATTGCTGTAGGAGAGCAAACTGCTACACTCTATGGCCACTGGGTTTGTGTTTAGCCAGATTTTATGACTGCAATTTCAGGAGAATATTTGGAGAGGAATCCTGATTTCAGGATATAAAGGAGACAGATTTTTGTGACCAGACTTCATAGCACAATATTACCTTTATGCTAGTGTTGTACTATAATGGTAACATTGTGCTACGTGGTATAATAGTCTGTATCACATAATAGTGATCTACAATTACCTACTCTAAATTGCACCCTTGGCTTTTAATTTCCTTAGTTCCCATGAAGGCCCTATTTTAATTAATTAATTAATCTATTCATTCACGTGATCAATATTTACTCTGTGCTAAGCCCTAGGAACTCCTCAGCTCTGCACCTGTATACTTAATTCTCTCCTGAAGCATAGCTCACTTTGACCTATCTATTGTAGGCACAAGTGGCTTGCTCTCACACTGTTCAATATTAATTTGCGATGCCACTTCTGGCCTTATGAAGCAGGGTACTAGGTTAATTTCCATCTTTCCTCTTGTTCTATCCCTGTGGGACTTACCAGCTGGGCTTATTGTCCAGTGTGTTTCCAGTGAAGTGAAACAGTGCAATGACATTATGCCTAAGACCCTATGAGACATCTGCTGTCCCAACCACAGGGTGTTAATTCAAAAACAAATATGAATTGATTGCCTACTAAGGCACAGAGATAGAGATATAGCAGTTAACAAAAGAGGGAACTTTTCTATTCTGATGGAATGAGAGTGTAAATATTCAAGTCCACAACTACTGCCCAGAGAGTATAGAGGCTGCTGTCTGGCAGGAGTCTTTCATTTAGGACGGACTAGTTAGAAATGGGACTCAAGTGCATTGGTGAAGTGAAGCAGGCACACAGGGCTGGATTGTAGAATGCCACTAGGTAAGGCAGGAAGGAAGCATAACTAGGGAGGCAAACCTGTGCTCATTGTCCAAGAAGCTGTAATGAAATAGGAATAGATTAAGCTGACTACAGATGATGGCCCAGTTGAGAGAAAAGAACTCTGTAACAGAGAGAAATTCTTCCCAGAAGTCTGAGGGGTAACTTCAGATAACCCCAAAGCTGAAATCAGGTGAGAGTTGTAACTTCAGATTTCTGAAATTGGGAGGGCCAAAACTTAATGAAAGCAGGATATAGAGGGATAGTGTGTGAAAATAATTTTATTTGTCAAAAAGTAATAGAGGCATGTTCATGGGAGCAACATTTATAACATTTATAATTGAATGTTATAACATTCAATTATATTGACATTATAATATAACATTCAATTATATAAACACTGTTATATATAATCGAAGGGTTATATATATATATTATATATGTTATATATAGCTGAAGGGTTGCTTCAGCTTCAGGAAAGGAGATTATGCGAATAGGTAAATCTCCCACTATTCTAAATGGCAAGGTCACTGTAAGAGTCTTTACCCTGCATCCCTGTCCCTACACATTTTTGCAACTTTAGCCTTAGCTACAGGGTATTGATAAAGGCATCAAAGATCTAAACTACTACAGCCTCACATTGTGGAGCTTCCAGAATTTAATTCACTATGGCTAATGTTTACTAAATACTAAGTACTTAACGTGTCAATCACTGTAACTAGCGCTTTACATACATTATCTTATTCTAAATAAGATTTTAAAATGGAGGTATTATATACATTGTCAATCTAACAAACAGAAAAACACTTTCTTAAAAAAATCATGTTTATTTGGAAATAGGCATTGCAAGAGGAATACACACACCATAGTAAACTATGCTCATATTCAGGGAGGTAAAGGAAGACAATTTCTAGACCAAAATGGTTTCTAAAAGGATTAAAAATGTAAATGTAAAAAACTTGCTATAAATGATTAGGAAAACTAAGGAAGTCTTTAAGAAAACTAGTTCAACCATTGTGGAAGTCAGTGTGGAGATTCCTCAGGGATCTAGAACTGGAAATACCATTTGACCCAGCCATCCCATTACTGGGTATATACCCAAAGGACTATAAATCATTCTGCTATAAAGACACATGCACACGTATGTTTATTGCGGCATTATTCACAATAGCAAAGACTTGGAACCAACCCAAATGTCCAACAATGATAGACTGGATTAAGAAAATGTGGCACATATACACCATGGAATACTATGCAGCCATAAAAAATGATGAGTTCATGTCCTTTGTAGGGACTTGGATGAAATTGGAAATCATCATTCTCAGTAAACTATCACAAGAACAAAAAACCAAACACCACATATTCTCACTCATAGGTGGGAATTGAACAATGAGATCACATGGACACAGGAAGGGGAATATTACACTCTGGGGACTGTTGTGGGGTGGGGGGAGGGGGAAGGGATAGCATCGGGAGATATACCTAATGCTAGATGACGAGTTAGTGGGTGCAGCACACCAGCATGGCACATGTATACATATGTAACTAACCTGCACAATGTGCACATGTACCCTAAAACTTAAAGTATAATAATAATAAAAAAAAAGATACTGCAAGAAGGAACAACAACAACAAAAAAAAGAATAATTCTGGTTAGGAGAAGACCTATATAACATGCCACAAAGTACACCAGTCATGAAAATATTGATAAATTCAACTATGCTAAACATTATTTATTATAAAAGCAAGTCAAAAGACAAATGATATAGGAAAAAAATGTATTTTTTAAAGGAAGAATGAGAAGGGTTACATATTGTTTTGAGATAATTCTCCTTGTCTACAAGGTTCAGTAACAAGGGTGGCACTAATCTGAGGGTGGACAGGCAGTTGCTGAGTGATGTTCTCACAGAAGTATTGTGTGTGTGTGTGTGTGTGTGTGTGTGTGATGATAGCCTTTGTGCAAGGTTGTGGTTTTTGCAGTCTTTTGTGATAGTTCTTGTCATCAGGCATTTGTGCATAAGAACTCTCTCTTTATGACCTTCCATAGCTCTATTTGGGCAGGGTTTTTAACACAAGTGACTCCTTTTTGCTTCTTGCAACTTTCACAACATACAGCAGTGTATGCAAATTAGAAATGCATAGCTGAATGCATTATCATAAAGTGAAGCACCCATAAACCTACCACCAGGTCAAGAAATAGAACATTCTCAGGACTCCTGAAGTATTCCTCATGCCTCCTCCCAATGACTACTTTCTCTCTTCTCTCTAAAAATTATAATTATCCTGGCTTCTAACATCATAGCTTGACCATGTCTGTATTTGAACTTTGTATAAAACAGAATAAAGTAGTTTGCATTGTTTTGTGTTTGGCTTCTTTTCCTCAAAATTATGTTTGTGAGATTTATTCATATTGCTCAATTTAGCAGTAATTTATTTATTCTTATTGCAACATTCTATGTATGAATATAGCACAATTTATCCATTGTACTATTAATGAACATGTGGAAAGTTTCCACTATTTCGTTATTATAATTATTTTTAATGAACATTGTTGCATACATCTCTTGGTGAAAATATGTATGTACTTTAAGTTATAATTAGAAATGAAATTGCTAACTCATAGGGTATATACATATTTAGGGTTAGTAAAATTTACCACATAATTTTCCCAAGTGGGTATATACCATTTTACTCTTTCAGTTATCATTGCATGAGAGTTCAAGGTGCTCCTCATCACTCCAACACAGCATTGTCAGCTTTTACAGTTTTAACTCTTTGGGCAAGTGTGTGGTGATATTTCATTGTGGCTTTAAATTTGATTTCCCTGATCACTACGAAGGTTGGACCCTTTTCACATGTTTATTTGCCATTTGGATATCCTCTTCTCTAAAATGCCTATTTAAGTCTACTGTGTTTCTTCTTTCAGATTCTTTAAAGTTTTCTCATATACTTTTAGAAGTTTTTATATATACTACATGTAACATTTAAGAAAAATCTCTTCCCAAGTTAATTTACAGGTTTAATGGAATATCAATAAAAATCCAAACAGTTTATTTTGTGGAAATTAAAAAGTCAATTCTAAAATTTACATGGGAATGCAAAAGAACAAGAATAGCTAAGAAAATTTTGAAGAAGAATTAAGTTGGAGGATTACTCTATCAAATTTCAAGACTTGTTTTAAATGGAAAGTAATATATTATGGTTTTGACTCATGGATAGAAGATCAGTAAAACAGAGTAGAAATGAGAAAGAGACCCCCAATGTATGGACACTTAGACTTAAGATGAATAAAACAGAGTAGAGACCAGAAAGAGACCCCCAATGTATAGGCACATGACTTATGACAATGTGACATTGAAAAGCAGTGGGAAAATATTTTCACTAATAAATTATCCTGAATCAACTAAATATCTAAATGGAAAAAAATGAAACCTAATCCTGGCCTCACATCATACTTAAAAATAAAGTCCAGGTGGATTGTAGATGTAAACATATAAGACAAAATAATAAAGCTTCTAGAAGATCACATCAGGGAATGTCTTCATGACCTTGCGGAAAGTGAAAGATTTCTTAGACAGGACACCCAAAGCATTAACCATGAAGGAAAAGATTGATAAATTGGGTGACATTGAAATAAAGAATGTTCATCAAAGGACACCATTGGGAGAGTGAAAAGGCCAGCCACAGGAGTGGAAAATATATTTGCTGGTTGTTTGATAGAGTCCTGTGTCACCTGGCTTCTGGCTGGCTTTGGACAGTGGGAGACGGGAGGACAGAAGTTAATGGAAAAATGAGAGTGTTTATCGCTCATTCTGCCTTGGGTAGCATCTCCAGCAGCAGCAACATCTCTTCCATGGCTCCCACTCTAATCCCAACATTTACCAGGTGATCCTGATACTGGGTTCTGAGAACATTTCTTCTATCAGGCCCCATTAGTGCCCTAATTCACACCCTTTCAGCTTCATTTCAGCACAACTGCAGTAAACAACTGGACAGTTTCAACTCATCTCAAGCTTACAGGGTCTCACGTCAATGCTAGCCATCTTTCACTTTCTCTCATGGGATTTCTACTACACTGTAGAAGTTTCTGAAAGTCTGTATGGCAAGCAACCATGTACAAACAGAAACTGTAGGATATCAATACCCTGAAGGTGACTGATATGGTTTGGCTCTGTGTCCCTACCCAAATCTCATGTCCATTTGTAATCCCTGCATGTTGAAGGAGCGGCCACATGGGAAGTGATTTAATCTAGGGGCGGACTTCCCCCATGCTGTTCTTATGAGAGGATTCTCATGAGATCTGGTTGTTAAAAAGTGTGTAGCACCACCCGGTTTGCTCTCTCTCCCCTGCCACCATGTGAAGATGTGCTTGCTTCCCCTTTGCCCTTCTGCCATGATTGTAAGTTTCCTGAAGCCTCCCCAACCATGCCGCCTGTACAGCCTGTGGAACTGTGAGTCAATTAAACCTTTTTTCTTCATAAATTATCCAGTTTCACATAGTTTTTTTTATAGCAGTGTGAGAACAAATACAGTGACTCTCCACCAAGGAGAGATGGAAGCTGATGAACAAACACTTCTCCCACGTGATCCTTATGTGGAAAAAATCTGAGTCTTCTACATGATCCTCAAAAGATCCTGTGTGGGAATGAGCTTCAGTTGCCCAAAGCAGTTATCTAAACAATGCATCCTTATCTTGAATTTTTCTCCTCTTCTCATTCTGGTACCTCACTCCAGCTTCTTGAAATCACCTCCTAAATAAACTACTTACACATAAGCTCTGATTTCAGGCTCCGATTTGCAGTGGGAGGCATGGAAAAGAGCAAAGAACCCAAGCTAAGATGCTGCTTTCTTTGTCCTTCTTATTTAGGGCGGTACCAGATTCTTGATGTTGCTAATCCTTGGGTTACCTCATTGTATCTTGTTGGTATTCTCAGCTCTTTTATTGCCTGTGTAACCAATTTCCTATATTAAGCTTTTCTGTTTTACACATGTAGAGTGGATTTTGTTAGTTGGTATTGGAAAGTTTTCTAATGGCATCTTCCTTGTAAAGAATTACCTCTAGACCTCAGAGAAAAAAGGGGCTCAACATTTAGAGTGTGAATTTCTCACCTTTTCTCTGGGTGAGAGAAATGATGTGACATAGTTAACTGATGCTATAATAAGGCTGAAAATCATAAGACACACACAAATAAATTACCTCTCAAGCCACCCCAACCCAAACATTGCAGCTACCACTAAGTACAAAATGGCAGGAGAGGCTTGCCTAGTTGGACTCTGACTGATAAACCATTCTAGTTTCTATCCCTCCACTCTATCACCTTGTAATATTTCTCTATCCTGGCCCTAGTCCCTCCATATAGCCTTGACTATGCATGGGCTTCTGCCTTTTTTCTCCACATTTTTTCACTCTAAGAGGTCATCTGATCTTAGTCATTTATCATTTCTTTGTTGCAGGAACAGGAAAGCACAACATAGTATAGTAGTTAAGCTCTTGAACTTAGTTAGGATTAAATGTGTTTATATATGTAAAGCACTTAGAACAATCTTGATACGTAAAAAGCACTAAATAAATGTAATTTTTCACTGTGACTCCCAAATCTACATTTTTAATTCTGTTTTCTTTCTCAAGCTGCAGCTCTGCATATCCTGATTCATCATGAACATTTTCCTAAACAATTTGATAAATTATTTTTTATTCATTCAGTTAAAATATACTTGCTGTCATTATGTTCCATATTTTCAGTTGTAGTTCTCTGTCACTTCTAGCTTAACATTTTGGAAACCAATTTTTTCATCTATTCTTTCTACTGGCAACTCTCCCCTATTCCTCAAGGTAAGTTTCTTATTCGTAACATTTTTGATATTGTCAATTGCTTCACCATTTTCTTAGTAATAATTGTAATGATAATAATTATAATAATTTGTAGGGTGGCTTAGATTTGATAAATTAACACACTATTTAAATGACTGAGGCAGGACTTCCACTAATTTGGAAAATTTGGAGTCACTTTTAATTCATTTCTGTGCTTATCCTTGCTTATGAATTATTCCTTTGAACTGTGTCCTTGCCCTGAATTTTGACACACCACTTTTACCCTAGACTCTTCATTCCATGCTGGAGACTTTTAATACTCTAATTTACTGTTCATGAGGAGTTCAGTTCAACCTGAAGAGCGTGGTGGAGTAGACAATAGTCAGACACTGGCATGCCAGTCTGGACCTTGCTACTAATGGCAAGCTTTCTGACATGGGCCATCACTTAACTGCTCTTGTCTCATTTCCTTATATACGGGGTAAAATTAAGGTAGAGTTGTAGTGTCTGTATGATCATTTGACATGGAAACATTCTGATTGTGTGACATCCCTCAGCTTCTGTCCTTGTCTTTATGCCTCATTTTAATGCTCCTCATAGCCTAGCTTTACCTGTGAGACCAACTTCATATTGTCTTGATTCTTTATTTTCCCGTCAGGCAAGTCTCTACCCAGGTGTATGAACATAACAGGATCATTACCTATTCTTGTGTCTTTGTAAGTGTTTCTGTATAAGAGAGTAGATGCAAGGACTAAGTGAGATTACCAAGCTCTCCTCTGAACAATCAGAACCATACTTCTCAGCCACTTAATTCTGAGTAACACTTAGTACTTGGTACTACCTTCTATGTACTTCTTTGTTTCATGGGTCAGGGCATGTATTAGTCAATTTTCATGCTGCTGATAAAGACACACCCAAGAGTGGGCAATTTACAAAAGAAAGAGATTCATTGGACTATGGTTTCATGTGTCTGGGGAGGCCTCACAATCATGGCAGAAGGTGAAAGGCACCTCTCACATGGCAGCAGACAAAGAGAATGAGGAAGATGCAAAAGCAGAAACCCCTGATAAAACCGTCAGATCTTGTGAGAATTATTCACTACCATGGAAACAGTATGGGGGAAACCACCCCCATGATTCAATTATTTCCCACCAGGTCCCTCCCACAACACATGGGAATTATGGGAGTACAATTTAAGATGAGATTTGGGTGGGGATACAGAGCCAAACCATATCAGAGCACTATGTGCCTACATTTTTATTCACATAAAGTTACAACATGGTCAATATTAAGGTTAGCCTTCAGATGAAAAATGGCAAATCTCATCAAAGCCTAAAGTGTTTACAATAGCAAAAAGCCTCTCTTGCCATTTTGTATTTAGTGGTAGCTGCAATGTTTGGGTTGGGGTGGCTTGAGAAGTAATTTATTTGTGTGTGTCTTATGATTTTCAGCCTTATGATAGCATCAGTTAACTATGTCACATCATTTTTCTTATCCAGAGAAAAGGTGAGAAATTCACACTCTAAATATTGGGCCCCTTTTTACTCTGAGGTCTAGAGGTAATTCTTTACAAGGAAGATGCCATTAGAAAACTTTCCAATACCATATTAAGAAAGAATCTCAAACAGTTAAGCAGAAACAATATGATGGTACTCACTGAAAGTACCACAGTGAAGAAAACTCAGTAGGAGTGAAAGATGATGGAAATACTCCTGTTTGTCAAATAATTAAGATAGCAAATGATGTGTAAGCAAAGGCAATGCACTTAGAGAAAAAAAGGAAACTAAAAGGTGGTGGTTGGGGGGAATACTGACAGTCTGAGGCTGCAAAGGAACAAGATATTTATACATAAGCTCCGTGCCTGGAGGGAATCTTGTTTTGTGTAGAAACAAATTCAAATAGATGATATAGGATAACTCTCTGTAAATATGATTCATGTGTAAATGACTCTGTGGTAAAAAGTAACCTGTGGCCACTTCTCCTGAGGCCTTTAAAAACAAATAAGTTCTAAGGTATCTGTAATGGATTAAGTAATATTTTAAGCAATATATGGTAATCAGATGTAAAAATCTATGTGACTGGAAAAAAAACCAACTCTAGAACTAAACGACCTGCTACTCCAACCCAACTTGCCTACAGGACAGAGTTTTCAAGGGAGGAATATGGACATCTGTGCTTCTGTGTTTTTATCTGGTGAGGTACATCTGCGCTGTTTCAGGCACCAGAGCTCTGTCTCAGATGCAGGCTTTGTTCAAAGGTATAACCCTGCTTGACCTGTTGCATGACATGCTCACATGACTGTCAGTTTACACTGACCCTTTAACATGTGTTAAACACTTGAAGTGTTAATATGTGTTAGCACTTTAACATGTGTTAAAGCAAAGTAAGCAGAAGGTGATTGGCCTGAGGTTGTTTCTCTACCTGGAAGGCTTACACAAGTTTTACAAAACTAAACTTAGAGGCATTCCTTGTACCTGATTAACTTTGAATTGAGTTTCAGCCAATCACAGACAACTAACTAGCTGATTGTTTATATATCTAGGGACCTCCCATCAAACCATACCCAATTAAGGCAAATGCCTAGCTGTAGACAATCAAATAATGTCTTTGCTTTGCATCCATGCTCAGCCTACAAAAGCCAACTGCTTACATTGCTGAAGTGGAGCTCTCTGAATGTCTTCCAGTTTTAAGTTTTGCTTGATTTATGAATTGTTCTTTGCTCAAATAAACCCAGTTAAATTTATTTTGCCTAAAGTTTTTTTTTTTTTTTTAACACACGTGAGGAGGAAAATTAAAAAAAGTTGAAAGAAAACAATTTCAGCCTTCCCTCCCTGTTCAGATTTACTTCTCTATGGAAGTCATACTTTGCTTTCCTGAGGTGGGCTTTCTGCTTTCCCACCTACAGTTTTGGCCCCATATCGGTTCCCAAGCCCATCTGAGCTTGAGGCAAGAAGGATTGATTCTGCTTAGAAACAGGATTTCTTTGACTATCTTTCTCCACATTCAGGTTCCATGGGGCTGCTGGCCTGTATAATATCCCTTATTTGGTAACCTATTTTTATGGTGCCCCTGCTCTGGCCTTTTGTCTCTGATATCCCACCTTAGAGACCATCCAGAGTACTGAGCTTTTCCTTGCTCTCCTAATTCAACACACGCTTTCATTTTTATGCTTTTTATTTGGTTGCAATTTTTCATTCTACCCTTTTCTGCTCTCTAACTCCTACTCTTTCACTGAGAGACCCCTTCTTTTCTGTCTTCCCCATCCTATTTCTTTTGCTGTACTCCTGCTCTGCTTCTAGGGTATATCATAGGTATGACTCTATTATAACAATTACCAATATCAATTTATTTAAGTCACTCATTGTATTGTTAACTCCTTGGAGAAGGACTGTCTATCAAAAACCTCAGGAAATAATAGTTGAGTTAATTAATGCATATTCCCTGTTCTGACTTTCTGTTCTAGTTACCTGTTTTGTCCTGTGCTAAACATAAGAATTGGGATCCTTTTTTACCCTTGACAGCAAGTTTCCCTCTTTAATAACCAAAGCTGATGTAACAAACCTCAGTCCAGGACCTTCAGTCTGTGGAATCATACGTGCTCTTTTCTTCTGGTATACAATCTGACTCCTTCATCTTATGCCACTGATGAGTTAAGACTGAAATGTGCTCTACTGTTAACTATACTTTTTTCCAGTCCTATTAAACTTTTTGTTATCAGCAGCTGCCAATGAGTGCTTCTCTGGCCCATATGGGTGGACCTAGAGCAGTGTTTCCCAAAATATAGTTCCTGGGAATCCTAATTAAAGATACTTGAGGTTCTTATTAAAAGTGAAACATTTTCAGATTTTTCACCTGCAGAACTTCATGGGCAAGTGACCTCTTGAACAGAGTCCTGTGCTTAGAAGGGTCCTGTACTTAGGTTTATAATACACTGTTGATGCTACCTTGAAAGTCTTCATAATTTGGGACAAAGGGCCTTGCATTTTCATTTTGCATTGACCCCCCAAAATTATGTAGCTAGGCCTATCCTGTGTGTGTATGTATGTTTGAAGTGTGTCATAAATATTCATTTTTAAGAAACAATTATTTCCTGACATTCTTCAGAAACCTACCATGAAGAATTTTTAAAAAGTTAATTTCTAATGTTAGTGAGAATATGAGGAAACGAGCAGTCTCACTTATTATTGTGGTAATGTAATTTTCTTAGAGGAAAATTTAATCATATGCATATATGCACACACAACACACACATATACACTTAAAAAGCTCCTTTGGATTTGAAATCCAAAATCTTAATACATTATTTTCTATATCTTTACCCATAGGGCTATTTATTTAGTTTTGACTTTTATTACTTTTATTTCTAAATTTTATTCTTATTAAGGTAGTGCAATCCCATAGCTTAAAAATAAAATAATACTAAAAAGCTGTGTAAAATGAAAAACAGTGATTTCCAGCTTTATCCCTCTTCATCCCTAAGTCTTACTTCCTAGAAGCAATTCATTTAGCTTGGTCTTCTTGTAGTTATTTCTCTATTTCTTTTTTCTTTAAATTATATAAATATATATATATTTATTATACTTTAAGTTTTAGGGTACATGTGCACAACATTCAGGTTAGTTACGTATGTATACATGTGCCATGTTGGTGTGCTGCACCCAGTAACTCGTCATTTAACATTAGGTATATCTCCAAATGCTATCCTTCCCACCTCCCCCCACCCCACAACAGGCCCTGGGGGTGTGATGTTCCCTTTCCTGTGTCCATGTGTTCTCATTGTTCAATTCCCACCTATGAGTGAGAACATGCGGTGCTTGGTTTTTTGTCCTTGCGATAATTTGCTGAGAATGATAGTTTTCAGCTTCATCCATGTCCCTACAAAGGATATGAACTCATCATTTTTTATGGCTGCATGGTATTCTATGGTGTATATGTGCCACATTTTCTTAATCCAGTCTATCACTGTTGGACATTTGGGTTGGTTCCAAGTCTTTGCTATTGTGAATAGTGCCATAATAAACATACGTGTGTATGTGTCTTTATAGCAGCATGATTTATAATCCTTTGGGTATATACCCAGTAATGGGATGGCTGGGTCAAATGGTATTTCTAGTTCTAGATCCCTGAGGAATCACCACACTGACTTCCACAATGGTTGAACTAGTTTATAGTCCCACCAACAGTGTAAAAGTGTTCCTATTTCTCCACATCCTCTCCAGCACCTGTTCTTTCCTGACTTTCTAATGATTGCCATTCTAACTGGTGTGAGATGATATCTCACTGTGGTTTTGATTTACATTTCTCTGATGGCCAGTGATGATGAGCATTTTTTCATGTGTCTTTTGGCTGCATAAATGTCTTCTTTTGAGAAGTGTCTGTTCATGTCCTTCGCCCACTTTTTGATGGGGTTGTTTGTTTTTTTCTTGTAAATTTGTATGAGTTCATTGTAGATTCTGGATATCAGCCCTTTGTCAGATGAGTAGATCATAAAAATTTTCTCCCATTCTGTGGGTTGCCTGTTCACTCTGATGGTAGTTTCTTTTGCTGTGCAGAAGCTCTTTAGTTTACTTAGATCCCGTTTGTCAATTTTGTCTTTTGTTGCCATTGCTTTTGGTGTTTTAGATATGAAGTCCTTGCCCATGCCTATGTTCTGAATGGTATTGCCTAGGTTTTCTTCTAGGCTTTTTACGGTTTTAGGTCTTATGTTTAAGTCTTTAATCCATCTCGAGTTAATTTTTGTATAAGGTGTGAGGAAAGGGTACAGTTTCTGTTTTCTGCATATGGCTAGCCAGTTTTCCCAACACCATTTATTAAGTAAGGAATCCTTTCCCCATTGTTTGTTTTTGTCAGGTTTGTCAAAGATCAGATGGTTGTAGATATGCAGCATTATTTCTGAGGGCTCTGTTCTATTCCCTTGGTCTATATCTCTGTTTTGGTGCCAGTACCATGGTGTTTTGATTACTGTAGCCTTGTAGTATAGTTTGAAGTCAGGTAGCTATTTCTGTATTTCTATACTACTTCTCTTCTTGATTTATCAAATTGAAATAATCCATTAACTTCCTGTCATAATACAGATGATTTAGCTCTCTTACACCTTCCTGAAGTCATTCTATTACACTTAATATGTGTCTATTTTACATATATTCTAGAAACTTGTTGGTTTCATATGCACATATTTTCAGGTCTATGAAATTCTTATGTTTTATATTTAATTTTGTCTTACTTTTTTTTTTTTTTTTTTTTTTTTTTCTTACTGAGTGCTGTGTGTTTAGGATTTATCCAGGTTGCTTTATACTTGCGCATGTATACAACGGCATTTGAAGAGGTTTATTCACTTTGGCATTGCTGGTCATAGAAAAAGATTAGTGCCAAACTAATTAACAGGGGATGAATTAAATGAGTACAGTAGAATACCCTGCCACAGCTAGAAAGCATGAATTGGATCTTACTCTGCTCAGCAGGTGCAAAAGTGGTGGAAGTGGATCAAAGTTTCTATCTAGGTAAAGACTGGAAGATCACTTGACATGGAATTATCTTTGTAGGCCATGTGCAGCTTTCATTCTTGTGGAGGCTGGATGGTTGATTGGTAGGGTATCTGGGTGCACCAAGGGGCTCAAACAATGCCCCTCACTCTCTATGATAATTCTCCAGGCCAGCTTGGCTGTCACTATCTGCATACTGCTTTCTCTTTTGGATCATATTTTCTCTATGAATCCCAGTCTAGGGAGCCTTCCACGTTTTCTTGCTCTTTTTTTTTGCCTCTCCTTCTTCCAGCTCCTTTTATTTCCTTGGGAAGAAATCCACTAGCCTATTAAAACAGAGCCCACATCATTAATAGTAGAAATAAGACATGTTTTCAGTTTTTTTTTTTTTTGTTATACTTTAAGCTCTGGGATACATGTGCAGAATATGCAGGTTTCTTACATAGGTATACATGTGCCATGGTGGTTTGCTGCACCCATCCTCCCATCACCTACATTAGATCTTTCTCCTAATGCTATCCCTCCCCTTGTCCCCCACCTTCTGACAGGCCCCAGTGCGTGATGTTCCCCTCCCTGTGTTCATGTGTTCTCATTGTTCAACTCCCACTTATGAGTGAGAACATGCAGTGTTTGTTTTCCTGTTCCTGTGTTAGTTTACTGAGAATGATGGTTTCCAGCTTCATCCATGTCCCTGAAAAAGACATAAACTCTTTTTTTTATGGCTGCATAGTATTCCATGTTGTATATGTGCCACATTTTCTTTATCCAGTCTATCGTTGATGGGCATTTGGGTTGCTTCCAACTCTTGGCTATTGTGAATAGTGCTGCAATAAACATACATAGAATAGTAGAATGATTTATACTCCTTCAGGTATATACCTAGTAATGGAAATTGCTGGGTCAAATGGTATTTCTAGTTTTACATCCTTGACGAATTGCCACACTGTCTTCCACGATAGTTGAACTAATTTACAGTCCTGTCAACAGTGTAAAAGCGTTCCTATTTCTCCACATCCTCTGCAGCATCTGTTGTTTCCTGACTTTTTAATGATTGCCGTTCTAACTGGTGTGAGATGGTATCTCATTGTGGTTTTGATATGCATTTCTCTAATGACCGGTGATGATGAGCTTTTATTTATATGTTTGTTGGCAGCATAACTGTCTTCTTTTGAGAAGTGTCTGTTCATATCCTTCACTCAATTTTTGATGCGGTTGTTCGATTTTTTCTTGTAAAGTTGTTTAAGTTCCTTGTTTGTTTAAGTTCCTTTGTTTAAGTTTCTTGTAAATTCGTTTAAGTTCTTTGTATATTCTGGATGTTAGACTTTTCTCAGATGGGTAACTTGCAAAAATTTTCTCCCATTCTGTAGGTTGCCTGTTCACTCTGATGATAGTTTATTTTTCTGTGCAGAAGCTCTTTAGTTTATTAAGATCCCACTTGTCAATTTTGGCTTTTGTTGCCATTGCTTTTGGTGTTTTAGTCATGAAGTCTTTGCCCATCCCTATGTCCTGAATGGTATTGCCTAGGTTTTCTTCTAGGGTTTTCATGGTTTTAGGTCTTATGTTTAAGTCTGTAATCCATCTCAAGTTAATTTTTGTATAAGGTATGAGGAAAGGGTACAGTTTCTGTTTTCTGCATATGGCTAGCCAGTTTTCCCAACACCATTTATTAAGTAGGGAATCCTTTCCCCATTGTTTGTTTTTGTCAGGTTTGTCAAAGATCAGATGGTTGTAGACATGTGGTGTTATTTCTGAGTCCTCTGTTCTTTTCCATTGGTCTATATATCTGTTTTGGTACCAGTACCATGCTGCTTTGGTTACTGTAGCCTTATAGCATAGTTTGAAGTCAGGTAGTGTGATGCCTCCAGCTTTGTTCTTTTTGCTTAGGATTGTCTTGGCTATATGGGCTCTTTTTTGATTCCACATGAAATTTAAAGTAGTTTTTTATAATTCTGTGAAGGAAGTCAATGGTAGCTTGATGGGAATAGCACTGAGTGTATATATTTGGGCAGTAGGGCCATTTTCACAATATTGATTCTTCCTATCCATGAGCATGGAATGTTTTTCCATTTGTTTGTTTCCTCTTTTATTTCCTTGAGCAGTGGTTTGTAGTTCTCCTTGAAGAGGTCCCTTATGTCCCTTGTAAGTTGTATTCCTAGGTATTTTATTTTCTTTGTAGCAATTGTGAATGGGAGTTCACTCATGATTTGGCTCTCTATTTGTCTATTATTGGTGTATAGGAATGTTTGTGATTATTGCACACTGATTTTGTATCCTGAGACTTTGCTGAAGTTGCTTATCAGTTTAAGGAGATTTTGGGCTGATACAATGGGGTTTTCTAGATATACAATCATGTCATCAGAGACAATTCGACTTCCTGTCTTCCTATTTGAATACCCATTATTTTTTTTCTCTTGACTGATTGCCCTGGCCAGAACTCCCAATACTATGTTGAATAGGAGTGGTGAGAAAGGGCATACTTGTTTTGTGCCAGTTTTCAAAGGGAATGCTTCCAGCTTTTGCCCATTCAGTATGATATTGGCTGTGGGTTTGTCATAAATAGCTCTTATTATTTTGAGATACGTTCCATCAATACCTAGTTTTTTGAGTGTTTTTAGCATGCAGGGGTGTTGAATTTTACCAAAGGTCTTTTCTGCATCTATTTAGATAATCATGTGGTTTTTGTCATCGGTTCTGTTGAAGTGATGGGTTACGTTTATTGATTTGTGTATTTTGAACCAACCTTGCATCCCAGGGATGAAGCCAACTTGATTGTGTTGGATAAGCTTTTTGATGTGCTGCTGGATTCGGTTTGCCAGTATTTTATTGAAGATTTTCACATCGATGTTCATCAGGGATATTGGCCTGAAATTTTCTTTTTTTGTTGTGTCTCTGCCAGGTTTTCGTATCAGGGTGATGCTGGCCTCATAAAATGAGTTAGGGAGGATTCTCTCTTTTTCTATTGTTTGGAATAGTTTTGGAAGGAATGGTACCAGCTCCTCTTTGTAGCCGTGATAGAATTCGGCTGTGAATCCTTCTGGTCCTGGGCTTTTTTTGGTTGGTAGGCTATTAATTACTGCCTCAATTTCAGAACTTATTATTGGTCTATTCAGGGATTCAACTTCTTCCTGGTTTAGTCTTGGTAGGGTGCATGTGTCCAGGAATTTATCCATTTCTTCTAGATTTTCTAGTTTATTTGCATAAAGGTGTTTATAGTATTGTCTGATGGTAGTTTGTATTTCTGTGGGATCAGTGGTGATATCCCCTTTATCTTTTTTTTATTGTGTCTATTTGATTCTTCTCTCTTTTCTTCTTTATTAGTCTGGCTAGCAGCCTATTTTGTTAATATTTTCAAAAAAACAGCTCCTTAGTTCATTGATTTTTTGAAGGGTTTTTATGTGTCTCTATATCCTTCAGTTCTGCTCTGATCTTAGTTATTTCTTGTCTTCTGCTAGCTTTTGAATTTGTTTGCTCTTGCTTCTCTAGTTCTTTTAATTGTGATGTTGAAGTGTTGATTTTCAATCTTTCCTGCTTTCTTTTGTGGGCATGTGTTGCTATAAATTTCCCTCCAAGCATTGCTTTAGCTGTGTCCCAGAGATTCTGGTATGTTGTTTCTTTGTTTTTATTGGTTTCAAAGGGGAATATTTCTTATGTACCCAGTAGTCATTCAGGAGCAATTTGTTCAGTTTCCACGTAGTCATGTGGTTTTGAGTGAGGTTCTTAATCCTGAGCTCTAATTTGATTGCACTGTGGTCTGAGAGACTGCTTGTTATGATTTCTGTTCTTTTGCATTTGCTGAGGAGTGTTTTACTTCCAATTATGTGGTCAGTTTTAGAATAAGTGTGATGTGGTGCTGAGAAGAATGTATACTCTGTTTATCTGTGTGGTGGAGAGTTCTGTAGATGTCCATTAGGTCTGCTTGGTCCAGAGCTAAATTCAAGTCCTGAATATCCTTGTTAATTTTCTGTCTCATTGATCTGTCTAATATTGACAGTGGTGTGTTAAAGTCTCCCACTGTTATTGTGTAGGAGTCTAAGTCTCTTTGTAGGTCTCTAAGCACTTGCTTTATGAATCTGGACGCTCCTGTATTGGGTGCATATATATTTAGGATAGTTAGCTCTTCTTGTTGCATTGATTCCTTTACTATTATGTAATGCCCTTCTTTGTCTCTTTTGATCTTTGTTGGTTTAAAGTCTGTTTTATCAGAGACTAGGATTGCAACCCCTGCTTTTTTTTTTTTTTTTTTTTTTTTTTGCTTTCCATTTGCTTGGTGAATCTTCCTCCATCCCATTATTTTGAGCCTTTGTGTGTCTTTGGACATCAGAAGGGGCTCCTGAATAAAGCACACCGATGGGTTTTGACTCTTTATCCAATTTGCCAATCTGTGTCTTTTAATTGGGGCATTTAGCCCAGTTACATTTAAGGTTAATATTGTTATGTGTGAATTTGATCCTGTCATTATGATGCTAGCTGCTTATTTTTCCTGTTAGTTGATGCAGTTTCTTCATAGTGTTGATGGTCTTTACAATTTGGTATGTTTTTGCAGTGGCTGGTACCAGTTGTGCCTTTCCATGTTTAGTGCTTCCTTCAGGAGCTCTTGTAAGGTAGGCCTGCTGGTGACAAAATCTCTTAGCATTTGCTTGCCTGTAAAGGATTTTATTTCTCCTTCGTTTATGGAGCTTAGTTTGGCTGGATATGAAATTCTGGGTTGAAAATTCTTTTCTTTAAGAATGTTGAATATTGGCCCCCACTCTCTTCTGGCTTATAGGGTTTCTGTTGAGAGATCTGCTGTTAGTCTGATGGGCTTCCCTTTGTGGGTAACCCGACCTTTCTCTCTGGCTGCCCTTAACATTTTTTCCTTCATTTCAATCTTGGTGAATCTGAGGATTATGTGTCTTGGGGTTGCTCTTCTTGAGAAGTAGCTTTGTGGAGTTCTCTGTATTTCCTGAATTCGAATGTTGGCCTGTCTTTCTAGACTGGGGAAGTTCTTCTGGGTGATATCCTGAAGAATGTTTTCCAACTTGGTTCCATTCTCCCCGTCACTTTCAGGTACAGCAATCAAACCTAAGTTTGGTCTTTTCACATAGTCCCATATATCTTGGAGGCTTTGTTTGTTCCTTTTCATTCTTTTTTCTCTAATCTTGTCTTCACACTTTAATTCATTAAGTTGATCTTCGATCTCTGGTATCCTTTGTTCTGCTTGGTCGATTCGGCTATTGATTCTTATGTATGCTTCGCAAAGTTCTTGTGCTGTGTTTTTCAGCTCCATCAGGCCATTTATGTTCTTCTCTAAACCGTTTATTCTAGTTAGCAATTTCTCTAACCTTTTTTCAAGGTTCTTAGCTTCCTTGCATTGGGTTAGAACATGCTCCTTTAGCTTGGAGGACTTTATTACACACCTTCTGAAGCCTACTTCTGTCAATTTTTCACACTCATTCTTTGTCCAGTTTTGTTTCCTTGCTGGTGAGGAGTTGTGATCCTTCAGAGAAGAAGAGATTTTCTGGTTTTTGGAATTTTCGGCCTTTTTGGGATGGGTTTTCCTCATCTTCATGGATTTATCTATCTTTGGTCTTTGATGTTGGTGACCTTCAGATGGGGT
Organism: Homo sapiens; assembly: GCF_000001405.40. Classification (NCBI taxonomy): domain Eukaryota; kingdom Metazoa; phylum Chordata; class Mammalia; order Primates; family Hominidae; genus Homo; species Homo sapiens. The sequence continues at coordinate 159,617,356 of NC_000001.11, read as the reverse complement.
TTCTGTGTGAATGTACTTTTTGTTGATGTTGATGCTATTCCTTTGTGTTTGTTAGTTTTCCTTCTAACAATCAGGCCCCTCTGCTGCAGATCTGTTGGAGTTTACTGGAGGTTCACTCCCGGCCCTGTTTCCCTGGGTATTACCAGTGGAGGCTGCAGAATAGCAAAGATTACTACCTGTTCCTTCCTCGGGAAGCTTTGTCCCAGAGCGACACCTGCCAGATGCCAGCCAGAGCGCTCCTGCATGAGGTGCCTGTCAACCTCTGCTGGGAGGTGTTTCCCAGTCAGGAGGCACCTGGGTCAGGGACCCACTTGAGGAGGTTGTCTGTCTCTTAGCAGAGCTTGATCGCCTTGCTGGGAGATCTGCTGCTCTTTTCCAAGCCAGCAGGCAGAGATGTTTAAGTATGATGGAGGCGTGCCCACAGTTGTCCCTTCCTTCAGGTGCTCTGTCCCAGGGAGATGGGGGTTTTACCTATAAGCCCCTGACTGGGGCTGCTGTCTTTATTTCATAGATGCCCTGCCTAGAGAGGAGGAATCTAGAGAGGCAGTCTGGCTACAGAAGCTTTGCCAGGCTGCAATGGGCTCTGCCCAGTCTGAACTTGCTGTCTATCTCAACACTGTGAGGGGAAAATCGCTTACTCAAGTCTCAGTAATGGTAGATGCCCCTCCCCGCACCAAGCTCAAGCTTTCCAGGTTGACTTCAGACTGCTCTGCTGGCAGCGAGAATTTCCAGCCAGTTTATTTTAGCTTGCTGGGCTCCACAGGGGTAGGACATGCTGAGCAAGACCTCTTGTCCCCCTGGCTTCAGCTCCCTTTCCAGGGGAGTGAATGGTTCTCTCTCTCTGGGGTTCCAGGCACCATGGGGATATGAAAAAAATGTCCTGCATCTAGATTGGTGTCTGCTTAAATGTTCACCCAGTTTTGTGCTTGAAACCCAGGGCCTTGGTGGTGTAGGCATCCAAGGGAATCTCCTTGTCTGCAGGTTGCCAAAACCATAAGAAAAGCATAGTATCTGGGCCAGATAGCACTGTCCCTCACGGCACAGTCCCTCACAGCTTCCCTCGGCTAGGGGAGGGAGTTCCCCTACCCCTTGCACTTCACGTATGAGGTGACGCCCCACCCTACTTCTGCTCGCTCTTTGTGGGCTGCACCCACTGTCTAACCAGCCCCAATGAGATGAACTGGATACCTCAGTTGGAAATGCAGAAATCTCTTGCCTTCTGCATTGGTCTCACTGGGAGCTGCAGACCAGACCTGTTCCTATTCGGCCATCTTGCCCAGAACCATGTTTTCAGTTCTTATAGGTCAGTCCTTCCATTACAGAAAATAAAAAATAAGACTAAATATATGTATGTGTAGATAAGTAATTGTATATTGTCATATTTTATGTATCTTTATGTTCTTCTTTTCCTTACTATACTCCTCTTCTCCTAGGGGAAGGAGGCTTGAAAAGGAATGATTAAAGAACCAGGCCCAAGGAACATTAACCCACCCATAAATCAGTAATAACATGGATCTTCAAGTAAAGACTGGTCAGACAGTAATTTGACATGAATCAGAAGTTAATACCTTCCTTGGGTTTGAGGCTTCTAGATCTCACTACTTCAGCTACATAAGGACTGTCCTGTGATGCCTATGAATTAAATTTAGAAATCCAAGTTTTTGCTTCTTACTGTGAATGTTAATTATATCTCTAAGAAAGCTATCAAACCACTCTCTCACTGCCTTTAAAAGCCCCATAGGGCAGCCTCTAAATTGGGGGCCGGGAAGGTGTGGGCTTCAGTGATGACAGAGGAAAGCTGTGTCTTGCTCCTGGTCTGACAGGCCCAATGCTTACATCAGGCCCTCTGCCTTGGTGGGTGCTTTATTCTTTATCTGCTGGCTTTTGGCATTAGGTTCTCAAAGGTTTTTCAGAGGTACGAGGGTTGTGGTTGTTACTAGATGTCTCAAGGTACCTGAGAGGGCTTGGGGATGGATGAAGGGCACAATTAAGAGAATGGGAACGGTATGCCAGATAAGAAACATGGGTAAGTGATTTATTTTTCTCCTAGGCACATAGGTATCTGAAAAGGAACATGACTAAATAATCAGAGGAATCTAATGTTTTCTCCTTGCACCCTTTTTCCTACAAACCTGGTTGAGGAAGTCTTTTCCTCCTAAATTAGAGCAAAGTCTTCTTGCATACATAGCAAAGCTTTGTTTTAGGCCAGTTGAAACCCAGACCTCATTCATAGCATGCCCCTATGCTTTGTAGCCAAGGCCTAACCTCATCATTACAGTTCTGCTAATTCCACAAACGTTTATCAAATGCCTGTTAAATGGCAAGTATACTCCCCTGCATACACACCTAATACAATTTCTAATTGTGTACAGAGGTCTTACTTCTGAAGGTTGAATAAAATTCTTACATGTTACCAGATGGGCTCCGTTGAGATCTAAACAATTTTGCAAAATCCTATTTATATGTAAGCAGTTTATTGATCACTTACACAGTTGGATGAATATAAACAGTTTGTTTTTTTTGTTCAGCTTCTGTTTCCAACCATGCTCTGTAAAATTTCTATTTTCTGCCTCTTACTGCCATTTTGGGCAGATCCCATAATGTTTCCTTCTCTTTCAATTATTACAAGTTGAGATTTCCCTTTCCTAACTCTCTCTGCTGGCCTTGTAAATGGCTAGATTTGTAGCTTGCAGGAGAGGAAAACCAGTGGGAATAATGGCTTGTTCTTTTGATTTTCTTCCTATGCCAGCTATTTGTACTGAGGGCAGGGATGAGAAAGGTGGGGTCTACTATTTATCTGTCTTCCTCTGCTACTTAAGCAGCTTTTGAAAGTGTGATTGAGGGAAGTGCTAGACTGGCTTTGAAATTTCTCCATTGCATCGTGACATACTTCCTGGAGGTGTTGAGGTGAGTAAGGAGATGGACAGAGAAAACTGTCTGCTGATTCAATTAACAACCTTGTTTGCAGTCTCCTAGAAGTGGTTACCATGGCTTCTCTGGCTGTCATTGACAGGTTTCTGTGTGGGGCAGACCTAAATGTCAGCTCTGGCACATGCATGGGTTTTGTGGAGGGCCCCACAAAGGCCTCCCAGAGAGCCCCTTGACATGGGCATGTAGAGTTGCCTGCCCGTGTCCCCTTCTACTACCCCACCTCCAGGAGACACATGCAATCTCTTGCTGCTAGACCCCCTTGCAGGCTGCCCTTGGGTGGACAACCTGCAAGTTATCTCAAGCCAACACACTTAGCGGAGTCCATTCGATCCCAAGAAACTCATATGTTCTTGTGATAACCTCCACCCTTTGTTCTGATCACCACCTCTTCACCTTGTTGGTGAAAGAAATATCCTAACCCTTGACAGTACAAGATGGCCAAACACAACATTTGGCACTGGGCAGATGAGACTTCCAGTTTATTAGTCATACAGATTCACATCCTGGGGAAGAAGAACATCACATGCCCTGCAGAACCACATGGAATTGTACCCAGGAACAGAGTGAACCAGAAGGGGCTATGGGAGGAAGGCTTTGTATTTGCAAGGGGGTGAGGTGACTGTTGGTTCCCATAGGAAGATAGATTGCCCTGTCTGAATAATTTTAAACCTGGCAGAAGATTTAAGTTGGGGGCTGTTGGGGGTGCAGCCAGCCCAACTAATAGATGAACAAGCTGGATGGAGAACCTTTCCTGCTGCGTGGGAGATGTATCTGGCAAGAGCCAGGGGACTCAGGGTTGAGCCTTTGAAGCTTGTGAGGCTCAAAGACATCAAGACATCACGTGGAATTTCAGGCCCTAAAGTACACCCGGATGTCTTTCCCTAACTCCCTGTCTACTTGCCTTTTGGGTACAGGATAAGATCATTGAGTTTGCTGCCCAGGAAAACATCTAACAAGGAAGTGAGATGCCAGTAAGCTTTTTGTAGCATTGCCCCCTTTTTGTAAATGATGTTTCTTTTTAGGGAAATGAAAAGATGGGGTGGGTGGAAATCTCCTATGACCACAAAATTGTACTCCAAGGCTGCTTCCAGCATCCTCTAATTTCACCTCTTATTTCACTGGGGGGAGGGACTAGAAGGAAGATGATATGGTTTGGCAGTGTCACCACCCAAATCTCACCTTGAATTATAGCTCCCATAATTCCCATGTATTGTGGGAGGGACTGGTGGGAGGTAATTGAATCAAAGGGGCAGTTTCCCTCATACTGTTCTCATGGTAGTGAATAAGTCTCACGAGATCTGATGGTTTTATAAGGGATTTCCCCTTTTGCTTGGCTCTCATTCTCTCTTACCTGCTGCCATGTGTACGATGTGCCTTTTGCCTTCCACCATGATTGTGAGGCCTCCCCAGCCACGTGGAACTGTGAGTCCATTAAATCTCTTTTTCTTTATAAATTACTCGGTCTCAGGTATGTCTTTATCAGCATTGTGAAAATGGACTAATACAGAAAACAAGGCTGTGGTTTTGATTGAGAGTAGTAATAAGGCTGGCTCTGGTGTCCTTTAACAAAGTCTGAAGGCGGTGTCAGGCCCTAAATGTTAGTGACCATCTTTAAAGTGTGTCTTCTTTTCAGATAGGGCTTTAATTCTAAGATAACAAGAAGAACCCAACTGAGCATTCTGTCACACGAGTTCCTTGAAGGTCTGGCCTCCTTCTGGCAAGACACCTGCAAAGGCAACTGGGCCCGGGATGGGAGGGGCCTCTGGTCCTGGGCAGCCTCGAAGCTTCCTTTGTCATCTTAAGGATTAAGGTATCACTGCTTTTTCATACCCTCTTAACCACATTCCAGCCTATTCACAGGGATGGGAATAGAAGTTTAGAAAAATTCATGTTTAAATTTCTGTGCTGAAACATCCAAGATACTGTGACAGGACTGTGAGGATAGTATTTTAGTTTTCTGGCCACAGCATAATGGGATGAATAGGGTCTGCCATCTGCTCCCGCCCCATGAATGTTGACATGAGGCTTTCTGCCTGGCAGCTTACCTAGAGCATCCTGCTGTTCTTCTGTTCCCTTTCATTTGTGTCTTCCACTTTGGAGGGAACAAGCACCGTGAAGATAGTGGTGGTGGTGGTGGTGGTGGTGTGAGACGAGGCTGGAATCCCACTTATGCACTCGGACAGTACATGTCTGATGGACAGAGACCTCTAGCTACATTGACCTGACTTCTGTGTGGCCCCATGGTATGAAAAAGATGGAGGAAGAGGGTTGGAAGAAGAGTGGACTATTTTTGTCTTCTGCACAATAGTTGCTGCATCCCAGATCCAACTCAAGGTAAATCTGAGAGTCTTATTTGTCCCCTGCCCCCACTCCTATATTCCAATGGACATTGGAGATTATCAGTCATTGAAGACCTTGGAACCTGTTGCAGAGAATTCTCCTCCTCCCCACACCTTGCTTTCCTGACAGTTTTTTTCATTGTCAGGGCTACCCTCACATTCCTGTGCAGTATTCCATCTCATCAGCCGCTCCTCAGCGTTAACCCTAGGTGGACTTCTCTCCTTCTCCACATCCTCCCTGGGTGAACCCATTCATTCTCATTTCAAAAGTGACCATCTGTATTCTTCTGATTCCTACAGCTATGTCTCTAGCTCAGACCACTCTCCTGAATTCTAGGTCCACGTATCTAGCTGCTTCCTGGATATCTCCACTTGAATTCCTCACAGATATCTTAACCTCAAAAGTCCAAAAATTAAATTCATTGTCTTTTTTTTACACTCTGACTTGCTTCTCTTCCAGTGTTCCTTGTATTAGTTGAGGACACTGCCGTTCACCCCATTGCCTAAGCCAGAAATAATCAGGATCATCTTTGGCTCCATTACCTCTCACACTGAATCCATCACCAGGAAATGTCATCTTGCCGCCCACAGATTTCTTAAATCTGTCAATTTCTCTTCATCAGCACAGCTTCCACCTGGCCCAGCCTACCAACACCTATCTTTGTATTCCTACTGTAGATTCCCAATCAGTCTTCCAGCCAGTCTTGCCCCTTTATAATCCATTTCTCCCCTCTGTGAGCAGGGTGAGATTTCTGAATTACACATTAAATCATACCATTGCTTTACTTAAAGTCACATAAATGTTCTTCATTATCTTTAGGGTACACTCTCTGTAGTATGGGTTTGAAGTTCTTTATCATGTGACTACTACTGTCTTTCTTCTTTGCTCTTCTATCAATACCCCATGAATGTTATACCCCAGCTCTATTAAACTTTTTGTAATTAATTTGTTTACATGCCTTTGCATTGCTAATTCTTCTGACTGGAATATACTTTTCATCTTTCTTTCCCAGACCCTTCTGCCAAGATTTCATCCAGCTGAAGATACCTACTGAATCTTCAGATTTTAAGCTTAAACTCTTACTTCCTCTGGTAGCTCTTCCTTGACCCCTTTATTTGGTTAGAACCCACCAATGTGTGTTCCCATAGCATTTCATATTTCTCCTATCATAGGACTTATCACATTTTATCATAACTAGTTGCTTAATTTTTGGCCTCCCCTTTTTCTTTATTAGCACATGAAGGCATAGGTTGTGATAGCTTAAGAATTACTCTAACCCCAGTGTCTAGCACGGTGTCTGCATGCAATATAACTTTGATAAATGGGTTTATGACAGTATGTAGATTTTTGTATAGACCCAAATATTCATGTGGAGATTTATTATCTATCTGTTTTTGATGAGTCCTGTCAAATAGTGGGAGAGTGGAGTACAGAATTTGACATCAGGCAGACAGCTTTGCTACTTCAAACTACCTGGCAGTTTACTTAACTCTGCCAAACTCCATGTATAAGAATGGGAATAATGATACCTACCTTTTTAGGTGCTATCACTACCCCATTAAAAAATCTGGAAATAGATGCATAAAGAGGTTAGAACATCTAGTGAGTGGCAGAGGCAAAATTAGAAAATCTGATTGGAAATCCTTCATCTCTAGGCAGTGCTATACCCAAGGGTGCTACTTTACAGGCAATTGTATATACTGTTCATCTGCTTTTTCTCCTCTCTCACAATTTGGAAATAGCAGATAAGAAAGGATACCATGAGCTCTTCAAAGCAAGGGAAAACCCCATCATCCTGAGAACCTGGATGCCTCACAGCACTGGAGAACAATGGATGGTCATTGTCGGTATACTCAACCATCAAGAAGAAGCTACAGATGTGTACATTTCAATTTTGTACATAAGTAACTTATGGAGGTGTATCTTATGCCAAGAACTGTCCTAGCATTGAGGATACAGAAAGCAGTTCTGTTGAGGGGTTGACTGTGTGGTGAGGGAGGCAGACTAGGAAATGAGCAATTTTGATACATGGCCAGGGAGGAGACAATCTTAGAATGGTGTGGGTGCTTATGAAAGGAACATCTAATAAATTATTTAGGGAAGACTTTTTGGTGGAAGTGATGTCCATGATGAGACCAGAGTGACTAAAAGTTGGGAAGCATATTCTTTTTTATTTTATTTTATTTTATTATTATTATACTTTAAGTTTTAGGGTACATGTGCACAATGTGCAGATTAGTTACATATGTATACTTGTGCCATGCTGGTGTGCTGCACCCATTAACTCGTTATTTAGCATTAGGTATATCTCCTAATGCTATCCCTCCACCCTCCCCCCACTCCGTAACAGTCCCCAGAGTGTGATGTTCCCCTTCCTGTGTCCATGTGTTCTCATTGTTCAGTTCCCACCTATGAGTGAGAACATGCGGTGTTTGGTTTTTTGTCCTTGTGATAGTTTACTGAGAATGATGATTTCCAATTTCATCCAAGTCCCTACAAAGGACATGAACTCATCATTTTTTATGGCTGCATAGTATTCCATGGTGTATATGTGCCACATTTTCTTAATCCAGTCTATCATTGTTGGACATTTGTGTTGGTTCCAAGTCTTTGCTATTGTGAGTAGTGCCGCAATGAACATATGTGTGCATGTGTCTTTATAGCAGCATGATTTATAGTCCTTTGGGTATATACCCAGTAATGGGATGGCTGGGTCAAATGGTATTTCTAGCTCTAGATCCCTGAGGAATCTCCACACTGACTTCCACAATGGTTGAACTAGTTTACAGTCCCACCAACAGTGTAAAAGTGTTCCTATTTCTCCACATCCTCTCCAGCACCTGTTGTTTCCTGACTTTTTAATGATTGCCATTCTAACAGGTGTGAGATGGTATCTCATTGTGGTTTTGATTTGCATTTCTCTGATGGCCAGTGATGGTGAGCATTTTTTCATGTGTTTTTTGGCTGCATAAATGTCTTCTTCTGAGAAGTGTCTGTTCATGTCCTTCGCCCACTTTTTGATGGGGTTGTTTGTTTTTTTCTTGTAAATTTGTTTGAGTTCATTGTAGATTCTGGATATTAGCCCTTTGTCAGATGAGTAGGTTGCGAAAATTTTCTCCCATTTTGTAGGTTTCGTGTTGACTCTGATGGTAGTTTCTTTTGCTGTGCAGAAGCTCTTTAGTTTAATTAGATCCCATTTGTCAATTTTGTCTTTTGTTGCCATTGCTTTTGGTGTTTTAGACATGAAGTCCTTGCCCATGCCTGTGTCCTGAATGGTAATGCCTGGGTTTTCTTCTAGGGTTTTTATGGTTTTAGGTCTAACATCTAAGTCTTTAATCCATCTTGAATTAATTTTTGTATAAGGTATAAGGAAGGGATCCAGTTTCAGCTTTCCACATATGGCTAGCCAGTCTTCCCAGCACCATTTATTAAATAGGGAACCCTTTCCCCATTGCTTGTTTTTGTCAGGTTTGTCAAAGATCAGATAGTTGTAGATAAGCGGAGTTATTTCTGAGGGCTCTATTCTGTTCCATTGATCTGTATCTCTGTTTTGGTACCAGTACCATGCTGTTTTGGTTACTGTAGCCTTGTAGTATAGTTTGAAGTCAGGTAGTGTGATGCCTCCAGCTTTGTTCTTTTGGCTTACGATTGACTTGGCGATACGGGCTCTTTTTTGGTTCCATATGAACTTTAAAGTAGTTTTTTCCAATTCTGTGAAGAAAGTCATTGGTAGCTTGATGGGGATGGCATTGAATACATAAATTACTTTGGGCAGTATGGCCATTTTCACGATATTAATTCTTCCTACCCATGAGCATGGAATGTTCTTCCATTTGTTTGTATCCTCTTTTATTTCGTTGAGCAGTGGTTTGTAGTTCTCCTTGAAGAGGTCCTTCACATCCCTTGTAAGTAAGTTGGATTCCTAGGTATTTTATTCTCTCTGAAGCAATTGTGAATGGGAGTTCACTCATGATTTGGCTCTCTGTTTTTCTGTTGTTGGTGTATAAGAATGCTTGTGATTTTTGTACATTGATTTTGTATCCTGAGACTTTGCTGAAGTTGCTTATCAGCTTAAGGAGATTTTGGGCTGAGACAATGGGGTTTTCTAGATATACAATCATGTAATCTGCAAACAGGGACAATTTGACTTCCTCTTTTCCTAATTGAATGCCCTTTATTTCCTTCTCCTGCCTAATTGCCCTGGCCAGAACTTCCAGCACTATGTTGAATAGGAGTGGTAAGAAAGGGCATCCTTGTCTTGTGCCAGTTTTCAAAGGGAATGCTTCCAGTTTTTGCCCATTCAGTATGATATTGGCTGTGGGTTTGTCATAGATAGCTCTTATTATTTTGAGATACATCCCATCAATACTTAATTTATTGAGAGTTTTTAGCATGAAGGGTTGTTGAATTTTGTCAAAGGACTTTTCTGCATCTATTGAGATAATCATGTGGTTTTTGTCTTTGGTTCTGTTTATATGCTGGATTACATTTATTGATTTGCGTATATTGAACCAGCCTTGCATCCCAGGGATGAAGCCCACTTGATCATGGTGGATAAGCTTTTTGATGTGCTGCTGGATTCGGTTTGCCAGTATTTTATTGAGGATTTGTGCATCAATGTTCATCAAGGATATTGGTCTAAAATTCTCTTTTTTGGTTGTGTCTCTGCCCGGCTTTGGTATCAGGATGATGCTGGCCTCATAAAATGAGTTAGGGAGGATTCTCTCTTTTTCTATTGATTGGAATATTTTCAGAAGGAATGGTACCAGTTCCTCCTTGTACCTCTGGTAGAATTTGGCTGTGAATCCATCTGGTCCTGGACTCCTTTTGGTTGGTAAGCTATTGATTATTGCCACAATTTCAGAGCCTGCTATTGGTCTATTCAGAGATTCAACTTCTTCCTGGTTTAGTCTTGGGAGGGTGTATATGTCGAGGAATTTATCCATTTCTTCTAGATTTTCTAGTTTATTTGCATAGAGGTGTTTGCAGTATTCTCTGATGGTAGTTTGCATTTCTGTGGGATTGGTGGTGGTATCCCCTTTATCATTTTTTATTGCATCTATTTGATTCTTCTCTCTTTTCTTCTTTATTAGTCTTGCTAGTGGTCTATCAATTTTGTTGATCCTTTCAAAAAACCAGCTCCTGGATTCATTAATTTTTTGAAGGGTTTTTTGTGTCTCTATTTCCTTCAGTTCTGCTCTGATTTTAGTTATTTCTTGCCTTCTGCTAGCTTTCGAATGTGTTTGCTCTTGCTTTTCTAGTTCTTCTAATTGTGATGTTAGGGTGTCAATTTTGGATCTTTCCTGCTTTCTCTTGTGGGCATTTAGTGCTATAAATTTCCCTCTACACACTGCTTTGAATGTGTCCCAGAGATTCTGGTATGTTGTGTCTTTGTTGTTGTTGGTTTCAAAGAACATCTTTATTTCTGCCTTCATTTCGTTATGTACCCAGTAGTCATTCAGGAGCAGGTTGTTCAGTTTCCATGTAGTTGAGCAGTTTTGAGTGAGATTCTTAATCCTGAGTTGTAGTTTGATTGCACTGTGGTCTGAGAGATAGTTTGTTATAATTTCTGTTCTTTTACATTTGCTGAGGAGAGCTTTACTTCCAACTATGTGGTCAATTTTGGAATAGGTGTGGTGTGGTGCTGAAAAAAATATATATTCTGTTGATTTGGGGTGGAGAGTTCTGTAGATGTCTATTAGGTCCACTTGGTGCAGAGTTGAGTTCAATTCCTGGGTATCCTTGTTAACTTTCTGTCTCATTGATCTGTCTAATGTTGACAGTGTGGTGTTTAAGTCCCCCATTATTATTGTGTGGGAGTCTAAGTCTCTTTGTAGGTCACTCAGGACTTGCTTTATGAATCTGGGTGCTCCCGTATTGGGTGCATATATATTTAGGATAGTTAGCTCTTCTTGTTGAATTGATCCCTTTACCATTATGTAATGGCCTTCTTTGTCTCTTTTGATCTTTGTTAGTTTAAAGTCTGTTTTATCAGAGACTAGGATTGCAATCCCTGACTTTTTTGTTTTCCATTTGCTTGGTAGATCTTCCTCCATCCTTTTATTTTGAGCCTATGTGTGTCTCTGCATGTGAAATGGGTTTTCTGAATACAGCACACTGATGGGTCTTGACTCCATCTAATTTGCCAGTCTGTGTCTTTTAATTGGAGCATTTAGTCCATTTACATTTAAAGTTAATATTGTTATGTGTGAATTTGATCCTGTCATTATGAGATTAGCTGGTTATTTTGCTCATTAGTTGATGCAGTTTCTTCCTAGCCTCGATGGCCTTTACAATTTGGCATGATTTTGCAGTGGCTGGTACCGGTTGTGCCTTTCCATGTTTAGTGCTTCCTTCGGGAGCTCTTTTAGGGCAGGCCTGGTGGTGACAAAGTCTCTCAGCATTTGCTTGTCTGTAAAGTATTCTATTTCTTCTTCACTAATGAAGTTTAGTTTGGCTGGATATGAAATTCTGGGTTGAAAATTCTTTTCTTTAAGAATGTTGAATATTGGCCGCCACTCTCTTCTGGCTTGTAGGGTTTCTGCAGAGAGATCCGCTGTTAGTCTGATGGGCTTCCCTTTGAGGGTAACCCGACCTTTCTCTCTGGCTGCCCTTAACATTTTTTCCTTCATTTCAACTTTGGTGAATCTCACAATTATGTGTCTTGGAGTTGCTCTCTCGAGGAGTATCTTTGTGGCGTTCTCTGTATTTCCTGAATCTGAATGTTGGCCTGCCTTGTTAGATTGGGGAAGTTCTCCTGGATAATATCCTGCAGAGTGTTTTCCAACTTGGTTCCATTCTCCCCGTCACTTTCAGGTACACCAATCAGACATAGATTTGGTCTTTTCACATAGTCCCATATTTCTTGGAGGCTTTGTTTGTTTCTTTTAATTCTTTTTTCTCTAAACTTCCCTTCTTGCTTCATTTCATTCATTTCATCTTCCATCGCTGATACCCTTTCTTCCAGTTGATCGCATCGGCTCCTGAGGCTTCTGCATTCCTCATGTAGTTCTCGAGCATTGGCTTTCAGCTCCATCAGCTCCTTTAAGCACTTCTCTGTATTGGTTATTCTAGTTATACATTCGTCTAAATTTTTTTCAAAGTTTTCAACTTCTTTGCCTTTGGTTTGAATTTCCTCCTGTAGCTCAGAGTTGTCTGATTGTCTGAAGCCTCTTCTCTCAACTCGTCAAAGTCATTCTCCATCCAGCTTTGTTCCCTTGCTGGTGAGGAACTGCGTTCCTTTGGAGGAGGAGAGGCGCTCTGCTTTTTAGAGTTTCCAGTTTTTCTGCTCTGTTTTTTCCCCATCTTTGTGGTTTTTTCTACTTTTGGTCTTTGATAATGGTGATGTACAGGTGGGTTTTTGGTGTGGATGTCCTTTCTGTTTGTTAGTTTTCCTTCTAACAGACAGGACCCTCAGCTGCAGGTCTGTTGGAGTTTGCTATAGGTCCACTCCAGACCCTGTTTGCCTGGGTATCAGCAGCGGTGGCTGCAGAACAGTGAATTTTCATGAACCACGAATGCTGCTGTCTGATCGTTCCTCTGGAAGTTTTGTCTCAGAGGAGTACCCGGCTGTGTGAAGTGTAAGTCTGCCCCTACTGGGGGGTGCCTCCCAGTTAAGCTGCTCAGGGGTTAAGGGTCAGGGACCCACTTGAGGAGGCAGTCTGCCTGTTCTCAGATCTCCAGCTGCATGCTGGGAGAACCACTGCTCTCTTCAAAGCTGTCAGACAGGGAGATTGAAGTCTGCAGAGGTTACTGCTATCTTTTTGTTTGTCTGTGCCCTGCCCCCAGAGGTGGAGCCCATAGAGGCAGGCAGGCCTGTTTGTGCTGTGGTGGGCTCCACCCAGTTCGAGCTTCCTGGCTGCTTTGTTTACCTAAGCAAGCCTGGGCAATGGTGGGCGCCCCTCCCCCGGCCTCACTGCCACCTTGCAGTTTGATCTCAGACTGCTGTGCTAGCAATCAGTGAAACTCCGTGGGTGTAGGACCCTCCAAGCCAGGTGCGGGATATAATTGCCAGGTGCACCATTTTTTAAGCCCTTCTGAAAAGCTTAGGGTGGGAGTGACCCGATTTTCGAGGTGTCGTCTGTCACCCCTTTCTTTGAGTAGAAAAGGGAACTCCCTGACCCCTTGCACTCCCCGAGTGAGGCAATGCCTCACCCTGCTTCAGTTCATGCATGGTGCACTGCACCCACTGTCCTGCGCCCACTGTCTGTCACTCCCTAGTGAGATGAACCCAGTACCTCAGATGGAAATGCAGAAATCACCCATCTTCTGCATCACTCACAATGGGAGCTGTAGACCGGGGCTGTTCCTATTGGGCCATCTTCGGGAAGCATATTCTATCTTTCAAAAAGATTAAAGATGAGAGATGGTGGTGACGTAGTGGAAAACACATACCTTTTGAAGTTGGTTGGTGAATGTTGGTATCGGTTCTAGTTCTGTCAGTTACCAACTGTGTGACTTGAAGCAAGTCAGGTAATGTTTCCACCATGAACCTAAAAAGTTAATGGTAGAAACAATGAACATTTTATAACAATGAAACAATAAAACAATAAAAATGCATATTTCATAAGGTTACTATAAGGATCAAATAGGACATTATATTTGAAGACTCTTGTGAAGTGCCAAGTACTATAAAATTGAAGTTTTAAGTGAAATAACGTACGCAACTACCATTTCACATGATATCTGCTCTGCAGTAAACCCTTAATAAGTGGTAATTGTCTTCTGCTTTATGTCACATTGCTTTGCTGCTTTGGAATTCCTGTTTCCTTCAGAAATGAGTTTCTGAAAAGTGATATTCATCTGGTATCTACCCTCAGAGTCATCTCCTTGTTTCCTTCTCTCCTCTGTCATTTCCCAGAGCTAGTTGCTTCCCTCAGTAAGGCTTTTTATTGCAGGTGGTTGGTATTTTCATGTCTGTTATCTCATCTAGTCACTGTCTTCATTGCAGAATAAATAGGAGTTGGGAAATTAGGAGGTCAGAAACTTGAGGATTTGGTCTCCAGCAACAAAGGAAGCTAAGCTTTTGTTCCATTATAATTCAAAATGTAAAATTGTGGGATGATTTTCTAGCCTCATAATAAATTTGTTTGTCATGTGCCAAAAGTATAATTAGAAGATGTCCTGATTTTTAATTGTATATGGCACATCACTCTCTGTTTAGAAACTTGTTTCTCTTTAAATACATTTCAAAGGTTACATCCTCATATGAGTAAGAATGATTTTCTTGGTAACTCTACGCCCTTTTGTGAAAATCTTGACTGTTTCTGCTTCTGTGTTGCTAAGCGATTAATCAATGCAAATAACTAAGTTAACATTGGGGCTGAGAGAGGTCTTAAAGCAACTGAGAATTGGCTCATAGAAAGGCCAGGGAAAGAGGAAGAACAGGCAGACCCAAGTGACTCTGCCACAGTGGACGAGCTTATGACTCTGTGTTTGTATTTAGGGGAGGGCCCCCTGCAAAGGACACAGAAAAAGGATAGCAGGTGCTTTGGTTTGAATGTTTGTGTCCCCTCGAAAATTCATGTTGAAACTTAAACCCCAACGTGATATCATTAAGAAGTGGGACATTTAGGAGGTGATTAAGTCATGAAGGCAGAGCCCTTATGTATTAGTCTGTTCTTGCATTGCTATAAAGAAACACTGGAGACTGAGTAATTTATAAAGAAAAGATGTTTAATTAGCTCATGGTTCTGCACACTGTACAGGAAGCATAACACGGGCATCTATTTCTGGGTAGGCCTCAGGAAGCTTACAGTCATGGTGGGAGTTCACGGGGGAGCAGGCGTCTCACATGGTGGGAGCAGGAGCAAGACAGTGAGGCGGGAGGTGCCATACGCTTTTAAAGGACCAGATCTCGTGAGAACTCACTATCTCAAGGACAGTACCAAGAGGATGGTACTAAACCATTCATGAGAAAACCATCCCCATAATCCAGTCACCACCCACCAGGCCCCACCTCCAACACTGGGGATTACATTTCAATATGAGATTTGGGTGGGACTTCCAAACCATATAACTTTATAAATGGGTTAGTGACCTTATAAAAGGGATGGGAGTAACTAGATAGGTCCATTTTTGCCCTTCCATCTCTTCCCATATGAGAAGCAGTGTTCATCCCCTCTGGAGAATGCAGCAACAAGGTGCCATCTTGGAAGTAGAGACTATGCCCTCACCAAACACTGAACCTGTTAGTGCCTTGGTCATTAACCTCCCAGACCCCAGGACTGTAAGCTCGAAATTTCTGTTCTTTATAAATTACCCACTCTTTGGTCTTTTGTTAAAGCAGCTTGAACAAACAAAGACAGCAGATGTGTCTAGTTCAGCAAGACACGCTGAGAAGTCCAAGCATGGTGCTTGTACATAGTAGGTACTCAACCTCTAAGTGAGGATTTATTGAACACCTACTCTCCAGGTGCTGTTCCATGCAGGGGTATCATAATGAGGAAAGCAGTTCCTGATCCCAATATGCCTGTGATCCAGTGATAGAAACAAGCAAGAAAAGCACAATGAAAAAAATGTTAAACTCATGTAATTTCCCAAAAATAACTTTAGGAACACTTAAGAGAGAACAACTAACTGCTGGGTGGGAGTGAGGTAAATGATACTGCAGAAAACAATGTGAAGTAGGGTTTGTCACTGGATACCAGCCTGTGCAAAACAAATGGGTAAGGAGATTAAAAAATGCTTTTGATGACAAGCGAGGCAGAATTAAAAACATTATATTCATAAAAAGGTTCTGATGGGTGCTGAGTGAGGAAGTGAACTCAGCACCCATCTGACTCTGGGACCTCTATTCTATCCACCATGTAAGACAACATCTTATTGTCAAGAAGAAATTAGAAGCACACATGTTTATTTAAAAAAAACTGGACATATGATTGAACCATTGTGGGTAACAGAGTTAGAGACAAAGATATTTCACCTTCAAGATTTATGACTCATATTTTCTGCCAGCTCTTTGTGGGCCCCGCTGTGACATTTAACTTTTGATTGCACGAGTGGCGTGTGGTATGTCTGCTGTTGCAGCATTTAGATGTAGAGACAATACTGGAGAAACCTTTGTCTTTGATTCATGAACTAATGAAGGAGAGTGGCTGTGTGCAGAAGTAGAAAGGAGAGTAATGGGCAGTGGGAGTTGGCCACTGCCACTGGAGCAGGATAGAACAGGTTTGATCACCACCCAACTTCCATCATTGTACTTTCCTGCTCAGAACAGCCCTCTCTGTCTCATCTCTTCCCTTCTACACACAAAAAGACAGGTATGAGGATGTACAAGTAGTTGCTAGCCAGAGAGAATTGAGAAGGGCAGGTTATAATTAAGAGTTGGCAGTACAGGTGGCCTTGATGGCAGTGGGAGGGGTTCTTTCATACTGTCAGGAGAGACACTCTCATTCTGGAGGGAATCTGCCTCACTCTTGTTGGGCATAGAGGTTTAGATCTGTAGTGGGATGACCCTGAGAGTGCTGTCAAGAAAGACCTCATAGCATGTCCAAGACTCTTGGACCCAACCTTTGAGCCCCCAACAGCTTCTGTAGGAAGCCTTGTTTCTATGATGTAGAAATTGCAAAGACACAAGACAGGAATTAGAAAGAACTGGTCAGACCTTGAAAGAACAATGGTCTCCCCAATCTAGAATTCAGAAATCTGTAAAGATATTCTTTACCTGAGATGAGCTCCTTAGGATGTTATCGATTCTTTCTCAGTGGAGGGAAAGGAAAAAAATGACTGTCTTGAAAAAAAGAAAAATGGCATTAGGGAATGAGCAGAGAAGTATTCTTGACAAAAAATATTTTAGTAGAAGGAAGCACTCAACAAAAGTCTTAAACCCTCCCTACCATCACCCATCACCCAAGATAACCACATAGAAGGTATGTATAGGCATGAAACCAAAAAAGTTCCCAGAAAGCCCTGGGAAAAAGGATATTTTTCTCAAAGGAGTCTACTAAGGAAAAATATTTTTTTTTCTTGTTAGCCTTTTTTGGTGAATTGAGTGATTCTACAATTATACTTCTGAACTACTCCTGACTGCTGGGACTGTTTGTTTTGTTCTACTTTTGTTTCTTTATGCTACCAGGAGGTGCCATGGTATGTGCAAATGAGGAAAGCTTTTATGGTTCTTATTCTAACAGGGCACAGATCTTCTTGACCAACTCAATTTTTCTTCATAATGATTAGAGAGAAGTTGATCCCATGGAGAGAACCAGCAGCCAGAAAGAATTCAATTAGGGAATTTAGATTAGAAAGGTGAGAGTTAAGTATGATCTGTGGCCATGGCCAGCATCTGACGACTACACTGGATAAAAGCAAAGGCTTTAGCATAAATTGAATAATAAAGACTAAATTTTCAAGGACTAAGCCAGTGTTTTCCAACTTTCCTATTTTTTTTTAAATTTAATACGCTCATCTCACTTTTCCCTGACAATTCTGATACTATTTTCTTTCAAGGGAATCCATCATTATTGACTATCCTTACCTTGCTGCGATGATTTTGTAGTTTTATTTTCTGTAGATTGCATTACAAAAATGAGACACATTGCTTTTTATTTTTTAAACACAATATAATCATATTTAATATACTTTTAAAAGTCCCTTTCTTCATCCTAGAAATTTGGATGCTCTTTCCTAAAAATCATGCCCATTCTCCTTGACCTCTCACATCCCTAGTTGAAAATGCCTGGACAAAACTTTGAAATATATGGAAACAGAGACTAAGATTTTGTAGTAAATATACCAAAGCAAGACATGCACATCCCATTGCAGCATAGACTGCATGGGACAGAGTCGTAAGGTTGTTTAATGTAAGTAAGGACACACATTTCTATGACTAAATGTATATTTATATAGAGGAATAATGCATTAAGAAATGTTTCTGCCCATGGCCCTGCATAGGGCATCCTTGACCTCCTTGTTCTTTAGGCTGTAAACAACAGGGTTCAGCAGGGGAGTGATGATGGTTTAGGTCACTGAGAGAAGGAGGTCTTGTTCTATAGAGTTTTCTGACTTGGGCATGAGGTAGGCAATGGAAGCACAGCCATAATGGACAATGACCACAGTGAGGTGGAAGGCACAGGTGGCAAAGGTCTTCTTCCAACCCTCAGCTGAGGCAATCTTGAGGACAGTGGAGATGATGAGGACATAGGAGATGAAGACCAGACCCATGGGGACCAGGATGACAAATAACCTGACAACAAAATTGATTATCTCATTGATAGTGGTATTAATACAGGAGAGTTTCATGACAGGGAGGATGTCACAGAAGAAATGACCAACCACCGTGTGACAAAAAGGTAAGGTAAATATGGATGTTACCTGGACAGCTGCCATGGCCAGGCCAATGCTAAAGGCTCCACACACCAGCTGGACACACACCTTCTTGCTCGTAATGACCCTGTATCTCAAGGGATTGCAGATGGCCATATAGTGGTCATAGCCCATCACTGTGAGCAAGAAGCAATTGTTGATGGCCAAGGTAACAAAGAAGAACGTTTGGGTGGTACAACCTGCTAGGGAGATTGGCTGGGTCTGGGTTACGAAGCTGGAGAGCATCTGTGGAATGATGAACAGTGTGTACACTGTCTTTGAGCTAGCCAGCATGCTCAGGAAGAAGTACATGGGAGTGTGGAGGTGACGGTCAATGCAGATGATGGTCATGATGATGGCATTGCCAGCCACAGTTAATGTGTACAGGATGAGAAAAACCACAAAGAGAGTGATGTGATGTTTGTGGAATCTGGAGAATCCCAGGAAAACAAACTCTGTTACCTCTGTGAGGTTCTTTCTTCGCATTCTTTAATTGCAATGTCTGAAAGCAATGCAGGAAGTCAACGTGAAGAAATTCTTATCATGACTTGAATTCTAGAACAGGGATAGAGCAATGACTATAGAAAACACTAAGAAAAAAAGTCAATTTCTCTGCTTTGTAATCAGGAGCATTCTCGCTCATGTTATATAACTACTTCACCATCTTCTCCCTTTTCTGTTTTTGCTGTCTTCTTAATCTTCTGGCACTGCTGGCACTGTTAAGCCTCTGGCCAAGGAATTGTCAATATGTGACACCACAACCCATATCTTTTCAAAGTGCCATCATAAATGTGCTGTTTTGTAGCGCATGGAGGGAGGCATTTTCCTTTACAATATGCATGGCACAGGGGTCCCATTGCATGCCATCCTGGGAAAGCCCACACAGCTGAGACAAAAAAAGGGGGTGAGAGAGTTGGACTTACTGAATTAGAACCATAGGTGGATAGCTTCTGGTGACAGTGTAGGGGAGCAGAATCAAGGTCAGTGAGAGCTGACCTTCAGGAACACTTCAGTGGGAGTGAAGATGAGGTGTTCTGGGCCCAGCCTAGATGGTCTAGGGGAGGCAAACCGTTGGCAAAATTGACTTATTGTGAAAGTATTAACAGAGGCTTAAGGTTTGGAGACATGTAAACTAGAGAGAGAAGTGGAAGTCGTTGGAAAAAGAGAGAAGAGAATCAGCAACACAACAGAAAGTTGGACCTTGAATTTAAAAAAAAGTAGCTGATTTCTTTTTTGGCAGAGGGAATTCTAAGAATAAAGAGGTGTACTATTTGATTTAAAATTGTTTGCTGAACTATACTGTAATGTAAACTCCCTTGAGAGCCTCAAGAGACTTTGTTTAAAGCTTTTATATGTATAATTTTCAGTTGGTGGTAGTTAGGAAGTAAAGAGAAGTGGATGATGGCACAGTGCAGAAAAAGGTATGTGCAAGGAGTAAGTTCCAGACTGAGGAAGAAAAACCACTAGCTTGTAATGACTAGAAGAAATACAAGGCCTTCTCCTGCCCTCCCATCCCCCTTACAAGCACACACAATATTTGCTAGAAATTTGGTGAGTGAGCCTGGGATTTCCATCATGTATCAAATGATGATTTGAATCATTTTGCTTAAATAACAAGTAACACTAACAGGCTGGGGGATTTTGGCACACTTAGGGAACTGCCACTAGGAATCTAGGAAATATTGTGGGTGTTTTAGAAAATAGTCCATCATGGAAAATGAGGCAAATGTTTCGAGTAGAAATGAGTGTGTCACTAAAATTAAAGGAATTTGCCTTAAGAGACCACTGAGATACCAGTTGGATAGGCAAAGATTAAAGAGAGTGACAGTGGAACTCCAAGCAGCTTTTTAGAAAGGATAGGATGGAGCTATGGCTGTGTAAATTTAAATTAACTAAAATAAAAGAGAATTAAAAATTCACTTAGTCGGTCATACTAGCCACATTTCAAGTGATAAAAAGCTACATGTGACTAGTGGCCACCATATTGGATAGCTCAGCTATCAAACATTTTCTTTTGTTGGTAAAAGTTATGCTGGACTGTGCTGTTATGGTGTCCTACCATGAACAGATGTGTGGAATACATTAAATAACAACCACAAAACGAGCTATTTAGAGAACAATACTATGATATGCTGCCATATGGTTAGGAATATTTGCATGTGTGTGTGTGTGTGTGTGTGTGTGTGTGTGTGTGTTTGTGGATGTTCATAAATATTTGCATATGTGGGGGAAAAAAGTCTGAAAGAATATGAACTTGATATTATCATGAATTAACAGTTATATTGTGCTGGGGGTGCTATAGGGAACTTTAACTTTTATCATTTTCACAGTGATGATAATGGCTCATTTTAAAATATTTTAAGCATAAAATTATAACTCATAAATAACTTGGAGAAGTCAAGGAGGATGACAACTGAAAACATATATTCAATTGATTAAGAAGGAGGCTACCAATGACCTTATTGCCACAAATCTAGCAGAGTCTTGGGCTGGAAAGCCTGATTATGTGGAGTAAATAAAGAAGAATTTTGTTAATATGTTAGACGAGAAAAACAGATCTCATGTGCCTTTTCCCTTTCCTGATGAGCCTATTGCAATGAGTGACAAAATATGGTTAAGGCTATGTTGAGCCAGGAAAACTATAAACATATTTGGAGTAGGGAAGGGAGGAAAGTACAAAACTGAATTAAATCAGGAGGAGGAAAAATCTTCTGGTATCTTTAATTTAGGAGCTGAAAAGTGCTGCTTTCACCCCAAATCAGCCACCAATTTGTTGTAAATATGTTTCATGTAAATATAAATTTACTTTCTTGGAATAAATTGTGAAGCTATAGACAAGATGGCTAAGGACCCACTAGATGCAGGGAAACTGGGTCAGGTACATAAGCCCAGGAAAAGAAGTTTATTACCTGTGGTATACATTTGAATTGGATTGAATGGGCAACAAAATAATATCTTAATACAAGATATTCATAAAATGTGGGGAAACAAATGCAAAAATGAAAGGTCAGTGTAAGATGTGGGAGCAAGAATAGCCCCTTCAAACCAATGTTCTTTCCTTATTGTTTAGTATTTATTTGGAGGAAAAGTGTGTGGTGTGTGAGGGAAAGGTAAAGCCCTGCCACAGGGGAAGCTATCATTTCTCCTGCATGTGGAGCTCAGCTAAAGGGATCTCCCAACACTAGGCTTAGCCCAAACAAACAAACAAGCCCTACAGTGATTGGGCTTTGTCCTGCACAGAGTGCACTTAGTGCACTTAGTGGCCATCCATACCTCCTAGAGCAGGTGCCATTGCTCGCCCTGATTTTTCCAAGTGTTCTTCCCAGCCACATCACTCTCCATGAAAGGAGTTCTCTTATGTGTTTCACTTCATTTCGCTACCTATCAGCGATGTTTTAGAGTCCCTTTGAGATTAAGGGCAATTGCCTTGTTGTCTCATTTTTTAACCTGTCACTTTCTGAGGTGCAGAAGCAATCTAAAATTATTACTGTTAGAAATTATGGCTCAAATGTCAAATACACAGCTGTTACTGTCCCTGGAAGTGAGGAAGGCCCTGGTGAGAGAGATAAGGAAGTCTGGGACACAGGAGGAAATCACATTGTTAGTTCTCCTCGGTCTTCTTAGAGCCTTACACACACAAAATCAGGGAGCAATGAACACCAACGTTTAGCTTGGGAAGGGAGAAGAGGTCCCAGAGGGTACCATGGAGCCAAAGAAATGTATGGAATGGGTGGGTTGGTCTCACCTGCGGAGGTTTGCCAGGGTGAGTTCTCAGTGGTTAGAATGTGTCTCAGTGAACTTAAGGGCTATGTTAGCACCAGATGGCTACCTCTCTCTCTCTCTCTGTCTCTCTCTCTCTCTCTCTTTTTTTTCTACTGGTTGCTTTTTATGAGTCTCCACCCAGCCAGAAGCGAGTGCAGCTGAGCACAGTAGCAGCAGCCCTTCTACCACCCAAATCTGGACCTTCTCTGGCTGAACCCTAAGGGTGTTTCTGTAGAGGGAACACGCCAGTGGATAATCTCAAAAGCACAGTATAGAACAGAAAGAAGCTTTCAAAATGATTTATACATTCCAGAAGGATAAAAACCCTGTGGGAGAGTAAAAATACTGAAATGTGCTCATGCATCAAAATGTTAGTCATGAAGTCAATATTCCTACCAGAGGAAAAAGGAAAATAAAGTGGAGGGGAAAACAGAATTTGAAAGTGTAAAGGAAATGCCATTTGCAAGGGGAAGAAATTATTACAACAGCCATGGATGCCCCCAAATATTTTGGTCTTTATAAGCAAAATTTGTTGCTGGAAACAGAATCTGTGTTAAAAAAATTAAAATATGCAGGTAGGCAAAACTTCTATAAATATATTTTGTGTGTAAAGGAATTGCACACTTAAAAAAAATAGTGACCTGCCTTTTTGGTAGAGTTTCCATCCCCTCCCTTCCTTTCCCTTATTTTCCTTCCCTTTCCTTTCTTTTTTAAACAAAATAGATCTAAGGAGCCAGGGAAGGAGGACTCAATGACTTAAGAAACTGATGATTACGAGAGCTATTTGAATAAATAAGAGAATAATAACTTTTCTTTTGCATGGAAGCCTTCTCAGACCCAAAAGTGTCCATCCACCTTCTGCAGTCTGTGGAATCTGTGTTCAGTTTTAGAATAATTGTGACTAATTTACAAAAGATCATTACAATTCTAGGAAATCTGATTATTGTTTGTCTGGAAAAATAATTGACAGACTCTTGATGTCTTTAAAAGTTTAGCCTTATTTGATTCTCAGCCTTATTAGATTATTGGGTCACTTACATTTCACTGGACTCTGGCTAAAGCACAGGGTGACATTCACAGAGTCCGTTTGGCCCTTTTTGCTTTGGCTCTAGAAGAGCTGCCCCCTTAAACTCTGTGATTAGGAAGAGACTCTCAGAGGAGAAGTTCTTCTGTCTAGCTCTAGTCACTGCATCAATTTGTCAAGAGACTTACCATGTCTCCCTTGGGTCTGCACAATGAGAATCCAGAAATGAGCCGGGGGATCTCATTACAAGCAGATCACACTAGGAATATTGAGCAAGCTTTGGTCTCACATGGCCTGCTACTTATGTTTCTTCAGGGAAAAAAGTAGCTCAACTCAGTTGAAGATATGTTGTCACATGGCACCATCTTTTCTTCTTTTGAATCCCTGTTAGTGTTTGGTCCTTGGTTAGTTACTGTCAGTGAGAATACATTCGTGTAAAAGTCAGATATGGTGTCTCTCTTTGTATATAGAAAGAGCTTACATCATTTCTCCTGCTAGCAGAGGCCATGCATTGGTTTTGTTAGGTAAAAATTAGTTTTGGGGGTAGGAACTGAAAATGGAGCATGAGTGCTCATTTTGATTTGTCAGAATATAAAAAGAAGTTAGGGCAGGTGATTACATTTTAGATCATCATCCTCCTCATAATTACAGCTAACAATCACTGAGCACTTGCACTGTGCCAGAACAGGGACTGAGTAGGTGTTTTGTATGCATTGTCATACTGAATCCTCATAGGATCCCCATAAGGATACTGAGAGAAGCTGTTGCAACAGCTGGAGCTCTAGATGAAGTATTTGTCTTTGACATCTCACCCCAGGCACAGCTGTGTGAACCCCTCATAGATTATGGGCTTCAGTGAAATATGTCAATAACATTAGATTAGCTTTGCTTCTGGATCCTGTGGTTGAATGTGACATGATGCAGATGCCTTTACCAGTGCCCGAACTC
Organism: Homo sapiens; assembly: GCF_000001405.40. Lineage (NCBI taxonomy): Eukaryota > Metazoa > Chordata > Mammalia > Primates > Hominidae > Homo > Homo sapiens. The sequence continues at coordinate 159,593,049 of NC_000001.11, read as the reverse complement.
GACGGTGGTCTCTTGAGGTATCTCCCATGTTAAACTCAGAAAAGTGGCCACAGCCAGCCAGATGAAAAGGAGATAGAAAATTCTGGAATACAAATGGAGTTTAGTTTATATGATAATCAGCTATTTAGTCTTGACAAGATAAGGATTAAAGACAATTCAGGTCATGTTTCATTTTTTCTTCTGTCATTTGAATGGTCTTGGACACCTATTATTTCTAAACAATGCAAAGTCTCATGAATACCTAAAAAGTCTCCACATTGCATTCCAAATGTGACTATACATTGATCCTATCCAGTGCAGATAAAATATTTTTTTTAAATTTCCACTTCAACTCAAGTTTTAGCTAAGGCATATCCCAAGCTAAGGGGCCTCATTGCTTTAATCTCAGAGCTCCACCCAGAGTCTCCCACACAAAACTCACAGAAAACTACCTGCAAGCCTTCTCATCCAGGAAAATTATTTATGGACTTCTGTTAAAACCAGTCCTGAAGCTATGTGGCTAAATGCTCTTACCTGTTTTTCTGTAGTCAAAAATAAGAATCAGATCGTTACTTGTATAAGATAGAGACTCAAAAATTGCTTTTCTTATTAGAGATGACTCCTGGTTTTAGCAACTTATTGTACATCTTGTGTACTACTTGTCCCCTAGTATCTAACAGCCTTAGTGGCAAGTATGGGAAAGGGCGTGATTATCTCTGTAATTATTAAATCACTACACAACTATGTTCCTGGGTTATTGCACCTCCAAATCCTTCCATTTTCTTTATAGATTCTGAATTATTCAAGTAGTTTCCTCTGTGACTTTTGCTGATTTCTTTGTTGTGACAACAACTGTATCTGAGAAAAATGCCGAGATGACGTTACCAGAAATTCCATCTTTATTAGTCTGTTTTCATGCTGCTATAAAGACCTGCCCAAGACAGGGTAATGTATAAAAGAAAGAGATTTAATTGACTCACAGTTCCACAGTGCTGGGGAGCCTTCAGGAAACTTACAACTATGGAGAAATGGAAGCAAACATGTCCTTCTTCACATGGTGGCAGGAAGGAGGATCGTGGAGCAAGGGGGGAAAAGTCCCATATAAAGCCATCAGGTCTTGTGAGAACTCACTCACTATCATGAGAACAGCACGAGGGTAACCGCCCCCATGATTCAATCACCTCCCACTGGGTCCCTCCCACGACACATGGGGAGTATGGGAACTACAATTTAAGATGAGATTTGGGTCAGGACACAGCCAAACCATATCACCATCTCTATTATAAATTATGTTAAAATGGACTGTCTTCAGTTTTGAATGAGCCATCAATATGATAGATATTAATGATAAAAATAATATACACAGATTCACTCAAATAAAGAATTCATGAAGGAAATGATTAAGAACCATCTCTACAACTCTTCTACCTTTTGGCTAGAACAAGGTGCCCAAAGAAGACAGAATGTGGAGATAGGAAGGAACTTTTCCAAAGAACTTCTTTGCAGAGAGCTGCTGTTTTGCTGTTGTTGCTGCTTTGAGGGAGTATTAGGTTATGTTATTTGTATCTTGAGAAGATTATTATTTTTTACTTCTTTACCCAACCTCAAGCCTAATGTGGGGGCTTCTGTGGAATCACTGCGGAAGCTTGAAATATCCCTCTTGCTATTGGGAGACTCAAAGGACTTGAGAAAGCTGCAACCACTGTGTAAATAGGAAAGAGTTGTCTATATTAAGACCATCTGAGACTTCTAGAATTTATAGGGACAAGAGATGTATAAGTGCTTCTTTTGGCTGAAATACAGACAACATAGAAGAAAGAGCTTACATGCAGTCATTTTGGATTCTGTTCAAAAGAGCCATTTTAAGAGGCAGAGGGTTCACAAGAACAAGAAACCTGTCACAAACACTGTATCCTGAGATCTATGCAAGTAGTTGCAAATGATCACCAAGAATAAATAATACCTTTAACTTAGGGGAAAGTGAGAGGTGGACTATGATATCAACCTGAGATAGAAGAAAGCTTAAACATGTGAGAGATGGATTACAGTACAGCCTGATTATTGTTAGGAGAAACCCACATGTAGTTAACACAGATTTATTAGAATGTAAATTCTAAAATAGCAAGCACCATGATTGTTTTATTCAATATTATATTTTCAGTACCTGGCATTGCCTGGCGTATTTTTGAGAAGTTGCTCAATAAATAGTTGAATGAATGGATTATATCACTTGGAAGTACACTGGTTTCATTTCTAAAATTGTCTTGGGTTCCTAGGCAAAGGGGTTGTTAAACCAAAACACAGTGTTAGTGAACATGATAGAAATATCTGTTATGCAAGAATAGATAGACCTTTCTAGTACTCACAGTACAAGTTTATGGAAAGGTCGTTAATATTGAGAAAGCGTAAAGCAAGCCTTAACTCATGAGCTGTCAATCAGAAATTAATAATTTCTCATATTGCTAAAATCCCTGTCTACCTAACCAACTCAATGTTCTAAGTAAGTTCTACTTGTCTTAGTCCATTTTGTGTTGCTATAAAAGAATACCTGAGACTCAGTGATATATAAAGAAAAGAGGTTTATCTGGCTCATCGCTCTGCAGGCTGAGAAGTTAAAGATCATGCCTCTGGCTTCTGGTGAGGGCTTTTGTGTTGTGTCAAAACATGGTGGAGAAATTCAAAGGCGAAGTGAACATGTGCGAAGAGAACAAAATCTAAGGGACATCCTGGCTTTATAACAGCTACATCTGGCAAGAACTAATCTGATCCCACAAGAGTTAATGCACTCTCATAAGAGTGAGAACTCACTCATTACCGTAAGAACAGCACCAAAACATTCATGAGGGACCCACCCCCATAGCCCAAATGCCTTTCACTAGGACTCACCTTCCAACAACACCATATTGGGAATAAAATTTCAAGATGACGTGTGGTGGCGGCAAACAAACCATATCCAAACCATCATACCACCTCACCAGAAATGAGGTTGAAATGTTCTTATGAAGCCCCTGCTGCTCCATTTAAGTACTTCAGCAAATCTTCCCAGGTTCTGTCTGCTCTCCTCTGCTTCCACCCCATTGTCCCATTATGGAGTTTCCAGATTCTATCCTACTTCTTCATATCTGGTGACTGCCTCTGTTCATTCTGGCCAAATGGCCTCATGAGTTTGAAATCATGACATTGGTTACCATCCTGAAGCTTCTGGATGCTATCTTTCTGATTCCACTGACTACATGCTCTACTTATTATCAGTGAGAAAAGCCTGTCTTATTTCCCATATATGTAGCTCAAACTCCCTCTGGGATCCTTGCTTCTCTGGGAATGCAACTTATATCTGTTGACGATGTGCCAGGCACTGTGTTCCATGCTTTTCATAACCATAAAAATAACTACTAGTAATAGCATCTGACAATTATTTTTCAGTGTGATAGTTAGGATGTGGCTTGCTCTGCTAAGAGTTGTATCTGAAATGTACATGGAAAGTCCATTTCAGAGAGTATTCTGTGTATACTCTCTGTGTACATTTCAGAGAGAGTAACTGGGACCAGGTTATAGAGGGCAATGTCATATTTAGAGGTTTAAATCATGTCCTGTAAGAAGTGTGAATCCATGGAAGAATTTTAGACAGCATATTCATGTGAGCAATATTCAGAGTATAATATTTTTTGATGACATCAAGAGAACATTATGAAAATCAAGCATTGTACAGTCCTACTGAGGTTTTTGAGACATAAAGTTATGTTTGTCTTCATACAAAATGATCCCAGTCTCATACTTTTTTGGTTTTCATTCTGACTTCTTCTAGTTTTATTCTTCCTGTCTTATTACTTGCTGTCAGGTTCTCAACTATTGCTTACTTATATCATTATAGTTGTCTACCTGATGCAACCTCAGACCCCTTTTTGATCGATTTGTAGCTGGAAAAACAAATAGGAGAATTGTGATTACAATTCCACACATATTTTGAATCGTCATTAAAATGATTGTTAGTAGCTTTTAAGTATTGCCACTGTTGTGCTCATTGAGTGCTCTGGCTTTGTGATATATCTTTCTAGTTACTTACAGGTTTTCCTCCCCGTACTTGGCAATTGGAGTTTTCAGGATAATGAAACACCAATTACCAATGAAACACCAATTAGTAGATAGATAAGTAGTAGACATAAGATAAAGATATGGGACTATGACAAGCACTAAACAAATGCAGGTAGCATAATACAATATATATTTTTTTAATTAGGCAGACATACAGATAGGAAATTCAAAGAAGAAAGAGCTGCAGATGTAAGATCTAGTATCCAGTTGCTTTGACCAGATCTCTTAGACAGTCATTTCATTTTCAAGTGCTCTCGTTGAGTCAAGACCTCAGACCCACACCAAGGGTTTGATGATGACATATCCTCTGATTTCATAGTTCAGAGCCTGCCAGTCCAGGATATTGGCAGGGAGAGGGGTACCCTGATAGGCAGACAGGATATTTTCTGGGGGCAGCACAGAGTCCCACATGTACAAATCCCCAATCTCTCCCACAAAGGACTGGCTCCTATCAAACTTGCCCCCATAGGAATCCTGTTCCTGCCCCAGGACAATCTTGGGCTGAGCTTCTACAAAGTAACCCTGTCGCAGACCCTTTTTCACCAAAGGTGTCCCATTGATCCAAAATTCAGCAATACCTGATGAGGACTCCCAGCTCACACAGATGTGCACTGGAGCCGGGAACTTTTCGATAACTTTGGATGTAACTTTGTGTCTTCCAATGTATAGACTATACTCTCCAACTCTTTCTTTATAAACTAGTAGCTCATTATCCCTGCCTTGGGTATTGTAGGAGAAGAGGCTGTAGGCACGAGAGAGATCACTATAGGCTCGAAAACACAAGGTAAAGTTCTGTAGAGGCTTCTCCAGCGGTGTGATCAAGTTTACATGATCAGTAACAGATTCTCTAGGAAATACAAACACCTTCCCACTGAGGTCTGCGGGATAAAGAAAGAAAGATAATGACCTTCAGTATAAATGCAGGGAAAAGATATCTCAGCTTCAACCTATTTTCTCACTTTATGATTCTTGACCATTCCTTCACCTCCTTACCTGTGTGAGCAAAGGCTTCCAGGAGGCTGGTGAGGACAGAGATCCAAAGCAGCGGCTTGTTCATATTCCTGGCCTAGGGCTGTTATAGCAGAAGCAGTGACCAGGATGAGGGTAGCAGACAACACAGTGGCTGTCCCCCTAGCGTCTGATATTCATGCCCTTAGACTTCAGGTTATTCAGGGTTTATATGCACCTTGGGTGAGGATGGGGGAGGAAGAGCACCAATAATATGTGAGTGATTTTCCAGGTCTGCCTCCTGGCGCTTACGGTGAAGGAGTGGTGAGCCCTGAGCTGGAAAATCAATGGGAGTTATTTATTAGAGACAAGTGATGGCTAGAGCTCCAACTCCTGTGACCCAGATTTTATTGCTGGGAAGAGAGTCATTGCAGGGCAGCAGGGTTATGGATGGGATGAGGCGCTGGGCTGGCCATGTCAGCAGAGCCTCTCTCTGCTCTCTGGGCCCCCTCTCTGATGGCTCTGTGCTCTGCCAGAAGCTCCTGAGCCACACAGAGTGTATCGCTGAGCTCAGCCCTCTTGTGGGCTATGGGAACAAGGCCTTTTCTTTCTTTTATAGTTCTCAAGTTGTCTTGTATTTGTAGGATATTCTAGGATTCTGCTTTCTGCTGAAGACCCTAAAAAGTGCCTTCAACTTTGACTAATTCAACATCAAGTAATACATCCAGGCAAAGCTAAGGGGAAAGAGGGACTTGGAGAATAAACTTTCTGTCCCCATGAAGCTTAGTATTTTTCTGCTACTTCTACTCAGTGCTTTTTTTTCGTTTGCATATCATGGTGCTTCCTTATCCTAGATCTTTCCATTTCTCATTACGACTTGTTTTCTGGTTACTTCATGCTACCTGCAGAGATGTCAGCATCTCCCCAAGTTTTTCTCTCCTCTTCTTTGAGTCCTTGGTCATTGAGTGTATATCTAATCCATCTTTGGTGATGACCCCACTAATACATTTATTCACTAGCTCTCAGTTACTACACTAGGTGCTGGGGATTCAGTGGTCACTGGCTCTCTCACAGCCCCAGAGATCTCCACCTTCATTCTTTCTATGTCTCCTTCATTCTCTCTCTGTACAGTTTATTAACCACCACTCAAACCTTCTCTGCCTCTGAGATATCAAACTGAAGTTCTTCTTTCTAGCCACATTATTTCTTTCTCTCTCATCCCTGAATTATATGGTGTCTTGTTTCTCATCCTACTGTTTAGCCTCTTGTTCACTCTCTCTTCTGTTAGCTCACCACAGACCTAATCAGCCTTTTCAATGACACAATCACTGCCACCAAGAATACACTTTCTCTATCATTGTTCAAAGTATCCTTCCTATTCTCATCCCTGGGGAGTTTCCATTCTCTACTTTTTTTCTCTAAATGGAATCCCAGGTTGTGAAGCCTTATCTGGCTTGTTGCACAGTATAGGTTAGTGATAAAGTTGGGATTATGCATCTATTGACTCCTGAATTAAATACAGACCATTTGCTTGGAAGCCAATGCCATTTGCAATCTGGCTCTAACCTGGCTATTATCTCAGAATCTAATCCTATTCTCCAGTCAAACACCTCTAATTGTTGTTCTTTATACCTTCCTGGCTTTCTTGATTTCATTACTTCTATTCAGTGCCTTCATACTGTCTTGAATTTCTCTCTTATTTTCTTTTCCTGTTTCTAGGAATTCCAGCCATTCTTCCACATTAATCTCAAGCTTATTTAGGTGATGGTTATAGTAAAAGCCCAGACTTCACTATTATGTTATTGCTGTCTATGTAATAAAACTAAACTTGTATGCCTTGAATTTATACAAAAATATAAAAAATAAAAAACAATCTGCTTCATGAAGACTTTTCTAATATCCCAACTATACATTATTTCCCCTCTTTCGTACTTCCCATAAGGTTAAGATCAAAGACTTTGGGATAGAATTCCAATGTTGCCATTTACTAGTGGCTGACTATTCTGCAAGTCACTAAACCCCTCTGAACCTTAGTTTCCTTCTCTGTGAAACAAAGATAAAACTATCTACCTCACAGTGTTTCTCTAAGGATAAATGAGATACTATGATATACATAAAGTACATGGAACAGTATCTGGATGGTTATTATTACCATCATTTTAGAGCCTTTATGGCTGTTACCACTATCTGTCTCATATTATAGATATTATTGTATTTATCTTGAATCCCTTCTAGACTGAATCTGGGTATTAGGACTTATTTATATTTAGATCATTGGTTTCATCTAACAATTTTTCTTACACATGAAAAGAAACTGTTACATATTGTGGAATCAAAGGACTCAACTTTGTGTGAGGATTTTTTTTTTTTTACAAGAAACAGTTTATTAGCAACAAAAAGTAGAATACAATTGAATAATATGATAAGGTAATACTGGAAGTAGGAGCAGGAAGGTAACATTTCTTGAGAACCCAGGGACTATGCAATTCCCTAACATTTCCAGATGTTAATTAATAAGTGCCATAAAACTCAGAGAACACAGGGCTTACCAGATGCTTCTAGTTTTCTTCATAAATAAATAAATAATCATTATCTTAACAAAAAATGGTTTGCAAATTAATATCAAAGAGAGTCTTCTCTAATGGGAGATAAGCCTAGGGAACAGGTCTTGGGGATAAGTGACACAGCCTTAGACTCATGGTGGGAGAGCTTGGAGATAACGGCTTTAGATAGCTGTTGGGGCCAAGTGCAAGGGTTTGCAGTTGAATATGAAAATGTTGTGTTATACACTGTGAAAAGGAAACCCTGGTTGGAAGGTAGGGTCTACAGTATAATTGGAAAAGGGAGAAAAAGTGGAGTCTGATTCTGTTGTCTAGTTTCCTTCCCCAGAATATGCTTCTCAGGCCTTGGAAGAGAACAGCCTGCACTTCAAGAGTTGTCAAAGAGGAAACTGAGAATTATTTTTATTGTAGAAAGGAAAAGTTCTGATGTCAGGATGTAGGAAAATGAATCCTGGGTCTTCAGAACTGGGTGCAATCCTCACAGTGAGCCAATCCTCACTGTTGCTGGATCCTCCTGGGTGCCATCCTGCCAGTGAAAGTTCAGGTCAAGGTGGCGGCTCCTGTCTGGATGGCTATGGAAGAGTTGAGGCTGGGGGAAGAAAAGATACAGTATGCTGAAGAGAAACAGGTCCACCTGTGTGCCACAAACAGAGTTGTCTTGGCTACATTAATTGGCATGCAACAAAGTTTACCCTCAGAGAGCATAGTGGAAGAAGGCATCAGCAGTAGCAGAAAGAGGATCTGACTCGGAGCTTCAAAAAAGCAGAAGTATGAGATATAACTGGAGATCACCTGAGGGATTAAAGAATAACCTAAAGATGGTTTCTGAGACCTCAGGTGTTTGTAGAAGACATTAAGTCACAGTAACCAATGGGAAAGACTGGATAGGAAGAGACTGAGTAGAACAAGATTTGTGTTCAGTAAAGAATTATTTGCTGTGTGTTCTGTCAGTTGTAAGGGAATTTGAGAGCATTTAGATGGAAAGAGGCAATGGAGGCATGCATCAAGAGTAACTGATTATCACTCTGATATGTGGTTGGATAAAACCAAAGATACACAACTTAGACTGATGGCAGGGTCTTATTGTAAGTGCAAAAAAGGACAAAGATGAGAATTAAAAATATATATATAGAATATGGAACCATATTTCTTACTGCAAATCATGTGGAAAAAAAATATGGTGCTGCCAGTACAGATAGGACAATTGAGAGGATGTTCACTTGGAGGAGGTGGAGGGTAGGTGGTAAACTTGGTTCCTCAAATGCTAAATTTGAAATGATAGTATGACTTATGTGTAAGAAAGGTCTTGGAGAATTTGTAATATGTGACGGCCACTTGGAATTAGAAATACAGGTTTCAGAGAAATCAACATATAAATGATAATGAAACAAAAATGAATTTTGTCTTTCAGTGGAAAAGAGAAGAGAGGAAAGGTCAGGGAGCCAACCACTGACTTGAGGAAACATTCACATTCATGGTGTTAGAGGCAAGATAAGAATGGCAGGTGGGGAGGGAGGTGGGAGACAAAAAATTATGTTTGGCAGAGAGGATAGCGTGTGGTGTCATGGAAACCAAGTCAGTGTAAGTGTCCAGGAAGCAGTATCCAGTGGTATTAAATGCATCAGAGAGATCTAAGTTGAATGCATGCTGGATTTAGCAATAAAAACTTCAGTCGTAACCTTTGAAAGAGTAATTTTCATAAAGTGAGCATGTCAGAAGCCAAGTTTCAGGGAATGATGGAGGGAGAAAGAGGAAGGGAGTTTGTTTCCTAAGGTTCAGTAATTCTGACAAAGAACAAAAGGAGAGAAACAAGATTCTCCACAGGAGACTTGGGATTCAATGCATATTTCCCACACAGTTTATAGATTGTCTCTTCTTGACAGAGTGGCTATCATGTCTTTGTTGCCTACCTAATAACATTTCAGCCAACAACAGAGAAAAATCAGTGTCCACCTGAGATTATGACTGACCTTTCTACCAAAGTAGCTCTTTCAGACTCTAAATGCCAGGCTCAGGCTGCTGTGAACTCCTAACTCCCCTTCACAATTCTGGCAGCTTCACAAATTTGTCAGTCACTTTCCAGGTCATGCTGATACACAAGAGTCTTTTCTTGATCTCATTTCTCTGTTCCTAATTTCAGGGTTCATTTATAAAAGAAAATCTCTGCTAAGTTTTTTTTTATCTTCTACTTTTAGGTTTAGTGAGACACCTCGACCATATTACCTCACTGAAATCTCACTTTTAAGTTCAGAATTCACCTGAAACTGCTCTCTGGAATGTCACCATATCTGTATCTTAGTCTTTATCTTTCTTGACATCCCTTCACTCTTACACTTCTTTTTGAACAACCCATCTTTATAGTTTTATAAAATATAGATTTCATTGCTGAGATTAATGTTTATTCATTTTTTAAATATAAATTTTTAAATAAAATTTACCATTCAGACTCCCACTGGCCACAACCATCTTCATGCTGTTCACAATCCCTTCATAATACCTGAGTCTTCTGGGAGGAGATGTGCAAAGAAGAAAAATGTAACAGCAGGGACTCAGTGTAACTCTGTATCTTGAGTATGTTTAAAAGTTCCCTTCTCTGTGTCTAGGAATATATTTTCCAGTCCACAGTGATAGAGAATACATGCACTGAAGATGCAGAAGCAGATTCCTTGCTCGTGCAGCTACAAGAGGTCTTGGCTAGAGCTGTCTTGCGCTACTCTTGTCATCTTGTCAACTATGCCATGTTTCTGCTCATGACAGAAACATGGCAGCACAAGAGTTTTCTTATGCTGATCTATTTTATTGTTATCCCTAAAACTTCAAAATACAAAGAAAGAACCTCACAGAAGCTGACAAAGTTCACCTTGCTGGTTGTCTCCAGCTTCTGTGAATGATGTCATCCACATCTTAACTTCAGCAGGGAATGCCATCATCTTGAGTCTCACCCACATTGGTCATGTATGTTTTCCTGAGAGTGTTGGTTAGTTCAGTGACTTTATACACTCATCCTTATTCTACAATACTTTCTAGTCTCATAGCTCAGAACCAGGAGATTTTCTTGGTCTTTGTCATTTTTTTTTTAATTTCTGGGTTCTTTCTTTCTTTTTTAAAAAAATTTATTTAAGATTTAAAACAATTTTTATGAGTATGTAGTAGGTGTATATATTTATGGGCATGCACTGTGAAATAAGCATATCATAGAGAATGGGGTATTCATCCCCTCAAGCATTTATCTTTTGAATTACAAATAATGATCTTTGCCATCTTGACCACCATTGACTGCTGTGTATTTGTCTGGGAATTCCTGGAGTGCACAGTCTTTGTGAATAAGAGGGCATGTGCCCAGCTGGCGTGTGGTGCCTTTTGCATTGGCCTGATCATGACAGTGGTCTAAATAACCACAGTGTCACAGAGGTACAAAAGGAGCACATATGCTATTTAGACTGCTTCTTGTTTGACACCCTTCTTGTCATGAAACTCTCCTGCATTGACAATACTATCTATGAAATAAACAGTATTTTATTCACCACACATGTGTGCAGGTGTCCATGGGTTTGGTTTGCATTTCCTATATTGACATCCCTGTTACCTCCATCGTGCTTAGAATTTCCTAATCTGAGGTCTTTGCCACCTGTGTCCCCCAACCCCCACCTCATCATGGTCATTGTCTATATGTCTGTGCTTGTACTGCTTACCTCAAGCACAAGCCAATGAATTCAATAGAAAACAGGTCTTCTATAAGAGACCTACATTATCATCATTCATTCTGCCTCTGGACACTGTTGTTTACACTCTGAGGTACATGGAGGCCAAGGATACCATGTACAGAGCTGTGGACAGAAATATTTCTTAACAGATTGACTCATTTCATCAGGAGACCTTTAGTCCAGGGCAATGTTTTTCCTGCTCATAAACATTTTTCATCTCATAAGAAGACCAAATAGAAAGTTCTGTTGTGAATTGGTTCAAACACTTAGACTGCTTTTCTACTTCTAGAAAGAAGGCAGAATCTAGGATTTCTGCTCAGGGTGCACATTACTGCAGAGGCGAGTGGCACTCCAGGAGCATTTTGATGACTTATTTTTATGTGTGAGCGAGTTGATTGAAAATCCTCCTAGCTCCCACTTTACCTGGCCATTTGGTGCTTGACTTTTGTCTTTGAGTGGAGCAGAACTACTGATGATAATGGCAGCAGTGACTTCAGTTAAAGAATCCCAGGGACCACCTGAGACTTTCTGCAGCTCCGTGATTTCAGCTTTATGACCCTTAATTGACATTTCAAAAAGGCTTTCCTTACCATGTGCTGATTGAAAAATAAATAGTTTAGCAAAGAGAGGTCCTTCTTTCCATGAATTTGTCCCCACTGGCCACTTAAATAGTGTGTGTTTAGGTGAAGTACCCTTTACTTCTGTGGGAGGAAACAAAGACTTTTTAAAACCACATTATTGCTGCAGCCCCAGAAGCTGAGAAGAAAGAGAACAGATGGGTGGCTCTTCTCAAAGAATGGTGCCTTCATCTGGATTTCCTCTTCTTAAACATTTATCTTCTTGTTCCTTGAAGGCTTTTAGGAATTATTAATTCCACAGTGGCTGCATGGTAACTGTTGATTAGTGGTGGCTTATTTTGGGTAAGTGGATTTGGTTGTTCTTCTCTAAGCGTGGACCACAATTTTCAATCATTTAAAACTCCAAGTACTGATTTTCCCTTTTTCTGGGTGGGTGAGAGGTAGTGGGATAAGCGGCTTAAAGTTTATTTTTGTGTTTCCTAGTAGAATTTTTCTTCTGAATTGTTCTTCTCTGCTCATATCTTACACTTTTTCCTGGTGAGTAGTTACATGTGTAATTAAGAAAATTGTCATGTATATCCACTGTGAGACAGAGCTACAAGGTACTTTCCCAAAGCCCAGGTATAGTAGTATCTATTTCATACACTACTATATTTCAGGAATAAGTGACTCATTATTAGTTCAGCCCGAGGTAAACTCTTTCCATTTTCTGTCTTATACTTTTGCTATATATATTTTTGTAACCACAGAAGCAGGCCTGAGGCACATTTTTGGTCACTTGTGATCTTCTCTCCCTCCAACAGACTGCTGGAGGTCGAGGGCCCCAGGTATAGTGGGTGCCCTTTTCTCTCATTTGGTGGAACTGTGTATGTTAATAGGTGAAATCAATGCCTCAGTGATAATCAGCACATTTTGTGCCTTCGGGGTGATTCTGAAGCTGAAGTTCCTAGGTCCCTAGGGGGTTCTTGAATGAGTTTCAGTAGGTTTGTAAACTCTCTGAAATTGTGTGCAAAATATTGCAAATGTTTTTTTTCACCAGATTTTCAAAGAAGTCTCTGATCTACCAAAGGTAAGAATCTATTGTTCTGGAATAGAGTTTTGCAAAACTGTTTTGACAAAAAATTACAGTAAGAGGTTTTGTATTGCAACAGTATATGTCTACATGAATACACATATAAATATATCTTAATCAAAATTATCATAAAACAACACAAAAGCTTATGTCAAATCCTGAACTGTTTGAGAAATGATAAGGAGTGCTGTGAGATAGAGAGGTGGGACTAGAGGAGAGAATGATAGAAAATGTATTTGAAGAGGCTAGGCTCCATCAGTGGTGATAATGGTAGGGGCCACCACCATCATCATAATCATCATCATTGGCTACTCTACTCTCTTCTCTTCTACTCCATCCAAACAAGATTGATTGCTTTTTCATCTCTTCTTTCATAGAACTTTGCAAATACCTTCAATATTTTAGTTTGTATTATGGTGTTATTTCCTGTTTTAAAAACATATCTTTTTTTCAATGGAAAATGTTGTCATATTTTCACTCAAAATATAAATGCTGAGTATTGATAAGGCATTTATATTTTGTCTAAGCCAGATAAAGCCTTTACCTTTAAGAAGCTCAGGGTCTCAAGAGAGCAACTAACATGTAAAAAAAAATGCAGATATTGGGGTAGGTGCACAACTAGGTAGGTGATGGTGGTAGAGTGGTAGGTGTTACAAGCCTTTCAGTCAATTTCCAGAGACTTTAAATGATTGCTTCGATAATTCTGATGAGTTGAAAAGATGTCTGTTCAAAAGAAGGTTTTTGCTGAGCTCCTCATGTTACTATTCCCTGAGTTTTTGTGTTTTCATTTTGTGATTTCGCTAATATCCTTTTTATCATTATAATTTCTTTCAATAAATACATCTAGCCACTCTTGAAGTATCAAGTACTGGATCCAGCACTAAGGATGCAGAGATAAATCCTACTTAGTCGGTTTTGGGACGGTAATAATGTAATTACTCTCCCTCACATGGCAGCAAAATAGGAGCAGTAAAGGTTACATTACAGGGAGCTGCTTACAGTTAATGAAGGATTCTAACTATCACTGTGGAGGTGGAAAGCTGCCTACAGGTGGGCTTTGTGCAGGAGGCAACATTTGATTGGGAGCTGAAAAGATGAGTGAAAGTCTGCTTTGTGACAAGGAAAAAAGGAGCATTGCAGACAGTTGGAGAGTTCAGGAAGCCAATGTGCAAGCCAGTTGTGTTCAGGGCTGTTTAGAAAATGCAGAAATTATAGAATATTTTAAAGTATATGAACGCTTTGGATTTTATTCTTGTTGCTGTGAGCATATTTTTGAAGGGTTTTAGACAGAGGAGAGAAGTGATGAGAAGTACACATAAAATAAACGACTGTGACATGAATAAGACAAGTCAAATGCACTAAATAAGAGGCTGTATTACAACTTACAAGATTTCAATCCACCCCAAATTATCTCATACATTCTTTACTCAAGTGCTTGTTTCTAGGACATACCATGACCACTCACACCTTTGTACCCTTCACATTCCACTTTCTTTGTCAAAACCTGTAAGTGAAGGACAGGGATGGTAAATCTCAGGTTTCTGTTTTGGGCAACCAGGTGATCAATGGGTGGTAAGAAACAGCCTCTCTGAAAAAGTGAAACTTAAGTTGAAATGTTTGTTAATAAAAATAGCAAGACATTTTAGATGATTTAAGAAGCAGAAGTTTCCTCAGGAGATAACCACCATGACTCTCTCAAAGGTGGAGCCTCATGGCAGAAGCTTAAGGAGATCTGGTAGTATGGGAAGAGGAAGAAAGGAAGAAGAGCAGTGCTTTCAAAGTACATGGCTTTTTTTTTTTTTGTAATGAGCAGTTTTCATAGGTTTGTCCTACATTTCCATATGTTTCAGTTGAATATATCTTTAAATTAAAACAAAGATTTCAAAGAAGCAATAGGATTCAGAACTCCAAAAAAATCAATGTTATCTTAACACATTTATTGATCACCCACTTTGTGCAAAAAGTCTCTGTTTTAGGCTTTTTTTTTTTTTTTTTTTTTTTTGAGACGGAGTCTTGCTCTGTCACCCAGGCTGGAGTGCAGTGGTGCGATCTTGGCTCACTGCAAGCTCCGCCTCCCGGGTTCACGCCATTCTCTTGTCTCAGCCTCCCGAGTAGCTGGGACTACAGGCGCCCACCACCACGCCCGGCTAATTTTTTGTATTTTCAGTAGAGACGGGGTTTCACTGTGTTAGCCAGGATGGTCTCAATCTCCTGACCTGATGATCCACCCGCCTCAGCCTCCCAAAGTGCTGGGATTACAGGCGTGAGCCACCGTGCCCAGCCTGTTTAAGGCATCTTTGAGTTTTGCTTTGCAAAAAGTAAAGAAAGAAGCAAGATTTAAAAAGTTGAGAACAGACAACACCCATATTAGGTAAGGGTAATACTTGCTGTGGTAACAGATTTACTACAAAATCTTATGGCTTAATATTAATTCTTAATATTAAGAATTAAGAAATAATATTTAATAATTAAGAAATAATACTTAAATAATTAAATATTAATTCTGGCTCATGTAAAATATAACTACACGCTCCTGATTGGCAAGAAGTTCTCCTCTAATTCTCAACTCAAGGACACTATATCATATGGCTCTGCTTTTCTTAGGGCTTCTAAGAAAAGAAGTCCTGTGATAGATGTTCTACCTCCAGGTGACAACGGGAGAAGTACAGTGAAAAAGCCTCACCTGCTTCTTTACCATGATGGTCTGGAAGTGGTACATGCCACTTCCGCATGCATTCCTTGGCAAGAACTTCTGCCATAGAATCCTATCGTTTTTAGAGTACAACTAAGTGAGTTTTCTGTACTGAGTTTTAAGTAGGTCCATAATGATTTTATTCTTAAAATTAATGTTTAGAGAAATTTTATTAAACACATCTACCATATGAAGTAAAATTTTCTTCCTTAGTTTTATTTTTTAAAACTTCTATGGTTGTTACTGTCTCATTTGGAGGCACTTCTGGAAGCTAAAAATCATCTTGTTCCTAAATGTTTCTGCTGGTCATATGGGCAGATTAGTGTTTTTGTCAGGAGGAGGAACAGTTGTTCTTAGAAATGAGTGAGGTAGAGAGGGAGAGACAGAGCTTTTTCAGTAGAAGGAGAGAAGAGACATTGGAAACCCAACTTAGACAAATTGACCTTCTGGAAACTCAAAAGCAGATTGTCTGCCAAGATTGCTGAGTGAGATGGAAGCCTGAAGATAAAGAAAATAGAAAGATTGAAGCAGATCTTTGGGTAACATGATGGAGGGCTGGAGATGGGATAAATAGATAAAGGGATTGCTGCACAACCACACTTAAAATTAAACTGGCGTTTGGCACTGCTGTGGTCCACCCAGCTTGTGCCTCCCTCCTTTGGACATCCATCTGCATGGGCCCAGAGTTGTAGGAGTAAACATCCTAAGAATGTTGTTCTATGTTTACAGTTTGAGGATCCCATGTACTCTGTGTCCTCAGGACCATGTCTTACATGTGTTTCAGTGAGTGTGTCCAACAGAGGTACACAAAAGGAAGATTCTAACCCCAAGATGATGTAGCTCTTGAAGAAAGCAGGAGAGACTTCTGGGACTTATGATGATAAAGGTGGGTGTTGGGGGGAGGAAAATATGGCATGGAACGAGTTTCAAGAGAGAAGAGTTTGTTTAGTAATGAGGCAAAAAAATTGTTTCTGGACACAAGAGATTAAGTTTCATATTTGCAATCTAGGAAGTATAGTGTAGAGAGAAAGATCATGGACTCTTACCCCAGACGCTGGCTCCCTCCCAATCCTGTGTCTGCCTCTTTCTGAGAGAACTCTACAAGTTACATCCCAGTATCTTAGGTGCCCATCTGCGATAATGGGAATAATGACACTACCTACCTCACTGGGTTTCTGTGGTGTTTAAATATATTAATTTTGCATGAAGGATTTAGTACAGTGGCTAGCACATAGTAAATACTTTTATAATGTTAGTTACCTTTATTATTTATATTCCTCTTCTTTGCCTATCAGTTTTGTTTAAAAAAAAAGGCTGCTAAAAAAAAGTATAGAGAACAAAGTTAAAAATTAATGGAAGGAAGAACTCTTAGTCTATGAGTTTTAAAACATGAATGAATGCTATTATTAAATGCCTTTAAAATCAATTATATGATCATACATATTTTTTAAATGAATAGAATTTATTTCTTGGAACAGTTTTAGGTTTACGGATAAATTGAGTAGATAGTACAGAGTTCCCCTGTACAGTTTCCATTTCTTTCTTTTTTCTTTTTTTTCTTTTTTTTGAGATGGAGTCTCTCTCTGTCACTAGGTTGGAGTGCAGTGGCCCGATCTCAACTCACTGCAACCTCTGCCTCCCAGGTTCAAGTGATTCTCCTGCGTCAGCCTCCCGAGTGCTGGGACTACAGGTGTGCACCACCACGCTCAGCTAATTTTTGTATTTTTAGTAGAGACAGGGTTTCACCATGTTGGCCAGGTTGGTCTCAGTCTCTTGACTTTGTGACCTGCCCACCGAGGCCTCTAAAAATGCTGGGATTACAGGCGTGAGCCACTGCACCCAGCCACAGTTTCCCTTATTAATACCTTGCATTCATGTGGTGCATTTATTACAATTGATAAACCAATACCGATACGTCATTATTCACTAACGTGGATAACATTAGAGTTCACCCTTTGTGTTGTACATTTCTTTGGGTTTTGACAAATGCGTTTTATGTGTCTACCATTACAATGTCATACAAAATAGCTTCCCTACTTAAAAATCCCCTCTGCTTTACCTATTTATACTGCCTCCCCCTAGCAACCACTGATCTTTCTGTCTCTATAGTTTTGCCTTATCTACAATGTCATGTAGCTGGAATCATACAGTATGTAGTCTTTTAAGACTGGTTTCTTTTACATAGAAATATGCATTTGAGGTTTCTTCATGTCTCTTTATGGCTTGATAAATTATTTTCTTTTTATTACTGAGTAATATTCCATTGTATAGATGTACCACACTTTGTTTATCCATTTACCTATTGAGAGATATCGCTCTAGCAGCCAAGATGGCCGAATAGGAACAGCTCCGGTCTACAGCTCCCAGCATGAGCGACACAGAAGACGAGTGATTTCTGCATTTCCATCTGAGGTACCAGGTTCATCTCACTAGGGAGTGCCAGATAGTGGGCGCAGGTCAGTGGGTGCAACGCACCGTGTGCAAGCCGAAGCAGGGCGAGGCATTGCCTCACTCAGGAAGCACAAGGGGTCAGGGAGTTCCCTTTCCTAGTCAAAGAAACGGGTGACAGATGGCACGTGGAAAATCGGGTCACTCCCACCCTAATACTGTGCTTTTCCGAAGGGCTTAAAAAACGGTGCACCAGGAGACTATATCCCACACCTGGCTCGGAGGGTCCTATTCCCACGGAGTCTCACTGATTGCTAGCACACCAGTATGAGATCAAACTGCAAGGTGGCAGCGAGACTGGGGGAGGGGCGCCCACCATTGCCCAGGCTTGCTTAGGTAAACAAAGCAGCTAGGAAGCTCGAACTGGGTGGAGCCCCCCACAGCTCAAGGAGGCCTGCCTGCCTCTGTAGGCTCTACCTCTGGAGGCAGGGCACAGACAAACAAAAAGACAGCAGTAACCTCTGCAGACTTAAATGTCCCTGTCTGACAGCTTTGAAGAGAGCAGTGGTTCTCCCAGCACGCAGCTGGAGATCTGAGAACGGGCAGACTGCCTTCTCAAGTGGGTCCCTGACCCCAACCCCCAAGCAGCCTAACTGGGAGGCACCACCCAGTAGGGGCAGACTGAGACCTCACACAGCCGGGTACTCCTCTGAGACAAAACTTCCAGAGGAACGATCAGACAGCAGCATTCGTGGTTCACGAAAATCCGCTGTTCTGCAGCCACTGCTGCTGATACCCAGGCAAACAGGGTCTGGAGTGGACCTCTAGCAAACTCCAACAGACCTGCAGCTGAGGGTCCTGTCTGTTAGAAGGAAAACTAACAAACAGAAAGGATGTCCACACCAAAAGCCCATCTGTACATCACCATGATCAAAGACCAAAAGTAGAAAAAACCACAAAGATGGGGAAAAAACAGAGCAGAAAAACTGGAAACTCTAAAAAGCAGAGCGCCTCTCCTCCTCCAAAGGAATGCAGTTCCTCACCAGCAATGGAACAAAGCTGGACAGAGAATGACTTTGATGAGTTGAGAGAAGAAGGCTTCAGATGATCAAACTACTCCGAGCTACAGGAGGAAATTCAAAACAAAGGCAAAGAAGTTGAAAACTTTGAAAAAAATTTAGACAAATGTATAACTAGAATAACCAATACAGAGAAGTGCTTAAAGGAGCTGATGGAGCTGAAAGCCAGGGCTTGAGAACTACAGGAAGAATGCAGAAGCCTCAGGAGCTGATGCGATCAATTGGAAGAAAGGGTATCAGTGATGGAAGATGAAATGAATGAAATGAAGCGAGAAGGGAAGTTTAGAGAAAAAAGAATAAAAAGAAATGAGCAAAGCCTCCAAGAAATATGGGACTATGTGAAAAGACCAAATCTACGTCTGATTGGTGTACCTGAAAGTGACGGGGAGAATGGAACCAAGTTGGAAAACACTCTGCAGGATATTATCCAGGAGAACTTCCCCAATCTAGCAAGGCAGGCCAACATTCAGATTCAGGAAATACAGAGAATGCCACAAAGATACTCCTTGAGAAGAGCAACTCCAAGACACATAATTGTCAGATTCACCAAAGTTGAAATGAAGGAAAAAATGTTAAGGGCAGCCAGAGACAAAGGTCGGGTTACCCACAAAGGGAAGCCCATCAGATTAACAGCGGATCTCTCAGCAGAAACTCTACAAGCCAGAAGAGAGTGGGGGCCGATATTCAACATTCTTAAAGAAAAGAACTTTCAACCCAGAATTTCATATCCAGCCAAACTAAGCTTCATAAGTGAAGGAGAAATAAAATACTTTACAGGCAAGCAAATGCTGAGAGATTTTGTCACCACCAGGCCTGCTGTAAAAGATCTCCTGAAGGAAGCACTAAACATGGAAAGAAACAACTGGTACCAGCCACTGCAAAATCATGCCAAATTGTAAAGACCATCGAGGCTAGGAAGAAACTGCATCAACTAACGAGCAAAATCACCAGCTAACATCATAATGACAGGATCAAATTCACACATAACAATATTAACTTTAAATGTAAATGGACTAAATGCTCCAATTAAAAGACACAGACTGGCAAATTGGATAAAGAGTCAAGACCCATCAATGTGCTGTATTCAGGAAATGCATCTCACATGCAGAGACACATATAGGCTCAAAATAAAAGGATGGAGGAATCTCTACCAAGCAAATGGAAAACAAAAAAAGGCAGGGGTTGCAATCCTACTCTCTGATAAAACAGACTTTAAACCAACAAAGATCAAAAGAGACAAAGAAGGCCATTACATAATGGTAAAGGGATCAATTCAACAAGAAAAGCTAACTATCCTAAATATATATGCACCCAATACAGGAGCACCCAGATTCATAAAGCAAGTCCTCAGTGACCTACAAAGAGACTTAGAGTCCCACACATTAATAATGGGAGACTTTAACACCCCACTGTCAACATTAGACAGATCAATGAGACAGAAAGTTAACGAGGATATCCAGGAATTGAACTCAACTCTGCACCAAGTGGACCTAATAGACATCTACAGAACTCTCCACCCCAAATCAACAGATTATACATTTTTTTCAGCACCACACCACACCTATTCCAAAATTGACCACATAGTTGGAAGTAAAGCTCTCCTCAGCAAATGTAAAAGAACAGAAATTATAACAAACTGTCTCTCAGACCACAGTGCAATCAAACTAGAACTCAGGATTAAGAAACTCACTCAAAACCACTCAACTACATGGAAACTGAACAACCTATTCCTGAATGACTACTGGGTACATAACGAAATGAAGGCAGAAATAAAGATGTTCTTTGAAACCAATGAGAACAAAGACACAACATACCAGAATCTCTGGGACACATTCAAAGCAGTGTGTAGAGGGAAATTTATAGCACTAAATGCCCACAAGAGAAAGCAGGAAAGATCCAAAATTGACACCCTAACATCACAATTAGAAGAACTAGAAAAGCAAGAGCAAACACATTCAAAAGCTAGCAGAAGGCAAGAAATAACTAAAATCAGAGCAGAACTGAAGGAAATAGAGACACAAAAAACCCTTCAAAATATTAATGAATCCAGGAGCTGGTTTTTTGAAAGGATCAACAAAATTGATAGACCACTAGCAAGACTAATAAAGAAGAAAAGAGAGAAGAATCAAATAGACACAATAAAAAATGATCAAGGGGATGTCACCACCGATCCCACAGAAATACAAACTACCATCAGGGAATACTACAAACACCTCTATGCAAATAAACTAGAAAATCTAGAAGAAATGGATAAATTCCTCGCCACATACACCCTCCCGAGACTCAACCAGGAAGAAGTTGAACCTCTGAATAGACCAATAACAGGCTCTGAAATTGTGGCAATAATCAATAGCTTACCAACCAAAAGGAGTCCAGGACCAGATGGATTCACAGCCGAATTCTTCCAGAGGTACAAGGAGGAACTGGTACCATTCCTTCTGAAACTATTCCAACCAATAGAAAAAGAGGGAATCCTCCCTAACTCATTTTATGAGGCCAGCATCATCCTGATACCAAAGCTGGGCAGAGACACAACCAAAAAAGAGAATTTTAGACCAATATCCTTGAGGAACATTGATGCAAAAATCCTCAATAAAATACTGGCAAACAGAATCCAGCAGCACATCAAAAAGCTTATCCACCATGATCAAGTGGGCTTCATCCCTGGGATGCAAGGCTGGTTCAATATACGCAAATCAATAAATGTAATCCAGCATATAAACAGAACCAAAGACAAAAACCACATGATTATCTCAATAGATGCAGAAAAGTCCTTTGACAAAATTCAACAACCCTTCATGCTAAAAACTCTCAATAAATTAGATATTGATGGGATGTATCTCAAAATAATAAGAGCTATCTATGACAAACCCACAGCCAATATCATACTGAATGGGCAAAAACTGGAAGCATTCCCTTTGAAAATTGGCACAAGACAGGGATGCCCTCTCTCACCACTCCTATTCAACATAGTGTTGGAAGTTCTGGCCAGGGCAATTAGGCAGGAGAAGGAAATAAAGGGTATTCAATTAGGAAAAGAGGAAGTCAAATTGTCCCTGTTTGCAGATGACATGATTGTATATCTAGAAAACCCCATTGTCTCAGCCCAAAATCTCCTTAAGCTGATAAGCAACTTCAGCAAAGTCTCAGGATACAAAATCAATGTACAAAAATCACAAGCATTCTTATACACCAACAACAGACAAACAGAGAGCCAAATCATGAGTGAACTCCCATTCACAATTGCTTCAAAGAGAATAAAATACCTAGGAATCCAACTTACAAGTGATGTGAACAACCTCTTCAAGGAGCACTACAAACCACTGCTCAATAAAACAAAAGAGGATACAAACAAATGGAAGAACATTCCATGCTCAAGGGTAGGAAGAATCAATATCATGAAAATGGCCACACTTCCCAAGGTAATTTATAGATTCAATGCCATCCCCATCAAGCTACCAATGACTTTCTTCACAGAGTTGGAAAAAACTACTTTAAAGTTCATATGGAACCGAAAAAGAGCCCGCATCACCAAGTCAATCCTAAGCCAAACGAACAAAGCTGGAGGCATCATGCTACCTGACTTCAAACTACACTACAAGGCTACAGTAACCAAAACAGCATGGTACTGGTACCAAAACACAGATATAGATCAGTGGAACAGAATAGAGCCCTCAGAAATAACACCACATATCTACAACTGTCTGATCTTTGACAAACCTGAGAAAAACAAGCAATGGGGAAAGGATTCCCTATTTAATAAATGGTGCTGGGAAAACTGGCTAGCCATAGGTAGAAAGCTGAAACTGGATCCCTTCCTTACACCTTATACAAAAATTAATTCAAGATGGATTAAAGACTTAAATATCAGACCTAAAACCATAAAAGCCCTAGAAGAAAACCTAGGCATTACCATTCAAGACATAGGCATGGTCAAGGACTTCATGTCCAAAACACCAAAAGCAATGGCAACAAAAGCCAAAATTGACAAATGGGATCTAATTAAACTAAAGAGCTTCTGCACAGCAAAAGAAACTACCATCAGAGTGAACAGGCAACCTACAAAATGGGAGAAAATTTTCACAACCTACTCATCTGACAAAGGGCTAATATCCAGAATCGACAATGAACTCAAAGAAATTTACAAGAAAAAACAAACAACCCCGTCAAAAAGTGGGCAAAGGACGTGAACAGACACTTCTCAAAAGAAGACATTTATGCAGCCAAAAAACACATGAAAAAATGCTCACTATCACTGGCCATCAGAGAAATGCAAATCAAAACCACAATGAGATACCATCTCACACCAGTTAGAATGGCAATCATTAAAAAGTCAGGAAACAACAGGTGCTGGAGAGGATGTGGAGAAATAGGAACACTTTTACACTGTTGGTGGGACTGTAAACTAGTTCAACCATTGTGGAAGTCAGTGTGGCGATTCCTCAGGGATCTAGAACTAGAAATACCATTTGACCCAGCCATCCCATTACTGGGTATATACCCAAAGGACTATAAATCATGCTGCTATAAAGACACATGCACACGTATGTTTATTGCGGCAGTATTCACAATAGCAAAGACTTGGAACCAACACAAATGTCCAACAATGATAGACTGGATTAAGAAAATGTGGCACATATACACCATGGAATACTATGCAGCCATAAAAAATGATGAGTTCATGTCCTTTGTAGGGACATGGATGAAATTGGAAATCATCATTCTCAGTAAACTATCACAAGGACAAAAAACCAAACACCACATGTTCTCACTCATAGGTGGGAATTGAACAATGAGAACACATGGACACCGGAAGAAGAACATCACACTCTGGGACTGTTGTGGGGTGGTGGGAGGTGAGAGGGATAGCATTAGGAGATATACCTAATGCTAAATGACGAGTTAATGGGTGCAGCACACCAGCATGGCACATGTATACATATGTAACTAACCTGTACATTGTGCACATGTACCCTAAAACTTAAAGTATAATAATAATAAAATAAAAACAAGAGAGATATCTTGGTTGCTTCTAGTTTTTGGAATTATAGATAGAGCAGCTGTAAACATTTGCGTGCAGATATTTGTATAGATATAAATTTTCAATTCATTTGGGTAAACACCTGGTGTGATTGCTGGGTCCTATGGTAAGACTATGTTGTATTTTTTAATAAGCTATAAAAATGTATGCTAAAGTGGCTATACCACTTTGCATTTCCACTTGCAATGACTGATCATTCCTGTTGCTTCTTCAACCCTGTCAGCATTTGGTATTGTCAGGTTTTTTATTTTAGCAATTTTAATAGGTGTGTAGTAGTATCTTATTGTTTTAATTTTCAATCCTCTAGGGAGACACATTGTTGAGTATCTTTTTTATATGCTTATTTGCCATGTGAATACTTCTTTGGTGAAGTGTTTATTCAGATCTTTTGCCCATTTTTAATTGGGTTGTTTATTTTCTTATTGTTGAATTTTAAGAGTTCTTTGTATATTTTTAATAGAAGTCCTTTATGAGATATGTGTTTTGTAAATATACTCTACCAGGCTGTGGCTTGTCTTTTCACTTACTCAACAAAGTATTTTACAGAGCAAATGTTTATAATTTTAATAAAGTCTAACATCAATTTTTTCTTGGATTATACTTCTAGTGTTTTATCTAAAAAGTCATTCTCAAACCCAAAGTCACCTAAACTTCTCCTTTATTATCATCTATAAATTTTATGGTTTTGTGTTTTACATTTAGGTTTTTAACTCATTTTAGTTAATTTTTTTGTGAAAGGTATGTGTTTTGTGTCTAGATCCATGTAGTCTTATGTAGTTAGCAAGTTGTTTTAGCTCCATATTTTGATGATCCTTTCTCCATTGACTTACCTGTGCCCCTTTGTTAAAGATCGGTTTATTTGTGTAGGTCTATTTCTGGACTCTTATTCCATTCCATTGATCCACTTGTCTGTTCTTTTTCTAGTACCACATCATTTTTTGTTAAAGTCTTGAATAGTGTTGACTCTAGGATTTTCTTGTTCCCCTTCAGGATTGGGTTGGCTATTCAGGGTCTTCTTCTTTCTATATAAACTTCAAAACCAGTTTGTTAATATACACAAATAATTTGCTAAAATTTTGATTGTGATTGCCTTAAATCTACAGATCAAGTTGGGAAAACCAATACATCTCTGTTTATTAAGATCTTTGATTTTTAAAATCAATTTTATAGTTTTCCTCATATAAATCTTGCATATATTTTGTTAATTTATATCTAGGTATTTCATTTTTTTGATGCTAATGTAAATGATGTGTTTCTAATTTCAAATTCCAGTTGTTCATTGCTGGTTTGCAGGAAAGCAACTGACTTTTGTAGATTAACCAACAGCACACTTTTGTTTATTATCTTGCAGACTTGCTATAATCGCTTATTAGTTCCAGGAAGGCTTTTTATTTTTTCTCAGTCAACAATAGATAATCATGTCATCTGCTAACAAATACAGTTTTGGTTCTTCTTTTACAATGTATATACCTTTTACTTCCTTGTTTTATTGCATTAAGACTTTTTCGATACAATGTTAAATAGGAATGATGAGAGGGGACATCTTCCCAGTCTTAGGAGAAAAACATCTAGTTCCTTATCAAGTATGGTCATATCTGTGGATTTGGCAAAAGATGCTCTTTTTCAAGTTGGGTGTTCCCACTCCTATTTTCTGAAAGAGATTATGGATAATTAATATACTTTCTTGTTAAATATTTGTTTCTTAAATTCACCAGTGAAACCATCTGGCCCTGGTGTTTTTATTTTTGGAGGATTATTAATTATCAATTTAATTTCTTCAATAGATATTGAGCTATTCAGATGATATATTTCTCTGTGTGTGAGTTTTGGTAAATTATGTCTTTCAAATAATTTTTCCATTTCTTCTAAGTAAGTAAGCAAATTTGAGAGCATGGAAACATTTATATTATATTCATTTATTATCCTTTTAATATCCATAGGATTGGTAGTAATTTCTGATATTAGCAGTTTGTGACTTCTTTCTTTTTTTTTTTTTGGTTAGCCTGGCTAGAGGCTTATCAATCTTATTAATTTTTTTCAAAGAACTGGCTTTTAATTTCAATGATTTTCTCTTTCAATTTTTTCCTGCTTTTAATTTCATTGATATCTGTTTTAATTTTTATTAGTTCTTTTCTTCTGTTTGCTTCAGGTTTGTACAGCTGTTTTTTCTCTAGCTTACATAGGTGAAATTTTAGGTTATTGATTTTAAATGTTTCTTCTTCGCTAATATATGCATTCAATACTACAAATTTCCCTCTGAGCACTGCTTTTTCTGCATTTCACAAAGTTTGATAAGTTGTATTTCATTTAGTTCAAACATTTTAAAATGTCTTTTGAAATGTCTTCTATGACCTACATTTTATTTAGAAATGTGTTGTTTAATCTGCATATTTTGGAACATTCCAGCTATCTTCTGTTTTTTTTTTTTCTAGTTTAATAGTATTTATTGGGGTCTGAGAGCATGCTTTGGGTGATGTTTATTATTTTGTTAAGTTGTGTTTCGTGGCTCAGAATGTGATCTATCTTGGTAAAAGTTCCATGTGAGCTTGAGAAGAATGTGTATTCCGCTGTTGTTGAACAGTGGATTCCATAAATGTCAATTAAATTCTGTTGCTATTCAGTTCAACTATATCTTCTCTAATTTTCTGCTGGCTGGATCTGTCAATTACTGATAGTGTGGTGTGGTGTTGAAGACTGTGATTATAATAGCGAGTTTGTCAATTTCTCCTATTTCTATCAGTTTTTGCCTTATGTATTTTGGCCCTCTCTTGTTAGGCAATTCCCTCAAAACCAGCTACAAAATATGCTAGATGTTGTCATGGGAAAAATGGACAATATGCAGGAACAGATGAATAATGTAAGCAGAGCGAAGGAAACCAGGAAAGAACCAAAAGAAAATGTTAGAAATAAAAAAATTTGTAACAGAAATTAAGAATACCTTTGATGGATTTGTCAGTAGACTGGATATGGTCAAGGAAAGAATCCAGAAGCTTTTTTCATTAGAACTCTTAGCATATTAATCATAGTTATTTTAAATTCCCAGGCTTCTAATCATTCCAAGATCTATGCTCTATCTGTACGTGGTTCTGATGCTTACTTGTCTCTTCCGACTTTTCCTCCTGCTTTTTGGGATGTCTTGTAATTTTTAATAATTTATACATGATGTATTAGGCAATAAGAACTGAGGTAAATGGGCTTTAGTGTGAGGTTTTAGATACATTTATCTGGCTAAGAAGAGTGAGGCTGTGTTTACTGTTTACTGTAGCTGTAGTTGTCAGGTTCCTCTAGTGTTCTCATTTTTGTCTGCCTATTTTCCTTGGGTGTTTCTAGAGACTCCTTCTTAAGTAGAATCCGTGTCTTGCTACTCTATCACTTGTAATCCACTGTTATGCTGGAGCTCTGTAGATGGGGTAGTAAGGTATTGGAGAGGATAAATGTCCAATCATCTTATGATTAAATCTCTGTTTTGCTTTTTTTTCTTCTTTGAGATGAAGTCTTTCTCTGCTGCCCAGGCTGGAGTGCAGTGGTGCATTCTCAGCTTACTGCAACCTCTGCCTCCTGGGTTCAAGCAATTCTCCTGCTTTAGCCTTCTGAGAAGCTGGGATTACAGGTACACACCAACATGCCCAGCTAATTTTTGTATTTTTAGTGGAGACAGGGTTTTTGCCATATTGGCCAGGCTGGAGCTTTTATTTTTTATTTTTGGTCTTTTCAAGTGGGCCAGAGTCCTTGGGCTGTGACCTTCAGAAGAGTTTTTTAGTTTTTTTTTTTCTCCTCCCCTTATATAAGGCAGGAAGGCCAGAGGGGGCTTAAATTGTCCAATTGCCTTATCCTTCATTCTTTATATGCTTTCTTTCACAATCTGGGAAGTATTCTTTAAATAGGTGTCAAATATTTATTTAGAAGAAAACTTAGGTACAGTTGGGGAGGACAGAAGAGGGAACACCTTTCAATACTCTGAGTATTTCATCCTAAAATTGCATACTGAATTTAGCAAACACCATGTACTTAACCAGATCCACCTTCCTTCAGAGACCACAGTGGTTTTAAATGTCCACAAATTCTTTGATACTCTTCCCTTCAGGACATGGAGCTTCCCCTTCTATTTGAGTGTGAACTGGACTTAGTGAGTCACTTCTGATGAGTAGAAAGAAAAATGAAAATGTGATTTCAGAAATGGGGTCATAAAAAGCACTGCGGCTTCTTGCTTGCAATCTCACCTGCTCTTGGATCACTCAGATGAAGACACCCAGGTACTAGTGAGAAACTGAAGCTTTCTGCCAAGACCCAGTAGGAAATGTAGCTGTCTGTCATTAGCTGTCAGTGGGCTATCTTCAAGTGGATCCACTAGTGCTGGCCTTGAGATGACTGCATGCTGGCTGACATGTTTGCAACCTCACGAGATACCCTGGGCAGAACCACATAGCTAAGCTGCTCCTGGATTCCTGACTCTCAGACTCTCAGACACTGTGTGAGATAATAAATGTTTGTGTTTTAAACTACTATTTAATTCAGCTATTTAAAATATATCTATGATGACTTAAGTATAGTCCTTGGCAGTCTTACTCTACTACACATCACACCATCACATTACACAGACACACACACACACACACACACACATATCCCTCTGTTGATTTCCAAAATATTTACTCAAATTTAATTTCTTAAATATTATAATTTTGCCCATCTCATTACATTTTAGTGCTACTTACCTGGTAGAGTTGGCAATCAGATCTATTTGACTGGCTAATCCATCCCTTAATGTGCCTCTCTTTGGGGTAGAAGAGTGATACAACACTATTTTAGCAGTGGGATTTAAGGCTTTTTCACCAAGGCTAGAGACTAGCCTTGGGAGTAGTGAACCCTAGAGCCAGCAAACGAGTCCCTAAGAGCCCTGGGGTAGGCCTCATGTTTTTTTCTTCAGTCCTTGTATTATTATTCAGAGGGAAGCCAGGGAATCTAGTACTTGATATACATTAAGTAAGAGGATGAAGAAAGGCAGCACAGAGACAGGGAAGTGAGGATAGCATCCTTTCCAATGACTTTGCCTCGGTGACTAAATGATGTTGGAGGCTTAGTGAAGTGTGGACTCTGAGGTACCACTATATATCCTTTCATTCAACAGATATTTATTGAGCTCTCACTATGTGTCAGGCACTGTTCTAGGTGCTGAGCACATAGTGGTAAGTACACACATCCCCTCACTCTGGACAAGTTATATGCTGGTGGTTTTGAGGTTCATTCAGGTCAGGTCCTTGTCATGGCCCAGCCACAACTGACCCCAGTCAACTCACAGTTGCAGCAAAAATCTTTGTACAACTCTCCATCTCCACAAACTGTATTCACTGAAGGTGACTCTGTGAGAGAAGAAATTCATTAATAAATTTCAAACAAGTTGTTCTTTAGAGAAAGAGCTTCCAAAAATGATTATACATTCTGGAGGGTGAATATCCCGTGATGTATTCGTGTATCAGTATGTTAGTCCTAAGGTCATTTTATACAATAGAAAAAAAAAGAAAAATAAAGAGAACCGGAAACCAAAATCTGAGGATGCAAATGAAGTGTCATTTGTTCAAGAAAGAAATAATGTCAGAACCATGGACATTTACAAAGATTCAGGTCTTTGTGATTAAGGCTGTGCCTGAAAGGTAAATATGTGTTCTCTTAGGGAGACTCTGGGAGGCTGAGGAAATTAGTTCTTGTTAGTTTCTTCTTGACAGGCCTGGGCAGAGGCTGAGGCCCTGCAGAGCCTGCTTTTCACTTCACTACCTGTGGCAAAACAGTAAGTAGGCTGGTGCATCAGAGTCCTGTTGCAGGAAGCAGAAACCATGCAAACTGTTTTAAACAGAAAGATATTGAAACGATGTAATTAAGTGTTTACAAAGTCACAAAGGACTGTAGAAGCAGGCTGTAAGCTGTGTCTTTAGGAATGACTCTCAGAACAAGATTATTGAGCTAGCCCACCAGGGGTGCTTCAGTCTGTGCAAAAGTCAGGAAGGTGAGGGATCAGGAGGTCACTCCCAGGCCTGCAGCATTCACAAACTCCCCACTGCAATAGTGACCCAGGGTTCAGAAAGCCACTGATGCTGAGGCCAATGCCTGTCTGCAGCAAGGTAGCTAGTGGCCAGACACTGGATCACAGATTTGTTTTGTTTTGTTTTGTTTTCCTGCCACTACTACCACAACTGCCTCTTGAAACCCATGAAGCTAGTCTCTAGATGCTGGAATGCTGCTTCAGAAAAACAACATTGCTACAACCTTGCTGGCAGTAAATACCCAGTAATTCAGCATCTTGCATGTAACATAGTTTCAGCCAATGAGACACAGCAGATTTCTGCATGGAGTGGGATGGGGCAGAGGGCTTCCAGAAAACTTTGGCTTTTCTAAAAAACGGGATGGATATTTCTGGCTCTTGCCTCTTTCTCTTTCTTCTTACCTTGAACGTGAATGTGATATCTGGAACTGCTGAAGCCATTTTGTGACCTACATTGCTAGAATCAACATGATCTGGAAGGAGACATTAAAAATGCACCACTCTGGACCACTTGCTTTGAGCCTCTTGGTATGAGACACAGAAAAAGTATGTATCTTTGTTAGTTTAAGCCACTGTTAGTCCAGAAGGAGTTGGAGTATTGGCAGTTGAAGGCATTCCAAATGGCTACAACATCTTTTCTCTATCTATCTACTCCTTCCTTTTCTTTCTTCTCTTTCCTCTGTTCCTTCTCCCTTTCTTTCTCTAACAACTCTTTCATCTGTCTGTCCATGCTTGTGAGGTGGGGAGATGGTACCCAAGAGGTTGCACTGAAGGAATACATCACTGCAGCACATTTTTGTTTCCATTGGAGGTCATTTATCTCCTAGAGACATAGCTGAGTGGGCCCTTTGGAGCCACCAGGCCTCATGCAATATATCAGCTGCAATACTCCAGTCAACCCTGACTCCTACAGTTGTATTATTCCAGATGTAAACACCATACTATCCCAACTCTGAGGTTGTTTCTCTGGGTATCTATTAGGTTGAAATACATAAATGAAATTGCTGATAT
The DNA here is from genome assembly GCF_000001405.40 of Homo sapiens. Taxonomy (NCBI): domain Eukaryota; kingdom Metazoa; phylum Chordata; class Mammalia; order Primates; family Hominidae; genus Homo; species Homo sapiens. The sequence goes on along the minus strand of NC_000001.11, from coordinate 159,561,867 downwards.
TTGACCATTTTGACTGCTAAAATAGTATTAAATTTATGTGGTGCCACTTAAGATGATGCTTAGTCATGGAGGATAATGGAAAACTCTGAAGCCCAAATGAAGTTAATTTATAACCCAAAGAGCTATTATCTATATCAGGTCAAAGTGATCCATGTCTGGTTCCTCTTTTCATGTCAGCATTGGGACATCTCTTTGGGTCATCTGAAAAGTTCAGTCTCACATTTCAAAAGGAACTAGCAATGAACACTTCTAGGTCAAATCTTTCACTTTTTGTCATCTCAACTCAATCTGAAGCTAAATTTTATTGTAGTCTTAAGTAGACTATTATTTACTGTAATCTCAAGGATATACACTGAACTGCCCTAAGTAAATTGTGGGGTATAATGGTATGGAGCAGAGTATTACCACATGTGCTGTATTAGCCAAACCATATCATGTGCTTTTTTCCTGGAAAATTCCTTAGTAAATTGCACGGGAAGACCTTACTGTAGACTCCCTGCCTCATCCCCACCATAGGTAATAGACTTACCCATGAATATGGTAGAGGATCAAAAAAGGGACATTGATGTTAATGACTGCTCTGCCCACTGGACATTTATCCTAGGACACCAATATATCCATTGTTCTCCAGGGCTTCATTGGCTCTATGACAACTGGAAGGGTCAGAAATGATCATGATCTCTGACTCTGGTTTCTTTCTTCAGTTATGTTTCTGGGCCTCTGTGCTGTGCAGATAATTTTTTTTCCCTGTTGGGTTATGAATGGCACAAGTGTTTCCCAAGTTGGGTTTTTTTTTCTCCTTTACTATCACTGCCAATGTATCTGACAGTTACAAAAGGTACCAAGGGAAGGTTACCAGAGTTCCAATTCAATTAACACAACTAACTGACTATTGTAACTTGTAGACATTACCAATGGGAATTAACACTTCTGAAAAAGGTTTATTTCTTCTCTTGAAGAAGAGATTGGGAGGAAAGGTATAGCATTAACTAGAGTTTGGAGAAATGTCAATATTCAGGAGCCAAAGTTTACAACATTAGTTAATTGTGGAGTTGGAGAAATTTGTTCCAGTGACGAAACTCCTTGGGCAGAGATTTCATCTGTTTTGCTCTGTCCTGTATCTCCTGTGCTTAGCACAGGGCCTGGCACATAGTAGACACGAAATAAATATTAGCTTATTAGACAAGTGAATGAAGGAATAAAGTGGTTATGTGATATCAAAGTGCTATAAGACAGTCCTCAGAACTTCTCCATGTTTCACAGAAGAGCGGTCTCATTTCCACAAGTTCCCAATGGGTCTATCTGTGTAGTGGGGCTGAGTATTTTACTCACATGGTAACTCTCTGGTCTTCTTCATGAAACACTACTCAGTAGACAATGTGGTGGTGGTGGGGTGCCTGGACTGATAATTTAAGTCATCCCTTTAGATGGTAGTCTTCTGGAATAATTGATCAATGTCTGCCACTTCCATGCTCTTCCCTGCACTTCCCAAAGATGGTGACTGGGTATAGAGAAGGGAATGTTCTTTCTCCCATGTGGGTCCCATATAAACCCTATTGACTTTCATACCACCTGCTTTCTGAACTTCTCTCAGGGTCTGAGGAAACATATTCCCCATCTGGAAACAGAGACCACAAGTTAAGCTAGATTTCTAGGCCCCTCTCCCAAACTGAGTTGAACCACCACATTCGTTTTGATGGGATGATTCCTGGATTAGCATAGGCAGCCCAGAGAGGAGGGATGAGGACACACAAATCTAATTGATTCCCTTTCTCTTCAGTCTGCCTTTTCCTTCACACAACCCTTAAGGGACAGAAGGAACACATTTTCCTGTGATTTATTTCCTTCTTTTTCCCTTATCTATCATTCAGTAGGTATCTTAGATTGGACAGGGCTATGTTTCAGCAGCAAATAGAAGCCGGACTCTCAGTAGCTTGATATAATGTAGTACATATCCACTGTACACTGTGCACTGTGAGATGCTCTGCTATATACCATCACTCAGGGATCCTGGCTGACAGAGGCACCACCAGCTTGCAGCTGCACCAGAATGGGTTTTGTGGACTTTCCCACATGTGGACTTTTCCACACTTCCTCACATGTGGATATCTCACACTCACACTTAAATACTTTTTTGTCTTACTAAATTATGCCTACCTGGGAACAATATATCACATATCTTAGTCCTAGGGATGAAAGGCCACATGGGAGAGATATTTTAAAGGAAAAACTAAAATGCATTAAATTAATGCTGGCAAAAGATTATTGCCATTATATTCATCAAATAGAAAAGGTAGGATTTTGTTTGTTCTTTCCAGTATGAAAAATACAAAATTATGAAAAAATGTATTGATATGATTTGGCTCTGTATCCCCACCCAAATCTCATCTCAAATTGTAATTCCCACATATCGAGGGAGGGTCCTGGTGGGAAGTGATTGGATCAGGAGGGCCATTTCCCCCATGCTGTTTTGTGACAGTGAGTGAGTTCTTATGAGAGCTGATGGTTTTACAGTGTAGCTCTTCCCCTTTGCTTGCTTACTCTTTCTCACCACCATGTAAGACGTGCCTTGCTTCCCCTTCACCTTCTGCCATGACTGTAAGTTTCCTGAGGCCTCCCTAGCCATGTGGAGCTGTGAACCAATTAAACCTCTTTTCTTCATAAATTATCCAGTCTCAGGTAGTATCTTTATAGCAGTGTGAAAACAGATTAATACATGTATTATAAACAGAAAATATGTGTAAGTCAGGAGATGGCAGAGGAAAGTAAAACATTTCTCATATCAACAAAACACCTGCCTATCCTGGTCTACTTACCATTCTCTTACCAGTTAATGGGACTTGTAAGAAATACATGTAGCAGCTCTTCCTTAGCATTTAGGAAACCTTTGCAGGCTCAAATGACAACTCTATTATGCAAGTGTCTGGGAATTTTATAGGGGATTTTAAGCAAAGGTGACATGAGTACTGTTCAGAACATATTTTCTTGATGACTGTGGGACATTGTAGGATCTTTAATTATATACAGCACTTCTGGGGCTACTGGCTATGAGGAAGATTCACCTTGGCCCATATGGTCCCGATAGTCCTGCTGCCCTGGTTTACATGCATGTGTTTTACTGGAACGGGTCTACGGATGTGCCATAAAGAAAGGAGCAAGAGCTCTTCATGGGTAGAGCAACCCCAGAACTGTCCTAACTTTCTATTTCTATTAACTGTGACCTGGAAATCCAATCTGGCATCCTTCAATTGAATTCCACATAAACAATTGTGATTAATTAATTGTCAGTTGTGAGTAAAATAAGAATAAACTTCATTAAATGAAAAGTCTAAAAGTTTCTAGTACTAATCAAGTGTTAAGCCTTTTACTTTTTCCTTCTTATTCCAAGTTTTTTTTTCATTGTATCCTGGTTGTGCCCCATTTTTTGAATAATGGCAACACTTAAAAACGTGACTTCCAAATGAGAGATGTTTTTGGCCATGAAAAAATACTGAACAAATGCTAGAAGGCATTGTACTTTTATTGTAAATTAAGCAGTTCAATAGATAGGAAATTCAGAGAAAACAGAGAAATAGACATAAGGCATGAAGTAGAATTGTCTTCAGAGCTGGTCTTTCATGTTGGGGATTTCCTTCCCAGTAACTTTGTCCTGTTGAAGCAGAACTTCAACTCTATTTATGGGACTGGGTGACCACATAACCTTGCATTGTATAGTTCAATGCCCGCCAGTCCAGAATATTGGGTTTGATGTAGATACCTTGATACACAAACCAGATTTCTTCTGGGGACAGCACAGAGTCCCACATGTACACATCTCCAATCTCTCCCACAATGGACTGGCTCTTACCAAACTTGCCTCCATAGGAACCCTGCTGCTACCCAGGGCAATCTTGGGGTAAGCTCCCACAGAGAAACCCTGCCTTAGCCCCATCCTCACCTAAGGCTTCTCACTGACCCAGAACTCAGCAATGCCTGAGGAGGACTCCCAGCTGGCATAGATGTGCACCAGGGTGGGGAAATTCTCACAGACCTTGAAGAAAACCTTGTCACCCCCAATGATAAGATTGTACTCCCCAATTTGAGACTTAAAAATGACCATCTCATTGCTCTTGGTCTGGATGCTGTAGGAGAAGAGGCGATAGCCATGGGAGAGGTCGGTATAAGCATGAAGACACGCAGTGAAGTTCTGTAGATTTCTCCAGCTGTGTGATCAAGCTCACGTGAGCACTATTAGATTCTTTAGGAAAAATAAACACCTTCCCAATCATGTCTGTGAGAGAAAAAAAAAAGATATAATCTTCACCTGAAATGTGAACAGGAAAAAAATCACAAATTCAATTTTATATTCGGTAACCTCTTGTCTTTTCTTCCTACCATCTATCCCTGACACCCCCACCTACCCTACTCCACATAGTCATATACCTTTGACCTCCCTACTTGTCTGAGCAATGGCTTCCACGAGGCTAGTGAGGACAGAAACCCAAACAGTAGCTTGTCCATGTTCTTAGCTTGGGCTCTTACAGCAGCAGCAGTGACCGGGATGAGGGTATCAGATAGCACAATGGTTGTGCCCACCCAGCTTCTAACTTAGTTATTATGTAGAGATTCACATTCTTAGGCTGCAGGCTATTCAGGGTTTATATGCACCTTGGGTGAGGATGGGGGAGGAAGAGCACCAATAATGTGTGAGTAATTTTCCAGCCCTGCGCCCTGGGTGTCAGCAATCAGAGCTGCTGCTGGGGAAGGAAGGGTGAGACCCTGGGCTGGAAAATCAATGGGAGTTATTTATTAGACACAAGTGACTGCTAGAGCTCCGAGTCCTGTGACCCAGATTTTGCTGCTGGAAAGACAGTGGTTACAGAGCTTCAGTGTTATGGATGAGATGAGGGGCTGGGCTGGCCATGTCAAGAGGGCATCATGCTACTCTCCACTCTGTCTGAGGACCCTGTGTTCTTCCATGAGCTCCTGAGCCACGTGGAGGGTCTCCCTGAGCTTGGGCCTCTAACGGGCTGTGGAAACAAGTCCTCTTCTTTCTTTTTTGTTCTGCGAAGTAGTCGTCTGTTTGTAGAACATTCTGGGTTTCTGCTTTCTGATATAAACACTGAAAATCTATCCCCTGCCCCCATTAATTTAGTATAATATGCCAGCATTTTGTTAAGGAGATTCAAAAAATTGGAGGATATCCTTTCTAGTTTCTGAGGAATTGTTCTGACCATCTCTCACCTGCCTATCTCCCTTTCCCTTTTCATATTATGACTTGCCTTCCCAGATACTTAGTAACCGTTCTCTGAGAGGTCAGCGGTTGACTGACAGTTTTGTTATCTTCTGACCCCAGCCATTTAAGGGGAAGTTTAAAAACCATATATGGTGATACTCTCTCTTTTTTTTCAGTGAAATAACATTTTATTAAATTCAATATATTGCTCCCGGTGCTTAAGATTTTTTTTGAGATTGATTTTTGCCACCCACCATACTTATTATTACTTCTAGCTTCATTGCATTAGGTAATATGAAAACCTGTCCTCTATATCTTCTTATCTATTTATTTATTTATTTTTATTATACTTTAAGTTCTGGGGTACATATGCAGAACGTGCAGTTTTGTTACATAGTTATATATGTATCATGGTGGTTTGCTGCACCCATCAACCCGTCATCTACATTAGGTATGTCTCCTAATGCTGTCCCTCCCCCAGCCCCCCATCCCCTGACAAGCCCCAGCGTGTGATGTTCCCCTCCCTGTGTCCATGTGTTCTCATTGTTCAACTCCCATTTATGAGTGAGAACATGTGGTGTTTGATTTTCTGTTCTTGTGTTAGTTTGCTAATAATGATGGTTTCCAGCTTCATCCATGTCCCTGCAAAGGACATGAACTCATCCTTTTCTATGGCAGCATAGCATTCCATGGCTTATATGTGCTACACTTTTTTTTTTTTTTTTTTTTTTTTTTTTTTTTTGAGACAGAGTCTCGCTCTGTCGCCCAGGCTGGAGTGCAGTGGCGGGATCTCGGCTCACTGCAAGCTCCGCCTCCCGGGTTCACGCCATTCTCCTGCCTCAGCCTCCCAAGTAGCTGGGACTACAGGCGCCCGCCACTACGCCCGGCTAATTTTTTTTGTATTTTTAGTAGAGACGGGGTTTCACCGTTTTAGCCGGGATGGTCTCGATCTCCTGACCTCGTGATCCGCCCGCCTCGGCCTCCCAAAGTGCTGGGATTACAGGCGTGAGCCACCGCGCCCGGCCTACACTTTCTTTATCCAGTCTATAATTGATGGGCATTTGGGTTGGTTCCAAGTCTTTGCTATTGTGAATTGTGCTGTAATAAACATAACGTGTGTATGTGTCTTTGTAGTAGAATGATTTATAATCCTTGATACTCTCTTAACATGCACACATGCATGCATGCATTCATTAAACACACTTTCTGTGAATGTCTACTGTGTGCCATGCATTATGTAGATTTTATTTTCTTGACTTTCTTGCTGGGCTTTAACAGTGACCCCCATGTCTCTTGCGGTTAAATGGTCATGAATGGAGTCATAATAACTCAACCTTGCTTTTTTTCCCCAAACATCAAACTGAAATTTCTTAACCCCAGATATTTATTATTCCATTTATTCTACATTTTAAATTATATTAATCAGCTCTACACCTTATTGTGATTACTCTACTCCTGAACACTCCTCTTTTTCCTTTCCTTTTTTTTTTTTTTTTTTTGCCAGCACTTGATCCACTCTGCTTCATCTTTCCTCCCAACATTCTTGGATGGATTTTCCTGATTTAGTAACGCCCATCCATAACCTTTTTTTCTCCTGTTCTAATCTTCAGAGTGGGTCACACCTTGTCACTTTCTCAAAGCAGTTCCCCATTTTGTCATTTCCCTGAAAGTCTGAATAAGGTTTACAGTTGGAGTTTGCTTAAGCTACCACTTGTGTCTTGAATGAAATGCAGAATCATTATCCTGGGATCTGAAGTGATTCACAATTCTTTCCCAATCTATTGGTCTGACCTTGCTTCCTCCATAAGTCCTGTTCTGTGGTCAAACTCATCTACTTATAATCCTATTATATGCCCTGGGTCTCTCCTTTTAAATACTTTGATCCATTCTCTTCTTTATAACTGAAGTAGCTTTCAGGCATATCTCTCTGCTTTTGAAACTCCAATGCTTCTTAAAATTCTATTTCATATGCCATCCCCATGAAGTCTCTCCTGATCGAATAAATTAGGATGTTTTCATCTTCTGAATACCATAGTGATGAAGTGCAAAGGTTTTGGAATTAGACAAACCTGGATTTCAACTCTAGCTTTCTCATTTTATAAATGTGGACACTTAGGGAAGCATTCAAACGTTTTGAACCTATAGTTCCTCATGTGTGAAACAGGAATACCCCCACATTCATGGGGTTTGAGTGGCTACTAATGCACACTAAGTACTTAGCGCAGTGCTTTGAAGCATAGGAAGTGTTTCAACATCATTGTTGTTATTATGAAATGTCTCTGGTAATTACAATATTCTGCTTCATATTATAGGTATTTATATATGTAACAGGGTGCCATCTAAACACCCTTAGAGATGGGAAGATCCTTAAAGTAGTTTGTCCTTCTCTTCATTCCATCCACCAGCTATCCCTTTGTTTTATACTTAGTAGGGACTTAGTAAATGTTTTGTTGAATTAAATAAGCAGTAATACAAATCTGTATAGATTTTTTTAAGTGACAAGATAATTAAGGGAAAAGAAAGGAAAATACTCCCTCTGAGTCAAGACCTTTACAACACACATTCCCATGGATTAAAGATTTTTTTTATAATTTTGATGAGAACACTTAACATAATATCTACTATTCTGACAAATTTTTAAGTGCACAGTATGGTATTGTTAACTATAGGCACAAGGATATACAGCAGATCTCTAGAATTTGCTCATATCGTATAACTGGAACTACGTACCTGTGAAAGAGCATCTCTCCATTTCTCTCTCTCCCCAGTCACTGGCAACCACCATTTTCCTCTGTTTCTATGACTTTAACTATTTTAGAGTCCTCATGTAGGTGAGATCATGACAGCCTTACTTTATTTAGCATAATGTCCTACAGGTTTTAAATTGTTTCCATGTCTTGATTATTGTGAATAATGCTGCAATGAACATTGAGTGCAGATATCTCTTCGAGATGCTGATCTAGATTCTTTGGATATATATCCAGAAGTGGGATTGCTGGATCATGTGGTAGTTCCATTTTAATTTTCTGAAAATCTCATTTAACAAACCTATATTTTTCAGAACAACTTCACCATTTTACATTTCCACCAACAGCATACAAGGGTTTTAACTTTCTCACATCCTTGGTAATACCTGTTATCTTTTTTATTTAAATAGTCATTCTAACAGATGTGAGGTGACAGCTGATTTTGGTTTTGATTTGCACCTTCTTGATGATTAATGATAATGGAGACCAGTTGAAAGGACAGCAAAGCTAGCTTAAAGGAGATCCCACTGACCACACTGGCAATAATTGAACACTAATATAAGTAATTAATGTAATTATAAATCATTAAATAAAATAGTAAGCCATGAATCCAAAATGATTTAGATAAAAAATTGTTTAAAAGTTAAAGAACAAGATATTTAGTTTCAAACTACCTCCCTGAAAAATATTTACTAATTTAAAAGAGAAAAAGAGTGACTTCAGAAGAGAGAATCTTGATTCATATAACCTTAATCAAGTTATTAAGCAAACATCATTAGAAATAGGATAATTCAGAATCACATGCCTCTTGATAGCATGCAATGAAAAAAACACAGCATTCCTTCTGTCATGCCAACAACTCATAACATAAATTTAGTCATAAGAAAATATCTGAACAATAAAAATTTAGGAACATTCAACACAATAACCAGCCTATAATCTTTGGAAGTGTCCAGGTAATGGAAGGTAGAGAAACACTGAGGAACTTTTCCAGTTTTAAGGAAGTTAATAACAATAAGTGAAAACTTTGATTTTTGAGCTTGACATTTTTGTTATAAAGAAAGTGTTTGACACACCTGGAAAAACATTGACTGGGAATCTGAGGATTACATAGTAATAATTAATAAATGTTAATTTTCTGATTGGATGATTGCTTTGTGGTTACAAAGGAGAATGTCCTTGTTTGTTGGAAATACTAAAATATTTGAGAGTGATGACCTTTGTGTCAGCGACTTACTCTCTAATGTTTAAAAATGGAGTTACTGTACTTTCAAGTTGTCTTTAAGTTTAAGAAAAATAAAAAAGGAAAATTTGAAGAGAAAAAATAGCACTCGATCTTGCCTGGGAAGATACATGAGCCATGGTCAAGGAGAAAGTAAGAGAAACTATTTAGGTCATGGAAAAAAATGAGGATGAGCGTTTTCACAGTTTCTAAATGAACACTCCTGTTGGGTGATCAGTCACTCTGAGGAGACTACCCTTCTCAGAAACAATGTTCTTGATCAGGTGGGAGAAGGAGAGGTAATAAGAGGTAAGAAAAGGTGAGGTGACGGGGCTCTAACGGTTCTACTCTTTGTTTTCTGGAATAAGTCATTGTTTCCCTCAAGGCCTTGGGGGAAAGCAATAAAGGGTACGCAGAAATCAGAAGGGGATGTATTGGAATTGTGATGTGGACAACTGAACTTTATGTCTTAATTTATGTTTTATGACACTAAGTGTTTAGGAATGACAGTGGTTCTTGATTTAGTGTCTTTGTAATTTGATCACCTTATATAAGAGAATTTCCTTTTTCCTAGGAAACACTGACTAACGTATTTAAGAGTAAAGGGGCATGATGACTCCAATTTACTCTCATATAATTTAGAGATAGAAATGATGAAGCAAATGAGGCAAAAAGTAAACAATTGGTGTATCTAGGAACAGGGTATGTAGGAGTTACTTGTATTATACTTGCAACTTTTTCATAAGTTTGAAATTAAAAAAATACACAAGTAAAAACAATGTTGGGGGAGGAAGAATTAGTGATGACATTGCTTCTGTCAGAAGAGCTGAAACAAACATAGGACAGGTGAAAGGCAGAGATCATGGAGATAACTGAAGATTAAGGGATTTATGAATATGCTTCAGATAACTTCTAAGGTCCTAAGGGTTATGCAAGATATCAAGGTCACTATAAACTTGAGGAACGACTGAGTTAAGGGGTTATGGGATTGAAAACATGAAGTAGAACAGGATTTGGGGACAACTCAAGAATTCATTATTCTGATTTTTATTGAAATGCTGTGGAGGTTTAAGGACATTTAACTGTACTGGATGGAAGCAGGTGCCACAGTTGATATGACTACTTGATTACGACCCCGGTGTGTACTTGCACTAAATCAAAAATGCACAATTCCAAGCTGATGGAATGGTCTTATGGAATAAAAAGCAATTACAAGTCTTCACACCATTCCATAACTTCCATGTAGTAAAGAGAAAAATAAACAGAAGTCAAATGAAAAAATCAAAACATCACTTGCAACTGTCTCAGAAGAACTTTGAGTGACATGCAGGAGACAGGAATTTGCATCAGGCAAGAGGAGTTGGCATTGTGCAAATATAGGAAACCCTGGATGCCAGGAGCTTGACATGCCCAATGAAAAGTCTCCCAGAAAGAGTCTAACTGCCAATACTCAGGCTACGATTTTCTCAGAAAATCTATACTGCTGAAATGGAATTAGTTAACAAATTGATGTCTTTGGAAAATACCAAACGTTACCTACTCACATAGTGCCCTCTGCCTTGGAAACACTACAGAGGCTAATCCACAGTCTTTTAAAAAATTTAATTTAATTAAATTTTAATTTCCAGGATACATGTGCAGGATGTCCAGGTTTGTTATATAGGTAAATGTGTGCCATGGTGGTTTGCAGCACCTATCAACCCATCACCTAGGTATTAAACCCACATGCATTAGCTATTTATCCTGATGCTCTTCCTACCCCCATCCCCCAACAGGCCCTAGTGTGTGATGTTCCCCTCCCTGTGTGCATGTGTTCCCATGGTTCAGCTCCCACTTATAAGTGAGAACATGGAGTGTTTGGTTTTCTGTTCCTGTGTTACTTTGCTGAACATAATGGCTTCCAGCTCCATCCATGTCCCTGCAAATGACATGATCTTATTCCTTTTTATAGCTGCCTAGTATTCCATGGTGTGTATGTACCACATTTTCTTTATCCAGTCTATCATTAATGGGCATTTGGGCTGATTTCATATCTTTACTATTGCGAATAGTGCTGCAATGAACATACCTGCAATGAACATCTCTTTCATTTGACTTATATTCCTTCAGTATGAAGTATATTCCTTTGTGTATATACCCAGTAATGGGATTGCTGGGTCAAATGGTATTTCTGGTTCTAGGTCTTTGAGGAATCACCACACTGTTTTCCATAATGGTTGAACTAATTCACATTCCCACCATCAGTGTAAAAGTGTTTCTAATTCTCCACAACCTCACCAGCTTCTGTTGTTTCTTGACTTTTTAATAATCACCATTCTGACTGGCATGAGATGGTAGGTCATTGTGGTTTTGATTTTCATTTCTCTAGTGATCAGTGATGTTGAGCTTTTTTTCGTATGTTTGCTGGCTGCATAAATGTCTTCTTTTGAGAACTGTCTGTTCATATCCTTTGTCCCCTTTTTAACGGGGTTGTTTGTTTTTCTTTTTTTTTCTTGTAAATTTGTTTAAGTTCCCTGTAGATTCTGGATATTAGACCTTGGTCATATGGATAGATTTCAAAATTTCTCTCCCATTCTGTAGGTTGTCTGTTCACTCTGATGACAGTTTCTTTTGCTGTGCAGAAGCTCTTTAATTAGTCCCATTTGTCAATTTTTGCTTTTGTTGCAATTGCTTTTGGCGTTTTTGTCATAAAATCTTTGCCTGTGCCTATGTCTTGAATGGTATCACCTAACTTTTCTTCTAGGGTTTTTATAGTTTTGGGTTTTACATTTAAGTCTTTAATCCACCTTGAGTTAATTTTTGTGTAAGGTGTAAGGAAGACGTCTAGTTTCAATTTTCTGCATATGGCTAGCCAGTTTTCCCAGCATCATTTATTAAATAGGGAACCCTTTCCCCATTGCTGGTTTTTGTCAGGTTTGTCAAAGATCAGATGGTTGTAGATGTTCAGTCTTATTTATGAAATCTCTATTGTGTTCCATTGGTCTATGTGTCTGTTTTTGTACCAGTACTATGCTGTTTTTGTTACTGTAGCCTTGCAGTATAGTTTGAAGCCAGGTAGTGTGATGCCTCCAGCTTTGTTCTTTTGCTTAGGATTGTCTTGGCTATACAAGCTCTTTTTTTGGTTCCATATGAATTTTTGTTTGTTTGTTTGAGACGGAGTCTCACTCTGTTTCCCAGGTTGGAGTGAAGTGGTGTGATCTCAGTTCACTGCAAGCTCTGCCTCCCAGGTTCATGCCATTCTTCTGCCTCAGCCTCCCAAGTAGCTGAGACTACAGGTGCCCACCACCATGCCTGGCTAATTTTTTTTTTTTTTTTTGTATTTTTAGTAGAGACAGGGTTTCACCATGTTAGCTAGGATAGTCTCGATCTCCTGACCTCGTGATGCACCCGCCTTGGCCTCCCAAAGTGCTGGGATTACAGGTGTGAGCCACTGCTCCCAGCCTCCATATGAATTTTAAAGTAGTTTTTTCTAGTTCTGTGAAGAACATCAGTGGTAGTTTAATGGGGATAGTATTGAATCTATAAATTACTTTAGGCAGTATGGCCATTTTTACGATATTTATTCTTCCTATTCAGGAGCACGGAATGTTTTTCCATCTGTTTGTGTCCTCTCTGATTTCATTGAACAGTGGTTTGTAGTACTCCTTGAAGAGGTCCTTCACTTCCCTTGTTAGCTGTATTCCTAGGTATTTTATTCTCTTTCTAGTAATTGTGAACGGGAGTTCATTCATTATTTGGCTTTATGCTTGTCTATTTTTGGTGTATAGGAATGCTTGTGATTTTTGCACATTGATTTTGTATCCTGAGACTTTGTTGAAGTTGCTTATCAGCTTAAGTAGCTTTTGGGCTGAGATAAAGGGTTTTCTAGATATAGGATCATGTCATCTGCAAACAGAGGCAGTTTGACTTCCTCTTTTCCTGTTTGAATACCTTTATTTCTTGCTTTTGCCTGATCCGCCCTGGCCAGAACTTCCAATGCTCTGTCGAGCAGGAGTCCATCATTTTTTAAAGACAAAAATTCTTGCACTATATATATATAAAATCTCCCTCGATGTAGTCAAAAATAGGGGAAGATAAACCATCTAAGAGAGTTGCTCCAGAAATCTCAAAGCATCAACTACTGGGAAAATTAAAAATTCCCATTTTTAATAAGTCTCCTTGGTATCTGTCTGGAGTCTAATTCTATTGCTTCCCTTGAGATACTCAGAAAGTATTGAGAAAAAGAGACCCAGGAGAGGAGGTGTAGACAACATGGCTTTTCCTCTGAGATTTTCCTCCTGATCTCTGAGCTTATAGGAACTTCTTTTTCTCCTCCTATAGACATAGCTTTCAGAGCCTGGGAGATCCATGAAATGTCACATGCCATTCTTTCTCTAAGCTACAATCTATTTGGAGAAGTAAGTAATTGTAAGAGTCTATATCTCTGAAGAGGAACTAGGTTTTTTGCTTTATTGTTTGTTTATTTTTTATAGACACTGTCAGACCAGATTTGAGAGGTGATGGGGATACCTTCGTGTCCTTCTTAGCTCGAGCAGGTTCCAGTCCTACTTGTTCCTGTACCCATCCTAGGCTAGGATCTAGAATTCTGGGTGGAAAACATCACATATATGCCAACTGGACTCAAGTTCTAAAAGCACAGCCTTACAGAGTCTTTCTCACATTCATCTTATGAACAAGGATTTTTATTCCTTTGGATTCTTCAAATAGCTATTATAATCACAGATGTTTAAAGAGGTCACTTTATCCATGCCTGGCATCTTATAATTTGCTTGTGTTTCAAGGTGTCTGGGGAAGAAGCCATAGGGTTTTGTTTATTTGTTTGTTTTCTTTAGTAGTTATTTACATGAAACATCAATTTTCAGGAAATAAATTGAATATTTTAAATTCTTTTCTCTCATAGGTTCATTCAGATTTAAATAAAAGACACACACCTTTTTATAGGTACCAGTAAATTCTATAACAGCTTCTTTTATCTTATCACATCTTTAGAATTTTCTAGTCCCTCTTTTCTTTTTTATTTGGCATATAATCTTCATGACTAAAACATTTGCTGTGCTATTTTATCAGTCTATTGCAGTGCTCTTATTTTCCCAAGAGGATCATCTACACATCAATCTCTCTCTCTCTTTCTCGTGCTCTCATCTTTTATTGTCTCATACTGTTTTGTTCTCTTTGTTTTTGTTGATTTTTAAAAAATTCTTGAATACCTTCTTCCTATTACAGAGCAATATCAAGGATAATTTTAAGAAATACCAACTGTTGAACATCTACCTTGTGCTAAGGGCTTTGAATGAATTACATAATTTAATCCTCACAATATTACTCTGAGGTTAGTACTTTTGTTACCCTATTTACAGATGAGAATGAGGGTTGGTGAGGCTAACAAGTTGCTCAAGTCTTCATAGTTAGGTGGTAGAGCTGGGGATTGATTCAAGAATTAATGAACTTTAAATTTACACAATAATAAGAAAAAGAAAGGATCCAGGAATGGTGGTAATGTTGGTGCATAGGGATACTTTGTTAACACTATTCCTTACTCTAAACTCTCAACGTGGATGGTGGACACATTCACCAACTAGCAGAGATAAGGAGGTGGCAAGGTCAACTAATAAAGACCTGACACCTATTGACAACTCAGAAACTCATCCCTCCTAAGCTCTAACATCACTGGCCACTAAGTCAAAGCTGACCCTTCTCTTTCCCATGCAACATTTTTTGTCTTTTCCCATGATTGCTCTAGTTTGTCATTATCATCTGATTCCATGTGGGAAAATGTGAAGAAGGATTAGGAGAAAAACACTGAGATTTACGCCAGGATGCTACACAAAAGCATCCCTTATTGTTTGAGTCCCACTATTTTCATGGGTAGCTAATGCTGTCTCCTTGGCAAATTAAGCTCCAATTATAATGCAATAATAATTCTAGATTCTTCATACTCTTCAGTCACCTAGTACATATTGAAGGATTCTCTGAGTGAATTGTGTGAAGGACTGAGAAGATTTAACAGCCCTGGCACATTCTTTCAAACTGTTTACAATCTAATTTGGGAAATAAGACTGACACATGGGAGAAAACAGACAACAATGCAAGATAACATGGACTGGGCCACAGCATATGGTACAAGGATGAAGGCAGTGGTGTGTTGGTAGATGTTTAACAATCAGCTCTCCAGGAAAAAAAATAGTCCTGATACTGATTGTCCATTTCTCAGTTAACACTATTTCTCTACAGTAGATCTTAATCTACCCAGATGATACTACAGAATATGGAGCTGAGAAAGAATGTTAGCAATCTTCTCTGGTGAGCTGGTGCAAGCTGCCTCCAGCTTGGGTATAGGCTTTATGAAAGAAAGAGAAGTGAGAAGCAGGGTTGTTGTGAGATGATTTCATGAAGATGCTAGGCAATGAGCTGAGTCTTGAAATACTCCTAAGAAACAATTTTTAAACATTAAAAATAGATCTAATTTGGTGATTTAAAAATTCTGTATTTAAGCGAAGAATAAGAATATAATTTCATTTGGGGGTTTTATGTTAAGAAAGTACTGAGAGTGATGAGGATGTGCTTCCAAGCACAGAGGACTTGGAATCTGGGTGGGCAACAGGGAGTGGAGGTCAGCCCAGGCAAGAAGAAAAATATGAACACAGGCACAGCTTTGACAAGGGGTATTGGAATGTTCCTAGACCCTGGGAAGGTTGGCTTTTTTTTTTTTTTTTTTTGCAGTGGAGGAGATAGTGAAGATGGCAGATTGGCTGTGTAAGAATAGTCTGATAGTGCAGGGCCTTATCAGCCCAGCAGAGTTGTGCTTACCAGACCAGATAAGTGATATATGATTAGTATATTAGAACTTAGAGACAATCTTGTTTAAGCTTCTTATTTTGCATTTGAGGCCATGGAGACATATTTGCCCCAGACCACATGTTTTGACATTGACAGACTCCAGATCAGGTTCCAGATTTCCCAAGTCCCAGTCAATTCCAATGTTTCTTCCATCATAATAAGCCCACCTAAAGGATGGTAAGTCTAGTAGCAACAGATTCCTAGGGATAAAATCTTATTCATGCCCAAATGAATTAACTTTGATGAAGTATAATGCAGTATGATACAATATAATATTACATGACATAATATAATACAATGCAATACAATTAAAATATAACGTAACAAAGTTTACCGTTTTTTTGGTATACATTTTTGAGAGTTTTGACAAATTTATGCACCTGTATTATCACCTTCACAATCAATAACATTTTTTTTACCCCAGTAAGTTCCCTTGTGTTCTTTTTTGGCAATTCCCCAGCAATTCTGGCAACCACTTTTTTTGTCAGTATAAATTAGATTTGTATTTCTAGAGTATCATATAAATAGAATCATACAGTATTAACTCTTTTGTTTCTGACTTGATTCAACATACTGTTTTAAAGATTCAGCCATATTGCTGTTAGTATTAGAAATTTGTTCCTCTTATTGCTGAGCAGTGTTTCATTATATGGATGCATTATTTCTTGGACAATTGGGTTATTTGCAGTTTTTTGACATTCAGGAAGAAAGCTGAGAGGGCCATTTACACTTACCTGTCTCTATGTGGACACATGTTTTCATTCCTATTGTGTCAACATGTAGAAAAAATTACTGAGTCATGGAGTAAGTACATATTTAACTTTATAAAAAACTGCCAAATTGTTCTCCAACTTGATGATTCTATTTTACATTTCCACCAGCAATGTTTAAGCTTCAACTTCTTTACTTACTTGCCAAAATTCTTTGTTGTTAGGCTTTTAAATGTCAGCCATTCAAATGGGCATGCAGTGGTATCTCATTGTGGTTTTATTTTACAAGTTTTTAATGGCTAATGATGTTGAGCATTCTTTCCTGTGCTTACTGACCATTTCTATATCTTATTTTTGTGAAATGTCTCTTCAAATATTTTGTCCATGAAAAATGTCTTATTATTGAATTATAAGAATTCTTTATATATGCTAGTTACAATTTTAGACATATGTATTGTAAATATTTACTCCTACTTGCGGTTTTCCTTTTCATTTATCTTTTCTTTCTTTCTTTTCTTTTTTTCTTTTTGATATGGTCTCACTCTGTCACCCAGGCTGGAGTGCAGTGGCACAATCTTGGCTCACTGCAACCTCCACCTCCCAGGTTCAAGTGATTCTCATGCCTCAGCCTCCTGAGTAGCTGGGATTACAGGTGTGTGCCACCAGATGAGCTAATTTTTGTATTTTTAATAGAGATGAGGTTTTGCCATGTTGCCCAGGCTGGTGTCAAACTCATGGCCTCAAGTAGTTAGATTGTCTCAGCCTCCCAAAGAGCTGGGATTACAGGTATGAGCCACTGCACCTGCCCAAGCCTTTTAATTTTTCTAGCGATGTTGTTTGAAGGTTAGAAGCTTTTGATTTGTGATTTTGTTCTTTTATGGGTTACGCTTTTTTTTTTATTATACTTTAAGTTTTAGGGTACATGTGCACAGCGTGAAGGTTTGTTACGTATGTATACATGTGCCATATTGGTGTGCTGCACCCATTAACTCATTGTTTAACATTAGGTATATCTCCAAATGCTATCCCTCACCCCTACCTGCACCCCACAACAGGCTCTGGTGTATGATGTTCCCCTTTCTGTGTCCATGCGTTCTCATTGTTCAATTCCCACCTATGAGTGAGAACATGCGGTGTTTGGTTTTTTGTCCTTGCGGTAGTTTGCTGAGAATGATGGTTTCCAACTTCATCCATGTCCCTACAAAGGACATGAACACATCATTTTTTATGGCTGCATAGTACTCCATGGTGTATATGTGCCACATTTTCTTAATCCAGTCTATCATTGTTGGACATTTGGGTTGGTTCCAAGTGTTTGCTATTGTGAATAGTGCCACAATAAACATACGTGTGCATGTGTCTTTATAGCAGCATGATTTATAATTCTTTGGGTATATACTCAGTAATGGGATGGCTGAGTCAAATGATATTTCTAGTTCTGGATCCCTGAGGAATCGCCACACTGACTTCCACAATGGTTGAACTAGTTTATAGTCCCACCAACAGTGTAAAAGTGTTCCTATTTCTCCACATCCTCTCCAGCACCTGTGGTTTCCTGACTTTTTAATGATCGCCATTCTAATTGGCATGAGATGGTATCTCATTTTGGTTTTGATTTGCATTTCTCTGATGACCAATGATGATGAGCATTTTTTCATGTGTCTGTTGGTTGCATAAATGTCTTCTTTTGAGAAGTGTCTGTTCATATCCTTTGCCCACTTATTGATGGGGTTGTTTGTTTTTTTCTTGTAAATTTGTTTGAGTTCATTGTAGATTCTGGATATTAGCCCTTTGTCAGATGAGTAGATTGCAAAAATTTTCTCCCATTCTGTAGGTTGCCTGTTCACTCTGATGGTAGTTTCTTTTGCTGTGCAGAAGCTCTTTAGTTTAATTAGACCCGATTTGTCAATTTTGGCTTTTGTTGCCATTGCTTTTGGTGTTTTAAACATGAAGTCCTTGCCCATGCCTATGTCCTGAATGGTAAAGCCTAGGTTTTCTTCTAGGGTTTTTATGGTTTTAGGTCTAACATTTAAGTCTTTAATCTATCTTGAATAAATTTTGGAATAAGGTGTAAGGAAGGGATCCAGTTTCAGTTTACTACATATGGCTAGCCAGTTTTCCCAGCACCATTTATTAAATAGGGAATCCTTTCCCCATTGCTTGTTTTTCTCAGGTTTGTCAAAGATCAGGTAGTTGTAGATGTGTGGTATTATTTCTGAGGGCTCTGTTCTGTTCCATTGGTCTATGTCTCTGTTTTGGTACCAGTACCATGCTGTTTTGGTTATTGTAGCCTTGTAGTATAGTTGAAGTCAGGTAGCGTGATGCCTCCAGCTTTGTTCTTTTGGCTTAGGATTGACTTGGCGAGCTCTTTTTTTGGTTCCATATGAACTTTAAAGTAGTTTTTTCCAATTCTGTGAAGAAAGTCATTGGTAGCTTCATGGGGATGGCATTGAATCTATAAATTACCTTGGGCAGTATGGCCATTTTCATGATATTGATTCTTCCTACCCATGAGCATGGAATATTCCTCCATTTGTTTGTATCCTCTTTTATTTCGTTGAGCAGTGGTTTGTAGTTCTACTTGAAGAGGTCCTTCACATCCCTTGTAAGTTGGATTCCTATGTATTTTATTCTCTTTGAAGAAATTGTGAATGGGAGTTCACTCATGATTTGGCTCTCTGTTTGTCTGTTATTGTTGTATAAGAATGCTTGTGATTTTTGCACATGGGTTTTGTATCCTGAGACTTTGCTGAAGTTGCCTGTCAGCTTAAACATATTTTGGGCTGAGACAATGGGGTTTTCTAGATATATGATAATGTCATCTGCAAACAGGGACAATTTGACTTCCTCTTTTCCTAATTGAATACTCTTTATTTCCTTCTCCTGCTTGATTGCCTTGGCCAGAACTCCCAACACTATGTTGAATAGGAGTGGTGAGAGAGGGCATCCCTGTCTTGTGCCAGTTTTCAAAGGGAATGCTTCCAGTTTTTGCCCATTTGGTATGATATTGGCTGTGGGTTTGTCATAGATAGCTCTTATTATTTTGAGATTTGTCCCATCAATACCTTATTGAGAGTTTGTAGCATGAAGGTTGTTGAATTTTGTCAAAGGCCTTTTCTGCATTTATTGAGGTAATCATGTGGTTTTTGTCATTGGTTCTGTTTATATGCTGGATTACATTTATTGATTTTCGTATGTTGAACCAGCCTTGCATCCCAGGGATGAAGCCCACTTGATCATAGTGGATAAGCTTTTTGATGTGCTGCTGGATTCAGTTTGCCAGTATTTTTTTGAGGATTTTTGCATTGATGTTCATCAGGGATATTGGTCTAAAATTCTCTTTTTTGTGTGTGTCTCTGCCAGGCTTTGGTATCAGGATGATGCTGGCCTCATGAAATGAGTTAGGGAGGATTCCCTCTTTTTCTATTGATTGGAATAGTTTCAGAAGGAATGGTACCAGCTCCTCCTTGTGTCTCTGGTAGAATTTGGCTGTGAATCCATCTGGTCCTGGACTTTTTTTGGTTGGTAAGCTACTAATTATTGCCTCAATTTCAGAGCCTGTTATTGGTCTATTCAGAGATTCAACTTCTTCCTGGTTTAGTCTTGGGAGGGTGTATGTGTCGAGGAATATATCCATTTCTTCTAGATTTTCTAGTTTATTTGCGTAGATGTGTTTATAGTATTCTCTCATGGTAGTTTGTATTTCTGTGGGATCAGTGGTGATGTCCCCTTGATCATTTTTTATTGCGTCTATTTGATTCTGCTCTCTTTTCTTCTTTATTAGTCTTGCTAGCAGTCTATCAATTTTGTTGATCTTTTCAAAATACCAGCTCCTGGATTCGTTGATTTTTTGAAGGTTTTTTTGTGTCTCTATTTCCTTCAATTCTGGTCTGATCTTAGTTATTTCTTGCCTTCTGCTAGCTTTTGAATGTGTTTGCTCTTGCTTTTCTAGTTCTTTTAATTGTGATGTTAGGGTGTCAATTTTAAATCTTTCCTGCTTTCTCTTGTGGGCATTTAGTGCTATAAATTTCCCTCTACACACCGCTTTGAATGTGTCCCAGAGATTCTGGTATGTGTGTCTTTGTTCTCGTTGATTTCAAAGAACATCTTTATTTCCAGCTTCATTTCATTGTGTACCCAGTAGTCATTCAGGAGCAGGGTGTTCAGTTTCCATGTAGTTGAGCGGTTTTGAGTGAGTTTCTTAATCCTGAGTTCTAGTTTGATTGCACTGCGGTCTGAGAGACAGTTTGTTATAATTTCTGTTCTTTTACATTTGCTGAGGGGTGCTTTACTTCCAACTATGTGGTCAATTTTGGAATAGGTGTGGTGTGGTGCTGAAACAAATGTATATTCTGTTGATTTGGGGTGGAGAGTTCTGTAGGTGTCTATTAGGTCCACTCGGTGCAGAGCTGAGTTCAACTCCTGGGTATCCTTGTTAACTTTCTGTCTTGTTGATCTGTCTAATGTTGACAGTGGGGTGTTAAAGTCTCCCATTATTATTGTGTGGGAGTCTAAGTGTCTTTGTAGGTCACTCAGGACTTGCTTTGTCTCTTTTGATCTTTGTTAAAGTCTGTTTTATCAGAGACTAGGATTGCAACCCCTGCCTTTTTTTGTTTTCCATTTGCTTGGTAGATCTTCCTCCATACCTTTATTATGAGCCTATGTGTGTCTCTGCATGTGAGATGGGTTTCCTGAATACAGCACACTGATGGGTCTTGACTCTTTATCCAATTTGCCAGTCTGTGTCTTTTAATTGGAGCATTTAGCCCATTTACATTTAAAGTTAATATCACTATGTGTGAATTTGATCCTGTCATTATGATGTTAGCTGGCTATTTTGCTCTTTAGTTGATGCAGTTTCTTCCTAGCCTCGATGGTCTTTACAATTTGGCATGTTTTTGCAGTGGCTGGTACTGGTTGTTCCTTTCCATGTTTAGTGCTTCCTTCAGGAGCTTTTTTTGGGCGGGCCTGGTGCTGACAAAATCTCTCAGCATTTGCTTGTCTGTAAAGTATTCTATTTCTCCTTCACTTATGAAGCTTAGTTTGGCTGGATATGAAATTCTGGGTTGAAAATTCTTTTCTTTAAGAATGTTGAATATCGGCTCCCACTCCCTTCTGGCTTGTAGAGTTTCTGCTGAGAGATCAGCTGTTAGTCTGATGGACTTCCCTTTATGGGTAACCTGACCTTTCTCTCTGGCTGCCCTTAACATTTTTTCCTTCATTTCCACTTTGGTGTATCTGACTATTATTTGTCTTGGAGTTGCTCTTCTCGAGGAGTATCTTTATGGTGTTCTCTGTATTTCCTGAATTTGAATGTTGGCCTGCCTTGCTAGATTGGGGAAGTTCTCCTGGATAATATCCTGCAGAGTGTTTTCCAACTTGATTCCATTCTCCCCGTCACTTTCAGGTACACCAATCATACGTAGATTTGGTCTTTTCACATAGTCCCACATTTCTTGGAGGCTTTGTTCATTTCTTTTTATTCTTTTTTCTCTAAACTTCTCTTCTCGCTTCGTTTCATTCATTTGATCTTCCATCACTGATACCCTTTCTTCCAGTTGATCGAATCGGCTACTGAGGCTTGTGCATTCATCACGTAGTTCTAATGCCATGGTTTTCAGGTCCATCAGGTCCTTTAAGGACTTCTCTGCATTGGTTATTCTAGTTAGTCATTCATCTAATCTTTTCAAGGTTTTTAACTTCTTTGCCATTGGTTTGAACTTCCTCCTTTAGCTCGGAGAAGTTTGATCATCTGAAGCCTTCTTCTCTCAACTCGTCAAAGTCATTCTCTGTCCAGCTTTGTTCCGTTGCTGGTGAGGAGCTGTGTTCCTTTGGAGGAGGAGAGGCACTCTGCTTTTTCGAGTTTCCAGTTTTTCTGCTGTTTTTTCCCCATCTTTGTGGTTTTATCTACCTTTGGTCTTTTATGATGGTGATGTACAGATGGGGTTTTGGTGTGGGTGTCTTTTCTGTTTGTTAGTTTTTCTTCTAACAATCAGGACACTCAGCTGCAGGTCTGTTGGAGTTTTCCAGAGGTCCACTCCAGACCCTGTTTGCCTGGGTATCAGCAGTGGAGGCTGCAGAACAGCGAATATTGGTGAACAGCAAAAGTTGCTGCCTGATCGTTCCTCTGGAAGTTTTGTCTCAGAGGAGTACCCAGCCCTGTGAGGTGGCAGTTTGCCCCTACTGGGGGGTGCCTCCCAGTTAGGCTACTCAGGGGTCAGGGACCCACTTGAGGAGGCAGTCTGTCCATTCTCAGATCTCCAGCTGCATGCTGGGAGAACCACTACTCTCTCTTCAAAGCTGTCAGACAGGGACATTTAAGCCTGCAGAGGTTTCTGCTGCCTTTTGTTTGGCTATGCCCTGCCCCCAGAGGCAGAGTCTACAGAGGCAGGCAGGCCTCCTTGAGATGCGGTGGGCTCCACCAAGTTCGAGCTTCCGGGCCGCTTTGTTTATCTACTCAAGCCTCGGTAATGGTGGGCGACCCTCCCCCAGCCTCGCTGCCACCTTGCAGTTTGATCTCAGACTGCTGTGCTAGCAATGAGCAAGGCTCCGTGGGTGTAGTACCCTCTGAGCCATGCGCAGGATATAATCTCCTGGTGTGCCATTTGCTAAGACCATCGGAAAAGCGCAGTGTTAGGGTGGGAGTCACCCGATTTTCCTGGTGCCATCTGTCACCCCTTTTCTTGGCTAGGAAAGAGAATTCCCTGACCTTTTGTACCTCCTGGGTGAGGCGATGCCTCACCCTGCTTTGGCTCATGCTCAATGCACTGCACCCACTGTCTGGCACCCACTGTCTGACAATCCCCAATGAGATGAACCTGGTACCTCAGTTGGAAATGCAGAAATCATTCATCTTCTGCATCACTCATGCTGGGAGCTGTAGACTGGAGCTGTTCCTATTCGGCCATCTTGGCTCCGACCACCGCTTTTTGTTTTATATCTAGGAAATCTTTGCTCATTTCAAGGTATTGAAGATTTTATTTCTTATTTTTGTCTGGAATTTGTATAGCTTTATCTTTTATATACATATCTATGATTCATTCTGAATTTGTGTGTGTGTGTGTGTGTGTGTGTGTGTGTGACATGAGATAAGGTTTGAGGTTTATTTTTCCCATATGGACATTCATTTTTTCTATCAACATTTGTTGAAAATACTGTCACTGAGATACCTTAGCACTTTATCAAAAATCAGTGGCTATATATGTGGGTCTACTTTTGGACTCTCCATTTTTTTCTGTTGCCTGCACTTGCAGCACTACCATACAATGTTGATTACCATAGTCTTCAAATGAAGTAGTGTAAGTTCTTTAACTTTGTACTTCTTTCCTAAAATTGTTTTAGCATTCTTGGTCTTCCACATATTCATATAAATTTTAGAATGGGAATATGTTTCATTATTCTGGCTAGAAGATTTGGTACCCTAGTCTTAAGTAGGTCATTGTGAATTCAGAAATTGTACAGAGAGGAGGCATAACTTTAAAGAAAAAGCCCACTGAATGTGATGTCAAAATAGATATGGCTCCAAAATGTTGACCCATTAATGTACAGGTATAATGGCAAGGTCATTAAAGAAGACAGAAAAATTGAAATAGAGAGATTTTTATCAGTATAAGAAAGGTTAATGTTTAGTTTGCTTTCAAAAATATGAAATTTATTATGATTGCAAGAAACATTAATAGAGAAGCCAAGAGGGAGGTAAGCTGGAGACTTGGGAAAAAGATTGGTGATGAAAATAGAGATTTGAGAACAATCATCATAAAAATCGCACACACAAGGGCTAAGGATGTACCAGAGAAGAGCATACGTAATTATGGTAGAGGGAGAATGAGCAGATTCATGGAAGGTAACGAAATGAGTGCTGGGAAGAGAGAAAAACAGTGTGGTTTCATGGAAACCAAGGTCAGAGAATGTTTCCATGAGGTAGGAGTTCGAAGTGTTTAAACAGAGAAAGATGAGAAAAAGGAGATAAAACAAAGTCCAGTGGCCTTAGCAATGGAGAATTCTTTGGTGACATTTGAGCAAACAATCTCATGGGCATGAACATGCCAAAGCCAACTTGCAGGGAATTATGGAGAGTGGGAAAGAAAGCCTGTTTTAATACTTCTGAAAATAAAGGGAGAACAATAAGATGGTCACTAAAGAGAACCATAGGATCAGATATATGCTCTCCATACAGTTTATACATGCTTGCTTTTTGACAAAAGGGATTAGTGTCTCTGCTTCTCAAAATTGTATGTTCACCATATTTTTAAAAATAGTTAAGCCAGTTGGGCTACAGATAGCTGCAGATTTCTCTCTCAACTCCGGAGTCTCTTCTACACCTCAAGTTGTCCCAGTCCTTTATAATGACAGTGGCAACTACACAACGTTTTCTGTCACAGCTCTCTCTTCCTGACTTCACTCAAAAGGCCTACTAGAATCAGCAAAAAAAAAAAAAAAAAAAGATTTCTTTGATGGGACTTGAGTGATCAATTTTAGTAGAGAGATAATGGCAGAATTTGTGTTGTAGTTGTTCTGTTTTGAGAGTACAATAACATATTTGGACCACATTACCTCTCCAAAATCAAGTTTCTATATTCATAATTCAACTGAAACACTGTGTAAAAGCTCCTTGGTGACCCTGTTATGAAATCCAGTGACCACGTCTCAAAGTTTTCCGTCTTCAAATATTTCAAACTGCTATATCTTTTTTTTTTTTTTTTGCAAAACTTTCATCTTTATGGTTTTCTTGACATGGGCTTCACTGGAGTCCTCCTTGTTAAGAGGGTTTAAAGAGTGGATATTATTATTGGTTGAAATATAGAGCATGGCTTTCTCCTTGCTGTCTTTTTCCCTTCCTAACATCACTATAATGTCTGTGAGGTGAGCAGGCATGCAGAAGCCCTCTCCATGCGCAGAAAGTAATTTGCTCCACAGTGACAATGTTCATATGTATAAAGCCCCAAAGAGGCACAAGTAGGCTTCTCTCTTCATGTGCAAGGACCCTGCATGAGCATCATGATCAAAAAGAAGGAAATTGGATTCAGTCTCAGTACAATTATCATTTTTCTTTGTTTTAAAGTCCAATTGCTGTTGAGAATTTACTCCTTGTTGACTCCATTTGTTGCTTTCAGACACTGATATAGCAGAATGAAGAGAAAGAACTTCACAGAAGTGTCAGAATTCATTTTCTTGGGATTTTCTAGCTTTGGAAAGCATCAGATAACCCTCTTTGTGGTTTTCCTAACTGTCTACATTTTAACTCTGGTTGCTAACATCATCATTGTGACTATCATCTGCATTGACCATCATCTCCACACTCCCATGTATTTCTTCCTAAGCATGCTGGCTAGTTCAGAGACGGTGTACACACTGGTCATTGTGCCACGAATGCTTTTGAGCCTCATTTTTCATAACCAACCTATCTCCTTGGCAGGCTGTGCTACACAAATGTTCTTTTTTGTTATCTTGGCCACTAATAATTGCTTCCTGCTTACTGCAATGGGGTATGACCGCTATGTGGCCATCTGCAGACCCCTGAGATACACTGTCATCATGAGCAAGGGACTATGTGCCCAGCTGGTGTGTGGGTCCTTTGGCATTGGTCTGACTATGGCAGTTCTCCATGTGACAGCCATGTTCAATTTGCCGTTCTGTGGCACAGTGGTAGACCACTTCTTTTGTGACATTTACCCAGTCATGAAACTTTCTTGCATTGATACCACTATCAATGAGATAATAAATTATGGTGTAAGTTCATTTGTGATTTTTGTGCCCATAGGCCTGATATTTATCTCCTATGTCCTTGTCATCTCTTCCATCCTTCAAATTGCCTCAGCTGAGGGCCGGAAGAAGACCTTTGCCACCTGTGTCTCCCACCTCACTGTGGTTATTGTCCACTGTGGCTGTGCCTCCATTGCCTACCTCAAGCCGAAGTCAGAAAGTTCAATAGAAAAAGACCTTGTTCTCTCAGTGACGTACACCATCATCACTCCCTTGCTGAACCCTGTTGTTTACAGTCTGAGAAACAAGGAGGTAAAGGATGCCCTATGCAGAGTTGTGGGCAGAAATATTTCTTAATGGATTGGATTATTTCATTAAGAGACCATTAGCCCAGTGTAGTGTGTCTACTCACAAACATGCCACAATACACAAATTCATCAAATATAATATTTGTTGAGAATACTGTCAAAGAATAGAAATGCTTGTCTGTTTAGTGTTCTAGGCATGGCAGAAAGCAGGATTTCTGCTCTGGTGAATTTTGTTACCAGATACAAGAATCACTCCAAGCTGGATTAAGACTACTTGTTTCTGTGCTTGAAGATTTCAGTTTTGAAAGCTTTTTGGCTCCCATTTTACCTGAACTCTCTGACAGTCAAATCTTTGAGCTTGTCTGGTTAGGGGATGTGGAGTAGAGACAGTGGGAACATAGGTGGCAGCGGTGTTAGGGAAATAAGCCGCAGAGACACCAACCTTTATTTCTCTCTGCTTA
Organism: Homo sapiens; assembly: GCF_000001405.40. Classification (NCBI taxonomy): domain Eukaryota; kingdom Metazoa; phylum Chordata; class Mammalia; order Primates; family Hominidae; genus Homo; species Homo sapiens. The sequence goes on along the minus strand of NC_000001.11, from coordinate 159,534,665 downwards.
CATAAAAAAGAAAGCTTTCATTCTCAGGAGTCAAATAATATTCCATGTGACAGTCATTTTGTAATTATATCTTAATTCTTGCGGATTGAAAAATGAACAGCTTTGAAAAAAAAGTCTCTTCTTTTATTATCCAGCTGTATTCGCTCCTCAAATAGTGTTCATTTCTATGTGTATTCCTTCCTTCTGTGCAACCAAGGCAGAAATCTCTGCTGTTCCCTAGGGGATAAGCAGAAAGAACACATACTGGTGGCTTTTCTCTGAAACTACATTTTTATCCAGATGCACTTTTCATGAAGACTCGTCTCTTTTCAACTTATGGTAGCTTTTTAGATTTTTAATTTATATGTAGTAGCTTCAGTGACATTGAAGTTGTTGTCTTAGATATTGGTTATACTAATTCTAGGGTCCAAGGTAAATGCCATTAACTTCCATTCTCTCAGCAAACTGTGCAAGCTTCATATTTCTCCAGATATTTATTTGTAAAATAAGCATAACTGTGCTACATTATTGTATACCCTCAATGGGAAACATTGTGGGAATATTTTGTTTTATGAATCTTCCCACCAGAGTTTATCTCTACTCTGAGACAGAGCTGGAAGGTACTTTCTAAGAGACACAGGTATGGAAACATCTGTTTTCACACACTCATGACATCTACTGTTGTTCCATCCTCAAGTCAGTTCCTATCTCTTACTCTCGAGTTTTATTTTTCTGTTCCTAACCACAGAAATAGGGTTAAGTGTCTTTTAGGTGACCTGTGATCTTCTCTGTCTTCTACAGATCCCTTTGTGAGGAGGTCACAAACTGGAGGTGAAGGGTCTCTGCACAGAGTCCCCTTGATCCCCAACTGGCTGTCCCAGTTGGATAACATCACAGCTGATAGCAGGGTCTCCCTACTGACCAGCCTGATATCCTTCCCAAAAGATGTCTCAACCTGAGGTTCATAGTTTTCTAGAGGGTGCCTGGGCGGGTGTCAGAGGATTTTTGAACTTTTTTGAAATTATTCACTACATTTCTAATATAGGTATTAATGTGACCTTTTCATCATATTCTTAGAGAATTAATTCTGGCATAAGTATTTCTTCCCTCAAATCCAAACAGAAATATGAGACCAGATCCAACTTTCTTCCTTCAGAGACTATTGACATCCACAATATCCTTACACCCTCTTAAATAAGGATCCTTTGACCTGGTCCAGTTTTGCCTATATAGGCATTGCTGTTCTTACACTAGTTAGAGAATATGGAAGGTATGGGTGGTTCTCAGCTTGGAGGTTGAGGAATAATGGGTTATGGGGGAATATCAAAGGCCAAGTGTGGTCTTATTGAAAGTTTTTCTGTCTTCTTCCATCCCTTCCTGTATTCCCTCCTGTATTCCTTAAGTATTTCAATACTATTCCTGCTCCTCCAACACTTTGTAGATGAGTGAATACCCCACTAGTGTTTGTTGTTTTACATACTTTGCATGGATTTAGACTCACTAGAGAAAGCAGCATCTACAGGCAAAGTGCAATAGCATAAGAGTGAGTAGGTTTATGTGGTCACAGGTCCCTCCTGGAGGATGAATTAGGAAGAGTGAGTCATTTTGTTGCTGCTTCCTATTGTCTATGCAAAATGCTTATATTGATAGTAAATGTGGCATTATTTTCACTATCTCAATTTTTTTTTTTTTTTAATAGTGAATCTTTTTTTTTTTTTTTAATTTTTTTTTTTTATTATACTCTAAGTTTTAGGGTACATGTGCACATTGTGCAGGTTAGTTACATATGTATACATGTGCCATGCTGGTGCGCTGCACCCACTAACGTGTCATCTAGCATTAGGTATATCTCCCAATGCTATCCCTCCCCCCTCCCCCGACCCCACCACAATTGTTTTTGTTGTCTTTATTTGTTGCACTCATCCTGAGTGCATGATTATTCCCCAATGTCTCACTCTATCCATACTCCTTTATTTTTCTTCCTTTGTACATTTCAAATACTTTTATTATTTTAATATGTTTTTTGTTAAGCTCTTTTATTCACCAGAAACATAGTCATAATATCAGATATTTATTAAATCTATTTACCTTTTTCAAGCACTATGTGTCAAGCAATTAACTATCTCTGGGGTTACAATAACGACTAATGCAGATATTCTGTTTCATGTAATTCACAGTCCAGGGGGAAAGCAGACAAAATAACAAGAAGTACAAAAACTTGCTAAAGGCACATGCACAGGATTGTTGTTTGGGTCAGAGGCATTGTTCAGAAAAGGAATCTATTTAGAAGGTCAGAAAACATTCATAGAGAGGTGATATTTAATTAACTTTTTGTGGCATTGGGTCATCTGGTGTCTGCAAAGGATGAGGGAAGATGATAAGGGAAAGAGAAGAGTCTGACAGAGACACACTAACCTGAAAAAGGCAGAAGTGTTAGTTGGGCGGGTGTTTTATTCACCTGTATGCCCATTGCCCTGTTGAATACTAGTCTGGCAAAAAGTAAGTGCTTAATATACCTTTGCATAAATGAATGTGTGAACATCTATTGAGTATAAAGTCTTGTCCAAGGGTTTCCTCAGGTGTATTTTTTGATAGATACATCTTGTTATATTCTTTCTGTTTGTCTGATAGACTCCTTTTACCTAAAATCAAGTAACAGAGAAAATAACAGAGTACAGGTGACAATCCTGAGTGCATACTTGAAGTTATTTGCCTTCATTGCAGGATTGCCTAATAGACTCAGCTGACTATTTATCATATATTTACATTAGTTAGTCACTTAAAATTGCACACTGGATTAATATGTTTTAGCTATAAGCAGGACCGTTATTTTGATAATCTTTAAAATAATTGCTTGATAGCTTGACATATAAAATCAAGAGTTAAGACATTTAAACATTTATCTTTAGGAAAATTATGAAAAGACTATTATGGATCTTATAACTTCTGTAAATGATTTTTACAGTGTTGATTTTGTAACTTCTTTAGAGAAAAACTAGTTTTACCTGATATCCTTTTACATTCATCAGTTGTAACCTATAATGGATTAGAGGAGACGATGGCTCCATCACTCCCAACAATGAGTGGAATAAAACATTTTATTGATGGGTGCAAATGTTTCTGGGAGAGGAGAAAGCATGGAAGTGGGCAGGAGAGATAAACTTAAGCCAAGGATAAGCAGGTAGTATGTGTCACAGAGAGCTTAACTTTGAAAATGACATATTTAAAGGGTACAAGAACCTAAGTTAGTTTTGTTGTGCCGCTAAGGTGTGAACACAAGTGTGAGTGTGTGTGGTGTGTGTGTATATGTATACATGCATGCACATGTATATTTTTGTGGGAGGGTGCTAACATTTAAAAGCTTTAGGTATAATGGGCATTGCGATAAAATGCTTTATTTGCATTATTTCATTTAATAACGATCTTTAATGTTTATATAGCTCTTTAGAGTTTACAAAGGTCTTTTGTGTTCATCATCCCGTTTGATTCTTATAACACTCCTGTAAGGTACTAGTCCCACAGTTTTCGGATATATCCATTGCAAATGGTAGTTTAAATTACTTTTCCAAGGTCATATTCATTGTTAGAACTAGCAGTAGGACTAAAATAGAAGTGAGCCTTAACTACAAATCTAGTAATTGTGAATTCCATGCTTTTTATTCTTTGTCCATTTTTATTACCTCATCCATTCATTCAAACACACGTGTGCATGTGCCTGCGTGTGCATGCACGCACGCACACACACACACTGTATTAATTCTTATCAGAGAATAAAGTACAAAGAATAAACTTTATTTCTGAGATCCTAAAACTTCATTTCACTCAGAATTGATGAACTTTTTCTAAAACGTTCTAATTCCTTCCCTGACCCTGTAAATAAAATATATTGATGATCATGAATGTATTTTTTAAAAACGTTTACCATGGGCACTTAACTGTATCTTGTGTTGTGGTTCAGTGATATTGTCAGTTGGAACTGAGCTTATATAATCTTTGCTTCTGAATTAAAAGATTCACATATTCCAGTATTTTATGAACTTTGTGTAGAATTGTATAGTTTCTGATTCTTTAATTATTTAGTTTGTTACTTCAACAAATATAAAATGCCTGTTCACTCTGAGTATCAGACACTGGGTTAGGCACTAGGAATGTAGAGATAAATAAGGCCCTAGTCTTGCATTGAGTAGCTAACAATCTACTTGCAACCCATTTCAGTGCAGTGTGATTAATGCAATACACGGAGTACTGTGAAGACCCAGAGAAAAAAATTCCCAACTCAATTGGTGAATTTCATCCTTGCATGTATTTGTAGCAGGTCAAGGTAAATGAGTTTGACAAGTTCAAGAACTTTATTCTAGTAAAACTTCATGAGATTAAGCCTACTCAGAGATAGCAAGTGCCCCCAGGTTAATGAATCCAGAATCTCTATAATTTATCATCCACAATTTTCAGTATGTAATTACAAAATGCTCAACATTGGGGAAAAAAACAACATTGTGGCCCCTATCAAGAGAAAATGAGTCAACACGTCAACCCTAAGATGACTCCATTCAGTAGTCAGGAACTTTAAAGTAGCTAGTGTATATAGGCTCAAGAACTTATAGAAAATTTTCTTATAATAAGTAAACATATGTAGAATCTCAGTCAAGAAATCTAGAACTGAAAATTAAAATACGTGAAATAAAAATTTACTGTTTAACAGTAGACTGGTGTTGGTAGAAAAAAGGGTCAATGAACTTGAGAGTGATTAATAAAAATTATTGAATCTGAAAAACAGAGAAAAAATGAATAACAATGAACAGAGTCTCAATGACCTGTGCTACAATTCAAGACATCTAATGTACATGTACTTGAAGTCTCAGAAAGAGAGAATAGTATGTGTCACAAAAATATTTGAAAAAACATTGGTTAAAATGTTCATATTATTAAAAAATATAAGATACAGATCTAAGAATCTGAGTGAATTCCAGGTAGGGTAAATAGAAAAATGTCAAATATATGTAAGCAGAGTCAAATATTTAAAACCAGAAATGAAAAAAAAATCTTGAAAGTAACCAGGTTAAAATAATAATTTTTTCCAAGATGACAGATTAGAAGCTTGTCAGCACACCTCACCCACTTGGAAATAGCAAAATACTGTGTATAAATTTACACTGCTAAATTTTATCAAAAAAAAAACAAAACAAAAAACACCAGGAGTGCCCAAGAAATTGCCAGCCAGCACAGGAGGCAGTTATTGGTTTGGAGAATTTTGGTAGGGAAATTTGTGATCTGGCCTTGAGTAGGGGAGGAGTCCCCATGGCTAGAACAGAGGTGAATGTGATGTGGGCTTTAGCCACAGGCATGGGAGTTGATCACCCTGTCTTTGTAAGACGACTTGAAGAGATTTGGCCTGGAAGCCATGGTTTTGACACAGGCAGTGAGTTTATGGCCTGCAGCAGTTTTGCCATCTGAAGAAAACTATTTGTGACTTGGCTGGTTGTCTCAGCTTGCTGCCAGCCGCAAGCTGTGGCAAGGATGCTTGTCAGGTTGAAAGCATTAAAGCAAGGTGGGTTCCACTACTGCCTGCTTGGCTGTGGTGCATGAGTTGCCTCTCCAACCATGCCGGCTCTATGGCATGGTAACAGGTGCTTTGCTCCTCCTTGAAGTATTGCTCCATGGGCCTAAGAACTGCCTTCTGACTCCTGTCAGGGCCAGCACATATGCCCATTATTGAGGGCCCAAGTGCAGGCTTCACCATCCCAGCCCTCCCCAGCTTGCCTGCTCACCCCTGCCTCAGAGGCAGAGCATGAGATTAGAACCACTGAGAGCTCCACAGCCCAACCCATCACCTGGGACACCTGAGCATTTCTCCTGGTTAACAAAGGTCAAGCATAAACTTACTGCTACCACCATAGCTGGCTCTCACCTGCAAGCACCACTTAATGGCCAAGAGGTGAACCCACACAGTGCAATATAAAATTTGCTAACATAATTGCAGCCTAGAAGCAAATAGCAATGTCTAACCTAACTGAACATCCTGAATGCCCAGACAGAGATGTGAAGGAGAAACTAATCCCATTTTTACCTGTTGAGGTTGTGGTACTGGGATTACCATAAAGAGACCTCAGCAACTTCCTCCAGGGACCTGAGGACTTCCCCACCACCCTGTCAGGGCTGGTGCTTGCACTTGCTATTGGAGGGCCTGAGTGTAGGCTTCCCCTCCCTGGCTCCACCATCCCCTCCTAGAGGGAGGGTGGGACTGAAGCTCTTGAGTGCTCCAGAGCCCAACCCACCACCTGAAACACTGGAGCACTTCTCCAGCTGTTAACACAGTTCAAGCATAAACCCTACAGGTACCACCTCAGCTGGCTTTTACCTGAAAATGTCACCTACTGGCTAGGAAGTTGACTGGCACAAACAACACAATACAAAATCTGATACAAGAGTGCAGCACTTGGGAAGGAGACAAACTTTTCCCAACTTCTACTAACACCATTGCCCATGCCACCTTAGCTTGTCAGGGGGCAGTGAGCCTGCTCACCCACCTGGTACACCACTACAACAACCAGCATTTTAGAAAGCTGGCACACTACAGCTATTTATAACCAAGAAAATAATAGAGTCTTGACTACTGAATGCACCCAGAGGCATAGTCAAATGACCCTGTCCAACATAAATCATAGTGATACCCCCAAGAAAAAAAGTTCCTGCCTGCATTAATGAAAGTAAATTCAAAATTAAGAAGTGACTGTTTGCCCAGATGCAAAGAAATCAGCATAATTATTCTGGAAGTATTAAAAAAACAAGGGTATATGATGCCCCAAAGGAACACAGTAATTTTCTAGCAATGGATCCTATCCAAAAGAAAATATTTCAAAAGCCAGAAAAATTCATAATATTGATTTTAAAGAAGCTCAATGAAATACAAGATAAATCTAAAAATGAATACAAAGAAATCCGAAAATCAACTCAGGATATAAAATAGAAATTTACTAAGGAGATATCTTAATTTTTTTTCTGGAAATGAAAAAATCTTTGAAGGAGTTACAAAATACAGTTGAAACCTTCAACAATAGATTATACCATGCAGAATAGAGACTCTCTGAATCTGAAGACAGGTCTTTTGAATTAATCCAATCAGACAAAAATAAAGTAAAAAGAATAAAAAGAAGGAACAAAGCTTTCAAGAAGTATGAGACTACAGAAAATGACCAAGCTTATGAATCATTGTTATTATTGAGGGAAAAGAAAAACCAAGAAGTTTAGGAGATCTGTTTAAAAAAATAATTGATGAAACCATCTCTTATCTTACAACACATTTAGACATCCAGATACAAAAGGCCTGGCAAACACCTGGAAAATACATAGCGAGATGGACTTCACCACAGTATATAGTTAACAGACTGTCTAAAGTCAATGTGAAAGTAAAAGATTCTGTAAATTACCTTGGGCAGTATGGCCATTTTCACGATATTGATTCTTCCTACCCATGAGCATGGAATGTTCTTCCATTTGTTTGTATCCTCTTTTATTTCCTTGAGCAATGGTTTGTAGTTCTCCTTGAAGAGGTCCTTCACATCCCTTGTAAGTTGGATTCCTAGGTATTTTATTCTCTTTGAAGCAATTGTGAATGGGAGTTCACTCATGATTTGGCTCTCTGTTTGTCTGTTGTTGGTGTATAAGAATGCTTGTGATTTTTGTACATTGATTTTGTATCCTGAGACTTTGCTGAAGTTGCTTATCAGCTTAAGGAGATTTTGGGCTGAGACAATGGGGTTTTCTAGATATACAATCATGTCGTCTGCAAACAGGGACAATTTGACTTCCTCTTTTCCTAATTGAATACCCTTTATTTCCTTCTCCTGCCTAATTGCCCTGGCCAGAACTTCCAACACTATGTTGAATAGGAGTGGTGAGAGAGGGCATCCCTGTCTTGTGCCAATTTTCAAAGGGAATGCTTCCAGTTTTTGCCCATTCAGTATGATATTGGCTGTGGGTTTGTCATAGATAGCTCTTATTATTTTGAAATACGTCCCATCAATACCTAATTTATTGAGAGTTTTTAGCATGAAGGTAATTTACAGATTCAATGCCATCCCCATCAAGCTAGCAATAACTTTCTTCACAGAATTGGAAAAAACTACTTTAAAGTTCATATGGAACCAAAAAAGAGCCCGCATCGCCAAGTCAATCCTAAGCCAAAAGAACAAAGCTGAAGACATCACACTACCTGACTTCAAACTCTACTACAAGGCTACAGTAACCAAAACAGCATGGTACTGGTACCAAAACAGAGATATAGATGAATGGAACAGAACAGAGCCCTCAGGAATAACACAGCATATCTACAACTATCTGATCTTTGACAAACCTGAGAAAAACAAGCAATGGGGAAAGGATTCCCTATTTAATAAATAGTGCTGGGAAAACTGGCTAGCCATAGGTAGAAAGCTGAAACTGGATCCCTTCCTTACACCTTATACAAAAATCAATTCAAGATGGATTAAAGACTTAAACGTTAGACCTAAAACCATAAAAACCCTAGAAGAAAACCGAGGCTTTACCATTCAGGACATAGGCATGGGCAAGGACTTCATGACTAAAACACCAAAAGCAATGGCAACAAAAGACAAAATTGACAAATGGGATCTAATTAAACTAAAGAGCTTCTGCACAGCAAAAGAAATTACCATCAGAGTGAACAGGCAACCTACAGAATGGGAGAAAACTTTCGCAACCTACTCATCTGACAAAGGGCTAATATCCAGAATCGACAATGAACTCAAACAAATTTACAAGGAAAAAACAAACAACCCCATCAAAAAGTGGGCAAAGGACATGAACAGACACTTCTCAAAAGAAGACATTTATGCAGCCAAAAAACACATGAGAAAATGCTCACCATCACTGGCCATCAGAGAAATGCAAATCAAAACCACAATGAGATACCATCTCACACCAGTTACAATGGCAATCATTAAAAAGTCAGGAAACAACAGGTGCTGGAGAGGATGTGGAGAAATAGGAACACTTTTACACTGTTGGTGGGACTGTAAACTAGTTCAACCATTGTGGAAGTCAGTGTGGCGATTCCTCAGGGATCTAGAACTAGAAATACCATTTGACCCACCCATCCCATTACTGGGTATATACCCAAAGGACTATAAATCATGCTGCTATAAAGACACATGCACACGTATGTTTATTGTGGCATTATTCACAATAGCAAAGACTTGGAACCAACCCAAATGTCCAACAATGATAGACTGGATTAAGAAAATGTGGCACATATACACCATGGAGTACTATGCAGCCATAAAAAATGATGAGTTCATGTCCTTTGTAGGGACAAGGATGAAATTGGAAATCATCATTCTCAGTAAACTATCACAAGAACAAAAAACCAAACACCGCATATTCTCACTCATAGGTGGGAATTGAACAATGAGAACACATGGACACAGGAAGGGGAACATCACACTCTGGAGCTTGTTGTGGGGTGGGGGGGGGGGGATAGCACTGGGAGATATACCTAATGCTAGATGATGAGTTAGTGGGTGCAGCGCACCAGCATGTCACATGTATACATATGTAAGTAACCTGCACATTGTGCACATGTACCCTAAAACTTAAAGTATAATAATAATAATAATAATAATAAAATAAAATAAAATAAAAAAATAAATAAAAATAAAAATAAAAGCAAAAAAAAAAGAAAGTAAAAGATTCTAAAATTATCAAGATAAAATTGTCTAGCCACCCATAAAGGAAACCTCATCATATTAGCAGTGGATTTCTCAGCAGAAACCTTGCAAGCCAGAAGGGATTAGGATCCTATTTTTAGAGTTGTTAAAGAAAAAACTGTCAACCACGAGTTTTACATGCTGCAAGAATAAGCTTTTTATGTGAAAGAGAAAAAAATATATTTCCCAGACAAACAAATGCTGAGAGAATTCATTACTACCAGACCAGTTCTACTAGAAATGCTCAAAGGAGTTCTAAACATGGAAATGGAAGGTTGATATTTGCCATCATAAAACACACAAAAATATACACCTCACAGACCTTGTAGAAACAATTATACAAGGAAGAAGAGAAAGAAATCAAATGGCAACATGACACAACTCCACAAAACCACAAAGACAAGCAGAGATAAAAAAGGAAAAAATAATGTTCAAAATAACTAGAAAACTAACATTATGACAAGAACTAAACTTTACATATCAATCTTAAGCTTGCATGTAAATAGATTAAACACTTTAAAGATATAGAATGGCTGAATTAAAACACATGAACCAACTGTATGCTGCTTCTACAAAACTTATCTTACTGCTAGAAACAGACTGAATGCAAAGGGATGGAAAAAGGTATTCCCCACAAATGGAAACCAAAAGCAAGAGGAATAGCTATATTTATATCAGATAAAATATACTTTAAATCAACAACATTAAAAAGAGGCAAAGAACATTATTATATAATGATAAATGTATAAATTCAACAATAATATAAAGCAATCATAAATATGTATGTACTAAACACCGGAGCACTCAGATTCTTGAAGCAAATATTACTAGACACAAAGAGAGAGCAATACAATAATGGTGGGGGGGCTTCAACACCCCACTCTAAAAAGATCATCAAGACAGAAAATCAACAAAGAAACATTGGACATAAATTAGGCTTTAGATCAAAGGAAACTGACAGACGTTGACTTAACATTCTATCTAACAAATGCAGAATATACATTCTTCCCATAGCACATAGGACATTTTCCAATACAGTTCATATGTTAGGCCATGAAACTAGCTTCAGTAAATTGAAAGAAATTAAATCATAGCAAGTATCTTCTCAGAACATAGCAAAATAAAACTAGAAAACAATACCAAGAGGAATTCCCAAAACTAGACAAATATATGGAAATTAAACAGCATACTCTTGAACAATCTTGCATCAATGACAAAATTAAATTGGAAGTTTGAAAAACTTTTGAATTTAATAAAAACAGAGACAAAAGCAAAACTTTTAGAATATAGCAAAAGCAATGCTGCAAGGAAAGTTTATAGTGTCAAAGGCCTACACCAAAAACCTCCCACCAAAAATAAAAAGATAAAAAATTAACAATCTGAAATTGCACCTCAAGGAAATAGAAAACAAGAACAAACCAAACCCAAAGCTAGAAGAAGAAAAGAAATAACAAAGATCAGGGAAAAACTAAACAAAATTGAGACCAAGGGAACAACAGAAAGGAGCAATGAAAGAAAAGTTGGTTTTTGAAAAGACAAACAAAATTGATAAACTGTAGCTACACTAACCAAGAAAAGAACAGAGAGGATTTAAATACACACAATTATAAATAAAAATGTAGACATTAACAACTTATACTACAGAAATGCAAAAGAACATCAGAGACTACTATGAACAACTCTACATTGGCAAATTAGAAAACCTAGAGGAAATGTATTAATTCATGGAAATATACAATCTCCCAAGATTAAACCAGGAAGAGGTAGAAATCCTGAACAGACCAATAATGAAGAGTGAGGTTGAGTCAGTAATAAAATTCTGCCAACAACAAAAAAATCCCAGGACCAGGTGAGTTCACATCCAATTCTATGAAACATACAAAGAATTTGTACTAATCCTACTGAAACTATTCCAAGAAAATAGAGAGGAAGTAAATCCTCCCTAACTCATTCTATGAAGTTAGTATCATCCTAAAACCAAAGCCTTACAAGAGGACAACAATAAAACAGAACTACAGACCAGTATCTCTGATGCACATAGAGGCAAAAATTCTCAACAAAATACTAGCTAATGGAATCCAGTATCATATAAAAAAATACCACCATAATCAAGTGGATTTTATTCTGTGGATGCAAGGATGGTTCAACATACACAAATCAATCAATGTGACTCATGACATAATCAGAATTAAAAACGAAAACCATATGATCATCTCAATAGATGCAGAAAAAGCATTTGATAAAATTCAGCATAATAATGTCCCCAACAAACTATGCATAGAAGGAACATACCTCAAAATAATAAAAGCCATATATGACAAAACTGCAGCCAACATAATACTGAATTGGGAAAAGTTGAAGGCAATCTCCCTAAGAACTGCAATAAGACAAGAATGCACCCATTTACCACTCTTATTCAACGTAGTACTGGAAGTCCTAGCCAGAGCATTTAGGCAAGAGAAAGAAATTTAAGGCATTCACATTGGAAAAGAGGAAGTCAAACTATCTCTGCTCACTGATGATATGATCTTAGAAAACCCTAATGACTCCTCTAAAAACACTCTTAGATTTGATGAACAAATTCAGTAAAGTTTTAGATACAAAATCAATGTACAAAAATCAGTAGCATTTCTATACACCAGTAACAATCAAGCTGATAACCAAATCAAGAAGTCAATTCCATTAGCAATAGTTACAAAAATAACATATCTAGAAATATATTTAGCCAAGGAAGTGAAAGATCTCCACAAAGAAAACTACAAAACACTGATGAAGAAATTGTAGATGATAGAAATAAATGGAAAAAGTCCCATGCTCATGAATCAGGGAATTAACATTGTTAGAATGACCATACTGCCCAAAGCAATGTACAGACTCAATGCAATCCCTATGAAACTACCAACATCATTTTTTTTTTCACAGAATTAGGAAAAATAATCTTTTTTTTTTTTTTTTTTTTTTTGAGACGGAGTCTCGCTCTGTCGCCCAGGCTGGAGTGCAGTGGTGCGATCTCGGCTCACTGCAAGCTCCGCCTCCCGGGTTCACGCCATTCTCTTGCCTCAGCCTCCCGCGTAGCTGGGACTACAGGCGCCCACCACCACGCCCGGCTAATTTTTTGTGTTTTTTAGTAGAGACGGGGTTTCACTGTGTTAGCCAGGATGGTTTCGATTTCCTGACCTCGTGATCCGCCCGCCTCGGCCTCCCAAAGTGCTGGGATTGCAGGCGTGAGCCACCGCGCCCGGCCAGGAAAAATAATCTTAAAATTCATCTGAAATGAAAAAAGAGCCAGAGTAGCCAAAGCAATCTTAAGCAAAAAGAACAATGCTGCAGGAATCACATTACCTGACCTCAAATTATGCTATAAAGCTGGCCAGTAAGCAAAACAGCACGGTATTGGTATAAAAATGGACACATAGATCAATGAAACAGAATGAAAAAAAAACCATAAATAAAGCCACATATCTTTAGGTAACTGACCTTTGCAAAGTTGAGAAAAACATACACTGGGGAAAGGACACTCTTTTCAATAAATGGTGCTAGAAAAATTATATTACTGTATGCAGAATAATAAAACTGGATCTGTCTTTCTCCATATACAAAATCAACTCAAGATGGATGAAAAAGTTAAATTTAAGACCTAAAATTATAGAGCTACTAGAAGAAAACCTATGGAAATTATTTTAGACATAGGTCTAGGCAAAGAATTTATGACTGTGACAAAAGCACAAGGAAGAAAAATAAAAATAAACAAATAAAAATTAAGCTAAAAAGTTTCTGCACAGCAACAGAACAGAGTGAACAGACAATCAGGAGAAAATATTTATAAACTATGCATCCAACAGGGGACTGATATCCAGAATTAAACAATAAAAACAACAAAAACCAAATTACCACATTAAAAAGTGGGCAAAAGACATGAATAGACTTCTTTTTCAAAAGAAGACATACAAATGGCCAACAAGATTATAAAAAAAATGCGAAATGACTAATAATCAGAGAAATAAAAATTAAAACCACAGTGAGATATAATCTTAAAACAGTCAGAATGGCTATTATAAAAGAGTGGAAAAATAACAGATGTTGGGGAGAATACAAAGTAAAGAGTAAAGAGCATGCTTACACACTGTTGGTGGGAATGTAAATTACTACAATGTTTATGGAAAACAATACAGAGATTTTTCAATTAATTAAAAATAGAGATACCATTCGATACAGCAATCCAACTACTGGATATATATCCAAAGAAAATAAATCATTATATCAAAAACATAACCTGCACTCACATGTTGATCATTGCCCTATTCACAATAGCAAAGATAGAATCAACATAAATGTCTATTATTGGGTAATTGAATAAAGAAAATCACACACACACACACACACCATAAAATACTAAGCCACAAAAATGAAATAAATCATGTATTTTTCAGCAACATGGATAGAACTGGAGACCATTATTTTAAGTGAAACAACTCAGAGGCAGAAAGTCAAATACTGCATGTTCTCATTTATAAGTTGTAGCTAAATAATGTGTACACATGTACACAGGCTTTGTGAAATAATCATCACAGGAGTCTTGGAATGGTAGGAGGGTGGGAGGAGGGTAAGGGATGAAAAACTACTTAATGGGTACAATGTACACTACTCAGATGATGCTTACCTTAAAAGCCTGGACTTTGCCACTACGTAATATATTCATATAATAAATCTGCGCCTGTATCCCTGAAATTTATACAAAAAAAGACATATTACATAGCAGGGAACAAGAATAATTTTACTTGACTTCTAATCAGAAACAATGGAGGCCAGAATAAATTCAATGACATTTTTAGTGTTATGCCAGAATTCTATATCCAGCAAAAATTTTATTCAAGATAAAGGTAAAGATAATTTCAGGTAAGTAAAAATTGAGATAATTTATGCACTACCAGAAATACTAAAGGGAGTTCTTCAGACTGAAGTTAAGTGACATCAGGTGCAAGCTTTATATTTGCAGAATAAGGACAATTGAAAATGGCAAATATGTGGGTAAATATAAAGGAATATCTTTTTTTCTCAATTGTTTTAAATAATGTATTATTTAAAGAAAAATATGAAATATTGTAAGATTTATAATGTTTATAATGTGTGTTGACATCATACTTATGACAACTATAGCAAAAAGGAAAAGACAAATGTAAATATACTTTTATGAAATGCTTTTGTTTAATAAAAGTGGTGCAATTTAACTCTAAGAAAAATTGTTATGAGTTATGAATGCATGTTAATCCACAGAGCAGCAATTAGAATAATGCAAAGAGGTATAGCTAAGAAGACAATAGATAAATAAAATAGAATACTAAAAAATTTGTTTGATCTAAAAGAGGAAAGCAGTGAGAAATAGAGGAACAAGTAAAGGATAGGACGAATAGAAAAAAATAGCAAAAGCTGGGTGTGGGGACTCGTGCCTGTAATCCCAACTACTCAGGAGGCTGAGACAGGAGGATCACTTGAGGCCAGGAATTTATGATCAGCCTGGGCAATACAGTGAGACCCCTATCTCTAAGAAAAATTTTTTTAAAAAATGTCAGGGCATGGTGGTGTGTGCTTGTAGTTCCAGCTTATTGGGAGGCTGAAGTGGGAGGATTGCTTGAGTTTAGGAATTTGGGGCTGCAGTGAGCTGTGATGATGCCATTGATCTCCAGACTGGGCAACAGAGTGAGATCTCATCTCCTAAATATTAGAAAAATGGTAGACTTAAATCCAACAATATATGTAATTATGTTTAACCTAACTATATTGAACATGTCTGTGAAAAGGCAGTCATTGTATTTTACCAGAATAGATGAAAACAAGCAAACCCCAAGTATACTCTATTTTAGAAGACAAACATAAAAATATGTAGATATATTGAAAAAACTATGGAGAAAGATATAGTATGCAAACTCTAATTCTACCAGAGTGGTTATACATTCCAGAACTTTCTATAGCATTTTTGGTAGTGTAGAAATTATTTGAATTTCCACCTACCTAAAAACGTTTTTCATGTTTATTTCTAAATCATTAGCAGACAAAGTAGACATAAAAACAATAAATATAACCATAGATGAGAAAATGATTTCATTATGATAAAGGTCTAATTCATCAGTAAGACATACCAATCTTAAATGCTCCTGCTCCTAATAACAGAACTTCAAAATAAATAAAGCAAAAACTAGGAGAAATCAAAAGAGAAACAGACAAACTCACAATTCTAATTGGGATTTTAGTCCTCTTCTTTTATCAATTGATTTAACAAGTAGACATAAAATAAGAATATACGACATCGATATCTAAGGACATTCTAACCAAAAACAGAACATACTGTCGTTTCAAGTGCTTATGGAATCGAGAGAGAACATGTGATGAATCATACAATGACTCAATAAACTTATAAAAATTAAAATAATGCCGACTTTCTCTGACCATAATGAAATTCAGTTAGTAATAAGACAAAAAAAATAAAAAATTCTTAAACATTTAGAAATTAAACAACACACAGCTAAATAACTGAGGGATTAAAGAAGAAACCATAAGGAACATCAGACAATATTATAAGTTGAATAGAAATGAAGACAAGAAGTATTAAATCTTGTGAAATTCAGCTAAACCAGTACATAGAAATTATAGTTTGAATGCTTATAGTTAAGAAAACCAGTATATCAGCCATGGCCCATTCTTGAGACAGAAATCACATAGTAATTTCAACAATGAAAATTTAATATAATGAATTAATTGTAACAGGAGATTGCCTGTAGGTTCAGTGACATATGGAGCCACTAATGGCCAGATGGCAGTCTCATCTTCCAATTAAATGGACTATTGTTATGTTTTCTGGTAGAAGTATTTTCCCCAGGGGTGCTAAAACCAGCAGAGTTCAAGGTTGCTGAGACAGGCTAAAAAACTCTGTAAGTGAATTATTAGGTGTAGTAATAGGAATAAAAGAAATCCTTCCCACTTCCACCCTTTAACTCCTGACCCCTTGAATTTTAGCTATGATGGGGTGACAGTACTATATAACAGTATGATTCAAAACATACACTACATTCTATAAAACAGAACTCTATAATTTCAAGATATTTCCCAACTAGTGTTGTAACTAAGTCTTTAGTATGCCATTCATTTTTCAAGTACATAAGCTATTTTTGGACAATAAAGCATGTGGTAAGACAAGTTTATTCCATGGACGTGAACCCATTGCTGTATCTCCTTTATTGTTAAATTAGTTCCTTGAGCAGATGCAATGCTATGGGAAATGCCATGAAGGTGTTTAAGGCATTCTGTGCACCCACAGATAGTGGTGCTGCCAGAAGGATTACAGGCAGGGAAAGCAAATCCATGTCTAGTATACAAGCCTATTCCAGCAAAGGCAAATTTCTTCCCCTTCCATTATAAAAGATGTTCAAATAATCAACCTGCTATGAGGCCATTTTTCACAAGGCATGGTGTTATAGTTAGGGTTTACTATTTGTCTCCATTCTCAACAAATTATGTGCTCAACAGCAGTGTTAGCTGCGTCAGCCTTGGTAAGGGGAAGCCCATATTGTTAAATCCATGTGTAGTCTCTGTCCCTGCTAACGTGGCCATTTTGTTTATCAGACCTTTGTATAAGCAAAGTGTCTGGGGAAAGAAGCTAACTGGCATCTATAGAACATGCCATTTTGCTCATGTGACCATTGTAAGCCTTCATTTTGCTTGGTGGGCCACAGTCACATTTTGGGTTTTGAGATATTAGCATCAATTCAGGGACAAGGTCAAGTTATTCTGAAATGTCTGAGTATTTTCTACTTCTCAATGGAGTATATGTATATACCTCTAGTATACGGCCACAGATCCTTTTGGGGGAAGTTTTGGTGGAAGATTTACAGTGTGTGCTTGCATCAGTGATACTTCCCCAAGAAGTCTTGAACTCCCTTTCAATTGAGGGCCATGGTTCTGTGAATTATGATAGGTCTAGAAACTGGTTGAAAGACCATGATGCTCTGCTGTATTAACTTAAGTCACATGATAGAAGTAGTGTTAGCTCTGGTCTGACATACTCTCTGGTAAGTTGGTTCAAGGACCTACCCAGTGTCTACTTCTTCAGTTCCTGAATGTATAATTAGAATAGACATACATAGCAACTGGCAGAATACTCAAAGTGGTTCCCTGACCCATAGCATGAGGGCCATTATAATAGGAAGTATTAAGTAGAAGCCCCTAGAACTTCCTTTTCCTACCAACATAGTACATATGAAGCAATTCTGCATTACTATGGGAATTGTAGTGATTAATGGCATCTTAAAAGACCTAAAAGAAGCAGGGGTGGTTATACCCATCATGTCCCTCTTTAATCCTCACAGTTTGGTCTGTGAAAAAGTTAGATGTAAATTAGAGGAAGACTCTGGACTACTGTACACTTAATCAGCTTGTCACACTAATTGCAGTTGCTCCTCCAGATGTAGTATCTCTATTGGAGCCAATGAACATAGCACCTGTCAGTTGGTATGTAGCTATTGAAATAGTGACTATTTCTCCACATTAACTTTAAGGAGAACCAGAAGCAGTTGCTTTTACCTGGCAGGACCAATAGTATACTTTCACAGTTTTGCCTTAGGGCTATGATAATTCTGCTGCCCTCCATCATAATATAGATCACAAAAATGTTGTTTGTCATAAAATTTCATAGAACATCACACTTATTAACTTATATTGATAAAGTTAAGCAAATTGGATCAGTCAAAGGGAAGGTAACACATACTTTAGAGGCCTTAGTAATAAAGATGCATGAATAAGAGGGTAAGTTCTCATACTGTATAAGTCAGGGTCCAATTAGGAGAAAAAACACACAGTGATTTGAATAGGGAGTTTAATGTAATGAATTATTAAGTACAAGAGGGAACTTGAGTAATGAGGTATTTGATAGTAATTAGCAAAAATAATTCTAAAGAATATAGGAATAGCAGATATAAGTAACAGTCACTACCCCTAGGGTTAAGATAGAGTAGTGTGAGAAAACAACTTTTCCATGGATTTTTTTAGCATTCTTACAAAAACCTCAGTCTTCAGAGACATGGAAATGTATACATTATAAGAATAGAGAGTGTTTGCTTTCATTTCCTCTAGAAACATTTTGTTTTTTAGATACACTGAGTATTAAATCTGTAAACATTTGTTTCCCTAATGGTGGAGCTAATTGCTTCCCTACTGTAGACCTTATCATTTCAAGAGCCAAATAGTAATTTTGGGTTAGGCACAAAAATTAAAGCATTATCTGCCTAGTTGTTTACATCCCAAACGGGGAGAACCCCAGGGCCATGAAGAAACATTTAGGTTGTAAAAGCCACAGACACTGGGTTTATCTTCCTCTTGGAGAAACTGATATACAAACCAAAGAGTTAGAGTAAGGACTTTTCCTATTCAGTTCCAAGGAGATTCAGAAGCGGAGGGATAAAAATGATTTTTCCCCTTTATAAATGGAGGACATTTATGTTTCTTCATCTCTTGCATAGAGAGTAATTCTGTCACTTGTGTATCAATTTTTTTTCTATTTGGGTCTTATAATGCAGGATTTTGGGTGTGGAGAGACTAATACTGCAATGTCATTTTGGCTATTGATTGTACATTGAACATGGTAAGAAATCAACTTTTATCAAGAAATCATCTTTTATCCAGAAACTTCATGTTTGCATTAAGGAAAATTTAATAAAGATAAACATTAAAAGCTGACATGCACCCAGAGGCAACCCTTCCTGCATCAGTGCTTATACCCAGACTTTATTAGAGAGGGCACAGTCTGGCATAGTGGCTCATGTCTGTAATCCCAGCACTTTGGGAAGCACAAGTGGGTGGATCTCTTGAGCCCAGGAGTTTGAGACGAGCCTGGGCAACATGGTGAAACCCTATCTTTACAAAGAATACAAAAACTAGCTAGGCATGGTGGCATGTGCCTGTCAGCTACTCAAGAGGCTGAGGTGGGAGGATCACTTGAAACCCAGGATGTCGAGGCTGCACTGAGTCTGTAATTGTGCCACTGCACTCCAGCCTGGATGACAGAGTGAGACCCTGTCTCAGCATTGATCCACTGTATGGCTGCGATGTTGCAATTAAGATGCTGCAATGTGCCATTCAGAGAGAACTTGATTGGATCTATACTTTTGAAATTTTGCCAAAAAAAAAAAATGCTTTCTAATGTACTGGGGAAAGTTATTCAGAAGAATATGTCTTACTAGAGGCACTCCACCATGCAAAGAGGGATGTTGAGGGAAACTTGGTGCTATTAATTACTGTGTACTGCAAGAGATGGATGTTGGTGAAGCTGACCATGTTGCAGGAATTTGGTATTGGTGAAGTCAGCCTGTACTAAAGAAACCTGCCAGGTGGATCACACTGGCAATATAGCTGGAAATTATGAGGCAGAGCATGAGAAAATAGGAAGCTGCACAAAATAAGAGTTACAGAAATTTGCATAAGCATCCCTCGTGTCTGTAACAGAATACTAAACTATGTGTACACTGGGCCAGATACCATAAGGCTGGCAGAGAAGACTTATGGGAAGACATGGGCTAAACAGAGATTATTAAGTTTACACTTGGCTGGGGGATGTTGTAACCAGCTAGAGTGGAGATGCTTAACTGAATACTGTGGGCCCTCAACTGAGATCTCAATAAGGCCACACCTTAATGGTAGGGCTACTCTAACACTGAAGTAATGGGTAATGTGAAATGCCATATCACACTTAGGAAGAAAGTTCAATAAGGTCAAGCTTATTTACAAGTAACTCAAATACCTAACAGAACACAGTTCAATATTCTTTTAAAATACACAAGAAAAAAATGCAGCTCTCCACACATAAAATAAAAATCTCCAATATTCACTAAAAAACTGCTAGATATATGAAGAAGCAGAAGTACGTCACCTATAATCAGAAGAAAAGTCAGTCGGAAAAAAAAGAGACAGAAATGAAAAAGATGATGGGGTTAGCAGACAGGGATGCTAAAACAATTGCAAATAGTACAAATTTGTTTAAGGTTAAGAGGAAATATGGATGTAATAAGGAGAGGAATGAGTGAGGTAAAAGAACCAAATGTAACTTCTAGAAATCAAAGAAAATATCTGCAATAAAAATTTCACTGGATAAGATTAGTAGCAGACTAGAACCTGCAGAAGAAAAGGACATTTAAATTGAAGACAAAGCAATAGAAATTATCAAAATAAGGAGCACACAGAGAGAAAATATTGGAAAACAATCAACTGTGCTTTAGTGATTTGTAGAAAAAACATCAAGCAGTTCTTAGACAGAAATCTGTAGTTTCTAAGGCTTATGTTGGTAAATAAGAAATGTCCAAATTCAATGATTAAGCATTTTAAGAGGCTAAAAGAAAAATTGAAGCCAAATTGGATAGAATAAGATAACAGAGAGGAGAACTGAAATCAATGAAATGAAAAGCAAACAAAAATAAAGTCAAAAAGCCCAAAAGGTTTTTAAAAAGTACCCTAAAACTTAAAGTACAATAAATAAATAAATAAATAAATAAATAAATAAATAAATAGATAAATAAATGTGATAAACTTCTAGTTAGATGAGCCAAGAAAGAGAGGAAGACATAATTAATGAGGGACTCCAACTATAAATTCTGTAAATATAAGAAGATTAAAACAGGAATATCATGAAGAACTTGTGCCAATAAATTCCACCACTTTTAAGAAGTGAATGATTCTTCAAAAGTCACAGGTGATAAAATTTTACTCAAGAAAATATAAGAAATGGAAAATCTGAATGGCCATATATCCATTAAATTAATTAAATTAAATTAAATTTTCCCACAAAGAATGTGCCAGGCTCAATGACATCACTAGTAAATTCTATAAAAGATTTAAGGAAGAACATGTACTAATTCATCACAAACTTTCTGATTAAAAAGGAAGTGAAAATACTTTCCATTTAGTTTTATAAGGCCAGCTTTATTCTGATATCAAAATCAGACAAAGTCTTCATGCACAACATAAAAAAAGAAAAACTAAAGAAAAACCTCCCTCATAAATACAGATGCAAAGCTCTTTAACAAAATGCTAGTAAATAAAACCCAACAATAATTAAAATGGGTCATATAAACAAGTAAAATTTACCCCAGGAATAAAAGGTTGGTTTAACATTTAAAAATCAGTTAATACAATTTGCTGTATATAGGAAAAGTCATGTGATTAACTGAAAATTGATTCAGGAAAAAAAATTGGCAAAATTTAGCCTTCATTCACGAAAAAACTTCTGGCAACCTAGAAATAGGAAAGAATCTTCTCAACTGCCAGCTATTATCATAAGCATAATGATTGATTTGTTTTAGATTTGTACAATTTGTTGTCCTTTAAAATAAGTCATAATTATACTTAATGGTGAACTCCAGGGTTTTGATATAGGTAGAAATAAAATGAATTACAAACAGCACAAAGAAGAGGAATGAGTAAACGGCATCAAACTGTTTAATTTTCTTGTATTATGTTTAAATGATATAATGTGAATTAAGGATAGACTTTGGAAACTTAAATGTCCACAATATAAATCATAGATCAATGATGAAGAAAAATAGGGAGGAGGAAGAGGGGATGGAGGGGCTGAAAAAGCCAATCTAACAGGTACAATATAACACTAAAAATACATGATTAATGCAAAACAAAGCAGGAAAGGAGGACTACAGGAAAAACAAATAAATAAAATAGAAAATAAATAGCCATACGGGAGACTTAAACCCAACCATATTAGCAACATATTAGCAATTGAACCTAGTAGACTAAACATCTCAATTAGAAGTCAAAGTTTGCCAAACTGAATTTAAAAAGCAGTACCTCTTATATGATGTTTGTATGAAGTGCACTTTAATTATAAATACCAAATAGATAAAAGTAAATGGATGGAAAATGTATGCCATGCAAAACAGTAAGCATCATAGGTTTCATATGATATGTCAGACAAAGTAGACTCCAGAATAAAGAACATTATCATGGATAAATAGGAGTAGTATGACAAGAAAATTATCATAAATATTATCATTCCAAAATGATAAAAGACATCAAGAATGAAGAAGACATAACAATATAACATATCTATGCACTTAATACCAGAGTTTCAAAATAAATAAAACAGAAACTGATAAAACTGAAAGGAAAAATTGACAATCTCACAATTACATTGTGCTATATTGATAGTTTAATACTTCTCCCTCAATAATTGTAACAAGTAGACATAAAGTCAATAAAATTAAAGAAAAAAATAAAAAGAATTGAAGAAAAAGGAAGAAAATGTTGAAGAATAAAAAAAGGATACCTACAGTTTTAGCTAACTTGAGCTCTTTGTTGTTTATAAAGCACTTCATTTTAAAGTGGCAGAATACACCTTCCTTTCAAGTGTTCATGGGTCAATCGTCAAGAGAAACCATTTGCTGGAATTTAAAATAAGTCTAAATCCTTTAAAATACATTAAAAAGGAGTATAATACAGAGTATCTTCTACTATAACATAAATATATGTATAAAATACCTGAGTGTTTAAAAATTAAACACCACACTTTTAAATAACCCATGAGTCAGAGAAGAAATCAAAAGAAAGTTTAGAGAGTATTTTAAATTAAATGAAAATTTAAAAAATTGTCATGATGCTGTTAAAGTAGAGCTTAGGGAGAAATCATAGCATTGCATTTTTATATAAGATTAGAGGAATGGGATAAAATCAGTGATCTATCTTTCTATCTTAAAAAGCTAGATGGAGAAAAACAAACTCAATGTAAGAGCCATCCAAGTTTTGCATATATCAATAGTTCATTCATTTATATTGCTGATCAATATTCCATAGTATTAATGTGTTTTTTGCCTATTTTCAATTAGATTGTTTGCTTTCTTACTGTTGAATTTTGAGAGTTATAAAATATTTTTCTAGGAATCTACTGCAATTGACCTCCAAATTTTTACTACAATTCCAAATTCTCATGACAATAGTGGAAGGAATTCTGATGTATTGAGAAGAGGAGGAAACAATAATCTCTAAGAACCACTGTGACTTTAGTCACAGGATTACAATAATAATGATAGATATATATTTTTTATTTTTAAATGTAAAAAATTTTTATTAGAAAATAAACAAAATGTGGTTGCACTGAGGAGATATCTGTTTCCCTAAGAAATATGCTGCGTACCTATCAAATGTAAATTGTGCTAGGTAGACACTGATAAACCTTTATTGGTTTAGGTAGACACTGATAAACCTTTATTGTTTTATAATAGCAAGGTTTTAAACTTGAGAATAGAAAGGAACCGGGTTAAACTTAAATGATTAAAGTTAAGATTATAGAGAATAATATTTCCAGAATCAGCAGTTGAGTGATTTTTTTCCCTAAATGACACTGACTCCATAGCATTATCTATCAGCATTTTCCACATCCTCTTCAGACTGCATCACGTGAAACAGGAATTATTTGTGAAGGTGTTTGTCCTTAGCTCCAGAATTTGTGCAGCAATAGGGACACTTTTTTTTCCAGAGGATACTAGGCCAGAGAGAGAGGGTTACACTGTGGGGTTTTGGGTTCTGAGTGGAAAGGCTCCTTAGATCTCTATAAAAGAGAAGGTGATGCAATCTGCTGAAAGTGAGGGTGATGAATAAGGTTGGGCCTGTGCAATGCTCATAGTGAATATTCAAAAAGCACAAGGAACGAAGGAAGGAAGGAAGGAAGGGAGGGAGGGAGGGAGGGAGGAAGATGGAGCACATTGTCATTGTTCTGGGAACTACTGTTCTAATCAATGTGAGAGAAGTCAACATACATACTCTAAGGATTTGTCCTTTAGACCACAAGGCCAGAGTTAATGGAGACCTTACCATGGCTAAAGAGAACTTGGCAGTGATCATTGGAAGGATAAGTAGAGCTGTCCTTTGAGAATGAAACAAAGATCTCCAAACTTGGGCTCCTGGGGCATGAAGATGTTGGCTGTATACATCTTTTCTCTACTTTGGCTGTTCATTGACATGAATACTTTCAAATGCTTCTGGATCTTCTCATTACTGGAATCTGGGCCACAAAGGTTGGGAGGCAAACAGTAACTGGTAGTTTTAATAATTAACTATCACTGATTTCTCAGCCAAAGGTCATTCTCTTTCTACCTTTCTGAAGCTCAGACTCAAGACACATAGATATGTGAAGAAGTGAAAAATCCAAATTATTGATTCTCTTCAACACCCTCCACCTCCTACCCTATGTAGGTAAACTGTAAATGGTCTGAGCTCTGTGGCAGAAGCTCCCCTAACTAGTGAGACACTTAGCACTTTGTGAGGGTGTTGTGTAGCCTGCTCACACTTGCTGCTGGCATTGGACTTTGCTCAGACATATAGGAGAGGTAGTGGGGTGGGCTGGAGGGCATGTGGGAAAAGTGGGAAAAAAAACTGCTAATAAAAGGGTTCAATCTGCTTTTTTCTTACCTAACATTTTGTTGGGTAAATATTTTTCTTCTTTTCTTTTTCTTGGGCATGCATAAGAATAAGTTCTTGTTTCTTAGAGAATCTACTACTTACTATGTGAGCTTGGTTCTACAGCTAGAGAAACTTCTGCAGACATTTACTTTGTTCTTGAGCCTTCTTTAGCTTCACCCTTACCTGCAGGCTCCATTTCTTTAAAACCTAGTACAAAGACAGTGAATTAGTTCTAGTTAAGTTGAGAATTAAAAAAATACAGTTTGTACAGTGGGGTTAAAATGTTGCTCTCCAAATCATTGAATATTTAACCACCCTAGCGCTCACTGCTACTAGCTTTAGGAGTCCTCCTGAGGCATTGCTGGACCCTGGGTCAATAGAAAGGCATGGCGAGGCAAGGTCTATAGCAGGGATATTTTGTGGGCTCATTCCAAGACAGTCCTGGGACACGAGTAGGATTTCTATGGAAATGGGTTCCACAAGGACCAGTTCTTTGTGGAAGTAATCTGGCTATCAGAGATTCTTTTACGTGTGTGTGTATAAGTGAGGTACATCTGCCATCCTGATATTCTAGAGCAATGGAAAAGAGTTCACTTCTGAACTCTAGAGTAAAATGTTTTTTATCACCGAGCCCCATCTAAGAACTCAGAAATAAATATGATTGGCATTTGAATTGGATCATTATCAGCTTACTTTCCTTACGTTTCTGCTACTACTTTTGCATTGCTTATGCTTCAAGTTGCCTGCAAAATTTAATTTTTAAATGCTTTGTTAAGCTTGTAAAATGATTTTTTTTCCTAAACAGAGGGCTTTGTGTATAGTTATTAAGATCTTCATTAATCAGTTCTTTATTACCCTGAGCAGCAGAGAATTAAAGAGTAACTGAAAATATATTTTGAACAGCCAGAATGATGTGACTAAATAAATCCATGCTCTAAAATGTATTGGCAGCATTTTTTTCTGGGATTAGTTTGCTGAGAGTTTCATTATGAATGGATGCCGAATTTCATGAAAGTCTTTTTCTACATAGATTGAGATGATGACGTGCTTTTCTTATTTTTGCAGTTGTGGTGAAATAAATGTATTGATTTAAAAATGTTAACCCCAGCTTTAATCCTTGGAGTAAATCCAACACAATTGTGATGAATAACCAGGTTTAAATACTACTACTGTCCTTGTCAGATTTTGCTATCAGGCTATGCTTTTACTAAATAAATTGGGAAAAGTTCCCTCATTTTTATTCTCTGGAGCAATTTTTGTAAGATTGGTGCTTAACAGCGATCATCTGATCTGATCCAGGTGTTGTCTTTATACAAAGATTTAAAAGTATAAATTCAATTTCTTTAATATGTTTATTTAGATTCTCAGTTTTTTTGTGTTTGATTTTATGAGTTATATTTTTAGGTTTATTTTATCTAAAACTTTTCAAATATTTGATATAAAATTATCTGTAATATCTTCTTATGATTTCACATGCCCATAGGTTCATGATATTTGTTCTTTGTGCTTGCTTTATTTCTTGATCTGTCTAGGTAGGGGAATATTAACTTCATTGGTTTCTCCAAATTACAAACTTTTTGCTTTATTGATCTTCTCTATTCTTTTCTATTTGACAAATTCTTGCCTTAATTTATTGAATTATAGATCCTTAGTTTGATTTAAGTTACAAATGCTTAATTGCTTGATTTTTATCTTCTTTTCTAAGATGTGCATTTAAAGCTGTATACTGCTCTATAATCACTGCTGTAGCAATATTTGACAAGTTTTTACATGGCTTATCTTTATTATCATCCAGATAAATTATTTTTTAATGTCCACTGAGATTTATTTCTCACCTGCTGTTTGTTAAAAATATATTTAAAATTTTAAAAATAATTTTTTAACAGATTTGGGTTTCTGGCTTAATTATAAGTCAGGAAATATACACTACATGATTTTAATTCTTTGAAATTTTTCGAGAATTGCTTTATGACCTAGCATATAGTCAAGTTTAAAAAATGTTTTGTATGCACTTGAAAAGAGTGTGTATTCAACAGTTGGTGAGTAGTGACATCTGTATCTATATACATGTATATATAAATTCAATCAAGTTTGTTAATGAGTTGTTTAAACTTTTTGTCTCCATACAATTTTTCATTTAACTATTCTATCAGCTTCTGATAATTGTGTCAAATACTTCCACTATAATTTCATGTCCCAGGTGTGGCATGAAAGCAGCAGAGAGAACTACTGGATCTGAAAATGAAGCTGATAAAGATAATGGACATCTTTCAGTTGATTACCTGTGTGGACAGACGACCCAATTCCTATAGGGCCACTCCTATAGGAGTGTTGTGCTGTTGAATATTCACAAGACTCTGAAAAACTGGTACAACTTAGGGAACAGAAGGGGAATCCCTAGTAAAGTGAGGCTATATTTTTTCAAAGCTCAATGGGACAGAGGCTCAAAAAAAAAAAAAGAATAGATCAGGTTTGTAGAAGGGGGGTGAAGAAGATGGTTGAGTAGAATCTTTGAGCAATTGTCCTCCTTTAGTAAAATCATCTGAACAACTATTCACACAAGAAAGCACCTTTGTAAGAACTAGAACATCAGGCGCTGATGCATGTTCACCTGCATCAAGAACATTCAGGGAAATATAACCTCAACAAATGTTCTAAAGAAGTCACCAGTGACATCCTAAAGTGAAGACAATGTGACAATGTGTGATCTCTCAGAAAGTGAATTCAAAATCGTTGTTTTGAGGAAGCTCAATAAACTTTAAGAAAACAGGGAAACAATTTAGAAATTTATTAGATAAATTTAAAAATCTCTTGATTGAAGCAATAATTTAAAAAAACACCCAGATATCCTGGAGCTGAAAAATACAGTTGGCAAACTAAAAAATGCATCAGAGTGTCCCAACAACAGAATTTATCAAGCAGAAAAAAGAGTTCAAAGACGGGCTATTTGAAGGCACACCATCAGAGAAGAAAGGAAAAAATGAAAAATGCTTGTGAGATCTAAAAAATAGCCTCAAAAATAATCTAAGTGTCATTGGTCTTAAAAAGGGAGTGGAGAAAGAGATAGTGGTAGAATGTTCAATCAAAGAGATAATAATGGAGAAACTCCAAGCCTAGAGAAACATATAGAGATCCAAGCACAAGAATGTCAAAGATCACCAGGCAGCTTAAACTCAAAAACGATACTCCAAGGCATATAACATTCGAACTCTCAAAAGGTCAAGGACAAAGAGAGGGTCCTAAAAGCATCAAGAGAAAAGAAACAAGAGACTCAAACATCTCAATTGCAAAAATAATCCCAAATAATCTGATTTAAAAGGGGGAGGAAGACCTGAATATACATTTATCAAAAGAAAAGATGCAAATGACCAAAATATATATTTTAAAATGCTCAATATCACTAATCATCAGGAAAATGCAATCAAAACTGCAATGAAATGACCAGTTAAAATGATATAGCCAGTTAAAATGGCTATTATCAAAAAGACTGAAAATAATGATACCAGTGAGGATGTGCAGAAAATGGAATGTTCATACACTGTTGGTAGAAAAGTAAATTAGTACTGCAAGTATGAAAAGCAATATAGAAGTTCCTCATAAAACTAAAAATAGAAACTACCATATGATCTAGCAATTTTGCTGCTGAGTATACACTTAAAAAAAGGAAATCAGTATATTGAAGAAATATCTGCACTTCCATGTTTATTGCAGCACTATTCACAATACTCAAGATATGGAATTAACCTACATGTTCATCTATGGATGAATGGATAAAGAAAATGTAGGATATATACATAATGGACTACAGTTTAGCCATAAAAATGAAATCCTGTCATTTGTGACAACATGGATGAATCTGGAAGATATTATGTTAGAGGAAGTAAGCCAGGCACAGAAAGACAAATATCACATGTTCTAACTCATACGTGGGAACTAAAAATATATATCATGGAGATAGTAAGTAGAGTGGTGATTATCAGCGGCTGGAAAGGCCTGGAGAGAGGGGAGAATGAAGAGAGATTGGTGAATGGATACAAAAATACCATTAGAAGGAATAAATTTTAGTGTTTGTTAACCCATCAGGGTGACAAGAATTTATTGTATATTTTTAAATAGCTAGCAAAGAAACTTCGAATGTTCCCAACACAAAGAAATGATAAAGGTTTGCGGTGATAAATATCCCAATTACCCTAATTTGACCATTACACATAGTAGTTATCAAAATATCGCATGTACCCCCATAAATATGTATTACTATGTGTATCAATAAAAAAGGAAAAATATAGGCCAAAATACAGAAAAAGTAAATTTTAGGCCAGGCACGGTGGCTCACACCTGTAATCCCAGCACTTTGGGAGTCCAGGATGGGTGGATCACAAGGTCAGGGGTTCGAGACCAGCCTGACCAACATGGTAAAACCCCATCTCTACTAAAGATACAAAAATTAGCTGGGTGTGGTGGCGGGTACCTGTAATCCCAGCTACTCAGGAGGCTGAGGCAGGAGAATTGCTTGAACCCGGGAGGCGGAGGTTGCAGTGAGCTGAGATCGAGCCACTGCACTCCAGCCTGGGCGACAGAGTGAGACTCTGTCTCAAAAAAGAGAAGAAAAAGTAAATTTTATTGTATCCGTATATTCATAGACTGAGGTTTATATCTGCTACCCAACTATATAAAAAATAAAGTTATCCATTTTTAGGGGCTTAATTTTTAGTTAAAGTACACAAGATTGCACAACAGAAGAAAAATAAGTGTGCAAATAAATGTATGTTAAGTATTGAATAAGTGAGACAAATTGTAAAAATCAATTAAAGCAAGCAATACCTAATAAAATAAAAATATTATTATGTTTGTACTGCCCACACGTTCTTTGTTTGACACCATGGGAATCTGAAGAATTGCAAGACATAGTTTCATCTTCAAAATGGCACATGTATACCTGTGTATCAAACCTGCACGTTGTGCACATGTACCCTAGAACTAAAGTATAATAAAAAAAGTTTACATCCTATGGGTTAAAAGCCTGTAAAAATGTGTCCTTCGAGCCCAGAATGATCATGTCAGCTTCTTTTCCCTGTCTTTCACCTTTAACACGTAACAGAATAAACTTCTCCTGGAAGCTGCTTGCTCTCTGCTACTCTCCTTTAGCCCAATGGATAGCACAAAGACTTGTATTTGTCAAATTTCCACTATTTTTCCCTAGCTTGAGGGGGAAAAAAAAGAAATAAAGGGCTATATGGTAAATTTGAAAAATAATGATAAACCTATTTAAATAAAACACTAAATTAAAGAAATGTCCCTACAATGATGCCTTGGTAGTTTGGTGATATAAAATATTGTTAATTTAATAAAGCAGTAATAATGACAGATTTTTAAAAAATTACTTGGCGAAATTTTAAAAATGGGAAATTTTACTGATCAATGAAATTTTAAAGTTACTTTTCACTGCTCTAGAATCTCTTTTAGGGGTAGAGCATTTGGCCCTTATAGGCTTAATTCTGTATGTGGATGTGGTTGATCTGCTTGAATGCTTGTTCTGAGGGTCTCCAACAAGGAAGAATTAACTTTCTATCCCAGAAAGGGAGGTCTTCCCTGGGAGTTGAAGTAGTACTGTCCTTGGAGAGGTGTGGGCAGGAGATAGAAATAGAGAATTTCTATAAAAAGACATTCCTCTTAACTGCACGAAGTTGGCTGCATTATTGGAGAAATAATTCTATCCATTAGTGATATTTTGGAAAGAATAATGTCAGCCTGGACATTCCAGCTCCTATTTCATTTTTTCATACTAGGTTTTATTTGATAAAAGCCCCTTCAGAGCCTAAAATGACTGAACAGAGGAGTCAGATAGCTCGAATTTGTAAAATGTAAGAAAGAACTAAAGGGTGAAACTGCCTGTGGTGAGCAATGGGATTTTTAAGATACGGGATGAAATTGTCTTTGAATACGTGGCTGCATGCAAGGGAGGGGGAAGAAGCCAGAGAATAGGATAGTGGTCTTAGATTTCATTCTTTTTTTTCTAATTCACTGCAATTCTTTTCTAACATTTGTCTGATTTGGAGAGAAGGAACATTATGCCTCATATGTCAGTGCATGGTGTTTGTCTTGCTGAAGGCTGAGAATATGGAGTGGACTGAGAAGAAACTGTTCTTATTGACATAATTTTATCGTAGAAATGATGTAAGAGCAGCATTGATCTCTTTAGATGAACTAGGACCTGACTTTGCATTGTCTTTGTTTTTCAGCAGCACAGAGAGTTCAGAAACTAGGAGGTATGGAGAAGGCCCCAGCTACTAACATCATTAGGAATAAAGTTTTTGCTTTCCTTCATAGCTGGAAATCTCGCTCCTCTGGCTCAGAAAAATAAAGGGCTCTACCTCTCTTGAGAACCCTCAGCACCTAGGACAAGGAGAAACTTAGTGCTTCCAGTGGAGGGGGCTGGTGACATGAAGTCTACAAAGTTCCCAAGAGAGGACAAAACCTGAGAGCATCAGCATGTCTCATGCAAACTTCCTCTGCCCCTGGAAAAAACTCTGGGGGATCCAGGCAGGAGAAGAGATAAGCTGTGGCCCACATGGCTCCCTGGAGAGAAAGACAGCTCTGCTCTGGTTTACTGGGCTAACTGGAAGACAGCATTCCCAGAAAGGCTATTATGGAGCAGAATTGTAGCAACGGTGTTCTTTCCCCCAGCTAGTGGAGCTGAGCTTATAATGCAGCTCAGCCTTCAGCACATGCAGAGATCCACCAACAGAAAAAGAAGGGCCCTTCTAATGTTTGTACAGTCCATAAATCAGTTCTCTGGTGGAGACAGCCTCACCCTTGTTCTTTTGGTGGTCTTTTCTTTTTTACCCGGTACCTTAACCAGGAACTGACTTGTCTTTGCTCACTTACCTTAACTTGAAATATTATCTTATATGTTCTTCCTGTGGTGGAAGATTGATTTTTTTCCATCATTCTCTTCTCTAATACCTCTTCTTCATTATTTTCTATTGAATGCCAGCTCCTTTCCCTCTTCTCAAGAAGAGGGAAAAGACACATGTCATAACCATTTTCCCTATTGAAGGAAGCTGGCAGTTTTATAACGTAACTCTCATTACATTCCTAAGACAGAGACTGGGATGGGTGTAGTGCAGTGGTCTTCAAACTTATTTTTTAAACATTCACAATTTTCTTTACAATTTTTTGAATTCATCTCTTAGTTACAAATTCATTTATTTGTAAGTTATACATAGTTGATTATACTAATCTGTGCATTTAAAAACACAAAAATAAAACATTTAAATAGTTGAGTTAAATTTGAAATATATAATATTAATTTTTTATCAATTTTAGCTAGTCTCTTACATCACTATATATCATCAAGGCAAAGTTCATCATTAATAATAATGGAAGTAAATGTGTAATTGTTTCAGCTCACAGTGTAGCCGATAAAGAGATTGTTCTAGCAGGAAAAGTAATAGGACTTCCACTTTTTGGTTGTTTGCTTGTGCTTGCTTTATGAAGAGTCTCTTTAATTTGCAATTTCTCACAGGAATCTTTTTAAGCCCCTCATTCCTTTTATGATGGTTAATGTAATAAAAACTAGATAAGATCATCTGTAAACTTATGTAGACAGATACATGTACATTATTTTTGTCTTAATATTCAATATGCTGAAAGTGCATAATGTGTGAGGTTCCCTACTGTTAATGGCCCTGGGCCATAGATTCACACTCAGGAAAGCATGTGTACTGTATGTGAAATGAATCCATCTCAAATAGGCTCTGAGTGTATCATTGCCAATATGCACATTACATATCTGTAAACCTTATATTTATTATGTTATAGATACAAATAAATAAAATGTTAAGTATTTTCTTCCCAGTCCAATGAATCATTTCGCACATTCATCAATGTGTGGACAGCCTATATTAAGAACCATCACCGGTTTAGTGAATGTGTAAGAGACTCTTAGTGATCCACCATTATCTCACTTGGAAACCCTAAAAACAACAGATGCCATATGATCACGTTATATCCAACAGGTCAATGTAAATGGAAGAGATGTGGATCTACTAGGTTGTACACTTAAAGGGAAGAGGCTTGTTTTTTGTTTTAGCCGTTTGTGTTTACTGAGAAATTCTTAAGATGGATAGAGGTAAAGCCTTCACAAAAGGCCTTGTGATGAAATCCTCACATTGAGAATTTCTAGGGAAGGAAATAGAAGGGAGTGACATCAGCAGGATGGCTGGTTAGTGCTGCCTAATGCTTGTCTCTGCACAAAAAAGGACCAAAACAATAAACAATCACATTTCAATGACAGTATCTGAAGGAGAGTGCTTGAGTAAAACAGGGGAATGACAGAGACCCTGTGAGGCATGGAGATTTGAGATGGCTGCACTAAAAAGGCAACAAAATACCCTGTCTTTGCCACCCCATCTCCCCAATTAGGATCAGCTTAGAATCAGGATGGACTCTTCCTACTGGGAAAAAGTGAATGGGAGACCCCCAAGTGCTCCAATTAAAGCCACGGACACTTACTGCAGTCTTTGCTGCTGGAGAACTCTGCAGTCTGCAAAGACCCCCAGACCGGTCAAGGAAACTGCCTGGAGTTCACATGGCCATATTACCTCAAAGAAGCAGCCCACATTATGCTCCCTCCTCCATGATCTAAGCTGCTACCCTAAAGTGCCATCTTAAGACTGAAGTCACTTCTCCAGTACATCATGTTCCACGGCCAGTAGCCACTGCATCTCCCCATCCCCAAGGCTCCACCACCACTACACCATGCCCATACATGGTAGTGCACTATTCCTAGTCAAGTAGCCATAGCCCCATACCCCTTAAGAATAAAGTGCCTAGGAGGCACTTCAACTTTTCCATCCCAGTGACTGTAGCATGCCAACCTCATTTACTTGCAGTGTAGGCCCAGCAGTACAGCTGTAACTGTGGAACCCAGGCCCAGCTGATGCCCCACTGTCCAAAGAACAGATAGTCATGCCTAGGAAAGAGGCATTGCCTGACCCTGGTGAAGCAGCCTCATGTCCCTTTCCCCAGTAAATAGGACATGCCCAACCCTGGTCCAGCTGACCTCAAGCACTGATAAAACAGACTGCTGTTTTTGACTCCAGTAGGGAGGCTGGGAGTGACCCCAGCAGAGCAGCCTCTATGCACCCATGCAGGATGGCCTGGTACCCCCCCACCCGCTAGTGGGGTGGCTACACCCAATTTAGTGGAACAGCTGCACAAACTCCTGCAGCCTAGGCTTCTAAGGTATTTGAAGGCATGCTGACATTGACTACAGTTAAAGGAACTGCATGGAGACTATACTTCTGAGCCCACATGGAGCCAAAGCCAATGCACCCTATTCAAACAATACCCTAGGACACATCTGCAGCCAAAACTCTTTCCCTGTGGTAGCCACTGTATAAAATTGAAAGAAGTGACCATTCCACAAGATGCACAGATATCAACATAGGGACACAAAAAATACAAAAAAGCAAAGAAACATGACATCACCAAGGGAATAGAAATCTGCAGTAACTGACCTCAAGCAATGGAAATTTACAAATTACCTGAAAAAAATGCAAAATAATGTTCTTAAGAAAACTCAGGAAGATGTAAGAGAATACAGATAGAAAATAAAATAAAATCAAGAAAATAAATCATGATTTGATGGAGAAACTCAACAAAGAGATAGATATCATTAAAAAAAACTTAGAAATCTTGGAGTTGAGGTCTTCAGTAAATGAAATAAAAATACCCTTAAAAGCTTCAACAGCAGTCTAAGATCAAGCAGAAGAAAGAATTTTTGAACTTGAAGACCAGTCTCTTGAATAACCCAGTCAGGGGAAAAAAAGAAAAAAGAATGAAAAATAGCAAAAATAATCCGATGAGGCCTTTTGGACACCAACCATTAAATGAACAAATGTTTGCATTATGTGATTTTCATAGGAAGAACAGATGGAGAAAGGCATAGAAAACTTATCGAACGAAATAATAGCTGAAAATGTCTCATGTTTTGGGAGAGATATGAATATGCAGATACATGTAGCTTAAAGGATCCTAATTAGATTCAACTCAAAGAGATCCTCTCCAAGGTACATTATAATTAAACTATCAAAAGTCAAAGACAAAAAGAATTATAAACACATCAAGTCAATATGTAAGTGAACCACCATTAGACTATAAGCAGATTTTTCAGAAGAAACCTTGCAGGCCAGGAGAGAATAGGATCATGAATAGGATGACCTACTCAAAGTGCTAAAAGAAAAAAATCATCATCTAAAAATACTATACTCAGCAAAGCTATCTTTCAAAAATGAAGACACAAAATTCCAGACAAGTAAAAGCTATGGAAATGTATCACTGCTTGTATTAGTCTGTTCTCATGCTGCTGATAAAGACATTACCTGAGACTGGGAAATTTCCAAAAGAAAGATGTTCAATGGACTTACAGTTCCACATGTCTGGAGAGGCCTCACAATCATGGTGGAAGGCAAGGAGGAGCAACTCACATCTTACATGGATGGCAGCAGGCAAAGAGAGAGAGCTTGTGCAGGGAAACTCCCCCTTATAGTACCATCAGATCTTGTGAGACATATTCACTATCATGAATAAGTGATACTGCTGAAAAACCTGTCCCCATGATTCAATTACATCCCACTGGGTCCCTCCCACGACACATGGGAATTTAAGATGATATTTGGGTGGGGACACAGGCAAACCATATTACTGCTATACTGACCTTACAACAAATGATTAAGGGAATGCTTTAACTGGAAGTGAAAGGACTTTATTACCATTAAATCACAGAATATAAAACTCACTGAGAGAAAAGCTCATAATCAAATTCAGAATACTGCATTACTGTGATAGTGGTATGTAAATCTTTCAAATGTCTAGTATGAAGGTTAAAAATCATCTACAATTACCAAAACTAAATACACTGTTAAGAAATACACAACATAGAAAGATTTTAATTAAGGCAACAAAATGAAAAATTGTGGGGAAGAGGGTAAAAGTCTAGAATATTTGTATGTGACCAAAGCTAAGTTGTTACCAACTTATAATGGTATTTTATAGCTGTAATGTTTTATGTAAACCCAGAGTAATTTAAAAAATTACAGCAGATACACATATGAAAAAGAGAAAGGAAACAAAACTTATCACTAAAGAAATCACTAAACCACAAAGGTAAACAACAAGAGAGGGAGAAGAACAAAAGATCTATAAAATAACCAGAAAATAACTAGCAGAATGACAGTAGTAAGTTTTTACCTATCAGTAATAACCTTGAATGTAAACTGATTAAGTTATCCAATTAAATGATATAGAGTGAGTGAATTGATAAAAAAGAAAAAAAGACCCATTTAGATGCTGCCTGCAAATGAGTCATTTTACCTGTAGGACACACATACACTGAAAGTAAAGGGATGAAAAAGGATATTCTATGGAAACGGGATAAGAGATATTTCATGCAAATGAAAGCCAAAAGAGAGCAAAAGTAGTTATACTTAGATCTAGACATTAAGTTAAAAAAGTAAAAAGATGCAAAGATGGTTATAAAGGTGTCAATTCAACTAGGGGACATAACAACTATAAATTTATATGCATCTGACACTTGGATAGTCAAATATATAATGCATATGTTATAAATCTAATTAGAGAGATAAACTGTAACATTTAATAATAGTAGGGGACTTAAGCACCCCATGCTTAGCAATGGACAGATCATTTAGAAAGAAAATCAGTAAAGAAACATTGGATTTCAAATGGACTCTATATAAAATGAATCTAAGAAACTTTTACAGAATATTCCACCCAACAGCTATAAAATCCAGTCTTCATCAGCACATGGAATGTCCTCCAGGACAGATCACATGTTAGGCCATAAAACAAGTCTCAAAAAAATGTAAAAATATCTTAATCATATCAAGCATCTTTTCTGACCACAGTGGGATAAAATCTGAAATTAATAACAGGAGGAATCTTGAAAACAAGCAACGTATACAAAAATTAAACAATAGAGTCCTGAATAACAAATGGGTCAGTTAAGATATTAAAAAGGAAATTAAAATTTTCTTCAAACAATGAAAATGAAAATACAACATACCAAAGGCTATTAGATACAGCAAAGGCAGTTATTTGAGGAAAACTTATAGCAATAAATGCATACACCAAAAATTTGAAAGATATCAAATAAACCACATAATGTTGCACCTGAGGAATTAGAAAAACAAGAACAAACTAAACCCAAAAATATTAAAAGAAAAGAAATAATAAATTACACTATAAAATTACAAAAGATCAATAAAACAAAGAGTTTTTAAATGATAAACAAAACAGACATACCTTTAGCTAGACCAAGTAAGAAAGAGAGAAGATTAAAATAAATAAAGTTAAAGATGAAAAAGTAGACATCACAACTGATATCAAAGAAATACAAAGGATTGTTAGAGATTATTATAAACAACTATATGCCTATAAATTGGAAAACCATTAACAGAAATTGATAAATTCCTAGACACATACAACCTACTAAAATTGAATCATGAAGAAATAAAAATTCTGAACAGATCAATAATGAGTAAGAAGATTGATTCAGAAATAAAAGGTTTCCCACCAAAGAAAAGTCCAGGAGCTGATGATTTCAGTGCTAAATTCTACCAAACAGTTAAAGAAGAACCAATACAAATACTTTTCAAACTATTCTAAAATATTAAAGAAAATACAAAATTTATTGTATAAGACCAGCATCCCTTGGTACCAAAACCAGACAAAGACACAACAGCAACAAAAAAGGAAAACTACAGGCAAATTTCTCTGATGAACATACATACAAAAATACTCCACAAAATACTAGCAGATTGAATTCAACAACACATTAAAAAGATCATTCACTATACTCAAGTGGAATTCATTTCAGGCATGCAAGGATGATTCAACACACACAAATCAATAAACATGATGCATGATATTAACAGAATCAAGGAGAAAAACTGTCACTTTAGTGGATACAGAAAAAGCATTTGATAAAATTCAACATCCTTTCATGATAAAAACTCTCAGTAACTTAGATATAAAAGGAACATATCTCAACACAATAAAGGCTATATATGACAAATCCACATTAACACCATACTAAATTAGGAAAAGTAGAAAGCTTTCCCCCTAAAATCTAGGATAGGAAATAATACCAGCTTTTGCTACTCCTGTTCACCTTAGTACTGGAAGTCTTAGCCAGAGCAATTAGGGAAAAGAAAGGAAAAAAAAAAGGCATACAAATTGGAAAGGAGGAAGTCAAATTATTCCTGTTTCCAGTGGACATGATTTTATATGTAGAAAACACTAGAGACTCTACCAAAAAACTGCTAGAACTAATACACAAATTCAATACAGTTTCAGAATAAAAAATCAGTATACAAAAGTCAGTAGCATTTCTGTACACCAATAATGAATAATCTAAAAAAGAAATCAAGAAAGCAATCCCATTTACAATAGCTACAAAAAATAAAATACCTTGGAATAAATTTAATCAAGATGGTGAAAGAATGCCACAATGAAAACTATAAAACAGAGATGAAAGAAATTGAAGAGATAACAACTAAGTGGAAAGATATTGTGTGTGTATGGATTGGAAAAATCAATATTGTTAAAATGTCCATAGTATTCCAAGTGATTTACAGAGTCAATGCAATTCTTATCAAGGGAATTGAACAATGAGAACACATGGACACAGGAAGGGGAACATCACACACCGGGGACTGTTGTGGAGTGGGGGGAGGGGGAAGAGATAGCATTAGGAGATATACCTAATGCTAAATGATGAGTTAATGGGTGCAGCACACCAACATGGCAAATGTATGCATATGTAACAAACCTGCACGTTGTGCACATGTACCCTAAAACTTAAAGTATAATAATAATAAAATTTTTTTAAAAAAGAAAAAAGTAAAAAAAAAAAAAATACCAATGACATTCTTTGCAGCCATAAAAAAGAAACCTATTTAAAATTTGTATGGGGGGACAGGCCAAGATGGCTGAAGAGAAACAGCTCCTGTCTGCAGCTTCCAGCAAGACCAACCCAGAAGACAGGTGGTTTCTGCATTTCCAACTGAGGTACCCAGTTCATCTCACTGGGACTGGTTAGGCAGCGGGTGCAGCCCACAGAGAGCAAGCAGAAACAGGATGGGGTGTTGCTTCACCTGGGAAGTGCAAGGAGCCAGGGGACCTCCCTCCCTCCAGCCAAGGGAAGCAGTAAGGGACTGTGCTACCCACCCCGAGAACTACTATGCTTTTCCCACAGATTTTTGCAATCTACAGAGTAGGAGAGTCTCTCCTGAGCCTACACTACCAGGGTCCTGGTGAGAGGTGACAGCATGCTGGCAGTCCTCACAGCCCTCGCTCGCTCACTCTCGGCGCCTCCTCTGCCTGGGCTCCCACTTTGGCA
Source organism: Homo sapiens (assembly GCF_000001405.40). NCBI lineage: Eukaryota > Metazoa > Chordata > Mammalia > Primates > Hominidae > Homo > Homo sapiens. The sequence continues at coordinate 159,495,089 of NC_000001.11, read as the reverse complement.
GCACTTGAGGAGCTCTTCAGCCCACCGCTGCACTGTGGGAGCCCCTTTCTGGGCCAGCCAAGGCCGGAGCTGGCTCCCTCAGCTTGCAGGGAGGTGTGGAGGGAGAGGCGCCAGGAACCAGGGCTGCACGTGGCGCTTGCGGGCCAGCTGGAGTTCCGAGTGGGCGTGGGCTTGGCGGGCCCTGCACTCGGAGCAGCTGGCCGGCCCTGCCGGCCCCGGGCAATGAGGGGCTCAGCACCCGGGCCAGCGGATGTGGAGGGTGTACTGGGTCCCCCAGCAGTGCCAGCCCACCTGTGCTGCGCTCCATTTCTCGCCGGGCCTTAGCTGCCTTCCCGTGGGGCAGGGCTCGGGACCTGCAGCCCGCCATACCTGAGCCTCCCACCCTCTCCGTGGGCTCCTGTGCCGACCGAGCCTCCCCAATGAGTGCCGCCCCCTGCTCCATGGCACCCAGTCCCATCGACCACCCAAGGGCTGAGGAGTGCGTGTGCATGGCGGGGGACTGGCAGGCAGCTCCATCTGCAGCCCTGGTGCGGGATCCACTGGGTGAAGCCAGCTGAGCTCCTGAGTCTGGTGAGGATGTGGGGAACCTTTGTGTCTAGCTCAGGGATTGTAAATACACCAGTCAGCACCCTGTGTCTAGCTCAGGGTTTGTGAATGCACCAATGGACACTCTATATCTAGCTACTCTGGTGGGGCCTTGGAGAACCTTTATGTCTAGCTCAGGGATTGTAAATACACCAATCAGCACTCTGTATCTAGCTCAAGGTTTGTAAATACACCAATCAGCACCCTGTGTCTAGCTCAGTGTTTGTGAATGCACCAATGGACGCTCCGTATCTAGCTATTCTGGTGGGGACTTGGAGAACCTTTGTGTCTAGCTCAGGGATTGTAAATGGCACCAATCAGCGCCCTGTCAAAACAAACCGCTGGGCTCTACCAATCAGCAGGACGTGGGTGGGGCCAGATAAGAGAATAAAAGCAGGCTGCCTGGAGCCAGCAGTGGCAACCCGCTGAGGTCCCCTTTCACACTGTGGAAGCTTTGTTGTTTTGCTCTTTGCAGTAAATCTTGCTATTGCTCACTCTTTGGGTCCACACTGCTTTTATGAGATGTAACACTCACCACGAAGGTCTGCAGCCTCGCTCTTGAAGCCAGCGAGACCACGAGCCCACCGGGAGGAATGAACAACTCCAGCCACGCAATGAACAACTCCAGGTGTCCGCCTTAAGAGCTGTAATACTCACTGTGAAGGTCTGCAGCTTCACGCCTGAAGCCAGCGAGACTACGAACCTACCAGAAGGAAGAAACTCCAAACACATCCGAATATCAGAAGGAACAAACTCCAGACGCGCCACCTTAAGAGCTGTAACACTCACCGCGAGGGTCCACGGCTTCATTCTTGAAGTCAGTGAGACCAAGAACCCACCAATTCCGGACACACTGGGTTTCAAGCACAAAACTTGGGCGGGTGTTTGCGCAGGCACCAAGCTAGCTGCTAGAGCGTCCATGCTAGCCATGCCCAGAGTCCAGAGCAGTTCATAGCATCAGAGGCCTTACTGTCCTCTCTCCTCAGCTATATTCTCCAGAAATTCCTAGTTCACTACCATATACCTTAAGCTTAGGTAGTCCTTGGCACTTGGGTGACAAAAGCCTAATCTATCAGGTCATTTTAGGGAAGTGGCTTAGATGTCTTTCATAGAGCGCATGGAAGATAAAAGTGATTTGTGACGTTGTGCTTGGGACTTGGCATGGAATTTCACCTGTTTGTGCTAATCCCTTCCCTGACAGACTCACCAGTGTGAAGCTGAGAGAAAAATCATTCCAGGGACTTGGACCCACAATGGCCACACAGAGATGAACTGGGGGCTTAGGATAGAATAGATCACTCTCAATTGGCGTTCCGATAGGATTGCTGTATGGCACAAAAATTCCAGGAGCATGATTCACAGTGAATATAGTAGCAGCTATAGGAGTGATTAATAGCAAAGATGTTGGAGCCAGACTGTCTGGGTTTGTGTCCTGGCTCAGCTTCTTATAACCGTGTGATTTTGGGCAAGCTTTTAAACTTTCTGTACCCCAGTTTCCTCAAGTGCAGGAATGGTATTAGTGTCTACTTTGTAGAGCCGTTATGAAGACTAAATAAATTAATATAAATAACTGTTTAGAAGAGTACACCGTGAGCATAATATAAGTGTTTCTCTTTTGACATGCTGAGGCTGTGTCCTTCACCTAGTTGGCCTGTGGCTCCATCTGGGATAGAGTGGGGGTGAGGAAAATGCTAATAAATGTTATAGAAGAGATGAAAGAAGGAAGACCCAGACAATACTTGGCTTCTGACACAATGAGATGATGCAATAGGTAAATAACTTTACAAGCTAGATTACTGTGCTATGAAATAATTTGCTAAATTATTTTAGAAGCACTCCATTCCTCCCATACATAGCTTACCTATCAACAATTAGCCCTGAGGAAAAGTAAATTCTAAAGTTTTCCTATAGTGTAGAGAAGAAGGTATTTCTACCTTTAGTAGCTATTCCATGAGGATTGATTCTTTATATACAAAACAGATAAAAATAAGGGAAGTCTAAGAAGACCCTGCTCCCTTTCCACTGAGGGACAAGAAGATCAGTGTGAGGGAGGAGAGTCTTATATTCAAAATGTGGGTCTTCAGCTCGGACTGGGTGAAGGGAACATTTGAGAAGTAAAGGCAATGTTAAGAACAGAGAGCTCCTGACTCAGATCTGATTTTGAATTCCAGATATCTGATGTGCAGGAGCCTGCAGTCCAAAACAAGGCAGCTCAACCTAGATAAGAGAGAATGCATAAGGACATTTCCAAGACACTCTCAGCGGTTTTAGGTAAGGACAATAGATCAAGAGATATGGGACTTCTGGGAAACTTGTGGCAAGGAAAGTAAACAACACAACTGAGGCTGGAGAAGAGGAGAGAATTGCCAAGCTAAGGGTTCTGCAGGAAGATGTGGTAAACACCCAAAGCTGGGAGTACACCTTGGCTCAGGAAGATATGGGTGATGTCATGGAAGAATAACCCAAGCCAGAAGAGTGGATCATCTGTTCACCAGCCACAGACTACAGTGTGTGTGTGTGTGTGTGTGTGTGTGCATGCACATATATATACACACATATGTATATACATATATGCATATGTATATACATATAAGTGTGTGTATATGTTTGTATCTTTTTGTCCAGATAAACCAGAAGACAGGTGGTCCAAGGAAGCAACTATCACCCTGTCTTTATCTATCTATGTATATATCTATCAAGAAAGAGAGATTTATTTTAGGAATTGGGCTCATATAATTGGGGAGGCTGGAAAGTTCAAAATCTGCAGGGTAAGGCAGCAGGCTGGAGACCCAGGGAGGAGTTGCAGTTTGAGTCTAAAGGTGGATTGCTGGCAGAATCCCTTCCTCTTCAGGGAGGTCAGTCTCTTTTTATTAAAGCTTTCAACTTATTGGATGAGGCCACGCACATTATAAAGGATAATCTGCTTTACTCAAAGTCTACTGATTTAAATGTTAGTCTGATCTTAAAAATACCTTAACGAAGGGCCGGGCATGGTGGCTCACACCTGTAATCCCAGCACTTTGAGAGGCCGAGGTGGGCGGATCAGCTGAAGTCAGGAGTTCAAGACCAGTCTAGCCAACATGCTGAAACCCTGTCTCTACTAAATATATAAAAATTAGCTCGGCATGGTGGTGGGCACCTGTAGTCCCAGATACTCAGCAGGCTGAGGCAGAATCGCTTGAATCCGGGAGGTGGACATCGCAGTGAACTGAGGTTGCGCCACTGCACTCCAGCCTGGGTGATAGAGTGAGACTCCATCTCAAAAAAAAAAAAAAGAAAGAAAGAAAACCTTCACGAAAATATCTAGACTAGAATAATATTTGATGAAATATGAGAGTATCATGGCCTAGTTAAGTTGACATATCAAATTAATCATTACAGAATTACAACCAGCAGGAGGACAACAGTAGAGATCTGGAGACCGGTGGGTACACGCAGAGACAGGGAGACTTTTTCCTCTTTTCTCCACCTATGAAGCATCACCCACACACCCTTCTCACTACTACCCGATATTGATACAAAACCAAGCTCATTCTGCCCATCATGCAGACAGCAAATTACTGATATAATGAGTTTTGCAGTAGAGAAAGATTTATTCATAGGGAAACCCAGAGAGGAGACAGGAGAACAGCTCTCAAATCGGCTTCCCTGAAGATAAGGCTGGCTCAGGGATATTCATGGGGTAAAGAAGCGAGGTGGTCTAAAGCATGAAGAAAAGTGATTGGCAGTAGGGATAAATGAGGTAACTGATGATGTGTACAAGTGTAGTTGGTGTTCATGGCTCCTTATAGGATGCATGTTCAGAAAATGGTGGTGTTATCACGATTTGAGAGAAGAATCTTTGGCTCTTTGACATCAAAAGCTCACCTCTTGAGCATTTGTGCAGGCCCAGTTGAAAGGTCAGTGGTCTTAACTGGTTTAAGTTGGACAAAAGCTGACCCCCAAGTTCCTGAAAACAACTTAAGCAATTGTTACCATGGTGACATATACATCAGAAGCATTATCTCTAAAGGAGCTCATGAAGGTTAAGTTATAGTGTTTAGCAGTGTGGCTTTCAGCTACATGGGTTAAAAACAATCAACAAAAAGCAAGTGACTAAAAAGATTAGCCCTTGGTTTCAACAAGATCTTGGGAAGAGAGACAAGGGTGGGGAAGGTTACCTGAGAGACTGTGTTTTTCTCCAAATGAGAGGCTACTATCTAAATGAACTGTAGAAATTACTGCATAGGACTAAGACTAACTATGTAATACACTTGTTTATTCCTGTTAACCAATGACTAGAGACCTGGCAGGAAGCAATCAGCTATAGACAATAAAGAATTTGTATTTTCTCTGCGTATCTGAACTTGTAGTATGAGTGAATTTAGTGACCACTCAATAGGACTTGAATCAACAGTTCAAGCTTCTCTCTTCTTTTCTGTATCCCTAAAAATTATCAGGTTTTGATATCCAGTAGCATTCAACATTGCCTGCATCATTCATCTTGTCTTCAGCAGAAGTGTCACTGACAAAGCTGGTCCCCCAAAAGATAGAGTCTTTCCTTGTTTCCTGTCATGAAGCCAATATACAAAACGAAAAGTGAGCATCAAGCAGAGCAAATTTTATTCGATGGCCATAGAATTCAGATGTGGGGGCATGGCTCACAAATCAATTTCTCCACTAGTGAAGGGTGAGAGGGCTAAAATATAATATTTCTTTAATGAATGTTTATTTAATGACATTACAAGTAAGGGGAGAAATATTCATGTGTTTTCCAAAAATGGGCCGTGAACTCCCTGGAACCAGAGTTCTCCCTTCCTTTTTGTCGTTTTATGGCTTCTGGTCATTGCCATGGCGATTGTCAACAGTCACAGCACTGATAGGAGTGTCATTTAGCATGGAAATGAGATTATAATGAAACCTGAGGTTTTTTTGAAGTTGATCTCTCTTGGTTATAACCAGTTTCAGCTGGTCTGGCTATAAAGGAAAATTTTTATTGCAGGTATTCTTTTTCTTAAAGATCAGCAAAGTTAGGGCAGAGTAGAAATTCAGCTATGTCACACAGGCATTACGCTGGGTAACAGAAGGATATCAGTCCAGAGTTCCACTGTAGCCATTGGGAGCCATCTCTACCATATCTATCTACCCATTTCAGAAAGAATCTAACTTTCTCTTAACAGGTTGTGTTAGATGACTTAGTTATATAAACAACATCCCCAGGGGCTATCATCAGAAAGATGAATGGGTGGTGCAGAGGTGATTTTTTTCAGTGCTTTGAAACTATTTTGTATGATTATATAATGGTGGATATATGTCTCTGTAAACTTGTCAAAACCCATAGTCTGTACAACACACAAAGAGGATGCTAATGAGAATTTTAGACTTTGGTTGATAATGATGTATCAATGTTGGTTCATGGATTGTAACTGGTGCTGGATATTGATGGTTGGGGAGGCTGTATGTGGGAGTGGGGAGAGGGTATGTGAGAACTTTCTGTACTTTCTGCTCAACTTTGTTGTGAACCTACGACTGTTCTAAAAAATAAAGTCTATTCAACTCAATTTTAAAATTCAAAAAACAAAATAAAATAAAATATCCATCCTCTCTTGTCTTCTTCAGCAAATCTTGTGGATACTGAAAGAATAGCCAGTGTCCCAAAACACATTAGAAGATGCTCAGCATCTAATCAGGGAAGTGCAAGTCAAACAGTATTGGGATATCATTTTTGCCTCAAGTTACAGAAGTTTAGAACTCTTCAGCCCTTCCAAGAATATGGAGAAATGGGGATTCATATATTGGTGATATCACTGTGAAAGGCTACAAATATTGTAAAGTTACTTGGAACACTGTTATAAAATTAAAAAAAATACCCATTGACTCATAAATCACTAAGTCTAACAACCTAATAGGTCCCAGTATGTAAAAGTATATTTAAAAGAATGATCGTCACACTATGTTTTAATTGTAAATATGTAAAACAACCATTAACAGGAGAATGGTTGAATAAATTATACTCCATATTTACTATGGAATATTATGCAGCTACATAAAATGAGTTAAACCTGTGTGTATTAATCTGAAGTGACAGTTATAGCATATTCTAAGTGAAAAATGCATATTGCAGAGTAATGCGTGTGGTTTAGTCTTGGTAAACATAAAGAAACAAAGGGAAATAGGTATCTTTATATTTGTTAATGCAGAAAGATAAGGGGTAAAAGGGTAGAGAATAAACCGTTAACACTGATTACTTTGGGAATGAGGAAAAGTGAAGAGACTGTTGACTTTCTTTATATGCTGACAGTTGTTTTATTGTTCAAACAAGTAGGTACTGCTTTTGTAGCTTGAAAGCAAAATTCAATAAATTGTAGAGGGAATAAATACAACAAAAGAGATGCTGTGGATGGTATGGCCTCAGGGTCAAACATCTATAGTCCATCAGACTTTTTACATTGCCAAGAGTGACTGCCTCTTAGTACAGCTCCTGTGCATTACTATACTAAGAAATTCATCTCTTTTCTGTGCTTTGAGGGATGTTATAAAAATATAAACCTTCTGCACTCTGTGCAAGGTACATGACTTGCTGCAGGATGAGAAGTCTATTAGTCAAGGTTCAGTAAGTAGGTGAAGAGAAAGATCTCTACTCCCACCCCATCCCATCCCCGTCCTGTTCCTAAATTGGTATGCATCCAGCTTAAGAAGAATGTAGGGGGTAATGGGTCATGCCCCCAAAAAGGAGTTAAAGGGATGAGAAAATTTTCCTACTTAAAAAGGTTCTAGCATTCTATAGCACTGTAGGATGACTGAAGTTAGCAATAATATATTATGTAGTTTCAAATAGCTAGAAGGATATTGAATGTACCCAACACAAGGAAATGATAAATGTTTGAGATGATGCATATGCTAATTACCCTCTATATATGTATCACAACATCACTATATACTCCACAATGTGTACAATTATTACATGCCAATTATAGTTATTTTAAAAAAATAAAAAAGTATGTCCAGTCTAACATCAAAGCTCAAACATAATGTATTAACCATCTACTTATGCATAACAAATTACTTCAAAACTTACCAGCTCACCTTCCTGTGACCATGTGTTCTCATTGTTCAATTTCCACCTATGAGTGAGAACACGCGGTGTTTGGTTTTTTGTCCTTGTGATAGTTTGCTGAGAATGATGACCTGCACGTTGTGCACATGTACCCTAAAACTTAAAGTATAATTTAAAAAAAATTACCAGCTCATACAGTTTCTGTGGGTCAGGACACTGGGAGTGACTTTGCTGGTTGGTTCTGGATCAGAGCCTCTCATGAGTCAAGGTATTTTCTTGGGCTCATCAGAAGACTCAACTGGGGCTGGAGGACCAGCATTCAAGGGGGTCACTCACATGGCTAGTGAGTTAGAGCTGGTTGTTGTCGAAAGACCTTAAGTTCTCCCATGTGTGCCCTCTTTCAGGGCTGCTTAGTGTCCTTAGAGATAGGACAGTTGGCGTCTCCCAGAGCTACTGATCCTAGGAAGAAAGCAAGGATAATGCCACAGTGCCTTTTATGACCTAGCCTCAGAAGTCACATGCAGTCCCTATTGTACATTCTACTCCATTAGTGGCAAGTCACTAAGCAAAGGTCACACTCAAGGAGAGAGGAGTTAGGCTCCATTATTTGAAGCGAAGAGTATGTGAGAGTGTGTAAACATTAAGCTACAACCACCACACAATACTCATTGGTACCCTGCTGTTTTCTAGCTTTCAGGAATTCCTAAAAATTTCAGGTCCACTGAAGACATTCTTTTTCTCCAGAGGTTTGTGAAGTATTTTCTTAACAGCTTTTCTTTAACTTCATTGAGCTGTGGTGATCTAGGTTCTCCATTCCTTTTTTTAGGTCCTGTATTTACTTCCATTTATACAAGACCAGAACTCCACAAATTTTTGTAAAGACTTTTACTCATAGTTTTCCCCCCAAATCATGTATTTATTAATGCAACCATCCCAGGAGTCCATTGGAACTAATTCCATCATGACCTATATCCCTGTACTCATCAGCCACCATACAACCAATAGTGGCTGACTATAGAGCACTTACTCTATACCTGACACTGTCTGAATGGCTTGACACATATTCACATCAAATACACCAAGTCACCCCTCTCGATTGAGGTCTTCATTCACAGTCTAAATTGCTCTTTCTCCACTTCCAGTTGCCAAATCGTTTCCCTAGAGGATCCATGGCCCATCACTGGCAAGGTCCCTAATATCTTTGTCTCTTCTCTTGAATGTTTCCTTCACCTTTGTGTTCACACTGAAACCTGGCACTCCCTTGAAGCTCTGTCTCTATTGTGGCCCCTCATAGAGTAGATATTTTCTGTCCTGGGGATAGGGTAGCTCTTTGCTCCTTACTGCTGCTTCCAGTCCATTTCTCTCCATCCTCCTTAAAAATTTTTCAGCTTTGAAACTCCTGCTATCAGACTCCACTACTGGAACTGTCTCTCCCTTTTTTTTTTTTGAGGTGGAGTCTTGCTCCGTCCCCCAGGCTGGAGTGCAGTGGCGCTATCTCAGCTCACTGCAAGCTCCGCCTCCTGGGTTTGCGCCATTCTCCTGCCTCAGCCTCCCGAGTAGCTGGGACTACAGGCGCCCCCCACCACGCTCAGCTAATTTTTTTTTGTATTTTTAGTAGAGACGGGGTTTCACCGTGTTAGCCAGGATGGTCTTGATCTCCTGACCTCGTGATCCACCCGTCTCAGTCTCCCAAAGTGCTGAGATTACAGGGGTGAGCCACTGCGCCCGGTCCTTTTTTTTTTTTTCTTTTTTTTTTTTGGTCATTTAAAGACACTTCTGGTTACTCCCTTTACTTCCTTGAATATTTTAATTCCTACATTACTATCACTCTCTGTAATGCTATTATCATAATTCTTAGTGATTTTAATAACCATGTAGACTATCCTGTCAAAACCTTGGTGTTTCTGTTTTGTCTTATCCTCCGATAATTTTTGTTCTTACTCTAGCTCAGCCACATATTTCTATGTCTTATGCTAGATCTGTCCATTATCAAAAACTATATCCCCTCTGTTAATCACTATGTCCATCACTGCCTATATTTCCAGCTCTCTCCTTTTAGTATCTGAGGGAACAAATCTTTGACCTAAATAGCACTTTGTTGATCCTAACACTGTTTCTTACTCTTCTCCTGTCCTAGCTTCTCTTCTTACCCACCTTAGATTCCATGGTCCCTTTTTATAATCACTCTCTGGCAGAGTATCAGCTAATTTCTCTTTCCTTTGCATTTACCTAAAAAATCTCCAACCCTAGTTAAATCCAACTTTCAACCTACTTTGCCACGGAAACAAACAGTAGACAGTTGGAGAACAACACAAAGACCCTTTCATTCCACTCTGTGTTAAAGACACTGTGGGTTCAAGTATTGCTAGGCAACCTTATCATATTTTTCTAGTCCAAATTTGTTGCACATTAGAATATCCTGGGGAAGCTTTCAAAATAATCCTAATGTCCTGGTTATGCCCCAGACCATTTGAATCACAATATCGAGCTGGTAAATCAAGGCATCATTTAAAAAAATATATCCCCAGGTGATTTCAATGTGTAGCCACATTTGAGAACCACTGCCCTTCCAGATGACTCAGTTTCGTACATACTGGCTTTTTTTTTTTTTTTCTTTTTCTGTTCCTCCTGCATGCACAGTACAGTACTGCCACAAGGTCTTTGAAATGATTCTCTGCTTCTTCTGGAATGCTTTTTGACCATGAAGTTGCATGATTGACTCCTTCATTTCTTCAAGTTTCTGCTGCAAAGTCATTCATTAGTAATGTCTTCCTGAACTATCTCATATAAAATAGAAACCCTGCTCTTAGCACTCCTTACCTCCCTTGCCTGACTTTTCCTCTTTAGCATTTCTTGCCATCTGAAATATTATGTATTTATTTGTTAAACATTTATTGTCTCTCCATAACTACTAGAATAATAGCAGAGAACTTGTCCATTTTGTTTCTTGAATATTAACAAATATGCACAGTAAATTTATTTAGTGATGGATCAATAGGTGCTTAATAAATATATCTAAAACGGCTATGCAGCAAAAACTTCCAAGGATCTTATTTTCATCTAATTTTTGTGTTCAGGATAACTGTTTTTTTATGCAATAAATGCACTTTATAATTCTGATCAAAGGCTGGGTTGGGCCTTCAGTTTGGGATATTGAGAGCTTAGATTCTTTGAGAGCCATGAAGTCCCTAGATCTTATACATGAGTATTGCTGGGATGATAGAAAGAGATACCAACAACAATATAAGCAAATAGGAAATGTTACAGTTTCAAGGTGGTAGTGTTGTGTTTTGAGCAACAAAAAGAATATAGCACTAGAAGGAGAACCAGTTTTTACTCAAGATTAAGGCCCAGAGGGACAACAGACCAGTGCTTGCCACTGCAACATACATAGAAAGTAAGTTTTGTTGGTGAGCTGATGGGGTGGAAAGAGTGTCTGGAGAAGTGGGAGTGGCAGTAATTACAAGGGAGAGGGCTCAGTCTACTACACTTGATTTGGATACCAGTGGCGTTTTCCTTTCTGAGTTGGTAGCCGAGGAAGTATGCATTCAGCATAAGCTTTTAGAAGACGTAATACTAAAGAAAAGAGGATTTACAGGCTAATACTACATCATTTTTTAAAGCTATGGGCAGATCATATATATTAAGCGTAATGAACAAATCATCACAACAGATTAAAGATGAGTCTTTTTTTTTTTTTTTTTTGAGACAGGATCTTGCTGTGTTACTCATGCTGGAGTGCAGTGGTGCAATCTCAGCTCACTGAAACCTTCACGTCCCATGCTCAAACAATCCTCCCACCTCAGCTTCCCAAGTAGCTGGAACCACAGGCGTGCCACCACACCTGGCTAATTTTTTGTATTTTTGTAGAGATGGGGTTTCACTATGCTGCCCAGGCTGATCTCAAACTCCTGAGCTCAAGCAATCCACATGCCTGGACCTCCCAAAGTGCTGGGATTATAGGTGTGAGCCACTGTGCCCTGGCCAAGATGAGTCTTTAGTCAACATTTTTCAACTTTGCTCAAATTACCCTGATTTTTTGAGTAATAAACACAGGTAGTCCTTCCTAAGCACGGATTCTCCACGTGCAGTAATGATAAGTTTGAATCAATTTATAAATCTCTAGGGATAACAAATGTCATGTTTCTTTATTTTTCTAAATCAAAATTATATTACCAAGTTTCTGCTCATCAAAGCCCATGAGAATTTCAGCATCAGTTTCTTTTTCTCTACTGTATTATATTGGGATGATGGGCTTATGCAGCACAAGAAAATGTGGACAGGCTACATTTTGGAAAGTGATAAAGACTGTTCCATACTTAGGCCTGGGAATCAACTTGAAGTTTCCCAACCTCTGTGCCAGGTGAGTCACGGGGACTCTTGTTGGTTAGAAATTGTGGATAGAAATTTTATCCTTGTGGATAGAAATTATAATTTAAATATTTTCTATTTAACCATGATCAAAATCAAAAGCATGTACTCACGATGAAAAAGGCCAGAAAGAAAGATTCCTGTAGGGTCAGGCTCTTTGTATTTTCAACACGTAAAGCTTGTCATGTCTCCCCCTAGTAAAGTAAGTGAGAAGAGGTTGAAGAACTTTCACAATCTAGTGACATTGGGAGCACAAGGTACTAAGAGAACATGAAATTTAAATGCGTGAGGCTCTGTTTCTTGTTCCGTTTGTTAAGAAGAAGCAAGAAACTTTCCAAGATAGTCACAGGGTTTTCTGGAGCTATTTATCACAAGCTCCTCCTAGAAAAATTATTTCATTAAGTATACTCAAGCGTTATGTAATCACCCTGAGATGTAACCATCACTTGAAGAGTTACAAAACATATACTGTTCATTTTAGGTATAAAACATACATTATAGGAAACTGAATTTTTCATTAAAATTGCAAACGAACTAATCAGCTGTACGTTAGTCTGATTCATTACTCTGTAAATCATATAAGCTCTTCTTTTTCAGTGAAAGAAAAAATGTGTGTGGGAGAACTCATATCTTATGGTCTACTTCTTCTCCTTGATTCCACCACAAATAAAAGATGCCTTCACAGGTTCTAGTTTCATTATAATCTGCAAAATTATTCTTTTCACAGAGTTTAATCTCCATGGGCATTCATACGGCTGTTTTCCTCTGGGATCTTTCTGCTTGTGGGGTGCTGTGTTTGAAGAATGTGCAGATATTCATGAATCCATGACATGGAGCTCTTTCAAGTGACCCATCTTCTCCTGTTCCTCCTCTAGGAGAATGAACTCCCTTGAAACTGTGCCACCCACTTCCCCCCCAAAGCTACAGTCTCCAGCCATACCCACTTGGTGGCCTTTCTCGTTTTGAAGTGTATGGAAAAAATACAGTTTACTACTCTCCTGCAGTCAAAGAGCTTCCAAAGTAAGAAGTGGTAGAGAAGCATATAACATATTTGTTGGTGTTAATGAAGAAGCAAAAAAAAAGACATGTATTCTCTAATGAGGCCATAACAGAAAAAAGAAAACAATTAATTTCTCAATAATTTTTTCCAAAGAAATAAAATTTAGCAGTAAACTTAAGAATAATAATTATTCTTTAGCAGCATAGGTGTCAACAACTCAGCCTCAACACAGTCTTACAAACTGGGAGCTCCTTGAAGTCAAATGTTTTCTTCTCCTCATGTATCCTCAGCAGTGTGTCTCCCCAGCACTTACAAAGTGTTAAATAAAAGCTAGATGACCACACCTGAATCAAGTGAATACTGACCCTAGCCTTCTCGTACGGACTTTATAGCTTAAATATCCCAGGTTATAGTAATGTATTCTTTAGTTCTTATTCTCTACTTTCTTTTCATTCTCCGTATTTATTTATATTGTTAAGCATTGCATTAGTTTCCTGTGGCTGCTATAAAAAATGACCACAAACTTGGTGACTTGAAACAACAGAAATTTATTCTCTCACAGTTCTGGAGGCTAGAAGTCTAAAATCAAGACCTCCACAGAGCTGGTCAAGTCCATGGCTCTCTCCCATCTTTCTGTGTTTCCAGCAATCCTTGGTGTTTGTTGGCTTGCAGATGCATCACCCCAATCTCTGCCTCTGTTTTCACATTGACTTCTTTTCTGTGAAAATTATTTCATTAAGTATACTCAATTGTTCTCTCATGTTCTCCTCTTATGAGGACAACACTTGTCTTTGGGTTTAAGATCCACCCAATCCAGGATAATCTCATTTCAAGATCTTTAACTTAATTGTATTTGCAAAGACACTTTCAAAATAAGGTCACCTCCACAGGTTCCCGGTAGACATATCTTTTCAAGGCCAACATTCAACCTTACAATCATCTTTGCTTTTTAAAATTATGGGACCGTCTTCCTCCTTTTGACTTTGATGCACAAATCTTTCTATCTTTGCTCCATCTAGATCTACACAGATGTCTCTAAGATAAAATAACCCATCATAATTAATTCACTAGAAGTCAGGGGACCTGGGCTTTGCTTTTGAATTTTTCAGTTTTCATTACCAGACAATGTGATCTTTGGTACTATTAATCACTTTGAATCTTATTTTTCATGTTGGTTGCAAATGTAAAAATCAATTAGACCTAGCTTAAGAAAAAGAAAAATTCATTGTAAATTGTAGCAGCATCCCATAAAACTTAAGTGCAAGAATGTAGCCACACCTTAAGAAGACATTAGATGATGAAGTTGGGAAGTTTTAGCACTCTCTCTCACTTTTTTGTCTCCATTTCTGTCTGTAATCTATTTACTTCCTTTTTTTTCTGTTCAGATGGCTATTTTCCTCACAAAAACTACCAATTTAATGTTATAGTTTAATCTACATGGACAGTTTCTTTTCATCTTTCCCCACCACTTCCTGACTCTCCTGTTTCATTTTCTTCTCTACATTTTTACTTCCCAATTTCTACTTCTTTCCTAGTTCCAAATTCCTAAATGAGGGAATCAGAGTGATCTAACTGGGATTTGATAAACTTCTCTGATTCTACCAACTCTGATCAAAGATAGGGTCACATTACAAAGAGATAAATTTTGAGAATTAAACAATATGGATTCAGAGTAAAGGCAGTTACAGTGAAGAAAACATTTGGAGTTTGACAGGTTCACAAAAAATGTGTACCACATTTCTCTCCTATAAAATGGAGCTAACACTTTCTGCTATGCTCACTTTACAATTAAAAAAATTTTTTTGAGGGTCATAGCAGACATTGTGTTTAAGAACACATTGAATATTATTACACACTTGGAAGAATTGTTTTGAAGTTTTATAGTGCTAGATTTGGGTTCCGAACAAGTGGCAGACCTGATCTTGATGAAAGAAAGAAGATAATTCATCCAGTTGTGAAGTGGATAAAGGTTTTCTAAGAGCTCATCACCATGACTCCCAAAGTTTTGATTGTCTTCATAATGATGGGAAATCACAATTTCAGGAATAGGAACAAAGTTTTTGTGAGAGTTAGGAAGAATCCAGAGGTGCAAGGTGTAAGTGGTGATGTTTGTGTGTGGAGGTAATCCTTCCAAGTTTATCCAGACAACAATGGCAAGAGTAAGAACTGAACTTAAATACTGATGCACTTAGACATGGAAAATGCTGAACTTTATGTGTAATGATTTGTCAGTTATTTATTATATGATTATTTATTTTCTGACAGGTCATAAAAGCAGGATACATCATTGACAACAGAAGTAATTATCAGTTTTAGAATAAAAGCAAAAAGATTCTTAGGTTTCTTGGGGCACTATAATACAGTGTTGATGTTGGGAGGAGTAAAAGAAACAGGTATATCTTTTAACAGGTTGGTCAAAGAGGTTACATGTGTTTTTCAAGAAGGTTGTCAGTTGGAATTATTGTTGCTTCTGCCCTTATTCCAATGGGGCTGGTACAGCAATAGTGCCTACTTTTCCAGGCTTTGAAGCATGTCTGCATCAGGACAGGCCGACAGTCCTGGAAAGGGCACAGAGAGAAGCCTGGAGTGAGCTCCTGGAGTGAGGGAAGCCTGGACTGTACTTAGGGAGATTTGAGTTCTTATTCTCAGGATCTTCTTTCTGTCCCTCCTTTTACTGTTTCATTAAAACAAACAAACAAATGAGCAAACAAACGAAAAACCCCAGCTAGCCAAATTCCTGTAGTAGACCTGGTGGGAAAAGTCAAAGAGGTTATCCTAAGACTTTACATCTGCACCAGCTGAAGAAAATCTCAGACGGCACATGTGAACCAGGCCTGGTCATCAGACACTGGACTTTATTTGGGGACAAATGTATGCAATTTCCTGGAGTGTAATCTGTGCCGAACATGCCCTATTAAGAATTTATAGCAGGAGACAGCTGGCCAAAGATTTGGGGTCCTGGCTTTCTACTATCACTGCTAATATGAGGCACATAAGCAGGTGCTCACTAAATAATAAATTAATGAACAGTCTACTGAACATGTCCTTTTGCAATATGGCACTGAGAGTCATCTGTCTTATTTTATGAAGCATCAGTAGTTTCTGATTCATACTCTGTGAAAATGGCAGTGTTCCCCGGAGGCAGAAATGCACAATTTTTCCTTGGCAGTTGAGAACACCACTACATTGCTTGTCTTCAGTTACAAATGGAGAGATTAGTGTTGGCCATGAGAGCAGACTCTTCTTCCCCAAAGAGGGTCACAGGGCAACAGAGGTAGAATAAAGATACAGAGAGACATTTGGTTAAGAGGAGAGATTTGAAGGAACACATGTCAAAATGCCTTAATATTCCTGGTAAGGTAGGATACCAAGTCACTGACTAAGACTGGAATGAGTAGGGCTATAGTTGGTGATTTGGAAAAGCCACTGTGTTGAATGTGATATAAGGCAAAAACATACTCACTTTCTTCAGATATCTGTATATCTCATATTTCTGTGGTTTACTCAGGTCTCTACTCACATGTCGCTTTTTTACAGAAGTCTCACAAGCCCAGCCCATTAATAAAAATGCCTCTGGCCGGGCGCAGTGGCTGACGCCTGTAATCCCAGCACTTTGGGAGGCCGAGGCGGGCGGATCACAAGGTCAGGAGATCGAGACCATCCTGGCTAACACAGTGAAACCCTGTCTCTACTAAAAATGCAAAAAAATTAGCCAGGCGCGGTGGCAGGCGCCTGTAGTCCCAGCTATTCGCGAGGCAGAGGCAGGAAAATGGCGTGAACCCGGGAGGCGGAGCTTGCAGTGAGCCGACATCGCGCCACTGCACTCCAGCCTAGGCGACAGAGCCAGACTCCGTCTCAAAAAAAAAAAAAAAAAAAAAGCCTCTGTATTACCCTTGCTCTGTATTATTTTATTAAAAATAATGTGTGACATTATATTTGTATATTTATGAATTTGTTTATGATACTTCTCCCTACCAAGAAGAAACCTTCATGAAAAAAGGTAACACTTTGTTTCATCTGAGTCTTTCAGGAAACAGAATCTGAATTGGAGATAGGAGTGTGAAAGGTCTATTGTGGAGTGACCTATGAAAGCAAAAGGGAGGAAGCGAGAATAGGGAGTGTGTGTGATCAGGCTGTGCTGTAGATTTGACAAAGTCCCTCCCAACCCATTGGGGAACACTGGAGAGATGACGACTTAGTAAAGGAATCCCATATTGGTAGAAATGGCCTCCGTACCACAGTCTTGTTTAGTCATTGGCTGGGAGACCCCCAAAAGAATATGACCTTGAATCAAAAGCCCCCATGGACTTGGAGGTGTTAACATCTTGAGACTCTTATCTGTCCATACTCTTTGCGTATAGGTAACAAATTCTTTCTTGAAGAGGGAATCTGAATAGGTTATCTCCACACCTTTAATAGTCTACCTTTTATATGGCATGGATACATTTTCAATATACCTTCAGGCAGTACCTCTTTAAGGCTTCCACGAAGCCTTTCTTTCTGAAGAGAAACCTAGATGATGGAGATTAGTGGGAAAAACTGTAGCCTTCATCTTTGCAGTCTGTCTTGGGGCCACAGCTGATACTATTATTTTCTTCTTCATCTATTAATTCTAACTTCCCCCTCACTTTCAGCTCTTACTTCTAAAGTTCTCAGTGGCTTACTTGTGGTTTCACCGCAACCCTTGTTCCTGAGATGTCTGAGTCTAGTAATCCCATCCTTCACAGGTAGAGGTTATTGCACTTGAACATTCACAATCACAATTGTCAAGGAATTACCAAGAAGTATCTAATCTAAATGAATCACTGAGTTCCACAATTATTTCTTGGTGTCCCTACTGTGTAAAAACATCCCTACCTCTTCCTGCTGTCACAATTTCCTTTTCTTACCTGCTAGTCCTTGAATATAAAAAGTCCAAAACGCCCAGGTGGCAGTCATAGGTTGTAATTCAATGGCACCCTTGATGTGTCCCTGTGTAGGGTGGGCCTTTTGGGGGCACCAGGACCTTTAACATTGCAAGGCTCAGAATAAACAGACAGAAGGCACAAATTCTCCCAAAGGGACACAGAAATGATGGTAAGTGGGGATACTTCTGTTTTTACTTCTTGGACTTGGACCTATGCATTATTCCCACTAGTGACACAGCATCGTATAGACAGATGTCTCTGATCCAGTGTACATACTGTGTTTTGGAAGAAAGCACCTTATCTTTGCAAATGGTTTATTCCAAGCTGGTACTTCAGCTATGTCTTTAGCAGGTCATTCCAATATCCTCTCAGGCAGGCTGCTTCTAAATTATTCAGCTTGTGGTACAGTTAGTGGATACCATGGTCATGGGCCCACTCCTGCACCTCCTTTGCTGCAAGGTGGGTCCAATGGTTGGATGATTTATAGAGCAGGATTTCATGCTTGAGGATCTAGTAGTCTGTAAACCCCCAATAGAGGTGCAGATAGAGGATCTCCAGGCAGGAAAAGGAAACCATTACCTAGAGTAAGTTTCTGTCCTGTGAGGACAAACTGCTAACCCTTCCAGGAAGAAAGGAGCCCAATGTAGTCAACTTGCCAATAAATAGCTGGTTTGTCTCCTTGATAAATAGTGCTATACTTGGAGTACATTATTGGTCTCTGTTACTGGCAGTTGGATAATCAGAGGTGCTAGTAGTTATCAAAAGCTTAGTGAATGGCAATACATGCATAGCCTCTATCTCTGCCACTGTTGAAGATGTTCCTGTCAAATCAGGACTAAGTTGATCACTGATAAAAGCTGGCTAATATCAAGTGGCTGAGTCACTCCATCTACTTGATTGTTTGGTGATTCTTCTATGGTTGATGCTTCCTGGTAGTAACAAATGTGTGATACAAGGTTCACACTTCATGTCCACTCTCACATATACATCCACATGCCTCTATTTCAGACTTTCTTGTCTGCAGTCTTCCAATCCTTTTCCTTTTAGGTTCCTGACAAACAAGTCAGGCTATTTGTTATGCTTATGAGTCTACACATATTCTAATGTAGGGGCACTTCTCATTTAGCAAAAAGTAAATAATCAAGTGTACCATCCAAAGCCCCACCAGTTAGGAAAACTTTCCTTCTGCACCATCTTTGAAGGCTATCCTTGAGTGAGGCTATAATGCATCTATTTTTGACTTGTACCCACATATTGAGTTGATGCATCCACAAACCAAGCTAGTACATTTTCTTTATGCAGAAACTTCATAGTGAACTAGGGAAGGGTGATGCAGATACCACCCTGGCTGGTGACATGGAGATTTAGTTTACATGTTTATGCAACTTGCTTTTATGTTTTTGCCTTCTGGTCCTGCTTGTGCTGTCTCTGATGTATACTGTGGATCTTTTGAATAATTGTTACTGGGCCTATCTGACTTTACAGTTTTGAAGGTCAAGCAAGATCTACTTCATGAAGAAAAATTCTAAATGCATGATCACTGGTGTCCATTGTTGCCAAACATTCTATCTCTACTAGGGCCTCGTAGCTTGCCAGGGGCTGATTTTCCAAAAGTTTGTGATTCTCTGCTCTACAAGGCATAACCCTGCTACAGAACCTCAAAGACTCACGTTGTGATTCTTCCTCTAGAGCTTGCCATATGTTCTACACTACTTATTTTTCTACCATTGACAGCTACAACAAAATAAGGTCTGCTAAATCATATAGCCCAAGTGACAGGTCTAATTGCACTACAACCTGTATCTGCTGCAGAACTCCTTCTGTTCCAAGTCCTACTCAAAGTTGCAAGGCTATCATGTAATATAAAAGCTAGAGCATTACACCTAGTTTGTGGACTTACTGCCTCCAGAATGAAAAGGGGCCTACCAAGTATTGTGCTTCCTTTTTTTGTGGTATGGGATGTGAGATGCACCAACTTGTTTTATTTGGAGGGAGTGTCGTAGCATACCTCTGACCACAGGATTTCTGAAACCAAAATGACAAATTTCTGAGTGTTCAGAGTTTTTTTTTTCTCTCTCTCTGTAGTACATGTATCTTACCAAACCCTCTAGTATGCTAGCCACATTGCACTCACCCTGTCTGATCAACATGATGTGATTGATATGGTGGATCAGTGTGATGTTCTGTGGCAATGGCTTTCAGAACCATTGGATGAAAGGAACAGAATCTAGCATGAGCATTGAGGAGAAGCCTCTGCATCCATACTGCAGAACTGAGTCAAAGGAACACCTGCTTCTTTTACAATTAGGATGCAGATTGCTCCACATTGTACACCGCTACAACCAGCATTAGAAATCCACAAAATTCAAAAGTTCACATATTTAGAGAGATGCTTCCTCTAGAGTCGCACTGCATTTGCTCTAATCTACTCCAGCAACATTGCCCAGGGCCCTGCTTCTCAATACCCATAAGGAAAGGCTGGAAGATGGCACCTTGGTTCAATTCTGCTGCTGAAAAATCAGTCCCTGTGCTTGTCAGTAAAAATGGCAAAAAAAAAAAAAAAAAAAAAGAGGAAGATATGTAGTCTCTGTCTTACTACCAGCCTCTAAATATCTGATGGGCTGAACCAAAATCACCTTGAGAACTGTAGTTTCAAGGGAGTCCAGGAAATATACTTTTTAGCCTTTCACTCTCTGCCATTTGGAAAGGCAAACTAGAAGAGTGAAGTAGATGTTGAACATGAGTCCACCATTTTCATCTCAATAACGATCCCTCATCAGATGCTTTTTGAAAGGATTAAATGTGATAATATATGGAATTGCTTATTATAGCAGCTAAATGTAGTAATATTCAATAACTGTTGGGTCTTCTTTCTTAAACCATTTATTCATAATCAAGAGTATTAATTTTCAACCCCAAATCATGTCAATAATATTCAAAAGATGGATTTACTGTCAATTTGTCCATCTGTGATGTAACTAGGTATAGGATTGACAATTTAAGTCAGTGCTGTCCGGTATAGAACAGTATGAACGGTTCTATAAGAATAAAATGCACACTGAATTTCAAAGACTTAGTGTAAAGTAAATGTAAAATGTCTCATTAATAATTTTTTACTAATTAAGTGGTGAAATGATATTTTAAAGAAATATTGACTTAATAAAATATATTATTCAAATTAATTTTATTTCTTTATTTCTGCATTTAAAAACTTTGACCACTAGAAACATTAAAATTACATATGTAATTTAATTATATTTCTTTTGGACATTAATGCCAGAACTAGTCCCTGAACTCTACCTTCTAAGTTTGCGTCTCCCTCTTGTGAGGGTCTTTCTGTCGCATTTAGAGTTCTCCTGCTTCTCTGGTTTTAATTATCCATATTACAGTTTACATGAGGTATTTTTAAAAAATTCATTAAAAACATTATGAGAAACCACAAAGAAATATGACTACATCTGACTCTGATATTGGCTCTCCCACCCTGTCCCCTAAGTTATGAAACTCTGGAACATTCTGTTTTCTCCCTGTACTAATCTGAACACAGAACTTGGCACCTCTTCAAGTCTGCAAAATAATCTCCAAAAGCCTGGGTAAGCAATGATAATGGCATTCTTGAAGAGCTGTAAAAGAAAATAGATGAAGGACTTTACATTGCACCCTTAAAGCAAATCTAACACCCCCTCCAATTAGTCATTTCTAATGTTTTCCTAAATCCCTTCTCTGTTACTCAATGAATAGGTCTTCTGGCTCCCTCCTACTATTTCCTCCCTCTCTCCACTATCTTCCTGCCTCACTGGCCTCTTCCTCCGCCTCTAAGATTCACTCCTGTTAAAATTCCTCATCCCTTTAGTAAGCGGAACAATTTAATTGCTGTATTGTGTTCCTTCGGCATTTCCTTAGGGTCTCATACTCCAAAAAAAGTAATTTCTTTTGAATAAATACAAAGTCTCCCTAAGAGGAATTTTGGGAAATATGATTTTCTTCATTTCATTACACAGAATAAATTGGATAAGTTTAGAAAGTAAAGATTTCAATGCTAAGAAATTTGGTAAATATAATAAGGAGCTTTACCAAGTCTCAAACCTCCTTAGTGTAAGACAATCATTCCTCATCACATTTGGGTTGATATAGTCTACCTGCAGCTTGCACATTCCGTTCTAATAACAAGGCAGGTTCCATCTTGTTTTACACTACAAGAGCAGTTCATCAGTCTGAAGACAAGGCCAACACATAGTTTTCTCATTTATGTCCCTTCCTACCCCCATGTGTCCTTAATAATCTCCCTATGATAACAAGTTTCTTAATTTAAGGTCAAAAATAGGTCATAGTTCATTTGTGTAGCTGTGTTAATTAACCCTCCAAATTCCAAGACAAGAGCTCATCCTTGTTGGCTCACTTTATCAACTCTTCCACATTCTTCCAGTTCTTTGAAATTTATCTCTAGTATGTCTCATTTCCTAAGATGATGATTTTATCAGAACATAACCAATGTAATATTCAGTATCATACTACCATATTGAGAGTTGAGAACACTAGAATCCCAATAATAATAAAACTAGGTTTCATTTATCAGCTAGCTACAGCTCTAAGTTGCTTTATATGCAATTAGCGCATTGTAATTATCATAACTACAGAAGAGGCAGGCATTATTATGTCTATATTGTACCTAGGAAACTACGGCTTAACAAGATTAAGGTATTTCCCCCCAAAAAAAACGACATTCTATTTCCCATCAATGTGATGTTTCATTCAGGGTCCATACTCCATATACTTCCCCACTGCTCTGAAGTCCATAAAGTTCATTATAAAAGCATAGGGTTTTGGAATTGAAGGGACTTAGAGATTATCTAATCCTATATACTCACTTTACAATTACTACAGATGTCCCAACTAATTAGAGCCATTCTTACCCCAAGACTTGGTTGATAGAATATTATACATTTAGGGACATCCAGGAGGTAATGATAGTAACTTGGCTTGCAAAAAGGTTTAAAATATCTTTTTTCTTAATGACCCTAAATGAAGGCAAATGGCTTTCCAAGAACAGCTCTTTCAAGTAGGGAGCAACATATCAGCTGACTTGTTACCAGCTTTTTATTTGCATGATCAGTGTATTACCATCAACTTTTAGTAGCAGATAAAGGTATTTAAGGAATCAGCCTCAAGATGAGTAAACTTTATCGGAAAAGGCTGTCACAAGCTTGGGTAGCTGTCTTATGGGCTTATTTCTTAGTCCTTTTGGGCTGTTGTAACAAAATACCTTAGACTGGGTAATTTATAAAACAGCAGAAATTTATTGCTTATAGCTCTGGAGGCTGAGAAGTCTAAGATCAAAGTGCTAGCAGATTTGGTTCTGATGAGGGTCTGTTTCACATAGATGGCACTTGCTGTGTCCTCAGTTGGCAGAAGGGGCAAGGAAGCTTGCTTAAGCCTCCTTTATAAGGGTACAAATTACATTTATGAGGGTGCAGCACTCATGACTTAATCACTTCTTGAAGGCCCCTTCGTATCATATTGGGTATTAGCTTCTGACATACGAATTTTTGGGACCACAACATTCAGACCATAGCAGCTTTGATACTGTTTGGGTATATCATGATTAATCAGCCGGAGGGTAGTGATTGCATCAGTGGAAACAGGGAATGCTATGAAGACAAAAGTCAAGTTATTGAGCTCAAAAGATACACTGCTTACTTTGAAGTGTTTTCCAGGACTAACCCAGAACGAACTCCTCCCCATGCGGAAACCTTCCAAATGCTTTTGCCTGGTTGTTATAAATTGATCTCATATGGCACTGCCCATTAAGTTGGAGAGCACGCTACAAATATGTATTCTACAAATGTGTACTCTGTGTTTCGTAGACTTTACGGTTTTCTAGAGGATGGTATGATGCCTATCTCTGCTGAATATCAAAAAGATCTTCAGAACGGAACAAAAATTGCTTAATTATACATTGTTCTTTCCTATGGCCAGACATTCTTTTGTTGTTAGAGAGAGTCATTATGTAATAAAAAATCTTGAATTTTGGAGTAATAAAAACAAAGTGTTCCATCGTATATTCATTTACTAAAAATATTTATCAAGAGATGACTCTATGTTAGTAACTGGCAAATGTTATAAATAAGACTTGTAAGGCTACTACTCTCATAGAACACAGATTCTAGAGAGAGGAGTTAGATAATTAATACATCAATAAATGAGTAAAATAAATCTTATAAGGACAATAGGATGATAAGATTTGTGGCAAGGAGGTATTTTAGACTGGGTAGTCAGAGAAGGCCTCTCTTTGGAAGCAGCAACTGAGAAGGAAACATCATATAAGTGAACAGATAGAGGCCGATAGGTCATAATTTAGGGCAGCTATAGGTAATACATAAAGGAATGGGTGTGGGTGTGTACTAATAAGTCTTGCTTTTTTTTTTTTTTTTTTTTTTTTTTTTTTGAGACAGAGTCTCACTCTGTTGCCCAGGCTGGAGTGCAGTGGCACAATCTTGGCTCACTGCAACCTCCGCATTCCAGGTTCAAGTGATTCTCCTGCCTCAGCCTCCCAAGTAGCTCGGATTACAGGTGTGCGCCCTCACACCAGGCTAATTTTTGTATTTTTAGTAGAGATGGGGTTTCACCATGTTAGTCAGGCTGGTCTCGAACTCCTGACCTCGTGATCTGCCTGCCTCAGCCTCCCAAAGTGCTGGAATTGAGCTATCTCTCCCGTGTAAGTCTTTATTTAGAAAAACAGGCAGGGGTGCGGGAGTCAGATCTGGCCTGCAGAGGAAAGCATTTCAGGCAGGAGGAATCTGGGAAGTTGAAAGGCCAAGGCTGGGTGTGGGCTTTGTATTCTTGTATTCTTAGAAAGTAGTATGGCTGGAGGCTAGTGAGAGTGAGAGTGATAGGGTGTTGGAGACAGAGGTACAGGCCAGGTCAGGTAGGGCTTTTTAGACTTATGAAGAAATTTACATTTTATTCTAAATGCAAAAGGAAGCCACCAGAATGATTCACGCAGGGAACAGTGACACAATCTGATTTATATTTTAAAGAGGCTCTGGTTGCTGAGCAGTTACTATTTTTAGGGAAGCTAAAGTGGAAGCAAGGAGAGTCAGGAAGCTGTTACAGTAATCCTAGGAAAATACCATAGTGAAGACAGGGAGAGCTGGAAGTGTAGCAGTTTGAATTTCTCTCTTCATGGCTCCTTAACTATACATGAACTTTGAACTTCATTTCCTTCATCAGCTAAGTATAGATAAAATTCCTATTCTCTTTGTTAGGATAAAATAAGCCTATAAGGCAAATGTCCAACAAATGGTTAGATGTCGGTTATGTTAGTTCTTTCTTTTTCTTCTTTGTCTAAAGCTCATACATTTTTTTTCTTCCTTCTCCCCTTTCTTTCTTTTTCTCCTTTCCATGGATATTTGTCTCCTTCCATAGATATTTAATGGTGAACTGGTTTGTGCAAAACACAATACTTGGTAGTGGAAGATATAGAGAGATCTTGTTTTTAAACATTTATTGACTTATATAGTTGGGTGCTCAAAAAAGCAGAACCTTTAGTTTTCCCTTTAGTTTTTCTTTTCTTTACTTTTTTAGTAAGGCAAACTGCCATTTTAAAGTCCTAGCTAGTTATATAAATAATAATGAAGAAAAAATCATTTTGGAGAAGATCTTAGTTTTGGGCAGAATCAACTAAGGGTGATATACAAAAAACTCCTTACATTAAAACAAAAATTAATTTAACATTGGTTCTGAGAATATACTGGAAGTTTTATCCTGGGAAACATATGTACAATTTTTTTTTTTTTTTCGTGACAAATATGCCCCAACCCACAACCCTTGTATATATGCAGCACAAGATTACTGGGGACGATGAGGTTATTAAAATAGCCACTGTAATTAAAGTGGTCTTGATATGGTTTGGGTGTGTCCCCACCCAAAATTTCATCTTGAATTGTAATCCCCATAATCACCATAATCCCCAAATGTCAAGGAAGAGACAAGGGGGAGGCAACTGAATCATGGAGGCGGCTTCCTCCAAGCTGTTCTCATGATAGTGAGTCAGTTTTCACGAGATGTGATGGTTTTATAAGTGTTTGATAGTTCCACCTGTGTTCATTCTCCTTCCTGACACCCTGTGAAGAAGGTGCCTTGCTTCCCCTTTGCCTTCCACCACAATGCTAAGTTTCTTGAGGCCTCCCGAGACATGCTGAACTGTGAGTCAGTCAACTAAGCCTCTTTCCTTTATAAATTACCCAGTTTCAGGCAATTCTTTATAGCAATGTGAAAATGGACTAATATACAACTGAAGTCATTTGGTAAAATAAGCTTCAAGATTCCTCTTTTCATCTCTCACTGAAGGTAAGATCACCATGGCTAAAGTGGGGTGGATTTATCCTGAGTCAGATTTATGCTCTTGCTCTGTATGGTTCATACCTTTACAAACGGTTTTTAAATTAAAGCCTAAAGTCATCCCAATTTTTCTCTCTGAATGATTTACCCTCCCAGAAGAAATGTTTTCAGCTAACTTGTAATTATCCCTCTTTATGATGTAGCATAGTATTTTGGAAAATACACTCGCTTCAAATCAGCCATGTACCAGCTAGCTGCATGATGTAGGACAGATTCCTTAAAATTTGTAAGATCCAGTGACCTCACTTATAAAATGAAGCCTTTGTACTAGATCATTCCAATGTCTTGTGCTCAGTGACTCAACAAAAGGACCAAACTGCATGTCTGCCCCACAACTTTGGAGGCAAAGAGTAAGACGGTCAAAAGTAGAACTCTAGCAAGGTATAGTAAGAGAAGCAATAGAAGTTGTTTGTAGAGAAAACACTATACAGCTTAATTTTGAAACCATATTATTCTCAGATTACATGTTTTTAAAAATTGCTTTAGTTGAAAAATTTTATAAACTGTTGGTAACAAATTTTTAAACCACAATAATAACTCTCTGCCTAGTATTCTATGTACCCCAGCCCCAGTGTGAACATTTCATTGCAATCAAGTCCTAAGAGAAAACATCAGAAAGGCTTTAAGATAATACCTTATAACAGCAGGTTCATTTATCTGGGTACTTGAACATAATGAAGATAGACATTCTTCTCTCATTGTATAGGATACCTATAAATAACCAAAGCCCAGTGAACTTTATGGCAGAAAATAATTTAAAGTAATTAGGATTTTTAAAAAGGAAAAGGAAATAGAGTTATGAGAAGAGAGATATGGGATTAATACAGCAAAGGAGAAGGATTAACTCTAGTTTTGTATTCATTACCCAGAAAGAAGTCTTTGGATCATTTTTGTGCATGATGGGAATTTCACATGCAGAGAGGACCTGAGGAATTTCATATGCAGTGAAACATCACCTTTTTGCATTTAACTGAAATTGATGTTCATATTAAATCTATTTTATGTGGGAATGAGTAAAAAATTGATGATTTTAAAAATTAAAAAATACAGTTTTCTACAATATTTTTGTACTAAAAAAATTAGATTGCAATTCAAATGCTAAAAACTGGCTAATGACTAATAAATATTGGACACACCTATGCTGAATTATTTTGCATGCTTTAAATATTATGCTTATGAAGAGTCTGTAATACTATAGAGAAAATCTTTTACTTTATTAAGTGAAAAAGTAAAATGTGACTTTTATATAAAATATTATCTCAACATAAAAAAACTAAAAGAAATGCTCTTTCTATAATGTCCAGTTAGTTGGATTTTGAATGATTCATTCATTCTTCTTTATGTATTTTTTATAATATCCTATTTTTTCCAAATGGGTCCACAGTATTTTTATTTGTAATTGGAAAACGAAATACTTAATTTGAAAACCTCCTTGTGTATAATCTGATTAAGTCTTGGAATATATAAGGAACCTCTTAGATTGTTTTGGAAAGAACAGTTATTCATAAAGGCAAATAATTAATCAGAAGATATCTGGTAGCAATAAAACTGCTGAAAGCAGAAATGCTCTCTTTTTTTTTGAAAGGGTAAAATTAGAAAATTATCATTACAGGACATTGTATTGTTGGTGATAGTGTGAAAGTTTAGTCTCCTGGCTTTCCCACCCCTCAGAGAGCAGAAAGCATTTTCTTCCTTATAGAAGAAGATAAAGCAGGGCCAAGTAGAGAGTGATATTCCTGAGCATCAGCTGGTACAGCAAACACACAATAACAATAGCAAGCAAAACAAAACAAATATACAACAAAGTCCTTACGTTAAAGCAAAAATTAATTTAGTGCCTGCAGCAAAGGAAAGCTCTTTGCCCCTTTTCAACTACCTCTTTTCTGTTTGCGTTTGGCACCTCTCTTTGCCTGGTCTTTGGTGACCACTTGAATGCAACTCATTAATTTCAAGGCTAAATCCTCAACCTTTTGCTTTTCTTTCTCTATAATCTCTCTCTCTCAGAGATATTGTTCATTCTTATAGCTTAACTTTTTCACCTTATATTGATAGCTCCCTATTTTATATTCTAAGAACTTCTTACCTATCTTTTCAACTTTCTGCTGAGTATTTCCACTTAATGTCTTTAAAGTCATCTCTAACTAAATGTGTTTACAACCGAACTCACCCAAACTTCATATTTTTAGGAACCACCTCCTGCTTTCGGCACTCAGAATGGTAAGAGTGTTCTTTCATTCTATCTTCTTCTTCATGATCCATACTAGATCTGGGACAAATTTCTGATTTAGCCTTTGTAACAACATTTACTTTCCATCTCTACTCTCATCCTTTTGGTTCAGGTTCCTGTCATCTCATTGTTGGTGACATTTTGGAAACATGAAAACATATTCTGAATGTAGTATGAGGTTCTCAGTTTGAGGCTAACTTGCATTTCCACTGGGATTCAGACTTGTCAGAGTTGAAGTCCACAGGAATCCATTTGCACAAAATTTATGTGAAAGAACTTCTGTGAAGGAACTTGTACAAGGGGAGGGGAGATGAAGGCAGAGGTTGGAGAGGGACAGCGTATTTCCTGTTTCCCATTGTGATGTCTGGAAGAGGTGCTGCAGGGCAGCTGTTGTCATGACGGGCTCTGTAGGAATAAGAATGTCTGTTTCTGGCCGGGCGCAGTGGCTCATGCCTGTAATCCCAGCACTTTGGGAGGCCGAGGTGGGCGGATCATGAGGACAGGAAATCGAGACCATCCTGGCTAACACGGTGAAACCCCGTCTCCACTAAAAATACAAAATATTACCCGGGCGTGGTGGTGGGTGCCTGTAGTCCCAGCTACTCCGGAGGCTGAGGCAGGAGAATGGCTTGAACCCGGGAGGCGGAGCTTGCAGATCGTTCCACTGCACTCCAGCCTGGGCGACAGAGCAAGACTCCATCTCAAAAAAGAAAAAAAAGTCTGTTTCCGTTTCTATGTAATGAAGAGCAATGCCACTTGGAGAAGTTTTTCTACTCTTTTGAGAAGACTGAAAGAAACAGTGTCAGTCAGCATGTCACCTGTAGAGGGTCGTGATTGCAAGTTGTCCAGGTTCTTGGTGTTTTGAACAAAGAGTTGGACAAAACGCCAGCAAAGCAAAGAAAGAATGAAGCAACAAAAGAATGAAAGAATGAAAGCAGGGATTTATTGAAAATGAAAGTACACTCTACAGTGTGGGAGTGTGCTGAGCGGTAGTTCTAGGGCCAGGATACAGAATCTTCTTGGGTCCAAATACTCCCTAGAATTTTCCCATTGGCCACTTCATGCTCACCTCATGTCAGTGAAGTGGTAGCTTGCCATCAGTCTGATTGGTTGCAGAAAGCAGCCAACCAGGGGCTGAAGTGAAGTTACAAAGGTCACACTCCTGTGCAAACATCTGATTGGTTGTCAATCAGAGGCTAGGGTGAAGTTACAAAGTTATACTTCAATGCAAACGAATACTCCACCCACAATCAATCTGATTGATTGTGGACAGCAACCATTCAGAAGCTGGAGTGAAGTTACAAACTTGCAAAGGAAGACTGGACCTGCAATCAGTCTGATTTGTTGCGGACAGACAATTTCCCATCTGCCTGCAGAAAAGGTCAAAGGCAGTAGCCTCTGGTCCTTTTGTTACTTAGGCGTGTAAAGTTAGGATTTTCCTTTCAATTTAGTTCTAGGAAGTCGGCATGAAACAGCCTTAGGTTCCCTGCCTCCAGACCCTATTCTCCTGCCTCAAGCATACAACCTTTATTTCCAGCTAAAATTCCTAGCTAAAAATGTCTAGCAAAATTCCTAGAAATAAGTGAATTAATGAAGACAAAATGAAGCAATACAAAGATACGTGATGGGAAGAGGGCAGATCTTACAAAAGACATATTATATTCCAGAATGACAATGGTAAATATTACACAAATATGTACAATTGACAAAAATACAATAACAATTTAGTGGAGAAAGGATAATCTTTTCAATAGGAAAATGAAACCTGACCTAACTTTCACCTTATGCAAAAATAAACTTAAATATGTTATAGATATATATGTAAATCTAAAACTATGAAACTTTTTGGAGAAAATCTTCCTGAACTGGAATTGGGCAAAGAGTTTTCAGACATGGTGCCAAAAAACGACAGAACTGATCAATCAAACTTCATCAAAATAAAAAACTTTTGCTTTGTGAAAGTAATTGTAAAGAGAATGAAAATACCAGCAATAGCCCAGGATAAAATGTTTGCAAAAAATATATCTGACAATAGAGTTGTATCCGGAATATATAAAGAACTCTCAAAATCCGAGACTTGGAATATAAACAATCCAGTTAAATATGTCAAAATATTTGAACAGATGCTTCACCATAAGATGTAATGATGACAAGCATATGGAAAACTATTCAGTATTATAAGCCATTAAAGAAATAGAAAGTAAAACCTCTATAATACAACTACACATGTAAAAGAATGGCTAAAAGATAAAACACACACACACACACACACACACACACACACACACACACATTACCAACTACTGGCAAGGATGCAGAACAACTGGAATTATCACATTGGGAAAGAAAAAATGTACAGCCACTCGAAAACAGTTTGGCAGTTTCTTATAAAATTAAACATACGCTCACTATATGACATGGATACCTCATTCTTTGCTATTTATCCAAATAGAATGGAAATTTATATTCACACAAAACCCAATAGGCTAATGTTTCTAGCAGCTCTATTCATAATTACCAAAAACTGTAGCCAACCCAAATCTCCTTCAATGAACAAACAACAAGAGATACATCCATACAATGAAATACCATTCAGCACTATAAAGGAACAAGCTGTTGATTGACTCAGCAGCTTGGCTGCATCTCAGTAGTATTAAGCTAAGTGTAAGAAGACAATTTCAAAAGGTCACATACTGTATGATTCCCTTTACCTTATAGTCTTGAAAAGAGAAGACTACAGTAATAGAGAATAGATCAGTAATTGTTAGGATTGGGGTGAATGAGAGTTGTGACTGAAGGGATAGAATGAGAGAGTTTTTTAGATGACCAAATGGTTCTGTATCCTAATTGTGGTGCTGGTTACACAAATGAATATTTGCTAAATTTATAGAATTGCACACACACACACGTCAACTTTCCTATGTGATAATTTTAAAAAACTTAATTAAAAATTTAAAAAATTATTTTCTGGTGGATTTCAGCAGTTCACAATCTTAATAATGAAGCTATGGGTATTACAACTTTATTGTAATATTACCAATATGCATATATCCTCATAAATGATGTCTTTGCTTTTTTTTTTTTAAATGCTGACAGGCTAAGATTAACTTTGGTGAAAACTCAGCAAGAAAATTGGAATAAAATCAGAAAACCCATTACAGAGGA
The DNA here is from genome assembly GCF_000001405.40 of Homo sapiens. Lineage (NCBI taxonomy): Eukaryota > Metazoa > Chordata > Mammalia > Primates > Hominidae > Homo > Homo sapiens. The sequence goes on along the minus strand of NC_000001.11, from coordinate 159,463,398 downwards.
AGTAATCCAAATATGTAATTTAAAGCAAAATATTATTGAGAGGTATAATTCCAACTGCTCTTTAAAGAGATTGGACTATGCTAAAGTAAAGCACTCACTTGTCATCCAAGTTAAGGTGAATTTGGATATTTTGGTTGGAAGAGAGATTTGGAGTGCTTAAATATTCTGCATCACACAAAAAAGAATGTTTTAAAATGTTGAGGAGAGACAACATAGGGAGCCTGAACTTCTATGTCTTCTTCACTCAGCAGTAATGAGGTGTGCTGCTCCTTCCCTGCTGGGGTGGTGTCAGAGGAGGCCAAGTTGAGTGTCAGGACTTATACTACCTGCCAGTAGCAATAAGACCATCCCCCTCATAGTGTCCGTGGAAGTCAGTGGAGGTCACACAGGAGTGGTAACAAGGCACACCTATCCCTCCGAGCCAGGATGGTTTAAGTGGAAGCCTAGTGAGAAACTTTAATTCCCATCCTCACCCATCAGTAATAAGGAGATTGACCTCCCTTTAGGTGTCAGTGGAAGCCAAGTGGTGAACCTGGATTTTTGTCCCTACTTCACATTAATGAGGTGGCACATCTTCTGCAACAGCAGTGTCAGAGAAAGCCAGCTAAGGCAGAATATTTTTAAAAAGATCCAAAGTCTCATAACATAATACAAAATATCTATGTTTCAATAGATAATCATGAATCTTATCAAGAACCAGGAATATCTCAAACTGAATGATAAAAGGCAATCAACAGATGCCAATATCAAGATGATACAAATGTTAGAATTAGCTGAGAGATTTTAAAGCAGCCATCCATAAAAATGCTTCATGAGCAATTATGAACATGCTTAAAACAAAGAATAGAAGATCTTAGCAGATAAATAGAAATTCTCAGCAAAAAAAAGAAGATATAAATTAGAACTAGATGAAAATTTCAGAATTGAAAAAAAAAATCAATGTATGTACTCAACACTAGACAGGAGGGGACAGAGGAAAGAATCAATGAATTGGATGATTAAAAAATAGAAACTATCCAGTCTGAAAAACAGATGAAATAGACGGAAAAGAATTGACAGAGCTTCAAGGACCTGGGAGGATATGACAAAGGAGCTATCATTTGTGTAACTGATTTCCTGGAACCAAAGGAGAAAGAGGACAGAGCTGAAAGAATTCAAATAATTCTTTCAAAGTATTCAAAGAATTAAAGGCCGAGAACTTCCCAAATTTGGCAAGAGACATAAAGCTACATATTCAAGGACTTGAGAGAACCTGAAACAAGATAAATTAAAACTAATTCACACCAAGATCCATCATAGTCCAACTTCTGAAAGCTATAGAAAAAGGAAAATTTTTGAAAGCAGTTAGAGAAACAACAAATTACCTACACCAAAACAAAACAAAACAAAACAAAACAAAAACAACCAACCAAACAAAAAGACTCAAATGGAGAGAATTTCTGATCAGAAACCATAAAGTTACAAGGAAACAATACCACATTTGTAAAGTACTGAACAAAACAACTCAGAATTCTATACCCAGCAAAAATACCCCTCAGGAATAAAAGGGAAAACAAGACATTCTCAGATAAAAGAAAATTAAGAATTTGTTGCCAGCAGACTTACCCTAAAAGAATGGCCAATAGAAGTTCTTTCTGAATGTCTATGTCCACTCCACCCAGCAGTAATGAGGGGCCCAGCTCCTCCCCTGCTGGGATGGGGTCAGAAGAGGCTGAGTTGCATGTCAGGACTTATATTGCCAGCCGGTAGTAATAAGACCACCCCACTTATAGGCTCAGTGGAAGTCACATAGGAGTGGCAACGAGACATACCTCTCCCTCCCAGACAGGAATGTTCTCTTAAAAAGGAAACAGTACCAGAAAGAAGCTTGAAATATCAGGGAGGAAGAAAGAAAATTGAATGTGAAAATAGAGGTAAATAAAATAGATTTTCCTTCTCTGGAGTTTTAAAAGTTATGTTTGGTTAAAATGAAAATTATATCTGTCAGTGCTATAAGGGTTGATGTGGTTTTAAATTTGTGTAGAGGAAATATTTAAGACAATTATGTTATAAAAGAAGGAGGATAAAGGGATATAAATGGAGGTAAGATTTCTACTCTTTACTCAAACTGGTAAACTGATGACACCTAGACTATGATGAATTTTGTATATATAATACTTACCACAACCACCAAAAATCTATACCAAAATCTACATCTAAAATGAAACAGAAAAATCAAAATGGAATTTGAAAATATGTCCATGTTACCCATAGTAAGGCATGAAAAAGAGAAACACAAAAAAACAGATAAAATAGAAAAGAAATAAAATAGCAGATTTAAGTCCTAGCATATTAATAATTACATAAAACATAAATGGTCTAGATATACCAAATCAAAACAGATTGCAGAGTGGATGTCATAACATGACCTAAATATATGCTGTCTAGTAGAAATTAACTTTAAATATAGGCAGGTAGAAAATAAACAAATGGGAAAGAATAATCATGCAAGTATTAATTAAAAGAAACCAGGATTGGGTATATTAATATGAGGTAAGGTAGGCTTCTGAGAAAAGAAAATGACCAGAGAAAGAGAGAGACATAATATGATGATAATCCTACAGCTAACTTTGTACTTAATGGTGAAAGACTGACTGCTTTATCTATAGGTTTGAAAATAAGGTAAATATGTCCACTTCCTTTTATTAACACAATGCTATAACTAGCCAGCACAATAAGGCAAAAAGAGGAAATAAAAAGCATCCTGATTGGAAAAAAAAAGAAATAAAATGTCTTTCTTTGCAGAAGACATAATTGTCTATGTAGAAATTCCAAGGAGTCTACAAAAATCTCTTAGAACTAATAAGTGAGTTCAGTCAGATCATAAAATATAAGATATACCTACAAAAATCTATTGCATTTCTATATACTAGTAATGAACACGCAGGCACTGAAATTAGTAGCAAAAAGCCATTTACAACTGGAAAAAAAGTGAAATAGCAGTAAGTATAACAAAATATGTATAGGATTTGTATATTCAAAGCTATAAATGCTGATAAAAAAATCAAAGATCAAAGTAAGTGAAGAGATATATGTGTTTATGGATTGGAAGACTCATATAGTGAATACATTACTTCTTCCTAAATTGATATATAGAAATAATGTAATTTCTATCAATATCTCAGAATTTTTTTGTAGATATAGAAAAGATTATTCTAAAATTTATGTGGAAAAGCTAAGGAACTAGAATAGTTAAAATAATATAGGAAAGAAAGAGTAAAGTGAAGAAATAAGTCTACCAAATTTTAAGGCTTATTATATATTTATAATAATAAAGATTGTTAAGTATTGGTAGAAAGATAGATAAACAGATCAATAGGACAGAATAGAGAAACTAAAATAGTCACAAATATGTCCTACTTATTTTTTAGAGAGATTACGAAGTAATTTGATGGAGAAAGATAGCCTGTTCAACAATTAATGATGCTAGAGCACTTAGAGATTCACGGGCAAAAATAATAATAATAATAAACTTCAACCTAAGTCTCATATCTTATATAAAAATTAAGTCAAAGTAGACTACTCACATAAATATAGGCAGGATTCTTTAAACTAAAATTATGATCCATGAAAAATATGATAAATTGGGTTTCATTAAAATTTAAAACGTCATCAAAATTTAAAATGTTTGACAGCTTATTACTTATAATACTGAATAGGATTCCATTGTGTGGGTGTTCAACAGATTATTTACCTTCTCACTTATTGAATGACTTCTTGGTTGACTCCAATTTTTACAGACTATGAAGAAAGCTGCTATAAACTTTTGTATGCAGATTTCTTTGTGGACAAAAGTTTTTCATCATTTAGATAAACACCTAGCAGTGTGGTTGCTGGATCATAGGGCAAGAATATGTTTATCTTTGTGTAAAACTGTCCAACTCTCTTCCAAAGTAGCTATACCATGTTGCATCCCAACCCTTAATGATTGAGAGTTCCTACTGTACCACATCTTCACCAGCAATTGGAGTTGTCAGTGTTTTAAATTTTAGCCATTCTAATAACTACGTGGTGGTATTTCATTGTTATTTTAATTTTCATTTTCCTAATAAGAAATGATGAACATTTATTCATGTGCTTATTTGCTATCTATAGATTTTTGATGATGTTGCTATTCAGTTATTTGGCTGATTTTTAAATTGGGTTACTTGTTTTGTTATTGTTGAGTTGTAAGAGTTCTTTGTACATTTTGGATACAAGTTCAATTTCAGTAGCTTTCAGTTCTCTAACTTTGTTCTGTCCAGTATTGTGTTGGCTATTCTAGATGCTTTATCTTTCCATAAAAGCTTTAGAAGCAGTTTGTCAATATTTACAAAATACCTTGCTGAGATTTTGATTAGAATTGTGTGAATCTGTAAATCTGTTGAGAAAAGATGCTATCTTTTTTTTTTTTTTAATTATACTTTAAGTTTTAGGGTACATGTGCACATTGTGCAGGTTAGTTACATATGTATACATGTGCCATGCTGGTGCGCTGCACCCACTAACTCGTCATCTAGCATTAGGTATATCTCCCAGTGCTATCCCTCCCCCCTCCCCCTCCCCCACAACAAGCCCCAGAGTGTGATGTTCCCCTTCCTGTGTCCATGTGTTCTCATTGTTCAATTCCCACCTATGAGTGAGAATATGCGGTGTTTGGTTTTTTGTTCTTGTGATAGTTTACTGAGAATGATGATTTCCAATTTCATCCTTGTCCCTACAAAGGACATGAACTCATCATTTTTTATGGCTGCATAGTACTCCATGGTGTATATGTGCCACATTTTCTTAATCCAGTCTATCATTGTTGGACATTTGGGTTGGTTCCAAGTCTTTGCTATTGTGAATAATGCCTCAATAAACATATGTGTGCATGTGTCTTTATAGCAGCATGATTTATAGTCCTTTGGGTATATACCCAGTAATGGGATGGCTGGGTCAAATGGTATTTCTAGTTCTAGATCCCTGAGGAATCGCCACACTGACTTCCACAATGGTTGAACTAGTTTACAGTCCCACCAACAGTGTAAAAGTGTTCCTATTTCTCCACATCCTCTCCAGCACCTGTTGTTTCCTGACTTTTTAATGATTGCCATTCTAACTGGTGTGAGATGGTATCTCATTGTGGTTTTGATTTGCATTTCTCTGATGGCCAGTGATAATGAGCATTTTTTCATGTATTTTTTGGCTGCATAAATGTCTTCTTTTGAGAAGTGTCTGTTCATGTCCTTTGCCCACTTTTTGATGGGGTTGTTTGTTTTTTTCTTGTAAATTTGTTTGAGTTCATTATAGATTCTGGATATTAGACCTTTGTCAGATGAGTAGGATGCGAAAATTTTCTCCCATGTTGTAGGTTGCCTGTTCACTCTGATGGTAGTTTCTTTTGCTGTGCAGAAGCTCTTTAGTTTAATTAGATCCCATTTGTCAATTTTGGCTTTTGTTGCCATTGCTTTTGGTGTTTTGGACATGAAGTCCTTGCCCATCCCTATGTCCTGAATGGTAAAGCCTAGGTTTTCTTCAAGGGTTTTTATGGTTTTAGGTCTAACGTTTAAGTCTTTAATCCATCTTGAATTGATTTTTGTATAAGGTGTAAGGAAGGGATCCAGTTTCAGCTTTCTACATATGGCTAGCCAGTTCTCCCAGCACCACTTATTAAATAGGGAATCCTTTCCCCATTGCTTGTTTTTCTTAGGTTTGTCAAAGATCAGATAGTTGTAGATATGCGGCGTTATTTGTGAGGGCTCTGTTCTGTTCCATTGGTCTATATCTCTGTTTTGGTACCAGTACCATGCTGTTTTGGTTACTGTAGCCTTGTAGCATAGTTTGAAGTCAAGTAGTGTGATGCCTCCAGCTTTGTTCTTTTGGCTTAGGATCGACTTGGCGATGCGGGCTCTTTTTTGGTTCCATATGAACTTTAAAGTAGTTTTTTCCAATTCTGTGAAGAAAGTCATTGGTAGCTTGATGGGGATGGCATTGAATCTGTAAATTACCTTGGGCAGTATGGCCATTTTCGCGATATTGATTCTTCCTACCCATGAGCATGGAATGTTCTTCCATTTGTTTGTATCCTCTTTTATTTCCTTGAGCAGTGGTTTGTAGTTCTCCTTGAAGAGGTCCTTCACATCCCTTGTAAGTTTGATTCCTAGGTATTTTATTCTCTTTGAAGCAATTGTGAATGGGAGTTCACTCATGATTTGGCTCTCTGTTTGTCTGTTGTTGGTGTATAGGAATGCTTGTGATTTTTGCACATTGATTTTGTATCCTGAGACTTTGCTGAAGTTGCTTATCAGCTTAAGGAGATTTTGGGCTGAGACAATGGGGTTTTCTAGATATACAATCATGTCATCTGCAAACAGGGACAATTTGACTTCCTCTTTTCCTAATTGAATACCCTTTATTTCCTTCTCCTGCCTAATTGCCCTGGCCAGAACTTCCAACACTATGTTGAATAGGAGTGGTGAGAGAGGGCATCCCTGTCTTGTGCCAGTTTTCAAAGGGAATGCCTCCAGTTTTTGCCCATTCAGTATGATATTGGCTGTGGGTTTGTCATAGATAGCTCTTATTATTTTGAAATACGTCCCATCAATACCTAATTTATTGAGAGTTTTTAGCATGAAGGGTTGTTGAATTTTGTCAAAGGCTTTTTCTGCATCTATTGAGATAATCATGTGGTTTTTGTCTTTGGCTCTGTTTATGTGCTGGATTACATTTATTGATTTGTGTATATTGAACCAGCCTTGCATCCCAGGGATGAAGCCCACTTGATCATGGTGGATAAGCTTTTTGATGTGCTGCTGGATTCGTTTTGGCAGAATTTTATTGAAGATTTTTGCATCAATGTTCATCAAGGATATTGGTCTAAAATTCTCTTTTTTGGTTGTGTCTCTGCCATGCTTTGGTGTCAGAATGATGCTGGCCTCACAAAATGAGTTAGGGAGGATTCCCTCTTTTTCTATTGATTGGAATAGTTTCAGAAGGAATGGTACCAGTTCCTCCTTGTACCTCTGGTAGAATTCGGCTGTGAATCCATCTGGTCCTGGACTCTTTTTGATTGGTAAACTATTGATTATTGCCACAATTTCAGAGCCTGCTATTGGTCTATTCAGAGATTCAACTTCTTCCTGGTTTAGTCTTGGGAGAGTGTATGTGTCGAGGAGTTTATCCATTTCTTCTAGATTTTCTAGTTTATTTGCATAGAGGTGTTTGTAGTATTCTCTGATGGTAGTTTGTATTTCTGTGGGATCGGTGGTGATATCCCCTTGATCATTTTTTATTGTGTCTATTTGATTCTTCTTTTTTTCTTTATTAGTCTTGCTAGTGGTCTATCAATTTTGTTGATCCTTTCAAAAAACCAGCTCCTAGATTCATTAATTTTTTGAAGGGTTTTTTGTGTCTCTATTTCCTTCAGTTCTGCTCTGATTTTAGTTATTTCTTGCCTTCTGCTAGCTTTTGAATGTGTTTGCTCTTGCTTTTCTAGTTCTTTTAATTGTGATGTTAGGGTGTCAATTGTGGATCTTTCCTGCTTTCTCTTGTGGGCATTTAGTGCTATAAATTTCCCTCTACACACTGCTTTGAATGTGTCCCAGAGATTCTGGTATGTTGTGTCTTTGTTCTCATTGGTTTCAAAGAACATCTTTATTTCTGCCTTCATTTCGTTATGTATCCAGTAGTCATTCAGGAGCAGGTTGTTCAGTTTCCATGTAGTTGAGTGGTTTTGAGTGAGATTCTTAATCCTGAGTTCTAGTTTGATTGCACTGTGGTCTGAGAGATAGTTTGTTATAATCTGTGTTCTTTTACATTTACTGAGGAGAGCTTTACTTCCAACTATGTGGTCAATTTTGGAATAGGTGTGGTGTGGTGCTGAAAAAAATGTATATTCTGTTGATTTGGGGTGGAGAGTTCTGTAGATGTCTATTAGGTCCGCTTGGTGCAGAGCTGAGATCAATTCCTGGGTATTCTTGTTGACTTTCTGTCTCGTTGATCTGTCTAATGTTGACAGTGAGGTGTTAAAGTCTCCCATTATTAATGTGTGGGAGTCTAAGTCTCTTTGTAGGTCACTGAGGACTTGCTTTATGAATCTGGGTGCTCCTGTATTGGGTGCATATATATTTAGGATAGTTAGCTCTTCTTGTTGAATTGATCCCTTTACCATTATGTAATGGCCTTCTTTTTCTCTTTTGATCTTTGTTGGTTTAATGTCTGTTTTATCAGAGACTAGGATTGCAACCCCTGCCTTTTTTTGTTTTCCATTTTCTTGGTAGATCTTCCTCCATCCTTTTATTTTGAGCCTATGTGTGTCTCTGCAGGTGAGATGGGTTTCCTGAATACAGCACACTGATGGGTCTTGACTCTTTATCCAATTTGCCAGTCTGTGTCTTTTAATTGGAGCATTTAGTCCATTTACATTTAAAGTTAATATTGTTATGTGTGAATTTGATCCAGTCATTATGATGTTAGCTGGCTATTTTGCTCGTTAGTTGATGCAGTTTCTTCCTAGTCTCGATGATCTTTATATTTTGGCATGATTTTGCAGCGGCTGGTACCGGTTGTTCCTTTCCATGTTTAGCGCTTCCTTCAGGAGATCTTTTAGGGCAGGCCTGGTGGTGACAAAATCTCTCAACATTTGCTTGTCTGTAAAGTATTTTATTTCTCCTTCACTTATGAAGCTTAGTTTGGCTGGATATGAAATTCTGGGTTGAAAATTCTTTTCTTTAAGAATGTTGAATATTGGCCCCCACTCTCTTCTGGCTTGTAGGGTTTCTGCAGAGAGATCCGCTGTTAGTCTGATGGGCTTCCCTTTGAGGGTAACCCGACCTTTCTCTCTGGCTGCCCTTAACATTTTTTCCTTCATTTCAACTTTGGTGAATCTCACAATTATGTGTCTTGGAGTTCTTCTCGAGGAGTATCTCTGTGGTGTTCTCTGTATTTCCTGAATCTGAACGTTGGCCTGCCTTGCTAGATTGGGGAAGTTCTCCTGGATAATATCCTGCAGAGTGTTTTTCAACTTGGTTCCATTCTCCCCATCACTTTCAGGTACACCAATCAGACGTAGATTTGGTCTTTTCACATAGTCCCATATTTCTTGGAGGCTTTGCTCATTTCTTTTTATTCTTTTTTCTCTAAACTTCCCTTCTTGCTTCATTTCATTTATTTCATCTTCCATTGCTGATACCCTCTCTTCCACTTGATCGCATCGGCTCCTGAGGCTTCTGCATTCTTCACGTAGTTCTCGAGCCTTGGTTTTCAGCTCCATCAACTCCTTTAAGCACTTCTCTGTATTGGTTATTCTAGCTACACATTCTTCTAAATTTTTTTCAAAGTTTTCAACTTCTTTGCCTTTGGTTTGAATGTCCTCCCGTAACTCAGAGTAATTTGATCGTCTGAAGCCTTCTTCTCTCAGCTCATCAAAGTCATTCTCCATCCAGCTTTGTTCCGTTGCTGGTGAGGAACTGTGTTCCTTTGGAGGAGGAGAGGCGCTCTGCGTTTTAGAGTTTCCAGTTTTTCTGTTCTGTTTTTTCCCCATCTTTGTGGTTTTATCTACTTTTGGTCTTTGATGATGGTGATGTACAGATGGGTTTTTGGTGTGGATGTCCTTTCCGTTTGTTAGTTTTCCTTCTAACAGACAGGACCCTCAGCTGCAGTTCTGTTGGAATACCCTGCCTTGTGAGGTGTCAGTGTGCCCTGCTGGGGGTGCCTCCCAGTTAGGCTGCTTGGGGGTCAGGGGTCAGGGACCCACTTGAGGAGGCAGTCTGCCTGTTCTCAGATCTCCAGCTGCATGCTGGGAGAACCACTGCTCTCTTCAAAGCTGTCAGACAGGGACATTTAAGTCTGCAGAGGTTACTGCTGTCTTTTTGTTTGTCTGTGCCCTGCCCCCAGAGGTGGAGCCTACAGAGGCAGGCAGGCCTCCTTGAGCTGTGGTGGGCTCTACCCAGTTCGAGCTTCCTGGCTGCTTTGTTTACCTAAGCAAGCCTGGACAATGGTGGGCGCCCCTCCCCCAGCCTCGCTGCCGCCTTGCAGTTTGATCTCAGACTGCTGTGCTAGCAATCAGCGAGACTCCATGGGCGTAGGACCCTCCGAGCCAGGTGCGGGATATAATCTCGTGGTGTGCAGTTTTTTAAGCCGGTCCGAAAAGCACAATATTCGGGTGGGAGTGACCCGATTTTCCAGGTGCGTCCGTCACCCCTTTCTTTGACTCGGAAAGGGAGCTCCCTGACCCCTTGCGCTTCCCAAGTGAGGCAATGCCTCGCCCTGCTTCGGCTCGCGCACGGTGCGCGCACTCACTGACCCACGCCCACTGTCTGGCACTCCCTAGTGAGATGAACCCAGTACCTCAGATGGAAATGCAGAAATCACCCGTCTTCTGCGTCGCTCACGCTGGGAGCTGTAGACCAGAGCTGTTCCTATTCAGCCATCTTGGCTCCTCCTCCAAAAGATGCTATCTTAACAATATTGACTATTTCAATCCAAGAACATGAAATATCTCAATTTATTTAGATAATCTTTGATTTTTCTATTCAGTGTTATGTAGTTTTCTATATCAAAATTCTACACTCTTGTTTAGATTTATGTTTATTTTATTATTTGTGGTATTTACTTCTAATTTCATTTTTTCATTACTGGTGCATAGAAAAACAATTGACTTTTGTATAGTGACCTTGTATTCTATTACATTACCATACTCATTAGTCCTGGAAGCTTTGTTTGTAGGTTCTTTGGGGTTTATTCAATAATGGCAATTGTTAATAAAGACAACACTAATTCTTTCTTCCAATCTATATACCTTTTATTTCTTTTTCTTGTCTTATTGCAGAAACCAGGACTTCTGGTAAGATGTTGAATAGAAGTGCTGAGAGGAAACATCCTTGTCTTGCTCTTGATCTTAGGGGGAAAGAATTCAGTTTCTCACCTTAAGTATAACGTTAGTTGTGGGTTTAAAAAATATTCTTTATCAAGTTGATAAAGTTCTTCTTTATTCCTAATTTGCTGAGAATTTTACTTTTTCTAAATCAGAAGTCAGCATTGGCTTTTGTCAGATGATTTTCCTGCACCAACTGACATAAACATATGATTTTTCTTCTTTATCATGTTGATTTGGTGGATTACATTGATTGGCTTTTGAATCTTGAACTAGCCTTGAAAACATGAAATAAACGACATTTAGTCATGGTGTATACTTTATCTTATATATTGTTGTATTTGATTTACTCATATTTTGTCAAAATTTTTACCTTAACATTCATTAGATATATTGTCTATGTTTTTAAAAAATATGTCTGTTTGATTTTGGTATGAAGGTAATAGTGACTTCATGGAATTACTCAAAAAACATTTTCTCTGCCTCCACTTTCTAGAAGAGACTGTGGAAAATTGGCATTATTTATTACTTAATTATTTGGTAGAATTCACCAGTAAAACCATCTGGGCCTGTTACTTTAATTTTTTGAAAGGCTAATTATTATTAAATTATTTTTTTAATACATATAAGGCTATTCAGTTTCTTTATTTCTCCTTGTGTGAGTTGTGGTACATTGTATCTTTCAAGGAATTGACCTATTTCATTTAAGTTGTTATCAAATTTCTGGGCATAGAGTTTTTCCTATTTCCTTATAATCTTCTTAATATCAGTGGGTCAGTAGTTATGGCCCCTTTTTCATTTAGGGTATTGCTAATTTGTGTGTTCTTTTATTTTTCTTCTTTCTCTTTCAAGAGGTTTATAAATTTTACTGATCTTTCCAAAGAATCAGCTTTAAACTTTGCTGATAGTCAATATCAAATGTTTTTCTACTTTCAATTTTATTGATTTCTGCTGATATTTATTTTTCTTCTGCTTGCTTTGTTTTTCTTTCCCTAGTTTCTTATGACAAGGCTTATGTTATTGATGCCAAATATTTCTTCTTTTCTATTGTATGCATTTAATGATTTAAATTTGCCTTCAAATATTACTATGTCTGCATGTCAAAAATGATAAGTTGTATTTCCATTTTCTTTCAGCTCAAAATATATTTTAAAAATTTCTCTTCAGACTTCTTCTTTGACCAATGTGTTATATAGAAATTTTCACATATGCTGGGATTTTCCAGCTATCCTCTGTTCTTGATTTCTGGTTTTAACTTCACTGTGATCTGATAACATACGTTGTATAATTTCTATTTTTAAAAATTGGTAAATGTGTGGTTTATGCTCCAGAATGTCTATCTTGGTGAATGTTTCATGTGAGCTTGAGAAGAATGTATATTCCATTGTCATTGGGTGGAGTATTCTATAAATATCAATTAGAGAAAGTGGTTGATAGTTCTGTTTAGTTCCTCTATATTCTTTCTGATATTCTGTGTTCTTAAACAATTACTGATGAAAGGGCATTTAAGTATTCACCTATAATAGATTTGGTGCTTTACCTTTTCAGTTCTAAAAGTTTTTGACTCATGTATTTTGATGTCTTTTTGCTCCAAACATACACATTTATATATTTTTTATCTTGTAGAATCAATATTTTTATCGTTATGTTATACCCTTTTTTATACTTCATAATCTTCCCAGTTCAGAATTTAGCTTTGTCTGAAATTAATATAATTGCTGCAACTTTCTTTGGATTAGTGTTAGCATGGTATATCTTTCTCCATTTCTTTATTTTTAAGCTGTGTACATGGGTTTTTATTCAGATAGAAACTATAAACAACCTATAAATGAATCCTGTGTGCCTCAACAGTCTTTTAATTAAATGTATTTGGACCATTCATATTTAAACAACCTTTAAATGAGTCTTGTTTTTTATAACCTTGACAGTCTGTCTTTTAATTGAAGCAACTGTTTTCTATTTATTGCATTTGTTCTTTGTTTGCTTTCTTCTTTTTTGTATTCTGTGGCTTATAACTCCATATTGTCTCTTAGCATACCAGTTTTTGTTCTTTTTTTTTTTTTTCCAGTGTTTGTGTCCCTGGGTACTTGAGATTAGGGAGTGGTGATGACTCTTAAGGAGCATGCTGCCTTCAAGCATCTGTTTAACAAAGCACATCTTGCACCGCCCTAAATCCATTTAACCCTGAGTGGACACAGCACATGTTTCAGAGAGCACCGGGTTGGGGGTAAGGTCATAGATCAACAGCATCCCAAGGCAGAAGAATTCTTCTTAGTACAGAACAAAATGGAGTCTCCTATGTCTACTTCTTTCTACACAGACACAGCAACAATCTGACTTCTCTATCTTTTCCCCACATTTCCCCCTTTTCTATTAGACAAAACCACCATCGTCATCATGGCTCGTTCTCAATGAGCTGTTGGGTACACCTCCCAGATGGGGTGGCAGCCGGGCAGAGGGGCTCCTCACTTCCCACAAGGGGCGGCTGGGCAGAGGCGCCCCCCACCTCCCGGACAGGGCAGTGGCTGGGCGGGGGCTGCCCCCCACCTCCCGGACGGGGCGGCTGCTGGGCGGAGACGCTCCTCACTTCCCAGACGGGGTGGCTGCCGGGCAGAGGGGCTCCTCACTTCTCAGACGGGGCGGCTGGGCAGAGACGCTCCTCACCTCCCAGACGGGGTCGTGGCTGGGCAGAGGCACTCCTCACATCCCAGACAGGGCGGCGGGGCAGAGGCGCTCCCCACATCTCAGACAATGGGTGGCCAGGCAGAGATGCTCCTCACTTCCTAGATGGGATGGCAGCCGGGAAGAGGCACTCTTCACTTCCCAGACTGGGCACCGGGCAGAGGGGCTCCTCACATCCCAGACGATGGGTGGCCAGGCAGAGACGCTCCTCACTTCCCAGACGGGGTGGCGGCCGGGCAGAGGCTGCAATCTCAGCACTTTGGGAGGCCAAGGCAGGCGGCTGGGAGGTGGAGGTTGTAGCGAGCCGAGATCACGCCACTGCACTCCAGCCTGGGCAACATTGAGCACTGAGTGAAGGAGACTCCGTCTGCAGTCTGCAATCCCGGCACCTCGGGAGGCCGAGGCTGGCAGATCACTCACGGTTAGGAGCTGGAGACCAGCCCAGCCAACACAGCAAAACCCCATCTCCACCAAAAAAAATACGAAAACCAGTCAGGCGTGGCGGCGCGCACCTGCAATCGCAGGCACTCGGCAGGCTGAGGCAGGAGAATCAGGCAGGGAGGTTGCAGTGAGCGGAGATGGCAGAAGTACAGTCCAGCTTCGGCTCGGCATCAGAGGGAGACCATGGAAAGAGAGGGAGAGGGAGACAGTGGGCAGAGGGAGACTGTGGGTAGAGGGAGAGGGAGAGGGAGCCAGTTTTCATTCTTTAAAAATTATAATAGTTATCCTGGAGTATACAATATACATTTTAAGCTAATCTAAGTTCACTTTCAAAAAACACTCTGCCTTCACATGTAGTGTAGATATCTTATAATAGTGATTATTCCCAATTCTTCCCAGCTACTTTTTGTTTATTTTATTTATTTATTTATTCCACTAACCAAGTACATTGCTACTATTATTGCTTTAAAGAAGCACACACACCCCTTAACCTAAAATAAAAGTTTTAAAAAAAACTAGTATTTTTAGTTCAGCTAAGAATAATCTACTTTCTTCCTTTTTTATGTTGATTCAAGTTTCTGACCTATATAATTTTTTCTTCATAAATATGTTATTTTAGCATTTCTTGAATGGCAAGTCTTTTGGCATTAAGTTCATTTAGTTTTGCTTGTCTGATAAAGTCTTTGTTTCTCTTTTATTTTTGAAGAATAGTTTTGCTCTCCATTCTAGGTGGCTGTGTTTTTTATTTTAACACTTTAAACATTTTACTCCACCTTCTTGTTTGCAGGGGTTTCTGATAAGGAGTCTGCATTAATTCTTATTCTCACTCCTCTGTAGTTAAGATAATTATTTCCCTCTGGCTTATTTAAAGATTTTCTCTGTCCTTGATTTTCTGAGCCTGGAATATAATATGACTCATTTGCTTAAGTGGAGTTTTTGTTTGTTTGTTTGCTTATTTTTTCATAGGAGCATTTGGTTTACCTTGCTTGGTGTTCTCTAAGATTTCTGGATCTGTGGTGTCATGCCTGTCATTAATTTTGGAAGGTTCTTAGTCATTATTATTTCAATTTTTTTATTACATTCTTTTGTTCTTCTCTTCCTGTTATTCTTATTCCGTATGTTATGCCTTTTGATATTTTCCCCCAGTTATTTGATGTTCTGTTTTATTTTCTTCTCTTTTTTTTTACTTCTTGCATTTTAGTTTGTGAAGTTTCTATTGAAAAATTTCCAAGCTCATTTACTCTCTCCTTGGTCATGTTGAATGTAATAATGAGTCCATGGAAGGCATTCTTTATTTCTCTCACTTTGTTTTTGATTTCTAGCATTTCTTTATTATTCTTTCTTAGGTTTTCTCTCTACTTACATTACCCATCTTTCTTGCATGTTGTCTACTTTTTCCTTTAGAGCCCTTATCATGTATTTTAGATCTTCATAGTTATTAAAATTCTCTGACTGATAATTCCAATATCTGTGACATATCTGAATCTGGTTTGATGCTTGACTTCTGTATTCAGATTCTGTTTTTTTCTTTTCAGCATACCTTATAATTTTTGTTGTTGTTGAAAGCTGTACATGTTGTATTAGGTAATAGAAAGTAACATAAATAGGCCTTTAATGCAAGAATTTATGCTAATCTGGTCAGAGACTTCAAATTCCTCTACTGTCCTTGTTTTTGTCTCTCCTTTTGACTTTGGGTTCCCATAAGTACTCTTCCTCAAAAAGTCTGCATCTGACACTCTCTCAGCTGTAATCCACTGCTATTATACTGGAGCCCTGTTGGTATGGTGGTAATTTAGGGTGGAGGAAGTTTTCTATTATCTACTAATTAGTTCTCAGTCTTTTAGTTGGCCCATGTCTCAAAGCTGTGACCATCACATGATTTTCTCCTTTAGTATATTTTCCCCAGTTCATCTCCTTTCCCTGCCTGCAGAATTGCCCATCTGTTCATTTGAAGTCCTGACCCGTGTTGACAATTTTTCCTTCTTAGTTGAGATGGAAAGGGTAAAGGTGACTGGATAGAAAGGATTCCTTCCCCTGACCTAAGACTCTAGCAAAGTTAGTTTTCTATGAAATACAGGCCTTTGTTATGGAGAAGGATGTGAGTGTATTTCACAATGATTAATTTTCCCTTCCCCCTGCCAGAGCCAAGAGGAGATCCTTTTTGAATCTTCACCATGAGAATCTGGTGAGGTTCCTGTATGCAAAATCCATGAAAGTGTGGGAGCTCCTATAAGACTGTGACCCCTAGGAATTTCTCACTGTCGAGCTAGTCCATACTCAGCTCCCAGCAGTTCATCAAAATTGCCATTCGAGTACTCTAGTTTATGGCTCCAGTGCCTCCTGAAAGGAGGCAGATCTCAGCTGTGTCTTAGCTGTAATATCTCCTCAGATATCCAGGTGGCAACTTGATTTGCAACCTCAGTTCTCTAATGGGTCCAAAAAAGTTATTGGCTTTTAGTTTGTCCAGCTTTTTCTGATTCTAAGGATGGAATGACAACTTCTAAACTCCTTTTGCTCTGATTAAACCTTAAAAAGACGTTGTACAGATTGAACACTAACAGTAGCATCCATTCATTCCTAGTTTGGTTAGAAATAAGAAACTTAGCTAAAATTGCCCAGTAACAGAAAGCCTAGAGTCTAAATTGTTCTGTGGGATAAACATTCTAAATCAAGAAATCAACAAATCGAATGAAAGACTAGAGAAATAAATTTGAAAAATATTTCCATTGTTTTCCTTCCTTCCCCCATTTCATCTTATATTTTACTTTCATCCTAAAGGCCTTTCCTCTCCCCACCTCCTATCTCCAGTCCACAGAATTAAACTCTGGTCACTCAGTTCCTCAATTCCTTTGAAAAAATTGAGATAATTAAAAAGCTCGAGAAACAAAAGTGAAAAATTCTTGACTTTTAAGTTCCAAAAGGTATACAATAGAAATATTTGCATGCACACTTGGAGAGCAGATTTTTTAATTTCTTAAACTAGATATAGCTTTGGGCTGGTCAAATTCAAAGGAAGGAACCACACAGGAGTGAAATTAGCAGTGAAACACTTAACAGTCTTGTCTGAACAATGCAGGAAACTTTCTGAGAGTTTAGAACCAAGATGCGATGTCCATCTTGTTGCAGTTTAGTGAGGTTTGTTGACAGCAATCAGCTGGAAGTTTATTGATCATCGAGAAGTGGCTTAGCAATTCTCCCACCCAAAATACCTTTGTGGATAGTCCCTCATGAAAGAGCAAAGAAAAAAGATAAAAGCCTCTAGAATAGAAGAAGAAGAAGAGGTAGAAATAGTACAAGAGAAGAAGGGAACATTAGAGAGAAATTGGGGGTACAGTGGGGGGTAAAAAAGTAAGCCCTTATATTTAGGCAAGTTGAGGCGATATGGAACCAGCTAGAAAACTCTCCTCTGAGCCACAATAATGCAACAACACAGCATGCCTGAGGGCATGCTTTGCTGTCATTTCCAACGAAGGCAGAAAATGTTTAAATACAGATGTGTTCGGTTATCAGGATGGAGGAATGCTGGAGCTAAACCTCAGTTGCTACACAGTAAATGAAAGGAACTTCTCTTAAGCAAAGAAGAATAGTGCAATAAGAAGGATTGGAGCAACTACCTGGGTTTAAGTAATTCTGACAATCACCAGCTATATGACTTTGACTACCTATTAGAGTTACCCATCTCTCCTCTGAGCCTTAGTTTCCTAACAGATAAAGTGCCGATGATATTATCTCTACAATACCACAGACATGTGGTGAGGGTCAAATGAAAATGCTTTATAAACTATATGCTGGTGCTGCTAACGTATTACATTAAGGGTCCACAGGCCATAAGAAGCTAGAGTAAGCTCATTTCCAGGGCAAGAGTGAAGGAGCTATTGAGGCTAGGGGTCCAGAAGCCAAATGAGGAAAAAATAAGATGGCTTATAGATGGCCAATGAGAAGACAGGAAGAAAGTCCAGACTCTGGTGGGAGCACAGCCTATTCTGAAGCTATTTTGAGGATCCTTGAAAGCCTCAAGAGTGACATCTAGAAACTGCAACATCCACTTCTAGTCTTTGATAAGAAAACTCTATCGCCAAAGAAAAATGCATACTCTTCCTGCATACTCTTTCTCTGTTTTCCCAACCCTATTGAATAGATCTTCCTATTTTCTTAATCTAATCTACTTTGTTTAAAGTATGAAAGTTTTCTCTTTTTTCTTTTTTTTTTTAATGTTTTATTTATTATTATTATACTTTAAGTTTTAGGGTACATGTGCACAATGTGCAGGTTAGTTACATATGTATACATGTGCCATGCTGGTGCACTGCACCCACCAACTCGTCATCTAGCATTAGGTATATCTCCCAATGCTATCCCTCCCCCCTCCCCCCACCCTACAACAGTCCCCAGAGTGTGATGTTCCCCTTCCTGTGTCCATGTGTTCTCATTGTTCTATTCCCACTGAAAGTTTTCTTTTAGTGAATACTGGGATCCCATGGTGAAAGTTTTCTTTTAGTGAATACTGGGATCCCATGGTGGACTTTGGTTAAGAGCCCATTTTTACCAGTCACTTCTCACAGCTACAGCATAAGGAATGGGAAGGCTTGAAGTCAGCAGACTGAATTCAAGCCTTAGCTCCCTCATTCATTAACTCTCTATTCCTGGTTGAGTTGCTTAAATGTTGTGACTCTCAATTTCAAGAGGTCTTTGTGGGTGAATCATTAACTTCTATCTCAGTTCAGTGGCCTTCAGGTTTATATT
The DNA here is from genome assembly GCF_000001405.40 of Homo sapiens. Taxonomy (NCBI): domain Eukaryota; kingdom Metazoa; phylum Chordata; class Mammalia; order Primates; family Hominidae; genus Homo; species Homo sapiens. The sequence goes on along the minus strand of NC_000001.11, from coordinate 159,444,659 downwards.
GTGTCTCCCTACCCCCACCCAGTACAAGTGCATAGGCTTTCCTTTGGGCTTACAGATGTCTCAGAGATATATGTCTGTAGATTGCTGGGGAGGAGGGAGTGTGTGTCCAACAGAAATATTGCAAAGGCATTTAACATATCCTAGCCTCAGTTCTACTAGGCAGTGAGTGAGTGAGGTACTCATGCTTTCTGAAGTCTTCGATGGCATCCACAGAAATAAGAGTTTAAAGTTTGAGTTGCTGGAAGTTTCCTTACATAAAAGAGTCCTGCACCACCATAAAGATCTCAAATCCCTCTATTGCATGATCTGTCCCTTTATTGCTAATGGTGTTTAGTGTGTGCTTGAAGAGAGGTGAGCTGGTTGACTGGCCAAGAACCTGTGTTTATTATTCTTTATTTATAATTTAAAAACATCAATTGGAACTAAAGCTTTCTTCCTTCTGTGCTCTAGTTTAACATTCATTAGTCTACCAAATATATATATATATATATATATATATATGTTATGTTAATATATATGCTACGTTAATATATATTATTTATATATATATATATCAGTCTGTCTGTCCACAGGCCAGACACTTGGCATAATTGACCACTTATTCCCAGCATCTGGCTCCAGATCTAACGCAACACAGTGTCTACTGAATTCTTGAATCTGTTTAAGTAAGGGTTAGGTTTGCTTGTGGAGCTCTAAATGCTTTTCTATGATTTGTTTTAATATTGGAGAAAATGGATACTCATGTTCCCTAAATTCTCAGCTGGTTCTGCATGAATAAGACTTTACAGCTTGTGCTGTGCTGGAGATGCTCTTCCTCATGAGTCCCCACTGGCTAGAGTAAGGGTACCAGGTGGCCCTTTTATATAGGACCTCTCTTGGAAAAGCCTTGGGGATGAGGTTTTGATTTATTTGGAATGTTTGAGGCCCCGGAGAATGTAAATTTTGCCTAGTTTGATTTCTCTAGTACATCACTATCTCCATTGTGAGTCGCCCTTGGGTGAGGATTTATTCTAGGAAAACAGAAAATGCCAGCCAACTGGTGCAAGTTCAAGTTCTGCCTTCACTCCTTTTTCTATCTCAATCTTATTATCTGTATAATGAGAGCCTTATCCTTGTCTCCCTTGAGATTGTTCTGAGGACCTAGTGAGATAATGGTTGGGAAATTGTCTTGTGGCAAGGGGCTACAGTGTGAAAGCAGTGATACAGAGCATGAATGATGACTAAAATAATTCCAAAAAAAGGGATTGTTGAAAACATTTGATTCCATAATGTCTGACTGTTAAGCTATTCTGTTCAAACAAGATTTCTGAAAAACCTGAGTGATAAATGTTCTAAAATTCCATGGTGATGAAATGTTCTGAGTGATGCCCAGCAGGAGCTACATAGCCTTTGGCCCCAGGAGATAGCACTACACACAGATCAAGGCAACCTTACTGTCCAGGTAACAGGCATTTATTTCACTGAACTTCAACGTGCAAAGTCCATTCTTAGCTTGATGAGATTTAGCTTTATATAGATCAGGAAAAAATATCCCGAGGCTTACATTTTTGTCATTAAATATTAAGCATACTTTGTTCATTTCTCCATCACATTGAATTACGGTGAGTTCTGCATAAACCCATCTCCCTTTCAAGACTGGAAACTATTTAAGGGATAGTACAGGGCTTATTTCAAGATTTTTTTATGTCTAGCATAGTATCTGGCACATAGTAAATACTTTATGAATGTTTATTGAATAACTGGTAAACATTTCATGAATGTTTACTGAATGCCTGTCAAAATCTTTACCAGCAATGTTTTGCTTTTTTCAGTTTTTTTTCTTGTCAGTTAACAACTTGTCTTAGTTACTTTTAGCCACCTTATGATGTTCTTAGAGAACTTTAGATATGGTTTTATTTTTGCCATTGACCTTGTTAATCCTGAAAAATGCCCTAGTAGTTCTATTATGGTCTGGAATGCAGATACATGTGTCCTTTGGATCTCGGCTGTTTTGTTTGTTTGTTCGTTCAAAGGCTTTTCTGATTAAAGAGTCCACACTTTCAGCCTAGTAGAAAGTGTGCCCTGAGACCATACTGCCACCAGGTCTGAGGCCCAGCCTAGTCACTGATTTGACAGCAAATCCTTATTCTTCCCTTGGTGCTCATCTGTATCTCAAACCCCAAATCTACATGACAGTCCTGGGACAGCCTCCACTCCATGTTCTCTATGACAGTCTGATTCAGCTTCATCTTAAGTACATAATTATTTCTGTGTATTCTCCCCAATACCTTAGTCACATTTTCTTTTTACTCATGAGCTTTTTGGCTTGCAGTCCAAAGTCTCCCTCCCCCTATATGGCTTTTTAGATATCTCAGGGGAGCTAAGTATGATAAAGATGTTAAGAATTCATATAGATGCTTCACAAACTGAATCCTAGTTCTCCTAAGTCCTGGGTAGTTCCCATATTTAAAAGTAAAAACTGTCCGGGTGCAGTGGTTCACGCCTGTAATCCCAGCACTTTGGGAGGCCAAGGTTGGTGGATCACCTGAGGTCAGGAGTTTGAGATCAGCCTGGGCAACATGGAGAAACCCTGTCTCTACTAAAAATACAAAAATTAGCCGGATGTGGTGACGCATGCCTGTAATCCCAGCTACTCAGGAGGCTGAGACAGGAGAATCACTTGAACCCAGGAGGCGGAGGTTGCAGAGAGCTGAGATTGTGCCACTGCACTCCGGCCTGGGCAACAGAGCAAGACTCTGTTTTTTTTAAAAAAAAGTTAAAGCTGAAATTCCTTAATTTGGCATATGAGGCCTTCAGAATATGACCCCAACCTACCCTTCTGGTTTTATCTCCTTCAATCCCCACCTCTTCCATGTCCTGGAGTCAGCACAACTGAATCATTTTTCGTTACCTGATCAGTCCTTTTGCTTTCATACCTGTAGCTACATTGTTTCTTCTCTTTGGAATTCTTTCTTATCATTCAGACAATCTCTTGTGTTTTAAAAACAGTTTGCATCACAGGTCCCCTCCTCTTAAGACTTCCCTAACATCTCCAACAGTCTCTCTCTCTTCCCCTTTCCTTTTCTTTCTTTTTCTGAGTTCTTCTTTAATTGTGTGTAAACACCACTTACCATAAAGAACTGAAACCATACTGTCAAATGCTTGTTTTTACCACTAGGCTTGTAGCTTCCTGAAGCCAGACAAGAAAGCTTTTTTAATCTTTATTTCTCCAGGACCTAGCACAGAGGCTAGTTCATAGCTCTTGCCCATTATGTGTTTTCTGATTTAGCCAAATTTGAAAGGATCCAGGAGTATCTCAGATTATGCCCTCAAAACACTGTCATGATGACTGTAGAATTGCCAGCATCTCTAATTAAACTGTGTATGCTCACCATCTTTAATAAGCAGTTTTGCTAGAATCTGGGATAAATTAACACATCCAGGAGAGAACATCTATTTCTCCTGGGCTATCTAATCCTGAGGCCACTTTCCCTCCCCACACAGTAACTTATTACTTGACATGTCATAAACATACTCCAATAGGGAATCCAGTTTCAGAAGCCCTGGTGCTCTAGTATAGGAAGAAAGGGATTATAGGAAAAAGATTTTAAGTGTGTCTTGGATTCTATTTTCTCAAGGGGCTTTCTATTGCCTTCATTAGGTGGAGATTCACAAAGAAACCAAAAGGTCAGTAAAAAATTCTCAGCCCATACTACTTTCTGGCCTTTTATTTAGGCATATCTTATCCTTGTTTGTCTATTTATCCCCAAAAATAGGGATAACACTCCATCCAGTAACTTTATTTAAAGCTTCAGACTCCCAGTTGTATGAAACTGCTATTCCTCTTTTGCCTCTTATTTAAGGGGCAGGTCTCTAGGAGCCAAGTGTTTGTGAGTTTACACCTCATATTCCTGCCTAGTGTGGATGTTGACAGCCTCAGGAGAACTCTTCCTACATGGTCAGGAAAACTTCCCACCAACAGCCCTGCACAGAGCATCTTTGACCTCTTTATTTCTCAGGGTGTATACCACAGGGTTCAGTAGGGGAGTGATGACAGTGTAGGTCACCGAGATCAGCTGGTCATGTTCTCTGGTGTTCTCTGACTTGGGCTTGAGGTAGGCAATGGAGGCACAGCTGTAGTGGACAATGACCACAGTGAGGTGGGATGCACAGGTGGCAAAAGCCTTCTTCCGGCCCTCAACTGAAGCAATCTTGAGGATTGTAGAGATAATGAGAACATAAGAAATGAAAACCAGACCCATAGGTACAACAAGCACCAGCACACTGATAATCAAAGTCAGGATTTCATTGACAGTGGTGTCAATGCAGGAGAGCTTCATCACAGGGCGGATGTCACAGAAGAAGTGGGGCACCTTTCTAGCACAGAAGGGTAACCTGAATACAGATGTCACTTGCGTTATTGCTACAATCAGCCCAATGCTGCAGGCCCCCAGGACAAGTTGGATACGCAGCCTCTTGTTCATAATAACCATGTATCTCAGGGGGTTGCAGATGGCCACATAGCGGTCATATCCCATTGCTGTGAGCAGGAAGCAGTTAGTGATGCCAAAGGTTACAAAAAAGAACATCTGTGTGGCACACCCTGCCAATGATATGGGCTGGCTCATACCTACGAGGCTGGAGAGCATTCTTGGGAGAATGACCAATGTATATACAGTCTCTGAAGTGGACAGCATGCTCAGGAAGAAGTACATGGGTGTGTGAAGATGAAGATCCATTCGGATGATGGTCACAATGATGATATTGCCTGCTAAGGTTAAGATGTATAGTGCAAGGAACACGCCAAAAAGGGTGATCTGCTGCTCATGGAAGCTAGAGAAACCTTGGAAAACAAAGTCAGTGATGAGAGTAAAGTTCTCTCTTTTCATGGATTGGTTCCCAAATCTGAAACATAAAAGCATAAAAGTCACATAGTCCCAGTAAAGCAGTAGAAGCACATTTCTGAAATTGATTGAAGTTCAATAGTTCTCAGTTACAAATCTGGTGATGTATTTCCTAGTGGATTAAGTTAATCCCTGGGTTTACTTATCTTTACTTAAAATATTTTTACTCTGTGACCATCTGTTATAATTTTCCATGCATCATAGAATCATATAGTCTCACTTTTTCACTGTATAACCATACATGCTCCTACTTCATATCTACTCTTCCTCCCTGACATCTGGAATGGCTTCTCTTTTCTCCTCTTATTTCTTTCCTACTCTTCAGAGATGAGTGCACATTTTCAGGCCTTCATAAAACCGTATTACACTCAGAGGTTCTCATGTTTATTTGGATTATTTTTACCCCATTATTGCTGCCTCACCTCATACAAACACTTAGCAACTTTATAATACCTTTTACATCTTTTCATATTTCACTAGCTCCAAATTATGCATGGATTGGGTGCTTGAAAATAATTTGTTTAGGGATGGACTAGTGATGTCTTTTCTTTCAAGACTATGAATCATCCTCCTTGCGCATCCTTTAAGAATTAGAAGCAAAGTAGAAAGGTTCATCTTGTCTTCAAGAAGAAAAAGGAAAATCTTAGCCAACCACCAGCCTCTCCCCACTTCTGTCTGAGTGATGGAAGTCTGCTGACAGTTCAGAGCACTGATTCACGTATGTTATAAACTATGCTACATCTTTACCTTCCCTAAACTAGAAGGCAAATTTATAGCCAATACAACTTTGTGAGTAAGCCTACACCCACTCTGCAGAGATAAACAATTGTATCAGGAAAGATACAGCAAATTTAAGTGTCCCTCACCTAAAGCAAAAGCAAACCCTGAATATAAAAAAACAGCTACACCAAAGATACATCATTTTGTTGAAGGAAGGGGATCAGTTCAATTTATGTAATATTTCACATTTTTATCTCTTTAAACAGTAAGCTTCTCTAGGGTATTTAAATTATATTCTGATTTGCTTATGCATATTCAGAAAGAGAAGTTTTGCATAAAGTAAATCACATCAATGATGAAGGTTAGTACGCACGGAGACTTTCTTCAAGTTCATAAAAATCTATTTAAAAGAAGTTGATGACCAGCTGTTAATCATTTACACTAAGAATGCTAAAAAGAAAGTAAAGCTGCAATAGAGAATATTTTCCAATAAAGAAAATCATTTGATACTAAAATATATGTCTAAAGACATTTGTCTTCTGTGAGGCTTCTGAGCAAAAACTATGTAGTAGTCCAGCCACGGAGTGGTATGGTGCCTCTATGGTGAAATCAGAAATGCTTGGCAGAGCTTTTAACTGTTACAATAATGAGCACAGAAGCTCTTGGCCATTCACGATGTGAAATGTCCTGCAAAACTTGTGGTGATTCTGCCCAAGGAAGAATTCCCTTCTTCCAAATACCAATAAAGTTCCCATTGAGAAACACACGGCTAAAATATCATCTTATCTGGCTGAAACTTGTCTGTCTTGAGGTAGAAGAATGGCTATTATGATTTGGTTAGCATCCTCCCCACTCTTGGAAGTCTATAATTCTTCAAAGGAAATGGAAGGAAGAGCAAATATAGCTTATGAAGACCTGTCCAGCTGTGATAGGACCTGAAATACTACAATAAATTAAAGTCAGCTCATATGTAATGAGCCCCATTTCAGTCCTTCTTCTAAAGACCACTCACATGACTCTGCTTAGCACTGAGGCACAACGGGAAAGCTGGGCTGGAGGAGGCCGAGGAGTAAAGATTGAAATGTCAGGCTCCCTTGGCCACAATGGATAGGCATAGGGTGACCAAGGTGAGCAAGGTGACCAAGAGTGCCTACGGCAGGACCTGAGGCTGAGCAGGCAGGGCATAAACACACACTAGTAGGAATATAGTCAGGTTTGAGAGTCATAGGCATTCTTGATAACCCCTCTGTGTGGAAAAGTCTTTGAAGCCAGAGGAGATGCTCTCCCAGGATCAGGCAGCTGGGCTTCTGGGGGTCACTCCCTGAAGACATTCTGACAGCCACCCCCCTGGGGCTGGGAGGATGCAGGTATCAGGTACCTGGAGGTCTCATTATGTATAGGGCTCATTTACTCAATTCCAGGCTAGCGCTTGGGGAGCCTGGGGAAAGTTTTTGCTTCAAGTTGAAATAACATTTGAGGAAGCTGGTTTATTTAGTTGATTTTTAATTGTTTGAATAAGTACATTGTGAGTGTGTATATGTGCATGTGGTTTATTTTTTATTTTTTATTTTTTTACAGATGTATCTTAGAAATCCATATTGAAAAATCTAGGCAGCTCAAGCTTAGAGCCATACCACCTTGGATTTCAGGAAGTTTAGGGCCTTTTGCTTATAGGCAGGAACTCTATCTAGTATAAGAATCTGGTTTTCTTTTTGGAAAAGAAGTATTTAAATATGGTCGTCATTCTGCAGAGGGCAGTTCATGCTGCCTGTCCTTGCCCTGTGGCATTCAGGATTGGAAGCACACCATCTTTAGATCCAAAGATTCTCTCCTGGAGGCTAGGAAACAAATTAGCTTTTGAACACTGTTCTCTTTACCCGGATTTTTCTTCCCTTTATTTGGTAAGCTTCTAACTGTCTGTCAAGACCCAACTCTAAACTTACTTCTCACTGAATACTTTCCATGAGTTGTTTACTACTTCTTTAAAAATTTCTTAGTCTTTCATGTGATATTTATTTATCTGCATCCATTCATTCTTTAAGCACTTAGCATATGTCAGGCCCTGTGCTAGTTGCTGGAAATACAGAAATGGATGAGGTGCTGCACCAACCCTCCAGGAGCTCAGGGTTTAGTTGCAGGTGATAGACAATCATAATAACTGAAATGTAACTGTAAGTGAGACAGGGAGGAGACAGTCCTTGATTAGACTCAGGTTGATTATGAAAAATTACATTGTATAGGTAAAGTGAGAACAGATTACAAAAGAGTATTTGAATGTATCACTTTTAAGAGCCTCTCAAGTGATTCTCGCTTATCTCTCCTGTTCTTAGACTCTAAAGTTCCTTAGCAAGTGGCGTCTTAAGGAAGTGATACTTTTTTTTTTTTTTAAAACCGCTAACCATTTTTTTCCCTTTTCCGGTCTTTCTGGTGATTTTCCTTCCTTGTTGAAAAAAAGAAAACACCATACCCTGCACTGGGATTTGGTACATTGACCTGTGAGTGGTGTGAAGATGGATTTGAAGTTGGCAAAAAGAGGAAGAAAAACCAGCTAGGCTGCTGATGTAACAGAGATAATTGGGACTGATCTAGAGGGGTGGCAATTGGCCCAGAGGGGAGGGATACATGTGAGAGACATTTGAGGGAAATCAATAGGGCTTGTAACTGAATCAATGTGTGGCTCAAAGGAGAGGAAAGAACCAATAATTTCATAAACTGCTCTCATCAGGTTCATTCATGCCAACTCTCTGATTATTTACAAATATACATAGCTTCTTCTTGTAACAGATGAAGCAAAGAAAATGATCTCCATATTAATGGTTCATGATCAGATATCATTGGTGGCTACGAGATCTCAACAGGAAAGGAGTGGAATTGGGCTAAAGAGCTCAAGACTTTATGATACTATTGCTTTGGGACAAATTAGGAAGACTGTAGAAATGGAGAACTGGGTTGATGATATAAAAATGTGGTATCTGGCAAAAAGGACAGGTATACCACTTCAGTAGCAATTAATATTTATCAAACACTTTCACAGATTTTTGTCTCACATAGGCCTCCAAATAACCCTCCGAAGTCAGTAGCAGTATCTAATTTTACAGATTAGGGATGTACAGAAAGTCCAATCTGCCACCAATAGCAAATATATTGGGATTTTATGCTAGAAGAAAATGAACACATGTGGAGTGACTATAGAAACAAAGCTGGCAAAACAGCCAAAAGAACCTAATGCAAAATCTTCTAGTTCTGCAGACTGCTTTATTTGGGGAACAGATTTCAGTAGTTCTTATTATAGTTTGTTTATGGCATTCAATTTAGTTTAGGATCCTGGGTCTAGACCTCTTAAGAAGGCTTTGGAATTGTCAATGGGAGTCTTTCAGGGCCCCGGATAGGGCTCAAAACAGATTTAACTGAGGTTCCTAAAGTTAGATCTACTCTCACACCATCTTCCACACTATTTCTGTCACCTAGAGCTGGCGTGTCCAAACTGTCTGTGTATGAAAACCCCTTTTTACATTCAAATATTTCTTGAATCTCCAAATTGATAATATTTGGATAATAATAGTTGTACTATTTGTACCTATTGATAGGAAAAATAAGTTCTGAAAAGGAGAACTATGAATTAGTAATTGGTGCTTTCAAATGAATTATGGTACTTTAAAAAATACTTGTAGATGCTTTTGTCAGTATTTATTCAGACTGCATGTGAGAATTGATGCACACAGGAACCCTGAGACTTCTTGCAGTGACTCTGAGGCAACTAGGAGAGAAGAGAGAATGATGTTGTGAGATGTATTTGGCAGGTCAGTAAGGAGGGCATAAATAAAGGGAATCTGGAGGAGAAATGCAGACAGGTGCTCTTAGTGGTTTATTAACCACAAAAAGAACACTCGGAGTGAAATCTGAGTGATTGCCCCATAGACATAGACACCACTTTGCTTAGGTCTAGTTCCACATAAGCAGAGCCTGAAATAATGTCCTGGGTATATCCAGGAAGTAATACTTGGAAGACCCTCGGAGAATAGTTAGTTTCCTTTTACTGGAACATAGGATCAGGGACTATAAGAGAAGCCCAGTTACAAAGTCAAGACCTCCTAGGTAAAAGGGAATTCTATTGACAAAGAACAAATGAGAATCCTATTGTTAAAGCTAGGGCTCTGTGTCCATATCAAGAGTGACTTGATGTTGACCTCAGAGTGACCCAGGGAGCAATGTCTGTGTAGGGTGGTGGTGGAGAAGGCACTGAGAGCTTTCCATGTGCCAGGGAATGGTATGTCCATAACATTGTTGACTTCTCACAGCAACCCTGGGAGTTGATATTGTCCGACTCACCATGCAGATAGGAAACAAAAACCAGGGAGGTTAAGTATCATAACAGGACACATGCTTGTAATGGCAGATCTATGATTGGGAATGCATGCCTCTCTGTTCAAAGCCTGTACTCTATCTACAATATCATACTGTTTTAGCAT